>NC_000005.10:7510000-8760000 GCF_000001405.40 Homo sapiens
ACAAGAGCTCTCCGTCAGTAAAACAGAAGTAGCAGAATGGGGTAATGATGACACAGAGAAGGTCTGAAAAAGGCCAGAGTCTCATGTCCTCTGTAATTGTTGATGTGGTCCTTTTTCTTATTAAGTAGAAATGAAATTTAAAGGAAATATGTATTTTTTCAATGGTTTTTATTTTAAAATCAACTTGGTTTGGAGGTGTCAAGAAATAGAAACTAGTAACCAAGTCAAAAGATGCATAATTATTCTTCCTAGTTCACTGATTCATTGATTTAGTCAACGTTTATTTAGCGCCAGACTTTGAGTAGAACTGCATGGCAGAGCTGAATGAATGATCCTTATCTGGTTGGAATATTGGAAACTCCCCTGCAGTGGCTGTCACTATAGCAAGAGTAACTCTGATCACAGGACTCACTGACAACCCTTCGGAGCAGTGTGGGTCACAGGCACAGCACCTGGGAAGCAGGGTTACCATAGAGGCTGATTCAGTCAATTTAGGGTGGGGTCCAAGAGAGTATATTCCTAACAAGTTCCCAGGTGTGGCTAGGCTCAGGCCCAAGCACCATACTTGGTGGTAACAAAGATCTTGAGCTCCACAAAATCAAATAGGATGCAGTGTCATTGTTGTTCCAGGAAATCATGGGAAGTACTGAGGATGCTGGTACCTCCCACTCTGTCAGTGAACTGGGGAGAAAAGGGCAGATGGTGCAGCTCTCCAGGTAAAAGTCATGAGACCCAGGTTACCAAATGTACAGAACATACAGTGGATGCAAAGGAGTTGATTTAATTTTCATTACTTGTTCTAAGGTGGTTTTACTTACTTACAGTGTGTGTGTGTCTTTTAGTGAAGAACACGATATGAAGAGTTGTGATACTCTGCTTTGTTACTGCAAAGAGGTTAAGATGAGCAGGGATAAAATGACTGCCATCGAGGTGCTGCCTGAGGCACTAGGGAATTAACACGTGTGTGCAGCACCTGACACATGCCCTGGACTTCCACGTTGCTGAGAACCTGCCTCTGCTCAGTCAGCCTCCTTGGGGCTTCCCTACTCATAACCTTCAAGTGTTACTATGCCTGAAGTGTTTCCTTCCTTCTTTCAGCAAATCTTCATTGAGGTTTTTTAGGTGCTGGGTAGAATTCACAAATGCAGGGACCCATCCCAACAGTGTCCTTGTCCCCATAGAGCCTGCATATATATGGGGGAAGACAGAAGATAAAAATTTTCAAAAATATAAAAAAAATTAAAAATGTAAAAATAAACATTCTAATTGCAATAATGATATAAAGAATGTAGGGGCCAGGGGCGGTGCCTCACGCCTGTAATCCCAGTACTTTGGGAGGCCGAGATGGGCAGATCACGAGGTCAGGAGATCGAGACCATCCTGGCCAACATGGTGAAACCCCGTCTCTACTAAAAATACAAAAAATTAGCCGGGTGTGGTGGTGCACACCTGTAGTCCCAGCTACTCAGGAGGCTGAGGCAGGAGAATTGTTTGAACCTGGGAGGCAGAGGCTGCAGTGAGCTGAGATCGCACCACTGCACTCCAGCCTGGGTGACAGAGTAAGACTCTGTCTCAAAAAAGAAAAAAAAATGTAGTGTGATTAGCAAGAAAGAAAACGAGGGGTTTTTTAGATAGGGAGATCAGGGGGATTCTCTCTGGGGAGGTGACAATTGAGTGGTAAGCTTGAATGACAAGAAACAGCCAGCCAAGGAAAGATTTGGGGAAGGACTTTGGGGCAGAAAAACAACCACTGCAAAGGTCTTGCAGTTGCTCAGGGACCAGCAGGAGGGCCGGTGTAGAGGGAGTATGAACATGGCAGTGATGGGAGTTGGTAGGATGGGAGACTGGAGATAGCACCAGGACTAGATCATGAGAGACCCTTATTGGCATGATAAGGACTTTGAATTTATTCTAAGTGTTACAGAAAATCATTGGAGGGGCCAGACGCTGTGGCTCACACCTGTAATCCCAGCACTTTGGGAGGCTGAGGTGGGCAGATTACTTGAGGCCAGGAGTTCAAGACCAGCCTGGACAACATGGTGAAACCCCATCTCTACTAAATATACAAACATTAGCCAGGCGTGGTGGTGCACACCTGTAATTCTAGCTATTTGGGAAGCTGAGGCAGGAGAATCATTTGAACCTGGGAGATGAAGGTTGCAGTGAACGAAGATCACACCATCACACTCCAGCCTGGGCAGTAGAGCATGACTCCATCAAAAAAAAAAAAAAAAAAAAAAGAAAACCATCAGAGGGCTATAAACAGAGGAGGATTACTGTTATCAGATTTAACTTTTTAACATATTGTTTTGACTTCTGTGTGGAAAATTCATTCTAGGGGACACTGGTGTAAGAAAGGCTGTTTGGATGCTGTTGTAGGAATCCAGGGATGATCATGTGATTTGGATGATGTTGTAGCCACAGGCAGGAGGGAGTACATGGGCTCTGGATGTTTTTGTAGGGATGGAAAGAATGAGGAAGAGAAAACTATTAAGAATAGTTCCTAGGTTTGGGGATTAGGGGTTTTATTAAATGAGATGGGAGAGAGTACAAGAAGGACAGAGATTCATTGGAGTTGGGGCATAAAATATTCCTTGTGAAAATTGCATCCACATATTCCAGGCCTGTTTTGATAATCTAGAGTCTCTGTGTCATGTCTTCCTGTAAATAATATTAACAATTTGGTCATAAGGTCTGTGTAATCCACTATGGTATATGAACATGGGAATTAGGAGTTCGACCTTAGAGCTGAGCCAGTGGAGCTCAGCCTGCAGCCCCATGTGAAGTTCTGTGAAGCCTGGGGAAGCCAGAGTCATTGAAAAGAGAATGGAATCTAAGAGACCTGTGGAAGCATCTGGAAGCATTGAGACCTGAACTGCTGCTGAAACCTGGTCCAGAGATCCAGACCTCTGTAGAGGAGATGAGGAGATGTCAGACTGGAGACACAGTAGACCCTCTCTTGGTTGTATACTTGTGGGTCCGCCTGGGTCTTTGACATGGGAAGAGGTGATTTCTCAACTGAACCAGAGCTGGGATGTGATGGAATTTCAGTGAGGGAGAATATGTGGAAAATACATGACACACACACACACACACACACACACACAGAGAGAGAGAGAGAGAGAGAGAGCAAGAGAGAGAGAGAGAAAGATCTGGGGAGAGAGGAGAAGAGAAAAGAAGTTAAACTTGAGAAATAGGGTAATCATAAAGAGATACTCAAAGAATCTGTAACACTGACAGTTTAGCATTAGACATTGGGATGGATGAGGTTCCCCCAATTAAACAGAAGATGGCTTTACACAGTTGTGATATTTGTATGAAAAGAACTTGTGACTCAGAGTAATCCTTATGTGAAGTATTATCAAGGAACAAGATAAGAAAATAATCATCTAGGTGAAAACATGTTTATTGTTTTGCAGATTTTGTTATCGAAAATGTTAAAGTACATTTCCACTATACAGCTTTCTAGTTATGTTTCCAGAAAGTTTAAACAATGTACCTAATTAATAAATGGTATCAAAGTCATCAGTATTCTCAAAGTCATCAATTCTTTGAGATATAGATGACATCCAATGAGAAAACATTACTTTGAACTTAGAACTTACCATTAAGAATGCTCAATTAGATTAATATGTTTAAGAATTCTAAATTTCCTTGGACTATTTTTACTAAATTTTGGCATTTCTAGTTGTATTCTGCAACAACAATGAGATACAATGTATAAGAACTATATTGCGGTACTATTGTTGGAAGGTATAATTCCTGTGGTTTTTGGTAAAATCTGTGTCTTTGAAAATTAAGTTACTACTGTAAATACAATGGTATTTCTAATTTCTTAGATTTTTTGGAGAGAAAAATGATTTTAATTGCTCTGCCTTTGGTTATAAAATACATTATGTTCACTGAGATGTTATTTCCTTTAATGTTACTAGCCTAACAAAAATAGGAAGTATTTCTCTGATGGTGTGTTCTCCACAGAACCACTGTGCTTTCTGTAGCTAATCTTGATTAGCTTGCTGATTCTGCTTGCTTATACATTCCAGGGAAGAATGCAACAAATGGAAACTCTCCATTCATACATTAGAGTTGAGTGTCATTTGAAAGATAAAACCAGAAGCTTCATCTTTTAATCTATGATTGGCATATTTGGGAATATTTTGGCCTGTCATTGCACTCTGAAAGAAATACTGAGCCACACTGTGAAAGTCCATGGACCTTGAAGCAGAGGCCTGAGACAGAGTGGAACCCTGATAGACCTGATGTGTGTAGAATCAAGTCAGGACCTATCCATGACCGTGATCTACATTTGCTTAAGCTGTACCTCAACTCTTCTCCATTTTCATAGTAATTTTATGTCCAAAAAGTAAAAATAGAATATTTCTATCAAATTAGTTTGGATTTATAAATTGTAAGTAACCTTGATATTATAGACACTTGCCTTTCATGTCTGACTCAGGAATGGAACATGGGATGTGAAGTGGGCAGAAAATACTTGAGATCTAAACCCTGGTTTGCTTACAGCATAAACCTGATGTTATGGGTTGAATTGTGTTCTCCAAGAAACATATATTGAAGTCCTAATCCGCAGTACTTGTGAATGTGACCCTTATTTGAAAATAGGGTCTTTGCAGATGTCATCAGGTTAAGATGAAGTCATACTGGATTTAGGATCAGTCCCAAATCCAATGACTGGGGTCTTTATAGCAAGAGGGAAATTTGGACAGAGATACACGGAGAAGAGAACGCTGTGCAGAGGCACAGACACATGGGAGCAAGGCCATGTAAGATGGCAGTGGAGTGATCAGAGGTTGCTCAGGATTGCTGGGAGCCACCAGAATCTGCAATAGATTCTTCCTCAAAGCCTCCAGGAGGAACAAACCCTGCTGACACCTTGATTTTAAATTTTTAGCCTCCCAACTGTGAGAGAAAAATTTTTTATTGTTTAAAGCCACCCACTTTGTGATAATTTGTTACATCAGCCTCAAGAAGCTAATGCACTTGACACATGATCTGAAGAAGCCATGAAATCATTGGAGCAGCTCGTCTTCCAAGTCCTATGCTTTCTGCAGCCTGCCTTTGAAGAGATGGATTAAATGGTCCCTTCCACTCTACCTTTGTTCGGCTGCACAATTATGCCACTGCCTTTTAAAAAATTCAGCTCAGAATCTCATTAGCACAAGGAGCTCTTACTGCACACTCACCCAGGGGGTTATGCCCACCCTCCAGAAAGAAGATGAGCTTGAGCTTGGCTCCACAAAAGAGCTTTCTTCATGAAAAAGTGGTGACAGTGTTCATGTTCTCCTTGCCTAGTGAGTTTTTGTTGTATCAAACTCTTCAAAAATGGCCTTCTTTGGAAGATCTTATGTTTTGGGGTAGGCAGGAGCAGATGTGCTGAGTCAAGAGAGTTGAGTGGGGGATTTGCAAGGGGCCAGCTTCTCTGGGCTGAGAACACGGGCTGCCCAAACTGAGCCTGCTCCTGATTCAACCCAGTATCTGCTGTTGCCTGCCATAGGCATCTGACAAATGTCTGTCCAGTTGAGTGTTTCAGTGTAATTGATCTACTAAATAAAGAAATGGTAATTTGAAGATTAGCATGTCTATAGCTAATGGCGAGTCCAGTTGGAACAAGGAGGATGTTGGAATGTTTTTAGAGATGCATTTGGTGAGTAGATGCTAATGAGGTGGTCATGGCTTGGTTCATATTAGGATGTATAATAGTCTTTCCTGCAGACAGCAAATATTCATGAGGCATCTACCATATGTGAGGTACTGTCCTGGGCACTGGGGTCTCGGCTATGAGTGAATCAAGTTCCTGGTTTTGTCACTATGCTTACCCATGTCAAGGGAGAAAATTAACAAATAAATGGGGACTTTAAATGCTGTGAATAAGTAAAGCCAATGAAGAGGACTAGAGGGTGTGGGTGGAGGCAGGGGAGGGTTTTCCATTTTGTGCAGGTGGTCTGAGGCAAGCTACAGGAGGTTTTCATCCAAGGGAGAAACACGTGAGACCTGTGCATTCAGAATCATGCATCTGGCAGTAGAATGCTATCTGGATTAGAGAAAGGATGGTGTTGGAGCAAGGAAGAACTGAAGGAGCATTACTGCAGCAGCATTAGACAAGGGCTCCCATCCTGCCAGGAGGGAGAGCATCAGTGGGGAAATACTAGAGTCAAAGATGGTGCACCCATTGCCATGGAATATTTTGCAGCTAGTAAAAAGTAAATAATATATTTGTGATTATAGACCTGGAAAGAGGCCCATGATGTATAGTTGATTGAAAAAATGCAAATTGCAGAGTATTATATATAAAAGCACCCAATTTTTATAAATATGACATCAGTAAGACATCCCATGAGTGTGGGTGTGTGTTTCTGTAAACTTGATATCAGTCAGGACTAGTTGAACTGTGCTTAGGAATTCCGGGCTTAACATCACAAAGGACTGTCACCACTCACATGAACACAGGTTTGTGTGGGTCAGCTGAGAGACTGTGCTGCTCAGTCTGGGTCTGGGGACCCAGAATGGTAGAAGCCTCAACTCCATGTTTCCATGGTTGCCAGGGAGGCAAGAGGACATGGCTAACAGTGCATAAGATTTTAAAGTTTCCACTCGCCCCTCACCTAACTGAAATGACAATAGTGAAATGCAATTATATTACATGCCCAGAAGGAAGAAAGCAATAGTTATTTGTAAAGAGTCCTGATGGTTACCCGAGGCTTGGAGAAAGGCATGGAATGGACACGAAGGAGGAAGGGTACACACTCTGTTTCCCTTGTTTGCAGCAGGGCAAAGAGGGAAAGAGTATAGAACTCTATTTCCTAACAAACAGAAACGCCAGTAACCAGCTCAGTGAGGTCAGGATGGAGAGAAGCAGACAGACAGAGACAACCCACTGGTCTGGAATCCTAAAATGAGAAGACCCTGTTTTTGAGTGTGGCTGTGAGGAGAGAATTTTCAAAGGTGACTTTCAAGGATTTGCATCTGGGTTTTTGGAGACAGAGGCATTATGGGCAGACTTGAGTTATCCTGCAAGACAAACAGGTTTAAGAACATAAAGAAGCTCTTGGTTGATTTGAAACTTGTGGAGCTTGAGATGCAAGTAGAAGATACGTAGGAAGATAGGCATGTCTTGCAAAAGGCAAGTGCGGAGCTGGAGTTAAGAGACACACTTGAAACTTTTATTGGAATGAGTGCTGTTGCCTCAGCTATTGTGCAAACTTGGGGTTTCTGCAGAGGATCACAGGAATGAGATCCCTGGCTCTGCACTCTTTAGCCTCTGGACAGAGGTACATCTAAGGGGAATGTCATCCATGGGGAATGTCCCCATGGTAACATGGAAACCCAAGAGATAGCATTCGACTATCTGGAGCTTTTTACCCACACATTCTTTACATGTGCCAAATCCATTTTAGTTTTACATATGGCCCTATTTGAAGTTGCATTGGAAAGCAGGCTTAAAAAAAATGAGAACTCTTTGAGATTAATAAGGAGTGAAGAACATTCTCCCTATGGGACTCGAAGCTGCAGTTGAGTTTCTTCCTCCCTGTCCTGCCTGCCGAACACTCCCCAAGCACCACTAGCCAAACTCCTGAAATGCTACCACGGAAACCTCTGATTTGATTTAATGCAATTTGCGCAATTGACCCTTGAAAATTAATTTTGCCATCTCATAATGAATACTTAACAGGGACTTCTGTATTCAGAAAACTGAAGATCTATTTTCCATTTGGTTATTGTGGATAAGCCTTCCACAGACTTCCATTTCAAGGCTCAAAATATTTGCCGAAGTATATTTTAATGGAGACGGTATTAGAATTTTAAAGTTATCCAAAATTAAGCTACTCAAAAGTTATGATAATTTTAAAGAAATGCTAAAGGTTTTTGCATAGAAGCAAATATGTAATCATAAAAGAGAGGTTCTCTTTTGTAATTGTCAACTCTGGTACCTGAAATTATTCATTTAATACCTGTTGTGGGATATAAGATTTTACATAAATGTTATGTGTAGAAAAAACAGTATCTTAATCGAACATACTTTCTGTAAATTGGGAGGGCAACACAGAGATTCCAAAATAAATTTCATTTGCTCAATAAGCTATAAATACACAACAATTGATTTTCCCATTCCTAAAGAAACCTTTCTGATAGCTCAGTGGTTCTCAGTCAGATTCGTTGGAGACCTGGGAAAGGATCTGCACAGCACACCACCAGTGTGTGCTGGTGGTAGCTCTTAGTGGCTTTGGAAGATGATTTTGGGGCTAGAACTCATGCATGTTCCTTCCTTGGGAAGATGAAGTGAGGGAGGTGCCCCAGCCTGCCTGTGTAGATAGAGCATCGCTTACTACAGGTCCCTCCAAAGGCATGCCTGATATGTCTTCCCAGCCAAACTTTGCATTTTTATACATAAACGGTCTAAGACAATACTTTTTGCCTTGGTTTCACATCCCAAATATGGAATGGAACAAGTGGAATGCATATGATGCTAAATAATAATGCTTTACTGAAAAAACCTTCAGAGTCTTTATTTTTAAAGAGGTGAAAGAAAAAATATTTACCAGAAAAAAATATTGCTATGGCAATGTGTTCCCCCACAGTTTTTGGCCTGAGGGCCCTTTTAAATATAGATTGAATGGGAGGAGACGGGGGCATGAAGCAGATGGTCCATGCCCAATCTAGGCTTCCTGATGAGGATTCCGGGTCATTTTTCCCACTCACAGTGGGTTTCTCCTGGCTGTTGTCCCGAGACGGCTGGACTCAGAAGAATTAGAGAAGGTGCTCAGAGTCCACCCTGTTGTCTCCTCCCGGTGAGGGCAGGTGCCCTTCTCTCAGGACGCAGACTGTGAGATGACAGCTGCATGTATGACCATCTCTTCTGCTGGGCCCTGAGGCCCCTGAGAGCTGGGGCTCTGTCCTGCACCCTCCACCTCCAGAACCTGGCTGCATTTACAGGAGCTTCACACAGGCTTGCAGAATGAATGCTTCTTCAGGTCGGAGTGCCTTAATAAGCATTCATTCAGCAAGCCTATTCCAAAAAGCCTGGAGTGCCAAATCGAAGAGTGCCTCTTCAGGACCCACGTTTATTTTTAGGCTATGTCTCCTGAATCTTTCCTGTGCTCTTTTGTGTATGACAATTACATAAATACAGCTGATCAGACACCACCCTGGAATAGTGAAGTGGTGACAGATGGTTCTTTTCAGGTTGTAATACGTGGTGCAGATTCCCAGGAGAGAAGAAGCCTGGTTTTCTCCCAGGCTTCCCTCTTTAAATCCGTCAGGAGCCTAGCTTATTGCCCACATTCTTCTCAGGAGCTCACATCCATACTTGGTACCAGAAGCGCTGGCGTGATTGCACCACGTCCTTCCAGCTGTGCAGCGCTTGAGCGTCCCCTTCAGGTGACACAGGTCACACTGAAAGTGGGGCATGCTTTCCTTAGCTTCCCTTCTGCTTGGAGTCAAGAGCCGCATGGGAAGCTGGCCACATGTCCCATTCCCTATTTCCCTGACCTCAGTCCCTTCCAACTGGATTGTTCACCTTTCATCCTTTTTGATGTTCTTCTATCTCTGCTCCTTTTGTAATGAAAATGATCGTTTTTTATTACCTACTAAACCATTTTCTTTTTCATGCCAAACATTTCTTTGAGAGGTTTCGTGTTGATTGTTTTGATTGAGCTGAAATTCACACAACATAAATTACCCAATTTAAGTTGGCATTTCCAATGTTGTGCAACCAACACCTCATCTGGTTTCAGAGAAGTTTTCATCATCCCCGAAGGAAACCGTGCACCTAGTCAGCAGCTACTCTCCGTTCCCCAGCCAGTCCCCTTCCCCCAGCTCCTGGCAACCCCCAATCTGCTTTCCATCCCTATGGGTTTACTTATTCTGGATATTTGATGTAAAAGGAATCATACACTATGAGGTCTTTTGCCCAGATTTTATTCACTTAGCATGTTTTTGAGGTTCCCCTGTATGGTAGCATGCATTCGCATCTTACTCCATGTTAAGGCTGAACAATATTCTATTGTGTGGATATACCACATATTGTTTATTCATCCTGTGATAAACATTTGTGTTTCCACCTTGGGGTTGTTTGCTAGGAAAATGATGTTATGAAATGGGTGTACATTTATCTGTTTCAGTACGTGTTTTCAATTCTATTGGAAATATACACAGGAGTAGAACTGCTGTGTATGTTTAACTTCGAGGAATTGCCACTCTGAGTTCCCTGGCAGCTGAGCCATCCACAGGCTGTTTTATTTTGTTTGTTACATACCCGTGCTCTCGGCATCTGCTTTCACTAACTCCCCTTGATGACACCTGCCCCTCCTCCATGGGTCTCCACCCTGTCCACCCCCGTCCCCGATGATGCCTGTCCCTCCTCTGTGGGTCTCCCTTTGCAGTTTGGTAGATCACTTCAAGAATCCTCAGTGCATGTTCTAAAGCAAAGATACAGAACCCTGATAGTTTAGGACCAGCTTTGCATCCATACTCATGGAGTGGTTTGGATACCAAAGTGAAGTCCCAAAATTTTGAAAACAAACTTTTCTCCATCACAACGATTAGTCTGTTATTGTAATCCAGTGGACTTATTTGCATCGACTGCCCTATTTTGTCTATAGATTATTTCTAAAATGAGCATGTCTCATGCTGTTCTATGCAGCCTTTAGTGGCATGGAAACAGGAGGCTCTTAGAAACCAGAATATTTGGTGACTCTTATTGTTCTTCTTCTCTGCCCGTAGGTATCGTTCTTCCTCTTCATCATCTTCGTGGTGTACACCATGCTGCCCTTCAACATGCGAGACGCCATCATTGCCAGCGTCCTCACCTCCTCCTCCCACACCATCGTGCTTAGCGTCTGCCTGTCTGCAACACCGGGAGGCAAGGAGCACCTGGTCTGGCAGGTGGGTGCACCTCCACATCCATGGAGAATGACTTTCCACATCCCACCAGGGGGTGAGGCAGGTGCTGCTGGCCCATTCAGGGTGTGTGTAGTGTGGTACCTGCAGCTGTTCCCTTTCTGCCCCTTGAGACTGACCCCCTATAACACTGAGGAGCCAGCCCCACTCCACTGCCATTGGTGGGATCAACAGTCACTTAGCAATTAGCAACTGTAAAAGTAATGGTAGCAGGAAAGTTGGATGTGACAATTCTATTTTGTGATTGCTGAATGGTGGTATGATTTTGATGGTCAAAAGGTGTTCTTATATGTTATAATTCAATACTCATTTTTATAGTGAAGTAACTTATACGATTAATTTCATAGTTTGTTCCCACCTTTGCTCTACCTTGATATTCAAAACCCTCTTTACAAAGATAAAAATTTTCTTTATTTTAAAATTTTCTATCAGGTCTATGAGCATTAAAAAAAAAGTAATTCTTTAAAATGGTACAACAACAAATTTTTCCTTACTAATAAATAGCATTTCAAAGAAGCCATTCTATTTAATTAGTTACAAGCATTTTAAACGCTGTTTGATTTCTAATTATGTACACCTATAAACATGAGGATGATTTGGAGTTATTCCTAACATTCTCTGTTTTACCTATTAAAAGTGCATTTAATTTGCTCTGTGGAGATCAACTGCAGCAAATGCAGCCATGACATAAAATGCAGTGGGGCTGAGAAAATTGCAGTTGTGACAACACTGTGCCATTCTAAAGGAACTTTAGGCATAGGTCACCTAAGCCCTGCTGGGTCTGAGAAACCAGTTTTTCTTTCACGTGATGTGCTATTTCATTTGGAAACTTGAGGTGGAAGTGAAGGCTCACTCTTGAGTCTATAGTAGTCTCTCTCAGTTGGAAAGCTTTCTGCGGATCACTTTTTTCAATGCTCATCTCCTACTGCTTATCACATCACATTCATTAAGAGTAGCCAGGAAAACCTGCATTCATTAAGCATCCTGTATCCACACTGACTGTAGAGGCAGTGGCCTCTAATTTTACACAGTGGGCTAGAGTTTCACCCTGGCTTGTTTGGATATTACTAAGAAGCATCCACTCCCAGGAAGAGGAGGAAGGCCATATGGCTCCTCTCTGCATTGCCTTTGACACATGCTAGGAACCTGCACCACCTGAGACAGACAGAGGCCAGCCAGTAACTAATCCAATGAGAGAATGAAGGTGGGTGTTTTATGTTTATTTTATAATATTTAAATGACAAATTAAGGTGGTATGTATTCAAGGTGTGCAACATTACGGTTTGCTATATGTATGCATTGTGTAATGGTTGTCACATTTAGATTAATGAACACATCCATCACCACCCATGCTGTACATTACATCCCCAGCACTTATTCATCTTATCACAGAAAGTGTGTATCCTTTGACCAACTTTTCCCCATTTTCCCCAACCCCTAGCCCCTGGAAACCACCCTTCTACTCAAAAGAACAATCTAGCCTTGCCTGGGATGAAGTGCAAGAAACACTCCTGTGGATACAATCTCTACCCCAGCCTTCACTTCCTGTTTCTGCACTTCAGAGCCTCTCCTGTGGGGCATTTCTCCTTTCTCCTATAAGTTCCACTCTTCCATCTTCTCGTTTATTTGAGCTGTTAAGCTCAACATTAGGTGTTCACATATGGGTCAGGGTGGTGAGCATGTTTTTGCAGTAGAAATGAGAAAACAGCTGGGCACGGTGGCTCACGCCTGTAATCCCAGCATTTTGGGAGGCCGAGGCAGGCGGATCACAAGGTCAGGAGATCAAGACCATCCTGGCTAACACGGTGAAACCCCATCTCTACTTAAAAAAAAAAAAAAAAAAAAAAAAAAAAAAAAAAAAATTAGCCGGGCGTGGTGGTGGGCGCCTGTAGTCCCAGCTACTCGGGAGTCTGAGGCAGCAGAATGGCGTGAACCCAGGAGGCGGAGCTTGCAGTGAGCCGAGATCGCGCCACTGCACTCCAGCCTGGGCGACTGAGCAAAACTCCGTCTCAAAAAAAAAACAAAAAAAAACAAAGAAATGAGAAAACAATTTGCTCAGCCACTGTGGGAAATCCCTTCTCACATGAGCAATCAGACACTCAAACATGCCATGGCTCACAGCACCTTCACTATTTGGGGTACCCTGGAACACATCCCTTGTACTTATCCTTTCTGCTCCTTCAGGAATAAATGAAGTATCTGCTGGTGCAGATGTAATAGGACAAAAAATATTTCAGAAGAAGAGGTTTTAATACCTGTCTGTAAGAATCAAACAGGGTTAAAACAAAAAAGGGAAAAGGAAGTACTGCATGAAGAACTTTATGTATTGCAGGTCACTGAATACTGTATTCTTTATTGAGCTGGGTTTTTTGTTTAAGCATTTTTATTTTCCTGCATTGGTAAAAAAAAAAAAAAAAAGTGGGAAAGATGGAATCTTAAATTTTTATTTACTCAGTTTCAAAAACCGACAAAGAAAAATACATCTTATCAGCAAACAGCCAGAGATGCGATAATTCTAAAATAGCACCAAGAATAAAAATGCTTCACTCCATAGTATTTTATAAAGGAACAACACCCAAAAGAACAGAATAACATGAAGTCCATTTCCCATTTTCTCAGAAACAATTTCACAGTAATTCCAAGAGCTGGGAAAGGTGGAACATGCGAACAGATTTGAAATGGGAGGTTTGTAGGTAAACATCACAGTAATGAAGAAAGGAGCTTTCAGTACCCTTGGCCACTGTTGGAAATATAACCTAAAAATACCACTGGTTTGAGGTTCCAGAAAAACACTTTATTGAATTCTTTTTATGCATGGTGTATATAAATTAGAATGTTACAAATTTGGTGGTTGTATTGCTGCAGTGTAATTGTTGAATGTAACACTATGTAAAATAAGGATACTGGCCTGATATGAAGAAAGAGGTTGCCCGCAAACTATAGTCAATATCACCCTGCCTTCTAAGCCACCAAAGGAAGGAAGAGTGCATTTTGTTTCGCACAGATCCATGTTAAGAAGTTTTTGTTTCATTTTATTTCTTTGAACATTGGCAATCCACTTATAGCACGTAGAACTTATCTGTTAATCAAAATATTCACTTAAGATAAATCCATATTCTCCTTCCCTGCTGCATAAGAGAGTTCATTGTTCTCGGGAAATTCATTTTACCAGCATTTGCCTTGAAGTAGAAGGCATTCTCAGGCCATGATGTATCACCTAATTAAGGAAATTTAATTAATAACTGAAAATTATGGATGGTATTCCTTAACACATTTTCAACCTGAAGTGTAATCACTAATATATTTTGTAACTTTTGTTTTGAAACAATAACAGACTTACCAATAAGTTGCAAATAGAGTACAGAGAATTATTTTTTTTGCTAAGCCATTTAGAGGTAAGTTGCCAATCTGATGCCCCACCACCCCAAAAGCTTTAGTGTGTATTACTACAGTACCATTCTCCTACATTAACTACAAGACACCTGCAAACACTGGGAAGTCCACATTGCTCTATGACTGCTATCTGATGCCCGGACCCTGTTCAAGTTCCTCCAGCTTTCCCTACAATGTCTTTCATCACAAAAGGACCTAGCTCAGAAGCATGGCATGACACATGGCAATGTGTTCTCCAGTCTCTTTGATCTTCTACAGGATGGAACAATTCTTTAGTGGTTCTTTGGCCCTATGATCCTAACACTTTTGAAGATTGCAGGACCGTTATTTTGTAATATGTCTTTCAACTTGAGTTTGTCTGATGCTTCCTCATGAATAGATTCCGGTTCTGCATCTTTGGCAAGAATCACAGAGCGGTGGTGGGTGCATCCTCCCGGAGCGCAATCAGGGCTGTGTTGCTTCTCTTTGTCTCCTTACCTATGGTGTTCACTTGTATGATGGCTCTGTCCATCCAACTCTTTCACATAGAAATTACTCTTTTCCTCTTTATAATTAAGACATATTTTGTGGAAAGGCACTTTGAAACTAGGCATCTAACTTGTTTCAATTTATTTATTTATTCATATCTATACAGTCTTGTATTTTCCTATTTTATTAAATCAATTATACACCATTAGCATCACTATTTTATTTATTTATTTATTTATTTTTTAGAGATGGAGTCTCGCTCTGTCACCCAGGCTGGAGTGCAGTGGTGTAATCTCGGCCTGCTGCAACCTCCACCTCCCGAGTTCAAGCAATTCTCCTGTCTCAGCCTCCCAAGTCGCTGGGACTACAGGCACACGCTGCCATGCCTGGCTAATTTCTTTTTTGTATTTTAGTGGAGACAGGGTTTCACCATGTTGCCCAGGCTGGTCTCGAACTCCTGAGCTCAGGCAATCCGCCAGCCTTGGCCTTCCAAAGTGCTAGGATTACAGGCATGAGCCACTGCGCTTGGCCACCATCGCTATTTATTTTGATGTCCACATTGTCTCTGGTTTGTGCAGTGGGCGCCTCTTCAAGCTGGCCTCTGTGTCCTCTTGACACATTCCCACCATCTTTGGAGCCCTTTCCTGCTTTCTAGTGGAACAAGATCTTTCTGGCTGATCTTATTCCTGTCTGCTCCAGGCCTAAAATCAACCCTCTCTGATTTTAGGGTCCTGATTCTGATGAAAGAATCGGGAGCCCTGACTTTTTTTCTTTTTCTTTTTTTTTAGTGAACAGCATTTAGAGGCATGATCTAGGCATTAGGTGTTGGGTGTCACTGCACCAAGGTGAGGCCCACACACATTTACATCTACATTATAGATGTGTGTGTGTGTGTGTGTGTGTGTTTGTATATACTAATAGTCATGACTTCTCAAGGACATTTCCACTTCCAAGCAACCATAGGTTTCACTCCAGTTTTTGCCCTTTCAATTGCAGCTCCCTTGATCAACCGTAAAAAATACCTAGCTTCCATGATTTATGATAGATTTCCTTTATTGGACCAATTCGTGTCTGTAACCAGCCTCCTGTTTCTACTGCCATCCCCTCCTCATGCACAGATGCCTCCTCCCTTGGCTCCTGCTCTGATCCCTGTACCCAGCTTGTCCCCTGCAAGCATGTTCCCCTCCCTTGCCCAGGCTCTGACACCCCACACATGTGTGGATCCCCTCCCCTGTCCCAGCTCTGATACCCCTTGCGTGTGTGGCTGCCCCTCACCTGGGTGTCCTCTTCCCTGTCCCAGCTCTGACACCCACGCATGTGGGGCTGCCCCGTGCCTAGGTGTCCCCTCCTCTGCTCAGGCTCTGTCCTCCTGCGGTTGGCTTTCCCATTCTGGATGCACCTCACACACAGCTTTGTCATCTTTGGATGAATTTGGCCTCCCCCATCCACTGCTGGTGCAGATGCTTCCTTACGGGGCCTTGTCTGATGGCTTTAGGGCTGAATCATGCAGGAAGGAAGGAGAAGGACAAGAAGAAAAGGGAAGGCTGGGAAGGGAAGCGGGTGGTAAAATTGGTTCACAAGTACAAAAATGCAGGTAGAGAGAAGGATAATTTCCAGTGTTCGGTAGTATGGTAGGGAAATTATAGTTTACAACAATTCATTATATATTTCAAAATAGTTAGTAGAGAAGAATTGTAATGTTCCCAACACAAAGGAAGGATTAAGGTTGGAGGTGAGGGCTACCTTAAGTACCCTGATTTAATCATTACACCTTGTAAACAAGTATCGAAATATCATATATACCCCCAAAATATGTGCAACTATTATATATCAATAAAGAAAAAAAGGGAGAAAAGGTAGAACAAGAAAGAGAACTAACACATTTTGAACACAGCAATTATTAGTGAAAGAGGAAGAGATATTTTTCAGCCACTCTCTGATTTATTTCATACTGTTCTCTGCAAGTTTTTTAAATAATTGTTTTTTCTTTGTTATACTAACTGAATTTCGAAGAAACATTTTTCTGGAATCTGGGATTATGAAGACATGCTGGAATCCCTTAATGATGAAGGGAAGACAATATTTAATTATCAGAAAACTTAAAGAGAAGCAGTTTTATATTATCCACGTTAAGAATATATCATTTCTATATGATACATCTAGCGTAAAAACCAAAAGCCCTTAGTAAATTCATGATTAAGTAGAAAATAAAAATTTTACTTATATCATAGGATAACATGCATTTGACTGTAAGTTCCATGATAGAAGCAAGGAGTCTTTTTTGCTTACCATCATATCAAGGCAAAGGGAAATTGGGACTAGGAAAAGAAGATGTGAAACCCTTCTCTCCACCCACCTCATGTTGTGGTGGCTGCCTCCTGCCTGGTCCCCAGGGGTGGTGGCAGTGGTGTGGCCCTCAGAGGATATCAGAGGCTGGGATCATGCCTTCCAGCCAGGCTCAGTGGGTCCAAAGGTCAGGAGCCTTGGTCCAGCCCAAAGCTTGTGCGTGTTTAGTGCTTATTTCATCGTACATATACATCGTGCCTGTTCTTCATTTGCTGTACTTTTGTAGGTTAGTATCACTGTTGGCATAATAATGAGCCAACCTCAAGGAATTTCCATATATTCCTATGTATACATCATGATTGCACTTTGTATTTGAAACTCACTTTTCTTACACTTTTATTTCCTTGGTATTCATAGCACGTTCTGAATTTTCGTTTCATATATCTTTTATTTTCCCTTGAGAGGGAGGATAATTTGAATATAGATTTACTTAAGCAAGCCAGTTATGCAAGAATCCATATTTATTAAAGAAGCAAAGCTAAGGAGTGCTTATTGATTTTATAACAGGATTACTTATATGTTAGATAAATTTTATAGGATGTGTTTACACTGTGGATGCTTTAATATATTTAAGTTGTGATACAATTTGAAAAATTTTAGATTGCACCTAATACAGCAAATCATCTATGCCAAGTGTGTAATCAATAGCAATGTGGATTTGTTATGTAACTGAGTCTTTTTAAGTATAATTCAGAAAGTGTATATTGGAGTCTGGAATTAAATTGCATTTAGGATCTAATCTGAGAAGCTCAAAGGAAAAACAGCAGGTTACCAGCTGCCCGGTTTCTGGCTGTGGGAGAGACTAATTGTTAGGAATTTGGATCTCTGTTCTGACTGTTTGTCTTCAGGGAACATAGGGTATTAATTTTTTTCCACAGGAAAAGAAAAAGGAGACTGTACCATTGTCCATTCTGTATAGCATGAAGCTATTGATTGAGTAGAATCCATCTCTTAGGTTTCGCAAGCCATTGCTTACCTCTTTCAAAGGCATTAAAATTGGAAGGAATGGGAGTAAGGATTGGGAGGAGCTAAAAATAGGAAAGTGCCTAAGGTGACTAAATCCTAAAGCAAATCTAAATGCATTTCTCACCCTGCTTTCCTTTCTCCTCCCTGGTCCCTTCCCAGGCCTGACACCTATACCTTGGTAGAGTTTTGGTAGGGCCAGTGAACAAAACACCAGCATTAACATTTAATGCAGGACATCAGACTTTAAAAATGCAATGGCAATTTCTAGAACAAAAATACAAGAAAGTTAGAGACATGGAACTTTCATGTTGGTAACTAACAATTTGACTGTAATGGTAGAATGAGACCTAGGTTCATTTTCAGCATTTTGGAGCTGTTTTGTGGAGGGCATTGGGAGAACAGAGGTACAGGGAAGCCCTATCATAACATGAATTTCTCTTGGAGATTTGATCAAAGGAGCATAAAAAAGAAGAATTTATTTAAAAATAAAAAGTGACAGCCATCCATTAACTGTCTCTATCCTCTTCTTGATTCCATCATCTGTACCCTGTATTCTGTTTATTCTAAGCAATGGGTTTATGTCGAATATGATACTTTAAGTTGATTAAATGTTGGCTAGAGGCACCACTCACTAATGTTTCACTTGGCATCTTGGCAGTGATTTTTCTCTTAATTTCCCCAATCCGTGCATGTTTGATCCATTACTTACAAAGATAACGAGGCTCTGCTCATTCCAAATGTTTGTTTTTTAGGGAGGGGGTAGTTTGTGAAAGATACTAATTCTAGGCATCTATTAAACCACCAGTAATCAATCTTTGAAACCGTGTAAGACAATGAGAAAATCAGCATCCCCAATGAGAGTCACACAGGACAGACTCCTCCTATGTTCTTGCAGCACAGAATGAGGAATCTGCTAAGTTATATGAACTGAAGAGAATCATATATCTGTAGCTTGACTTCAACAAGAGCACTGCTCCGGTTCTAAGAGATTCTCTTTAAAGAGTAAGGAGAAACCCAGTGAGTTGGTGCCATGGAAGGAGGATGTACACATCATCACTTGGAGACAGTCCAGGGAGAGACAGAGCTGGGCTGATCCTAGTTATCTGTAAAACAGAAATGATTATCATGGCCTCTTCCTAGGGCAGCAGGAATGAGGACTTAATGAAAAGGACTTAAGTGGGCCAGGTGCATAGTTAGTGCTCAGAAGCATCAGGTATTAAAAATAATAACTACTGGATGGTAGGCCACAACATTATTATGTTTTCAGGGTGCAACAAGCTGGGCAGGCTGGGAGCAGAGGGAGGGGATGTGCTTTCTGTTTTTGCAGCAATAATCACAGCATGCTTTCTTTGAGAATAATGTGCATCAATTTTTACCTTTCCTAGGAGATGAGAGATCCCAATGGCCAGACTCTGGGCTAGTTATTTTTGAAACCCCTCTCAGCATCTCGTGAATGTCTGGACATGGAAGCGAATGTGAGAGGGTGGGAAGAGCAAGCATTTTGGCCTCAGGCAGAATCTGGGTTGGCCTCTGCTTCTCCTACTTCACAGCTGTCTGCAGTGAAGTAGATGTCCCAGGTACCCCTCAAGTAAACATTGGCTTCCTGGCCATTGAGAGTGTTGTCTGCAGCTGGCTTTCAGCCATCAGCTTCTTTGGGGAATGCTTGAAAACACCTGCCAGCCTGAGGTTGTGCCCTTGTGAGGGTGGCCCACATCCATGACTGATAGAGTTGAGGGTATAAACTCCTTCCATTTTGATCAATTGCAGGCAATTCTGACAGCCGTTTCAGTTCCAGGGTGTCTGTGAGTTTGCTAGTTGTTGGACTTGCATAGCAGGTTAGCTTCTCCCTGTGCCCAGCACCACTTCTGTCTTTCCCTACAGGAACTGATCCTGAGGGCACTCCCTAATAAACACAACCTCATTTCAGAATCTGCTTCCTGGAGAACCCAAGCTGCAACACTGCATGAGCTTAGCCTAATTATTTAGCTTGCTCAGTTTTCCAATCTGTAAAATGGCAGCAGCAATGGCCAACCTCCTTGTTTGGTTGCTGGCCTTGGTGCTGATTAGATGTGATGACCTCTAAAAAGAACCTGGAATCAAGCTAATCTGGTGCTTAGCCATCAATGAGTAGTAGGCAGCAGCAGCAGCAGTAATGTATTTTGCTAAATTTGCATAATTTTAGATAAGCTTTTAGAAATGGTGTAAAAATGCTTTGGGAAATATGTTCCTAATCAAAACCCAAATGACCTATGAATTGAGTAAGGCAAGAGTTGGATCATACATGTGTAAGACTGTCAGAGCCCAAGTCTGGTTCTGATTGACTGCCCTGACACTCAGGCTGGAAGACAATGGCATGATCATAGCTCACTGCAGTCTTGAACTCCTGGCCTCAAGCGATCCTCCCAGCTTGGCCTCCCAAAGGAGGAATCTTGGCTGGGATTGTAGGTATGACCCACTGCCGCGAAGCTGTTTTAAATGACACATCTCAGAGCCAAGTCTCCCAGCCCCAGTACCTCATCCAGATATAACCATCTATCCAAAAAACAACTCTGATCACTTCACTCTCTGCCTGAAATTCCTGGTGGCTTCATCCTCTGAGGATGATTTCATTCATCCTCAGAATGAAATCCTGGTTCCTCTGTGGACCCTTCAGTAGCCTCGATGTACCTTCCTAGCCTTGTCTTCTATTCTCCCTGCCATGGGAGCCCCAACAGTGCCATGCTCGTTCTCATCTCCACGTATTTACACATGCTGTACCCTCTGCCCAGAGTGCCTTTCCTACCCCTTCCCTGCCTGGCAAACTCCTATTCAACCCTCAGGACCTGGTTCACAGGAATGGCTTCTCAGGTCGCAAGGAGCTCCCATAGGACCCCATACATGTACAAATATCCCTCAGTCATGGCTGAACTTCATCCTAGCAAGATACTGGAAGCCTACGCTACACTGATGAGTGCAGTTAGAAAGTTCTGCTAATGCCTGAGGGTCTGAGCTCCTGAAGGTTAATGGAATAGCAGCCTTTGAAAACCCTTGAGACACAGTTCCTCAAATCACTCCTTGGCATAAGTAAGAGGGAAAAATACAAGAGTAGGCATATAGAGAGCTGGTTATCTTAGATTATCATGCCACTCTTTGTCTAGAGTGTTTTGTTTCTTAGAGAAGCCCACTTCTGCTACCCAGGCGACCTGGAGGGCCGCCGTTTTCCTCTAACTCTGACCAGCTTCATGGTACCTTGATAATATGGATCCGACCATGCTACATCTAAGTTTTGTGGTCTTGAAGAAATGCACTTCTACAGCTCCATGTCTTTGAATCTCTTCGACCACCCCCCAGATGAGAAACGGTATTGGTTTCCAAGGGCTGCTCTAACAAATTACTACAAACTTGGATGCTTGAAACAACAGAGATTTATAAATTCTGACATTTATTATCTCACAGAAATCAAAACCAAGGTGTTAGCAGGGGTGGTTCCCTCTGGAGGTTATGAGGGAGACTGCTTTTATGCCTCTCTCCTAGCTTCTGGTGGCAGCCAGCAGTCCTCGGCATGCCTTTGCCTCAGTCTTCATAGGTCCTATCTATGCCCCTGTCTTCACGTGTCCTTCTTCTCTTTGTCCCTGCACTTTCCTCTCTTCTGTCTCTCATAAGGACATGATTCATTGTATTTAGGGGCCACTCTAAATCCAAGATGATCTCATTGCAGCATACTTAATTATTTCTGCAAAGACCTTATTCCAAAAGAGTCATATTTTGAGGTTTCCAGTGGACATAACTTTTGAGCGAGTCTACTTTTCAACCCAACACGGATACTAACACCCACAGTTGGACTGCACTTGTACTTCTTTCCCTCCATGGGTTATTGCAGACTGTTCCATGTATTCTTTAAGGCCAGAGAGTCTGTGGGGTTTCCCTTCTCTTGCCTGCTTAGGCATTACTAAGCTCTGTAGTGTACAACATATGAAGATAGCTTCTTGGTAAGTATTTATGGTAACATAGGAAAATAAAGCAAAACTACAAAAATTCAGAGTGAAGAAACATATGGGAATTTCACCCTTGTTGAAACAAAACTATCATCCATAGAGCAAACAGAGAAAGTGTTCTTGCCGGACGATTGCAGATAGGTAAGGCAACTGAACTTCTATTCTTGATACTCCTTGCCTAGTTTACAAACAGGTGATATGTTCACATTAAAGAGAAAGAAAGAGAGAGAGAGTTTCATAGGATTTTCAGTGCATACACTTTTCCTCTAGCCACTTGTGAGTTCTCTCATTGTTTGTAGAAGTTTTTCATTTGATCCCCTTAGGTTTTCCGGGTAAGTAGTCATGTCATTTTCAAGTAGATTTCCACTTTACATATTTTAAAACTTTCTTCTCTTTCCAACTGCTTTGCCTTGTTCCTCCAGGAAGAAAAGAATTATCAAGGCAGTCATAGTAGACACATTTGTCTAATTTTTTATTTAGTAGGACTAATGTTTTCCCTTTAAGCTTTCTCCTAGCTTTTGGGTTAGGTTAATTAAGTGTTATACTGCGAAGGAAGTAGCCATTGGTTCTTATTTAGGGACTCCTTTGTTTTTGTTTTTGTTTTTTTAAGTGTAAATCTAGAACTGTATCAAAAGACTTTTTAAAACAAATCATTCGTGGACAAGACTGTATGATTTCTCTCCTTTTGTAATGTGGGACAATTCTTGGATTTTCAGAATTCTCCTCAATAGGTCATGTTGTGTTTTTCTTTAATTCGTGGCTTGATCCTTTTGAGCAATAACTCAATAAGGATTTTGCACATATCTCAATAATAATAATAACAAACACTTATGCAGCTCTGGCCATGGGTCAGAGATGATTCTGAGTGCTTTATTCATGAGCTTCTTTAATCTCAAATGTTTTTATATACACATTTATATGTAAATATGTGTATATAAACATTTGATATGTATACATATATATGTATATATGTATATAAACATTTGATATATATACATTTGATATATACATATATAAACATATATGTATATATACATGTATATATACACATATATACATATATGCATATACACACTATATTAAATATTGTTTTCTATTTTTCCTGTGAAAATATTTCTGTTTAGACTTACTTTCTCTTCAGGACGTTGTTTTTGTCAAAGATATTTTCATATAAATGCAGTCTCTTTCATTCAAGGTTTAAATTGTATTTCATAAAGTTGAGTAATCTCTTCTCAATGTTAATTCCCTCTGTATTTGCGCTTGATTTTGCCTGGTTAGTTTCTTATTTTTGGGATTTGCTCTTTCTCCATTGATTCATGATTCATCTGGCTGATGATTTGTTTGTTTTACTTTATTTCTTCAAGAAATGAATTTGGGATATATTTATTATTTTTATTGTTTTACCATTTTTATCTTGATTTTTTAATTAATGTTTTCATTTTGGTTCTCTTTTGTTCTGTATTTCTAACATCTTAGGTTAGATGCTTAACACACATTTTTTTCTCTCCCATTTATTTACATAAATATTGTGGCTATACATTTTTCTTCAAAAATAGCTCTCCCTCTATGTGTCTGATGAGCTCATTATCATTATTTTCTATATATTTTGCTAATTTGGTTGGGATTTACTTTTGACATAAAGAAACCTGTATTTTATTTTCAGGCAATAGGAGATTTATTTTCTGTTTTTATTATTAATTTTAGTTTTACTGCATCAAGATTAGAAATTGTCTATGTCCTTTCTTTTTGTCAATGTGTTCTTATCATATGAACTACATGTTGGTATGACCGTTGCTGCTTATTTTCACCATTAGCACCAGAACTTAGTGAGCATTTATTGTGTGTAAATCCCCATATCACATGGTGCTCATCAGTCCTAGTGGTTCCCATAGCCAATGGAGATGCTGACTGTGGGATCTTCATGCTGCTGAGATAGACTGTCTCCTGCAGATATTCCTTGATAATGTCATTTTCTCTGGAGTCCAGCCTCCTGAGTCTCCTGAATCCAGCAGGGGCTCCTGCCAGCGTTCATACCATTGTCAACTCATTGACTTGGCTTTCCTACCTCTGGGCAGGCCCCTCACTTTGGACAAGCACATCTCTGCTCCCTACTGACACCTGCCTTCTAATCTGTGTTCTCTTCTAGTGTCTTTTCTTGGCTTCTACTCCTGGGCACTGCTAGCTTTTGGTAGCCATCACACCCATGCTGGTGGCTGAGGGTTCTGTCAATTATGTAATGTTGTTGGAAACATAAATTGCATGCATGTTTCTCATTCTCTTTCGTGTTCTGAATAATTCCCACATGGAGAAGAGGAAATGTTGTCTTTGTGTGTTTAACTGGAAATGGTTTTTAACCTTTTCTTTAGTTTCTTAAAAATTTATTTTTTATGCCATGTCTGAACCTCAAACTCTAGACCGAGATATTAAACATAAGATGAGGGAGGGATGAAGAAAAGCAAAGATAAAGAGAGTGAGCAGAGTTTTATCATAATTTAAGATACTTTTCTAAGATCTCTAGCCATTGGCTGGTTTATCTGGTTTAGTAGAAGTTTAGCAGGTTTGAGTCTCAGCGTTGTTTTAAGGACTCATGCAGCTCAGCCTGATGTTCTAATCCCTGGGCATTCCTGCTTTCTTTTCCTCTTTTGAATTGCATCTGCCAGAAGACAGACCTGTTTCTGGGCAGACGAGAAGCAGAGCTAAGGCAGTGTGGCGGTGTCAGTGTCCCTGGACTTAAGTGGCCAGTGGTAAATCACTGATCAGAAGATAAAGGTTGATGTGGTGGGGGCCTCCCCCTGTTATATTCCTGCTGTAACCTGCTCTTGGTTATTATTAGTTTCTACAGGACCCCTCGTATCATAGTCATATCATATTTCACTCTGCTTATTTCTATGTGTTTCCCACCTCTCCTTCTGTTGCACATTCCCTGGGCCTTGAGATGAGCTTCTGAGATCTTTGGCAGAAACCAAAGCTTTGCTTTTGTTTGTTTGTTTGTTTTGGAGATGGAGTTTTGCTTTTGTCACCCAGGCTAGAGTGCAATGGCGCAATCACGGCTCACCGCAACCTCCGCCTCTCAGGTACAAGTGATTCTCCTGCCTCAGCCTCCTGAGTAGCTGGGATTATAGGCACCTGCCACCACGCCCAGCTAATTTTTTTGTATTATTAATAGAGACGGGGTTTCACCATGTTGGCCAGGCTGGTCTTGAACTCCTGACCTCAGGTGATACACCCGCCTTGGCCTCCCGAAGTGACCAAAGCTTTATAACAGTTTTATTTGCAGTGAGTACACATAGTATTAAATGGATGCATGATTGACTAAATCTAGAGTGTTTGAATAAATGCATCACTCTAATGCATGATCAAATGTAGACAAATAAAAAGCCTCTAGGTGTCTTCAGAATCTCCAAACCAGGGCAATAATAGGCAGTTCTTTCTTGTTGCATTCACCATCTCCAAGCATGACAGCTAAATGTAAAGTAGCTGAGTTAGTGGCATCCTTTAAAGGTAATCATGAAAAATGACCACGCTTCCGGCATCCTCAAACTTTGATGTTATTCTCTTGTTTTCTTCAAGATGAGTCAGATCCATACATGGATTTACATCTCTTTCTGAGCTCTTCACATTTATAGTATTATAGAAGGATTGGAGGGAGGATACGAAGGTGATTGAAACAATAAGAAATCGGATATGCAAAGAGAAGTTCAAAGATCTGGGATTTCTTGTCACTGGCAGAAAAATGAGCTAAGTTTGAACTGTTGCTAATGATATTAACATGACCCATAGAAAGTATCGTGGCTGGTGTGTGATTCCAAGCAGCCCCCGCGATGTTTGTCTCTGGAACAATAGAGATCACCTAACTTTAGCTATTTAACCAGTCAGAGAAGGTCGCCATTTTGATTTCCTATTAATATGGAATAAAAGGCATTTTCAAAAATACTATAGGAGATGCTGAGGGCATTAATTGGAAGTAAACTGTCCTACATCTAGCTCAAGAAGTTTTGTCAGTGCAGTATTTTACTGCTGCAAGCTGTGGCTTATAAAACTCTGATGTAAGGCTTATTAACAGGTTGAAGACTGTGTTTCCTGATTTAGTACAAAGGAGTTTCTCTGAGGCAAAGCTGGGCTTTCTTCTGGCCAATCCTCCAGACTTTCCCTGCTGAAGATTATCCAGACCTTTATGGGGTGGAAGTCCTATATTGCAGACATGGGGGTGCCCCCAGTGGAACACATTTCCACCCTCAGACCAATCGTGTAGGGCAGATTTGGCCATTACAGTACTGGAGATGATAGTCGTTTAGACAGGGGTGGATGGATCCCAGCCAAGAACAAGAGGCGACTTGAAACTCTCACCTGTGCAGGTGGAGTGCACCACTCGTCACTGTCATCCCCCCCACATGCCCCAGAGTCGGTTCAGGAACAGTGGGGTCAGTTGATTCTCACCTTGATTGATTGCCTCCCTTGAAGAATTTTCTCAGATGACTTTAGGAACTGGGATCTTACCCATGCAATACCTCAATATATCATTGCAAATTAGTTTCCCAACATTTTTAGTTCTTTTTGTTGCTTGATCTTCTGTATATCAAAACCCATTCTAGATTTTTGACTCAGCTGGAGTTTACCTTTACCTACTTACCTAGCAGTGTTTTTCATTCTCAGCGAACTATCACAGAAAACCAAACACCACATGTTCTCACTCATAAGTGGGAGTCGAACAAGGAGAACACAGGGACACAGGGAGGGGAACATCACACACCGGGGCTTGTCAGGGGGTGGGGGGCTAGGGGAGGGATAGCATTAGGAGAAATACCTAATGTAGGTGATGGGTTGATGGGTGCAGGAATAGTTTTTTTCTTATAAATAAGGTTTCACGTTGATCTAACATATTTAGAGTAAGAACAGTCATTTCTAATCAAAATTTGACTTAAAGTAATCAATAAATCACAGTTATTTACTGTCTTTAATTCTGTATATCCTATAGAAATAAAAGAATTTTGTGGATTTTGATTAAAAGTCTCACTGACTGTGTAGAAATTTTATTCTGGTTTTAGATTCTTATAGGAAATCTTACAAACTATTTTGAACTTACATTTTGGACCAATTTAAAATTCTCATTTCTTATTTACTATGTTTTAAAATCTAATATTCATAACATCTGCAAAGTAAAAACATTTCCATTTAATTACAGGACTTTTGATTTATACATAATTTAAAATTCATTTTTATTCCTGGCTCCAGGTTTCAATACATGTTTGTCTTAAGTGTTAGAAAACTCATTGTCTCCACTTCAGTGTCCCATAAGCTTTCAAATTAAGCATTTCCCAAAGTCAACTCAGTATTTTCCTGCTCAAGTGTCCTCTGTCTCTGTAGATGGCACCACCATCCTCTGTACTTCCCAGCCTTTCAATGGAGACCCACTTGTCGCCTCCTCCATCACACTCACCCCTCCATCTTGTTAGGCACCAGATTCTGTTTATTGCACATTCTTTGCTGTCCTCCCAAGTCACTTTCCTGCTATTCATCCTCTGCCTCTGCCCTGGGTCAGAATGCATCACTTACTGCCTGGGGAGCTGCGGGAACCCCCAGCCTCATCCTTTGCTTTCCAGGTGCTCATTCTAAAACTCAAGTCTGCCTTTAGAATCCTTCAATAGCTTTCTAGTACCTGCAGAACAAAGTAGTCCACATCTCTTGGTGCGGCATGCAAGGCCCTGTAGGACATGGCCCTGCAGCCTCCACAGCCTGGCCCCTCCCTTCCCTTGCATGGATTCTGAGCTCTGCAGATGCTGGGCTCCTCACAGGGCCCTGATTGTGCTTGGCCATTCCTCTCCTCACTGTTGTTAAGTCTGTTCTATCTCCATCTGGGGCATGCCAGCACTGTCACCTGGCCAGTGCCTAGGTGTCACCCACAGAAAGTCTTTGATAGCCCACGAGCCTATCCCAGGAGCTCACATTCGAGCTCTCAGAGCAGTCATAATTCTCCTCTCACCTGAATAACACTGGACTCTCTTTCCTGACTCCATCTACCCTGGGAGCTCCGTGAGGGAAGGAACTTTGTCTTTGATCTCGGGTACATAGCAGATACTGCTTACTGGTCAGACATAATATAAAATATTTTTTGTTGACTCTCCCAGAATAAAAATACATGTTTCCCTTTTTCAAAGATAGCATGATCCATAATAGAAACAGCTTTAATTTTGGAGCCAGGAAGACTTGAGCTCCAATCCCAGTTCTGCATGAATTGGTTGTATGAATTTTAGTAAGTGATTTAGCTTCTCTGGCCATCTGTTTACTTATCGGTAAAAGAGGACCAATAATGGAATACGACTGAGGATTAGGGATTGGGAGTATGTAATTCCCAGCTAAATGCTTGGCTCATGTTAAGTGTCCAATAAACGGTGGCTGTTTATTAGGTTATGGCTTTCTTTCTCTCTGGCTTATTTTTTGTTTATTTTTCAGTAACACACACATTATCAGCCTTTAAGGTTAGGAAAGAACTTCTGCTTGAAATATTTAAATGGGAGAAAACATTTGAGTTTTCTCATTTAAACTTTAACATTTTAAATGTTAATACATTTAAACATCAAGCAAGATATCCCATAATGGTTTTCTAGAACAGCTAATTGATTAATCATATAAACCTTAATGGGAAGAAATGCAACATTATGTCAATTAGATCAACAGTTAAATGTCCAAAACTGCAGAAACCATTATGTAGCATGAAAGGCAAGCAGAAAGAGTAGTTCACTGGTTTTCAACACAAATTTTTTGAATATAAATTTCTTTTTTCTTTTTTTCTTTTCTTTTCTTTTCTTTTTTTTTTTTTTTTGAGACAGAGTCTCACTCTGTCACCCAGACTGGAGTGCAGTGGCACGATCTCAGCTCACTGCAACCTCTGCCTCCCGGGTTCAAGTGATTCTCTTGCCTCAGCCTCCTGAGTAGCTAGGACTACAGGCACATGTCACCACACCCAGCTAATTTTTTATCTTTAGTAGAGACAGGGTTTCACCATGTTGGCCAGGCTGGTCTCAAACTCCTGACCTCAGGTGACCCACCTGCCTCGGTCTCCCAAAGTGCTGGGATGACAGGTGTGAGTCACTGTGCTCAGCCTCTTGAGTATAAATTTTAGCCACATTGTATTTTTACAAATCAGAGTACAGTTTTGATAAATCTGTCTCTTGTTAATTAAGATAATTCATTACATTGATGTCAATTGCAAGTTCATTGAGCTATCCAGCAGACATATTTTAAGCAACTGCTATATTCCAGTACTTTTCAAAGGACTACCAAAATGCATGGGATTAAAAAAAAAAAAATAAAACCTCATGTACCTTAGCATCTACTAGGAAACCTGTGTTCTTAACCTCCAGAAATGTGGATTCACTACAGTTTGCAGACAGTAACTGCTTCCTTTATAATAGAATTGTTCACTAAATAATTAGCCATAGTCAAGTCATGCATACTGTACCAGATTCTGCATTTAGAACCCAGAGGATGCCTTAAAGTAATATTGGGTCTTTCCAATCACTCAACTGTGAAGTTGTCAATAGGTATTTCGAGTGAGATTATGAGCAGCAATGGAAGATTTGTGCATGTTCCAGAACAGGGATTGACAGTCATTTTCTGGGAAGAGTCAGAAAGGAGACATTTTCAGACTGTGGGCCATCTAGTGTAGGTGGCTACTACTCAGCTTGGCTCTAGGAACAGCTAAGGACAGCACGTCAGCAAATGGTGTGACTGTTGGCCAACAAAACTTTATGTACAAACATAGGCAGTGTTCGGGCTTGGCCCATGGGCCTGCTCTAGGATAATAAACCGTAATCGTATTTCCACTTTCAGGAGAATAATTTATCACCCCACAAAGTCCTTGACTCTCTGCTGTTAAAATTATGTTACTAAACACAGTTAATTATTGTTTCAAAAACTTATAATATGCAACTTCCAAAACAACTCTTTCTCTTGAAAATATACTCCTCGCAACATGGATGGAGCTGGAGGCCATTATCCTTAGCAAACTAATGCAGGAACAGAAAACTGAATACCACGTGTTCTCACTTATCAGTGGGAGCAAAATGATGAGAACACATGGACACATAGAGGGAAACAACACACACTGGGGCCTCTCAGAGGGTGGAGGTTGAGAGGAAGGAGAGGATCAGGAAAAATAACTAATGGGTACTAGGCCAGGTGATGAAATAATCTGCACAACAAACCCGCATGGCCCATGTTTACCTATGTAACAAACCAAAAAAAAAAAGAAAGAAAACATACCCTCATCTGTTTGTTCTTTGAGTCTCAGAATAAGCTCACTTGTGTTAAATCCCTGGTGGATGTGAGGTTAGTTTTTATCTAATTGGTCTCAACACCTCCACTCTGGCTGTAAGATTTTTATCCTTTTTCCATCTCTAATTTCCGCAATACCCCAAATGTGTCTGAACATCCTCTGCTGGATTTTAAGCAGATGCTTCGGATTTCATGAAGCACATTTACATTTTTCGACACTGTTGAAGTGTCTGGGCAATTTAGGCACACATGCCATAATTTTTCAGCTTGCAGGGGACTGTTAAATATTTCCCCAAAGAGTCTCCAAAGAGCAGAATGAATATTCTGAATATTCCAGGACACACTGGTGAGCATTTCTCCCAGTTCTTGTCCCGGCTGGGGTCTGCATTGGAAGAAGACAGGCTCCTGTCAGTGAAATAAGACTGCTCTTTATTTCACTAAAGCATTGCTGACTCACAGTGCTTCTCCTGCTTTCCCACCTTCTATTCTCTCATTTGAATTTGGTCCGGATTCAGGGGGTGGGAGCAAGGGAAGATCAGAGACTTCTTAAGATGAAAAGGCACTCGAGGACTTCCGTCCTGTACTTTGGAGTTGTCACAGCAGTCTGCTTGTTCAGCCTCAGGTTTCACTCTCTCAGCTGAGAACGTTCTCCTAATGCTGTGCTTCCCATACAATGGCCCGCCTATAGTCAACCCTCCTGACCAGTGTGCATGATCTCGGCACAGCGTATCAGCTACTGGAGCCGTTTACATTTGCATCAACTCCAGTTTCTCTCTTCATGAAATAAGCAAGTGATTCTAAGTGACTTAAGCTCCTGAGTCACAATCCAGTTTCATGGGGTCTTAAAAGACCGTTGAGATATTTTGTACAGAATATCTGAAAATGTAGCCTGCAGGGTTTTCATGGTCTGCCCAAAGCTGGGTCTAAAAATAAAATCTAAGCTGACTGGCAGCATGAGAAGTGCCCAAATCAGCAGATGGTGTGAAATGCAAGACTTGTGAAATGAAAATATATTCACCAGAATACACATCCTTTCCCATTTATTAAAGGTCTGATGGGAACACATGCTCCTGGTAGACACACAGTGGGCTGTTTAATCAGGGGAATGTCAGAGGTAGAGGGTGTCTGTCTTTGAGCAACATTCTTGATGAGATCACACACGAGCTTCCCAAGGACAAGACATTAGTGTAGCTGGGAAGGCTGTGTCACCAGGGGACCTGGCCCCAATGGACCAGGTGGCCCACAATGGTCAGGTGACCCATATCCATGTGAAGGGGAATTTTCAGGTACACCTTTCAGGCGTCACCCTTGGTTCTAACTGCCCTGCATTTGAGATCAAAGGCTTGTTGGGTGACGGAGGAGAGGCTGAGAGCAGCCCTAGAGCAGCTAGTGATGTCACAAGTCTGGAAGAGATACTAAATCTGATGGAAATGGAATACAGAGTCCAAAGAGATTTCATCCAGTTAGAACATGTGACAAATTGTTGAAGATTAGAACAAAAATAATAAAAATACATGTAAAAGAAATAATATAAACTGAAGAGCCTCTATCATAATGTTGTTACTATGAAATGCAACTATTTCCACGAAATGGATGGATAATAATGAGTGGGTTAACATTCACTCATTAGTTAGCATTGAGCTGACTTATGTTAACTAGCATTTACTTTTCCAAGCACTTTACACATCCTGACTCATGTGATCATCCACACTCTACACAGAAGGACATGTCGCCCCTTCTACTTCAGAGGGAGTGGCCAAAGATGACTCAGTGGCTCAGCTTATAAGTGGAAGATGTAGAATCTGAACTTAGACAGGCTGGCTGCAGAGTCCCCCCCATCAACCTACTCTCCTGATGTTCCAAATGGTCCAAATAGGAGACTCAGCTTTCTCAGAACTCATGTGTTGAAAGTAAAATGTTACATGATTTATGTGACTTTAATGGCAGACTGGGGATGAGTTTTATTTTTGTCACAGGGTCCATAACTGGGTTATACTTTACAAGAAAGACAGGTAAAATATTACAGAAAAAAAAAAATGGATCTCTTCGAGGCCATTGAGCCATTGCCAGTGTCCCTGATTCAATTATGTTTGTGAAGCCCTGAGCAAATACCCTCATATTTAAAATGAGGAGTTTGGAGAAAATGATCCTGAGCTCTGTTCCAATTCTGTCCTTTCATGATTTGCTAAACAAAGTGTAGTGCATTTATGTAAAAACTGTGTAAAAAAGGAAGATGGAAGAAACTCATGGTCCACTGAGAAGTGAAAGGCCTGTGGTAGCAGTATGGCTATGAAATGATAGCACCCTGGCATTCGCCACGCAGCAGCGCTGAGAAACTGCAATGTTGCCCTCAAGGCCTTCAGCTGATTTGGTGAGGCCTACCTTCATTATCAAGGGTAGCCATTTTTACTTAAAGTCAAACTGATTGTAAGTGTCAATCACTTCTGCACAATACCTCCACAGCAACACCTAGATAATTGTTTGAGAATAATTAGGTAGCATAGCCTTGCCAAGTGGACACATAAAACTATCACATTCCACCCCTTGTCAACTGGACACTCAGGCACATCCACTTTAAACCATTTCTCTAGACAAAGACAGTAACAAAGCCATGTTTCTTCATAGCATGAAACAACTGGCCTGCATACTACTGAAAATACACTGACATCACCAGAGGGGTGTGCAGACTCTGTGGAGTGCTGTTCACTTTTTTATATCCTGTAACTTGAATATTGTGCTATCATTAATACATCCTATGTTATATGATAAGATGATAAAAGTGGAAATAAAAATATGCATATATATGTTTGTGTATAGATATATACAAACACATACAACACGTATGTGGAGTACAATCTTCTTATAAGGTATCAAGCAAATTTTTATTACATTGCTTGGTGTACATCATATTCAAAGGCATCATTAAAATAAATATGTTCACCATAATGCTATTATAGTACAGTATCTGAATCTAATTAATATTTTAATCTAATTAATATCTCAATTGATTAATATTTTAATTAATTGGATTAGTATTGTATTTCAATATTTTGATTTACTTTGTTTCTTTGAAAAAATAAATCTTCTTATTTGAGTTGACCCTTTTAGATCAATTAGTAATATGTAAATCCTAAATTTTATTTTCACTCTAAAATGCTTTAAACCTGAAGTGAGTTCAGCTGCCAGTCCTAGGTTCCCCAACAGTTAGTGAGTCCCTTCACACATGTGAAACCGATGAAGGTTTTATTAGGTTGGTGCAAGAGTAATTGCAAAAACCACAATTACCTTTGCACCAACTTAATAGAGGTGCATATCATCTTAGATCTCTCTTCCAAAACCAAGGGAGAGATGCACTCATCAATAGCAGGGATAGAGATAAAAATGTCCCCATTGGCCAGGCACAGTGGCTCACTGTGGCCTGTAATCCCAGCACTTTGGGAGGCCGAGGTGGGCGGATCACAAGGTCAGGAGATTGAGACCATCCTGGCTAACATGGTGAAACCCCGTCTCTACTAAAAATACAAAAAAATTAGCTGGGCGTGATGGAGGGTACCTGTAGTTCCACCTACTCGGGAGGCTGAGGCAGGAGAATGGCATGAACCCGGGAGTCGGAGGTTGCAGTGAGCCAGGATAGCACCACTGCACTCCAGCCTGGGTGACAGAGCGAGACTCCGTCTCAAAAAAAAAAAAAAAAAAAAAAAAAGATTGTCCCCATTAGGCCTGAGAGCAAGTCAGCTCCCTAGCACTTAACCCCCATCCTTTCCCTGCCCCACTCTGGGTTGAGCCCCTTCCCCATGACAAAGAGCCCACCCATCAGAACATTAGCTCCCCATGGAAAAGAAACAGGCAGATCCTGCAGAGCTATTGAGGACCAGCTGAGGCCAGCAGGCAGCATTGGTTTCCAAAGCTGCTATAACAAATTACCACAAGCTTGGTGGCCTGAAACAATACACATTTTACAGTGTTGGACGCCAGAAATACAAAGCCAGTTTCATTGGGGTAAAGTCAAGGTGTTGGCAGGGCTGGTTCCTTCTGGAGACTTTATGAGAGAATCTCTATCCTTGCCTTTTCCAGCCTCCAAAGGCTGCTGCGTTCCTCAATCATTCCACCCCTTTCTTCTACCCTCACGTCTCCAATTTCCTCTTTCATACTCCTGCCTCCATCTTACGAGAACCCCTGTGATTAACTGGACCCACCTGTGTCATCCAGGATGCTCTCTCCATCTCAAGCTCCTGAGGTTCATCACGTGTGCAAAGTCCCTTTTGCCATGGAAGGCAGCATCCACAGGTTCCAGGGATTAGGATGTGAACAACATTGGAGGGGCCATGGCTCAGCTCACCCCTGGGGATTAGAACGTGGACATCTTGTGGGGAGATTGTTCTGCTCATGCTCAGGCCCACACCCTCCTGGGAGGAGAGGTGAGTAAAATAAAGGAAAAGAGTGGGAGAGAGTTTCCAGGGAAGTCCCTCCTCCTGGAGACATGAGAAAAGGGAATCATGCAGAAATAAAAAAGGAATGAAACCCAGGAGTAACCTGGCTGTCCCCACCCGACTGACTCCCATGGAGAAAGCACAAGGAACCCTGAGTGTTTGATGGGTATGCACTGGGGCCAGGCCTGGGCCTACCTGCCCTGAGTCCATCCATGAAGCAGCTGGCTTCCTCTGGGCTAGCAAGGAAGAGGTCTGCAGAGACCAGCGAGAGAGCGAGCATAGGAGCAAGATGGGAGCCGTAGTCTGTGGAGCCTAATCTGGCCAGTGACATCTGACCCGTCACTTTTGCCTATTCTGGTCATAAGAAGGAGGTTACTGGGTCTCACCCTTAAGTGGATGGGATAACATCAGAACACAGATATCAGTAGGAGGTGGATCTTGGGCACCATCCAGGAAACTGGCTGCACAGATGCATGCCCCTCCACTTGGTGTCCTCACGCATCCCTCTCTACAGTGCTTCTGGGAACCATATTGGATTTACCAGGGTCAGTATCCACTAATGTGGTGCCTTTGGTTTCTCTCCTTTCTACAAGGAAAAGAAAAATAATTTATTAGAGAACCTGTTTCCTACTGGTGAGTGTTTGAGTGTCCTGGATACTTAAAAACCAGGGTAAGTTTCACCTTCCTGTTAATGAAAGAGCTGGTTATGGGAGGATCTCTGTGCCTGTGTGGCCAAGGAACAAGCACCCATTCTGCTCTCGACGTGTAGAAGTTTCCAGTGAATGAACACTTTGTCCAGACCTATCTGCCCCCGCCCCAAAGTCACAGCTTAGAAAAGGGGTTTATTTCTACAGTGTTTATTTTTAAAGTGTCGACGATTTTGTGCTTGGAGAAGCTGGCCTGTCCTTCAGAGGGGCAGTTAGTTCTTTCTGAAGGTCATTCTGACAGTGACATGGCAGTCCTTCAGCATGCGGTCGGTGGGTTACACGCCAACCGATAAACAGCCCTTTTGCTTCTTCCTTCTTTCCCACAATTGCACTTCCCAGGTAATCCCTTCCGTATGGGCAGTTCAGCTATGGTAACTGGAGGCTGGGAGATTGAATGTACTGTCAGAGCCACCACAGCTTCTCCAGGCAAGTTGTCTGCGCTGGGTGTGTGCAGACGGGGATTACTGCAGACCAGACATTTGAAGAAATTTCTACTTCCTAATGATCATTTTCCAGAACTATTGACAGAAATTCACTTCTTCTGTCTTAGGAAGCCATCCCTTAAAGATAAGCTTCTTCCCTCCCATCAGTAACTCCTTTCACCTATTCCAATACTGATGCCATACAGCCCTCCGTTAGGGGACACAAAATGTTTTCGGAAAAGTACCCTAATAAGGTTATGTTTTCTTGTGCGGATTCCTATGGTCCTTTCTTTACAAGACAGAACAGAAATCCAGTTCATCTAATGCTTTCTTTTAGGTCTTTATTTTCCCAGCTATGTCCAGAGTTGGCTTTGAATGAATGGTAACGCATGACTAAATACATCGATGATAATAGAGATGGTGGCTGACAACAGCATTTATTCAGGGCTTCCTATCTGGAGCAAGCAGTTTCCAAGGTGTTTGACACGTTCTGTTCTGTTAAATCCTGGTAATAAGATCCCTACCTCCTTTTTTCTGGTGTGAAGACCGAGCCTGGGAGAGATGAAGCGACTGGCCCAGGGCACACAGTGTGGAAGTGGCAGAGCTGGATTCGGGGGCAGGCATGTAGATGCCACCTCCTGCACCCACAGCCAATGATTCCCCTTTCCCCAGAGCATTCAATCAGGCTCCAAGTCTGGGTCATTCCAGAATATACCATGAGGCTCCATACTTGCTTTCTTCCCTCACGCCTTCACTTAGATCTTGCAAAAGCAGGCTGGATCATGTGTTATGCTTAAGATGCACAACCTGCTAGACTAAAATCAAAATGCCTTTGCAAGGCCGTCCGTGGGCTGTGCCTTCTCCAGCTCGCCTCTCTTTCAGCTGTCTTCTCCTTCTTTCGTTTACAGAAGGCACCACACCTCCTCCAATGCAGCATTTCCTGGCTCCTTCTTCTTCCTTGGGGCTCAGCTTTAAATTGTCACCTCCTTAGAGAAACCTTACTTTATGGCCCAGGCAAGTCCCCATGTTCCTTCTCCTGAGCCCGTTTGGCATTCACCATAAACAACTTTACATCATTATTTGTTCAGTGTCTTTCTTCCCATCATTTTTTAAAGTTCCATGGGTATATGAGAGTGGGATCTACTCTCAGAATATGCTACTCCTGCACACTCTCAAATGGTGAATAGCAGAGCTGCTGCTACTGATGAGGAACTACACATAAATAGGATGTTCCTCAAGGGAAGGCTGGGGGTGTCACACCACAAGTGGGTAAAAGCAGGACCCACAGCAGAGACTGCTGGCTTTCTTACTTGATTTATTCTCTCATCCAATGCTATGGTGCCTGGGCTTCAATACAGACTCAGGAAATACTCTGTGTCTCTATGAATTCATAACCTAATGGACAAGACAGACATACTTGGATAATTACAGTAGTCCCCTTTCTTTCCCTGCTGATGAAATTGAGCACCAGGCCTGGGTGGCATGGGTGGAGAGGCCCTAATGCAGTCCAGGAGATCCTGAAAAGCTTAATGGAGCAGTCATAGGTATGGGTCTCGCATCCTGTCTTTCTTACCTGAGGACACACGCTGGCAGATGGGCGTGTCCGGGGAGACCAGGACCTGCCAGGTGCCCCTGGTTCAGATGCAGAAAGGTGGGCTTTCCAGGAATTTCTTACAAGCCTTCAGAATTAAAGAGCTTCTGAGCTTGCCTGTCTCCTTGTTCCCTGTGTTATCAATGGCGTGCCTGGCATACCCAGTTCCAAGCAGGTGATCTTTACCTGTGCCTCTCTCAGGGTTGACACGCAACGTTTTGTAGTGAGTAGATGTGTCAGCAGGGGCTGACCTGCTGTCTACTTTCAGTCACTTCTCTCATGGTTTTGTTTTTGACAATGGAGCTGCTCCTTCCCACACCCTCACCATGTCAGACTTCTTGCGGAGGGACTATGCAAGTCGTCCGTCCTGGAGGGACTTTCCCACAGCTCACTGCTTTCCACTGGTGAAGCCCATGGACAGCATTACACTATTTCCTGTGCTCTGAGATTCAGGAGTCTTAGTTATGGTAGTGGCCCCAGCATGCTGCTCCTCCTTTATAAATTCCTCCTAGTTTCTGGGAACCCCATATTCTCCCTCTGGGATCCATGCAAGTTAAGCTGAAACTGCTGCTGCTTCCATTGACACCTGCCCATTTCAGGGCTGAATCTGAGCGGCATTTGTGAAACTGTTTTCTTTTCTGTATAGGGCCGAATTAAACAAACATATCATGTCAGTTTTGTCTGGGAAGTGCAAATATTAGCTAGAGAAGTTTGTATAGGTGAACTATTTCTTTTTAAATTAATTTTTGTCTTCAGTATAAAAAGAAAAAATAGCATTATCTACTTAAAGTAGTCATGAAGGGTCTACTTTGTAAATATATTTTTATATATTACTATAGTATAGATAATATATAAATTTATGTTGTAAATTGTGTGTATATATAGGAGTGTGTGTATGTACAGGTATATATATCATAATGTAAAAGCCAATAATTTAAAACTGGGTGAGAAAATAAAATGCCACATAGAAATCATTGTAAGAGTAAAGATTTGTAGCAAATTTTTTTAGAACAGCTGGCAGAGTGAGCATGAACCTGCCTGTCATTGTGTTGTATGTCTGTGTCTGCATGAACAACTTCTATTTCAGTTTTGCACCAGCAACTCCTAATTATTCTGTCCCTTCAAGAATAAGCTATTACAATCTCAGTGTTTGCCAGTAACTTTAATGGTTTTTTTCTTAATAGCAGTGGATCTGAAATGTTTTTTCAGGCTGAAGTGCTCTAATTCCTGAAATATGTTGAAAGTGGAGTCGAGTTGACACAGTATGTCCATACTTTAGGCCCTGAAGAATCTTCTTGGCAGCTTGCCTAGAACCCCAAAGCCATCTGTGATTTGCATACAAATGAACATTGTGAAATTAAAAATAAACATGCAACCATAATATTTACTTGTCTGCCTTTGTTTCTCACTCTGGGAGGAGAGATAGTAGGCTGAGTGCATTCATTTGTCCTGAAACCCCAGGGCTGAGTCGTTCATCTGCTGTTAGCAGCAGATAATTACAGGTGGTGTTTTTGGAGGCGAGGATAATGATACTGAAAAACAAGTTAGAAAGACATTCATGAAGCTGGTAGTGTTACATAACTGCTATAGCCTCTGTCCTGTTCACATTTTCTTCTAGTTCTTACAAGGGACCATCAGTGCCATGAAGTTGGCATATGAAGCAGGAGTGGTGAGGTGATGCTGCTGTAACAAATGACCCTGAGATCCCTGTGACTGACAGCAGAGCTGCTTCCTGTTGCTACATTAGGTTTCTGTTGTGGATAGTGGGCTGCAGTTCTCACACCATCCTCTTTCCTCCAGATCCCTGGCGAAGGCAGCACTCCCATCTGGAGCATTGCTGGGCTCATGGCAAATGGAAGGGAGATGGCAGAATCCTGTGATGTCCCTAAAGCTTCTGCTCAGAAGGGGCTCTGGTCACTTTCACTGATCATACTTTAGCCAAACTTTATGTCAGCTGGGCAGGAAAATGTAATTCCCCGAATAGGAAGGGGATCACAAGTCACAGGACCATGCCTGAAGAAAATGGGATGGGAAGGTATCACCCTCTCAAATTTTCTTTGCATTTTAAGACACTTTCACAAGCAAGTGCTCATTTGCTGCTGATCTTGGCTTCACCACCACTTGAATCTGAAGAGTTCTCTCCCTGTGATTATGACTCCTTTGGCTAAATTTTGATAGTCTTGTTTTAAGTGCCAACATTCGTTTCTCATTTTTAGGGCCCTACGAAGTAGCCCGGATATTTTCCCTTCAAAAATTCTCATTGTGCAGGAACATGAGATGCAGTCCCCCGACAAGAGGCCAGGCAGCGTGTGAGTGGTGGGATGTAGCCCTAGGTCGTACCCGGAAGTGGCTTTCTCCAGCCACTATCCACAGGATCCTGGATAGACTAAACTTTCTGTCAGCTCCTCCTTCAGATAAGTCTATTTCCAGTACTTGCATGATTTATTTTTCTCACAGCTTCCCTCTTTGGAATTCAGAATGTTCTCATCTAGTGGCCCAACAACTGGCTGCTGTGTCTCTCCACTTGGTTTTCCTGGGACCCCAGGGATATTTTGCAGATAGAACCCTGAGGTCCTGTTTTGGCATTCCAGCCTTCCAAAAGTAAGAATACAGATTAATCCTCACCCACTATGGCCCTCTCTAAAATTCTCTCTATTGAATTGAGTGGCTCACCTTTCACTCAAATGACAACCAGGAACTTTTTCACTATTAAAATTGGAACCCAAGCCTTCTTTGTTTTGTGAATTGATGAAGAACTTTTTTTAAAGAACGAAACACATCTTGATTTTTCTATAAATTCCCTTTTACTTATTACTGAGAAAGTTAACCATTAACAGTCTACTGGGTCTAAAAATCCCTGTCCCCAGAAGTATCATTAAAGAAGAAGTATGAGTCTGGAATGAGCATCACTGTGGAAAATGAGACTTTGACTCTCCCATTGTTCTATGGGAATATCTCAATGGCAGTGACCCTGAAGTGAAAATTGCATCATATGAAGAAGTACTTTGGATAAACATTTCTTCTCTAGACATCTCTGTCAACTTTGGGATGACCAAGCCTGTTGTCAGGACCCCATGAAATGTCTATGTCCCTCTTGGCCATGAACTGTATTTTCTCCTGCCTTCTATTATTCTGGAAGAGTGTTCTTGCCCCACAGCCAGCATCCCTGTGTCTTGTCTCCCTGCCTCTGGGCCCAGTCCACTCCCTGCATTACACCTTGGTGGGCCCTCATCACTTACCTGAGGCAGCGCCCATCCCAGCATGGTATCCCATGCCCTTCATCCTCACCTGTGCGGTTCCACTCACACTCAGCATCTCAGCCACACTGATCTGCTTAGAAATGCCTGAGCCACCTGCTCCCTGGGGCCCCTGGAATCTGATAGTGGACACTCCATGGCATTCTCTCTTGTCTTTGTACCCTTCTTTTCTCACAATTTCTATTCATCATTTTAAAATCAGCTTGAGAGTCACTTGATTTAAGAAGCATTTCTTGACAACTCACAAGGAGAGCTAGGCCTCCCTTCTTCCCTCCCTCCCTCCCTCCCTCCCTTCCTCCCTTCCTTCCTTCCTTCCTTCTCTTTTTCCTTGACCCACACATACCAAAAATTGAAAATCTTCTGCAAAAGTTTTAACCTTCTGATCCTTGTGTTCAAGGGTCATAATTGCTTTTAATGAATAGAGCTTCCTTGTCTTCAAAAATCAGTCTTCCCTGCATCAAATTTCACTCTCTTGGTGGCTCTAAAAATCTTATTTGGGGTTGGGAGATGCAAAGGAAAGAAAACTATTCTGAGTTCATGACAGTTAGGATTCAGAGCCTGCACTATTTATGTTCACAGTTCTTTTAATCCTCCTGACAATCGATAAAGTTACTATTATTGTCCCATTGTAAATATTGACAAACTGAACTTCAGAGGGTTGAAATGACTCAACCAAGTCTCCATTGCAGGGAAGCGTCAAGATCAGTGTTCTTATTTTGCATTGTCCTGTAACTCAGTAGACACAGGCTTCCATATAAAGACTCAAAAGTACTTAGAAATAATATCTATGATTTTCCTTTAAGAATACATTAATAATTTTATCTATGTGTTCTTTTACTTATTCCAAATATTTAGGAAAGTCTACAGTGTATCAGGTACTAGTGATTCCCAAGGGTTGAATTATCAACCTCCAAAGGGTTGAACAGCCAACACTGATATCCAAACAAAACCAGTATCAGTGTTAATCAGCAATGGCAGATTGTATTTTTGTAGGAAGCTTATTTCAAGAGATGCCATAGATCTTTTTTATCACATACTACTAGATATGTTTCTTTGAATGCCCAGTATGTAATTATTAACTGGTTGAAAAAGATTTGGAGAGACCTACAGAGGTCACAGATGCCTTTGAAAGCCACTCCATAACTAAACCTTGTCTAAACTTATGCCCAATATCTTTTTTCTGTATGTATATGCCTGTGGGAAATGTATTATTTGTTCATTGTGTATATTTAATTTTATTACCTGAACAATATGTCAGCTAAAAATAATGAAATCAGTACAGAGTTGTGCCATTTAATTAAAATTACTATCAATGGCTTAATGAGAATCCTATAATATTTGGAGGTAGATTTTTAATAGACCTATCGATTGGAAAGAGTAATAAATTGGCCATAATTGCTTTCAGTGAACAGAGCTTCCTATCAGGTATAGAAAGGGTTCTTTCATGAAACCAGCTGAAGTACTGGGATAAACCTCTTCAAATAAACTGACTTGTTAAGACAGTGGAAAACAAACTTTTCTCCTTAATCTACATTTTAATTACATTGTTTTTTAAAAAATCCATCTGAAAATGAGGGCCTGGGATTCTGAGTCTTTCATCAGTGAGAAGCAGTATTTTGATGGTTGACAGACTCTTTCAGCCTCTCTGCACATGTCAGGACTAAGGAGAAGCTGTATTTCTTTATTGCAAATCTTTTTTCTTTCTTTTGCTGAGGAAATAAAATCATCCACATACTGTATTTAAGAATATTAGAAGAAATTTTATCTGTTGTGCCTAACTTGCTTGGGAGACTTTGAATACAGTAACGTTAGTCTTGTTAGAAATATTTATTGAACACGATACTTGTTAAAACTGTTCTGTGGCAACTTCTTCTGATCCCCAAAAATCACTTTTAGGTCATTCAAGTAAAATGGTAGAAAGAGCTCTGAAGAAAGAAGGGTTAAGTAGATTCTCATAATATTTTGTTATTTTGAATTATGAATGTACCAAATAACTTGGCCTTATTAACTTTTAGGAGATCTCAGCGTTTGTAAAAAAGGCTATATTTTTTCTTAGGTTGCCCTTGTACTAAAGCTTTAGAACCTGTATGGTATTTTTAAATATTTTTCTGATAATACATTATTTATTATTACTCTTTTTAAGTGGGAGGACCTTCTATGGCCACCCTCCATCCTACTAGTAAAGAAAAAGGCTGCTGTTGTGCTGGCCAAGCCTGGGGCTTTAAACTGGCCACTCAGGGGACAGGTTAGCTATTGTTTTGTAGTCTGACCACTTTTTGTTTCTTTCAGTGCCCTTTTCCTTTCTGGAAAGCCTGATAAGACTCAGACTCACACAAGTTCAGTATTCTCAACAGATGCTTAAGCCCAAAAACATGCTGGTAAGAGAAGATGGCCACAGAACCATTTAAGTTAGCATTTCAGTGTGAACCCACGATCTCTGTACTCATTAGGGAAATGTTCCATATCTTGACTGTTCTGGTGCCTAAATAGGATCCCAGATTCATCAAAACTCATCAAAAAGCACATGTAAAGTGTTGCAGCTCATTACATGTGAGGTTAACCACAGTGGCGTTCACTGCAGTCTTCGGAGGAGCGCAGTTCTGAAGGCTGCTGGCCTTTGACCTGGCCCTGTGGAAGGCCCTTCCGGGCTCTCTACTTAGGTCAAAGAAAAGGCTTGAGCATCAGTTGTGCAGACTCAACTTGTGTTAGGAAAGTCTGGGCCTTCTTTTCAGGCTTCCCAGAAAGGAAAAAGAAAGAAAAATAAGGAAAAAGTGGGCAGACTACAAAACAATAGCTCACCTGCCCCGTTGCTTCCAGATGGTCTTAAATTAAACTAAAGTCAGTTGGGCCTGGGTAATGATTTTGAGAGAAGCATCACCAAGACCCTGCAGACAAGCATGACATTGCTGCAGATAAGCTGAGGGGACAGAAGCAGGGAGGGTATGGTGGCTATTAACTGTGGGGTGCCCCAGGGCTTGGCGAGATGGCCTTGCTCCCACTGTGCATGAACCCTGGGGTCAGGGACTGAAGGTTTCTCTCTCCCCAGCCAGTGCTTGGGAGCACCCAATCCTCTGATTCAATCCAGAGCACCTTACCCAGGGTGTTCCCAGTGGGACACAGAGCTAGAAGCACGAGAGCAACCTCTATTTCCTTCTCAATATGGAAAGGAAAATGTGAGGGAATAGCAAACATGTTAAGGTTAGAAAAATGAGTTCTTGCTGGAGTTACTTTGAAAATCCCACTATGGCATGAATTATTTAAGAAACATGGAAGGCTTAGAAGTTATACAAGTGAAAATCAGCCATTCAAGCATCTTGTGTCTTTAAAAAAAGGGCATTGGAGAAAAAGGGCAGGTTTAAATAAACAGACAAGCAAATAAATAGGAATTTGTTTATTAGTGATTTCACTTCTGAAAGTAGTTATGCCAAGGCCGACCAAAGAAAAGAAAATGATTAGTCAGATGTTTTCAAATGTGCTTAAATTTAGATTTTCTTTCAAACGAAAAGTAAGTAAATAAAGGGATTTGTCTTGATTTTTCAATAGAGGCATTAGTTATTCTGAGCACTTTTGTCCCACATGAGAGAACTTGAGGGTTCCAATGACATTCTAAACAGTAAACATACTTTTGCATTTTAACCATAATGGGGACAATATGCTATTCTTAATAAAGAAGTGGTTATTTGGGAGCTGGAAGTACATATTTGATTTTAATTATAATCAACAAATGTTTACTTGCCATAAATAAGAGTCTAGGTGGGGTTTGGTTGTGCATTTCCATATTGTGGTTCTTTTAAAAAAATATATGTACTAAGCTCTTTGTAAGCTCATGAGACTGCAGATTTGATCATTTAAGGCCAAAAAGCATGTCTGTTCAGTGGCCAGATCAACTTCCTTTAATCATCAAGTTTTTTGTGTTGTTTTGTTTTAAGTTCCAGTAAAGAGGGTCTTGGGTCAAATCTGCCTTGTTTTGCAGGTCAAGTGTCAGGCTCTGGCTAGAAATTCAAGCCTGGAGCACATGGTTCATGATAGATTTCATAGGATCTAGGAACCTTCTGAAATTCTGTGAAATATTTTATATATATGCAAATGTCTCAACAGTTTTTGTTAGCTATTCATAGAGGTAAGTGACTATCCCCAGAATGTGAAGGAACGGGAACTATGCTGTTTCTTTGCAACCTGGTCCTCTCTCAGCTTCCCAGGTGTCATCCAGAATGTATCCTTTCCACCTCCCCACAAGATGCTTGAAGGAAGGAAGTGGCAGTTTCATAAGCAGTTCATCCTCAGATCAAAAGTCATGCCTTCTTTATGCCATGAATACGTGAGTGGGTGTGCACTGAATTCATCAATGTCCCTTTCTATATTTGAACTGTTTTAAGATACATCTTGACAATCATGTATCCAACTTACTGTTATATGATGGCCCTGTTGAATCTGCCTGTGGCCTACAAGGATCTCTTCCTTGGAAAGTTTCATCCTACAGGGAGTTAGATGCATCTTGCACTCAGTTACCGCCATTCATTCGTTCAGCAAACATCCATTGAACGCCTGCTACATATTTGAATGTTTGCTTTCAAGAACCTATTCTAGTAAAAATTATGAAAACTTAAGTGGCACTTGATATTTATGTTTTGCAATATTTGTGCTTGTTTGTGTTTTCGGGTAGGAATGGATTTTTGGCAAATTGTTCAGATCTTTAGCTTTTACACTGGTGAAAGTTAATTCATGGTATAATTTCCGTTGCTTCACTCTAGATAGAACACAAGTTTTATTTGGTAACTGTTTGTATGTTACAGATATTTATTTAAATATAATTGTATATGTCCATAGTCAAAAAGCACTTTAAATACACAGGGAGCTAATTTGAAAGATGAACTTAAAATGAGAGGGTTAGGTACTTTCGAAGCATGTATAATTTATTTTAGGAATATGACATTCCCATAACTTTAGGCTCCATTTGTATCTTATAAATTTATGTGGTTGCACCATTTGCATGTATCTTTTCATGTATCTTTTTGAATTATACATATGTTTTCATAATGAGACTTAATTTTAAATTCTAATTCAACTCAGGAAAATCAGTGATCTCCCTTCTTTTACAGACACATGTGAGCGCACACACACACACACACACACACACACACAGACATGATTCTTGGGTGATAAACAATAAAATTCAAATGAATATAACAAAAACTTTGCATTGTATCTCATGTGATAGACCTGTACTGCACAATATGGTAGCCACTAGACAAATGTGGCTATTTAAAATTAAATTTAAGATAAAAATGATAAAAAACTTAGTTTCACAACCACATATACCACTTATTTGTGGTGAGCAGCTACCATATTGGGTGCTTGAAGAATATAATTTATGTAACCCACCGCCAATAGCTATGGATTTAGGTAATTCCCACTATTTCAATATTCTAAATAATTCTGTAATGAACAACCTTATATATAAATTTTTACACATATTGATTGCATCTCCTTTGTGTGCAGTAATTCATTCATCAGTCAGTGAATAGTGTAGAGAAGTCATTATGTCCCTAGAACTGCTCTACAGGAATAAATAAAAAATAGTTGCAGATCTCTGGTACCATGAGACTTATGTTCTAGAAAATAAACAACAGAGTAAAAATGAATGAATGAATGAACAGTAAATTTGTGAATAAATTTGCATCACAAGAGTTCTTACTAGGTATGTATTAGTTGAGCCATTATTGTGATTGTAAACATCTGTTCTCAGTATGTCAAGCTTTAATTCTGCCAGTGGTAACTTTTTTCATACGGGAAGTTTCAACATTATATGTTTTGAGTTTAAAATATTTTCCATTATGGCTTATGCTTTTGAGGGAACTTTAGACCAGGGGTCCCTGTCCCCAGGGCTGCAGACTGGTACTGGTCCATGGCCTGTTAGAAACTGGGGCGCACGGCATCAGGTGGGCAGCAGGCGAGCTCGCTTTACTGTCTAAGCTCCGCCTCTGTTACAACAGCAGCAGCATGAAATTCTCATAAGAGCGGGAACCCTATTATGAACTGCACGTGCAAGGGATCTAGGTTGTGTGCTCCTTGTGATAATCCAATACCTGATATTCTGAGGTGGAACAGTTTCATCCCGAAACCAACCCCCCTGCCCCACCTCATCCGTGGAAAAATTGTCTTCCACAAAACCGGCCTCTGGTGTCAAAAAGAGTGGGTTCTGCTGCATTAGACCCAAAGAGCACCAACTACAAAGAAACGATAGATGATTTTAGTTCACTAAAATTAAAAATTTTATTTGTGCAAAGATGCCATTTTAAAAGTAAAGAAACAATCAGGACCAGGAGAGGATGTTTTCAATGAATACAGCTAATAAAAGTTATCTCACCTATAAATCATGAAGCAAAAACAGTTTATATATATATATAAACTTTATAGATATATATAATAATCACACATATTATATATGTGATATATATAACTCAAGTGAGTGTATCTAAATGACAAGTAAACAGGGGAAGAGATGCTCAACCTCCCTAGTAATCAGAAGAATGCAAATTGAATAACGAGGAGGTATAATTGCACAACCATGGGACTGGTAACATGTTAAAGTCTGACATACCTGAAATAGCCTCACAACATGTTTGTTTGTTTTTTAGCTTTTATTTTAAGTTCAGGGGTACATGTGTAGGTTTGTTATATAGGTAAACTTGTGTCCTGGGGTTTTGTTGTACAGATTATTTCATCACCCAGGTATTAAGCCTAGTACCCATTAGTTATTTATCCTAATCCTCTCCCTCCTCCCACCCTCCATCCTCCAATAGGCCCCAGAGTGTGTTCCCCTCTTTGTGTCCATGTGTTCTCATTTAGCTCTCAGTTATAAGTGAGAGCATGAGGTATTTGTTTTTCTGTTCTTGTGTTAGTTTGCTAAGGATAATGGCCTCCAGCTTCATCCCTGTCCCTGCATAAGGACACGATCTTGTTCTTTTTATGGCTGCATAGTATTCCACAATGTACCACATTTTCTTTATCCAGTCTACCACTGGTGGGCGTTTAGGTTGATTCCATGTTGTTGCTATTGTGAATAGTGCTGCAATGAACATACATGTGCATCTGTCCTCATAGTAGAATGATTTCTATTCCTTTGAGTATATACCCAGATACCCAGTAATGGGATTGCTAGGTCGAATGGTATGTCTGTATTTAGGTCTTTGCAGAATTGCCACATTGTCTTGGTTGAACTCATTTACACTCTCACCAACTGTGTATAAGCATTCCTTTTTCTCCACAACCTCACCAGCATCTGTTGTTTTGTTTTGTTTTGTTTTTGGTTTTATTTTTTTTTTTTTGAGATGGAGTCTCACTCTGTTGCCCAGGCTGTAGTGCAGTGGCACAATCTCGGCTCACTGCAACCCCTGCCACCCGGGTTTAAGTGATTCTTGTGCCTCAACCTCCACAGTAGCTGGGGTTACAGGTGCACGCCACCACGCCTGGCTAATTTTTGTGCTTTTAGTAGAGATGGGGTTTTGCCATGTTGCCGAGGCTGGTCTGGAGCTCCAGGGATCAAGGAGTCCACCTGCCTCATTCTCCCAAAGTGCTGGGATTACAGGCACTTTGTGCCTGGCCTGTTTGTTTTTACTTTTTAATAATAGCCATTCTAACTAGTGTGAGATGGTATCTTATTGTGGTTTTGATTTGCATTTCTCTAATATCAGTGATGTTGAGCTTTTTATTATATGATTGTTGGCTGCATGTATATCTTCTTTCGAAAAGGGTATGTTCATGTCCTTTGCCCACTTTTTAATGGGGTGGTTTGTTTTTTTCTTGTACATTTGTTTAAGTTCCTTATAGATGCTGGATATTAGACCTCTGTTGGATGCGTAGTTTGCAGAAATTTTCTCCCATTCTATAGTTTGTTTTCTCCATTGATAGTTTCTTCTGCTATGGAAAAGCTTTTAAGTTTAATTAGATTCCATTTTTCAATTTTTGCTTCTGTTGTGATTGCTTTTGGCATCATCATCATGAAATATTTGCCAGTTTCTATGGCCAGAATGGTATTGCCTAGGTAGTCTTCCAGGGTTTTCATAGTTTTGGGTTTTACATTTAAGTCTTTAATGCATCTTGAGTTAATTTTTTTGTGTGGTGTAATGAAGGGGTCTGGTTTCAATCTTCTGCATATGGCTAGCCAGTTATCCTAGCACCATTTATGGAATCCTTTCCCCATTGCTTGTTTTTGTCAGGTTTGTCAAAGATCAGACAGTTGCAGGTGTGTGGTCTTATTTCAGGTTTTCTATTCTGTTCCATTGGTCTGTGTGTCTGTTTTTGTACCAGTACCATGCTGTTTTGATTACTGTAGCCCTGTAGTATAGCTTGAAGTCAGGTAACATGATGCCTCCAGCTTTGTTATTTTTGGTTAGGATTGCTTTGGCTATTTGGGCTCTTTTGGGGTTTAATATGAATTTTAAAACAGTTATTTCTAGTTTTGTGAAGAATCTCAGTGGTAGTTTAACTGGAATAGCAATGAATCTATAAATGGCTTTAGGCAATATGGCCATTTTAATGATATTGATTCTTCCTATCCAGAAGCATGGAATGTTTTTCCATTTGTTTGTGTCACCTCTGATTTCTTTGAGCAGTATTTTGTAGTTCTCCTTGTAGAGATCTTTCACCTTCATAGTTAGCTGTATTCCTAGGTATTTTATACTTTTTGTGGCAATTGTGAATGGGAGTTTGTTTGTGATTTGGCTCTCAGCTTGACCGTTGTTGGTGTATAGGAATGCTAGTGACTATTGCACATTGATTTTATATCCTGAGACTTTGCTGAAGTTATTTATCAGCTTAAGAAGCTTTTGGACTGAGTCTGTGGGGTTTCCTAGATATACGATCATGTTGTCTGCAAACAGGGATAGTTTGAATTCCCCTCTTCCTATTTGGATGCCTTTATTTCTTTCTGTTGCCTGTTAGCCCTGGCCAGAGCTTCTAATGCTATGTTGAATAGAAGTGGTGAGAGAGGACATCCTTTTCTTGTGCTGATTTTCAAGGGGAATGCTTCTGGCTTTCTCACATATGAAGAAGCAAGAAAGACCATACTGCTGTTGGGGGTGAAAATGAAAAAGCCTACTTCAGAAAGATAAAACTTTTATGAAAATTTGGAGCAGAAATGGCACTTGCCTGTTATACCTGGAAAGAGTAGTGAGTTCTCCCAAGGAGATAGATTTTAGAATATTTATTTTAGCATCATTTATGATAGTAAACTACTGATAACAACTAATAAGTGTCCATTGATAGGAAAGTGAATAATCAGTTGTGGTTTATTCAAAGACAAGAGCATTAATCAGAGATTGATGCCATGAACTAGACATATGTGCACTAACAGAGACAGTTATTCAAAACAGCAAATTGAGTAAAAATAGCCCATTGCTGGAAACTGGGTAAATGTCAAGATGCCATTTTGTAAAATTAAGACATAGATAACAGCCCTGCATTTTGTTTATGATGAGATCCACATAAGGTGAATGTGTGGAAAGAGACTGGATGCCAGTTGCCTCTCTGGAGAGAGGGACGCTAGGTGTTGCTCACTAACTGGTGTGGTACTGTGTGGTGTGTCATTTTTAAAGATGGTATGATAGCAAGTTTAAGGTGTTTGCTATATTATTTTTTCTGTACTCTTCTGCCTTTTGAATGTTTTCAATTTTAAAAAGCAATTAAAAAATAGTAACAAATTTTCTAGTGCAAGGGAGAAAATGCCACTTAAAATTGTCTTTATCTCATATCTACCTGGAAATAACTGCCTGCATTTTTTTAATAGTGTTGACCCTTTATGCACATGTCTGATATTCATGTATCATTTTGAGCTTTATTTTTTTGAAATTTGTGGTCTTGAGACTTCTGCACCAGCCTGAATTGAAGGTGTTCACATATGTTTCTTATGCAGAACAGTAATGTGAAAAAAGTCTGTCCAAATTCACTAACAGGTTTTTTTTTTGAGACAGATTCTTGCTCTGTCACCCAGGCTGGAGTGCAGTGGTGCCATGTCAGCTCACTGCAACCTCCACCTCCGAGATTCAAGCGATTCTCCTGTCTCAGCCTCCTGAGTAGCCAAGATTACAGGCATGCACCACCATGCCTGGCTAAATTCTGTATTTTTAGTAGAGACAGGTTTTGCCATGTTGGCCAGGCTGGTCTCGAACTCCTGACCTCAAGTGATCCACCTGCCTCAGCCTCCCAAAGTACTGGAATTACAGGTGTGAGCCACTGGGCCCAGCCTGCTTATTCTTTCTTCTTAAAAATATGTTCGTAGTTTGTTTTCATTGTTGATATTTTGTTCCCACTCACTTTTAACCGTTCATAAGGAAAGGTTACGATTATGATTAAGCATGACCTGAAGACACATGCTTGCATGCTTGGGCTCCTTCTGAAACTTGATACTATTTAGTGATTTTCATTTTTTATGTTTCTATTTTTTCAATGCTTTTAACAGATATATTCAAATATTGTCATGAATTGTTTGATGGCAGGGATGTGTTCTGAGAAATGCATCGTTAGGCAATTTCATCATTGTGCGAACATCATAGCATGTACTTACGCAAACCTAAATGGTGTAGCCTGCTACACACCTAGGCTGTGTGGCACAGCTTCTTGCTCCTAGGCTATAAACATATGCAGCATGTTGCTGTTCTGAATGCTGTAGGCAGTTGTAACACAATGGTAAGCGTTTGGGTATCTAATCATAGAAAAGGTACAATAAAATACAATATTATACTTTTATGAAACTATCATTGTATATGTGATTTGTCATTGATTGAAACTTTCTTATGCAGTGCATGGCCGTATAAAATGTGAACTTTTAGAATGTGAAGACAAATAATAAATATGTATCTTTGCAGTAATGTTAAAATGTATAAATAATTTCCGAATGCACATATTTGCAAGGTGTTGAAACATGGTTATTGTAACATAATGGAGAATGCCTGCTTTAGCTATTACACAAGTTATATGTTTGGCATCTAAGAAGATACACGTCACTGTGTTGGGGACTCATTCTGTTTTAGGAATAAACTGTTCATATTGTTGCCATGATGCCATTGCAGCTGCCTTTATGCCTTGCTGTCTTCCCTCTAACCAGACGGAATTATTCAGATTCTCCAAGTTGCCAATTTGGTTAGGTCTAAGCTAATTTTGATTCTCTATAATACTAAGTCTTCACACTCAGGAATATCGTATTGCACATTTAGCATTGTATTTGCATGATGTTTTCTGTATACATCCATAGACTCCGTAGTATGTATGTAGGCCTTATAGATTTCTTGTTAATTTCTGAGTGTTTTATATAGTTTTGTTGATTCCATGAATGGGTTTATAATTTTCTAAAATTATGTTTTTAACTAATTATTGTTGATATATATATAAGAAAAACTCTCAATTTTAATATTTGGCGCTTCTAACAAGTCAACTAGTTGAACTTTTAGTAATCCTATTGTTTTTGTTCTGTTTTTTCCACATAGATGAACATGTCTGTGAATTATGACATGGTATAATTATATTATCATTTATAATAATTTTTAATATTTATATCCCTGATTTTATTTTTTTATTTACATCTATGTATCTGACGAAGTTAAACTCTGGGAAAGATATTAAATAAAAGTGGTGAGAGTGAGCATCCTTATAGCATCTGATAATAATGGAAGGGACTCTCTTGCTTATCTTCAGTATGATCTTTGTAGAATTTTATTTACCATGACAACTCATTGTTTAGGGCCATTGTTGTACAAAATGACTAGTGTCATTTTCTGTGCTGAACAGGAAATGTAGTAGTCCTTTATATTTCACTTAAAGAGTTTACACAAGTAATTTCTTTGAATCATTTCCATCCTGGAGCATGCGTGCACAGACACACACGTGTACACAGACAGACAGACATAGACAGACACACACACACACGGCCTTAGTAGTGGGAAACAGACGACATTGATGAACACAGGTTTCAAAATAGCAAAGGCTGTTAGTTTAGCTAGAAACTACAAGACTTTAAGTTTTTACCAAATGCTGTCCTTTTCTTTATTCTCAGTGGGTTTATGAACTGCTTTCTAGACTGAGCCTGGGACTCCATTAATAAGTCATCAGATTTTATTTTCTCTATTTGCTAGAACCACCTTTGTAGGGCAATATTAGGTTCTCATTTCAGTTAAGGAAAATGGCAAGACATTCTTATTAACTACATTTCCTTTATTTAATTTTTTTAAATTCTGTATCTCAGGTTTAATCAGCTTATTTTGCTATCCTGCTCATTGTTTTAAATGCATTATATTGGTCTTGTTCTCATTCCTGACATCTTGGAGACAAATTTAGTGTTTGATCCCACCATATTTGGGATCTACTTATGAAAGAGGTGATCTCTGATATTTATTTTTAAGAAAGTAGAGTTAAAAGGAATTAGCAGGTTACATGGTTTTAATGGAACCAACATGAACTTGCTATGTATGAATACCACTCCATCTGTATCCTCTGTCTTTGTAACTGAGGGAAATCCTTAATTTTCCACAGTCCTCTAGGGTGCAGCAATATAGAACTTCACAGCAGGTGAGTAAAAAATAAAATATGCAGAGGAAACTAGCGATGAGCATACCCTGCAAAAGAAAGCTGCTGATCATACCCTGAGGCGCCCCTGAGTCCACAGAAGCTTCTGTGAGCCTGGCAGGCTCTGGAGACTTGGGCTATGAAGGTCTGCTCCAAAGGCACTCGTTTTTTTGGAATCACTTGCTTCATTCTTAAGATCAAAATGTGCAGGCTGCATGTATTGCAGTCTTCCTGATAACACATTCATAGCAGTCCTAATCATGAATATGGAGTAGAGTGGAACTTCATATATAGAGCTTTGTATTACCTAGACAAAAAGTAGCATATCCCTGTGAGGGTGCACCTTGGGTCCTCCTGAAAAGCACAAGGCAGAGGTATCGTATATGAGAACACAGGAACTTTATAGCTTTTTAAGGCATCCAGTGCTTACTTTGCAAGTTCCTGGCCTCAATTTTACTTTCTATCTTAAAACGTATTGCTGTTGGTTCTCTTCATGTCCTAAGGTTTAGAGGAGTAAGGACACTTAGTAACCTTGCAGCACCTTACCCGTTGTTTATGTTCCATAAATATTGATTGTGTGAGTGCATGATCAAATAGGCTGGGTACTACAGTTGATTTAAACAAAGACTCCTCTTGCTTTTATCATAAGTACCATCCCAATCACTTCCCATATGGAAATTGCACATTTAGACTAATTCTGGTCACATGCAATGCTTATGTCCTTATTCTTATTTGATTTGCAAGTGAATTTAATTAAACAGATCATTTGTTTGAAGATTAATTCTGTAAAACATAGTCTTTGTAAATATATTCAAGACCTTCTTTTCTCCCCTTGAACATGGTAGCTTTAGTTACTTAGATAACACCTTTCCCCCAAAAGCAGTTAACTAGGGTTGGTTATCTGTTGGTCTAGTGCTATTTCTTCCTATTCTGTGAGCCACCATAGCCATGAAGCATGAGGACACATTTATATGCTAGGTTAAGGAGATGGCAAATTTAATATTCTCTTCTTATTGTAATGAGGGATGTATTATGATATGAGTAATGTACTTACTGAGAAGTTCAAGGGATTCATTGTGATCTAAGTGCAAACAATAACCATGGCCTACTACAGGGTTTCCAGCATGCTGGGCACTTTTCTTAGCCCTCTGCATATATTAACCCATTCACTCCTCACAGGAGGCCTGGGAGGCATGGAGAGGGTGACTGATTCCTTCAAGGCCACCCAGCTGGCGGGTATTAAAACTGGAAGCCCATCCTGTGTGCCATGTCCCTGCCTGTGATCTTCATAGTTGCATCAGCCTACTTCTGCAAACTCAAATCGCTCTCTGCTCATAGTTATTGTTTCTCTAGATTATGAACTAGTTTTTCCTGCACCTGAAATGCTCATCCTGCCACCCTGCCTGCTAAGGGCCTTGGGCTTTGAGGAAAGGTACATTATAAATCACTTGGGTCCCGGGCACCGCCACTACCTAACAGAGCTCAAATAAAGCATAGCGAATGTCACCCCAAAGCAAGCGGAAGGTTTTGTTCTGTTCTTGAGGATTCACAAAAATAACAGCCTAATGGTATACAAGACTATTACCAAGAGATAATGAAAAAGCATCATCGGAGACAACAGATCGTGGTGAATTCAAGAACACACATCATTACATAAAGGTTTCTCTAAGGTTTATGCAAATTGCCTAGCAGTCATGCACATGTAACAGTCATCACTTTATTTATCACTTAACAAATAGAAATGCTGAAGCAGGTGGATGTGAACTTGCTCATCTCCAGGCCACTCAGAGCCTGGAATAAACGCACATGGGCTGTAAAGCCCTCATGCCGGTGGCCCAGCTCACATGCTGGACTAGAAGGAAAAGTTTCTCCTTTCTCCTTGCTGGGCTCCTTCAGGGTCAGTCTTTTTACTTTCAGAAGTTAATTGCAAATTCAGTTGATATTATTCAAGAGCCTTTCAAAGCACACATAAATGAAACGCTGGGCAACTCATTAAGACATTTATCAGAAGTGCTTTCAGTTTCTTTTCAAAGCTAGAGAAATGAATGCAGAATTGAGTAGTTCTCATTAGACTTATCTTTCTTATATGCTGAAATAACCGCAGAACTTACAGACACCCTTGGTTATAATAATTTTTATGGCCTCCATTTTAATATCAATAGGGAAGAAATGAAGCCTCGGTAAACACTATTTTGAGCCGCTTATTTTCTCCAACATCAGTTTGCTTCACAAGATTTGGAAACAGACTGTGGCAATCCCAAAGTTCAAAAAACAAAGTCATGCTCACACAATTGTAGTTTGAGCTACAAATAAAATTGATTGTAGGCCAGTGGCTGCCTTAGCACAGAGTCCAGGGGGCATGTGTCTATATAACAATGTAGACCAGTATCTGCCAAATGTGTTCACAGACCCAAGTCTTTGAGGACACCTCTACAGGCAAAGAGCCTGTGTCCAGATGGTTCTGGGGGATGGCCATATGCTGTCTGCTCCCCTAAGAAACCGCATTGCCAAATGACGATTAACAGCCCTTAGAATCCCAGAGCACTGAGTCCTGAGCAATCCAGCTTTTCCCAAATAAATGTATTTGACCATGGGAACTTTTTCCATTTAACATCTAATAGTATCCCTAGTTCTCAGAAACCTGCTTTGAGAAAGCTCACTTAGCTTTTTTCCAAATGAAAGAAAAAGTATATCTAGCCTTATGTTCATAATAATGAGCAAAATGTACTTTGCAAGAAGGATTTTTCTCTTGGAGCAAGGGAAACGGCTACACAGATGTTTATCAGGGAGGAAGAACTTGGGTTCAGCAAGGAATTGCACCAAGATGGGTCAGCACATTCTGAAGGCAGCTGTCAAATACTCATGTGCGAAGATGCCTTCCCATCAACGTTGAGAAAGGGACACTGCGCTGGGCGCAGTGGCTTAAGCCTGTAATCCCAACACTAGGAGGCCAAGGCAGAAGGATCACTTGAGCTCAGGAGTTCAAGACCAGCTCGGCAACATGATGAGATCTTGTCTCTACAAAAATTAAAAAAAATTAAAAAAATTAGCCAGGCATGGTGATGCACATCTGCAGTCCCAGCTACTTGGGTGGCCAAGGTGGGAGGATCGCTTGAGCCCAGGAGTTTGAAGCTCCAGTGAGATACGATCGAGCCACTGGACTCCAACCAGGGTGACAGAGCTAAGAACCTGTCTCTAAAAAGAGAAAGAGAGAGAGAGAGAAAGGGACGCTATTCTTATGAGTAACAGACTCATAGGACACTCCCAAACTCTGTTTCTTCTTACTAAGTGTGTTTGTAGAAATAAGCCCCACTTTGTAGATGTCAACTTCGCAACAGCCAGGAGTCTTGGTGTCATGAGATGGCATGGGATAGAGGGGCCAGTTCCTTCTAGGTGAGATACTAAATGTGTCAGGTTATGGGACCTCAGATTCCTCAGTGGCAAAACAAACAAACAAAGAAAAAACAGAATTAGTAACTGTATGGTTGTCCACATGTTCTGGGATTTTCCCAGTCAAATTGCAAAGTAGCATTTGGAACTTTCCAAATATCATAGTGTTTTGGCCTGGGGGGGAGGTATTAAAATGGCTAAGAAAATAGCAAGTGTTCATTATAGTTTATTTCAAGTCTGTCTTGACCAGTTTCAAGTGACTTATTTGTAAAATGCATTTTAAAATAATTCTAAGTAGATTATATTGCCAATTCATCACTTAATAGATACCTACATTTGTGAGATTCTTTTCAATCTGTGTCTATCATTGGCATAGTGTTTTCTTAGAGACAATCATGATGTAAATATAATTTGTTCTCCACTTTTTGGATAACAGTTTAGATAAATTTTTGTATGTGTCTAAATCACTTATTGCTTACCATTTTATTGCTGCAGGCTTTGATTTTTTAAAGGTTTACTACTGTATTATCTTTGAATTGAGGGGCAGTAGTTCTTGATGCTTATGTATTTTGAATTAGCTCCCAAGAACAAGTAGAATTAGTTTAAAAGACTTCTCTCTGGTTTCTGTTGATCCAAGCACAATAAACTTATCTGCAATGGATTTTAGCATTTGCTTATTTTTTTTCCCTAAAATGATAAGTTAAAACTGATACTTCAGGAATTTGTGTCCTTTTTCCTTTAATTACCAATGAAGCTGACATTTTCTTCAAGGGCTGTGTTCTTCTTTGTAGTTCTTTTTGTGTAAACTTTGATCTTCTGGCCTTCTTTCTAGCTGTATAGCTTCCTTTGTTTGTGTGAAGTATAAATTTTTTCTCAATTTTTCAGCCATGAAGTAATGGACTGGGTGTGAGTCTAAGTTAATATGGTTGTGTTGAGTTTAGCTTTATTTAAGCAGTTTGGAAATTCAAACTCTACCAGTCATATTTATTTCTGATGTTTCCCAATTCCTGTTTGGTCTTGGTTTTCTTGGGCTTCACTGTATAGAAGTACATAACATTTATATAATTGCCTCATTTCCGTATTTATTCAACACACATTTTCTTATTTGGTCAGCATCTATGAAAGAATTCAGTATGTTAGATCACAGAAACACAAGAAAAATCTAACCTACACTGAATTATCAAAAAGCAATGGATGTACAAAGCTGAGATGCAACAAAGTGCTCTGTCGTCCTCTCTTTCTCTCTCTCTCTCTCTCTCTCTCTCTCTCTCTGTCAGATGTCTTCTGTCTTTAACTGCCTTCTTGTTGTGTGCTCACCTTTTTCATTAGAGCTGGTTCTATCCATTTAAGAGAAAACAACATTCTGGGTTTTGTTTTTAATAGTTTGTGATCTGATTTTTAGAAATATTTCACTTTTTGTTCATTTGGCACTCAATGTAGTATGGAATGAGAGCTCAAAATCAAACTACAGCTTTCCTTTTATTCACACACATTTCTCCAGCAGCATTTATTTCATAGCCAGTTCATGTCCACGTGGTCCTGGCAGTCCTAATTGATATTATATTAACTGATTTAAATATCTTGGGCTCTAATCTTTGGCACTCCAGCCTTTCAGTCTTGATACGGTTTAATCAGATGCATACCTCTTAATTAATCCTTAGTAAGATATATTTAAAAGAAAGTTGAAGAAGCATATGGTATTATCCTTAATGATGGTAAAATAATTAGCTGTTTGACAGCCCTTTTTTTTTTAAAGTTATTTCTCTTGGGTCATGGAAATTTTGTTGTATGAGTGCTTTGTCTCACTTCCAGAGGTGTTCCATAGTTTAATGGTGGAATTTCTCACTGGGAGTGAAAACAGAGTCCAAGATGGGAGGTGTTGATGCATGACCATAGTGTTGGCTTCTAATAAAGGCAATGGTTTCACACCAGATAGGCTGTTTGCTGCTGCTGCTACCAGAACTGGAATTTTCCCCTTCTTGGAGATAAAATACGGCACTTTAGAATTTTCTAGTTAAATCAAAAATTCACCACCTCTCCTCACAGCACAGTGCATAACCAAGGTGAAATTTTATTTCATTCTATTCAACTGACAACTGTTCTAGAAAATGTCTTATTCTTTGTAGCCGCGTAGCTTTCCTTGCATGTGAAGTACATTTTTTTTCCTCAGTTTGTCAGCCATGATGACATGGAGCTGCATGAGTCTAAGTGAACATCTGTAGACTTCCCATCTTTTCCAATTAAACTGGGCAGTAAAACCTGCAGTGTCTGTACATGGGCTGTTTGTCAAATAGACTAACAACTATGGTAGACTGCAATGTGCTACTGAAACAGAAGCTATTTTGCATTAAGAGGTTTATTCTACTTAGTAGCTATAGATGAAGAGCTCATCATGCAGGATCCATATGGCCTCATGGAGGGATAGAGATGGAAATGAGCAACCCAGTTCAGTGTAGGGCATGATGTGAGCAAGGCACTACGGACACCAAAGAAAGAACTTTTCAACACCTAAGCAACACCTAAGGCAGGTGGGGATGGTTCCAAAGCAGAGGATACCGCAGGACAGAATCTGGATAACAGAGAGATCTAAGAATGCAGGTGTGTTCAGGAATCTCACACCTGCTAAGGGTGGGTTGACCTGGCTGTTGGATGTGGATGAGTGCTTGAGGCTTGAAAAAGACTTGGGCCAAATCATGAAAAACACACATAGTTCATCCAAAATAATTTGGCCTTCATTATGGGCACTAAAGAGATAATTAATTGCTTTAAACAATGTAAGGATATGATCCAGGATTGCTGAGGAACATGCCTATTCACCTGTCATCGACACACTCCACAGCTGCTGCCCTAGAGGTTTATTTAGGGTTCTTCAGTTACCAGGGTACTCCAGATAGTTAGCTCCCTAATTTCCCTCCAACCCTAGGTCACCAAGCCAGTTGGAATATACAAGACTTTTTCATATTCCATTTGCCTAACTTCTTGCCTAATCATTCCTCTGAACTGTGGCCTCAGTATGACTCTGACTTCCTGAGCTCCAAGCCCATAGTTGAAATGGTGAACTGCTCAGGCTTAAGAGAGACAGAAAGATTGGTTTTCTGCCTTTGGAGAAGGAAAGAAGACTGATGTAATTGACCCAACTGGGGTTACTGAGCATTGAATCTCAACTTAATTTAGCTGTGCTGTTTCAGTCTTCTACTCACACGTGTATGGGAAAGTTCATTGTGGTTTGAAAATGAATTTTCAATGGATAAACATTAATTAATTATTAAACCATTAATAATCTTGAAAGTGCAAGGGACCTTACATATCTTTTAAACCAGTATCATTGATTTTCTAAAAGGAAACTGATTGACTGAATGACTAGATTAAGGTCACACAATCACTATAAGTGTAACCCTATGACTTCTGCTTGAAAATTTCACTTAAGCTTTTCCCTGAATGATTAAATTTCCAATCAGATCATAATTGGGATTTGTTGAGGGGCTGTGACTACAAATTCTGACAGTCACATATTTCTAGGGGCAAAATGAAAACATAGAAAATCTTAGATCAAGCCACTGGTTGGTGCCTTGACTTTTGGACCAGAACAGCTGAACTGTGTGTTAAATATCATCATGAGAAACTTAAATGGACCAACTAAAATATTTTAACATCCTATAATTTTGTTGTAATAAATGCAGTTTAAAAACCTTTTTTTCTTCAACATTTCATGTAACCACTGAAATTTAAACTTCTGTAAGTCTAGGCAACATTGAGCAGGTATTCCCTCTTAATTCAGTATGACGTGAGAAAGTGAAGCAGTGTTTTGTCGCCTCTGGACATGGGTAGGAGTGACTAAAAGTGGACCAGAAATGAGGATGAGATGAAGAAAAAATGCAGAAAAAAAGAAGATAATACATAGCTATGTAAGCTAAGGAGGAGTCAAGGGACAAAAAAAAAAAAAAAAATGCTTGTGTTTGGGAGTAAAAAACAGCCACAAAGAGATGTCTAAATATATTTGAACTCCACACTACAGAATTTCACACTCCCTTCAAGAATGTGGCTTCTAGAAACTTTCTTTCAAGTCACAATAAATTTATCACAATTCAAATATTGTATTGGTTTAACTTAATTTCATGGGAGTAAAACTCTGATGCTATTTATTTGTGTTTAAAATTGTAACATAGAAGGGCACTGACATCTGTCCTTGGCTGTTGTCAATATTCTTTCATTATGAAACCCTAGGCCTTCAGGTTTGCAAGGTTTAGAAACACTCTCCTTGTTAATGCATTGATTGTTGATTCTATCAGAAATAGGCTTTGCTGATATGTTATTAGAGACTTACTATAAAAATTGGAAGCAATAACTTACACTTTGGTAAATATATGCTATGGGAATTTTTTTTGGTATGGAATCTATTAGTCAGGGTTCTCTAGAGAAGCAGAGCCAATAGGTTCTCCAGATAAACAGAAGCAGTATATATTCTGGATATGTGTCAGAAGAGATTTATTATAAGAATTGGCGCAGGCAGTTATGGAGGCTGAGAAATTCCATGATCTATCATCTGCAAGCTGGAGATGCAAGAAAGCCAGTGGTCCAATTTGGTCCAAAGGCCTGGAAACTAGGAAGCCAAGGGTGTTAAGTCCTGTTTGTGTCCAAAAGCCTGAGAAGGAAGAGTTCTGATGTCAAACGACTGGAGAAGATGGACATTTCAGCTCAAGCGAAGGGAGAACGAATTTGCCCTTCCTCCACCTTTCTGTTCTGTTTGGACCCTCAGTGGATTTGATGATACCCACTCACATTGGTGAGGATCATCTTCATTACTCAGCCTGCTAATTTCAGTGTGAATCTCTTCCAAAAACACATGCATGCACACACCCAGAATTAAAATTTTGTATAGTTTGTTCTTCTGTATTAAGGATTGTATTAATTATTGCTATGGCCAGAATTGTGTCACCCCTCTCAAATTTTGTTTGTCCTTTACTTTTAAGTTCATGGGTATATGTACAAATTTGTTACATAGGTAAACGTGTGTCATGGGAGTTTGTTGTGCAAATTATTTTATCACCCAAGTGTTAAGCTTAGTACCTATTATTTTTCCTGATCCTCTCCCTCCTCCCAACTCCCACCCTCCAATAGGCGCCAGTGTCTATTGTTCCCCTCTGTATATCCATGTGTTCTCATCATGTAGCTCCTACTTATAAGTGAGAACATGCAGTATTCAGTTTTCTGTTTTTGCATTAGTTTGCTAAGGATAATGGCCTCCAGCTTCATCCATGTCCCTGCAAAAGGACATGATCTTATTCTTGTTTATGGCTGCATAGTATTCCATGGTGTATATATACCACATTTTCTTTATCCAGTCTATCATTGACGGGCATTTAGTTTGATTCCATGTCTTTGCTCTTGTCAATAGTGCTGCAGTGAACATACACTTGCATGTGTCTTTATGATGGAACAATTTATATTCCTGTGGGTATATACCTAGTAATGGGATTGCTGGGTTAAATGGTATTTCTATCTTCAGGTATTTGTGGAATTGCCACACTGGTTGAACATCATCTTCCACAATGGTTGAACTAATTTACACTCCCGTCAACAGTGTATAAATGTTTCTTTTTCTCCACAAACTTGCCAGCATCTGTTACTCTTTTGACTTTTTAATAGTAGCCATTCTGAATTGTGTTAGATGATTTTTCATTGTGGTTTTCATTTGCATTTTTTTAATGATCAGTGATGTTGAGCTTTTTTTCATATGATCGTTGGCCACATGTATGTCTCTTTTGGGGGAGTGTCTGTTCATGTCCTTTGCCCACTTTTTAATGTGTTTTCTTCTTGTAAATTTGTTTAAGTTCCTTATAGATGCTGGTTATTAGACCTTTGTCAGATGCATAGTTTGCAAAAATTTTCTCCCATTCTGTAGGTTGTCTGTTTACTCTGTTGGTGTGCAGAAGCTCTTTAGTTTACTTAGATCCCACTTGTCAATTTTTGCTTTCGTTGCAATTACTTTTGGCATCTTCATCATGAAATCTTTGCCAGTGCCTATGTTCTGGATGGTATTGCCTAGGTTGTCTTCTAGGGTTTTTATAGTTTAGCGTTATACATTTAAGTCTTTATTCCATCTTGAGTTAATTTTGTATATGGTGTAAGGAAGGGGTCCAGTTTCAATCTTATGCATATGAGTAGCCAGTTATTCCCCACAAAGTTTATATGTAGAAGTCCTAACCCCTAGTCCCCATAATAGGACTATATTTGGAGATTGAGTCTTTACAGAAGTAATTAAGGTTAAACAAGGTCTTTAGGGTGGGCTGTAATCTGATATAACTGGCATCTTCATTTGAAGAGACAATTAGGACACAGACACACACAGAAGGAAGACCATGTGAAGACACCAGAAGAAGACGGCCATCTACAATCCAAGGAGAGAGGCCCTAGAAGAAACCAACTCTGCCTACACCATGATTGTGGACTTCTAGCCTTGAAAACTGTGAGAAAATAAATTTTTGTGATTTATTCTACCTAGTCTGTGGTACTTCGTTATGACACCACTAGCAAATCAATGCAATAAGGTTTAATATAAGTTTTGCCCTTATTTGAAGTGAAGCTTGTTTTCTTTAAAATTCACCTTTTGAAATTAGTGATATAACAAAGCACATGGTAAACATGCAAATTGATGTTCACATGAAGTGTGAGCGAAGGATTGAAGGTGTTTTCCGTGGAGGGTGACTGGAGTGGGTGTCAGGGGTGTGTGCTCACATATTTCAGAGGCATGGATGCATGGTTCTAGAAAGATAGACACGGGGAAAAGATGTGTATGTGACTACATGATTATTTATATACATTAAAATTATTCTAATCAACAATATAAGTTACATAAAAAACTGGGAAAACATTTGCAGCCTCTGGGATACAGGGTTGATTTTCTTTTTTTTTTTTTTTTTTTTTTTTTGAGAAAAAAAGCTGCAGGCTTTATTGAGCAGAGTGACAGTACAAAGCTTCCACAGCGTGGAAGGGGTCCCGAGCGGGTAGCAAGAGTTAGATTGTGCAGTTGCCTTTTAAACTCTTTTTTTTGTTTGTTTTTGTTTTTGTTTTTGTTTTTATTTATTATACTTTAAGTTTTAGGGTACATGTGCACATTGTGCAGGTTAGATACATATGTATACATGTGCCATGCTGGTGCACTGCACCCACTAACTCGTCATCTAGCATTAGGTATATCTCCCAATGCTATCCCTCCCCCCTCCCCCCACCCCACAACAGTCCCCAGAGTGTGATATTCCCCTTCCTGTGTCCATGTGATCTCATTGTTCAATTCCCACCTATGAGTGAGAATATGCGGTGTTTGGTTTTTTGTTCTTGCGATAGTTTACTGAGAATGATGATTTCCAATTTCATCCATGTCCCTACAAAGGACATGAACTCATCATTTTTTATGGCTGCATAGTATTCCATGGTGTATATGTGCCACATTTTCTTAGTCCAGTCTATCATTGTTGGACATTTGGGTTGGTTCCAAGTCTTTGCTATTGTGAATAATGCCGCAGTAAACATACGTGTGCATGTGTCTTTATAGCAGCATGATTTATAGTCATTTGGGTATATACCCAGTAATGGGATGGCTGGGTCAAATGGTATTTCCAGTTCTAGATCCTTGAGGAATCGCCACACTGACTTCCACAATGGTTGAACTAGTTTACAGTCCCACCAACAGTGTAAAAGTGTTCCTATTTCTCCAGGGTTGATTTTCTTAATGGCTAAAGAAATGTTTCCAGAAGATTCCTACAACAAGGTAATGGGGCAAGAGAAAAAAAACAAACCCATGGCAATGGGCATGGAGTACCTGGCTCTGTCACACGTACATATAAATACCGTAGCTAACAGATGCAAATATCTTCTTTACAATGTTTAAATTAAAGCATCCTTAGGCAAAGTGGCAAAGCGTTCAAATCTATGTAATATCTAAAGTTGATGAGACCCATACAAGTGGATTCTCTCATATACTACCCCTGACCTTTAAATTAGATCCCAGATGTAGAGGAGAATCTAGTGAAACATAGCAATGCTTTTCACATGGAGGACATCCTTTGAGTCACCAGGGAAGCCTGTAATCATGTATCCAAGAAGTTCCAATGAATGCATGCAAAAATTTAGTTTCTAAGAATGGTTATTGAATTAGAATGGCAAAGATTAGAAAGAATTAGGTGTCTGACACCAGGGAGTGGATTAGACACATTTTTTTTTACACCCAAATAAAATAATATAAAGACAGTGAAGACCAACAATATGAGAAAATTCTTATAGTATTGTATGAAGAAAACAGGTTTTAAAATGATAGCAGTAGTACAATTCCATTTGTGTAAACAAAAGTGTCTGTGGCAGGGTGTGGAGACTCATGCCTGTAATCCCAGAACTTTGGGAGGCTGAGGCCGAAGGATCACTTGAGGCCAGGAATTTCAGACCAGCCTGAAAAACATAGCAAGATTGTGTCTCTCTATAAAAAAAAATTTTTAAATTAAAAAATAAAAAGGAGAAAAATGTCTGCATTTTAATATAATCTTTGGAAGGATGCACATTGAAATAAGATCAATTATTTTGGAGTGGTGACATTATTGGTGATTTTTTTTTCTTTTGGATTGTCTGTTTCCCGTGCATTAAAATAATGAAAAAAACACAAAACTGTTTTTTAAAAACCTCAATTTTAATTTATTTAAATGTAAGAAAGATGTTCAAGAAACAGTAATGTATGATTGCTTAGGTTTCATAAAGATGATTTAGAATTTTGGAAGTGCAGTGCTTTTGCATTCATTTGCCAGCAGTTTATTCATTCTTTCATTGGTTCATTTTTTATTGGTTCCTTTTTTGTTCTTGTTTTGTTGATTTAAGTGAAAATTATCTCTTATTTTAAATATTCTGAAGATTTAGGACTTCCTCGGTCCTAAATATTCCACAGTCCTAGATCCTCTCTTGCTGTGCATACCTTTGATAAAGCCATTCATTTTATATTTACGCTTTTGGAAAACTGCAAACCTTACATATCCAATTATGGATCAGTTTTTTAAAGTAATTTAAACTGTATTTTTATATTCAAATATGTACCATCAACCAACCTTAACAAAATGTTCTAACACCAATGCTAAAAAAAACCCCTATAATTTAGTGTAAATAATCAAGCTTATGAGAAAACAAAATCTGCATCTTTAAAATGAATTACCTCTAACATAATATTGCTGTTTTTCAGTAATTAAGAAATATTAAGTCTGTCTGTGAATGCGTGTGTGTGTATGTCTGTGTATTTTTGGCAACTGGAGATACTTCTTTTCTATTTTCTAAAGCAACAAGGAAGGATTATTTAGACTGAAATATTTTGAAATTGGTGCTCTGGCTGGGTATGATGTTCTGGGTTGCAGACTTCTCTACCAGAAATCTGTGTGTTTGGGCATCCTCTGCCTTCCCTCCTCCCAGCCCCCATTGGAGCGGAGCCGAAAATGTTTTCTTTCTGGCTCACTGTGCTGCACACAGGCCCTCCCAGGAGGCGGGTGGCAGTAACAGAGCTGTCACAGGGCTGCCACAGATGGTTCTGTGCTAAATCTTCAGCCTCGGTTTATGACTCCTTGGGGGAGGGACAGGGTTGGCTGGAAAGTGTATTCATGTACACTCCAGAGATGCTCCAGTAGGTGAACGGGCAGAGGCCCGTTAATTACAGATGGAAAATGCTTCCCATTCCTCTCTGTTGCATCTGTGTTTTTCCGGTTGGCATTTGGAATGGACAGGACAGTGACATGCTAGATGTTTTAGGTGAAACAGGCTTATACAAACTAAGGCAACTTTTCATGATACCTTATGTAAAAGCTGGTATTATAATCCAAGAATTGCAAGGGCTCTTGGGTAAGTAATAACAACAGGCCCTTTGAAAGTGCTTGCTGTGTGCCAGACACTAGACAAGGCAATATTATTCAACATATTATTTTGTTTTAAATGAACCAAACTGTGCTGTTTTTTCTTTGCAGAATATGAAACTGAGGCTCAGATAATTTAAATAACTTGCTTAAAGGTCACACAGCTTGTAAATGAAGATGGAAAATGAACCATTTTACCCACACCCCCTTCCCCACCAACACCACTGTTAAGAGCTTTCCTAACTAGAAATGTATTCTGAGCACATCCCCAAACATTAAACAGAACTTGCTTAATAAGTAGAGCTAGCAACCTATTTAAAATTGGCAGACTATTTTAAAGAAAATACATGTGCAAGTCTGGTTTTCCTGAATAGACTTATCTTTACTGAAAAGGTAACTTTCTTACATCATAGCATTGCTTAATGTATATCTTAATTAAGCAGTCCCAACATCTCAAGATACTCAATTCCTTCCTCCCTGATTTGCCCTGAGTATGATTCTGTTTTCCTTTAGTTTGTGATACGAAGATTGTTAGTTTCTCTATTATTTTTTCATAGACTATTGGATATTCGAAACATTAGTCAGTCTCTGCTACCCAGAGAAATGTGGTTGTTAAAGTATTCCAGGGTGGACAGGGAAAGCCTTTTAAAGAGGTGACATCTTACTCACACTGCAGGATCAGAAAGAGTCTTTCAATTTGAATTTCATATCAGATATATTACCAAAAAAAGTAAGATAGTCTTAAAGCATGTGCATGAAGCTGTTCTGTGGTCTGCAGAGGACTTTAAACTGGATTGATCAATTTATAATGCACTAAAAACAATTTTACTATCCATCAAATTTGCAATTTACATATGTATATGGGATTTTGATACTCATATAGCTAGGATAGAGATGTATTTTAAAAGGCAATGGTGTGTATGATTTGTACCTAAGGAATAAAGTAAGTTGATAGTGAATTTGGCACTGGGGGTGGAGCCAACAGCTGGGAGAAGTGGTGAGCCTGGCTCCAGTCATGAGTCCAAGAACAGCTGATGAAACTTAGGAGAAGACTGTCTCATGACATTTTAAGTACCCTCTGCGTATGCCGTGTCCCCTAGACTAATTTTTTAGAATTACCAGTGTTAATGATAATAATAATAATAAATCAATGACAACAAAACTTACAAAATTCAAGGGCCATAGTTTACCTCTAAAACAGTAGAAAAGGTGAAATTTTGAGTTTGTTACTTGACTCCCATTGACCAGCGAAAAGAAAAATGTTTGGTTAAAAGCACTTACAGTTTGATTGCTGACAAGAGTAAAAGGAAAGTCAAATTATGGGGCCCACCAACGCAGCGAAATGGGCAGCAGAGAAGGACAAGAGATTTTCCCACCTCTTGGCTTCGTCTTAACCCTATAACTGTTATAGCTAAGGCAGGAGGGCTGGTGGGAACACACTTACCTGTGTCTGTCATAGGCATCCTTAGTTCTCAGAAAAGACATCACATTTTCAACAGAGCTCCCTCCAGCTATCTCAAATAAAAGCCAACAGACTGAAGGCTCCTTGCTGTGTATCTTGTGCAAACTTGCAAAATTTATATGAACATAATATTCATTGTTGAAAGATACATGAAAGGAGAATGCTTTTAATGTGAATGACTTGGTGTTTTGCTTCTTGGCATGTAATGTCTGAGAGCACTTTGAGAAATTCCAGCCAGAGGAGGCCTTCTGAAATGGCAGCTTTGCATTGATGTGGTGCCAGTGGTCAAATTGAAACAGAAGTCTTGAGTGTGTTTCCAGTGCTTTTTTATTGAGAAAGTTATATAAATACAGCACGGAGGTTCCCCCAGTGTAAACACTTAGCTCTTTATTCTCACTGTTTCCACACCCTGAAATATCTTTCACACCTTCCTATTTGCTGCCTAGGTATTTTTAAAAGAGAAATTATTCTTTTTAGCAAGTTTTTGTTTGTTGATGTATTTTGCATTTTGTTGTTATGGTGGTGGTTTAGGTTTTTTTGCAATAAATTTTCTGTTTGTTTATCTGATATCTGTGAAGAAATAAAATATTTTGGAATCGTGGGCATCTTATTTTAGGAGCTTACTTTTACCTAACTCCAAAGTAGGAACTGTCTTAAAGCTAGGAGGCTCCTCTGTATTTCTAGTTTTCATATTTGAACAGTCAATGTGTCAACCCACGGTGCCTGACATCCCCTACTCCCATTCCTGATGCTCCTCGATGCTCCCAACAGAGTAAGTTCCTTGCAAACCTGTGGTGGGAGGTCTTTCATGGTGGGCACACAGCCACTCTGAGTCCAAATACGGTCCATCCTGGTTGGCTAGTTTGAGTAATGGGAACCCAGACAGCGTGCTGGGTTAGGACTAGGGCAAACAGAGATGGACTCCACGTAAGCCACTCAGACATATCTCCTATTGAATTGAGAAAGTCATTGTCTTTAAATATAAAAATCTCATCTTGGAATGATAAGTCTTAGGAAAGTCATTTATTCTCTGTGTCTCAGTCTCTTCATTTTTCCAGTGGGGTAATATAGTTTCACTTCCGTCAAGCCAATCATTCTATACCTAACAATACATATCCTGGACAAAATATAAAACAAAACCACCTGAAGGCACTGGAAAGTGGCCCAAAAGAAACAGAGCTACGTTGGAGTCAATACTTAAAGGAGACAAACAGCACCTGGATGACCTTTCTCTTTTTATAGATTTTGGCCTTAGGGGAAACCCCACTCAGTGCCAGTTGGGATGGATAAAATTTTAAAAAGGAAATCTATGTTTTCCCTGGATTATACTACTGGAAGAAAGAGTTCAACATCACTACAGTAGCTAAATATGAGGGAAAACCCTAAAAAAAAGAGATCCACAGAGACAGAGAGAGAGAGAGAGAACAGCCAATACTGCATATAAACTCTACACCTGAGACTGGCTGTTGAAATAAGCATGATCCAGCCAGCATCCCAGGAGGACGGATGAGAGGATAAAATAACAGAATGGAGATTTCAGCTGCTGCCCGCTGTGGGAGAGACCAGATATGGAGTTTGACTCCTACTAAAATGAAACAAAACAATCAATATTCTCCAGAGGAATGTGACAGAATGTAAGGTCTCTATAACATGTCATTCATAATGCTTAGTCTACAATTCAAAATTAAAATAAATAATAGGAAACAAGGAAAAAATGACCATGTTAAAAAAGAGACAATCAGTGGAAACCAATAGGACCATTACACAGAATCTATAATGAGCATGCAAGAATTTTAAAGTGGCTATAACCACAGTATCAAAGACATGGAATCACCTAAGTGGCCACCAGCATTGGATTGGACAAAGAAAAGGTGGTATATTTACAGCATTGAATTCCACAGAGCCATAAACAAGAACAAAATCATGTGTTTTGCAGCAACGTGGATGCAGGTGGAGGCCATGATCCTAAGTGAATCGACATAGAAGCAGATAAGCAAATAACAAACATTCTCAGTAATAAGTGGGAGCTAAACATTGGGTATTCATTGAATAAAGACCCTAGGAGCTACTAGAAGGGGAAAGGAGGAGGACACCTGTTTAAAAACTAACTATGGGTACTATGCTCAGTACCTGGGTGATGATGGGATCAACTGTACCCAAACCTCAGCATCTTGGAATACACCCATGTAAAAAAACAAAAACCTTTACATGTATGCCCTGAATCTAAAATAAAGTTAACATTACTTTTTAAAAAAGAAATTATAATCACTCTAAAAATATAAAGTGGTTATAATTAAGTTTTTAAAAAGGAAGCAAAAGAAAGTACAGTGAACCATAAGACATAAATTTAACAGAGAAATAGAAACTATAAGAAGGAACCATATTAAAATTCTGGAACTGGAAATCTAAATTTGCAATGTTAATATATTAATGAGTGAGATTAACAACATATTGGAGATGACAGAAGAATAGTATTGAACATGAGCAGGACCATTAGAAATTATCTAATCTGAAGAACAGGGAGAAAAATGATTTTTTTAAGACAGCAAAGGCTCAGTAATCTATATGATAAAAAGCCTAACATATTTGTAATGGAGTCACAGAAAAGGAGTGAGAGAGGATGGAGAAGAACATATATTTGGGGAAATAATGGCTAAATTTGTCCAAAATGTGGGGGAAAATAAAAATACAGATTCAAGAAGTTTAGTAAATGCCTGGCTAACTAAATACAAAGAACACCTCTACCAGACATGTCATGGTCAAATTGGTGCAAACCAAGAGAAAATCTCAAAGATAGCCAGAGAAAACTGACAGATCGAAGGGAAACAATATGAATGACTGTTGACACTTCATCAGAATCAATGGAGCCACAACAGAGTGGGATAACAATGTTAAAATGCTAAAAGAAAACAAACATCTTAGACCACAGCTCTAACTCTAAGTGAAAATATCCTTCAAGAATTAAGACAAAATGAAGGCATTTTAAATGAACAGTAACTAAGAGCATTATTCACCAGCAGACGTGAACTGTATGAGAAAGTAAAGGAACTCCTTCAGACTGAGTTGAAATGATGGAAAGTTGGATTGCCAGGAAAGAAGAACAACCTTTGGAAATTGTAAAATGTTTGTAAATATTAACAAAAAACCTGTTTTATCTTAATTTTAAAAACACATATGGAAGTTTAAGATGGATATGATAACATCATATTGAAAAATTTGTAATATTTGCATTGTAATACATGACAGGGATAGTATATAGTGTATGTGTACACACATACAAACACACATATATTTCATATATAGAGTATACTGTATAGTAGAATTGGAATGAACACATAGAGTTCCAGGATTCTCATATTAGGTGTACAATATTAATTCTAAATCAACTTTAATCACTAGAGCAATCACTTGGGTAGTAATGCAAAGAGGTATAGCTGCAAATCCAATCAATTAATTGAAATGGGGTTAAAAAGAATAAGTTACAGAAGGAAAAAGTAGAGAAAGAGAAACGGCCAGGTGCGGTGGCTCACACCTGTAATCCTAGCACTTTGGGGGGCCGAAGTGGGCAGATCACGAGGTCAAGAGATCAAGACCATCCTGGCCAACCTGGTGAATCCCCATCTCTACTAAAAATACAAAAAAAAATCGCTGGGTTTGGTGGCACATGCCTGTAGTCCCAGCTACTTGGGAGGCTGAGGCAGGAGAATCACTTGAACCTGGGAGGTGGAGCTTGCAGTGAGCTGAGATTGTGCCACTGCACTCCAGGCTGGCGACAGAGCAAGACTCAGTCTCAAAAAAAAAAAAAAAAGAAAAAGAAAAAGAAAAGAAAAGAAAAAGAGGAATGTAAAACATGTAGGATGAACATAAAATAACTAGTAAAATATTAGCCCTAAATCTAACCATGTGAATAATTATGTTGAATGTGAGTGGACTAGAAACACTGACTAAAAGATGATATTTTCAAAATAGGTAAAAAGCAAGACCAAGTTATATGTTGTTTGCATGAGATGCACTTTTAGTATAAAGACACGGGTTAAAGATAAAAGGCAGCAAAAGATAAGTAGGCAAACAGGCACTGTAAGGTTGGAGTGGCTAGGTTAACATTATTTAGAGTAGGTTTCAGGACAGATTATTATCAGACATTTTACAATAATATCATTCTGCATTCATTAGGAGGACATAACAGTCGTGAACATGTATGGGCTTAAAATAATCCTTAAAAGCATAAGGATCCACAAATAGATAATTACCTGAAAACAACTGTTAAAATGAAAAAGAGTAAGAGACAAATCCTCTTAAGATGAACCAGTGATACTTAGAGAACAAAATAACACCAATCTTACACAAGCCATTTCAAAAATTAAAAAGGAAAGAACTCTTGTCGACTCATTTTATGAGGCCAGAATAACCGAGATACTAAAACCTAACAAAGATCGTAGAAAAGAAAATGACTGACCCATATTCCAGATGAATTTATACACAAAATTCTTACTAAAATCTTAGCAAATAAAATCCACCAATATATACAAAGAATAATATATTTTGACCATATTAAGTTTATCCTAAGAATAGTTTAACACATTCACAGAACAAAGGAGAAACTCTATGTGAATATTACAATAAATGGGAGAATTACATGGCAAAATTTAACCCTCCTATGTGATTAAAACACTCAGTAGTTTAGAAGAGAAAGTAGAAATTTTAAACTGAAAAAGGGCATATATGAGAAAAATAAAACTAACATTTTACTCAATGGTCAAATATTAAACACTTTTCCTCTAAAGTCTGGAACAAGGAACTTCTATTTAATATTTACTGCAGGGCATGCAAATGAAGAGAGGCCAGAAAGAAAATGGCATAAAACATAGAAAGGAACAAGTAAAACTGTCTTTTTCATAGATCAGTTATATACATAGAAAATTCTAAGAATTTGATTAAGCAACTAGTAGAATTAATATGCAAGTGTAGCAAGGTTGAAGAATACAATGTCAATGTACAAAAATCAGTTGTGTTTTATATACTGGTAGGAAAAAATGTAAAATAAAAGTAAAAATCTAATTTCCTTTACAGTTTTTTTCAAAAATTATAATATCTAATAATGAATTTAAGAAAAGACAAATTAGATCTCTACATTTAAAATTACACATTTAAGATGTATTTAAAAAGACCAAAGTTGACAGAACAGTATACTTTACTCATGAATTGGAAACCTCAAACATATTAGGATGAAAATTTTCTCAAGATTATTGTACATAGTGAATCAATCTTAATGGTAAGCTCAACAGTCTATTTGTGGAAATTTATAAACTGATTATAATATTTATATTGAAATACAAAGGACTTAGGGTAATCACAGTGATCTTGTAAAAGTAGAACAAAGTTAAAGTATTTAACTTTGGTTAGCTTTGCTATTCAGGATACAGTGGTCCTAGCATAAGGATCCACCAATAGATCAATGTCCCATAAACCCATAAAAAGGGACTCAAATTCAGCACTCATCAGGGAAATGCAAATTGAAACCAGAATGAGATAACACTACCCATATATCAAAATGACTCAATTTAAAAGAATGACAACACCAGTTATTGTCAAAGTTATCGGATAACTGGACCTTTTGTACATTGATGGTAGATGTGCAAAATGGTATAGCCATTTGGGGAAAAGATCTGGCAATTTCTTTCAAAATGAATCACACCTGCTCTGTGACCTAGCAATTCAACTTCTAGGTATGTACCCAAGAGAAATAAAAATGTGACCACATATGCTTGATTTCAAATAGCAAAAACTGGGAACAGCTGAAGTGTCCAGGAACAGAATAATGGCTATACAAACTATGAAGTATTCATACACTGGAATACAGCTGAGAAGTAAAAAGGAACAAGCAACTGTTACATGCAACATAGATAAGTCACGAAAACATATGCTAAATGAAAGGAAGCCCAATGCAAAGTGTACTGAGTGATTTTTTTATATGAGGGTAAGACTGGATGAAAAATAGCAGAAAAGTGGTTGCCTCTAGGAAAGAAGGAAAGGGAATGACTGAGAATGGGGTGATTTCTTCCATAGTGGTAATGTTCCACATCTTTATAGGGTTTTTCTTTACTCTGATGGATGCATTTGTCAAAAATTATTAAATGGTACTAAAGACCTAATGTAAAGCATAATTAATAATATTGGATTGGGATAGTCCTAAAAGACACAATCCCAAAAACAATGATAGCGAATGTTGAAATCCTGAAGGATCAAAACTCCAAAAATATCATTTCGGAAAAAAATAAGTTTTAAAGATATTTCTTTATATTTCTAAAAGGGAATTTTCTTGAGAACATGTAAAAACATGACAGAACACTTCATAGGTCACTTTGCACAATAAAATAGGCAATAATAATGCATATTTTTGCATAAATACTCAGGTATAATAAGGACACTAGTATGGCTGTAATAGTTTTGAGCAGATGAACTGTGTTCATAAAGAAATAGATCAAAAAGAAGAAAGTATAGACACGTATCACTATGTTTGGAGATTGTGTGCACCCAGCTTTGTAACTGTGGTTATCTGAAATGCCATGACGAACAACCGAAGTCTTTATGTAAAAATGTCTTTTGCTGAAATTGATAAAAAAATTATGGTGGGTCACCACCACAGTTGCCCAAAGAGCTGAGATCTTGTAAAATTTTTATTTATCAGAAATGCAGGTGTACAAAAAGATCATATCTTCATTTATGGAGAAAGCTTCAACATTTTTACAAATATATACAATACTTACACAAAAAGTTAACTTTGTGATGATGCACTTTTGTGGACGCAAATTTGCCAAAATGCGTGAAATGAATTAGAACTCTCTAAAAGTCTCTACACAATTTATACCTTCACTATTGAAAGTGATGCAGAGATGAAATACACAGCATCACAAACTAAAAATAATGCTGACAATGTAAAATAGTGGAAAAAATGTTTTCTAAAAAGAAACAACTGAAAATCTAAAAATAATATTTGATTTATGAAAAAGTATATTACAGGGGGCTATGGGCACAGACATAGTATATAAGAGGTGGCCAGATTTCACCATCATTAACTATATTTAGAAGTCTTGCATCACAATGAATAGCTGCTTTTTTTCTTTTGGGACCTGGGTCTCCTCTGAGAATATGTTCACATTCATTTTCTACGTGGCAATTTCAATTTTTTTGAAATTCTTCTATGATTTGGTCAATATACATCAAGATGAGCATTCCCTGTCAAATTCTCCCATCTTCTGTGCCATGCCTCTATGTTGTTTTGTGTATGTGGAAATCCATTCCACACGTATTCATCCACAGACCACGAATTTAGTGGAAACAATAATGGTGATAGAATAGCAACATCTTGCGTGTCCCTTTATCCTAGCAGACACATACTATTTTCAATCCAGTCAGGAACTTCACTGGCTTCTTCAGGCAAATGTGGTTTTAATTTATTAAATGCTCCTGGAATATCATCAACTGGAATGAATGCTAATGCAGGCAAATGACACGTTTAAACTGAAGTTTTCCATAGTTACTGTGTTTCATAGCCAATTTACAATCTGAATTTTCTCTCAAATGCAAATAAAGACAATAAACAGTTAATAGTTCCACCTACCATGATGCAACTAACATCATTATCCTACCTACAACCCAAAACACACTAATCCCTTCCCCAGAATTCAGCTTTCAGGATTTCAGCATTTAGGATTATGGCATTCAAGTTTGTGTCTTTCGGGATTAGTATCCAAACCCATTGAATTGCACACCAGAACTGCTAAGAGTAGCATTTAGGTGTTCTTACCACCACCAAAAAGGTAACTATGTGAAGCAATGGCTATGTTAACTTACTCGACAGCAGTCATCATTTCGCGATTTGTATGTACATGGTGAAACACCATGCTGTACTCCTTAAATATATACAGTTTCTTGAAAAGAGGTAAAACATGTAATTATATGCATATTTTATGCTGACTATCACAATGTTTTAAAACTTGAGTTCTCATTTAGTGAAAATACATCATTCATTTCATTGTTTTCTTAACACACAACTTGTATTCTAGTAACTGGTAAAGTTAAATTCAGCCAACTTGGCTTATATTTTTCCCTGTATCATGACTGGTAGGTAAGATTATCACTATATTTAGAAAGGGAAAGTAATGTACTTGTTTTATTTATCTCGTTTTCCTTTTGTTCTGGCAAACCGATATGATAAATTTGGATTAATCCATGGCAAGCTGATCATTGCATTTAAAGTTTGAGAAAAAAATTATACTAAATTATTGATGTGCAAACTCAAGCCAGAATGGTAATTTTTTAAAACAGCCACTTTCAAGGTCCCAACCACATTAACAGGCCTGTCCTTTCTGTCAGCTTCTCCCACCCTCATCCATTCTCATCCTCCTGTCTTCCTTTCCAGATCTCAGTGCAGGCCTATGTCGACACCAAACTATTCTGTGTCAATTCCTGAGTTCTGACAAATGTGAGGGAAAGGAACTATGCAGTTAATTCAACCCGTAACATTTGCTGCAGGTCTTCATTTTCGAATAGGAGACAAGGTCATCTAATGAGCCGCTGACAGGAGCCCGCCGTGCATCTCGGGGGATGTCTTCAGGCAGCTCACCGGCTGTCTTTAGCTTGCCCAGACAGGCCCATGATAAACTCATCAAGAGTGGCTGAGAAAGGCCTGCAGCTGGGTGGCGGTGTAAGTGTGTGGACTGTGATAGGTGAGCGTTGGGGAGTCCTCTTTAATTTACGACAAAGGCAAGTGAAGTTCATTTGAATGGAGCTCCTACATGGATCCTATTCTATGTCTGTGTCCATGTTTACATCCATCGCCACATCTTCGTCTATCTATCCCTTCAGATCTCTATTTGTAGATGCAGTATCATCTAATTTATCTATCTGTAGAGATAGTATTTATGTCTGTACATTTTCACACAGGTATATAGATAGATAGATAGACAAAGACATAGATATAGGTGATATAGATCGTTTAATCCCCTAGTTTACAGGTGAACAGTTTGAGGCTCAGATTTGAAGAGAGTGTCTAGAGTTATAGACCCAGTGACAGGTGGAGTCAGGTCCAAACCCTTTCCTGCCCAGGCCCGAAGTGCTGACTTTCAGCTGCACCATACCATCACTCGCAGGACTAACTTCAACTCATCCCTTGGGACTTAACTCAGGGATCACCTGCTGCAGGGTGTCCCCACTCACCCTGCTTCCTTCCCGAGGTGGCGTCCCTCCTCCCAGGTGATCACTTGGGGATCCTTGTCTAATTGTTGTCCAGTGGCACTAAGCAGTGTCATGAGTTTGATCTATTTATGTGGCATCTTCCCTACTCTGTTGCGAGATGCTTGATGACGCATAGCGTTTTCTTTCATTTCAATTTTATTTTTACTTTAAGTCAAAGCATTGACATCTATTATAAATATCATACATGATGTAGTAAAAAAAAATTAAAACAGTCTTCGTTCTCAACGACCAGCCTCCCCCAGAGTTCCACAGTTGATGGGCTCCTGTACCTTCTAGGGAACAGGTGGGATTTATCTTTCCATTCCTTGAATCTTAGGTAGGGCCAGGTGCCTGAAATGTGGTAGCGGATTAAAACCTGCCTGGATTACTTCACGGATGAAGCCCTTCATCTTTAATTAAGAACAAAGTTATATTCAGAATGACAGCAATCAATTTAGAAAATGATTCCTATTTATATTATGGACAAGTAAGGGAAAGATTTGGAGAAGGAGCAAATAAAGGAGAACATAAACACAGGGTCGTAGAAGAGGATAGGGAAACGTTGAGAGAATCGGTTGATTAGGGGTTCAGCTGCCAGAAGTCTGGGACTGCTGATGTCTCTTCTTCTACTTTGCCATTAAAATGACCAGGACAGGCCAACAGTCTTATTAAAATTATTGTGTCAATACTAGCTAATACAATTAGTCAAGAGAAAGAAAAAAGCTGTAAGTATTAGAGAGACAGTATAAATTTATTATTACTACTATTACAATCCCTGTTATTGTTACTGCAAATAATATGTTGATACCAGAAAAACCCAAGAAAATTAAGAAAAGTAATTAGAAGCAATGTAAGAGGCTGATAAGCGTTCCTTATTTCAGTAATATGGTTATAAAAATATCATAAAAGAAAGGATTCTATCAGAAATATTTTTAAAATGGAATGTTTTGGAAAAAATTAATGAGAAAAATAGAAAACATGTACAAGGAAACTAAAATTCTTTCCTGAAACACATAAAAAAATCCACATAAATAGGAAATGTGGACATACCATGTTGGGTGGAAATATTACATATTACAACAAGGCCAATCTTTGCTAGATTTATTTATAATGGTAAAAATATGAATCAACAGCCCACTGGGCCTTTTTTGGTAACTGGATAAAATAATGCTGTATTTTATTTTTAAAAGTAAACCAGACATGGTATCTAAAAAATGCACCGTCAATTATGGGTTAAGAACCAGTGGATAGATCAATGGACTGTTGCCACCGATGGCAAGCTTTTTCTGTAAAGGCCGAGACAATACTTATATTTTCAGCTTCATGGGCCAAACTACTCATCTCTGTTGTTTTAGCACAAATGCAGCCATAGACAACATGTAAATGAGCATGGCTCTGTTCCAATGAAACTTTATTTATGTACACTGAAATTTGAAATTTATGTAATTTTCATGTGTCACGAAACATTATGTTGCTTGGGAATTTTATTTTAATCATTTAAAAATGTAAAAATCATTCTTAGCTCTTGGGCTGTACAAAAACAAGCTGCAGGACTGATTTGGCCTGCAGTTTGTAGTTTGCCAATCCCTGGAATAGATCAAAGAGCAAAGAAACAAATAATACGACACGTAAGTAAGGAAAATATTGTAAAGGAGGAAAATAAAAGTTATCTGATAAACAGGTATTAGGAGTTGGCTCCTTCACTGAGGGAAAAAATTATGTTAAACCTTCACTATCCAACAGCTAAAATAAATTCCAAATGAAGAGTTAAGAGTAAAAAACTAAAGTGATTAAATTTAAGAGTGAAATGCAGCAGGTAAAACTAACTGATTTGCAAGGCACTGTAATGGTCCTTAATAGCCACTTGATAATTGCACAATAACCTTGACCATTACAAAAATTAATAGCATTAAATTGCCTTATTCACCCTAATTTATTTTCTAAAGGGTTTGCTACTGTCTGATTTTTTAAAGACTTTAGTAAAAGGCTAGGGAAAACAGATGAAAAACATACACTGTAACCAACAACAACAAAAAATGATTCCAATTTTGTTTTTACAAAATATGCATAGACAAAGTAAAAAAGACTGGAAAGAAATAAACAATGTCCACTGGCAAAAAAAAAGAAAGAAAGAAGAGAGAAAGAGGAAGGAAGGGAGGGAGGGAGGGATAGAAAGAAAGAAAGAAGGAAAGAAAAAGAAAGAAAGAAAGAAAGAAAGAAAGAAAGAAAGAAAGAAAGAAAGAAAGAAAAGAAAAGAAAGAGAAAGAAAGAAAGGAGGGAGGGAAGGAGGAAGGAAGGAAGGAGAGAAAAGAAAGAAAATACATATTGGTGAATATCTAATTTTGTAGTAAGGAAGACATTTCTAAGTCTAAAAGGGACTCTCTCTGGGCCCTAAATTCTGCTCCTGTTTTCCTGAGTGTTCCTCCTGTTTGTCCACCAAATTTCAAGCATCTGTGAAGGGTTTCCCTCTTGCTCCTCCAGGGCACAGAGATGGGCTGTTGGGGGTAACCAATGATACAGCACTCGGGAGCTCACAGCACTTTTCATTATTTGTGCATCCAGAGGAAACACTACTAAATCCCCTTTTTCCTCTCCCAGATATATTAAAGCCATCCAATGAAGTAAAGCCTGGGTTATGCAATGTTAAATGGGTCCTTTCACAGCTGATTCCAAAAGGCCTCTTGGTCATGAACTGCTTCATCCTTACCTGTCTATTTAGGTGTTAGCCACAGGTGGCTCACAACCGTGTGGCCAACACTGGTACGTCTGGCTGCTGGAGAAACCCAAATCCCATGGCCAAGCAAGGATTTAGGCTCCGTCTGCTAAAACCAAAATCAAAGCCGACAGGAGCTATTGGAAATGAGATAAAATGAAATGAGTCACTTGGGGAGTCACCGCACTTCAACTAAGTGCAAAGGATGAAAAGGAGTAATAAGGTAAAGAGAGGTATAAGAAAGCTAAATTTGGGACTCTTGCAAAAAAGCATAGAATATGGGGATTATTAATTGATATTGTAAATCTTTTAGTTTTGCCATCTAATTTCATTTACTCAGATAATGATAGAAGCTTTTCTTGACAGATGTAACAGAGAACAGAATAAATTGGAGACATACTGCTGCGAAATTAGATTACATTTAAATGTTGGCTATTCTTTTTAAAATTCTGTTTTTAAAAATAGTTTTATAATCATGTAAGTCATTCTAGGATCCTTATGTTCTCTTTATCCAAAACCATATTTAAATATCAAGACTTTTGTGCTTGTTTGGATTTAGGGGAAAAAATAAGTGGTTCACTTGTGACCATGTTAAAAAAAAAAAAGCAAGACTTTTCTCTCTGTAGATACCTTAATAGTTTAAGTGTGTTGCCTGGTTTTCTGTCATCAGAAAAGGTGAAATATTACACAAAATTATTTGACAAGACCATACCATAGTTTCATAATAATACCAAAAGTAATGAACATTATGGTGTGGACAAAGTCAGCCCACAGGAATCCATAATGTAAATGTGGTTATGTGTAATATATAGAGAAAAGGGTCCAGTATGTTTTTGCTTCTAGGCATTTAAAAAGTTTGGTATTAATTTATCTTAACCATTAATATAGTCAAGACTCTTATTATTTATTTCTGTAATTGGTTTTTGAAATATTTTAACATTAGAAAAATAAATAATATTCAAATGGAAAAAGTGGTTGCTTTTCAAATCCATGGATTCTTATATTTTAAAGGTAATTCAGTTTTATCATGATTTCATACACATCTTCAAAATTATAGTAGGCAAATTTTGGAATGATTTTGTTTTTAGCTTTTGAAATTGCTCACGTGATTACTGGTGACGTTATTTAATTAGAATAGTTTATGGAATTATACATAATTCAGTTGATCACTATCTAAAGCGTGCAGTTTACATTTTTTAAGGGGAAGTAAAATATTTGTGAGTTGGTATACCTATGTCAGAAAACTCAGAGACAGAACTTTGTTTTTTTGGCTTTTTATGCAATGAAACTTGTTTGTAACTTACTACTCCTAAGATGATACTCTTGCAATTTTTGTATAACACCACCCTTTCAGCATAGGTTCTATCAGAAAGTTTAAGAAAGTAATGATCACATTTATGATTCTGCACATGAACAGGACAGGTGATGTGAACATACAGTCGGGAAACTTAAGTTGGCACCTCCCATCCATGGGCTACTTACCATGAATGAGTCTTCTGAGGCCTTTTATTTTAATTTGATCATTTTCAAACTAGGTCTAATATTTAATGTCTCTTATCTGTCTACCTCAAAGTACTAAAAATACTCATTTTGATCATGTCGATGGTTATACAGCAACTGTATAAGTCTCCATCCTTCCTATAATACTCTCTCTAGGGCTAGAGAGTTAGAGGGAAGAAGTGGGGCACCACATCTCAGCCATGAGCCCTCAAACCAGGAGAGCCAGATGTTCCAGCTCTGGGCAAAAACCCAGGAAGGCAATCCACGCATAGAATCAAACACACCTAGGTTAGAAGTCATTGGATATTATGCCTCTGAGTTTTTGCCAAGGACTAGTAAAAATGGTGTTTCATTTTAATTTATTTGCATTTTCCTGGCTGCTGGTGAGACTGGGTTTCTGTTTACACATTTACTGGCCATTTGGATTTCCTTGTCTTTGAAGTAAATTTTTCAATCTTCTTATCCATAGCATTGTTTTCCTTTTCAATTTGTAGAAGTTACATATTTAATAGGAATGTTTAACTTTTACTTTTAATATGTGTCACAAGTATATTTATCCAAGCTTGCCATTTTTCTTTTGCCTTTGTTTACAGTGGCATTCACTACTCAATTTAAACATGCGGTATGCACATATGGCTCTTTCTTCTTATTGCCTTTAGGTTTCAGTCTTGTTTAGAAAAGTATCTCCCATTGCCAATATTACAAAGAGGGTCGCCTAAATAGTTATTAGTGTATTTTTGCTTTTTAATTCAAATATAATTCATCTGGAATTCATTTTTAAATATTATGAAAACAGACTCTAGAAATGTTTTCTTTCAGATGGAAGCTGATATCGTTGGATGAATAAAAAAAGATTCTATAGTAAAAAAACTTTGTTATTAATAATGATGGGTGAACTAAATGAGGAATAGATTAAAATAGAATGTTTCAGCACCTATAGGCAAATAAAATATAATTCGATTGAAAGAAAATAAAATCTGGAGACATGGCAATGGAGACTCCCAGTGGGAAGACGTAATGCCCAGCAGTGCCCATTCTTTCCTACCTATTGTACTAGGGGAACTGGAAAAAAAAATGGTAAAATTTACAAAAAATAAAAAGTCTTGAGAATATATAAGAAAACTATAAGATAAGTAAAATAGTAAGGAAGACCTTCCTTCCGTGTAATGATAACATACTGTGAAATCAAGGTTGGTATTGATGCCAAAACAATCATCAGTTAACTGTTACCCTGTCAATAAACATAAACAGAGGAAAATTCTGAAGGAGAGAAGTTTTGGAATAAATTAAATTTGAACAAAAACTGGGCTTCATCTTGTACCAGGCAATGAAGAAAACCCTCCTTTAACTGTGTAGAACATGAAGCACCCCCCAGCCCACTACAGCACCTCTATTAAATAGTAATGAAGGATGACTTATTTCCTTCAGAAGACAAAACTTAAGGAAAAAGAGAATTCCTCCTGGGATTGTGCGATTTACCATGTTGTATGTGATAGAATGCATAGCTTGAGGTTTTATGTTACTCACGTTTTATAGGTAGATATTTTTGGCACCAAACCTTGTATATCTGAGAGATAAAATGCACATAGGTTTGGGGACCAATAGCAGGAGGGAGAGCTGTGGAAGCAGCTGCCCAGCGCCCTCTGGGGGATGAGCGCAAATCGAGGAAAACCTTGAAGGAGTGAAGTTTTAGAATGAAGTAAATTTGAACAAAAATTCTGGGCTTCATCTGGGACTAGGCAATGGAGAAAATCCTACTTTAATTATATAGAGCACCAAAGACACCCACACACAACCCACGCACAAAAGTACCTCTATATTATTTCAGTGTAAAGTGTGAAACTAGCTCATGAACAGGACATGTGACAAGAAAGTGAACTTGTCTTGCAGGAGTTTTAATTAAAGAGGTTGTTGGCTTGATCCTGGCCAAGGCCGTTCGCATGCAAACAGAAAAGGCGTGGAGTCTGGGATCTTCCTCTGCCAACCCCATGAGCGTATTCATTTCTCTCCTCCTGTAATGTCACACAGGACTTTGTTACCAACAGGGATGGAGCGTAGGAGAAAGAAGGAAAGGATAGGATGAGAAAAAAAAAATAGCCAAAATCTGCTAAAACTCACTCAAAAAGAAGAGACTGGGACTGTCCTTGTTATGGAATACTGACCCAAACAGATACATATCCATTCAAAAATATCCATTCAACATAGATTAGCTAAATGCCCCCAGGTCCTTTTTCAAGATGTTGGGGAAAGCTATACATACAAATGATAAAAACTCTGTTCTCATGACACATTCTAATTGGGGGAAGATGAGACAATAGACAAACGTGAAAAAAAAAATAACATGACAGAGTGTCACACTTCTGTAAGAAGAAAAGTAAAGCAGGAAACGCTATACAGAGCTGGAGAGAGGAGATGTAAAAGTGTCATTTGAGCTGAGAACTGAAGGATGCAGATACTTGGGTTAAGAGAACTCTAGGTACAAAGTGCAAGAAAACCAGTGTACAGTACAAGAAAAAGCAAGCCAGCCCTGAGATTGGAGAGGTGGACGTGGGTGGACCACAAATAGCTTGGGAAGTGTGTTAAAGGCGCTGACTTTTGCTCTGGGTTGATTTGAGAAGAATTATGAGTAAAAGAATGACATGGTCTGACTTTCATCCAATCTGGCACTGGTTACAGTGCCGAGATGAGACAGGTGGAGACAAGGACAGGGCCTCAAGGGCAGTTTAGAGGCCACTGCAAATCCAGACGAGAGGTGATGGTGGCTTGGACCTGGGCATTAGTGATGGAAGTGGTAGGAGGTATTCAGTATGTGAGCCACACACATTGAAATATCTAAATACACCAACTAATCTGATGTGGAGAATGAGAGAGAGCCAGAGGCAGCTCATAGGACCCCAAGGTTTGGGGGATGTTGGGCAGATGTGTACCAGGTCAACCTTTGAAAGTAAAGGAAGTTGAGAAGCTCAAATACCATTCGAGAGAAAGCTCCAGATGTTTTCTAGCTTTTGAAACAATAAACAGTATTTTGCTGAAATGTCCCAGTTTGTAAGTAGCCAGGAACTCTTGTGTGACCCTCTCCACAGCACCTTCCTTGCACATTGCAGTCTTTAATTAGTTATTGACTTAATTAATGAGTTTATGCATTTGTTGTTATTGTCCCCAACCAAAACATAAATCTTGATGAGAGCAGGGGACTTGTCTGTCTTGTCCTCAATAAAATGTTTGATGAACAAATGACCAAATAAATAAAACGTCACCAGGTGGGTAGGATTTTCTATATTTGGGAAACATTCATCCAAAAGAAAGGATATAAAATTATGGAAGAAAAATATCCAAAGCTCTTATGTAAAGAGCTGGCCCCGTTAGCCTCTTAGACTAACATCATGAACCTTATTTCATAGCAGGAAGAAAGATTATGTCTAAGGAAGAACGGAGCCTCAAGGGCAGCTTCAAAGGACAGAGTCCAGAGCCTGCTTTTAAATGCTATCTGTTCATGCTTCTCTAAGCCAATTATTTGACATATTGGTATATCATTCTAAATTGGTTTGCCTTCCCTTCCCCTTTTAATCTGTTTTCTTTGTCCTTCAAGGCAAAGTGGTTTACAAAGGGATAGTGGTTTTGTTCATTAGCTAATTATAATTATTCCCTTATAATGACCACGTTGCAACAGGTACCCAAACACCTGATCACACCCCAGTGCAAGTTCTTTGAAATAAAGTAGGAATAAATTTAAAAACAATAGAGTTACTATTAAAGAATGAGTCAATACTAGCTTCGCTTTTCTTAAAATTAAATAGCACATTCCTTATTGGCCATTGCTAATTTTGGAGCATTTATTTTAATACTTATATACTGTATTAATATTTTAATGAGTCATTACCTGTAAACCTTTGTTGTGTTAATGTTTAAGCCTTCAAACTATTTTGGAGCATTTAAATCTATTTTTTCCAAATATACATGAAATGATATTAGTTCCTGGCTTTATTTTTAAAAACATAGCATGAACCTTCAAGGAACAACCATCCTGTTATTTTCTTTTATCTCACATATCTTCTTGTCGGAGAGAGAAATTCCCCTCTAATGTTCAAAACTTAGGAGTGTTTGACATCTCCTAAGCTCTGATGTCTCTACATTACAAGTGACTTAATTTGTAAATATAATCATCTCTTAGTAGCCAAAGGAGATTTGTTACCAGACCCCCCACCTCACAGATACCCAAATCTGTGTTGCTGAAGTCTCTGATATAAAATGGTGTAATTTTTGCATACAGCCTGTGCACATCCTCTTGGATACATTAAATCACCTCTAGGCTGCTTATAATATCGAATACAATGTAAATGCCATGTAAATAGTTGGCATACTCTATTGTTTAGGGAATTATGACAAGAAAAAGTCTGTACATATTAAGTACACACTCAACATACATCTTTTAAGAAATATTTTTGATCTGCAGTTGGTTGAATCCACAGATGTGGAACCCATGGATATGGAGGGCTGACTATAGTAGCAAATTATATAGACATATGAGAAATTTTATATGGTGATGCTAGTTTAATATAATCCTTTCTTAGGATTATATTAAATTATAGGATTATATTAAATATATACTGAGGAATTTATTTATTTTCTGTCTCTTCCAGTCTTCCATAGTGGGTAAGCTGTCTATCATAGTTCCTCTTGCAGGTACAAAATAATTTTTTAATGTTCATTTCTCAAATGGATAACTAGACACACAAAATGATAACAGCCTTGCCAATGGATACTTTTTGATGATACCCAAATGCCCGATCCAAAAACTCCCCCCCCCCACCAGTTAGCTCTGGGGTATCAGAACCCAAGGCAATACGAAACTCCAGGTCCACACGAATAAGTATCTCCACCGTTTCCTCACTAACAATACAGTTGTTATTTACAATGGAGTGATCCAATTACTTGAGTGATTAGTTTGTCAAAGGAGTTGTCTTCTAGTGAGTTGAGAAAATGTGAACAATAACGAAATACCTAAAATGACAACAAAATTTCTAAAAATTAAGAGTGTAATTCCCTCATCTGAGGCAAGTGAGTGGGTGGCTGAGCTGGGAGCTCTGGAGTCAGGCTGTGCAGTTCCCTGGAGATCCCCGGGGAGGTCACCTCACACCTTTTTCCTCACATCTTCATCTTTAAGGTGGGAGTTAAACCCGTTAAGTGAATGAATAAATATACAGCGCTGGAAACAGTGCCTGGCACTCAGTAAAAGCTGCATCTACCCCACCTGTGTTGTTGCTGTTGCTACTATTGTTATTGTAATTATTTTAGTATTGTTATTAACTAGTACTCATGGAATTAGATGCCACAGACAATGTAATCTCAAGGTTGGGGCCTATACTGAATCAGTAAATTAGAGTAGTCGTTGTTTTAAAAAATTTAGTCCTCATTTCACTTCAAACAGGAATTAAGAAGGGCTACATATAAATGATACAGCCAAGTTAAACATATTTCTACAAGTAAGAAAGGGAGTCCAGGAAAACTAGTGAATGAGGAAGTACAGCTCCATGAGCCACTTTTTGAGCTCCTGTAAGAACCCAAAAGATTTGTCTCAGGTTGCAGGTATCCAGGGAGCAAAATCCAGAAATTTCTATTTATCTTGGTCTTTTTTTTAGCTGTCTGAAGGGCAAGGAAACAATATTAGGCTTTTACTTGCTCCTTCTTTGCTCTGCCAGCTGCTATTTCTGGCTTATGCCTGAAGGCAGGAGAAGGAATGGCAGCAGGGCCAGGGTGAGGCCAGGGCTGCGGTTTGGGCTGGATTCAAAGCAAACGTTCTAGCCAGTGCAGGCAGAAGCTGCACAGAGACCTCTTTGAGAAGTTGGGCACCTCAGGCTGCGCCCAGCTGGGTCCAGAGGCCCCCTCTCCAGGGAGCAGAAGGTTGAGCTGCAGTGAGATGCTTCTAGGCTCCTGCTGCTTACAGGGTTTAACCCTGCCATCCACGATGCTTCCCTTCAGGAGCAGTAGAATAGGCAGGGTAAAGAATGCAGTAGTGGCCAGGCGCAGTGGCTCACGCCTGTAATCCCAGAACTTTGGGAGGCCAAGGTGGGTGGATCACTTAAGCCCAGGAGTGCAAGATGAGCCTGAGCAACATGACAAAAACCCATCTGTATAAAAAAACTTTAAAATTTAGCAGGGCATGGTAGCCTGTACCTATAGTCCCAGCTACTCGGGAGGCTGAGGTGGGAGGATTACTTGAGCCTGGGATGTTGAGGCTGCAGTGAGCCATGATTGCATGATTGCACCACTGTACTCCAGCCTGGGTGACAGACTGAGACCCTGCCTCAAAAACAAACAAAAAGCAGTAGTAGCGTAGAGCTGGAATAGACATTCATTCATTCGTTCTCACCCACTCACCCCTTGATAATTCATAGAACACCTGTGTACCTTGCCCTGTGCTTGGGGGTGGAAAAATCCTTGCAATGTCTTACTGGCAAATTCTACTGAAGGAGCTTTCCTCTCCAGTGGGCAATCCAGCCCCCAGCCAGGCCCTGGAACATGCCCAGCACAACGTATACATAGATCAAACACTACATAGAACACATAAATGTACATAATTATTAGTGGTCAACTGAAATACAAGATACGCATGGTGTGGTGGAGTGCATGAGAGAGGCCACCTTTTGCAGCTTGGGCTGGACTGGGAGCTAAAAAGCTTTCGTCTTTTAGTGCCTCCTGTGCTGAGTCCTACAGTCACTTCCGTAGTGGCCAAACGTTAGAGAAAGGGAAAGGTGGGAGTGGGAGCAAGGAGGAGGGCAAAGCCTCGAGGCCAGACTCGTGGGTAACCTCACCTCAGAAGCAAGGTGGCTGCAGGGTAGGGGTGAGCCTAAATATGGACTTCTAGAGAAAGCCTGAGTCCCACCATCAAGGACATCCTATACTATTTTAAGAAGTTCACTACTGTACTTGACCTTGTAGTTCTTAAAGTATGGCTCATGGGCTACCAGTAACATAATCCCCTTGGAGGTTAATTGCAATGCACATTTTTGTACTATATCTCAAACAGATCAGAATTTTCTGTGGGGGGTTCTGGAATTTTGTATTCTAAACACACATCCTTGGTCTTCATTATACATAGGGTAGTTGGAGGCCCTGACCTGAAGGCAGTGGAGAATTGCTGGAGAATTCGAGGCAGAGGGCTGCTAGGTGTGGGTGCTGGGGGTGTGAGTTGTTTCCAGTGGACACACGATAGGATTGTGCTTCCCAGCCCCGTTGCGCTCAGGTGACTTGATTTCCAGTGAAACGTGAGCAGCAGTGATGTGTGACACCTCCCGAAAGAGCCACTGCATCGTCTCCCCTCTGACAGTGATTGTGGACACCTGCATTGAGATGAAGCCCATGTCAGCCTGGGTCTCCCAGGTGCCTTCATTAAGCAGAGCTCTCCCCACCCTCTGTTGGAATCCATGGTGGACTTCAGAGTTGAAGGAGACGTGGACATTTTTTGTGTGAAGATGCTGAGATCTGGGAGCTGCTCATTGCCACAGCATTGCCCCACATGTCCTGACTGAGGCAGGTGGTCTTGCGCTCATTTGCTGCATTTTGGTGACTTCTGACAGATGGATTTGTGTAGGGACAGCCAAGGGGCAGGTAGATTTGTGCAGGGACAGCCCCCGGGGACAGATGGATTTGTACAGGGACAGCCCAGGAGCAGCTGGATTTGTGCAGGGATAGCCCGGGGCAGATGGATTTGTACAGGGACAGCCCAAGGACAGATAGATTTGAGTAGGGACAGCCCAGGGGCAGTACGAGTTTTTTTGTGAGAATCCAGAGTTGATTGAGAAATAGAGTAGGAGAAGCAGGAATGAAAAGGGGAGGACACAGATTTAAGGGATATTTTGTGAACAAAACTGAGAGCTTACTGACTGTTGATGAGTGGTGTGGGAAAAGGATAGGTCAAGGAGGAATGTCCTGTTGCTAGTTTCAGTGATTGGGTAGTGGGAGGAGACACCAAATGCATAGAGAGAATGGAGGCAGGATAATTTTAGGGAAGGAAGATGGGGAATTCCTTTTGTCCATATTCTAGAATGTGCGTGAGGCCACCAGGTAGATAGCAGGCAGCTGGCTGTGATTGATCATCTGAATTATGGAAGGAAGGGGGTCTGGGCTGGAGACACAGATTTGGAGGACATTACACTGTGGGGGATTGTATCAACCATGGGAGCCAACACAGTCACTTAGATGAGATCTTGTGAGAGTAAAGGCACGATCCTAGAGGGTTTCAAGGTGTGTGGAGCTAGAGGAGCAGAAGAGTCGCAAGGAATCATCAGTGAAAGAAGATCTCAAAGTGCAGTATGGAAAGAGGTCGCCAAATAGGAGGAAGGAATTAGAAATGTCAAAAGTCTCCAAGAAACACAGGAACAATGTATATAAAGGCTTAAAAATGCTCCTGGGATTTGGCAATTGGAAAGGTTGTCATTGACTTCATCGTGCATATAAAGGAATCCCGGTGGGCAGTGAGTTAAAGGGTGGAAAGGGAGGAAGGAGCATAGACCACATTATCAGCAGGTGGGCAACACAAGGAGCACCCAGGCAGTTTGTTGAAAGCAGGTTCCTGTGCTGGGTCCTGGGATGCTGACTCACTGGGTTCTATGTGGGATGGACTTCAGGGTTCTGCAAAGCTTCCCTGAGGAAATATGGTGCACACCTGAAACTGGAACTGACTTCTCTTTCAAGAAACTTGATAGAGATAAAGAGGGAAGGCATGGAGTGGAATCTGGAGAAATGCAAGCATCCCCCTCAGTGGCCAAATCAATGGGAGAGAGGGAAGGGATGGAGCTGTAGTGAGGCTCCAGAGGAAGTTTCTGGGAAGGGTGTTGGGTCAAGGTGGAGAGGTTGTCCTTGAACAGGAGGGCACAGTGGACTGGAGAAACTGGTATGGACATGGCTACAAATGTAATTGGAGCCATTGGCAAAACCTTGAGGAACTAAAGGATGGCCTCAGTCTTCTAGAAGTAGAAAGCACAACTGTCTCAAGGCACAAAGGCAAGGGCTGAGACAGGGGAGACTGGAGAGGGTCTGAGATGGTCTCAGAGGGAGACGAAAGTGAGAGGAAGGCTGTACTTAGTGACTTGCTGGTGGTGCTGAAAGCATGCTGAGATTGGAGACCATGAGGCTGGAGTGGCTCAGTCTCAACATCCATGGGGAATCCTCTGGAATTGTGCTTTGAGCAGAAGAATGGATAAGATAATGGCATCCATCAGTGATTCATGACTGGCTGGGCACAGTGCAGGTGGTCACCAGGGGTCTGGTGGGTAAATTCAGACCATCTGTGGTGAGTTCCCATTAAATAGGCTGATAGATTAGCAGAAAATGGCAGGGTCTGGGGAGCTAGGTCACTGTGAAGTTTAGAGTGAAGCCAGGCCATAGGAGGCTGGAAAGGCAGAATGGATGATAAGGAATTGGAGATTTCTGAGAATAGGTTCATGTAATCAGAAAGTTCAGAATTATGGCCTTGGCAATTGGGATGAAGGTCACTGGTGTTACAAATTTTCAAGAATTTTTGGGTGGATTATGTTCATGAATTTTGAAATCCTTTAAAATCTCTTGGAAGCTGGTACCATAGAGGCCTCTAGACCAGTCTCAAAGCCTTCAGTGGATGATGTTGGAATTGGAATTCAGGATGACTGACTCAGTCCCGTCTTTCCCAGGGTGAAGGACGGAGCCACGTGGTCAAAGCCTTTGCCCAAGACTCAAGGCCAGAGTTCCCTCATTGTCCCTCACCACCTGATCCAGGTTTTTCTTTTGACAGTAGTTTTTGAGGCCAATTTAATATTAAGTTATTAATAGCTCAATTTTAAACAAATATCGTGATGAATTAAAAAGAAAAAAAAACTGTGGAGGAAATTCAGGAACAGCCAACTCCATCACACTTGCATATACCTCAGGCCTCTGTACAGGGCAAAAGTCAGTTAAAGGGACATTTGAAATATCTGGCACTAAGATTTAGGTAGGACGGTAACTTTTGTACAGACTCTAGAAGTTCACCTATTCCAAACTCTCACCTTCAAGCCATGTTCATATTGAAACTGCATGGAACTAAGCCCCAAGAGGCAAGCTCAGTTTGCCTTAAAGAGAATAAGAAACTTCTTAAACAATATGGCCTTCTGCTAAAGGAAAATCACTCATTTAATGAATGAGACAACCCACACCATTATCCAACACAGAAACCTCAGGTCTGTCATCATGTTCCTTCCAGACCCTTCATTCTTCTCTTCACTCTGTTCCAAGCACCCCATTCTCTCCTTCCCATCCTTCCTTAGGTGTCATGCCTTCCTGCATTTCCCTCCTGCTCCCTCAGCAGTGATGCATGCTGTGTGCATCAGAGTATTCATTCCCTAGGGCTGCTGTAATACATTACTACAAACTTGGTGACTTACAACGTGACATTTGCTCTGTCATAGTTCCAAAACCCAGAAGTCCAAAATCAGGGTGTCAGCAGGGCCATGTTCCCTCTGGAGGCTCTACGGGAGGATCTTCCCTTCTCTCTTCCAGCTTCTGGTGATGCTGGGTGGTCTGTGACTTGTGGCTGCATCACTGCAACCTCTGTCTGTATCTTCACATGGCCTTCTGCACTGTGTTTTCTCTTCTTAGAAGGACATTTGTCATTGGATTTTGGGTCCACTCTAACCTATGATGATCTTATCTCAAAATCATAAACTTAGTTACATTTGCAAAGGTACAATTTTTTCCAAGTAAGGTCACATTCACAGGTTCCAAGTGGACATAATTTTTGGTGGAAGAAGGGAGTCACCATTCAAACCACTACAATCAAAGAATGGCAATTGAGTAAAATCTGCTTCGATTTCCTCCTTTGGTGATACATAACTCTCTTAACCATATAATAGCTCCCTGAGGGAAAGAATGTGTCTTCTATTTCTATGGCTCTTTCTTGAATGTTCCACCAGGTACACTCCAGGATGTCTTTCCCATTTCAGCTGGATTTGCCTCTTCTCAGCTTGCAGACCTTCATGCACAGGGCAGCCTCACTCTTACCTTTCAACATTTTGCCCAAGTTCTACCTACAAGAAGTCTCCTCTAGTTGGTTCCACACAATGCTCCATTCACCCTTAAATTCTCTTGCCAAGAGAAATTCCCTCTTAAATTTCTCTTGGCATTATTGCCTTCATAAAACAGCTAACTTTTCTCAGGTTGGTCTGAATTCCTTCTCTGACTAGTTTGCCAGTTTATTTAAGGTATGCCACATACATAGCTTTTGTAGGTGGTCTCAATTTATTCATTTGCTTCACACCAAACTCACTGAGCAAACTCCATGTTAACAGAAGCGTATCCTACAGCATAGGCAAGGCTGTGTTTACTGACTCAATTGGGCTGTTCCAAATATATGAGTCAGCCTTATATTTGGCTCCAATAAACAGAAAACCAGACTACAGAGGATTAAACAAATGGGAATTTATTTGCTTCACATAAAAGGAAGTCCAGACATGGGGGCTGCTGGCTTTGGTCTGGCCAATTAATAAAATCAGGACTCATGTCTGGAGGAGCCCATTGGCTTTGCTGTCACCCTCTTAAGGAGGCTGCTGCAGATCCAGCCATTTCATCTACATTCAAGGCAAGCAGAATAAGTAGCAAAGTAGAAGTGTCCCACGAACAGTATCTGCTCCTTTTTATTAGGACATTAAAAGCTACTTACCACAGAGGCCGTTCCTTCCTGAGGCTGACTTCATTCACATCTTGTTCCATCACCCTTTCCAGTCACAGGAGAGCCTGGGAAAGCCAATGTGTGGATGTTCAGCGTCTGTAGTGGGAGGTAGCCAGGTAGAAGGGGTGGGAAAGGTCTTGAAGAGCTGATCAGCAGTGTTTCCCGACTGTGTTGCCAGAGCCCCTACAGGGCTTCTGCCACCCAGGTTGTGCTGGTGTTCACATGTCCTCACTGCCCCACCTCTTACTGGCATCTCCTCGAATGCCAGAATTGTTAAGAACAGCTGTTGATGTAGTAAGCAATAATTAACTCCCAGGTTGATAAATCACGTGGCTGCAGAATTTTTTTCCCTTGAAATATATAGGTGAATGCTGCTTAGAATGTGGTGGTGTAACCACCTCCTTGGACGGAGAGTGCCCATGCAGCCATTTTGAAGCTACTGTTGAGCCTGAGGAAGGGTGTTCTTTAGACGGGAAACTCACCATATGTAGGAGCATACCCACAGATGTTCTAATAACTGGTGTTACTGGAGTGTGTAGAAGAAGACACCGTCGTTAGGGCCAGTGAAGGTTCCAGTATGGCATCTGCTTTCAAGCAGGAGAAAATTCTGGGGTAATGCTCTCTTTCTTTTTTTTTTTTTTTTTTTTTTTTTCTTTTGTTTTTTTTTTTTTATTATACTCTAAGTTTTAGGGTACATGTGCACATTGTGCAGGTTAGTTACATATGTATACATGTGCCATGCTGGTGCGCTGCACCCACTAATGTGTCATCTAGCATTAGGTATATCTCCCAATGCTATCCCTCCCCCCTCCCCCGACCCCACCACAGTCCCCAGAGTGTGATATTTCCCTTCCTGTGTCCATGTGATCTCATTGTTCAATTCCCACCTATGAGTGAGAATATGCGGTGTTTGGTTTTTTGTTCTTGCGATAGTTTACTGAGAATGATGGTTTCCAATTTCATCCATGTCCCTACAAAGGATATGAACTCATCATTTTTTATGGCTGCATAGTATTCCATGGTGTATATGTGCCACATTTTCTTAATCCAGTCTATCATTGTTGGACATTTGGGTTGGTTCCAAGTCTTTGCTATTGTGAATAGTGCCGCAATAAACATAGGTGTGCATGTGTCTTTATAGCAGCATGATTTATACTCATTTGGGTATATACCCAGTAATGGGATGGCTGGGTCAAATGGTATTTCTAGTTCTAGATCCCTGAGGAATCGCCACACTGACTTCCACAATGGTTGAACTAGTTTACAGTCCCACCAACAGTGTAAAAGTGTTCCTATTTCTCCGCATCCTCTCCAGCACCTGTTGTTTCCTGACTTTTTAATGATTGCCATTCTAACTGGTGTGAGATAATATCTCATAGTGGTTTTGATTTGCATTTCTCTGATGGCCAGTGATGATGAGCATTTCTTCATGTGTTTTTTGGCTGCATAAATGTCTTCTTTTGAGAAGTGTCTGTTCATGTCCTTCGCCCACTTTTTGATGGGGTTGTTTGTTTTTTTCTTGTAAATTTGTTTGAGTTCATTGTAGATTCTGGATATTAGCCCTTTGTCAGATGAGTAGGTTGCGAAAATTTTCTCCCATGTTGTAGGTTGCCTGTTCACTCTGATGGTAGTTTCTTTTGCTGTGCAGAAGCTCTTTAGTTTAATTAGATCCCATTTGTCAATTTTGGCTTTTGTTGCCATTGCTTTTGGTGTTTTGGACATGAAGTCCTTGCCCACGCCTATGTCCTGAATGGTAATGCCTAGGTTTTCTTCTAGGGTTTTTATGGTTTTAGGTTTAACGTTTAAATCTTTAATCCATCTTGAATTGATTTTTGTATAAGGTGTAAGGAAGGGATCCAGTTTCAGCTTTCTACATATGGCTAGCCAGTTTTCCCAGCACCATTTATTAAATAGGGAATCCTTTCCCCATTGCTTGTTTTTCTCAGGTTTGTCAAAGATCAGATAGTTGTAGATATGCGGCATTATTTCTGAGGGCTCTGTTCTGTTCCATTGATCTATATCTCTGTTTTGGTACCAGTACCATGCTGTTTTGGTTACTGTAGCCTTGTAGTATAGTTTGAAGTCAGGTAGTGTGATGCCTCCAGCTTTGTTCTTTTGGCTTAGGATTGACTTGGTGATGCGGGCTCTTTTTTGGTTCCATATGAACTTTAAAGTAGTTTTTTCCAATTCTGTGAAGAAAGTCATTGGTAGCTTGATGGGGATGGCATTGAATCTGTAAATTACCTTGGGCAGTATGGCCATTTTCACGATATTGATTCTTCCTACCCATGAGCATGGAATGTTCTTCCATTTGTTTGTATCCTCTTTTATTTCCTTGAGCAGTGGTTTGTAGTTCTCCTTGAAGAGGTCCTTCACATCCCTTGTAAGTTGGATTCCTAGGTATTTTATTCTCTTTGAAGCAATTGTGAATGGGAGTTCACCCATGATTTGGCTCTCTGTTTGTCTGTTGTTGGTGTATAAGAATGCTTGTGATTTTTGTACATTGATTTTGTATCCTGAGACTTTGCTGAAGTTGCTTATCAGCTTAAGGAGATTTTGGGCTGAGACGATGGGGTTTTCTAGATAAACAATCATGTCGTCTGCAAACATTTGACTTCCTCTTTTCCTAATTGAATACCCTTTATTTCCTTCTCCTGCCTGATTGCCCTGGCCAGAACTTCCAACACTATGTTGAATAGGAGCGGTGAGAGAGGGCATCCCTGTCTTGTGCCGGTTTTCAAAGGGAATGCTTCCAGTTTTTGCCCATTCAGTATGATATTGGCTGTGGGTTTGTCATAGATAGCTCTTATTATTTTGAAATACGTCCCATCAATACCTAATTTATTGAGAGTTTTTAGCATGAAGGGTTGTTGAATTTTGTCAAAGGCTTTTTCTGCATCTATTGAGATAATCATGTGGTTTTTGTCTTTGGCTCTGTTTATATGCTGGATTACATTTATTGATTTGCGTATATGGTAATGCTCTCTTTCTTGATCTGGGTGTTGTTTACGTGGATTTATTCACTTAAAGATTTATCAAGCCAGACACTTAAGATATATGTACTTTTCTGTTCATATGTTTTACTTCGATAAAAATGTACTTCAAAAATTGGATTGGAAATTAGAAAAATAAATGTGGCCCAGGTTTGGATATGGAAAAATTTTTTTTAAAGGGAGAGAAAATTCTGACTGAGTGACAGTGTTCCTGTTTGGGCTTATGTCCAATGGTGATGTGGAGGTAAAAATGAAGGGGAAGCCTGGAAAAACACAACTAATTATGTGGATATTTTATCTGCATTAACTATTAATGCAAAATTTAATTTATGCAAACATTATGGAAGAGATTATTTTACATTTAAATCTAAATTTGGTCCATGATCATTTAAATGCAACATTTATTATTACTGAAGGCTCTACCCGGGCACATTCTTGCAGGCTCTGAAGTGTGATCCCCTCATTAATCCAAACTTTATCAGATTTGCTAAACCAAATGCTATCATACTCAGCAAACAAAGGAACAAGAGAATGATATGTCACATCAGAACACTCATTTAACTAGTTCTCACTTGATGCTTGTTATTTTTCGTTTATCACCGAAGCTATGGAATATTTGCTATTTGCTTTCGGAATGAAAGGTATACATACATTATATGTATAAATGCTATAATTCCAAAAGAGTGTTTTTTTTAAATATTCCTTTAGAAGTTACAGGAAAATCTATCCTCCCAAGAGTATAATCTTTGATGTCATGTTATGTCCATACTGTCTTCCATCCCATTCCCACCCCTGTTCTTAGTTCACCTGTTGCTGCGGGTCTTCTGAAATTCCACCTGCCCTGCACATGCAGGGCACCTGAGCTTGGGCCTCAGCTGTCTTTCTGTGAGCCCTTTGATCCTGTTCTGCCTTCGCTTCCCTCCCTTTTTGTCCCACACCACCTCAGCTTCATCTGAGTTTACTTTCTGGTTCTCTTAACTGAGTTGCTCATCTCTCTTTCCTATTCAGTACAGCAGCCCTCCTGATGTAGTGGAAGGATGACTTTCTTTTGGTTTAAAAAATTACACCAGGTCTCACATTTTTAGCATTCCTGTGGAGGAAGCTCATGCTCATTAGCATCAGCCATTATTCATTCATTATCACATTCTCAGTTCTTCCCTCCACCTGAACTGTTTCTTTGTTCTGGATCTGGAAGAATTCACGTTTAGTCATCTGCTTCTTATCTGACATCAGTTTCTCTGTTGGTAGTGCACAACATATTCACTTGGGGAGATTTATGTTTTAAAAAGTAATAACCCACTGACACTCCGGAGTGGGCTCCAGGCCCGTGTGCATCTTTTGCAAGTGCCAAGTGATTCCACTGCACAGCCTGCTGCACCCCTGAGGACCCATGAGCTCTCACGAGTAAAGCACCTTGGTGGAGCTTTATTTCGCCTTTCCAATTGCTAACAACAAATCAGAATACGTATTTGCATGACACTTACAATCAATGACATGATTTAAAATATTACAAGTCTTTGTTTCCCTAACCAGAGCATAGTTTATAAATGAAATTTGCATTTATATATGATGGTGATGTTTTTATTTGATTCATTATAGTTGTAAGCATTGGTGAACTTTGTGTGCAGAATTGGCTGTAACTTGTATATTACCAAATGAGAAAGATACATAAACTAAGAAGGCCATATTTGAATCTGTGGCTAGTGGAGTCATAAATAAATTGGTATTAAATTTGGTGAATGATGTAATCACACCAAAGATGTGTCTCCTGGGGAGACCTGTCAACACAGGTAGCATCCATCCTCTTGGGAGAGGTCACTCTTCTGAAGGAGTGGCCTTCAGCCTTGAGAGCTCTGAAGTATGATCCTAGGAGTAATCCATCCTTTATCAGACTTGGGATGCTGATTAGTTTTAACTACTTAGCAGGCAAAAAAGAATTAATTAATTACAGGCACAAAAGAATGCTAATTAATTAAACTCAGAATGCTAATTTGTTAATTTATCATGAGGAATATGACTATCCGATAGACCAGACAGTTTATGAAACTACCTCTTAAATTGTCTCTATAGTAAGAAACCACCTTATCCAAAGATCACCTGTGAGCAGGGAAATAACACAGTTGGAGGGCTGATTTAAATGCTTAAAACAGGCTGGGTGTGGTGGCTCACACCTGTAATCCCAGCACTTTGGGAGGCCAAGGCGGGCAGATTGCTTGAGCTCAAGAGATCAGCCTGGGAAACACAGGGAAACTTTGTCTCTACTAAAAATACAAAAGTTAGCCGGGCGTGGTGGTGCATGTCTGTAATCCTAGCTACTTGGGAGATTGAGGCATGAGAATTGCTTGAACCCAGGAGGAGGAGGTTGCAGTGAGCTGAGATCACACCACTCCCCTCCAGCCTGGGCAACACAGCGAGACTCTGTCTCAAAAAAATAAAAATTAAAGATAAATGCTTAAAGCAGTATTTCTAGATCTTTTTCTATTAGACTCCCTCCTAAGGAAACTCTTTAGATATTTTTATTCCTACCTGGCCCCTCATGAAAATCTAATGCCACAGGTATATTGCGTATCTGTTTATGTGATGTGTGCATTTTTGCCCTCCCCAAGAACTATTGTTTCCCTCTTGGGGTGCTATGACCTCTGTTGAGAATGCATAGTTTAAGACATCAAACTCTGAAAGCCTAAAGTATGCATTTCTGCTAGAGGGGTGAGCCAGCCATATGGGCCAGGTACTGAAGTCTGCTGACAGGATACCTTCTCCTCTAGACAGTGCCATTTTTCCCCCCAAGAGACAGGCCTTTCTCCATGTTTCCATAATTGAAATCTTCACCACCCACTTCCCCTTTTTTATGCACATATTCTTTCTTTAGATGTTTTAGTTTACCCAACAGATCAGACTCAAATCTGGCCAGTCTGGGAAGGTTTCATTCCCTTTCAGGTGACAAAACATAGCTTCATGGTTCCAGTTTAACTCTGATAAGATAAGTTCAGGTCCAAATTCTTCATGTCTCTTCTGAGTATAATTTGCATGGATTTACTGAAGGGATGGCAGGTATATATCAAGGCATAACCCTGATATTCAGGGATAATATCTTATGAAGCAACTACAAAGTTTTCTCACTAAATAGGAGAGGCGGAAAAGTAGATTGAATTGATTTAGGGCAAAAACTCACATTTTAATATAAGCCCATAAGGGCAGGGCTTTGACCTTTTTAAAAAGTTTTCTTAAAATTACAGTCTCTACACTTTGAGCAGTTTGGGGCACATAAGAGGCTGTCAATAATATTTGTTGAATGAAAGAATGTATTTTTGTTCAATACATGAATTAGGATATTTCCAATTCTTATGTACTGAATCATAGGTGTATGTGGGATTTTATTTATCCATTTAATAAATACTTATCAGTACATGTCCCAATAAGTTCTATATGGATTACCCAATCTATATATAGGGGAATATAAAACAGGTGGGATCTTGACCCTCAAGGAACATAGAGCAGAACATGAAAGACAGACAATAAGCAGATGGAGAAATGCAAAACATTTACTTTTGGCAAATGATGTTGGGGAAGTATCAGGGAGTATTACTCTACTGATGTTGGAGAAGTATCAGGGAGTATTACTCCAGTGATATTGGAGACATATGAGGAAGCCGTCCTGGAGAATAGCAGGAAGGCATTAAGAGAGTGTGCCCAGGGAGCCCCTGACATACAAGCCAGGAATGAGCAGAAGGAGTTCCACACAGGGAGAGAGCCAGGCATGAGATTGCCAGGCAGAGAAAAGTATGTGTGCAAGGGCTTGAGCCTGGCCAAGTTGGAGCAACCCAGAGGAGGGCTTCATGCCTAGAGTGGAGCTGAGACAGGGCATGAATGGAATGTGGAGATGCAGACAGGGGTGGGTTGTATAAAGAATTTAGGGTAGGATACTTTCATAAGAAACATATTAAATTGGAGAGGCCTACTTTTCTGTGTCTAGTCCTCAGAAGAAAGATGTAGGCTAGAGGTATATCTTTGGGCATTGGTGTTATTTCGATGGTGTTGAAGAAGTTAGGTATATGGATGATGCTGCAAGGGAGAACTTGGGGGAATTTAAAGAGAAGTAGACCTGGGCAGTGCCCTGGAGATTGCCAACATTTGAATTAAGGCAATGGATTCAGTGAGATGGGCTGACTCCAGGGTGCATGATGCCAGGGCAGCTGAGGCAGGCTGGGATTCTCCATAGGAGAAAGGGCCCAGCTGCTGCTGAGAGAGCCACTCAGGAGTGAGGTCAGGAGAGAGTAGGAAGGAGACATTGGGTTTGGCAAACTTGAAGGTAACTGATATTCTTGCCTAGAGTAGTTTCGGTGGTGCCTTGGGTTGCTACATGAAATGGATTCAGGAGAGACAGGGATCAAGAAATAGAAAGAGCTTAAGTAGACAAGTCTTAGAGGCTCAGCTGTAAAGGGAAATGAGAAATGGAGAAGATGGAAGGATGTGTGTGTTAAGGAAGGGTGTTGTTAGCTAAGGAGTAGGCTCACTGGCTGTTGGGAATGATTCAAAGAGGGAGAGATGGATGCCATAGCATTAAGCAGTCAGGAGTGAGTTAGCACGGTGGCTTAGACTCCCTGTTGCCTGGAGACAATTGATAGAGTGATGGTCCAGGCCTGTGTGGTTTTCTTATGCATTGAAGTGGAGTTAAAAAGTGCTTTTCTTGCAAATTATGGAATTTGGTTGTCAAATTTGATCTAAATAAAGGAATTTTAAAATGCATAATCTAAAATCAAACTGCTTTTCTTCATTTCGGTTCTACTCCCAAGTGATTCTGATGCCAGGCATGGTTTTTTTTCTCATCAGCATCTTTCACTGCAGTGATTGCTATAGAAATCCTTGAGGTGTGAAAACTATTCCTTGTAGCAAGCACAGAATTTAAATGTTTCTGTTAGGAAAACAACTTTTAGGGCCACCTGACCATGGGAAGCTCTGCATTCTGTATCTCTCCTCTTTCCAGTATAAAGATGAGTTATGAGGACACTCTCTCTCCTTTAAACTGTAGGTAAACTCTTTTGCTGCTTTTGTTTAATTTTATATGTGACATAGCCTTATTAAATCATAAGAAATATATTAAATGTTTCTCAAGTAGTTAAATAATGAGAAAAGTAGTTAAATAATGAGAAGATAAATATCATTCTGATTTGTTAAAGTTCATTTTATATATGATACCAAAAAAACTTCATTAGTTTTTACCTAGTGTGCCCACTCTTTATTAAGGTCCTTAAAAAATTGGTACCTCTGGACTAATAGTTTTAGTCTTGATTGTTAAACATCTAATTGTTTTATGCTTGATTTTTTAGTGGCAGGTTTATTATATAATATATCCACTGGAAAAAATGGAAATGAATATTTTTAACATTTTATACTCATTCTTCAAAATTCTAGTAGGCTTGGATGGATTTCTATTTTATTTCTGGCTTGTAATACCTCTTCACACCATCAGGAAGCATGTTAATTCATCCCAGAAATGCATTTAGACTTGGGAACAGTGGAGAGTTTATTTTGACCATGACAGTTCCAAATGAGGGTTGGGGGTTTATCTCTTACTTTCTTTATAAGCTGAAAAAGTGTGTGTGAAGCCCACCATATGGAAAACACTGTCATGCTTCCTAAGAGAAGTGTGCCCAGTAAGCATAAGTGTGTAATTTTTTATAAATCACAACGGTTTTGTTAGGCAAGTAATCCAAAGCTCATCTAGGCACAACAATGAGATGATTCTAGAAGTTGGACCTAGACTCAAATTAATGTGGCAGAAATTTTTTCTTGTACTATCCAGTGCCTGATGACATGGTAAAAGTCTCAGAGTAATAAGGGGTGCATGAGACATCTTATTCCAGAAAAGAAAATTCAACTGAAAAGAGTTGTTGGCAATACACAGAGCTCTTAATCGAACGTTTTCTTTTTCCCTAAAACATAATAGTTTCCATTTTTTTTATTCTTAGAACTGATTCTGAATTTCTCACAGTTGGATACCAGCAAGAAAAAAAAGGACCTAGATCCTATAAAAAGGAATCATTTCCCATTTAGAAGTCACCTAATTAGGTATTTAGAACATCATGCACTATAAATAGGAAACCTCATGTTATTTCCTCAAGAAAGACAAGTCTTTTTGCACTTCAATGAAATGACAAAATAGTCAAATATGTGGCTTTTTGGCTTTTATGCAATGCAGATACAGGGTGTCTTTGTTTGGGCTTCCCAGAAGCAGGCCCTGAGATAGGGATAAATTGAGGCGGGGCCTAGCACAAACCCTGAACCATGGTGAGGTGGGCAGGATAGGGAAGGAGGAAGCTGAGCAAATGAGAGTGATGGTTTGGGGTGAGGCCTTGCCACAGTCTGATCTCATGGGGAGCACTGGAGTTTATTCTACCCTGAAGCAGGAATGCTGCTGTATTTGTCAGTCATTGACTATATGAGGGAATGGCTGATGACAGGAGTCGTTGGCTGCTCCGGGAGGGGGTAGGGAAGATGGGAGTGAAGGGTGAGAAGGAGAGTGGTTAAAACTAAGAGATAGCTCCAGTCACCCAAGGGCAACTGCTGGATAAGACTGCACACGAGGCCGGGCTTGGTGGCTCACGCCTGTAATCCCAGCACTTTGGGAGGCCGAGGCTGGCGGATCACAAGGTCAGGAGATCGAGACCATCATGGCTAACACGGTGAAACCCCGTCTCTACTGAAAATACAAAGAATTAGCCAGGTGTGGTGGCGGGCGCCTGTAGCCCCAGCTACTTGGGAGGCTGAGGTAGGAGAATGGCGTGAACCCGGGAGGCGGAGCTTGCAGTGAGCTGAGATTGCACCACTGCACTCCAGTCCTCCAGCCCTCCAGCCTGGGCGACAGAGTGAGACTCTGACTCAAAAAAATATATATATACCTAATGTAAATGATGAGTTAATGGGTGCAGCACACCAACATGGCACATGTATACATATGTAACAAACCTGCACATTGTACACATGTACCCTAAAACTTAAAGTATAATAATAAAAAAAAAAAGATTGCACACAAGAGCTGTTAACTCATAAGCTGAGCTCTGAGACAGGCACACTGGAGAAGCCCTAGGAATCCCAGGAAACCAGAGATGGAGAAGGCACAAATAGCTCAACTACAGAAATGCAGGCTGATATGGTGTGTCCTATCACCGGAGCTTCTAGTATAGGGGCAGTTATCACCTAATGAATGACACCTCATGAAAGGAAGATATTCTGACACCAGCTGGTGGCACTAACCATCCCGCATTAGGGGAGACCCCAAAAGTTAAGGGCTCAGAATTCCACCAGGCTGTCCCTCAGATGCCAGCCATGATTGGCGGTGGGGGGTGGGGTCCCCAGGTCACCTGCATTTCTAACCAACTGACTACAAATTCCAATTTCCATGACCTCCCCTGGCACATCAGTGTGTTCATCAACCACTGAGCTTTGGTGTGCAAAGTTTTTCTTGGCGTTTCATCTCATAGGCGTGACTGACTGAATCATCATCTATGTGATTGAACTCACTTTCCAGCTCCCTTCCCCAGAGGTTAGGTTTATGCTATGTGGCTCAAAGCCTTGCTTCTCTAATCACACAATTGTTCGTGCAGATGACCAGCCATCCTGAGCCTCATCTTATCTTGTAGGATAAACTCAGGTATAATCCAAGAGGCTCACCAATAACAAAACCATTCCTATTACTCAGGATAGCCCAAGGATTTAATCTTCTTCCAAGAAATAAAAGACAAAAACCAGTCATATTATTTACTGTACAAAAGAATATGCCTCTTTGAAGAGCAGGCTTTACGTTAAAGTTATGTGTAGACAGAAGAGAACTCAAGGAGGTAACCCAGAGAGCACTGGGAGGACAGGCTTTGAAGAATTAATATAACTCTAAATTTGACCAGTTTGAGCAATCAATAATGCATCTTTAATTTACTTAATGTTATCCATAGTCATCAAACCTAATTCTAAGTTGACACAAGATGAGCTTCATGCATCTCATGAGTGTCAACAGAGACCCCAGATCACAATGAACAGAAAACAAAATTGTTTGAGTAAATTTGTGAAAGGGGGTTATGTTGAAATATCTCACATCCCATTTTTTTAAAGTTTGGTCAGCCCTCCTACGACTAAGAACCTCCATCTCTCTATCCCCTCTGAGTGGCCCATCTCTGCCTCTGTGTACATCTGCCCTGTCCTTCCTTTCCCCAAAACCAGCTTCTTGGTTCACCTTTCTGTCTGTATAAAATTTCATTACAGAATTCCCAAAATGGTAGCTTCAACTGCCAGTTTACATGGTCTTCATCTTGGTGCCCTCAACCTCTAAGACTCAAACCTAATTCCTGGAGACAGAATCTTATCAGCCCAAAAGTCCACCTTTGGTTTTGTTAGCTGTGATTTTGCACAAGGTTGAGGTATTGAACTTGGGGTGGGTGGTCCCTGTTTGCTGCTCCAGACCCATAGTCACTCTTCTCACCCTGCTGTCCTGTGGAAGTGAATGTGAAGCACTGTGTCACCAGCTCCTTTGCCCTCTGGCTTCAGGTTGGGTCAGGCAAGTGGGAGGCATGGCCAGGGGACTGCAGGGCAAGAGGAGAATGAGGTCAGGGATTGAGGCTGTAACAGCCCCTGTGCCAGGACACAGGTTTGCAGTGACTGCTTCCACCATCTCCTGTTGGGTAGCTGATTCCCCAGCAGTAACACCTTTCTCCAGGTTCTAGCAACATGTCCCTCCTTGTATTAGTCTGTTCTCTTGCATTGCTGTAAGGAACTACCTGAGACTGGGTAACTTATGAAGAAAACAGGTTTAATTGACTCGCCATTCTGCAGGCTCTACAGGAAGCATGGCCGAGGAGGCCTCAGGAAACTTGCAATCATGGCAGAAGGCAAAGGGGGAGCAGGCACATCTTCACATAGTGGAGCAGGAGAGAGAGAGAGAATGGGGAGGTGCTACACACTTGTAAACAGCCAGATCTCATGAGAACTCACTATCACAAGAACAGCAAGGGGGAAATCTGCCCCCATGGTCCAATCATCTCCCACCAGCCCCCTCCTTCAACACTGGGGACTACAATTCAACATGAGATTTGTGTGGGGACACAAATCCAGACCATATCACTCCCCTTGCCTCCTCAGATCCATATGTGGTAAGGAAACTTCTGTTGCTATCTCTGGGGCACTTCTGAATTCCTTGCTGGTTTTCCGGCCAATAATTTTTAACTGTCACTTCATGTGACTTATAGCTCTTTCTTGCAAGCCATCTTTTTCAAGTGAGAACTTGACCAAATCTGGACTCATGGGGTATGTTAGATGGCTGCTTCTTGTCTCAGAAGAAGAAAAATGAGCACAGAAAGGAAGTATCTGCTACTGTCTCAAAATTTTTGGAAGAGAATATAGATAGCAAGTTCATCATAGTTTTAATAACTATTTTATTTAATTAATTTGTATATTTATTTACTTCATCAAAACTTTAGTTCTTTGGTGACGTGGTTTCCAGACTGTGTTCCAAGGCACCCAGGGGCACTCCAGGATATTATAAAATTTCAAGGGAAATACAAAGATGCTCAGCAAACTACTCTTGAGATAGTTCATAGTTTCAACATTAGATCATGCAGCATTCCTTTGTTGACATCATGTCTTTGCAAAGCTGGGTTTTTGTTGTTGCTGTGAGCAAAAACCAGTACGATGCAGATATTAAGATGCAATGGGATATGTAGGTGGCAGTATTGAATCAGAATCCATGATCTGTAAAGTTATGCAACACTCAACAGACACATTGGCCACTGATCATCATTAGTATTTCACCATGATTATTTAAGAATGAAATAAAAATATTATATTTTATTTTCATATATGGTGGTGCTAGTGGTTTTTGCATCAAGTACTAAGTTGTTTGGGCATAATACTTAAGTTGCTATGACCTCACTAAGTAATAAACAAAACTCCTGGGAATTTCGTTTAGTCTAGTAACATGATAAAAAGATTAATGAGTATTATGAACCAGGAAAACTCAGGAACCTCTGCATTAGTGGTTTTATTTTTGCAATTAGTTTTATAATAATGTCAGAAGAAGTATAATAATGTCAGAAGGAGTATAATAATGTCAGAAGAAGTTTATCACCAGTCTTCCTTCAATCACAAGCATTTGTATGTTCTCATATAGAAAACTAATGATGATCCCAATGGCAGAAACTTCATAGCCATCACTCTGAGAACCTAGTGGCTGCAATTAAAATCTCACTTCTCCAGCTCATGAGAAGCCTGCCTTGTATCATTTAAATTGTTTGTTTGCTTTGTTGAGTTCTATTGTTGGCTTGTTTTATTGCATTTATTCTAATGACATTAATTACTTTAGGGGGAGAGTACAAAATTTAATTGATTAAAAATAAATGCTCAGCAAATGTTTTGTGGAATGACTAAAGGGTATTTAATGAATATCCCATCTTGGTGCACATTAAACCATCATGGGTAGTACATGGAATTTCTGCAAGAGTTACCAGCCCCAAATGTCTAAGGCTTGCCCATTTTGACATTCCAGTAGATTCTCTGGTGATGTGTAAATAAAATGTCTTTAAAACTTAATGTCATATTGTGATGGACTGAATTGTGTTCCCTCAAAATTCCTATGTTGAAGGCTAACCACCTCAGAATGTGACTGTATTTAAACAAAGGGCCTTTGAAGAGGTGGCTAAGGTAAAATGAGATCTTTAGGGTGGGCCCTAATGCAATCTGACTGGTGTCTCTATAAGAAGAGGAGATTAGGACACACAGAGACACCAGGGTTGTGTGCTCACAGAGAAGAGACCCTGTGAGGTCACTGAATTTTTGTCCCCTCTGAAACTCATGTTGAAGTTTAATTGCCATTGTAACACTATTAGGAAGTAGAACTTTTACAAAGTGATTAGGTCATGAGGGCTGTGACCTCATGGGTGTGATTAACACCGTTATAAAAGGGAGTTAATCCCTTTTTTTCCCATTGATCTTTTGTGTTCTGCCATGGGAGACAAAGCATTCCTCCCCTGCAGAGGCTGCCGTGTTCAAGGCTCCTTCCTGGAATGAGAACTGCCAACCCTGCCATCACCTTGATATTGGACTTTACAGCTTCCAGAACTGTGAGCTGATAAATTTCTGTTTTGTGTAAGTTACCCAGTCTGTGGTCTACTGCAGCATAAAATAGGCCAAGTCACAGCAAGAAGGCAGCCGTCTGCAAGCCAAGGAGAGAGGCCTCAATCAAACCTAACTACAACTTGGCCTTGGACTGTAGCCTTCAGAAATGTGAGGAAATAAATGTCTGCTATTTAAGCCACCCAGTCTGTGGTATTTTATTATTATTAGTAGTAGTAGTAGTAGTCATAATCATAGCATACTAATGCACATATTTAGCAAAGCCCACTCCTTTTGATTGTGGTCTTTGAATGCTATTGACTGGGAAAAGCAGCTGCAGTCTTGTCCACTTGGGAAAACATGAGATGTCACTTGGTGTTTGGGGCAAAAATAATACATGTTCTCTGACAAAAATTTACAAGAAGTCAGAGTATGGTGCCAATGAGTTTAAAAATTTGTCTTTTCATTCTTACAGAACATGGTTTTGAGGAAAACATACACCAGGAGAGGAAGGAAGGTGGTTGGGGTAAACCCAAGAGTACACTGTGGGGAGAGTGCTTTTGAGTACCTTTCAGCATTTGATTCTATCAAGGGAAGCAGTGGCCAGGCATGCTCTTTCCTAATGAATATGATTAATGAAACAACCAAAGTTTCGTTTGTAATAGAAAAGTTTTTGTTCTCCCCTTCCCAAATGGTTTCAGTGATGCATCCTTTTATAATTACATTATGACTTTATGCGGAATATTTTGGTCACACCAAAAAGGACATTCCAATTCAAAGTAGGCCTTGTGAATCACAGCACTCAGTATTTTTCTCCTTTATTTGGAGTCCATGACTGTTTCACAGGATTTTGCAAGCTGTCATTTCCTTACGGATGTGCTTACTAATATCATGTTTAAATCCCCAGGTGAGATTGGCCGTGGCATCCCTGAGTTGTTATTTCTATACCTCTGTGCAATCTTGTCTCTCCATTGTCTTCTTACGTTTGATGTCAATGTTTAGGCCCATATCCTTTCATCAGGTGTTTTCTGATTCAGTCATAATCAGCGGGGCACTCTGCACTTTTTATGTGTAATTCCAAATTGACCTTCTATTGTGTAGATTATAAATGGGGCTATAGGTAGGTCACAATGCCAGTTGAAAATGTGATAGCAATGCAACCTTCTCCTTGTACCCACAAAACACATTTTCTCCCTTCTTGTGTGCTATGGTAATAGAAGGGGAATACTCCACATGTTCACCCTAAAATGGAGTATTATTTTCTCCTAAACTAAGCTGCGTAAGTCAGACTCTCTAATAGCCTTGGTCATGCTTTTAAATAAAACTAAATACCTGTCAGCTTTTAAATTTTTAAATGAGTGGTTGTGGACCACATGTGTCACCTATTAAGTGGTGGTGAATGAAGAGAATTAGAAATGGTGTTTAAATGAAGCAAAACTTCATTGATTCAGATTAATTAGAGAGATGATCTGTCTAAATTAATGAAAAGTCTGAATTAGAGTGTGTTAAAATTTATTTTTTAAGCATTTAAGTCCACTGAAATCACCAGAACCAGGCAAAGTGTATATTGGTTGGTGCAGATCATTAGGAGAGCTGATTTAAGACTAGTAAAATTGTTGTTTTAATTGGTGTATAATTTTATGTTTCTAAGTTTTTGAAAAGCATTGAGATGCAGCACTTAAAAATGTGTCCTCCTGTTGTGTCATTACTTTGGGAGACAGGGTTTGGGAAGACACAGAGACCAGCATTTTTAGTAAGCCTCTTGGAAGATCCAGGACTATTCAGTAATTTGGGTTTCTGAAATACGCAGGTCAAACATCTTTGGAATAATGAACACTCATTCGACTATCTAAACTCAAAAAGACCAAAGAGATAATGACTTCTATAGGTATCAGTGGCGATGTAAAGTTTAGGTAATCATTGACTTGTTGCCTGACCAAATATCAGATGCAATTATCCAAACATCAGACTGGGTCACGAGACAGTGTTTCGGCTGTCTGGACAGAGACTAATGCTCACAAACATGCTTTGTAGTCTATAGGTGCTCTCGGAATTGGGCTTGAAGCTGTGTTGAGACAGAAGGTAGTAGGGAGAAGATCTGGTAGTGTTGCTTTGCAGAAATGGTCTGCAGAATAGGTCAAGGATGAAAAGGAAACATCTGCCCTATTTTGGATGCAAGCGAAGTGGAATATGAGTTTTGGTGGTAGTGATTCTCTCTGCTTTAACTTATCATAAAGGACTAAAAAATCTCCTGTGGAGAAATATAAAGCTCTGTGTAACTCTTTAAAGATATTCCATCATAGAAATTGATGACAGTGTTCTTTTTCCTTTTCCATTTTTATCTTTGTAACTTCCTCATACAGCTCACTTGTTTCATCTTCTCTTTTCCCATAGTGGAGAGAAGCTAAACCCTGAAGCTAAGATTGTTCTGTGTGCTTGAAGTCAAAGAGAGAATGAACAGAAGAGTAAACAGGGTGACAGTACCCTCCTCTGCAGAAAATAGGGAAGCCAAAATCTTCATGGCTTGTGTTGTTTTCTTCTATGGAGCCCTGAGTATTGGAAACTCCATGTTATTCCCTTTTCTCTGGTTCTAAACTATAATCAAGTGAATCTTCTCCCCATCGATTTCAAGTTTGCAGTCACTGAGCTGAGAAGTACAAGTTTGGATTTCTGCATGGTTAATTCAGCTTTCTCTTCTTGGAGGGAAACTGTGTTCTCAATGAATTAATTTGTAGGAGGAACTTTCTATAACGATCTGAGGATCTTCTAGGCTTATCTCTTCCTGTTGGCTTTTAAAGAGTTGCTGGAGCAGTTCTGAGAAGAGCAAAGAGCACTCCAAGCTGCCACACTCTAGTTATTAGCCAGACATGAGCCCTATCTAATTATAAGACCCTTTAGCCCTTCAGTCCAAATATATCTGGAAAAATAACATGATGCCTGCTATTCAAAAAGACTTAATAGCAACAGATGTGGTATAAAAAGAATAAAGAAAATAATAATCATGACCAACAGTACTATCTATTTTGTAATGGAAACTTCCATGGGAAATCAAATTGCATTTGACTCCCAATGTTTGGTTCCAGTCTTTTAGCCCAAAGCCCTAATAACATCCATTGTTGAGATTGTTGGTGTTTCAGTCTTCTTTATACCTTCCTGTCTCACTCCACTCCTCCTCATTTGGAGGGACTTCAAATTAGAAGATCCTAGCACATGACCTAAAGATCACTGGATGTCATTAACCAAAGCACAGTGTTCCTGATTGTCACTAAATGACTGATAAAGAGCAGAAACCCTGAGGCCACCGCACATAGCAAATTTAATTCTTAGAGGGCTGTGAAAAATGCTAAGGAGATGGGATTGGGATTCTCTGCAGCCATGTCTGAGAGATCAGTTAAGGAAAACTGTACCTGATTATTTTCTCCCCCAGGCAAGAGCATTGCTTTCTGTAAGCCAAATTGGATGCTTATGAGATGTGAGCTTACTGAATATTCATTCCCAGCTCTCTTCATCATGTCCTTGTCTTCCCTTTTATTTTCCTTTGACTTATAATTGGTGTTTTTGCATATTTATGATCTGCTTTGTTTTAAGCTGATGACCTGTATCAAATGCTATAACTTTTCTCCTTTGACACTGTGCAGTTAGTTCATAGAAAAAAAAAAAAACTGTCATTAAGTGATGGCATTTCCCTCATTACCAGGAGCCTGGCTTTGCCCTCAGCCTGCAGGGTGCTGCCTGGTGTCTGCTTGGGCCATTTTAGTTTGCCACCCCAACATGAGGTTAAGAATTAGAATAGTAAACTCTTTAAAATGCATAACATATCAAAGCCATAACAAGGGATCTGAGTGGTCACCTAACTCGTGATAATTTCTCAAATGTTTAAAGACAATGACCTGATACCCTTAAATGTTTTCTTCTCAGGTGAAATAATCCTCAGAGGGGTCACACTTGTGCCTCATGACCTGGATGAGAGCAGCCTGACCCTCCCCTCACTCTCCTCTAAACACGCACAGATGCATGAGCTGAACCAGTAAAGACTCCACAGGCGTATGGTCTCCAAGAACTTAACATAACTTTAAATGATGAAAGCACTTTACAGCATAAACACAAATGCTTTATAAAGAAAAAAATTAGTTTCTTAAAAAATAACATGTGTCTCTTTAGAAATTCCTCAAAAACACCTTCCCCATCCCCTAGAGGGGGTTGTGTGTGTGGTGGAGAAATCTGACTGTATGCGTATGAATAAGGGCTGTGTAGAATATACAGGGACAATCTGGAGAGCCTCTCCTGGCCTGGGGACAGCCCTCAGGTCACTTAATTGTTTGTACCTTTTGTTGCCTCGTCTATAAGATGAAATAATAAAACAAGTCCATTCTCCTGATTGCGCTGCTCTCTGTACTCTTAAATGTGAAAAGATGGAAGGTATATTTAGAAGGGCTATGGTGGTCATTATGAAAGGAGCAAAATAATAATAATTTGCTAGTAGATACCACCCTTCCCAGAAGTACAGGATTCATTAATTTGCATCCTCTGAGAAGCATGTGAAGTGTTGACAAATCACCCCACGTTTACATCAAGAGATGATGGGGTGCAGCATGGACAGCAAGCCTCTGTGAGGATATGTGGGCGTGTGGGCACGGTTCCACTTACACAGATTCCAGACCCCGCGCATACTCAATTTCAAGACCTGGTTTTAATCTTCAGGGTAAACCTTGACTGCTATTATTACCTTAAATAATTTATTTTCCTCCTAAGACATCTCTGGAGGCCAAGTTCCTCTCCTGTTTTCTGACAGATGTGAAAGTAGCTAAATGAAGCAAGAAGATAAAAGGAGACATCAAGATGGTATGATGTTATAAAACAAACTCAACATTGTGGAAATAGGATTGTTTGTCAGAGGTTCTGCTTAACAGTCTTCTGGAAAATAAAATGCTTTGATATTATTTTTGAAAAGAAAATTGTAACCTAATCACTTCCTTGCAGCCCTAGGTCTTGTATAAAGTCATTCCATGCATGCATCATTTTAAAATAAAAATTATTTAGGACATCAATTGTATTTGTAAATGTGTGTCATTATCAAAATGCCAAGGTCAATTCAATTAACCTTAGAATACAAGGATGAAACCGGGTATCAGGAACAGGCTTATAATTTGATAAGTTTTCCATCAGAAAAGACATATCATATTCTATTTGACATTAAAGCCCTACGTTGTATATTGCTTAAAAGTTTTCCTTTGAATATATAAATTAAAAATCAGTAAAGGCATTCTTTCCCATTATCTACAGACAGGAGGGGTTCAAATTACATTTGTTGGAAGCAATGCAGCATCCAGAATGAATGACTCCAAGAAGGTTTTTCCTTACCTGCTGTGGCAGTGCAAGTGTGCCAGTAGAATGTGGCAGTTGGAGAGCATTGGCTGGAAGACAGGCAGCAAGAAGTGCAAAGCCTCATTGCTCTCCAGGGGGCCTCCTCTTGCTTGGGATGAGCTTCTGTTGTCAAATGTTTGGAAACCTCTCAATGGACAAGAAACGTTGGCCTGGTCAGCTACACTGGCTCTGTGCACAGGGCCAGGCAGCACAGCGGGGAGCACCCTGAATTCAGTCTACTGTTAGGGTTCTGCCACAGAGGGGGCACTACCCTATACAGGCTGCCCCAGCGTGGGGGAAGAAAGGCCTATGGCAATAAAGGAAAGAGCCGTGACACTCAGGGCCAACTGTTCTGTTACAACAAGGCCCTCTGAGCCAAGAGAATTCAGAGGAAATAAGTGGGGAGTGGGATTCTAGGAAAACAGGACAAGGCAGCACTCACATTCCAGAGGATAGAGACTCATATTGGAGTGTCAGTGTCGGTATCAAAGTACCCCATTTCTATGCCCTGCAGAGGAAGCCCAGGGACAGATGATGGCTTCATTCAGTTCTGTTGCTTACACTTGGTTTTTATTTTGGAGAAATGTACTCCCTAAAATGTTGACGGGTTTGCTTCGAAGGCATTTTCTGAGGAGGAAGAGAAAAAGCTCTCATGAATAATCACTGAGTTGCTTTTATTATTATTTCAGCCACACCTAATAAGGAAGGAGTTAGTATTTTCTAACTCTGAGCAGCATGGTTTGCGTTGGCTTCTCTCATTTCCTGCATTCTTTGGTGCACTGTTCTTCAAAGCATATCCAGCAATGACAAGGTCTGAAGAATTTTTAGTAAAGCAGATGGCCATTTTGCGGAAGCAAAGTATGGCAGGACTTAATTGACAATGCACCATTGGACACGGTGCTGAAATCAACTCCTGTTCAGCTAGTGGAGGGTCCCCTCTAATCGGAAGCCAGGAAGGTCATCAGGGCTTTCCACATGCTCCAGGACTGACATTCCCAGAAAAGGTGATGCATCAAAGTATGGCAATAAGAAGGAAGAGAGCCCTGTGATGCTAGAAAATGTGTAGAAGTAATACTGAAGACTGCCACATTGCTCTGAAGTGCTGGGCTGCTGCACCTCCTTACACACAGACTGTGAGCACATAGGCCTTCCACACAGAGCACGTGTGTTACCTGCATATCACCTGCACACACATCACTCAAGCATGCATTTCACACACAGATTACACACAAGTTATATGCATGTATGCACACCACATGCATATACCACACACAGACCACACACACAGAGCAATTCCCAGCAAAGATTTTAATTATCCATACTAATGTGGAGGAGATAAAATATAGATGCATAACTGGACATTATGGGGGTTAGCTCTAAGAATGTGGGTGCGTTTTAGGAACTCTCTGGCCCCAAATCTCTGTGAAATGAGTGAGTTACATGGAACAGCCTTGAAGGCCCCTTCTAATCTGCATCATTCTGGACCCCACTTCTATTGTGCATTTGCATTTATTCAGAGAGAACCTCGTCACATCATTCTTTTAATTTCTAACTCTGTCCTCTTTTTTCTCTGTATCCCAAACATTTATTTTGTAGGACTTGAGGAGGCTAATAATTAATATCACTGTTTTCCTCCTGTGTTCAGAACCCTTTGAGAGATAGACCAAGGCATTGGGTAGATGGAGAACAAAATGTCACCTTATTACACTTACACCTATTTGGAGAGTACAGTTAGGAATAAATGATCTTGCTGATTATCCCCTGAGTTTACCCATCTTTCCCTACAGCCATCTGTCCCCAAATCAAGGTCTTTCCCAGCACAGGGGCAAGTGGCCCACTAGGTCCACTGCTTGGCTGAGAATGCAGGACATGGAGATGACCACCCACTTCAGGGAGGAAGACCCTGCTTATGGGGGAGGATGGGGTAAGATGCAGAGGGTTCATATCCTTTTCCCAAACCCTCAAGTTAGACCAATTTCTCCTGCTCTCCTTGGGAGGACTGTCCTCCCCCACCGCATAGAGAAGGAGGACAGCTATGATTCTCTGTTCAGTCCTGTCACAAGGAACCTTGAAGATTTAGAAATAAAATTCCCATAATGGGTTCCAGCCACTCCTGCTCACCACGTTGGATGATTAATGTGATAAAGTGGTCTGTGTTTTGGGGAGATTCTTAGGGAGGAGCATAGGATATTCGGAACTGATGCCACTGACTTGTTATTAAAGCCACTAGTGACCTGTCTTGGTGGGAATACAAGTCATGTGGAAATGGAGGGTAGGGTGGGTTTTAACCAGATGTGTCTATCCACTCACAGGTAGACCTGTAGGTCTTGCCATGAACACACAAGAGCTTGCTCTATGTAAATAGTGGGTTACACTAAAAAGACCATTGTCATACACTGTTGATGATAATGTAAATTGAACATTTCCTGAGAGCAATTTTGCAATACATATCAATAACTTAAAAATACTTCTGGCTTTTCAGTAATTTTGTCTGAGGAAATGATCAAATATGAAGCCAAAGCTTTATACATGTGGTTGACCACTATAGCATAATGCAATGCACAGAATATTAATAAGTATTGAACAATATGGACATATCTAAAGGATGATACAGTCACAGAACTGAATATTATCTAAGAATTTAAAATGTTGTTTCTACAGAACTTACATGAGCTAAAAAATATTTTATTAAATGTTAAAGCAAAGCACAAAACTACATTCAGAATGAACTGAAGCTTCTTGGAACAAGATAGAGGTCTTGACAAAGTAAAGTATGCCACCAATTTTGAGAATACAGAGGAAAATGGAGTAGGCAGACAAGGCCGTATGGAAAGCAGAGTGTTCTGCTTGGGCAGGACAATTATAGATTATTTTTAGTTTGTCTTTATATCTTTGTTTTTCTCCCAAATTATATGAACATGAATTGTTTTTATCATGAAAAGAATAATGAGTTATATGTTTTGAAAGACTACCATATTTCTACATAAACAAAAGATAATAGGTGAATGTCACTTATCCAGGCTCAGCAAATACAGTTTTGGTGTGAGGGCAGTTTGTATCACAATAATGCTGCATAACAACCATGAAATCTCAGAGGTACACAATAATAGACTGCAGGTTGACTAGGGCAGCTCTGCTCCATGTGTCTCTCATCCTGGGACTGGTGGGCTACCCGGAAGTGTTCTTTTCCTAATGAGGTGCAAGAGAGTGACCTGAAAAACAAAAGGTCTCCTAATCCTGGGCTGGATCTAGCTCGTGATTATTTCTGTCCACATTGCATTAGCCAAAGCAAAGCAGATCTCATGGCTAAGCCCAAAGTCAAGGGAGGGACTGCAAAGTCATCTACCAAAGGGCATGGATCCAAGAAAAGGGCAGAACTCTTCTGGAGATTGATGTTTTCTGTTAAGCAAATAAAAATGTTACTTTGGAAACAGAAGTAAAATTAACTTCCTGCAGTTATCTCTCTGAAGACTGTTGCTAATGTGCACTTTGTTTTGATTGTATTCACAAGTGAGAAACAGTTACCCTATTGAGCAGCTCTTTCTGTCTCTTTAGATCCTGGCCAATGTGATCATTTTCATCTGTGGGAACCTGGCGGGAGCCTACCATAAGCACCTCATGGAACTCGCTCTTCAGCAAACATATCAGGACACCTGTAATTGCATCAAGTCGCGGATCAAGTTGGAATTTGAAAAACGTCAACAGGTAATGGATGTTTCATCTTACATCCACATTATTTTAGTCATTATTAAAATGATGCTGTTACTATTAATGTTGAGTGTCGTTCATTCATTCATGAGCTTCAGAAAAATCAGAGAAGAAACCCTGGGCTCTGCACCTGGGGAGTGTCTTAGTCTGCTTAGTGCTGCTATAAAGGAATACCTGAGGTTGGGTAATTTACCAAGAAAAGAGGTTTATTAGTCTCATGGTTCTACAGGCTGCACAAGAAGCCTGTGCCATGTCTACTTCTCGTGAATGCCTTTAACTGCCTCCACTCATGGATAATGGGTAATGTGCAGGGATCACTTAGCGAGAGAGGAAGCAAGAGAGAGGCAGGGAAGGAGGGGCAGTGCCAGGCTCTTTTGAACAACCAACTCTCATGGGAACAATAGAGTGAGAAACTCCCTCAAACTCCCTTCCCAGGGAGGGCATTTATGTGTCCATGAGGGATCCACCCCCAAGACACAAACACCTCCCACCAGGCCTCACCTCCAACACTGGGGATCAAATTTCAACATGAGATTTGGAGAGGACAAGCATCTAAACTGTAATAGAGAGTTATGATCAAAAGAGCAAAGATTGCATCTTCCCCATGCAGCCTTCAGACCAAGGGACCCAGGATCACCCACAGCCAGATACGCCAACCATCATCAACAAGTGGCTGGGGAAGTCAAATAAGAACAGTTCGTGAAAATGCTCACTTCTGGTTAGTGTTTATGACAAGCATTTGCACCAGCAGAAGTACGAGCCTCCCCCTCATCGCCCCCTCACCGTGCTGTGCCATCACAGCACTTCCTACAGCGCCTGTTGTCCACATAGGATGAAATGTTGGAGTCTTCCTCAGGGAGGTGATTGAAGAGTCTGGGGAGGAGCCAGGTGTCGTTGTCAGGGGCATCCTAGGTTGATTGTTGTGGGTGACACAAATGCACATCAGGGAAATGTATAGACTGCAAGGAAGCATTACAGAAAACAAACAATGGAGACAATAGGAGATGTGTGGGGACCAAGATATCACCAAGGATGGTGGAAAGCAGGCACAACAGATGTACATGGAGAAGAAGCCATAGAGGGGCCCTGGATTTGCTGTGCTTCACTCCGGGTGATGGCAGATATCCATGTGAACAGCTGTGTGTTCCTGGGTTTGTGTATTTCTCACTGAGAATCCAGTCTGTAAAGCTAATAATTAGCATGGCTGGCTATAAACACTGTGCTCCCCCTCCCTGTGGGCCTTCATCACATTACCTAAGCTCTTAGCAGTGTTTGGCATATCATGGATCCTTAATTATTGTTTGTGAAGTTGTATTGAGTTAGTTCACTCTATAAAATTTCATCAAAGTGTATTGTGGTAGGAGCAAAAAGTATATCCTTTAAATTTTGGCACTAGTCCTTTGTCTATGTGTGGACTGCTGAATGGTAATCATTCTTTTTTGAAAACAGGGATCCAGGATATTAGTTCATTCATTCAACAAATATTTAGTGAACACCAAGGCTGTGGCAGGCATGGCTCTAGGCACTGGGATATAACTGTAAACACTGCCTTTGCATTGGTATGATTAGAAAATATGGTTTGTTTTTAAAAAATACATTTTGTCTTACCACCTATATAGCAAAGGTATTCAGGAACCGATGTTTTTGTTTGTTTGTTTGTTCTAGATGTGTGTCAAATTCTGAATTCAAAATTAAGAGACATAGATAGTTGTTAACTTGGGACTATTATCCAGTTTATTCTTATGTACCTATTTTCAGTAACGTTTTACATCTGTGTTCTAGAAAATTCCACAGTTTGGACAAGGAGCCCTTAGCACTCATGGGTGGTCCTGCTGTAGTGCATGCTACAGGGTTCAAATGTTTTGGGAGAGATGGTTTCCTTTCTCAAGCAGTACAGACTGGAGCAAGTTGGGCCCGACAGACATGTTTAACTTTTTTTTCATCAGCTCTGTAATCTCCTTCAAAATAGCACTAAAGCTACAGAGAACAGAAATTCCAAGTAGATGGATTACATAACCTAATATTTTTAGGAACAGCTTTGATAAAAGCAGTTTCAGGTCACTGACCTCACCTGCACATCATATTTCTCTGAAGAGAACTGAGCAGCTGAAAGCACATGGCATCCCTTGCCACAGTGAGCTGAGGGTAAGAGGAGCCACATTGACCTTGTGGAGCTCAAGAACTGAACCATCATGGGAGACATTAGAAAGACATGCATCTACTAGTTTCAGAAAAGAAGTCAGTGATTCTTTTAAAAATAAAGAAAGTGAGAAGGGACACTTTAAAGAAATAAGAACTGATATTAAATATGTTTAATATAATACAACTTCACATCACAAGAGCATTTTGTCACAAGCGTTGGAAGTCCATTTCCAGAGTCTACTCCTAGAATGCAGTACCTTTCTTGTTAGGGCTTCGGAGAATATGTGTCTACGATGAGATGTGTTTGTACTTTTCTCAGACCAGCATGTAATTAAATGGGAAGAAGAGATTATCTTGGTTTAAAAAAAAAAAAAAACCATCAGTAAGATATAATCTGATAGATTTAAGGAAACTAGTAAAAACTGGCCAGTGGCAATCTGTGTGACCTTCATAGAAGGGAGAGGCCCCTGAAACACTGAGGCCCAGTAGGGCCACTGATCAAATTCAGGTTTGGGTTCCTTGTGTCACTTCCTGCTCACCCTGCACCACAAACCACCTTTCGCTTCATCCACAGTCACTGTGGCAAACAGTAATGTCCTTCAAAGTTCTTCATTCCGGAAGGATATGTGTTGACCAGCCAGAAAACAGTTTCAGTCATTGTTTAGATAAATAAATAGCATCCAATTTAATGTACACGTTAGCAGCTGCGTCAGAGAGAGCTGGTGCTCCCAGAGGTTGAGAGGCGGCCACCTTGGGAGTTCCTTGGCCTCGCTTCACAGCCCCACTCTCTGCTGTCCTTCCTCCTTGGAGAGGATACAGTGGCGGGTTAGCCCAGGAAGCCGTCCCTCTTCACCCAGGATTGGAGGGGGGGCACTGAAACTATTGGGACCTGTCTAACGATTCTGAAATCTTTTCAAAATTGCAAAACTCCATGCTGTCTTTTCTTCAGATTTTGTGATATTTTTCAGATGCAAGTGAGATGAATTTCTAAAGATTAAAGCCCATGCTTGAATAAAGTGGCCATTTGTACTATAAGATTTTGAGGGAAGAAGGAATGAAAAATGTTGCTAGAGATTTTCTCAGAGTTGTGTTCTTGCCCTAAAAATGTTCTCATTATGAACAATAAAAATCATGACTTTTTACAAGGTAGGGAAAAGAATGCATTGCATTGGAATTGAGGCCGCCTTTAGAAACAGAAGGTATTCACCTGTCTCGAGTTTTGACTTTTGTCTTAAGTTTCATATCCCACAGTAAAATCCGCAGCTGTTTCCTGAGCACCGTGTAGTGTGGCAGATGGCTCTTATCAGACCTGAGAAAACATATTTCAGTGAGTGTTGCTCTCTGGGGTATGTAATAGGCTCTCAGGAATTAATGAGAGCTGGATTCACAGCAAAATAAGAACACTGTTTGCTAACTGCCTAGGCAGTTGAAATAAATGCTGTTTCCGTAGGAGTAAAAGCCAGGTTTGCTATTTCATAGAGGGAGAATAAACCCTCTTTAATTTATATATTGTCTTTGTTTTAGAATAATTTAACAAATTTTTATGTGATTTACTTAATCTGAACCATCCTGTGGATCAAATATGACAGAACATTCCTTTTAGTAAAAAATACTAGTCGGGCGAGGCTCAGAGACCCCATGCTATACCTGGATTCTGCAACTCTCTGTGGGGATTCTGGCTTTCTGGCTGTAGTCTTTCTGGCTGTAGTCTTTCTGGCTGTCCTTGGATGCAAAATTGTTTTCCTCTCTGCAGAATTTAGTGGAACAAGAAAGTGATCCTTGGGTGGTCATGGCTGGGTAGATAATGACAAATTTACCTGTTTTTAATCCTAATGTGATAGCAGGTATTATAACGGCTTTATTGAATGCATTTTATGGCTCATTTGTTTTGCAAGGTGAAGAGTTTTTGAAGTTTTTCTAGATTTGGGCTGCTAAAATTTGGAAAAGCAAACAGAAGCAAGTACTATTTCTTTAAGTTTTTATAATGTCCTGGGTACTTTATGTAGTACTTTATGTGTACTGTTGTATCAGACTCCTATTGCTGCTGTAACAAATTTCCACAAATTTGATGGCTTAAAACAGAACAGATTTTTTATCTTACAGTTTCAGAGGTTACAAGTCCAAAATCAGTCTCACTGAGCTAAAGTCAAGATATTAGCAGGGCTGTTTTTTTCTGGAGATTTTGAAGGGAGAATTCATTTCCTGGCCTTTTCAAGCTTCCGAAGGCTGCTTGCATTCTTTGGCTCCTAGATCCTAGACCCTTTCCACCATATGTAAAGTCATGAGGGTAGAATCTTTCAATTGCTTTCTCTCTCTCTCTCCTTGTCTTTTTTTTTTTTTTTTGAGATGCAGTCTGGCTCTGTCACCCAGGCTGGAGTGCAGTGTCATGATCTCGGCTCACTGCAACCTCTGCCCCCTGGGGCTCAACAGATCCTCCCACCTCAGTCTCCCAAGTAGGAGGGACTACAGGTGTCCACCACCACACCTGGCTAACTTTTGTTATTTATTGTATTTTGTATTTGTTTTGCCATGTTGCCCAGGCTGGTCTTGCACTCCTGATCTCAAGCAATCCACCCACCTTGGCTTCCCAAAGTGCTGGGATTACAGGCATGAGCCACTGAGCCCGGCCTGTCTCTGACTTTTGATTCTGCTGTTGCATCTTCTTCCTTTTCTCTGACTCCAACCCTCCTGCTTTACTCTTATGGCTTCTGTAATTACACTGGACTAACCGGGCTAATCCAAGATAAACTCACCATCTCAAGATCTTTAATTTAATCACATCCACAAAATCCCTGGTTTGCCATGTAACCTAACATAGTCCCAGATTCCAAGGATTAAGATGGAGATACTTTTGTGGGACCGTTAGTCAGCCTACCACTCTCCGTCTTCTTTATTCCTACAGCAACTCTAGGACCTAAGTCGTTTTTCCCATTTAAACCGAATAAAGAAACTGCTCACATTACTTGGCCCCAGATCACTCAGTGAGTAAGTGTAACTTCCAGGGCCCTTCTGTCTTTCAAGTTGGTTTTGCATGGGTTTTCTGGTCTGATCTCTGGGAATGTTAACTGGAGATTTTCCAGGACGTGAAGGACTCTCTGATGGAAGTCCTAAAAAGAGTAGGAACAACTTTGAGCAACTTTAAGCATCCAAAATGGTATCCTGCTAAGAAGGCAGTCAGTAGCTGTTCTTCCATTGAATTCTCATGCACTAACATGAAGCAACAGAAATCAGCTGCCATCTTACTCCCTCCATGACCATGCTGAGGCATGGGGAGGGTTTGATGCCAGCCATGCCATCCCCAAAGATCCCTCCAGGGTCAGCTTTCTTCTTCCTGGAGGCAAGAAGATTGAACAGAGGAGTCTGCAGCTTTGTCTGCTTGGACATGTGGTGGTGAGTTATTCAAAACAGTCTTTTACCAACCCCATCTCTGCATGTTCAGTTTACCTTTTGCCAATGAAACGGACCTTACGAGGACTCATCAATGACAAGACTAATTGTTTTACCCAATTGTCTTCACCTGAGTTGTTACATGGACTTGAGGTGAGGCATCTCAACAGTTATGTACCTTTTCATAAAGCCAAGCTGGACATTAATAGTGTGAGAGGAATTCAAGCCAGTGAGACTTTCTCACTGCAGTTGCTGAAGAATTAAAGCAGCACATTTTAATATAAATGTCACGCCTGAGCTTTGAGGTGCAGGGCTGGGGGATGCGCCCAACAGAGAGAGCCTAACAGGAGAAACACACATCGTGCGGCAGGTACAGTTTGGCTCAGATATAAAGGCCTTGCCTGGGTTCTGACATCTCAGACCATTAATTAAACTCTTCCACGCCCCCTGCTTATGTTTTTGAGATCTCCACTTTTCATCTTTTATTAAATCATTAGTTGTGTCATTTTTTTCTTTGGTATCTCCTCCTTGGTAAAGAGGCCATAACTTCCATCCATCTTGGTCATCACATTTTTTTCATTCTGTAAATGATTAGTATATACTTTTCTCTTTGGCATCTCTTCCCCAGTGCAGAGGGCATAGCTTAAGCCAGTGTTGGTTATTGCTTTTATCTCAACTCTCATTGGTGTAACATTAAATGATGTGGAAGACTACACATACACTTTACTTGAAAACTGAAAAAAAAATGAAGAGCTGAGATGTTATAAAAGGTTCTCATCACAGTGTTTGCTATTCCAATCCATCGGAATGATCTTTAAGAAATATTTTCACAGTTTGCACCACACTGTATTATACTGGTTACTTAAATTCTCATGAAGCTCAGATGTCATGCCTCATTGAGAAGTTCCAGGACAAGATGTTTCAGGATGCTACAATTTTGCCATGATGTTTATGGATGCTTTTAAATGAGAAACGAAAATTAACTCCAGAAAATTGTCAATAATCCTTAAATCAAGTCTGCAGTATTTTCTGAGAAGTCCTTTAGTTAGAATGGTTGAGATCACCACAAATTTGCGAAGATTGCAATGAAGATTGTGCTATGACTGTGCAATCAACCTCCTTTAAGGAGGAGTCAACAGTTACAGATCCAAGATCCAGGGGGAGGATGAAGGAACTCTCAGGAATCACTGTCCAGTATTGATGCCTAACAAAGAATATAAATGCAGGCCATTATAGGGGTTTACAAAAGCCACATTAGCAACTATTTGTTCATTCTTAAAAAAAAAAAAATGGACATTTTGGCAGGGCGCGGTGGCTCATGCCTGTAATCCCAGCACTTTGGGAGGCCGAGGCGGGCGGATCACCTGAGGTCAGGAGTTTGAGACCAGCCTGGCCAACATGGTAAAACCCTGTCTCTACTAAAAATACAAAAATTAGCTGGGTGTGGTGGTGGGCACCTGGAATCCCAGCTACTCTACTCGGGAGGCTAAGGCAGGAGAATTGCTTGAACCCGGGAGGCAGAGGTTGCAGTGAGCCAAGATCACAGCACTGCACTCCAGCCTGGGCAACAGAGCAAGACTCCATCTCAAAAAAAAGAAAAAGAAAAAATATAGACATTTTGCTTTAAAGGAAAAAATAAAAATAAAAAAGAATTATAGCAATTAATTAAGCAGAGATTCTTTTAATGGTTAAATATATGCAGGTGTCTATTTACATCATGGCAGTAGAAAAGCCAAATGATAAAATTAAACCTTCTAGAAGTTTTCTCTGTGTAAGAAACTTGAGCAAGACCTCCTGCTCATGTCCACAGTGAAGAAGCAACTCACCTGTCTTGTTGAAGAAACACCTGGAAACAGTTATATTACTCCAGATTATCACAAGCAGATTTTTGTTGATAATAAGAAGCCCCCAAAACCAGAAGTCATGTACTAAGGAGAGGACCTGATTTTGATGTTTCTGAGAGCCCTAGAATTTTCAATATTTCCTGGGGACTGCCTATTTTTAATACTCTGTGATATGGTACTTTGATGCTGGTAAGAATGTTTAATAGGCAAAGAATAATCTAGTTAAAAGATTCAAGACAATTTGACATCATTTGATACCAGTAAAATAAACCCAATAAAAAGCAATTCTAAAATGAGCCCTTTTGTTTCATTAAACATTCTTGTGATATTTGTCACATATAGAAACAAAACTCAAGTCTTCTGTGATTGCCATCATATTTTTCTTCCTGCAAATGTAATCACAGATAGGCCACTATGCCTTTTAATGGGGGGGAAAGGCATTTTGAACTTACTTTCATGGGGCTGACTTCAAAATGTTAAAGTTACTGATCATGCATATTTAATAGTATATTACCATGAGCACAGTTGCAGATACATATACCTCCTATGGCACTAGTGATGTGTTTACTGAACCGAGGTATCCATTTATATCTGTAACAAATTGAAGGTTAGGACTCATGAACTTTAGGGTTTTGTAAATTGCATATGTGTTTTCAAATGGTATTATTTTTGGAGATTATACTTTTAGGGTTATCTGAGTGCTGTCAAGATTTTATTTTATCCTAGAACTTCTGTAGAAAAGTCCTTTAATGTACTTACGGATGATGGGCCATTTAATATATGTGTGTTACTGGATGTGACAATTCCCCCCAAAGACTAACGTTGTCATAAATGTGGACTATATGATGCACTCAGAATGCAATGCAAGAGGCATGTGAGATAATGATACTCACATAAACACATTCATACCCTTTTCAAATTGCATAGTATTTTTACATATATTCTTCTGTTAAATACAGGATTATACAAGATGCAGAAAAGCCCTCTTGTCCTATTTATCAAATTTACAGGTTTTTTTTTTTTTGGCTTGTTAGGTGCTGGCAATTTTCCCAGGTTGGGGAATGCAGAGGTAGCCAAGACTAGAGGTCCCTGTTCTCTTTGCGCTTAAATTCTAATAGCAGGTGATAGACTGTAACTTATCAAATCCATAATTTCATGAGAAGATATAACAAGATAATGTGACAAAGCATGGTGGCTGGAGAAGACCAAGAGGCCTATTGGAGGGGCCAGGCAGGGAGGCTTCTCTGGGGATGTGATATCTAGGTTGAAATATGAATTGCTGAAGGTCTCAGACCTAGGAGGGCCTGAGAAAAATGTTCCCAGCAAAAGAAGTGGGAACTACCAAGGTCCTGAGTCAGGAGCCAGGTGGCCTGTTTGAGAAACATAGGGGTCAGTGGGACAGTTGCGGGGAGAGAGGCAGGAGCCAGACTACACGCTGGGCCTTGCAAGGTGGGTCAAGGACTTGGGATGTTATACTGAGTGGGAAGTCACTGAAGGGTTTTGAGTAAGATAGCAACGTAAACTGATTAACAGTCTTAGAGGATCCTTCTAGCTCCTAGTAGAGGATGGGTTGGAGAAGGGATGAGTGTTAGTAGGTGACTCCTTGGAAGCCATGGCATACTATGGCAGCAGTACAGGCTGGATACAGGAATAGCTTGGGTGAGAGTGGACAGATTTAGGACATATTTTAAAATTGATTTAGTATGGGTTACTTTTGGATTAGCTGCTGAGTGAAATAAAAATAAAATAATGAAGAGAACTTTCTGGGGTTTGAGCTTGAGCAACTGGATGATGGTTGGTGTGGCATCTAACATTTCAACATCTTGGTCACTTTATTTATTGGGAGGTAAGGTACAGTAGAAATCCAGATTTGAGTTTTTAACAGCTAATTTCAAGATGCCAAGCAGCAGCTGTAAATAAGATCTGGAGTTAAAGATGTGAACTTGAAAGTCATCAGCATATAGTTCCTATTTCAAGCTACAGGACCAGATGAGATGCCCCAAGGAGAGAGTGGGATTAGAAAAGATAAAAAGGGTCCAGGACCAAACCTCAAAGCACACTAACATTTGAGCAGGAATAGAGGAAGATGAAGAAGCCCAAGTCACTGAGAAAAATCAACCAGTTATATAGATGATTTGTTTTTTCCTAATTTAGTCTTGAGTTCCCTCTCATGATAGTGGCTGTAAACTCTAGCCCTGCCCTGACGGGGATCCTGGGGATGTGGTTGTGGGTTTTTCCCATGTGCCTTTCATGGGATCCTTCTTTGACCTCACAGACAGCCTGATACCTAAGTGTTTAGCCTGTGGCCAGGTGTCCCTCTCACGGGAAGCTTGTTTATCCTGGCACATGCCCTTGTGGCTCTCATCTGACCTGTGTCTAGTTTATTCCTACCAAGGCAGCCACTCTCCCAGAGAGCCCTGACCAGGACAGAAGTTAGGATGGGGTAGAAGAGGCAACTCATCAGAACCCATGAAATAACAGAAGCAGTTTATTGTTTACAGATCTGGAGAAGAGAGGGCGCAGCACCATTTGCAGGGCCAGCAAAAAGCAGGGAGCCATCCAGGACACACAGGCTCAACCAGCAGGTGCAGAATGAGAGAGAGAGGGAGCTGTGGGCCAAAGCCTTCGCTGGGGTTCAGGACATTGTGCAATCAGGTTTCTAATCGGTGGGTTTAGAACAAGCAGGCACATGCCCTATGGCATCATGCTGTGACTGAGAGAAGGTCAGTGTGGGTGGGATACCTGTGCAGTCTATGCAGGGTGTGGGGATTAGTAGGGTGTATCCAGCTGTCCTACAGGGAGGTGGTTACCAGAAGGCAGTATACAAGGCAGATGTCTTGATTGACCACCTTGAGAAACTGCAAGGAGGTAGGGGGGATGGAAACTGTGTCAAACATGATTAGGCTTTGCATGAGTAAGACCAATCTAAATTTAAAATTGATGCCAAAGCAACAAAAAATTATAAGAATTCACCACAATAGGGGAAAAGCCAGAGAGAATGGTTCAATAGAAGCCAAGAGAAGAAGGTATAAGTGGGATAGTGGCCAACATAGTCACATGCTGTAGAGTCATAGTGAGAAGAGGGTAAAGGAGTGACCACTGGTCTTGAACAAATGGTGGTCACCAGTGGCCTGGACAATAAGTTTAAGTGGAGCAATCATGCTAAAGTGACTGAGGTTAGGTGAAGAGGAGACAGGAGGTGCGGAAGCCATGCAGTGAGTTCCCACAGCTCTTCTGATGTATGTAGCAGAGAAGAGGAGCCAAGAAATGCCGCGGGGTTTGTTTGTTCAAGATTTTCTATGCTCATGGCATAAATCAAAGTTGTATTACACATCTTAATAATGCATCTTTGGTAATACATTTTAAATTGCCTGTTAATTATTTCTAATTTATTATATTACATAGTTTTCCTAATATGTTGTATTCTGAATCATTGATTCTAAGGAAGGGATGGGTACAAGGGTTGGTTGATTTTTATAGAAAGGCAACAGTTGGGGCCGGGTGTGCTGGCTCAGACCTATAATCCCAGCACTTTGGGAGGCCAAGGCAGGCGGATCACCTGAGGTCAGGAGTTCAAGACCAGCCTGGCCAAAATGGCGAAACCCTGTCTCTACTAGAAATACAAAAATTAGCCAGATGTGGTGGTGAGTGCCTGTAATCTCAGGAGGCGGAGGTTGCAGTGAGCCGAGATATCACAACACTGCACTACAGCCTGGGTAACAGAGTGAGACTCCGTCTCAAAAAAAAAAAAAAAAAAAAGAGAAGAAGAAGAAGAAGAAAGGCAACTGAGTTTGCTCCATTACATTCATTACAGTTACTAAATAATCACAGCTGTAGTCCATTGTAGCTAATGTTCTAGTAATAGCTACTAAAAAGGTTTTAATCCAAATAGAAACAAAGGAAAAGTTATTTTAAAATAGGCAAATAACCTGGAAAGCATGAAAAGGAATAAAATGTCAACAAGATTTTAGGTAAAATGAAAAGAATACATTAAGACAAAAATTCAAGCCTCTACTAAGTTTAACTATGTTTTAGAAGGTATATTAAAGTAAAAATATAAAATTAAATGTTAAAAATAAACCAACTGATCCTCTAGGCAAAAGAATCAGCACATATCAGTGCATGTCATGTTATAACCATATTCCAGGGAAGAACTGCTATCCAGAGCATGAGAGTTTCAAGGTTGGGCAGTTTAACTACAAGCACAATCCTCATTATAAATATGGAAAAAGCAAAAAGGCTAGGAGCTTCTCCTCCAGGTAAACATCAATCAGCAGCCAGTAGAATTATTAGAGCTGAAATGCAAAAATAAAAAAGCCACAGGTGGCAGCTCCAGCCATCATGGGTTAAACGTGAGAAAGCAGCAACAGATATCCTGAGCCTTTCTCACTACTGTGCTGTGGACTCGGGCACCTGGTGACTGAGCAGCTTCAAGGTGACAGGAGGTTAGCAAATCGTGTTTGGCCTCCAGATGGAATTTTCTTTGTTATCATATATTTTTTTGTGTGTGGTCCTATTTTCTATACCTTTCTGGCTCCTCGTGAGGCAGATTCTCCAGGAAATTAAGACTTTATTTTCTAAACCAGTAGCATAGAATAAAAACAGGAATATTTTATCATTGACTGTAGAATGAGTTCAGAGCCATCTGATAGAATTTGAGGCTCAGCAGCCCGCACCTATGACCTCTGCCCTGAAGAAAATGACCATCCCTTGGACAAGGTTTACTTAGTAGTGTGGACTCTGCCCTTCTAGTGTGTTTCTGTTCCTTCAGGGCAGGAACCAATGATTGGAGGAACAAAAGTGCATTTGAGAGAAAGAAAACACACTCCTGGCATGAGGCATGATGCCAATGATGAAAGAAACAAAACACACTCCCAGCATGAGGCCAATGTGTGTAAGTGCCTTGCAGAAGTCTTAGCACAGACTCTTCCTGTGACTCTGCCAGTCCAGGATCACTGGAATGCAGCAGCCATTTCAGCAGCCACCAGAGAGTTGGATCCCGGATGAAGTGACTCAGAGATTCATTTCCTAGGGTCGTCATCTTCCTAGCTGGCCTGTTTAGGGCCCATTTCTGCCATCCTGAAACTAGACTCTGAAATCTTTGGCGGTGATACGGTTTGGCTCTGTGGCCCCACCCAAATCTCATCTTGTAGCTCCCATAATTCCCATGTGTCATGGGAGTGTCTAGCTGGGAGATCACTGAATCATGGGGGTGGGTCTTTCCCATGCTGTTCTCATGATAGTGAATAAGTCTTATGAGATCTGATGGTTTTAAAAACAGGAGTTTCCCTCCACTTGCTGCCATCTGTGTAAGATGTGATTTGCTTCTCCTTGCTTTCTACCATGATTGTGAGGCTTCCCCAGCCACGTGGAACTGTAAGTCCATTAAACCTCTTTCTTTTGTGAATTGCCCAGTCTCGGGTATGTGTTTATCAGCAGTGTGAAAATGGACTAATACAGGTGACAATGGCTATTATTTCATTATTTTTCTTTAGAGTATTAGAACCTACTACAGTGCCTGCATGGAGTAAGTGAGAACATATACTCTCCAAACACCAACTGACAAAACACAGAAATATGTTCTGCACTAGCTTGCTCTTTCTCTCTTGCTCTCTCGCTGAGCAACCTTCATAATATGTATTAATCCATACAGAGATTTATGTTTCAAAATGACCAAGAGTCCACTGCACAGCAGTGAGAAAGGCTTAGGACACCTGTTGCTGCTTTCTCACATTTAACCCAAGGAGATGGCTGGAGCTGCCACCTGTGGCTTTTTTATTTTGTAATAATTAGTTATTATCAGTAGTCCTAAAACCATGTCTTCCAATACTTTGTACTCCTGATCGTTTTTAGCAATCTTTGGACTCCTGAGTTATTCTTACACCCTTTAGCATCTCCATTCGTAAATCTCTCCGTCTATCTTTTCTAAATTGTATGCAGGTTAAATGCAATTTTTGCATACTCCATACCTCATGACTGCTCTGGATGAGCTCAGGTATTATTGCATACACCTTCTTATTCATTATGAGGCTCACTTATATCATCGTTCACAAAAGTAGTACTTGGTCATCTTGAAACTTCAAACACCAAGCCAGGATAAACAGCAGAGATTTACAATGCTTCATTCTCCCTCCCAGGCCTGTATTCCTCTAGTTTCTAGTGTGATTTTGGCTGACATATTTCTGCGAACTTGAATTATTTTAGCCTTATTGTTATAGAAGTGATTAGTCTCCTTCCAGTAGGGAGTGTAGACATGGAATTTTTTTGTGTTATGAAAGATGCAATTTTTATGTCAAAGATAAAACACAAGCTCGACATCATCCCAGCCTGTTAAATTAATCCAGATCTGAGGAAGAACAAGCATTTAAGCTAGTCTTTATTAAAACACTTGGCTGAGGGATACAGTTGTGACGACAGTTTGCAGGATAATGAATCTTTAAAACAGTGTTAGATTTTGACATTGATAAGTACAGTACTTAACATAATTATTATTCCAGATTTCCGCTGGTGAATTTTATTAACGAGTCAAGGAAAAAAATGTTTAGAGGAATATTTACGAGTGGCTATTGCAAGGAGTGGGTCAGTAAAAAAAGGCAAATGTCAAACCAGATTCTACCCTTTAAAGAGGCATTTAGATCATGATCAAAATCTGGGCTCAGAAGACATAACACTTTTATATGAGTGGGCCTCTTGAAAAGATATGAGTGGAATTGTGAATGCTTTATTGAAAAACAGAGGAAAATTTTTCCACTATAGAGCAATGTACTTCATCAGCTGACAGAAATGAACATAAAATGTGACAAATTCTATATTAGAAAGAATTGACAGATCTCTCAAAGTTGCTGATGAATAATGGGAAAAATTTAAAATGTCTTTAAATAAAGTTTGCTTTTGATATGTTTTCATGAAAAATGGTAACTGTTTCTCATGTAAATTAGCATTTATGACTACTGTCTTCTGCCTTTGGTAACATTATTTTTTTTTTCATTTAATTGGGAAATGAACAATATAAGAGGGAAGCCTAGAGCAGGTCAAATCAAGAATATCATTATGCAGAAAAATAGAAATATACCAATTTCATGGTATTTCATAGGTGTTGTCTCTATGCAATGACTAGTTTATTTCATATCTTGCTATCTTTCTTTACCCTTGAAACAGAGGATAATGGGCTAGATTGTCTTCTAAGACTAAAGAAATAACAGCTAATATGATTATCCAGCTGTGAATGGATTTGGAAAATTTGCTTTTCTGATGCCTCAAAGAAAGTTTTGTGCTTGCTCACTGTTCAGCCTTTCATCATTGAGCACTCTTTGAGTAGAGAGATGAGAAATTTGAAAAGCTGATCTTACCCTATCTGTCTTGCCTGCCACTCTATGCCTTTCAAGGCAGGAGATTATAAGAACTATGAGACCCAGTTCTGATGCTCTGCAGTCACAACCCCTCTTTCAAGGATGTGGGTAGGGACCCAGACACTCTATGATACCTGCAGCCCTTTACAGCTGCTGAGGTGGGGCATTCAGTACCTGACAAAGATGTGGATAGTTTTGTAGATTACATGGCAGCCAGACTGTCCATTACATCTGCCCCAAGATTCACAGATTCTACAAATCTCTATCTATATTTATTGTGCTAAAACTAGAGTTGTAAAAATGCAGATCAAAAACACAGAGATTCCCAAGCACCTCAAACTTAAATAACAAAGATGATCGTGGTATAAGATGTGAAGCTGTTTTTTCTCTTATTTATGAGTTATCGTTCTGTGTTTTATTATATTATGATGTCTCCTTTGTCAAGATATATATATATCTCTTGCAAGATTACCACAAATATATCTTGCAAGATTATCACCAATGATATATGTATATCATTTTGACTTTTATTTTAGATTCAGAGAGTGATAGGTTTGGGGTATGACTGATCCCATTACCCAGGTACTGAGCATAGCACACAACAGTTTTTCAACTCTTGCCCCTCTGCCTCTCTCCTCCCTCCTCCCTCTAGTAGTCCCAGTGTCTATCGTCCCATCTTTATGTCCATGAGTACCCAATGTTTAGCTCCTACTTATAAGTGAGAACATGCAGTATTTGGTTTTCTGTGTTTTGTGTTAATTTGCTTAGGATTATGGCCTCTAGCTGCATCCATGGTGCTGGAAAGGACTGATTTTATTCTTTTTTATGGCTGCATAGTATCCCATAGTGTATCCATACCACATTTTCTTTAATCAATCCACCATTGATGGGCTTTTAGATAGATTCCATGTCTTTGTGACTGTGAATAGTGCTGCAATGAACATATGAGTACATGTGTCTTTTTGGTAGAATGATTTATTTTCTTCTAGATATATACCCAGTAATGGGATTGCCAGGTGGAATGGTAGTTCTGTTTTAAGTTCTTCAGGAAATTTCCACATGGCCTTCCACAGTGGCTGAACTAATTTACATTTCCACCAACAGTATATACATTCCCTTTCCTCCACAGCCTTACCAGCATGTGTGTTTTTTTGACTGTTTTAATACTAGTTATTCTGACTGGTGTGAAATGGTATGTCATTGTGGTTTCAGTTTGCATTTCTAATGATTAGTCATATTGAGCATTTTTAAAATATGTTTGTTGGTGGCTTGTAAGTCTTCTTTTGAGAAGTATCTGTTTATGTCTTTTTCCCATTTTTAATGGGATTATTTGTTTTTTGTTTGTTAAATTGTTTAAATTTCTTATAGATTCTGGATACTAGACCTTTGTCAGATGCATAGTTTGCAAATAATTTCTCCCATTCTGTAGGCTGTGTGTTTACAATGTTATTATTTTCTATTGCTGTACAGAAGCTCTTTAGTTTAATTAGGTCCCACTTGTCAGTTTTTGTTTTTGTTGCAATTGGTTTTGAGGACATAGTCATAAATTATTTCCCAAGCTGATGTCCAGAATGCTGTTTCCAGATACTATACAAAATGAACATCACCAATGCATATAGTCACCAGACTGTCCAAGGTCAACATTAAATAAAAAATTTTAATGGCAACTAGAGAAAAAGATCAGATCATGTACAAATGAATTCCCATGAGGCTAATAGCAGACTTGACTTTTTAGCAGGAGAAATTGGGGGCCTCTTTTCAACATTCTTAAAGAAAGAAATTCCAACAAAGAATTTCATATCTCACCAAACTAAGTTTCATAATCAAAGGAGAAATAAAATATTTTCCAGACAAGCAGGCACTAAGGGAATTCGTTACCATTAGACCAGCCTTTCAAGAGCTCATTAAGGGAGTTCTAAATGTGGAAATGAAAGAACCATACCTACTAACAAAAAACACTCTTCAGTATATTTTTCTAATTAGAATTTTTTTTATTTTTTTAAATCCTTTTTCTTTGTCTACAGAGACTGTGGTAGGATTTTTTTTTCAGATTTTCAAATGTATTTCTTTAGCCTTCCCATTCAGAAATGTTGGATTTTTCTATTTATGAAAATATGCCATTAAATCCATCAGCATGCTTTTAGTGTTTTCTCTGCAGTTTCTAAATAATTTAAATGTCTATTCTAAAAATTTTATAGGTTAGCATGCTGTAGCAAACAGATTAATTTTTTCAGCATGAATTTTACCTGATTATAAATAATATCCAGTAATACTGTTGGGACGTACATTTATCTTGTATCCAGACACTCAGTAAATTCTCTATTCACTCTAGTGCTTTCTACCTGAGCTCATATGCATTACTCTTCCACAAACTACACTTTTTTGTTTTCATCCCCTGAAATTTTTATATTTTCTGATATCCAGAGATACCAAAGCTGTGTTGAATGACATTATTCTATGGAGCAGATTTGTTAGGTCTGTGCTTACAGGAAAGGCTCATCATTTTGGTTTCATTTCTTTTTTTTTTCCACAATAAAATTTATAACACCTTAACAATATTTTGGTGATTTTTTTTTCTAGCTTCTTTAAACATTTATCTTTTAATCCATGACATTTTGATTTACTTCCAAATCTAAACATAGTTTGCTTTTTGGAGAAATAAATATAGTCCATTTTTATTTGTGGTAAGAATTGTTATGCCATATCTAGTGTCTCTCATTCTGTTTCCTGATACTTAGTGTTGTTTCCTAGTCTTTCTAAATTTTATTTTAGTTTTTTTTTAATCTCAACTAGTGAGGGACTAATTTTTTAAAATAATAATCACATTCCATTGTGTGTTTTCTTTTAAAGTATTATTTTTAAGACCTCTTTTCTTTTTCTGACATGTCTTCTGAGCATCTTAGAATACCTTACCACATTTTAACAATATAATTATTTTTTATTAAATGGCTCCAATAATGCATGTCTGTGTTATCCCTTGCTGATACACATTCCAGTTTCTCTTATTTTAAAATAAATAAACTAAAAAAGTTATATTTTCTTAAATATCTCACAAATAGTGTCTTCATTCTTGATTCCTTTCACTCACCACTAAATTTCTTGAAAAAGTAGTTACTTTTCTTTTTTGTCTTTCCTCAATACTTACCCACTTCTTAACTTTGCTGTTGAACTGCCATCTAAATTCACCGTTCAACTGAAAACACTTCCTAAATTTAAAGGCATTTTCCATCCTCCTCCTTGATTTCCTCAGTGTTTCCTTCTGCTACCCACATTTTTGTCTACTTGGGGAAAAACTATTCTTGAGGCATCACCTGGTACCAGTTCAGTTCTCTGACTTCTTTTTTCCTCTCCTTGTCCTTTGGAGACACCGTTTCTATTCCTACCCACCAAACACACACATTCTCTAGGACTCTGCACAGGGGCACATTTTCTCCATATTTATGTTGGCCAGCTTTTAGCCCATCATACATTTTTAGTCACCCTGTCTGGATTATTGGCTTTCAATTCAGTAATTCCTGTACCTTGTCTTGAGTTTCAGATCTATATTTCATTAACACCATAAACTCAGAATGTTCAAACACCGTTTTTGCCCAAATGCCATTCTTCGGTCACCCTCTCTATTTCTGTGAATGACTACACCTTTTTCTCTCCCACCCAAACTCTAAACCTCCCTTTTTGGCTTTCACTTTCTTTTCTTGTCCCCCATACAATTAATTGCTCTGTTATATAATTCTTTGTATATATCGTAGTTTCTATTTGCCATTCCCAAAGCTACACCCTTAGCTTAAGTTTTCATACACTCCGCCCCACCAAATTCTTGCCATACAGTAGTATCATATTAATCCTCCCAAGGCACAGTTAGTCTCAGAACAAGGGCGAGTCTGTTAACACCCTAGTTAATAATGCAGTGCCCTTAACTGATGTTCTTCTTTGAATCATTTGTTGAGAGGGACAATTCTGTCCTTGTTATGAGCATGGCTGTAGTTTCATGCTCTTTGGTTGTGAATCCTTAGAAACCCTTGATAACTGTGTGTCCTTAGGAAAGTTACTTCATCATTCAAGTCCTTGGTTTCCTTATCTGTAGAGCAGAGATAATAACATTACCTGCCTTAGTCAAGTTGTGGGCATCTTACACATTTTTATAGTCACTCAAGGTGCATGTGCTTATTAAAGATATATATTTTTTGAATTGCAAATGGCCTAAAGAAAGTCCATGGGAAGTAGCCAGTGCTTTATATCAGGATAGATGGATGGCTGAGGCCTAAGTGGTGTGTTCCTGGATTCACTGGAAAGTTTCAAAAAGTGATAATAAAAGCGGAGCCGGCATTTGCACCTTCAAAGTCCTTGGAAAAGAAAGCTGGCCCAATCCATAAAGGCCAGGATATACTTTTTCAGCCAACAGACAATGAAGAAAGAGACACTGAAGAGCAGTAAGATTAAAGGACATTCAACCTTCATTACCAATGAGACAATGTCCAGTGTGGTATAAGAACTTTGGGAAGGAGGATGACTGGTTGGATCACCAGGTTACCAGTGAGTGAACAAATTCCTAATCAAATACATTAATTTCTGCCCAGTAACAACTTTATCCCCATCCTTCTTTACATCACTATTTACAGACATTTGTTTATGTTGAAAAAAAATGAGGAAATGATAAGATGCTCCCCTTATGAGCCTGAGTCTTCACTTATTCAACAGGCTTTCCAAATAACCATGCTAGACTCATTGCTGTGCTGCTACTATTTCAGTGTTAGGGATAAAGAAAGGAATCCTAACAGCTTCTAGAGAGAAAATAACTAGGTTATCTGCCATGGGACAAGAGTCAGATTTGCATTTTGCATAAACAACACCAGTTGTCAAAAAACAATAAAGCAAACATCTTAAAAATACTTAAGTATGTTGCACTTCAATTTATATGCGAAGTCAAACTACTGTTTGTAAATAAGGTTAAAACAAAGACTTTCAGGCAAATGTGGATTCAGAAAATGCAACTTCCGCACATCTATTATGGCATGGCATTTGTGGATTCCTCCAGTGAAACAAAAATGAATTCAAACAAAAGAGAAAAAATGTTGGGATTTTTAAAAAAAACGTTGGAAGCAAAGAAACGAGTAAAACTTGATTAAGACTAAATAATTGTAGTTACCTAATGTAAAAATAACACTGTTAATTAAAACAGCAAGAATAACAAAGCCAGAAATTGTTTTTAATCAAATGATTTTACCTTGAGAGGTATTGAGGTAATGGACATATTTTCTAGGAGAACTTATTATTTATATATATAAAGAAATATATATATATATAGTACAAATACACATATTTATAGAAATAGTTTATCTCACTGCTTTAAATCACAGTAAATGCTTTACTTTTAATTTCATACAGCTTTAAAGGAGAAAATTAGATTTTTATATTCATCAAAGAGGATTATGGGTTAATAAGCTTAAAAGACCCTCTTATAATGGTAATTCAACATTCAGTGTGAAGGAGAAAGGCATAGTTTATACAAGGACAAGACCTCTCCTTGAATTATGCAGTTTAGTACTCTGAGCCTTCACTATTTTCTTCCGTCTATGTGCAATGAAATTTCAGTTTTAGGACCAGGTAAATAGTGCTTATTACATTTAAGCTGTGAAAGCCAGAATTCCCTGAAGCACATCGTACAGCTCAGCATTGTTGGTATTTGTGTTTTCATAGCATGTTTCATCTGAGGGAACCAAGTTCTGCATAAATATAACGAATTTCACATTCCATAAAATGATCCCATATTGTTATATTATCACCAGCAAGGCATAGGGTGGAGAATTACCGGGTTTTCGAGAAAAGCTTGAGCAAATGGGCAATTTCGGCCACCATCTTGAAGGCCAGACTCAAGGACAGGTTTTATTTGGGAACACTTGGTCTTGGGATTGCCTGCGTTCGCTGCCCCATGTTCCAGCATCATCCTCTGATGTGTTCAATCTGAACCAGTTCCCCATAAAAAGTTATTGTAGGAAAGTTTTGTGCCCTGAAGAAAGGTGAGACCTTCATCCTATTCAGGATTCCCTCACTGAGCAGACTCTTTCCTTGTCCTTCTTCAGAGATGTGCAAATGTGCCTTTCAGCTTCTAACACACGCCTTTCAGCTCTGCCTGATATGTGACCAACCCTGGATTTTTGGTTCTGTTCATTTGGGGTTTTGTTCTGTTTGGTTGATTTTTAACACTCTGTGCCTCAGTTTTCTGACCTGTAACATGTAAGTAATGATAATATCTGCCCCAGAGAAATCTTCCCGAGACAAATTGTAGGCATGAGAGTCACAGAGCAGGCCACGTAAGCAATGATAATATCTGCCACACAAGATTCTTCCTGAGACAAATTGCAGGTATCAGAGACTTAGAGCAGGCTTAGCAGCCAGCACACAGTGCATGTGGGCCCTGTGTGCTTGCAGAGGTTCGACCCCCATCTCCACCTGCTTTCCATGACCTGTGAATGGATGGTTTTGCACCAAAATTCATGTACCATACACACCTCAGAAATAGCCCTAAATATTTGGGAAAAGGTAGCCCCAAAGGAAGCTTTTGGAAATGTTCAATGCTCGTTGACACATCTTAAAAATTAAGAAAATGGCAACTAGAGGAAGATCAAGAAGTACTGAGAATGAAGGTTATAAACCAGCTAGTGTGTTGCCAGGCATTTGGCCTTTTACTCTAGACTTCTCTTCCTTTTTCACCATCATTTGGCAAAATTTAGAAATTTAAACATCTACAAAGACTCATCAATCCTATCTGCTGTAGGTACAACTGTCCTTGACTTTCATGTTTTCTAATATTCTCTTTTCCCCTCTGTATTGAAATATTTCAGACTTAAAGTATAAAGCAAAAGAACAAATAAGCGGACCTTCTCCTTTTCTTCCTCCGTCCGATTAAAGGAGCCTGGGGAAAAGGCGCAATGCCAAGAGGGATTTAAATGCGCTCTGGACTTCAGTTTCCTCCTGCATAAAATGAGGATTCTAGACCTTATCATAATAGGTTTTCTTCCAGCCTTAATAGTCCATGAGATTTCACATTTTTCTGGTATTATTTTCAATCTGTTAGAAGCCTTCAAAGAAAATTATATGACTGGTTGCCTTTTTTTTCTTTTCAGTTTTACTGTATCTCCAATTTTGACTGTAATTTTCAGGTATTTTCTATGAATCCTTTCACTCCTTCCTATCTTTTCTATCTTGTGGGCAGAATGTTCAATTCTTTTGGCACATTACTCACATCCTAGCTAATTATTTTCAGTAACTAAATACTCATGTGTGCTCATTATAAAAAACTCTTCAGAGCAAAGCATAAGAATATAAGTTTCTTAAGTGAAACTTCTTTGCATTTACGGGGAAGAATACTATGACATGATGGGAAAATAAGATTTTGCCTAGAAATATGTTCTACCATTAATATTATCAGTTGCGGTCCAAGAACCTCACTATTCTTCATACTAGTGTTTCAAGTAATAAGCACTCACTGCAACAAATGCCATGGCAATAGAAAAAGCCAGGGTCTCCTAATGATTTAAGAAAAACTTTGCCAAGTAAAATCCCTGCGGGGTTAGAAACACTGACTTACTGTGAGAATTGAAATATATAAATATGTATACAATATACCAGTCTCAGGTCATAACATCCAGAAAATATTAACTATCGATAAAATGAATTAAAATCATTTTGTATCATTTAATATGATTTTGATAAGCAAAAAAGGCATTATTTTAAATTTGTGAAGTGAGTCATTTCTTTCATTGTAGGCAAAATAGATTTTCTGTCACATTCTGAAAAATAATAGAATTGGAAGAAGGTCTTTTGCCCATGGTTATGGCTTAGGCAAACAGTGATAGCTCAGAAGATAAGCTATAGAACTTAGTGGACATAAAACCTGTCTCATAAATTTGAGAGCTCTGTGATACATCAGTTCTTCGGCTAAGAAAATGCTATCATTTTTACATCTTCAGGGTTACATAGTGGGATCCACTTTTAGAGATATAGCCTCACTAAAAGAATTTCTTTGTTCTTTTTTCTAACAATATGAAAACTTTTAAAATATGAAAAGCATAAGTAATGCCATTTTCCTGCTCTGCTTCTCATTTGGGTAACAACTGAGTAAAATGCTTCCCTTTATCTCCTAGAACCACAAATATTGTGTTGATGTGAATTGGAACATTGATATTAAAAACAATTTTGGTTGCTTGCATTCTGATTTGCCATAAGATTAAGCCTGGACATTTGAGCTCTCTGGACATTGCATTTATTTATGGATGCATCATCAGTTTATAGCAAGCACAGCTGAGCTCTCAATGTTCTTCATTAAACATGGTAAACTTAACAAATTCTAAGAGTCTGGAGGATCTAAACAGCTCTTACTAAGCTACCTACTAGCATGTACATTTCTAGAGAGAGGAAGAGAAGAATGAAAGTACATATTTTTTCTTCTGTTTATTGTATTTATGTGGGAGAATAAAAGCTGCAGACCACAGCATGCAGTGCTTCAGAGGGAGAGGACTTGGCAGGATGCCTTGCTTGCCTGACCCCTCTGAAGGCCAGAGTGTACCAGGGCTTAGGTCTCCAGTCTGTTCTCTGCCATTTACCCTTAGGGATCTCACCCATTCTTACTGCTTTACAACCGTCTACACACTAATAACTCCATAGCTCCTATCTCTCCCCTGAAATCCAGACTCAAAGTCCAACTGCTTAGTATAGTCTTCATTTGAATTAATGAATATCTCAAACAAAACATGACCAAAATAGAGCTCTTGATGGCCTCCTAAACCAACTTTCCCCCTCTTTACCCCTCTAGGTAAATGATACTCCATTTACCCACTTTCCCAGGCCAGAACTCTAGGAGGAGCCATACTGGACTTTTTCCTCTCACTCCTCGTATCCAAGCCATCTGCAGATGGCCCCAGTTCTACCTTCAAAGTAAACCCAAAGACACTATTCCTTCCCCCTTACCATCCTCATCCAAGCCAGCATTCTTCTCCCTGGACCTCAGCACTCACTGAATTGTCCTTGTTCACACTCCTGCCTACCTAATGTATCCACTATACAGCAGCCACATTGAGCCTTTAAAATAGTTCATTAACTGGCATTACTCTCATCTTAACCCCAGGGAGTGAAACCCAAAGCCATCACTTTGGTCACAAGTCCACGTGCAGGCACAGACACACACACACACACACACACACACACACAAACGCACATTCTCCTCCTTGTCACACTTCCTTTATTTCACTGTCCCTGAGTGTGCAGGCTCAGAAATGAAAACTGTCTAGAATGATAGCCACCACTATGAGGCCATTGGTGTATGACAGCTGCCATTACCATAAATATTAATTTATATCCTTTGGTCTTTTGGACCTCATGAGAAGAATTAGATTCGATTAAGTAAAATTCAGGGATAGTAATGTCTTAAAAAATACTTTACAGTACGAACTATATAAGTGGAATGTAGATTTGAGTAGCAGAAGTGCACCTCCAGACACAGGATGGAGGAACCCCACAGAGGCCTTCCTCCTTCCTGAGCCCACTGCGTGGGAGCCTCTGTGACTTTCCTTTCTATGTTCTTGCCCCCCGGACAGTGGCTTGCGATTTCTGTATGTTCCAGTATTGCTGCTGCTGTTTTTCTAAATGAAATAATGAGGACAGAGTGTGAACTGTGATTTTCTCTTAAAAATTTCAATTCTTTTGAGCCTTATGGAGTAAGGGTCAATTTAAAAAGAAAATAGAGTTGAACAAAGACATGTTTTCCCCATATCCTAACAAAATGGAATTGAGCAAGGCGGGATGGCTTCTGGAACAGAAATCATTCTCTGTTTGTAGGGCGGTTGCCCAGGGAGTAATGTTTGCATAAATGGGTGCTGATTTACTGACAAGACGTTGCTCGGTGGTTAGGTTACCACTCCTTGGTGACTTGGCAGAGGGGAGGCCTGTGGAGAGGAATGCAGCCTGGGATTCATCCAGCAGCTCTGCAACTCTGCTTCTTCTAGATTATGTAGCTGCCTGCATGATCAGTGGCAGGTACGCATCCCAACCCAGGGGTCCTAATTTGAAACCCAGCATCAAAGCATTCTTCTTTAAAACTGTTTGTCCAGCAAGCGTATCCGAGGCACCAAAGATAGAGGAAACAATACAAAAAAGTGCAATTTGTTTGATGGCCAATTCTTCTAGTAAATTTTGATTTCATGTCTGTATTAGTCAGGGTTCTCTAGAAGGACAGAACTAATAGGATAGATGTATATATAAAGGGGAGTTTATTAAGGAGTATTGACTCACACGATCACAAGGTGAGGTCCCACAATAGGCCATCTGAAAACTGAGGATCCAGGAAGCCTCATCCCAAAGGGATGTCTGCATCCCAAAACCTCAAAAGTAGGGAGGCCAACTGTGCAGCCTTCAGTCTGTGGTTGAAAGTCCAAGAGAACTTGAAGTCCGATGTCCGAGGGCAGGAAGCACGAGAAAAAGATGAGGCTGGAAGACTAAGCCAGTCTAGTCTTTCCATGCTCTCCTGCCTGCTTTTATTCTGGCCGCGCTGGCAGCTGATTAGATGGTGCCCACCCAGATGGAGGGTGGGTCTGCCTTTCCCAGCCCACTGACTCAAATGTTAATATCCTTTGGCAACACCCTCACAGACACACCCGGGAGCAACACTTTGCATCCTTCAATCCAATCAAGTTGACACTCAGTGTTAACCATTACCATGTCCATTAATGAACATCTCTTCCAACCTTCACGTCTTTTTATTTATTTATTTATTTATTTGTTTGTTTAGATGGAGTCTCGCTCTGTCACAAGGCTGGAGTGCAGTGGCATGATTCCGGCTCACTGTAACCTGCGCCTCCTGGGTTCAAGCGATTCTCCTGCCTCAACCTCCCAAGTAGCTAGGACTACAGGTGCACACTACCATGACCAGTTAATTTTTGTAGTTTTAGTAAGGACGGGGGTTTCACCATGTTGACCAGGATGGCCTCTATTTCTTCACCTTGTGATCCACCCACCTCGGCCTCCCAAAGTGCTGGGATTACAGGCGTGAGCCCCCGCACCTGGCCTCACCTCTTTTAAAAATCACTTTAACCCTACTGAGAGTTCCAGCCCTGAGCAGGAGATATGTCAACATTTATCACAGACCTAAAAACTGATCAACAGAACTATGAACAGTACAAGTTTTAAATCATTCCCTGCTTATAGCCGTGGGCACTTCCTTTACCTTTCCCATTAAGTAGTGACATGTATAAAAATGAATCCTTTATATTACAGGAGAGAGAAAGAGAACAGAAAGAGAGAGATCAGTGGGAAAGATTGATACAAATTGGAGCTATTTTTCTTGCTGAACAAAAACTCAGTTTTCAAGTGTCAACCGTAAAATACTTTTCCCATTGATCTTTTTTAAAGCGTGGCCGTATAGTTAACATTATAACAACAATGCAGAGAACTATCCCTTTCATCTACTCTTTAGGGTATGACGCATTTTGGATATGCTATTTAAAAACTGACATTGTATTCTCTGTATAATTGTTATCAGTTGAATAACGATTACTTAATTTTGTATACAAGGTCTATAGAATTCCTTTTGTCAGGTTAACCTCATTTTACACCAGGAGCACAAAGCTCAAAGATGTTGAGTGTATGGCTCTCAGTGAAGTGAATGCAACTGATCTGACACTGATTCTACTTGATTAAACACATGCTAAGACAACCTGGTGATGCTGGGCATAGGTTCTTCATGAGTGCCTGGGGAATGATGCTCCCTTGCCTTCTACAAAGAGACCCTCTCTTGCTCTGTGGCGTGCCCTGACCAAGACACACTGACCTGTCACTATTACATACATTTTTCAGTGAGCTCTGTGAAGAGAGCAATAAAATATCATCCAGAAGGAGAAGAAACGTGTAGAAAAGGAAAAAAAGAAAAAAGAGGAAGAAGCAAGTTTTAGAATGGACAAAATGAGTAAATTCCATGATGCTGAGTTGTTTCCATGTTACTGTGTGCTGGAAATGATATTGTTTTGATTTCCATGAATCTGTTAGCCCTGTGGGTGTAGACAGGGAGGGCTGACATTTCAGTGCAGAATGCTGGTAGTTCTGTCAACAGGAGTTACATTTTATGCTAAGTACAATTTCTAAGACATATAGTTTCAAAATACTTCCTTTTCTGTCCCTTTCCTTTTGCCATGACAACTCTCATACCCTGAGCAGGCAGTGTGGACTCGAGCCGGCCAGCCTGGGCGTGGGTTTCACTCTTGTGAGATGTCAGGCAAGTTGCTCTTTGTTGAGACTTTGAAGATGTAAAAAGTCATGATGATAATCATCCCCATGCATGCTGCAGTGTTAGGGAGGACTAAATGAGTAAAAAACGTGAAGACGGCTAACACGGTGAAACCCCATCTCTACTAAAAATACAAAAAATAATTAGCCAGGCGTGGTGGCGGGCGCCTGTGGTCCCAGCTACTCAGGAGGCTGGGGGAGGAGAATGGCATGAACCCGGGAGGTGGAGCTTGTAGTGAGTGAGATCGTGCCACTGCACTCCAGCCTGGGTGACAGAGCGAGACTCTGTCTTAAAAAAAAAAAAACGTGAAGAATTTGTTCTTTTCCTGGCACACAGAGCTTAGAAAATATTAGGTAGTTTATTACAAATATTTTATCTTGATGTTGGCATCTAAAACAGTGAGGATACTGATCTAAATGAGAAATATTTGCTGACTGATTTAAACAAAAATTGCCTTAGATAACCTTCTGCAATTGACACTTTTTTTCCCATGTTTTATGAGTATAAAATATTATTATGTGGGTATTTCCCTATCACAAAATATCATGAGCTTTCAAAAATTATAAATTCTTACCACTCCTGGGGGAGGAGTCAGTTTGGGGGCAGATTAAGAGTTCAGTTCTAGACTTCATTGTGAGGAGTTTGGTAGAAATCCCAGAAGAGCTGTTGAGAAGACCAGTGGAGCCACACGTCTAGAGGTCATGGACCTGCGCTGGGCCAGAGATCTGCATTTGAGAGAAGCCAGCAGATCAGTAGCATTTACCACCCTGAGGCTGGGCGCAGTCACCACGGGACTCCTGACATTCAGAGAGCCAGGAGATAAAGAGAAGTCAGGAAAGGGCCTTGGGAAGAGATGGCGCATCCAGCGAGAGGAAAGCCAGGTGAGCATGGTGTCTAGACAGAGACAGCCCAGTAGACAGGGTTTCAGGAAGGAAGAAGGCAATGGCCTGTGTCCTAACAAGAGGAGCTCTGGTGGGGTGGCGGGGAGAAGCCTCACTGCAGCACAGGGAGGCCAAGAGGGAAAACGGGATCGAGAGAAGGTTATTTTACAGATGAGGGAATGAGCAGCATGCCTGTACGCTATGGAATGATCCAGCAGAGAAGGAAACATGGATGTTGTGGAGAGGTAGATAGGCTGTTGGAGCGACATCCTTGAGTAGGAAGGAAGGGATGGGTTCCTTCCATGAAGCTCTGACAGGAGCAGGAGCAGACATTTCCCCCTTACAGGAGGGATGTAGTGACATAGGCGGGGATGCTGGCAGGTGGTTGTTTCTCCTGTCTTTTATTAGAGTTATATGTGTTTCTGCCTTCTCATTTTACAAGTTTGTCATTTCCTCATGCTCTTTGACTTACTCCTTTTGTGTCTCCAAACACCCCACCTTCCTTGCCCTCCACCCATGCAAACACAGAGGGGTGGAAAACGGGAGCAGTTAATAAACATTGCTGCCACTGAAAATGCGAATGCCCAGAGGAGTGTACATGCCCAGGACTGCTGTCAATAGTAAGGGGAAGCAGCCTAGGACATCTTGAAATACTGAAAAGGAGGCCGAGATCTTGGGACCTGGAAATCCCTGTTTAGGGGAAAAAATGCAAATAAGCATTGCCTACTTGGAGAGTGGCACCTTCTGAAATGCATACCTAGAGGATGTGACTGGCTGAAACATTCGTGTTTCAAATTTTAGATGCCCTTTGAGATCCCTGTTAGGTTTTAGACACTGAGAGATCTAGAAATGTTGTTTCTGAGTTTGGGGTGGATGGCTCCCAAGGCTTTTGTCGTGGAAGTCGTCCTGAGCAGGCGTTTCCCATGACTGAGGGCTGGGACTAAGGAACCAACAGTAACTGTAAAGTGGTTGTGTAGGAAAGGGGCGCTACGTTCATGGCACTTTACCTGATTGTGTTATTTTGTTGCTTGTGTTGTTATTTCTGAGTGTCTGAATGTTTTTAGGACTGTATTAGTCAGGGGTCTTTAGAGAACAGAAGCCATAGGATATATACAGGAAGAGATCTATTGGGAAGTGTTCACTAACACAATTATGGAGATTGGGAAGTGCCAAGACCTGCCTTCTGCAAGCTGGAGGCCCAGGAAAGCCAGTGGTGTGACCCAGGCCAAATCTGAAGGCCTGAACGTCCAGGATGTAAAATCCCAGCTCACGAGAAAAAGACTGACGTTCCAGCTGAAGCCAGGAGGCTGGAAGCCAAAACAGGGACTAATTCCTCCTTCCTCCACCTTTTGTTCTCTTCTGGCCCTCAGTAGAGATTGGACGGTGGTCGCTCACACTGGGAGCGCAGTCTGCTTTACCAAGTCCATTGATTCAATTGCCAGTCTCATCTGCAGACACCCTCACAGACACATCCAGAAATCATGGCTCATCTGGGCATGCCGTGGCCCAGTCAAGTGGACATGTAGAATTAACCATCACGTGGCCCAATTAACAGAACTATAAGAAAGTACATGTTTTATTTGTCAGAAGTAAATGTACAGTTAGATGGTGTAGGAATTGTGGGGAAGCAAAACAAAGCCCTCACCCATCTGCATCTGATCACCTTTTGAAACACCAGAGTCTCCACAGTCTGGGTTCTGGAGCTCAGCTGTCTGGACCCAGATGCTTCTTCACCACCTGTGAGCTGTGTCCTGTAAAATAAGGGTATTTGTGATGTTAACATGGAAAGCAGTTGATACAGCACCTGTCTCATAGACACCTCTCCTCAAACATGAGCTGTTAGGTTTTTTTCATTTTCTTTTTTTTTTTTTTTTTGAGAAGGAGTTTCACTCTTGTTGCCCAGGCTGGAGTGCAATGGCATGACCTTGGCTCACTGCAACCTCCACCTCCCGGGTTCAAGCGATTATCCTGCCTCAGCCTCCCAAGTAACTGGGATTACAGGCATGTGCCACCATGCCCAGCTGATTTTGTATTTTTAGTGGAGACGGGGTTTCACCATGTTTGTCAGGCTGGTCTCGAACTCCTGACCTCAGGTGATCTGTCTGCCTCAGCCTTCCGAAGTGCTGGGGTTACAGGCGTGAGCCACGGCACCCGGCCAACTGCTAGTGCTAAAACACTTCCTTAGATGACTTGCATTGATCCTATGCTGATTCTACTCTTTAAAATTTTTCAGGATTGTTTACAACAAAATTAATCAATTGATTCCAAGTAATAAGCACTCTGGGAAAATTAATTGGGAAAATTCACTAAATGACATTATTGAACAGAAAGTCTATATAGAGCTATAAATACTTTTTAGTCTCTCATGTCAAAGGGGCCCTGAGGGCCTTCCTCATTGTCTGGGTAGCTGAGCAGCCAGTTGTCCCATCCCCACTCATAGCACTCGAACCAGAGTACAGAATTCTATATGGCAGCATTTCATCATCTCATTACATAAGCAAAGTGGGAAGGATGTGAGGGAGTGCACTGTGACTCAGGCAGATGTGCGATTGTAATCCCTCTGAAGGGGGATGAGAGATCCTGGGTTCAGGTATAGTCCCTAGGAATGAAAGCATCTGATTTTAGAGTCTGCAGTCTTCTATGACTGAGCTGTCAAATTCTGAACACATAGTAACGGTTGAGTATCCAGAATCTGAAAATCCAGAATCTGAAATGCTTCCGAATCGGAAACTTTCTAAGTGCCAACATGATACCACAAGTGGAAAATTCCACACACCAGTGCTTAACACAAATTTCATCACGTGCAATTATTAAAATTGTATGAATTATTCATATTGTATAAAATTGTTTTTGGGCTATGTGTATAAGATGTATATGCAAAAGTGGATTTCATGTTTACACTTGGGTCCTATCCCCAAGATATCTCATTTGTATATGCAAATATTCCAAGAACCAAAAAATTCTGAAATCCGAAACACTTCTGGTCCCAAGCATTTTGAATAAAGGATGCTCAACCTGTAATAACATGCTCCCCAAAATGAAGGAGTTTGGAAAGTGTTAGTCCACTGGAGGGCTGAGGAGGCAGGGTGCTGGATAGTTGAAAATCAGTGAAGCTCATTGAGTCATTGAGTGTCTGCTTCCTTCATCACGCATACTTTTCTGCGTATGCAGAATGTGTAGATTAGGGCAATGTGTAGATTAGGGCAAAGTCTTCTACAAACATGGGAATAAATATGTGCTATGATGCTGTCTTCCCTGAACATTAAAGTGACATGAAGTGATGATCAGGGTTAAATATGTCACAGTGGCTCTCCATTCCCAAGCCAATGCTATTCTCTGCCTGTGCTCCAGCCCCACACCATCTCCCTGCCATGCACACATGTGTACACATGCCAGGACACATTTTTAATTTTTAATGCATAAACAAAGTACTTAATAGGGGTATGCTCTTTCATTCTTTCCTGCACTAAGGGCGAAACACACGTGAGGGTTAATCACCTAAGTTCGCAAATCAAGGACCAAAAACATGTGCCTCCCCTGCAATAGAAATGTCTCCTCACCATGAGGTTTCCGGGGGTCACAAGTGTCTGTTCAGATATGCACAATCCAGACCTTTACTTTTCCCTCTCAGCTGAAACTTAGATGCCAAAATTCCCAGCAATTAGTTCTCCCGAAAAGCCATAAGAACCAGGCAGAGCAGACAGCTGTGACTGAGGAGGGAGGCAGCTCCCAGCTCCCACTGAGGCTGATGGACGGGAGGGACCATTCATTGGAAATGAGTGTCGCAGACCCAGACCCCCAGGTGCAGTGACATCTCTGCCTTCCTCAGGTCTCCAGTGGTGAATGCAGGAGTCCCTCACCCTTCGACACGAACCCTCTTCTAGGTTCAAAGAGGCAGATATCAAAGCTGATCAGCCAAAGACTTTTACTGAACATGGAGATCTTCAGTTGTACCCAACCAATGCACTGCACTGATGGACTGTTTTGAACCCCTGCACGCTGGGTGGAGAATATCCCTACCTTTCCTCAACTGAAGTTTCTGTTTCCATATAGTTGCTGTCCTCTCCAGTTTTTCTCATGAACCGGTTCCTTGAATCCCTTCTCCTGAAGATTTGTCCACTCTTGGGTTGTGCAGATCTTTGTCATGTTCACTTGCTTTTTTTCTATAAGTTTTTGTTTCTCCTTTTCACCAGTGAAGAGAATTGTGTGTGTGTGTGTGTGTGTGTGTGTGTGTGTATATATATATATATTTGAGATGGAGTCTCACTCTGCTGCCCAAGCTGGAGTGCAGTGGTGTGATGCAATGTCTGCCTTCTGGGTTCAAGCGATTCTCCTGCCTCAGCCTCCCGAGTAGCTGGGACTACAAGCATGAGGCACCACACCCACCAAGAAGTGTATTTACTGCATTGCTTCTGTAAAAAGCACAAATCTAAGGAAGCAGAAGGATTAAATTGTATAAATCTGAAGTGTATTAGTCAGAGTTCTCCAGAGACACAACCAATAAAATGTGTGTGTCTATGGAAAGACATTTAAGTTTGGTTCACACAATTATAGGGGCTGGCAATTCCAAAACCTGCAGGGTGAACTTACATGCTGGACCGAGGGAAGAGCAGATGCTGCAGTTCAAGTTCAAAGCCCGTTCACTGCAGTATTCCTTCTTGCTTGGGGGAAATAACTCTTTTTTTTCGAAGGCCTTGAACACATTAGGAAGAACAATTTGATTTATCACCAATTTAAATGCTCATTTCATCCAAAAACAACTCTCACAGAAACATCTAGAAAAATGCTTGACCACAACATATTTGGCACCATGGCCCAGTCAACTTAACACGTAAAATTTACCATCACACTGAATTTTCTTGGTGATTTGGTTTAAAACACTAAGATGCAGTTTATGTAGTCTTTTGAAAACTAAATATTTCAATGTGCTAATACTCAGATTCTGAGATGAAAGAAACGAGAAATGCTGCTGGCTAAAACTTTACAGAGGTTTGCTTTTCAGCATAGGTATGGTTTTCCTTATTCTGCAGCTGTTCACTCTATTCAATCCAGTTCCAGTTAAATAATGTGTAACTTAACTAATTACATACATCTCTCCAATGCAGTGCAATTTAAGATGAGATTTGGCATAAACCAACATGACTTCTTTGTGTGTATGTGTGAGTATGTACATTTGTGTTCTATTTATCTTTATAATACCCAGATTGCTGTACTGTGTTGGTTATTTCATTGTGTTTCACCAGCTTTTGAATGGAAATGGAAACAGTCTGGTTAAATTGACACCAAACTTATTGTCTCTTTCTCTGTAAATGTGCTGAAAACCTCTAGCAATTGGTGTTGAAACCCACAGCTCTGTGGTTTCTGAGAGTTATACTTGCAGTTAGTCCTCTTATGTCCATAGCTTGTAACAGGACACTTGTGGGACCAGGAAATTGAGTTACTAAAGGATAAGTAATACCTCTGCTGTGAGCCGACACCACCAGAATGACCCAACTTACAAGAAACAGTTTCATTATTCTTGTGCAATTTACATGAAAGTAGAGATTCCTAGGAGTAGTTGGAAAACTCGACTTTGCATTTAGAACTGTGGCCCAGCTACACACAACTGTCCAGGTGCTCGGCGAGAGCCTCCAGTTACATACTACCTGCTTTCCAAACTGGTGTGCCTAATAAATTGGCTATAACCAGATGACCTGTGTAAACACAGTAATAAAAGATGGAGCTACTTATGTAAGTGTGAACACCAAGTACAATATATTCTTACTTATAAGTGGGAGCTTAACATTAAATGCACATGGACACAAAGATGGAAACAATAGATACCAGGGATTGCTTGAGAGGAGAAGGTGGGAGGGGCCATGGGTTGGAAGGCTACTTATCAGGTACTATGCTTACTACTTCCATGAGTGGATCATTCCTACACCAAGATTCACCCACATGCAATTTACCCATTTAACAAATCTGTACACATACCTCCAGAACTCAAAATAAAAGTGGAAAAGAAAGAAAGAAAAGGATGGAGGGAGGGAGGGAGGGAGGGAGAGAAGGAAGGAAGGAAGGAAGGAAGGAAGGAAGGAAGGAAGGAAGGAAGGAAGGAAGGAAGGACTGTGAGAAAGGAAAAGGGAAGGAGAAGCTATATTGAGCTGCTCAGATCCTTCTCTGAAGAATGAGAGAGGCATGGGCAGGACAGGGTTGTTGACTCTGATTTTGCTCCCTTTACATATGGATTAGTGGGGCAGTCAGGGTTCTCCAGAGAAACACAAACAATGGCATAGGTGTATATATAGAGAAGGAAATTTACTTTAAGGAACTGGCTTATGCAATCACAGGTGCTGGCAAGTCTGAGATCTGTAAGGCAGGCCAGCAGGTTGGAGAGTAAGTTAAGAGTTGATACTGCAGTCTGGAGTCAGAAGGCTGGAGACATAGGTAGAATTTCCATTTTACAGTTTGGAGGTAGAATTCTTTCTTCTTCAGGGGATCTCAGTCTTCACTCTTAAGTTCTTCAGTTGATTGGATGAGTCCCAACCATGTTGTGAAGGGTAATCTGCTTTACTTAATCTGTCAACTAATTGTAAATGTTAATCACATGTTAAAAAAAAAATACTTTCACAGTGACATCTATACTACCATTTGCCCGAACAACTGGGCACAATGGCCTACTGAAGCTGACATAAAATTAACCATCTCAGCTCAGAAGCAGGGAAGGGTAGCTATGGGAGGTGAGGAAAGATCCTTGTACATGCTGCTGGAGGCAGAATCCAGTGTCCCAACACCAAGCAATGTAGAAACTCAAAAAATCTTCACTGCATGACTGGCTTCCCTAAGTCCCAAGGCAGTGTATTTCCTTATTTGTAAAGTTTTTTTTTAATTTTCTTTGGCTACTTGAAAACAAACAAGGGTGATTTGGACAGGGGTATATATCTCTAAAGCTTGGGGCATCAAAACTGTTTTGATTGTGCACACCTATGGGTAAATATTTTTGACCAGTCATTATATATATTTGCTTATTCATAAATTATATGTGCTAATATTTATGTAGATTATAAATCACAAGTTAAAATTAAGGGTAGACAAAGATTTAAAACATATTTTAAAAGATCTACTTTTTAATAGCTCAAAAATACTTTAAACCTTTAATATTTTTGGTAAGAGTCTTATGATGGAAAATGCATACTTGGCAAAAGCGAAAAAGAGGGACAAAAGAACCACAAGACAAACAGAAAACAGTGAACAAAATGGCAAAGGCAACCCCTCCCAATAAATAATTATATTAAATGCAAGTGGATTAAACTCCCAATCAAAAGGTATGTTTAGGAAAATTTTAGTTAACACTTTGCAATCAAATACTTGTTACAAAGATTGGTTTATCCCGACACTTGGTTTTAATGGTCGAATAAATGATTCAATGATGTAATACTCAGTGACCTGGCTTCCAAATCACGATATTCACTTCTCAATCCTGTTCACACTGACATGGAAGTTTTGATAAAATTCAGCTGATCTGTCTCCATCTGTCCTGATGTCAATCAGTTCTTGAAATTCAACCAAAAAAATTGTATTTTTATTTTTAAGCAAATGGATTTAAGACTCATTGAATCTTTATTTGGAAGATTTTTAACTGAATTTAAACATTCTTTTCCTAAGGTATATCACTGTGCAGATATGAGAGTGTTTAGAGTGTTTTTGTCAAGAAAATCACACAAAAAGACATTTCTAATTGCATGCTTTTCACAGATGATATCTCCATAGCATGTTCTTTTAAATAGATCATTTCTCACCTCATCTTTATTTTATTTTGAAAGCAAAGTCTCTTTTGCTGTGCAAGGTAACATATACACAGGTTCTTGGCATTCAGATGTGAATGTTTGAGGAAAGCCATTATTCTCCTTACCACGCATAGCCTCCTCACTTTTGTTAATCACTGTCACTCAAGGGATAACATAAAAGTTATTGGTACAACACACACAAACACCAAAAAGAAAAAATAATTTCTAGATTTTAGGGAGACAATACTGGGGTCTAAAGGATAACAGAACTCCTTAGGTTAGGATATCAGCATTTCCCAAACAAGCAAATGTGCAAAATTTAGCATCCATCAGTGTTCTGGAAGCAAGGGACCATTGGCGAATATACCTCTCCTCAATTTCAAGGTTACAGGCAGAAATGCAACTGAGACTCCTTCATCCAACTGTTGCTAGTGCAGATAACAGCTGCTGCCCCCTCCACGGCATAGTGGCCACCAGCACGGAAGTAGCCTGGTCAGTCTTTTCCTAGCCTTCCCAGCAGACAGATGTCCTCCTGCCTCTCTCTGCATGGCCAGCCTCCTGCCAGCCCAGCACGGCAGCACTGCCTTCAGTTCTATTTTTAATTTATAGTGCTGGGACCATGGATGTTTTAGTAGCATTTCACACAGCTTAGAACACATTTTGCATTAGGTCTAGAAAAGCATTGCCAAGAATACTTATTCTCTTACCCCCAAAGCCACCGCGGTTTCCTCCATCATCCTTAGCCTCACTTACCTGGATGCTGTTGCACACGGACCACCCTATCCTGGTTGTCAGCCTGCGTAAAGAATCTCCTGAAAGAGATTTTCATGAAAGGGCTTTACAGAAGGCAACAAGAGCACAGAGAAGTTCTGGGTACACTGCCTTTGGCATGCTCAGAAGCAGGTCCAATCCTAGCATGAGCAAGGAAATTGATAGAACCACAACAGTTTACCCAAACCATCGTCTGTTTAAAGAGTGGTATGAGGTCTTCACCCCATGCCTGCTTCTTTATGTCTGCAGTGAAATTCATACATTCATTTTGAATTAGCAATTGATTGTCAAACATCTGTTTAGTGTTGGATTAAGTAGATATTAGAGACCTAACGGAGAAATCCAGCAGTCCAGATCAACGAATATATTGATCTGTTTATCTCCTGGTTTTTATATCACTAGCAGAATTCTTAATACTACTAATAAGCATCTATTAAATTACTACAGTAGACAGAGTTAGGTACACACCTTCTAGATTGACACAGATTTAGCCACACCAAAAAAAAGGAAGAAAGAAACCTATAGCAGCACCAACTCATCACCCAGGCACTCCACATAAAGCATAAATGGCCCAGTGAAAAGCACAATTCCAGGAAGCCCCAGGCACTGACCCTATTCACGCCTAGCGTGAGAGTCACCCCATGTCTCTGGGTGCACTTTTGTGTTTGGCATCCTGCCCATTGCAGCACCTCCCACGGGGGGGCCTGGAGCCTAGTACCCAAGCCTCAGTGCCCACCAACAGACCTCAGGACTGTGCACTGTAACTGAGAAACTCTGAAGACATTCATGGCTTCTGCATTAGTGAGCTTGGGAATCTCATGTTGGAGGAAATGAATTAAGGGTGTTTATTCCAGGTCCTTTGGAAGAGCCTGGAATGGGGCTTACTTAGGGCCTGCCACTTTCATGATCTTGATCATTGAACCTTGTTTCTTCTGGAAGACCAGCCAGAGCCCTCCATAGATGGACCGCTGCATGAGGCTGTTGGACGAAGCATATTTGGTCAGGCCGATAGGCTTGGGGTCGGGATTCTAGCAAGTGGGGCCCTGAGATTAATGACAAACACCTGAGGCCAGGCACACCCTCTGCAGAGTTTTGCATAGCTCAGAACTCTCTCTTGGAAGGAGGTTTATGCTCTGTGCTATACGGGAAATTTTCTCTAAACTGGGAATTGCAGAGGTCAGGAAGGTATCTGAAGCAACTGAAGAAGTTCAAGCTGGAAGAGGATTTCCGAAGTGTGACTCTTTGGAGAGGCCATTGTGTGGATCCAATGCCTAAAGTACCCTTTCCATTCCTTTGAGCTCAAGCTGGAAGCTTCCAGGTTTAGCATGACAAAACCCTACAAACTGGAAGTGGGTTTTCAAGGTAACACTAGCAGTTTCTGTTTATAGAAACCATCGAAATGGAGGTTAAATGAACATTTCAAAAGAATTTGTTTGTAAAGCCTTCTAATAAAAACATTTAATGGCAAAAGATGGGACCAAATAGCCTAAAGGACATAGCCACAAACTGTTCAATGTGAAAAACATGTGATTTTTTTTTCTCTCAGCTGAATTGAAAACTCATTTTAAAAATTTTACTTCAACTGTAAAGAACTATTCGTTTTTACAATAAGACTCTCACTTTCCTCCAGTAAGACTTTCACTTTCAGAGAGCGATGGTAAGGGAGGACTTTCCCTTCAGGAATGGAAAGGAGACACTCCCTGCTGGGGAGCACTGGCTTGACAGGCTTGCCATTGAGAACTAAGCTCTGACTTTTTATCTTGCCCAATTTCCTATCTAAGGGGTCTGGGGAGTCATGCCCTACAAACCATACATTCTCATCACATGGGTTTTCTGTGACCCTGTATATCATGACTTACTTTCCAATCTGAGCATAACGAGGAAGAAAATCAAAATGTTTTACCCCAAAATATATTTCCTTGCTATACCTTGAAATTGCCCTGCAAAGTCTCTTGTGGGAAAAATCACCTTCTATAGAGAATCCCCATTTTTTCCTTCTTCCTTTCCAGACCCAGGAAATCATCAACTAAGAGACAGGCACCCTTTTAGGTCTAATAAGAAACATTTTACAACCTGCGCTCTCTCTGAAGTCTGCTATCTGAGAGATTCCTCTGCACAGTACAACTTGGTCTCCACAGTCCTTTACCTTAACCTCAACATTCCTTTTCATTGATCCCAGGTCTTCAGATAAACTCAAACCAATTGTCAACCACAAAATGTTTAAATTTACCTATAGCCTGGGAGCCCCGCCCCCTCCTCCTCACTTTGAGTTGTCCCACCTTTCTGAAGCAAATCAATGTGTTTCTTAAATGTATTTGATTGATGTCTCATGCCTCCCTAAAATATATAAACCCAAGCTGTGCCCCAACCACCATGGACACATGTTCTTGGCAACTCCTGAGGGCTATGTCACAGGCCATGGTCACTCATATTTGGCTCAGAATAAGTCTCTTCAAATATTTTACAGAGTTTGACTCTTTTCATCAACACCATTGTCCTTTCCTTCCCTTCTTTGGCTGCATTTAAAGGCAGCAGTGATCACAGCTGCCGCCTGGATGTCCCAGTTGTCCATCTGGATGTCCACCAAGATAGCTTCCCAGATAACAGCCAGACCTTTCAATCCAGCCAGGGCTGGCCTTTCCCATTGGGAACTCAGCAGTGTAATTTGTCAGCACCCCAAACACGCACCCCACTCTTGCACCAGGCTCACAGACACTGAGGCATCGAAAGCAGAAAGTAGATTATCTATGAATTGATGCTGAGCAGTCCCACCTCATCCATGTGTGACTCCCCCCTTTGCAGGTCAGTTACCTTCATCATCGTGCCCCACAAGTAGAAATAAGATCAAGTGGAGCTTTGGGACTCCTTGTCGTGACGAGGTCACACCTGGACATGGATGATGGTCTTGAACCCAACTGGTCTCTCCTGGGGCCTTTCCTTAGGTCATCGCTGGAGAGACACTGGCTCGTTTCCTTCTCCTGCTCTTTTTCCTTGTATTTCAGCTGCTGCCCGGCCACATCTCTATCTCTCTGATATTACTCTTTAAGATATCTGTTCTGGGTCTATTTATGTTTTGTTTTTTTTTAATTTAATTCTTTTTTTTTTTTTTTTTTTTTTTTTTTTGAGACAGAATCTCGCTCTGTAGCCCAGGCTGGAGTGCAGTGGTGCCATCTCGGCTCACTGCAAGCTCTGCCTCCCGGGTTCACGCCATTCTCCTGCCTCAGCTTCCTGAGTAGCTGGGACTACAGGCACCCGCCACTATGCCCGGCTAATTTTTTGTATTTTTAGTAGAGACAGGGTTTCACCATGTTAGCCAGGATGGTCTCGATCTCCTGACCTCGTGATCCGCCCGCCTTGGCCTCCCAAAGTGCTGGGATTACAGGCGTGAGCCACTGCGCCCAGCCCTTATTTAATTCTTAGGAAAAAAAGTCTTTAATCACTTTGTCTAAATTCTATGAGAGATAGGAACCACCTCCGTATACCACCGACATGTTAAAGAGGCCATTTCCTAGGCTGCCAGGAGGAAAGGAACTAGCATTTATTTGTGCTCCTGTTACACCAGGACCATTTTGTCACCCAGGCTGGAGTGCAGTGGCGCGATCTCGGCTCACTGCAAGCTCAGCCTCCCAGGTTCACACCATTCTCCTGCCTCAGCCTCCTGAGTAGCTGGGACTACAGGCGCCCGCCACCACGCCCGGCTAATTTTTTATATTTTTAGTAGAGATGGGGTTTCACCGTGTTAGTCAGGATGGTCTCGATCTCCGGACCTCATGATCCGACCGCCTCGGCCTCCCAAAGTGCTGGGTTTACAGGCGTGAGCCACTGTGCTTGGCCGGGTGGAGTTTTCTTTATGGGTCTGATGATGATACTGAGATTCCCATACGTAAAGTCCAAGATTGCACAGCTGTGTATAATGTCTGCATTGGGACTTCAGCCCCCATTATCTGGTTCTAAATGCTCAGCTCTTTCCCACATGGGGCCTCAGTGCCAGTGCTGGCGGTGCCTACGGCTCTGTGCTCAGTTGATATTGCCCCCCTGGCTTCCTGCCTTCCTGCTCCATCCTCTCCCACTGTGGGTCAGGGTCATGGATTCTATTCCCTAGCAGTTGGTCTTCCCTCCGTGTGCTTGCGTTTTTCCCTGGAACATAACTCTTACAAAACAGCTACCAAGGTAGCTGGTTAATTACTAGTCTCAGCTTCATGCCCCAGTTCCTCTGCATAGACTAAGGACTCCTCAGGGATGGGTTGTGTTCTAGGCACCTGTTTGTCCTCAGTAGCTAGCGCTGTCCTGGAACTTGATGGGATAGCCCAATGTATATCAAGAGATGGATGGATGAAGAACGGCAAGACTCATGCTCGGGTAAATAAAAGAGCATTCAGAGCATATGAGCAAATAAACTGTCTCACAAGCTGTCAGAAGGGGAGAGGATTACTGCAGCTACTTCCAGGCTTTTCCACTTTCCTGATGAGGGAAAGTGCAAGAGTAAACAAATAATAGGTGTCTCGGCGGGGATGACTGACATGTCTTGGGAAGGAAAGCTTCATGTTCTTTCTTCAGTTCTGCCTTCAGGCTTCAATATGTAGATGTTTTGCAAAGGTCGCGTGTTCCACTCTCAAACCATCAGAAAGTTTCAGGCTAAAGAGACCTCAGAACAGGAGAGCCAGCATTCTTGGTATCTGTTCATCTGGTTCCAAACTCCAAAAGATATCTACATTTTTTTGAGTAACTGTTTCTCAGTATTTAAGATGTGTGATTCATTGACTTTTCTTCATACTTTTAACATGATAATATCCCCTTCCAAGCTCATAAAATAACATGTCAAGACTTGTTCAGGAGTGAAAAGGCCATTCTGTCTGTCGGAATGAATACATTCTACACTGATGTGGGTAGCACAATGAGGTAACCATTGTATATGATAACAATTTTGTGTATCATCTTCCACTAACTAAACTTAACTAAATTTTCATTGCCTTTAAGTAATTAAATCAATTAAAATGAAAGTATTCCATAGTTGGAAAGGATATTGAAAGTGAAAGCAATGCTTATTTAACCTCCCTCCCTCTATTAAGAAGACGTTCTAAGCGTTGATGGTGTAGACATGGGGTCTGCTCACTACGACAGTATCAGGGATGCAGAGGTGATGCCATGGTGATCTGGTGTGACTTCTGTAGAACAAGGACTTCTTCTTTGCTGACAGCTACCTGTCTGTGCCATTTCAGGTAAATGGGCTACTCTCCTGGAGAATAAGACAGGAAAAATGAATTGTATGATCCCTCTAGATTTCAACACAAACAACTCCAGTGAAAAATTAGTGAGGATGAGAGGAAATATTTTTTCTACAAAGTATGTGCTTCATTATTTAAGTTGTCTGAAACTATGGTGGGATGGTTAATGTGTCAATTTGGGTAGGCCATGGTACCCAGATATTTGGTCAAAGACTAGATGTTTTTGTGAAGGTTATTTTTAAGATGAGATTACCATTTAAATCAGTAAACTCTGAGTAAATCAGATTACCCTCTATAATGCGGGTGAGCCTCATCCATTCAGCTGAAGGCCTGAAGAGAAAGACTGAAATCTCCAAAGGAAGAAGGAATTCTGCCTCCAGGCTACCTTCAGACTGCTCATCTGCCCTGTGGAATCTTAACTTGCCAGCTCCTGCAGTCACATGAGCCACTTTCTAAAAGTAAATGTTCTCTCTCTCTCTCAATAGACAGATAGACAGCAATGGACACATCCTATTTTTTCTGTTTCTCTGGAGAACTAACTAATACACATGGGTACTTCAGAGATCACTAGAAATCAGAAGAATAACATGGAGAATTTAAAAACAATAAGCACACATTTGAAAATACTGATCTAGAAAACAAGAGTTTTTGTTTTTTAATATAAATATGTTTATGTGGGGAAAAATAATTGATATGAACAGAAAGGGTGTGTTTTTAATGGTGGAGAGAAAAGAGTATGGCATTACTTGTCTTATAGCTAAGACATTTGTCAGACAAAGGTTTTCTTGTCTTTCATCTTCCAGTCATCTGAGATCAGCTTGGCATCAGAAGATGCCAGCTGCTCTGAAATTCCAACCCAAAGATGTGAAGTGTGATGAGGATGTGATGTTGCTCAACAACTTGTTCAGTCTATACTAATTTTGGAATAGCCTGAAATCCACCATAGCTCCAGTCTTTACTAATTTAAGAGTAGCCTGGAATCCATGTCTACTCCACTATTTTCCTGAAACATAATTCTATATTGAAATGTGCCTGGTTCTAACTGCACCCAGTATGAGGAGGCACAGCAGGCAGCCATCCTGGGCCTGATGGTGGGAAGCAGTGCACCTTGTGAATATTGTGGGAATCACCTGAACTGCTGACACTTCTAAAAAGGAGGAAATGAACAAGAATTAGAGGGAATACACTGGTAGGAACAAAAGGAATCAAGAGTGTAGATGAGCCAAGTCCAAATTCCAATACAGTAAATAGCCAAGTAAAGCAGAAGGAATATCTCTTCCCCTCTAAACTAATAAATACTTACCTGGGTCGAAGGGTGGTGAGAAGCCAGACAATCTAGGACTGTCCAGGTGTGTGAGTCTAAGCAGGAGTTCCCAGATGGACACGGTAGGTCAGAGGGCTGAGTTTGTACACAAAGCTCGGGAGACCATTCATTGGGAGAACTGCAAATCAAATGATATAGGGGAGGATCTGGGTGCATTGGGATCACATTGAGAGATGAGAATCCAGATCCCAGAAAACTTGGTATCCCTGGCCAAGGAATTTACGTTTTACCATTCAGATGGGTGGTTTTCAGTTTACGTGGCACTGGTTAGTGGGTCATGAAATCAATTCCATGGGTTGCAATTTGCATTTTTACAGAATAGAATAGAAAATGTCAGCGCATTTCATGTAAAAAAGGTAAGTTTTTGTGGGGGGAACCAGTTGCTCCAGTTACATCTCTCTCTATTTATTATCAGTGTGTACGTGCACAGGGTTTTCTTCCAGTCCATCAATCCTAATCACACAGGTCAAAAGCCACTGCTGCCGGCAATGGGGAACCACTGAAGAGTTTAAAGTTGCAAGCAGCAGGGTTAGCTTTTGCATTTAGAAAGATACTGTTGTTTCAGAGACAGGATAGATGACACGGGCAGGGTTATGTAGAGGATGGCTTTGGGATACTGTAGCTCTGCCACCCCCAGGCAATGTGAGCTTAGGTCATGTTCCTCAATGGTTTATGGGCATAGTCACCATTCCCAACATATGGGCTTTCTGTGTTTCTTATGGCCCAGCACATGGTGCCTGGCTCAGGGTAACCACTCCAGACAGTTAAGTTGTCACCAATGTTATTTTTTCATTTACTTAATATTTTGGGTTTTAATGTATTTATTTTCATTCATTGCCCAGTATATGAAAAACACTGCATAATCAGCCTAAAAATAGGCCATATGGACTATGAGACCTGCAAACACTACAGGGAGGCGTGGCACTGAGGGCCTTTCAGTGGTGAAAGATGGTGGTGCCCCTCCCACTTTTCACTCTGCCTCTTTCTAACCAGTTTGATTATTCCGTGTCTACCTAGTTTAAGAGACTGTGATAGCCCGAGCCGATGGGACTGAGCTTATGTCTCATAATAATATCCATTTTCTCAATATTGATTGAGTAGGTATTGTGTGTAAAATATTTGATCATTTAAAAAATGGTTATATTTATTTTTGTGACAAAATGTACATGGACTGAATGGCTTTATTCAGCACATATACTACTATGCTATTATTTAACCTTATAACAGAAAACAAAAACTTGGTTTATATACTAGAAATATATGCTCAATGGTACATGGAATATGTGCACACATGCATGTTATAAAATAGCCATCTCCAACCTTTTTGACACCAGGGACGGGTTTTGTAGAAGACAATTTTTCCACAGATCAGGGGAGAGGATGGTTTTGGGATGAAACTGTTCACCCTCAGATCATCAGTCATTAGATTCTCATAAGGAGCACGCAACCTAGATCCCTCCCGTGCACAGTTTACTATAGCGTCCATGCTTCTGTGAGAATCTAATGCTGCCGCTGATCTGACAGCAGAGGCGGAGCTCAAGCGGTAATGCTCACTAACCCACCACTCACCTCCTGCTCTGCGGCCCAGTTCCTAACAGGCCAGCCAGTCTTTGGCTTGGGGGTTGGGGACCCCTACTCTAAAATGAACTCCATTGATCCCATATCTGCTATTCCATATCCCATGTGATAACTTTTCTAAGATTCCGTCTCTGGGTAGTGCTTTATTTCTTCTTGAGGAAATCAATCTTTAATGTGATTTTAATTATTTTAGAGACAGATGTTAGGCAAGAGAGGAATTTTGCAACTAGAAATGATCATGACCACTTCAGTTCTTCAGCTATGAACAGCATGCCTATGTGTATTTTAAATCCAGTCTTGCATCTTCTTTATTTGTATAACAAGCATTAGAAAACATTTTGATTGATCTGGTTTTCAATGGAATCATATTGTTAAAATTTTGCTTAAGATATGTGTCATAATGGGAAAAAAAGTTAAGGTATTTCCCAACTTTTTCAGCTGGTTATTTGGGGCATTTCACTACTAATTTTGGCAATTTCCCAAAGGCAAAATGCTACAAAACAAAATTCAGTAAAAAAACAAACATATTCAGTGGTTTTTCTACTTAATGATCACTCATAGACAATGATGCTCGAGTGAGCATGGGATAGTCAACAGGGAAACGGAGGAGGATTTATGTTTAGTATTAATTACACAACTGAGAAATAGTTCTCTCCATCAAAGAGCTGCCTTGGAAACTTCTTATTGTTCACTATGAGTGTGGTGGAGACATCCGTGACAGCATATGAATCAAACTAATTGTAACTCTTACTTGGTGATGAAAAAAAAATGACATGTGCGTTCTTCTAAATTAAGTCTTTCTCACACAAATTACTGGTTGCCACCGTAAATCAAGCAACATGTGTTTTGAATTCTGACTGCTAGAGAATTAGCTACTGAGTGGGGAAATGAGATACTTTTGTTTGCAGCTACACTCAAGTAGACTTTTTTTTTTTGGCTTTATCTAAAAATACATGTTGTAGAAGTATTGACTCACCAGCTTCTACAGCAAGAAAGATATTCAGAGTGTTAGTCCGGCCCCTTCATTTTCAGGTGAGGAAAATGATGCCCCGGAAGGTTAGGGAGTGACTTGGAGTCTCATTCAAATGAGTGGGTGAGCTTGGACTTGAATTTCCATTTTCTGGTTTTGGTGCAGTGACTTTTGTGCTCTCTGATGGCTGCTATCTCAGTAGCAAGCAGTCACCTAAATTCAGACGTGGCCAGGTCCCTGCATAAGCCCATATACTATCAGGACACAAGGAGGTGGTGGGGTGGGATTTGATCCAGACTCTTGACTCCAAAGCTACCACACTCTCCTTCTCAGCTGAGAACTCAGTGATAACTTAAAATTTATTATTTTCTAAAAGATCTATTGTATGGCTTTTATTGTAAAGTACAACATGTTAAGTAAGCTGTGAGTGTCAAATTATGGAGATAATAGTAAAAATGCCCTTCGGATGAAGGATATAAACTTTATTGTCCTTAATTCAATTGTCAGTGACATTTTTAATGTGTCTGCAATGCCTTTAACTTTGAAACTTTTCAAGGGAACTTTCTCTATACTGGGAGTCATCAAACTACCGCCTGTGGGTCAAATCTGGCCTGCCACCTGTTTTTATGTGGCCTGAGTACTAAGAATGGTTTTTATATTGTTAGATGATTTTTTTTTTTAAGAGAGAGGGTGTTGCTCTATCACCCAGGCTAGGCTAGAGGGCAGTGGTGCCATCATGGCTTACTACAGCCTCGACCTCCTGGGCTTAAAGGATCCTCCTGCCTCAGCCTCCCGAGTAGCTGGGATTACAGGTGTGAGCTACCACTTCTGGCTGATGTTTTAAAAACTAAATATATGTATCTTATTACAAGTGAAAATTATATGAAATTGTTTATTTTTCACAAATCAAGTTTTATTGGAACACAGAGCCACACTCATTCATTTGCACATTGGCTATGGCTGCTTACAGTCTACAGTGGCAGAGTTGGGTAGTCATGGCAGAGAGGCCATGGTGCTCAAGGCCTGAACTATTCACTTGCAGCCCTTTACAGGGGTGGTATGCCAGCCCCTGCTCTGCTCCGCCTGAATGGAGGCTCCATGTCCTGGGATGTCATCCCACAGTGCTGTGACTCTGCCTCTTTCCTCTGAGGCTGGAGACACTATAGTATCCCACACCACACAGAGGACATGCCTCCTTGGAAGGGTCAGGAGTACTATATCATGTAATTTTATTAACCAAGTTACTTCATCACATGCTTAAGCAAAACCGAATTTTATAAACTTAACAATGGTTGGGTGCAGTGGCTCGTGCCTATAATCCCAGCACTTTGGGAGGCCAAGGCAGGTGGATCACTTGAGCTCAGGACTACAAGACCAGCCTGGGCAACATGGTGAAACCTTGTCTCTCCAAAAAAAAAAAAAAAAAAAAAAAAAAAAAAATATATATATATATATAAAATTAGCCAGGTGTTGTGGAACATGCCTGTGGTCCCAGCATCTCAGGAAGCTGAGGCATGAGAATCACCTGAGCTCGGAGGTGGAGGTTGCAGAAAGCTGAGATTAAGCCACTGCACTCCAGCCTGGGTAACAGAGTGAGACTCCGTCTCAAAACAAAACAAAACAAATCAAACAAACCTACAATGTGCACGAAACCTGATGTGATAGCCTGTGTTAAGCCAGCTTCTGCACCTCAGCACTGTGGGCATTGGAGTTGGGTACTTCATCGAGGTAGGGTCCACCCTGTGCCCTGCAGGATGCATAGCAGCATCCCTGCCCTCTGCCCACTGGGTCCAAGTAGCCTTTCTCCAGGCTCTGCCCAACCTCCACTCGTGTGGGGAATGAAGTTGTCCCTGGTTGCAACCACTGGTTTAGAATGCAGCCCCGCAGGAAAGCCAATAGGCAAGAGGTGGGGGACAGGGGAAGCTGAGACCCTGACAATACGTAGTAGCCAGAGGCCTCAGAGCAGGGCTGGGAGGCAAGATCATGAAGGGCAGCCTCCAGGGCTGTTGTATCCTGGAAGCTGTTTCCATTCTATTTGAGGCATGTCTGTGAGGCCACTGGAATGTGTTCTGGGATTCCTACCCCCCGATAAACTTACGTTGTCAGGGCACCTAAGCACTCTTAGTTCCTTACACCCATGTGTCCAGTGGGAGAAAATGATCCACTGGAAGATGAAGGAGGAGGAAAGGCTGTTCCCTGGGTTTAGCCGCCCGCTGGCAGGGGCCTCAGAGGGTAGGGTCCAGTCTCAGCGTGTGTCGTCAGCTGTCCCTAGCTTCGGTGTTGGATTGACCCCCACTGCTCCCTCCTGGCCCCCACGGCATCACTCCTTGCACTTGTGGTGGTGGTCGTGGTGAGGTTGTTTTCTGCTTCATTTGGGAGCCAGTAGGAGCATCGTATTTCCAGGCTCCTGGCCTTCACATCTTACCCCTTTTCCCGCTGTATGGGAGGCTGGCGATTCAGTGGTTTCGGTGTGGGGTGGGTGCAGTTTACGTACTTAGTGCTCTATCTGCTTTGAGGCGGGCAGAGGGAAGTATTGGTGCGGGGAGGGCGCCCACAGGACAGCAGGGCTGGCTTTCTCCCTGTGTTTGGTTACGCGCCATTTCGAGTGTGCTCACCCCCTGGAGGGGAGCAGATCTCTTGCCAAGGAGGACAAACTTGGGGTTCCATCCATTCCTCAGCCTGGAAGGCTTCATTTCTAACCAAGAGAAACTGTTCCATTTTATTCATTTTTTAAAACACTTTCTGTGTTTCCAACCAAGCAATGATTTTCATCATCCTTAGGTCTGAAATTGAATATAGCTGTTAGCCCCACTTTGTGGGTATTCAGAAGAATTCTCTGACTTTGTCAGTTCTGAGCCACTGCTTGGAGGGGTGGGGAGGGTTAAAAGTCAAGCACACCTCCATCTTATGCTTAGCTCTGGAATCTTCTTTCTCCTCTTGGCCACTGATTTTTGAAGTTTATAATACTGAACCATGACCTTTTTTGTGTCGTGGCTGTAGTGGTGAATTTCCTTTGTTGCATTTTAGAAATTTGGTCTATTTTGGCTGGGCGCGGTGGCTCACGCCTGTAATCCCAGCACTTTGGGAGGCCGAGGCGGGCGGATCACGAGGTCAGGAGATCGAGACCATCCTGGCTAACATGGTGAAACTCCGTCTCTACTAAAAATACAAAAAATTAGCTGGGCGTGGTGGCGGGCACCTGTAGTCTCAGCTACTCGAGAGGCTGAGGCAGGAGAATGGCGTGAACCCGGGAGGCAGCAGAGCTCGCAGTGAGCCGAGATAGCGCCACTGCAGTCCGGCCTGGGTGAAAGAGTGATACTCTGTCTCAAAAAAAAAAAAAAGAAAGAAAAAAAGAAAAAGAAATGTTGGTCTATTTTGTTAGGTATTGTATAGGGAAGTTCTACCCAATCGTTTTAATATGACACTAATATTTGGCCACCCGTATTCATATCTTTATGGTTATCAAAAAATGGAACCATAATTATTGATCATTATTAAATAAGTGAAATAAACATCTGGAAGTGCAAAGAATGTGTAAATAAAATGCATTATTTCTGCCTGCCCTTCCCCCACCAAATGATTTGGAGGGCAACTGGGATGACCAATGTAAGTGAAAGAGTTACAGAATAATTAAGTGACAAGGGGCACTACTGACTATGTGCCATCCTAATTCAGAGAAAAGAAGGATGCATGTAGGCTTGAACTTGTCAAAAGAGACTTTGCGCCCGTCGAGGCTAACATATGAAGGTTTTCTGCAAACCAGGCACTGTTCCATTGTGGATATTAATTCCTTTAACCCTGCGATCCCCTACCACTGTGGGGCAAGAGCAGATTTTAAAGGAGAAGTAGTAACAAAACCAAACAAAATATATCAGGAGAGACTGTGCAGGGAAGAATCAGCAGCCACAACTCTCTAGAATGTTAATGAAATGGTGGGCAGGTGTGTAGGTAGGACTGGATCCAATTATGAACTTCGTGGGCATGTTTAGGCTTGAAGTTCTTTTAGCAGTAGTAGAGGACTCCAATGAGTTTACTAGGTAATTGATATCGTTGGTATTATGTTGATGATATTAGCAAGTTAAGACTAGCGAGTGTATAGTTTTCCCGATAAAGAACATTTAGCTACAGGAGAACATTTGTGAATTCAAGTATTTATTATATGATGTTTTTGAAATAATCACTTTGAAAGTTAATAAATACTTCTGTTTTACTTTTCAGATGTGTTACTTTAAAACAAGATACTCTATTCTGTAGCTTTGCAGTATTGGGTAAATGATGAGTGAGGATCAGACATTTGATGTGAGTTTCAGTTTTGAATCCAAGTTGCATAAAAAGCCTGAGATTCATCTACTGAATTGAGAGTTTTGAACATTTAAGGATCTTCTGCTCTGTCATAATTGCTTATATCATATGCAAAGAACATCTTGCTACGGGTAGTGGTATGGTGTGCTTTTATCAGCTAGCAAAAAAGTATTTAAGTAAAATCACTAAATAGATAGTCACTAAATAGAGAACAGAACAGTCCCAGATATTTCAATGGATCACTAAAGGATGAATCATGAAACATACCTAAATGTCATTTCATTAATTTCCTTCTTTCTTTGTTCAAAATTGTTTATTAAATCTTCTCAAACCTGTCTAATTTTTGTTTACTTTAATTTTCTTGACAAAACATCAACATGAATTAAAAAAAAAATACTTTCTGAGATAATTCATATGGATTTACGTCTACAACAGTCTTAAAATAAACTGAAAGTGAGTCACTGCATTTGTAGACAGCTGCTTCATTTCCATTGTCTGTCTTGTTTGTTTTAAGGCATTTCTAAGAATTATTTGCCAAATGTTAATTTGAGGTAGAAGCCACAGTGTGAGCTGAGTGATAATAATTTGCGTATTCACCCTATGTCCTCCTAGAAGGACCAATCCTTCTGTGTCTTATCCTGTGGAGTTTCAGTCCAGCCTTGGCCATACGTTTGGACAAGAATGAACAGAAGAGAAATATATTGAATATAGAACTGGACACAAGGTGAATTCACAGAAATTCAAACTGGAATTTAGGTAGCTGAAACTGGACTTGAAGTTGGAGTTTCTGTATTGCCTGCTCTCAGGGCCCCTTATGGAGAGGACCTGAGCCCCCAGATTCACTGTAGAAATTCTTTAACCCAGCCGGGTGCGGTGGCTCACACCTGTAATCCCTGCGCTTTGGGAGGCCGAGGCAGGCGGATCACCTGAGGTCAGGAGTTCGAGACCAGACTGGCCAACATGGTGAAACCTCATCTCTACTAAAAATACAAAAAGTTAGCAGGACTTGGTGGCACGGGCCTGTAATCTCAGCTACTCGGGAGGCTGAGGCAGGAGAATCGCTTGAACGCAGGAGGTGGAGGTTGCAGTGAGCCGAGATCACGCCACTGCACTCCAGCCTGAGCAACAAAAGAGAAACTCCATCTAGAAAAAACAAAAACAAACAAACAAAAAAAAAGAAATTACTTAACCCTTGGTTCCACCAAGCCTTTGGAACCATTAATGTGGGAGGAGCCTGTCATCCAAGCTGTGGCAGATGGAAAACATGAACGGTTCCTCTCCACGATTGAATCTGGGAGGGCTTGGGACTTACGTTGACTAACAGGAAATAGGGTAGTGACTGTGAATTCTGGAGTCCTGGCCTTATAAGTTCTTGAAGATCCTCTCTCATTTCCTGGGACTGCTGCCCTGAGAACACCATTAGGGAAGCCAGTCCAACCTGGCAGAGAATGAGTCTCCACATGGAGAAGACCCAAAGTCCCAGCCCATGGCCAGCAGCAATGGCCAGAAAGACATGTCACTGGGGCCAGCTTGTAGGGTCAGCCCACCTTCCAGCCGAGCACAATCATGGGATTGTTGACAGCAAAACCAGGAGGACCCAGTACCTAGCCACCCAGCCCACTGAATCAGGAGAAGAAAATCCATCATTGTTGTTCCAAACCACTAGTTTTGGGGTGATTTGTTTTGCAGCAATAGATGATTGAAATATTAATGCTTCCTAAACCAAGCCAGGCTTGAGCTCAAGTCAGCGTGGGTGCATAGCTGGTGAGAATAACACATTATTTTCCTTAGAAATCTCTGCATAAGATTTAATATTTTACCAGACTCAGCTTTATACATGTCAATTTAGTACTCTTAAGCATCTGTTTACTGTTTGATAAATATTTTTGTTGGCATGACAAAGTTGAGAATTCCTGAGTTTGTTTATGCTAATGTACTTATTCAAATTAATCAATAAATATTTTTTAATGTAATATAGCATTTTCTCATTAGCCATGACTTCCATTTCCATGCTGATCTTGATTTCTGCTTCCTGGCAGAAAACTTGCCTTCTTTTCACTTTGGCAGGGCTGCAGTTTATAAGTTATTCATTCCCTTTTTGGCTCTTCCACACTCAATTCTGGGCCACATGTCTTCTGTCATGGCGTGTAGCTGGAGTCAGCCACAGGAGTAGCGTTCAACGATGTGATTAACATGAGCGCTTGGACTTGTACCTACAGAATAACAGAAAGGAGAATGTTGCTTCATCAGCCCTAGAAAGATCAGATATCAGAAGACCTTTGAGAAACACATTGGAAAGAATTAAAGTACTCTTCCTTCTCTGCAGTTCCCCTGGAAATCTATGCATGCATATCAATAATGCATATTGTGATAAAATTGAAAGAGAGAGATGTACACACACACATAATATACATAACATATACATATATATTTATATACATCTTCCAATCAGTTCTTCTAATGGAGAAGACACATAGGTGTTCAACAGTAACCAAAAATAGAATTCAAAGTGTATTTACTTTTCTGCTGTCACCCTCAAGGATGTCTTACCATTTCCTCCTGACACCTTGTTGAATGGGAGACACCTAGAACTGAAAGAGACAGCAGTAATATACCTCATCATTTCTCAGGCGAAAGGTCAAGAGGTTATGTAATTTACCCATTGTCCACTTAAAGAGTGACAGAGCTGAGGCCAGAATGTTCTCCTGGCTTCTGTCATTGAAAAATCAGATTATTTAATGAGTTCCTCAGTGAAATCTTATTCAAAGTGTAATGAGGCATTCGGTCACACAATCATGCATTCACTCCTGTATCCATCCAACAAATGTTTATTGTTTGTCTTCCTATGCCAGGCAATGGCCTCTGTGTTCTGTACTGGGAACAAAATATTGAAGAAGGCACAGTCTGGGCTCACTAACACCTACGCTTGAAGCAAACAGGTGACTTTGGCAGAGTTCAGGAGCCATTAGCAAAGTGAATGTTGACAGCTAACACAGCACACAGCACCTAGCCTAGCTGTGGGTGGGGAGGGCATCCTTAGGGAGGAGGTGGTTGAAAGTTTGTCTGGAGAATTGGTGGGGATAGCCTTAGCAAAGGACTGGGTGGAAATGACGTGATGGAACCAGCCATCCAGGTCCCGGGGGAGCGTGCTCCAGTGCGGGTCTGAGGCTGCAGGGTCAAAGAAAGGAGGAGGAAGAAATAAAGAAGGTGGGATGCCTGGGGTATATCATATCTTGTAATATACTGAAGGGCTTTGGCCTTGTCCAACGTGTTAGAAGACTTCAGAGCTGGAGCTGAGCTTATTTGACTGCTTCCCATTTTAGAAAGACCCCCACTGCAGAAGAGAAGGTGAGGGAAAAGGAGGACAGGAGGAGAGAAGCCAGTTAGGAGGTGATTCTCTAGGTGACAGAGGTTGCTGAGAACTGGGCAGAGCAGTAGGTTGAGGAAGGGGCAGGTTCTGAAGTGTGAATGGCAGGAGCCTGCTTCACTGGATGTGGACTGGTAAGAAGGAAAGAACAGTCAGGTATGAAAGCAGGTTTCTGCATGGGCAGCTGGGCACATGGGCAGATATTGACTACGCTAAGATTATAAACGGAGGGACAGCTTTTGGAGGGAAGGTGACAGTTTCCATTTGCAAACAGCTGCATTTGAGTTCTCTGCATGTGACAGAGACCAATGGATTGTCTCCCAGTACTTGTTCTCTTCTTCTTCCTCTGTTGTAAGATGATCTCTGTGGCTGGGTACGTCTCACCCAGAATAGAGATATGTCACTGCATCCCTTAGTGCTCGGTATAGCCAATGGCATGTGAGAAGTGATGGTGTACATCCTAGTGATGTCCTGGAGAGGTGCCATTCTGGAATGACAGGGGCAAGACAACAGTGAAAGTGATGGGCCACAGAGTCCAAGGTGGAGAGGAACAGAGGTAAATGAAGGGGAAGAGTATAGGGGAAATTAGTTAGGTTAAAAGTCCAGAGGAGAAGTCTTATATTTAGAGGAATGTTTCTCAACCAGAGGGAGACTGTTACCCCCCAGGAAACAGTTGTCAATGTTTGTGAGCAGTCTGGATTGTCATAAAAGGGGTTGGGGGTCTTGCTGACCTCTGGTGGGTAAAGGGTACTAAAGTCTAGTCTATGTCTCAGTCTACTGGACAGATGCTGCTAAATATCCTGCAGTTTGCACGTCAGCCCCCCACAGCAAAGAGCCATGTCGCTCAAAATGCTGATAGCGCTGAGGGTGAGAAACCATGGTTTAGAGTATAGGCAGATGTGGTAAATGTGTGCAGTGAACTTGCAAGTCATTAAGGAATGGCAAGGGCTGTGGTAAGCTGTACAGTGCATGACCTATCTGAAGGGGTTCAAATTCTTTAAACATGTACACATAACTATGCACTCTGCAAGCTAATCAGAGTACATCTGACTGACCAGGCTCAGTCCACAGGCTGCCAGTTGCCTTCCTCTGGACTTAAAGTTTTGGCTAGTCTTAAGAACTTACTCAGATTCAATAAGCGAGTGAGAAAACACACCCAATCAAGATTTCTCAATGCATTACATATATAAAGTAAACTTGAGTTTTCATCCTATGTAACTTGCAAGGAAATGCATTACATGATTGATTTCTTAAATTCTGTAAGCTCTAAGCCATGGTTTATTTTTGTCAGGTAGTGGGACACATGACAGCCTGTTTTTAGCTAATATTTGATGTGATTTCCTCCAAAGACAAAGCTATTGGTGAAGCTTAGAAGGAGGAGTCCCTGAAAGAAAATCTGCATTCTAATTACTAAAATGCATTTTCTAAAGACAAAGAGAAAGCTTAAAAAATACCATGTGCCAGCAACATAGGTACAGAAATAGGATATGTATGTGTAGAAAATTGATAGCCAAGCAAGCTACAGCAGAAGAACACCTTTATTTTTGAGTTTGAGCTGCAGTCATTGAGTTACATTTAATAAAATTCCAGGATCGTGACAGGCTTTCCGCTTTCTGATGTGATGACTTCCCTGCAGTTGCCTTTTGCATCTTTAATCCTTATCTGAAGAAGCTCAGGACATTGTTTCATGAGCAGAGTGAGAATTAGAACAGTTCTGCAGCCTTTCTTTCTTCACTTATTATTCTTTCCTGAAAAGTTGTTATGCAGAAATGATGGGTACATCTCTTGGTATCAACTACATCAGTGCCCACAGGGACAATTAGTGTTTGAAGACAGGCACAATATTTAAAGGCTGTTATCTCCTGGGTTGTATCTTTGGAGGCTTTTCTGTGGGAGCTGGCATGGAGCACTTAATTTATCAGAACAAATATGCAGAGGTGTGGACATCTGCCTCAGTGCGAGAGTGTCCTAGGCTCACCTTCCCAAGCATTCACAGCAGAAAATGTATGTGACCGCTTCAGGATTCAGTCATGTGTTCAAGAGAGAAATGCAGTGCAGTTTTTTCCGGAAATCTCCCCAGTTGACAATATTTTCAAAGGAAGCCTTCTGATATTGGCTACAATTTTGCTCTGGGCACCAACTCTCACCCAGGGGTGCTTCCAGCCTGGATTGGGCTTGGCTTGGTGGGGAGAGATTGGGAGTTTGCCGACAGTGTGGGATACTTGTGGTACTCGCCCCAAGAGCAGTTTTGCTTTGGGGTTCAAATCTCTGACTTCAAAACCATTTAAAAAAAGGGGGGCCATTGTCCCCACTGAAATAAAAGAAAATCAGTCATGCCCTAAGACACTTCACTATGGAACGATTGCTCTCCTGTCCCCAGCTGGAGCTACATTATTTATTCTTGCACCTATTTATGTATTGTCCCTTTTTCCTGGGTAAAGTTTAGCAAACTGCTTAAGAGCAATTAACCACTAACTACTTTCCTCCCACTGGTTCTAATCCCAACTCCTCCACCTCCTTACTTTGGATTGTTTAGCAAGCCATGCAACCTATTTGGTCTCCAATTTCTTCTTCATAGAAATGGGAGAAATAATAATATCTACAACATTAAGTGCTGAGAGAATTAAGCAAGACAATACTTAGAAATTGTTTAGACCTGGAACTGATATATGGGAAGTGGTTGATAAATATTTGTTGAGTGGAAGAAAGAATATTGAATTAAGAGCACACTGTCTGCATGCAAGTAGAGCAGTTCTAAAATCGCCTGGGAATAATAGGAGAGGGTGCATTTCCGTGCAAAAGAAGAGACCCGTTTTTTCAGTCAACAACCTTGAATGCTGCAAACATGAGTTTATAGACCCCCTTTAAGGTGAAAGTTAGCAGAGCTATTTCAGGGTCTGGTCTCCCCTCCCATGGCTTTGCCCCCTTCTGTTGCTCATTCTCACCCCTTCAAGCTTCTCTTATACTCATGATGGTTTTATAAATTCGAGCGTCTAAGCTTGGCAGCACAGCCTACTCCAAAAGAGAACCATGAATGTGGGAGGAGCCTGTCATCCAAGCTCTGTTTCTCTTCAAGACTGAATCTGGGAGGGGCTGATTCTCAAGGATGAAGGGAAGTGAGCCCACAGTTTCAGCATCATCAGGGAGGGAGCTGGAGTCTGTGCCCCTCTGGACAGATCATAGTGTTCCTTTTCTTATGCTTTTCAGAGGAGCCTCATTGCCTCCCTGAGTTTAGGATGGTAATGCTATGCTGCCAGCATTCTTAAGGATGGGAACCGGACTGGCTGATTAATCCCCATTACTTTTGCATCCAATGAGAATTAAAACTTTGGAGAATATAGACAACAATAATTTGCATGTAGGATAACATCTGCCACGAAGTAGAATGAGTGAATTATCATGACTCCAGCTTCTAGTTAGAGAAAATCTTTTAGAGACATGACCTCTGGTTTTTATTTTGGAGGAAGAAATGCACATTAGTACAAAGTTGTCCCTGTACTCGGTGGGATCATTCCTGCTCTGTGTAATTCTGACACCACTGAAACGACCACATTCTCAGCCTTTTTTTCCATGGACTGCAAGGCAGACAAGTGGGGGTTACCAGTGTGGGCTTCAAAGTCATGAGGTCCCTGCCCTGAAGACTCCTCACAGGTGGAATGGCCTTGCCAAGGCTCAACCTCCTCTTACTCTACGTGAGGGAGAAGAATCAGCACTTCACAGAGGGGCTTTCCAGAGCTTTTACCCTGAAGCTGCAGCTTGTGGGCACACCACGTGAGTGAATGAGTGACCTCTCCCCACGTCAGAGCAGCTGAGAAAATCCTAAGCATTCAGGGACGGAGGACATAGGTTGGTGTGCACATACTTGCATGAATTTGCATCTGTCGCAATAGCTAGGGTAAGCGGTGATAAAAATGGCTCCCAAATCAAAGTGGCTGAACAATAGTGGTTTCTCACTTGTATTTGTCCACTGTAGGGGGACTGCCACTTTGCACCATGAATGGGACCCAGGCTCAAAGTCACTATCTGTGACACTGCTGGTCCCAAAGAGGAGGGAAAGGAAAGCATGATGAGGCCCACAGTGGCTCTTAAGGCTTTTGTTAGAAGGAGCACATATCACTGCTGCTTACATGTCACTGGTCCTACCAAGGTACATTGCCTCCCAGGGGGGCATGGGAGGGAGAGTCAACACATTTCAGAACGATAGTCCAGTCCATTGCAAGTGTAGCATGTACATAACTGCATCATGTATCTGTCATCTGTAGCATAGAGTTGCTCTGAGGGGTTGCATTTGAACATAAAAAAATATTCTGTTTTGCTCCTTGGGACCTTTCATCAAATCGATACCAATGTGCTACCACTTTTTCCTTCTTCTTCTTATCTCCTTCTGTCAATGATATTATCAGCATCTCCACTTTGTCCTCCTCCTCAGAAGAAATCCAAAGGCTGGCGCCACCACCTGGCTGGCCTTCTGTACCTTATGTTGAGGGTTTTTGGCCAGTGCCCAGGAGCATGGTCTGTCTTCACCCATTCTCTCCCCAGCGTGCCTCTACTGGCATTGCCCCTGTCAGACTGGATGGCATTGCTTACCTATGCATGGATACTCTTTGAGAGGCAAGTCAAATCAGACTTGGCTCCCCTGTGGAGCATTTTGCTTTTTCACTTTATGGTGTGTGAGTGTGGCGGTCATGTTTGCAGGATGAGATTCCCCTTTGGGTGATTTTCTCACACTGGTGCTGATCTATGCTTGCTCAGGCTTTGCAGGTGCACCAGCCTGCAGGGCTGACTTGGGTGCTGGTGTGCCACAAGGTGCCCTGTGCCTATTCCAGGGAGCACAGCTGCAGCTCTCATCTGATGACCTCCATAGACTCTTATCCAAGGATTGAATATTTTTCCACCTTTTGAGTGATTCTCATTTCCCTAGAGGCTCTATTTTAGAGAATTGAATTGACTGTTGATGATAAACAGTTCCGGTTTAGAAATACCAATTTACTGTCATCAGTGACTGAAGGCATACTTTATAATTTGACTTGATTAGCACTTTCTTCTCTAACTGCTAACTGAAGAGTCATCGCATGTGAGTGATAATTTCATTCTTTCCAGCATCTTTTAACAATGTACTCTCTAAAAATGTTCTGGTCATCTCCTTGAACCTGCAAATCCAGCTGGATGGAAAGAGCTGGCTGTGAAGCTGGAAGACGAGTTCCATCCAGTCTCAACTCGCAGGTGACGACCACCTGGCTTCACTCCCTTGGAGCCACATCTATGTCTGTTGTGCCTTTTTTTTTTTTTTGTCAAAACATGTTTAAATCTAAATGATATTATATGTGACCAGGGTTTGTTAAGTGAGAAAATAAGATATGCATGCAAGGAAAGCACTTGCTGTCTTATAAAAGGGTCACCTGATTTGCTGAAGTGCCTAGTGACTTTAATATGCACAAAACATTCCAGTTTCCTAGGCTGTGAAAGAAGCAGGCTGACTTTCCCTCTGCACACAGATATGAAAACACTGGCCTTTAAAGTCGCTCCTCAGTAATCTCAGCCCTTCTTCATCCTCCTCCCACAAGTCAGAGACACTGCAAGGAACATACGACCCAGACTCAGCCTCCTCCCTGGGTGCTAGTTCTGGATCCCACTTGGAGTCTCCTTGCCCTCAGGCCATCTGGACTTGCAGTCTTCGCCACCGTGTGGGAATTTGATCCCTTGGGTTCTTTCCTCTGCGTGGTGCTAGTGGTTGGGCACTTGGGTGCAGCAGGATGTAGTCATCTCTAGGACGGTGGAAAGTAAGTTCTAGAAAGGGCCTCCCATGGTTCTTTGAAGAGCTGTGCTCTTACATGGACATGGAGGCCTTCAACTCCTTAGCCCAACAGACCTATTGTCCAGATGACCAAGCTGGGCACCAAAGGCTGACCGATTTGGTTGAGGTGGCAGAGAAAGGGTGGAATCCCATCTTCTCCTACTTCAGAGCCATTTCTACTGCGATGCCTTCTATTCTCCATCCCATGTGAATATGATGACCAATTTTTTTTGTAAAAGTCAGAGAAAGATAAAGCAAGATCTTTCAAATAGTAAGAGTAAGAGTTTTAACTGATTGATATGAAGCAAAAATTCTACTGAGGGACCTAAGAAAAAGCTGAATTTTGTAATGGGAAACAGCAACAGTAGCAGTTGTTGGGAGAACAGGGTGATGAAGGCTGAGGCTGGAGGAGGACTGTTATTGTCTGAGACTTGGAGACGTGGAGCCTGCTGCAAAGGAAGATGCGTGATAGGAGCTGGGGGAGGTGCAGCATAGGCAACATTTTGTGTTGATGGACAACTAGCTTTTTAATACTGGAGGACGTTATGAAATGATTTCTGTTTCCTAAGTACATGGGTGAAGGAGCCACAGGTGGCCCAATGGCTGCTTAGGGATCTGGTGTTTGTCCACTCTGTTAGCTACTTTCTTTTAGAAGGAGAAAAACTTACAACATCCTTTCTGTTTATCCCATTGATTTAGCATCCTGATGTAATTGAAATTGCCTTTAAAATAAGAATTACAAAAGAAAAACTTAAAGATTCATATGAAAGGAGTGTTTCATTGTTATCCTCCCGTTTGGAAAGTAAAGGAGCTTTAAGTATCTATTACATGCATGGTTTATTGAAGGAACAGGGTATAGTATGTATTTCTATATCTTAGCTTAAAATTTAAGTACAAGTCTTCTTTGCTTCAATTGGATTTTCCTACCAATTGAAATAGTCTAAAAAAAGACATAAAATGTAGCTACAATGTCTGCCTTGCTTCATTAGTTTAGAAACACTTCAGAGCTCAGATTGTTCTGAACTTTGATCACTAGTACATTGAAATTTACTAAATTAACTCTGTATCTCTTATATCAGACATAATTTAAAAGAACAAGTTCTAAGAAAAATGTATTGCTAATGAATAATAATTGGAGGTTTAACAAAGGGATGTGTTAAATGGAACCCCCAAATCAAGGGCAAGTTATTAATCAGATAACCTTTGAATATGCCAAAATTAGACAGATTCTCAGTAGTTGCATGAGCTTTACTAGAAAGAGAAAGAAGTAATAACCAGTGTGCATCCATCAGTTTAATGACAACTTAATTTTTCAAAAGTATCCTTAAGGAATTTCTCCAACAAACTTGGGAAAATAATGTAGCTAAGTTATACCCAGTATATTAAGCACTTAAGTGTGTGTGTTGCTTTCAGATAATTTGGCAGGGCACACAGCTACATTTGCAAAATGCTAAAATATTAATGGAATTATTAACATTGTCAGATTTTACAAATTGGGCTGAAATTTATCATGGATGCCATAATAGTGGGCTTTTCCTTCAGATCAGAACATTTTAAATTTAAAAGAAGGAGTCTTGCTTCACCACTTTTGAGCTCAGGCTTTTTTTGGAAACTCATTCAATTGCCCAGCACTGTGATCACCTAGAGGGCATATGCACACTCAAAGCATGGACCCTGAGCTGTCACCAGGTGCAGTGCTATCTACCATCCACCAGTGGTGCCAGTGTTGAATGATGGGGGAAGGCTTGAGTTCTTTTATTAGGCTGGGTGGCAGTTACCAACGTCTTCATTTCAGCTTAAATTCACATGGATTCTTTAGCAGTTCCAACAAAAGAAAAAATTCTTGTTTTGTACAACATATGAAGTTTACTTTCTATATTTTTTAAACCACCTATTAAAAGTCAGTCATCCTTCTACATTTGGGTCTAAAATAAAGATTTTAACTTACATTTGGTTGTTAAATGAGGCTCTGAGTGTGGAAAAGGATTACTATATTTGATTCTCTTTTTTTGATCCTAGAATCTGTATCTTTCAGGAAGGACCGGCTCTGTGTGATTTGGGGTTTAGCATAATCTTATTACAGAATATAGGAGGAGGAGAGACAATGCTTGGAAAAGTCTGTTAGGTTTACCACAAGCAGATCCTAAGACAAGGGTCTGGTTACAGTAATTTAGTTGGGAAGTGGTTCTCTTTAGCAGGGTGAGGGCGTGGGACCATGAGGTCCGCTCCCTCCAAAGAGGGAAGTTAGCTCATGAAAGGGGCTGATGGTGGAAGCAGGGCTCAATCTTGCCTGGGACTCTCTGAGCAATGTGCCGACCGATTTCTCACTGAGGGATGTTGTTGCAAAAGCTGGAGTATTTATTCATCAGCTACCTCTTCATTAGCGGACACACAGGAAAGCATACATTCAGGAAGGAACAATCTACAGTGACCCCCAAGCAAGGAAGAAGGGAATATGAGTAGGATATTGACAGCCTCAGCTATAAGAAGCATAGCTAGAAACTCATGTAAACACTGGGAAAGTTGACTGATTGTTTTAAATTCAATGGAAGATGGTATTGAATCCACCTACACACAGGTTATCATCATAAGCTCTGCTAATGGAGAGTTATGTACACTGAGCACCTGTGGCTTGGTGCATTTCATCTTGTCTCAGCCTTTGACTCATCACCCATCAGAAAGAGTACAAAATGGGTTTTAATCTAATCAAGCCAATCTTAAGACATCTCTGTAGATGAACAGATGCTACTGGGATTTCCAAATAGATAGCCTAGATCCAGACCCGTAATTATTTATAGTCTACCTGTTAATATTCCTTATCACTGCTTTAGAAGTTAACATTTGTTTTCAACATGTACTTGCTTTGATTATGACAGATTCAATGGGAAACCTCAAAGCCACATGCCTCCCTTCTCCCATCAGGGACTCCTCTGTTCATGTCTGAGGATATGACCAGAGAGATCTCCTGATTTTTTTTGTTGTTTTTTTTTTTGAGACAGAGTCTCACTCTGTTGCCCAGGCTGGAATGCAGTAGCACAGTCTCGGCTCACTGCAACCTCTGCCTCCCAGATTCAAGTGATTCTCCTGCCTCAGCCTCCCAAGTAGCTGGGACTACAGGTGCCTGCCACCATGCCCAGCTAATTTTTTTTATTTTTAGTAGAGATGGGGTTTCACCATGTTGGCCAGGCTGGTCTCAAACTCCCGACCTCAGGTGATCTGCCCGCATCAGCCTCCCAAAGTGCTGGGACTACAGGTATCAGCTACCGTGCCTGACCAGGTCTTTGATGTTTGTGGATGGAAATTTCACACTTTCCTCACCAGCTTTCCTCTATTGGTATGAATAGACTTTGGATATTACATACTTTGTATGTAATATTTTGGCCTCACACCCAATTATTCCATCTATTAATCAATAAACAGAAAGAATAGGAAGTGACCACCCACAGGGTGCCTCACTGTAGTGTACGCTCAGGACCTGCAGAAATGGAATTCAGTGGAGGCAGTACTAGCAGAACTCAATCCCTAAACTTACAGGGCAACTTCTATCTGCTAAACACTTCCATGGGCACATCACGAGTTTGATTACCTTTAGAGTTTCCCAAAGGTCTAACCATTTCATGAGTCACAGAGGCCAAAGCATAGAGAAATTGAAGACAAGTGGCAAGTTTATGCGTTTTGGGGATTAGTAGCCAAATGTGGGTAGATGATGGAGTAGTTCTTTATATAAAGATGATGAAAGCTAGCAATAGAAGCACATTAACTTAGAACAAACCCCCTGGTTTTTTCAAGTGGGTTCTGAGACGAGAGCGGGATCAGGCCATGCCCTTTCAAAAGCGCTAATGGTAAATCAAAGAAGAATGCGACAGGGTCTCTGGTATCATATCATTCATAACCAAGACTTCAACACACAGTGCACTTGCTGTCAGACGAGACTAGATGGACAGGCTGGTGTTTGGAGGAAGCTTAATGCCTGACTCTTGGGAAACAAAAGGGCAACTGAAGCAGAGCAGTCTCTGCAGCCTTCTTTAATTTACCATTAGTGCTTTTCAAAGGGCATGGCATTTATTGCTCAAAGATTGATACTTTCTGAATAAATGAATAAGCGAATGAATGAATGAACAAATGATCAATGCTCAGTTATGCCAGTACATGGAGAAACTAGCTTCTATACACTGAGCTTCCCCTATGAGCACATACTGTGTTTTCTGTTGCCTTTGCCCTTGTCTTTCCATGGAGGGATGAGCGGGGAGAAAGGATCATCAGAATGTACTCCTAACCCACCCTCAGCTCTCTCAGCAGAAGTTTCCAACAGCCACCAAAGCGATGTGCACTAGGAGTAGACAAAGAGATAGACACCTGACCCTGTGAACCTGGAAGCAAATCCGAGCTTCCCCTCCTCCCCTAATCCCTCATCAGCTTGCCAAAAAAAGAAAAAGAGAAAGACAGACAATGTGATAGATAAAGATGTGATAGATAAAGTGTTTCATTGAACAAATATTTGTTTATCAACATTGAATATCAGTTGCTAAACTCTACAATAGCTAAAGAATATGATGCTTTCTAAAATGGATTAACATTAAAATTCTCCAGGATGGATATATGTCCTGAAGATTACCCTTCTGTTAGACTTTTCCTCCAAAAACTATTGTGTATTTTCATTGAGGAGAATGAGAAAATGCCACTCTAACTAGAATAAGTTTATGTTAAAATGAGTACAATATTGTTTACTAATATTTATTGTTTCCTGGACTTACTGAATATAAAGACCAAAAGTACTCAAAAAGCTCATATGTTATCATTTCCTTGTGTTCCACCTGTAGTTTCTTATGGATGACATTTTACAGAAGCTAACATTTCTGACTCCATTTTTATAATAGCTTAGAATTTCTAAAGAGGATTAGGTGCTTATAGAGGAAACGAAATCTTTGGAAGTATATATCTTATTTAAGAAATGTGGAATAGGTGGAATATCAGCTGTCTTTCTTAAGTGCAATAAAGCTAGTATTTTAGCTCAGAAATGAACATGCAGGCAAAAATGAGTGTTCTCTATCTTAGACTGACCAGTGATTTCTGAAATTTTAATATTGTTTCTGCTTTGCTACTTTAAAATCAAAATAGATTTAAAAATCTTTGGGGAAATAACTTTGCATCCCTTTATTCTTCATACTGAAGAACACACACTTAGAATGCAATAAATAATAAATAATATAATGATACAGTCCGACCTTAGAAAATCTCTTTTTATTCCCAATATATATTTCTAGAATCTGTATTTTAGCTTCCAGGAAAGAATTCCCAAACTGGCCTTCCTACAAATCAGTGAGGATCTCCAATGTTATTTGGTCATCCCCCGAGGTGTCTGAGAGACATTTGTTCCTCCTTCCCCACCTTGTCCAGGAGCGGCTTCTGCTCTCCCTGCTGCCGGCCCACATCGCCATGGAGATGAAAGCGGAGATCATCCAGAGGCTGCAGGGCCCCAAGGCGGGCCAGATGGAGAACACAAATAACTTCCACAACCTGTATGTGAAGCGGCATACAAACGTGAGGTACGACGCTATGCTTGCTCCTTGGCTGGTCTGGGAGTCTGCCTGACTGGAGACATTTTGCCTGGGATCTCACACCTCATATCACCATCTCTCCTTTGTGACAGTGGATCCTTTGCAGGGGAAATAATCACACAGATTCTGCCATCCCACTCACCTGTTCCTGCCTCTCAGGGCCTTCACATTAAGATGAGAAAATAGGATGCTGTTTGCTGTGTTGGATTGAGTTGTCCTTCATAGCCCTGGCTTCTGTAGCCAAGCATCCATCACAGAAAGGAGTGAAGGGGACAGCGGGGTCTTCATTCTGGAAACCCCGTGGTCAGATTGCAGTAAGATTGGAGGGAGAGTCTGTGGGATCTCCAGGCACAAGACTGAGTCCTCCAAATAGACTTTGCAGGAGCAGGGCCTCTGTGAAGACAACACATCCCAGGGAAGCTGGGTGTTCCTCTCTCCATCAGCACGATGAGTTTCTCAGGTCTGGAAGACCAGTGACCAAAGTCACAGAACACTGATGTGCACCTTAGCTAATTTACCGTGAAAGTTACTGCTTTTCTGAGACTGGTATACTCATATCTACTTCCCAGGAGTCGTTCTGGGAATTACAGTGCCTAGAAAACTAACATGTTATCATCATGGGATTATAGTAGGGAAAGAGATTGGTGTGGGGCTTCTGTCTCCCATGAGCTCTAGAGAGAAATTATGAGGAGGCCTCACTTCAGGCTGGAGAGGATTGTCCCTCCCATTTCTCTCCTGCCCCTGTCTCCGAGCCACAGCAGAGCGAGGCCCACCCAGACCGTCTCGATTTCTGTGCCCCTCCCATTCCCAGTACCACGTCTTTTGGGGGTTTGTTCTTTCATCCACTCAGTATGTTAATACACTGCTTTGCATTCTAGCTGGGTGTAGTTGTCCATTCTTGCACTGCTATAAAAAACTAACTGAGACTGGGTAATTTATAAAGAAAAGAGGTTTAATTGACTCACAGTTCTGCAGGCCTTACAGGAAGCATGACTGGGGAGGCCTCAGGAAACTTATAATCACGGCAGAAGGTGAAGGGGAAGCAGGCACGTTTTACATGTCCAGAGAAGGAGAAAGAGAGGGAAGGGGAAGGTGTCACACACTTTTAAACAGACCTTGTGAGAGCTCACTCACTATCACAAGAACAGCAAGGGAGAAATCTACCCCTCTGGCCCAATCGCCTCCCAGGCCCCTCCTCCAACACTGGGGATTACAATTCGACATGAGATTTGGGTGGGGACACAAATCCAAACCATATCACTGAGTTATCGCCATAAGTAACCTGTGCATGAATCTGACCTCATCTGTTATGTTTTGATGGTCTTCGTTTAGTCATTAGAGTTTTTAGAAGAGCCAGGCTGCTTCAGGTCTAGGTTTTTTGAAGCTTATTAAAGAGAAACAAATTTAACCGTTACTTAAAGACATTGCTGGGACAAATCTCATTTGACACCAGATTTTAGATTAGCTATATAATACCCAAGCATACACAGATGTCAGTGTGATATAGGAAACTCATATCAGGAAGGAGGTAACAGAAACACATTTGTGTATGAATGGCAACTAAGGAAGCACGACTGGATGGATACATGATAGTAAAAACTAAATACATTTAAAGAAAGTTCACACATGTTAAGGAGTAAAATTATTTAAAATACTGGCTTGCCTTCAGGTTTGTGAGAGTTTTGCCTATACAATTATAGAAGAAACATTTACTTATCTAAGTGTATTATGCTATTAATGGCTCTTTCTAGCCTTAAATGTCTGAAATTCAGCAATGCCCCTCCCATCTTGGGAAATATTTTTAAGTCACTTTTTGACCACTCACGTGTACCTGACCCCTTGGCCTTGTCCTCCCACTTAAAGAATTTTCCCATCCCTTTGTCTCATGACATTGCATTCCCTCAGTTTTCTTCTGACAATCTGTTTTGTTCTTTTCTTTTCCATAAATCAAGTCTCTCCCGTAAATGAGAGTATGTTGGGGGCTCTCTCTTACCTCCTCTCGGTTTCTCTCCAGTCGTCTTCTGGGACTTTAATTCCCACCTAAATGATGCTCATACACAGGCCTCAACCATAGCTTTCCATACTCATCTACTTAACATGCATCTAAGACACCACCATCAAGCACAGCACAACCAAAGTTGGACTACTCCTCTTCCTCTACACACTTGTTTTGATTTGCACAAACCTTGATTTCTGAACTCTGTTGCTCAGCCAGAAACAGGATCTTCATTTTCAATGCTTCCCTCTCCCACACAATGCCCCCCACAACATCAAATTAGTGACAAATCTAGTTCATTCTTCTTCCTATCTCCCATGTCTGTCCACTTCTATTTCAGCACATTGTAAACCTTCAGTTGGGCTCTCCAGGGTTCCAAGGATATAGTTCTAACTGACCTGCCTGCGTCCAGGTTGCCACAGCAGGAGTGATCTTTCTAAAGTGGCAATATGGTCAGGCTCTAGGTGGGGTTTTCTCCCTCTATGGTCCCATAAGTGCACTGTACTTTCTCTACCGTAATGCTTTGCAGCTTTGTACCTTGCATCACAATTGCCTGCTGTTTTTTGTTTTTTTTTTTTTTTTTTTTTTTGAGACGGAGTCTCACTCTGTCACCCAGGCTGGAGTGCAATGGTGCAATCTCGGCTCACTGCAACCTCCGCCTGCCGGGTTCAAGCAATTCTCCTGCCTCAGCCTTACAAGTAGCTGGGATTACAGGCACCTGCCACTGTGCCCAGTTAAGTTTTTTTGTAATTTTTAGTAGAGATGGGGGTTCGCCATGTTGGCCAGGCTGGTTTCGAACTCCTGGCCTCAGGTGATCCACCCGCCTTGGCCTCCCAAAGTGCTGGGATTACAGGCGTGAGCCACCACGCCCGGCCATCTGCTTACTTTTTAAATCCCTTTGCTGTAACATAACCTCTGGACCAGCTTAAGCTATCTACAGGCAGCCTATCTCAGAGCTGCTTTGTTCACTGTAAGCTTTGAGCACAAGAAGCACTGTGGATGACGTGAGCAAGAAGGAAGTGGAGTCAACTGCCCATCCACACATGCTACCTCCCAATACTGCTTTGAATCAGGGACTCTTTCTCTGAGCGAGCATCGTTCATCCTTCCTCTTGCACAATGGCTCAGCACCTGTGATCCCTGCCACTATAAGTCAGCGTGGAAGAAAAGAAGTAGGGATGATTTCTAGGGGATCATCTGAACAGAGTGGAGGGTAAAGCTGTCCCAGGAACCCTGATTTTCCTGTAACCATCAGAGGATTCCCACAGATCGTGTCCCTCAGCAGAGGAGCAAGTATTTCCTCAAAGGTGCAGCCACACATCCTGGGCTTAGCAGAAGGAGCAGAGTATGGCCAACAGCAGAGTCCTGCCCTGCTCTGGCTGAGACCCTGCTGACTGGTGCCCCTTTTTGTACTTTTTTTTACTGTTGTAAAATATGCATAACATAACATTTACAATTGCAATCAATTTTAAGTGCACAGTTCAGTTGGATCACGGACACTTACATTGTTCTACAACCATCAATATTATCCATCTCCAGAACTTTTTCTTCATCCCAAACTAAAGCTCCGAACCCATTAAACAACAACTCCACAACTCCCCCTCCCCCAAGTCCCAGGAAACCGCCATTCTAGTTTCTGTCCCTATGGTTTGACTATACTGTGTGCCTCATATATGTAGAATCATACAGTATTTGCTCTTTGTACCTGGCTTATTTTACTTAGCATAAGGTTTTCGGGAGTTTCAGCACATGTCAGAATTTCATTTCTTTTAAAGGCTGCCTGATATTCCATTGTATGGATAGACCACATTTTGTTTATTCATCCATCTGTCAATGGACATTCGGTTTGCTTCCATCTTTTGGCTGTTGTGAATACTACAGCTATGAACATTCATGTACAAATATCTATTCAAGTTCCTGATTTCAGATCTTTGGATATATACCCAGAAGTTGCACTGCTGAATCATATGGTATTTTGTTTAATTTTTTTGAGGACCGAACATATTGTTTTTCAGAGTGGCTGCATCATTTTACCTTCCCACCAGCAACACATGTGTACCCCTCCAGGTTCTCATCCACAACCATTATTTGTATGCTTTATAAGAGCCATCCTAATGACTGTGAAATAGTAGTTGTTTTGTTCCATGGGACATCTTAAGGCATACATATTCACTTTGTGAATCTCAAACCATCTGCAGAAATTTAGGCTTCTTCATAAGACCTTGATACAAATCAGAAACATGTTATTGTGTAGGAAAAGTTGCAGTGCGCACACAGGTGCTGTGTTTTCCTATTTTAAACACATAAAAAGCTCTGAGGAATCTCACACTCGCCTTCCCTAGTGTGTACATCCCATGAAGGGAGCTGCTCTGTCATTTCCGAAGAGTGACCTTCCTGGCCTCCTCACTGTCCAATCTGCCCCTACTCTTCTCTGTCATAACACTGTCTCGTTTTCCTCTGTAGCCCTTTTTATGATTTGTAACTGGACATTTGTTGATGTTCACATTTGTTCAATACATCCTCCCAGCTAAATTCTGAACGTCAGGAAGATATTCCATGTCTGCTTCATCCTGGCAGATAGGAAGGACTCCAGAATCATTTAAGTAATCTTTTATAAAAAGAGGATTATTTTTCCAGTTTCTTCTTTGACTCAGTACAAACAGAATTTTTTTAAATTATTTTGCTGCTTCACTCCCCATCTTAACTACAAAAGTTTAACCTCAAAAAATGTTTAACAAGTTCAAAAAAATGTTTATATATTCTTAATCTGAGAAAATGACCTCTTACTCATGAAAATATAAAGTATAAGCAAAATTACATGATTTTAATGGAAAAATTATTATTACTTTCTTAAAAAATGTATAAACTGGAAAACTCTGTCTCCTCACCTCCTTTCTTCCCACAGCATCTTATACGCTGACATCGTTGGCTTTACCCGGCTGGCAAGTGACTGCTCCCCGGGAGAACTAGTCCACATGCTGAATGAGCTCTTTGGAAAGTTTGATCAAATTGCAAAGGTGAGTATTATGGATTCTTTTCTTCTCTGAAGATTTCTAAACTCTTGGTTTCGTTTTTCTTCATCCACCTATCAATAGTTTACTTTTTCATAAAAGCATCCTTTAGGAACATTGTTTGTAGAAGTTGTTGGATTTCTTTGCTATTGATCTTTCATAAGCCTCAAACCTGTCTCAGGGATGAAAAAACGCCATGGCATATCATTATCACGTTTTTATCTATTTTAAAACTTCCCCCTATGTATAATTCAGCACACATATAATAAATACATTCCAGGCAGTGAGATTCCATTTGCAAATCTCTCTGCATGGTATTATTTTAAGGTGCTCTTTTAGGCATTTCCATGTCAAGGATCTGGTAGGATCATTTCCACTCCTCTAGTTGCCAACATCCTCTATTCCTATTGTTAAGCAGGACCCTGGAAGAGTTCCTGAAATAGAATGCATATCTTCCATGCAAAGCCTTCACTTACTCTTGTCTCATTTTAATCCTTTGATTCTTGTGCCACTTAAACAGAAATGGAAGTTTAGTGTCTTCCATTCATATGCTCTTTCATGGGAAATTTCACAGATAGGAAATGACCTGAAACCGTCTGAAACCACACTAGACCCTATTATTTATTAGAACTGCCACAGTTGCTGGTGGGTGGCAATATCGATGACAAAAAGTTTCTTCCTGCAAGCCCTGTACTTCTCATTAAATGTTTCTGGTCAATTCTCTCTTTGAATTGTTCCCAGCAACAACAAAAATGCTTCATTATGCCTACTAATATCAGTTATTTAGCTATGGAAGAATAGGTCCTAAATTTAGTTCACTGTGTGATTTAGATCACTTTTAAACAAGACAGAACATTCCAGCTGAGTCTCTTAGGAATAAATCTGGCTTGCAGATGTTAGCATGATCATTCTTGGGCCAAACTCCCCAAGGTTTTTGCCTTCTGTAGTTCCACCGACCATGACAACTCTCACTGGAGATTGTAAAAAATCAGTAAAAGCACAGCTCTGCTTCCTTCCTTTACCAAGCCAAAGGAAGGGGGTGAGTTTTGTGGGTGTTCATTTATAAGAAAAGAAAGGTTTGAAACTTAAATGATGCCTTAAAAGTTTGAATTAATAAAAGGTCATTTTTGTTGGACTACCTGTTCATGTTAGGAAGAAACGTTTCAGTCTTGGCTGGGAACAGCATAACTCCAATGTTCAGATGACATTCTCTCCTCTACGTGCCTGTCTCGGTGAACAAATTTCCCCTTCTTAGAGGTTAAGGGCCCACCCAATTCCAGTTCTACCTCCTCTTAACTAATTAAATCTGCAGGAGCGCTATTGCCAAATAGGTTCACATTCACAGGTATCAGGACTGACTTTAATATGTGAATTTGGAAGGACACAATTCATTACCCATAACAGAAGTACTCAACGTGACTTCCTCTAATCAGTGGAACAAAGGAGTATACACCCTCGGCTGACTATCCAGCCATTGGTTTATCCATCATTGGTCAGAGGGGCAGTGTGCCTTCGATATGAGTTCATGGCTCACAGTTCAATAACGGGGGGTTATTGTCAGCAAACAGATACCCCAGTGCACTGAGTACTATGTAAAGCACATAACCTTACACTAAGGAACTCAAAACCATTGCCATTCACTGTAACTGTCATGTTTTCTAGTCTCAGAATAGCTGTTTGGGAAGTATGGGAGGGAAGCTTGATTTATAGAAACAAATATAGGATCAACAAGTATGAATGCAGTTAATCTAAATATTAAAATATAAATACAAAATTTAGCCCAGAAAAATAATGAGGTAGTCAAATTTTACATTAAAACAGTTGAGCCTAAGATGAGAATTAAGTTTTAAATTACTTGGCAGTATTGAATGGCAGCTTATTAGGTGTGGTAATGTCTATCAGAAGTGACATATCTGCAGGTAAGAATCAGCTTTGGATTTAAAATAAATAAAAGAAACCATAAGCACAGTAGGGAAGGACTTGAGATTCTAATTTATACTGAGTGCTGGTCATCATTTTCTACTCTGAAAGACTCAGCTGGGCATAGAATGTTTTATTTCACCCTTAATGTTTGGAGCTGCTCAGACTAAAGAGATTGGCCCCATCACCATCCTTCTCTGCTTCTATGAAGTGTAAATCATTCCAGAACATTCTCCCTTCTTTCTCATTTTTTCCCCTTTTCTTTCTTTATTCCTCTTTGGAAATCGGCATGTAGGGGAGGGCAGCTCATTCTGGTTGAGTAATGAAGGGAAGCCCAACTGGTTCTCATTGCTCTCTCCAGATGCCCCTGGAATGGTGTGAGCAGAGCTGGCGCTTGATGATATTACATGAATCTAGATCATTCTGCAAGTGCTTAATGCAACTGAAATTCTGTAATTTATTCTTCCAGGAGAATGAATGCATGAGAATTAAAATTTTAGGAGACTGCTACTACTGTGTATCTGGACTCCCTATATCTCTCCCTAACCATGCCAAGAACTGTGTGAAAATGGGGCTGGACATGTGTGAAGCCATAAAGTAAGTGGACTGCTTAGTAAGCATTTTGTTATATGCTTTAAGTTCTGGGGTACATGTGCACAACGTGCAGGTTTGTTACATAGGTATACATGTACTGTGTTGGTTTCCTGCACCCATCAACTCATCATTTACATTAGGTATTTCTACTAATGCTATCCCTCCCCTCACCCCCTCCCCAACAGGCCCTGGTATGTGATGTTCCCCTCCCTGTGTCCATGTGTTCTCATTGTTCAACTCCCACTTATGAGTGAGAACATGCGGTATTTGGTTTTCTGTTCCTCTGTTAGTTTGCTGAGAATGATGGTTTCCAGTTTCATCCGTGTCCCTGCCAAGGGCATGAACTCATCGTTTTTTATGGCTGCATAGTATTCCATGGTGTATATGTGCCACATTTTCTTAATCCAGTCTATCGTTGGTGGACTTTTGGGTTGGTTCCAAGACTTTGCTATTGTGAACAGTCCTGCAATAAACATACGTGTGCATGTGTCTTTATAGTAGAATGATTTATAATCCTTTGGGTATATACCCAGTAATGGGACTGCTGGGTCAAATGGTATTTCTAGTTCTAGATCCTTGAGGAATCACCACACTGTCTGTCACAACGGTTGAACTAATTTACACTCCCACCAACAGCGTAAAAGCGCTCCTATTTCTCCACATCCTCTCCAGCATCTGTTGTTTCCTGAGTCAGGAAACAACAGTAAGCATTTTTTTTTTTTTTTTTTTTTTTTTTTTTTTTTTGAGACGGAGTCTCGCTCTGTCGCCCAGGCTGGAGTGCAGTGGCGGGATCTCGGCTCACTGCAAGCTCCGCCTCCCGGGTTCACGCCATTCTCCTGCCTCAGCCTCCCAAGTAGCTGGGACTACAGGCGCCCGCCACTACGCCCGGCTAATTTTTTGTATTTTTAGTAGAGACGGGGTTTCACCGTTTTAGCCGGGATGGTCTCGATCTCCTGATCTCGTGATCCGCCCGCCTCGGCCTCCCAAAGTGCTGGGATTACAGGCGTGAGCCACCGCGCCCGGCCAGTAAGCATTTTTTTTAACTGTCTAACAATTTGGGGTTGTAAATCTCACCTGTGACTATTTCTATTGTTCTGCCTACTGGCATTAAATACATTATTGTGCATTTCAATATAATTGTGCAGAAACCCATTTATTGGGATGTGAGTAATGCAATGGAAAGTAAGACTTCATTAAGTGTTTAGTATTATTTTTGTTTGTTTGTTTGCTTTTGAGATAAGGTCATGGTCTGTCACCCAGGCTGGAGTGCAGTGACAAGATCACAGCTCACTATGGCCTCTACCTCCTGAGCCCAGAGTAATCTGCCCACCTCAGCTTCCCAAGTAGCTGGGACCACAGGCAAGCACCACCACATCCAGCTAATTTTTGTATTTTTTGTAGAGACGGGGTGTCTCTGTGTTGCCTAGGCTGGTCTTGAGCTCCTAGGCTCAAGCGATCTGCTTGCCTTGGCCTCCCAAACTGTTGACATGGTAGGTATGCACTGCCTGACCCAGCCTAGTATTGTTACTATGAGCCTTAGACTACAGTGAAACTGAGTTGGAAATCTATAGGAAGGCACGGTTTTGTTTGTTTCAAAGGTGATTTTTAAAAGAAATTTTGAACATCTTCTTTGATCTTAAGGTAAAAGTGTGCACGTTATCATCTTTCCAATTTCTGACAAATTCTGTGGCTTCACACACATTGTAAGGGAAGAGGTAGTTATTACAACCAGACTGCAGTTAATATAAAAACCAATACAAAAATATTTTCATCGAGTCAAAAATGCTCAGCTCTGTGAATTTAATTTTAATTTGTATTTGTAACATATATTTTCTGCATTGTATCTGTAATTTTTTTCACTGTGATTCCAGAGAAGATTTGCTTATATAGGATAGTGATATCATTACCATTGACTAGCTACAAAGTAAAAATATAAGGTAAAAGGGTAATTTTTATTACCAGCATCACAATTTTATTAGCAGTACCTTCTTTAATAATGCCCTTTGTAGAAGCCAGAATATTCTTATAAATAATAAAGCCTTTTGTTTGCTGACTGCATGATTGGAATATTGTACTTCATTGGGTTTTTGATTGTCCATTTTGGTAAATGATTTGACCTTATCCTCAACTTTTTTTTTTTTTTAATCTGAACAGCGTTGGAATTGTGAGCTTAATGTTCTCATTCCTTGTCTCAGGATTAAAGTAGAAAGGGCTTTATGTGAGAATACATCAAGTCCTGTTGTCACTGTGTTGGTCATATGCTGAAGCGACTAAAATATTAACAGGTGACTTCCCCAGCATGGTCCTGGGAAGATTAATGCCCCCACCCCCCACCCCCTCGCACCCACCACACACACACACACACACACACACACACACACACACAGCCTCAGCCAATGAAATGGAGAGACCCGCATGTTCCATATTCACTAGCTCCATAGAAAACTCCTGCATGCTTTTGTCAGACAGATCAGAAATGGGAGGGAAATGAAGTCAATGAGAGAGTTGAGATGGAAAGAGTGGTTAGTGTGAACTCAGTTTCCTACACAAAATGCATAGTGTGAGAAATAGCCATAATTGCTTCTTCCCATAAGTAAATCATATGTACTCTCTGATACATGAAAAATAGTTTTTAGCTTTTTTTCAAAAGTAAGTAACTACTTTTAATTCTATGGATCTAGGTATAAGTGAATCCAATCAGTGGAACTATTGGATTGAAAAAAATATATTTTTTTTTTCAAATTTGTAACCTGCTGCTGGTGAAAACCTCAATGTTGGTTTCAAACATAAGGTGAAATGAGTACTATTGGAGGGAGGTATTTGTTTTATTTCCTTTTCAATTAGTTGTGGAAAAGAGTCTTAGGAAGGGCAAAATTATGTGCATCAATAACACATTGGATTAAAGAATCCACCCATTTACTAAAGCCTTGTTTCTGCTTTTGAATGAACTGTTTCCAGTTCCATAATGTTTAAGTTAATCCAATGTCTTGAAGATGTTTTCGGAGAAAGAATCCTTACATTACATGCACTGGCATGTCACCAGTTCATTAGAAATACTATTACATTTTTTACTGTGATAAAATATGTATACCCTAAATGTTACCCTTTGAATCATTTTTATGTGTATATAAAAATGTACAGTGATACATAAAAATGTACAGTTATGTGCAGTGATGTTGAGTAAATTCAAAATGTTGTGTAACCATCGCCACTGTCAACTTCCAGAACCTTTTCATCACCCCAGACAGAAATTCTGTACCCATTAAGCAGTAACTCCCAATTACCCCTTCCCCAGCTCCTGGCCATCTCTATTCTACTTTCTGTCTCTGTGATTTTTACTATTCTGGATATTTCACGTAAATGGAATCATATAATATCTTTCCTTTTGTGTTTGGCTTCTGTCACTCAGCCTAGTGTTGTCAAGGTTCATTTTTGTGGTGGCATGTGTTAGCACCTTTTGATGCTTTTAGTGTAATATTCCCCCGTAGGTATATACCACATTTTATTTATTTTTTGATCATTGATGCATCAGTAATATCTTATGTGTGCAGAATCTCAGTAATGTCAACAGGTTTGAGGGACCTCTCCCAATTCTTGCTGATCCCTCAACTTAATCCTCAAGTCAGGCAATGGCTTTGCGTCCCTGTTACCTGCCACTTGCGGAACAAGGGATTCCACATTCCTCCTCTGTTTGTTTCATGTATAGTAGACAAGGTGATCAATAAAATGGTTATTTTGGGCTGGGCATGGTGGCTCATGCCTGTAATCCCAGAGCTTTGGGAGGCCGAGGTGGACTGATCACCTGAGGTCAGGAGCTTGAGACCAGCCTGGCCAGCATAGTGAAACCCTGTTTCTTTTTTTTTTTTTTTTTTTAAACTTTCAGTTCTAGGGTACATGTGCACAAAGTACAGATTTGTTATATATGTATACATGTGCCATGTTGGTGTGCTGCACCTATTAACTCGTCATTTACATTAGGTATATCTCCTAATGGTATCCCTCCCCGCTCCTCCCACCCCACGACAGGCCCCGGTATGTGATGTTCCCCTTCCTGTGTCCATGTGTTCTCATTGTTCAGTTCCCACCTATGAGTGAGAACATGTGGTGTTAGGTTTTTTGTCCTTGCGATAGTTTGCTGAGAATGATGGTTTCCAGCTTCATCCATGTCCCTACAAAGGACATGAACTCATCCTTTTTATGGCTGCATAGTATTCCATGGTGTATATGTGCCACATTTTCTTAATCCAATCTATCACTGATGGACATTTGGGTTGGTTCCAAGTCTTTGCTATTGTGAATAGTGCCACAGTAAACATACGTGTGCATGCGTCTTTATAGCAGCATGATTTATAATCCTTTGGGTACATACCCAGTAATGGGATGGCTGGGTGAAATGGTATTTCTAGTTCTAGATCCTTGAGGAATCACCACACTGTCTTCCACAATGGTTGAACTAGTTTACAGTCCCACCAACAGTGTAAAAGTGTTCCTATTTCTCCACGTCCTCTCCAGCACCTGTTGTTTTCTGACTTTTTAATGATCGCCATTCTGACTGGTGTGAGTTGGTATCTCATTGTGGTTTTGATTTACATTTCTCTGATGGCCAGTGATGATGAGCATTTTTTCATGTGTCTGTTGGCTGCATAAATGTCTTCTTTCGAGAAGTGTCTGTTCATATCCTTTGCCCACTTTTTGATGGGGTTGTTTGATTTTTTTCTTGTAAATTTGTTTGAGTTCTTTGTAGATTCTGGATATTAGCCCTTTGTCAGATGAGTAGATTGCAAAAATTTTCTCCCATTCTGTAGGTTGCCTGTTCACTCTGATGGCAGTTTCTTTTGCTGTGCAGAAGCTCTTTAATTAGATCCCATTTGTCAATTTTGGCTTTTGTTGCCATTGCTTTTGGTGTTTTAGACATGAAGTTCTTGCCCATGCCTATGTCCTGAATGGTATTGCCTAGGTTTTCTTCTAGGGTTTTTATGGTTTCAGGTCTAACATTTAAGTCTTTAATCCATCTTGCATTAATTTTTGTATAAGGTGTAAGGAAGGGATCCAGTTTCGGCTTTCTACATATAGCTAGCCAGTTTTCCCAGCACCATTTATTAAATAGGGAATCCTTTCCCCATTTCTTGTTTTTGTCAGGTTTGTCAAAGATCAGATGGTTGTAGATGTGTGGTATTATTTCTGAGGGCTCTGTTCTGTTCCGTTGGTCTATATCTCTGTTTTCGTACCAGTACCATGCTGTTTTGGTTACTGTAGCCTTGTAGTATAGTTTGAAGTCAGGTAGCATGATGCCTCCACCTTTGTTCTTTTGGCTTAGGATTGACTTGACAGTGCAGGCTCTTTTTTGGTTCCATATGAACTTTAAAGTAGTTTTTTCCAATTCTGTGAAGAAAGTCATTGGTCGCTTGATGGGGATGGCACTGAATCTAAAAATTACCTTGGACAGTATGTTCATTTTCCCTGTTTCTACAAAAATACAAAAATTAGCCAGGCCTGGTGGTGCACGCCTGTAACTTTAGCTACTGGAGGCTGAGGCAGGAGAATCACTTGAACCCAGGAGATGGAAGTTGCAGTGAGACAAGATCACACCACTGCACTTCAGCCTGGGCAACAGAGCAAGATTCTGTCCAAAAAAAAAAAAAGTTTATTTTGTTACACCCCTACCCCCATGAAAGGGCAGCAACAGAGAGGACATCTCAGCACGTTCCAGGAATTGTTTGTCCACTTTCATCCTCTCTCCCATGCAAGGATGTGCATTTCCATTCCCATTCATTGAGCCGTGCGTGGGATGGGTACCAGACAGGAATTTTCATTTTTTAAGCTGGTGAGGGGAACGTGCACACCTGGCACTTGGGTTTTTGCCAGATGGTCTCAGTGTCAGGAACCAGCAGCATGAGTCCCAGACAGCTGCCTGCTCTTCTCTCTGTGTTCACACCTCCACACTTAGCAGCACCTCATTCCCTGCTAGCCCAGGCACCACGGCAGAGGCACTTCAGCTGCAGTTTTGGAACATTTCCAATGCTTAGAAACATTTCTTTTTTCTGCCATGAACATGTAAATTATTTTTAATCAAGTAATATTCAGGACCTTGATTTTATAAGGGATTAAGCCTTCTCTTAAACTGTACTGTTTACCTACTACTCTTGCAAGCTTTAAGCAATGACTTCAACGTTTTTCTATAGATCATGTAAATTGAATATACATGCAACAAAACATGTGGCTAGTTGGCCGGGCGCGGTGGGTCACACCTGTAATCCCAGCACTTTGGGAGGCCGAGGCGGGTGGATCACGAGGTCAGGACATCGAGACCATCCTAGCTGACACGCTGAAACCCCGTCTCTACCAAAAAACAAAAAATTAGCTGGGCGGTTTGGCGTGCGCCTGTAATCCCAGCTACTGGGGAGGCTGAGGCAGGAGAATGGCGTGAACCCGGGCGGCGGAGCTTGCAGTGAGCCGAGATCACGCCACTGCACTCCAACCTGGGTGACAGAGTGAGACTCCATCTCCAAAAAAAAAAAAAAAAAATTGTGGCTAATTGATTCATTTGAACCCATGGTCAACTCATTTTTTAAAAAAGACAACATGGAGACGGTTTTAATGTTTTAACCAGTCAGCTCGTTAAGGAGTTCAGCTCTGTCAAGTGGACAGTCTGAGACTCCTTTTTCCTCCCTTTTTATCCTTCCTTGGCTCTCTGCTGGCCTATTTTGGTAAACAGAAACGCCACGTGGTTGGAAATGTCCTCTCAACAACATAAAATGTTAAGAACAATTATGGGTTCTCTAATGAATTTTTCAGAATCATCATTGCTCAAAGACAGAAGCACAGTACATTTTTCAAAAATGACCTTGATCCATTAGTAAACTTGTGTGAAGTTGTGCTGTTGCACTGGGCCTTGAACCCTTTGAGAGGTAAACAATCCACTTGGAGATTGTGTCCACCCAGGCTGAATTTCTGCTGAGGGCCGAGATGGAGACAGACAGGGAGTGCTAGTTGCCCTCAGGGCAGTTACAGGACAGAGGCAGCAAGGCTGCCTAGACCAGCCTAGAGGGGAGAGAACAGAAAGCCTTTCTGAGTGGGGCTGTGCCTGAGTCCGGAAGAACAATGCCAGCTGGCCACATGACACCAAAGGGAGGCTTGGGGGCATGGGGAGCAGGAAGAGGAGTCAGTATAAGCAGAGTCCGGAGGTGGGGACACCCCGGTGCTGGGTGCTTGCACAGCCACAGCCTGCAGATGCAGGGCAGAGGGGTGGGGGTGGGTCTCCTTGTCCTGCTGATGCTCTGGCTCGTTTTGTGGGGCAGGAAGGAAAGTTTTGGATGACTTGCATAGAGCCAAATGGGTAGCTGGGTTTTTTGCAAAAGCAAGAAAGGAAGACAGTGAGGGCAAAAGAGGAAAGGAAATGGGGAAGGAAAATATCTTTCTATATTCTTTTTTCAGAGTGCGATTTATTTTTATATCGTGGGTCCGTTTTGTTTGATCATTTTTAGCATGCTAAAATGGTATCATTATATCATTTAAGCATGACATACATGCCTATGCCATTTTGAGATGTTAATGATTCATTTCACTACAATTCACAAGTGGTGGTGTCTTTATTTGATTGTGCTGCAGTCGGCATCGTTGCTTCCCTCCACATTGCCTCTTGGGGTAATTCTTTCGATGTAACTAGGAACATCTTCCTGTATACTTGTTTTGCAATACTACTTTAATGTATTCAGCCAGCAAGAACAAATAAGCATTGCCAAGCATTTCCATTTTTTCTTCATTGAAGTTCATCATTTTTCTCTGTTAATGAGTTGGTGATAAGGTCCTAAGAAGTATTTTTTCTCTTTTTGTTGAAGAATGTGCACAACTGGAAAGGCTTAATGTCATGATTATTTTGCTAAAAATTCTTATGTAGGCTAAAATCATTATTAAGCTCACAAATGAGCTATATTGTTCTCTTGTTAGCAGAAGATATTCGTTGGAGAGGTACATTGTGCTAAGAACTAAAATTGCAAACCCTGTTTAAGACTGTTTCTGACATTACAAGGCAATGTCACGTGATTCTAGTATGAAAATGCAGACATGTGCCAGCACATGGTAGCTGCTTGATACATATTCATTGCAGAAGTAAAAGTTATAGCCAAAACGTTTTGTCATCACTATAGTCTGGCCTGATCTAGCTTTAATAGCAAGAACATTGGTCTAATCTGGAGTGACTGGAAGGAAAATCCCTTCTTAGCTCAGAGGAGTGATCTCCTGCCATAGGAAGGTTTATGGTCATTTCCGACAGTTTGAAAAATTCTGAATAATAAAATACTGGGAAAATTGGCCAAGAGTTAAAGGAAACAGTGGATGTTACTTGATCATGATCTTACTTCCCTTCTCTTTAGGAAAGTGAGGGATGCTACTGGAGTTGATATCAACATGCGCGTGGGCGTGCATTCTGGGAATGTCCTGTGTGGCGTGATTGGTCTGCAGAAGTGGCAATATGATGTGTGGTCACATGATGTGACCTTGGCCAACCACATGGAAGCTGGAGGGGTCCCTGGGTAAGGCCAAGCATTGGATTTCTTTCTTCAAGCAGGCAGAACTATTAGGAATGACAGATTATCAGCCTAATGACGGAGTGCTCAGTTTTTGATCACTTCTGTTGCCTCTGTTGGTATCATGTTACTCACGCCCAACGGCCTCTTATGTTAAGCAGATAAAGACGAGCTCTCAAGTCCCTGCGTCACGACCCCGTTGTCCATAGTTCAAAGACTGTGAATATCAGACAGTAAATTACAAACTTTTACTTATTTGCAAATGTATGAATAGAGATCTGATTTAAAGATGTTTTACAAAACAGTCCAGATATGGCATCTGTCTAGAACTGTTGACCTCTAAAACCATTATATTAAAATAAGTGACTACAGCATCCTTCTCTGGGGAGAATAACGTATTTCAGTCAAGAGAATCTTTATCAAGGGCTGTAGTTTAGAGAAGCACGAGAGCAAGCACTGAGAAAGAAAGTCTACATTATTATACAGATTAGCATACTTCCTAAAATGCCCATGACATACATTTCAAAGATATTCTCATAAAAATTCAAGATAATCAAGTTGTATTTGCTATAATTCACCACACCCACCATGCAGGTTTCGGTGAGTGCAGAGAAGCTCCAAAACTAGTAGTGCACGACCTCTAAGAGCATCTTTCCAAAGCAGTGGTCAATAGAATATAAACTTTAATTGCGGTCAGTGCTCCTAAGAACTTTAGTGGATAAATTATTTCAGAAATCATGAGCAAATAGAAACCTTTCTTCACACTTATCCTTTTATGTCTTGACTGTGATTTTAAAATGCAATTTCAGACGTGTTCACATTTCTTCTGTCACCCTGGAGCACTTGAATGGCGCTTATAAAGTGGAGGAGGGAGATGGTGACATTAGGGACCCATATTTAAAACAGCACCTGGTGAAAACCTACTTTGTGATCAACCCCAAGGTCAGTATCATTGTAAAGAGTCTATGATGAAAAGGGAGGAGGAGCAAATTATTGATATTCATAAGTGTTTTTAGTCAATATCCAATATAATTCTTTGCTACTCTTTGTCCCCAAAATATTTTAAATGCATATGGTGGTTTAATTACAGAAGATGTTTTGTAATTATGAATTCAAATACTTATTAAATGAGCAGTTGAAATGCACTGCTTTTCTGCAGGGGTGTTGATGCAGGTTGCTAGTTCAGGCTGTCATGTGTGTTAGTCGGTGTATTCCTTGGTGGATGCTGCATCTGAAAGCCTCCCAGTGGGCACAGCTGTTGATACCTGTCAGTTGGGAAATTAAATAAAGAGAAAATGATTGACTTAGGGCTTTAGAAGATAAAAATCCAATTAAGTAAAATAGGATGAACATATACAAAAAAAGAAGAGAAGAAATATTTGAAAGATTAACACATAAATATTACATAGACATGCTTGCGAGATTGTCTGTATGCACAAGCATATTTACCTTCCGTAACATAAGAACATCTACTGCCTGAGATGATCCACCCCATACAAACAGTGAGAAACTATCTCTTATTTCATTCACACCACATTTAGGCCAGATCAAGGGGCTTAGAGTTCTCATTTCTTTTAACCCTTCTCAAATTCCTGCCAAATGGGTATTATCACTATTTACAGATTAAGAATCTGAAGCTTTCAGGGGTTATGTAATTCTTCCCAAATTACACAGCTGGTAAATGGTGCAAATATCAGCAAGAAAGACCTCTGAACCATGAAAACCAATATCATAAAATCAACAAGATCAACTTTATGGACATTTACTTATGGTAGCATCTGGGAAGCCCCAGTTTCACCTTTGAAGACAAACTTTCAACTAGCTTGATGATCGATCTGGAGATAGATGTGTGGCAAGCAGCAGGGACTGGGAGATGATGGACGGGGGAAGGCTCAAAAAATACATGTACAAAGAACATTACGTTCAGGTAAAGAACACCAAAACACGATGTTTGGGGCTATGTAGCATTAGAAACAGCACTACAGTTATCACTTTAGAAAAACACAACCATCAAGAAAAAGCTAAACAGATCAGCACATTCTGTTTTAAGAATTTACTTAATAAAAAATGTCCATTAACATATCATTATTTTTTTCTAAGTCTCAATTACATGTATGTTTTGCTAGCTGAAAAAAGATTCCCTCAACTCAAATAGTGTGTTCCCCAGTAACACTGAAGGAATAAGGACAGAAAACACAGAGGGCGAATAGAGGGCTGTCAGGAGGAATGACCCTAGTCCAATGAGGTCGATGCCAAAAGGATCATGTGTGGCCCTGTGCTGTGCCAGGTGTGATGCTTTGTTTCTCACCCCAAGGGAGAACGACGGAGCCCCCAGCATCTCTTCAGACCTCGCCACACCCTTGATGGAGCCAAAATGAGGGCCTCGGTCCGCATGACCCGGTACTTGGAGTCCTGGGGGGCAGCCAAGCCCTTTGCACACCTACATCACAGGGACAGCATGACCACAGAGAACGGCAAGATCAGCACCACGGTATGCCCTCCCCTGCCTCCAATGCCTGAGCACTGGGGGAAAGCTAACTTCCCAAAACCAAAGGCTGGGCATCTCCTGCCAAAATAACTCCTTTCTGTAAGAAACAAACTTATCACCTTCTTCTTCTCAGAGAGGCCCTTATGAACAACCATCAGGGTATGAGTGAGCTCCATGCTGACATTGCTAAGGGTTCCACCCTAGCGTGATTTTGCATTATAGCTTCATAACCCAAGACAGTGCTATTTACAACTGATAGTAGCAATTAAATACAACTATTTATTAATTGAGGGGTTTTTTAAGAAAAACTTCTATCATGAAGTAGAAAGCCTTGAGGTTCTTAATAAAAAGACAAAGGCATGATGCCCTTGGAGTTTAAGTAGTATCATCAAGCCCATTTCTTCATTGCCCAAATGTCCAGGCTGTGTGGGCAGCAGTGGATACTATCTTGTTATGGTTCCATGTTTCCCTGTGACCTCCAGCATATGAGAAAGCTCCTTACACCAGGGACATCTGCGATAAGATGGCTGCAATGGAGAAGGAAAATAGAAAGGCCCATAGGAGGAGAGAAAAGTAAATACAACCAAGCACTTAGGATAATCCCCATAGTATTTTTAGATTTTAAAACTATCTGGGGGTAAAATTTCATGTATAATGCTATTAAATGTGCTAAGGATGCAGTTACAGCTTTTTAAAAATACAGTATTACATAATTCTTATTGTCTGATGAGAAGGAACATGCCAGTTGTCAGGTGAAAGTGGAGTTTTTCAGTCGCCCTGGGCCCCCACCTGTCCCAAGGTCTCAAAGTGACACTCCCACTCCCAACAGGCAGGGGCTCAGCATTTATGTTTTGGCTTATTTATATTTCTTCTCCCAACTTCTCTTCATCTTTTTTCAACTAAAAAGTAAATGTGACTATCAGACGGAAGACCATGACCCATCAGACAATCCGTAAGATTGCACAAGTCCTAGCACTTGCATTTTAATAGCAAAGGAGGGACCATAGATAGAAAAATAAATAAATGAACAAGATCATGTGAGGTGCTGATGAGGGCCATGAGGAAGATAAAATTTAGTGATGGCATCTGGAGTGAATGGGATGGCCACTGTAGTAGGTCAGCTGAGGGAGTCTCAGAGGGAGAAATGAGTGAATAGGAAGAGGAGGTGGCAGAAGAACAAAGTCAGTGGCGCAAAGATGAAAGTGAGTGTGGTGTCCCCTGGAGACAGAGAGGAAGCTGCTGTGGCTGGAGCATCATGAACAATGAGCAAAGGGAGGTCATGGGGTGAGATGCACCACGGTAAATTTTATATTGCATTCTGTGTGCAATTGGAAGTCATGGAGAATCTTAGCAAGGGAGGGTCATGATATAATTTAGGCTTTGGAATAATGGAGCAAGACTGCAGGGGTCCCCGGTGAGAATGATACCCCCTTATTCTAAGAGTTTAGCAGTGGAAGCAACGAGAAGCAAATTCAGGGGCTAACGTGAAAGTAGAGCCAATAAGACTTGGTGATGGATTGGATATGCATGAACATTAGGAACAGAGATGAATCCAAACTTTTTGGCCCCACAGCTGGAACAATGATGATGCCATTAATTGAGATGACAAATACAAGGGGGAAACCAGATTATTTAAGATGGAAAATTAAGACTTTTCTGCTGGACCGCTTCTAACCTATAGTTAAGTGCAGTGAGGATGTAGACGGTTGGATCTGCAAGTCTAGAACTCACGGGACAGGTCCAAGATGGAGGCATGAATGTGAACGTGATCAGGTTGTAGATGACATTTGAAGCCATGAGACTAGATAAAATCATCAAGAAGAGAACAATCCAAGGTGGGAGGCCTGGGGCAGCTGGGGCCTTCCAGCATTTAGATCTGTTAGAGAAACAGCATCCTAGGACTCCAGTATCCAACCAGTGAAAGCCTATGTTTCTGTCACTCATGAAAAACAGTAATTTGGATAAGTTAGCCTCAGTCTTGCTAGTTAGTGCTGTGTCTGATAACTCCATTTCCCATTGGGATTTATTGTACATCAGCAATTGGTTGGTTGGTTGGTTTTTAAGGAATAAGAATCATATATAAATAGTCGAATGTGATTTCCTGTGCTGTTTTTCATGTGTTCCTGTGGGGAAAAGGCTTACTTTTCCAGGTATATTGTTGTTGTTGTTTATTTCTTATCAGCCTTTATTGTCTTAAGACTTAAGAGTGACTGTCTCTTTTATTATCTGAGCGTAGGATCCAGGAATGGTTTCAGTCTGACTTTAATCTGATGCTATGTGTTGATGAAGATGCCTTCTTCAAGATATGGCCAGAACTGTTGAGTGCCTCAACTTCAGAAATTTGTTTATAAAAATCAAAGGACCTCTTGAACGAACTCTATTTTCTTAACCGTCTGGTCCCACCTGTTGCAGATTCAAAGCCAGGCTTGGATTGCCTTAGTAGCAGTATAGCATACTTTAAGAAAGCCCCAAGTTTTTGGTGATGCATTAAGCCCAAACCACTTTGACTTAACTGTGTGTCTCACTCACTTTCAGAAAGACCTCACTGGAGTTTTCACTCATAAATCCCAGGGTCAAACAACTGACATTGCTGAAAGTGATTCCTTTATCTAATCCCCTATACAGAACTCCATTCACTCTTGATTCAACATTGATAGAGCTCTTGAATAATACAGTACTTTACTGTATGGAATGAAACTTGGAGCTCAATCACTTTTTCAAAAAAATCTTTCCTTTCCGTAGGCTAAATCCATATCTTAATATAACCTTGGAAATGAAAGCAGCAAACCAAAGTTTCTTTGGAGCAGTTTTGTTCCAACTTTTATTTTCATTCCCACTATAAATGTGTAAAGGCAATCTTTCCTTGAAAGCCTATTATTGAATATTTGACAGTGGCTTTTCCACTTATAAATTCTGTCTCTCTTCCATTTCTCTTGGGAACTACCAGCGCTCCTTTGCCGATTTCTTCATTTTGTCCAATGGTTTGTGATTTCACATACTTAACCAATGGTACTGTTTCTTAACGCCCCAGTTCAGTGATGGGGATGACTACAGATTTTGTGGTTATATTTTTGTTCTTTCTACAGCATTTTCTAATATTTGTCTGATACCAAAGTCCATTTTCACATGGTCATAGGTTACTGATGGTAACTCTGATATCAGTCGCCGGCAGGCCACTGTTTGAAATCAGATCTGATAATACAGGCTATAAATCTTAAAACTCCAGACAACAATCCTCATGCTTCTAGCATCCAGAGTTTAGAGATTACAGCAACATTCCAAAGATAAACTGAGTTTACAACTTGATTCACACTTAGGATTAAGCTCTTTTTCTCCACATGAGTAATTAATTATTTGTTAGTTAAATGTTACTGTCCATGATAAAAGAGGAAATATGTTTCACCTAATTATCATTGCAACATTCTTCTTGAAACATGTTTTGACAATTAATAACCTTTTTTCTCAATATAGGATGTACCCATGGGTCAGCATAATTTTCAAAATCGCACCTTAAGGTATGGTATCTCTCTATCTGATTTTTTAAAGCTTATTGCTCTTTATTCATTTCTGAGAGTAATTATCATCAATTATGGTAATTTCAAGGGCTACTTCTGAAAGAGCAGCTCCCCCTGAAAAGCCCTATTAAATTGCTTTCAGCTTCTAAAAATAGAATCATTGGGGTCTTATTGTTAGAATTGAGAGAGGGAGAAAGAAAACACCACCTGGTACTCATTTTAGAATGTTAAACTGTTTTCCTAAAGAGACTCTTCTTAATATTAATGTGTGGTAAAAAAAAAAGTGAATTGTCTTAAAATGGGTATGTTGCTTACAATTACATTTTTCTGCCTGTAATCCCAGCACTTTGGGAGGCTGAGGCGGGTGGATCACTTGAGATCAGGAGTTTGAGACCAGCCTGGCCAACATAACAAAACCACGTCTCTACTAAAAATACAAAAAAAATTAGCTGGGTGTTGTGGCATATGCCTGTAATCCCAGCTACTCGGGAGGCTGAGGCATGAGAATCACTTCAACGCGGGAGGCAGAGGTTACAGTGAGCCGAGATCGTGCCACTACACTCTAGCCTGGTCGACAGAGTGAAACTGTGTCTCAGAAAAAAAAAAAATAAAAAGAAAAAAGTTACACTTTTCTGTTGAATTCTAAAGGTAAAAGCAGGATAAATCCAGTCTGTCTATAGTGAAATAAAGGGTTATCCACTCTGCTCAAAAAAAGAGAAAAGTTTCCCACAAATGTCTCCACACGCCCTGTCGCAGCCACCGTAAAATCCCAGGCACCAACTCCTTTTTTCCCCTGTTCCTCTATCTTTCGGGCACAGAGTTTTACTTTAATATTGGTTTGGGAGTTAATCAAATCAATATTAGGACATTCAGATAACCAGTGTAAGATGTAGTTCCAAACCCTAAGCCAGGCTTTCTTTCTCCCCAGAGAGGTCAATTTATTGGAGCTATTGATAGTTTTATAGAAACTAAGGAAAAATATGAGATCTGACCTATTTTCTATAGAAAAGGAATTGTACCCAAGTAAAAATGAAACATAGGTTGTAACCTGCTGAAACAAGGCAACAGGGCACATTAGCCCAGGATCCTTCTAAGTGACCGTTGGGATGAGCTCTAATTTGGACTTCATGCAAAATTTGACATTTTAACATTGAGATATAACATTCATAGTCTTTATGTTATGAGGATAATTTGGTTCTTGAGCTTTTGAAGCATTATAATTAAGTGGCATATACTGTAATAAAGAGAACTTAAGCTAATTTGAGGCATATTAGAGAGCCCATAAGACACCTGGAGACAGCACGGTGCCTCTGGCCAATAAGATGCTGACACATCTATGAGCAACTGACCACAGAAATGTCACAGACTTCCTTTCACTTTATATTCATAGTCTCTTCTGTTATCTGTCTCTTCCTTCCAGCAATCCTGCTTTAAGAGTCTATTTATAGAAGTTACGATGGGTAATGTGTCATGGAACCCCAGTATTACGTGGGGCAGCGTAAGCCGGGATGAGTGCAGTCTGGAAGACAATGATAAGAAGCTGTTGTTTTTATTTGCACTAGGCTATAGAAACTCTAATTTGGTCTCTGCAGCGTTACTGCAAGGCAGAATCTGTTGCCATTATCATTTTGGAAGGGAAGAAGCTGAGGCACAAAGGGATAGGAGAATGCCAGCGTCACATGGCTGGTGGAGATGAAGCCAGCATTTGTGCCCAGGCTCTGTGACCGCAGAGCACAAGTTCCTAACTGCTCTTCAGGCTTGCCTGCTTTAGTAAAGGCCTCTTCCATATTTATTCCATTTGTCTCTGTAGTCATTGATCTTTGGTGGCCTCAAGGCCTCCTGGAGAGAACCCCAGTTCTGAGTCAGACTTACCCAGGATGCCCAGGCACTTCCAGGCTTTGTAAAGTGGACTGCCTCATAATACCTGTCTGAGCCTCCAGCCTGGCCCACACACTCCTGTCACATGTCCCTCCCCATGCCTGCTTAGACCTATCAGCTCAAGCAAGGTGTTGGCATGGGCCTGGGGAAGGAGCCAGGGAGACAGAATGGAGATGTGTTGGACACAGGGGTTGGGGTCCTAGAGCAGTGGGAAGGCCAATGGTGGAGCCCAGGGGAAGGCACCAGGATGGGAAGATGAGAGATGCTGGAAGTCAGAGGGAGAGAGTCCTGGAGGCAAATGAAGACTCCTGGTGGGGAGATCATCAGCCCCAGGGGACCTTATCCTCTCCATGGCAGAGGTCACAAGACTGCAGAGACAAGAAAAGTGTCTGTATGTCAAGAATTATTGTCCGGATAATTAGTGAATTCAAATCATGCAGAAAGCATGCATTTATTGGCTACTTTGCATGTCACATTTACAGCATTGAGCTCTCTACAGGCATCATCTAATCAAATCCTAAAACAGGTTAACAAAGGCAATATCATTGTTAGCACTGGACAAAATATCGAAGAATTACATTTTCCTGTAAGCCTCAACATTCTTACACTGCTCCTTCTTAGACTTTGCAGAAGAGAAAGCCATCAAATTGAAGTCAAGAAGCTCAAGTCTAGATGTGGGACTGATAAACGTTAAATGAAGGGTCTAAGGTCCTACAGGTCTCAGCTATAAATGAGAATGTGCAAGCCACACTAGTTGCTTGGTAAAGGATTCCTTGCTTTTTTTTTTTTTTAAGGAAAATAAAAATTAATTTGCCTGCTTCAAACAACTTGGAATTTGGTATGCTAAAACCTCTTAATTCATTTGGCTCAATATCTGTGGGAGGATCACTTAATATGATTCATTTTATTTTTTTAACCAAAACTGCTCTCAGCCTGTTTGAAGAAGACAGGGCCCGAAGGCACAAATCCACAAACAGGATGATGGAATTGGAAAACTCATCCATCTCATTAATGATAATTCTGTGAGATTTAATTACAGATAAATGAGACTTTGCATATTTAATGCTATTCTTATCTATATGTAGAGGCAATTCTGAACTCAGGAAAGTGTGATTTTTATTCCAGATTAGATGGTCTATTCATTTGTAATCTAATCAACCATAACACACAGAATTCATGCCTAAACCATGATATAGGCATAGCCTTGTTCAGGCTAGCAGGCCGTGCTTTTAATCTTTGCAGTGGATATTTAACTTCTAAGAATAGGTACTATTTTGGTTTTCTCCTGACATCATTCTCATGCAAATTGTCAAATTAACCTTGGAGAGCTCTTACTATTTGGCACAATTTATTCAGCAAGTATCTTATATTATGGCTAAAGGTTATTTGCTTCTGAAACTAAGTGAGATGGTTTGCAAATAAAAGTGGAGTTTTCTGTGAATAGTGCTTTGAAAACTGAGGAGCATTTAAATACATACAATTAAGCTTTGGTATACCTGAAATAAGACTGTAGCTCTGCAAATTTTTGAGAGTTGACCAAGGAAAACACGAAAAAGGAATGACTATTTTGTCAACCAAGCCACATTTTTACAGGGGAATTTCCAGAACCAATGTATTCTTTCATAAAATAAAGTTTATGAAGGCAACAAGTCAAAAGCTAATACATCTCCTAGGAGAGAAAGTTACTTTATCTCAAACACCGAGTATATATCTTTCAGTGTTGCCTTGTAAATGCCTAGTAAATTTCACAGTGAGTGAATAAGGACACATCTTTACTATCCCAAAAACTTTAGTTATTCACTCAATCCAAAGAGTGGCTGGATGTTAATAGAGAAGAGCCTGCTCATAGGCTGTTGTTTCTTTTTCTACTTGATTAGCAGAATTAAACAGAGCTTTTGACATCATAGAAAAATAGGCTTACTGACACAGAAAGACAAATTTGGCATGTTCTCACTCATATGTGGGAGCCAAAGAAGTTTATCTCATGGAGGTAGAGAGTAGAATGATAGATACCAGAGACTATCTGGATGGGAGATGGGTGGGTAAAGAGAGGTTGGTCAGTGGGCCCAAACTTTAGTTGGATAAACAGAATAACTTCTAATGTTTGATAGCAGAATAGGGTGACTGTAGTTAGCAACAATGTACTGTGTAATTCAAAGTAGTCAGAAGAGAGAATTTGAAATGTTTCCAACACATAGAAATGATAAATACTTAAGATAATGGATTCCCTAAATACCCCGATTGATCATTGCACATGCATGCAACAAAATGTCATCTGTATCTCATAAGGATGTAAAATATTATGTATCTCTAAAAAATTGGCTTAATATTTATTTTACTAATAATATCCTTACCCATAATATTCCATTTTTCATATAGAACCAAGTCACAAAAGAAGAGATTTGAAGAAGAATTGAATGAAAGGATGATTCAAGCAATTGATGGGATTAATGCACAGAAGTGAGTACTTCTTTCTCTTAAATTATCTTTCATCTTTTATTATGTTCCAGTTGTATTTTATCATGGGCTCTGCAATAGTTACCATGACAAAGCCAAGTTTCTGAGACCATTCATTCATTTCACTTCAGTTGTCCCTCAGAATAGTTTTTGTTAAAAGTATTTATTTCATCTTTTTAAAAAATATTTAATCCCTGCCTAGAAAATATTCCCAAGTTGATTGCTGATAAACAACCTGAGGTGTAATTGGAAAGAGGAAAATTACAGCACGATGTGTTCAGCAAGTAATATTTTTAAAAGATAGATTCTATATGGGAAAACCTTCAAATTTTAGCATATGATACTATCCATCCAAAATGCATCTGTTCTTATTACAAAATTAATGTTGAGATACCTGTGTTCTAAATCCTAGAAGAGAATTAGCATTGGTGAGTAATGAGAGGAAGACTGATTTTGGGGGCACAAAATGTCATTTAGCCTCTGAGGCCAAGAATTGCTGTTACGGTTTTAAATGGTCCAGAGTTGTGGGAGGAAAACAATTTGAAGAAGGTGATGGCCTTCTCAGCCTGGACAGAATGACTGCGCTCATCACCCTTCATGTTCTCCTTGGGTACGTGTGTCATAACTGAACCCATGCAGAGCAGAAGGCACATGGCTCAGTATGGTGCCTGGTGCACGTCAGACATTCCATTCCTGTTTGTTGAGTTGAACTGTAGTGAAAACATCAGGAGGTCCAAATGAAAAGCCTTCACAGAAAAGCTTCCATCCTTATGGAGACCTATTTAATTTTTATCATGAAAGCTGACTCTTGAAAAGTGTAAATGATTTTCACCTAGAGCTCTTTGTCTCTAAAATTAAGTTACAGGGCCTCAAATAGTGCATGGCTTTGCAAAATGCATGCCTGTTTTAGATTTTTTTTTTTTTTTTTTTTTGAGACAGAGTCTCGCTCTGTTGCCCAGGCTGGAGTGCAGTGGCACGATCTTGGCTCACTGCAAGCTCCACCTCCCGGGTTCACGCCGTTCTCCTGCCTCAGCCTCCCAAGTAGCTGGGATTACAGGCGATCGCCACCACACCTAGCTAATTTTTTGTATTTTCAGTAGAGACAGGGTTTCACCGTGTTAGCCAGGATGGTCTCGATCTCTTGACCTCATGATCCACCCGCCTCAGCCTCCCAAAGTGCTGGGATTACAGGTGTGAGCCACCACGCCCGGCCTTAGATTGTTCCTTGTAGGTATTTATTATCGAATATTTACAGGGCTTATGAAAGAATCGCATGAGTGTGATATGTGTGTCTATGGTGGGTGTGTGCCTTTGTGTGTCAGTGTGAGTGCATATTTTCTAAGCAATAAAGCATCTTGGTCAGGGAAGAGTTGCCATTCGGATGTGCTAGAACACTGAATTGTCACCTGTCTAGATGCCCTTCCTGTGCTACAAGTAGGTGAAGCCTTCTTCCCGTCACAGAGTGTCCAAGGCCCACTGGCAGCACCAGGGCCAATGCTCTGTTTTGCCTGGCACTAGGGTCAGTGTGAAAAACAACCTCACCTCTGCCTCAAACTGTCACATACTGAGAAATAAATAACTTCCTGCAATCTAACAGCAGCTAAAACCTAGGGAGGCACCTGATTTCATAAAATATAGGTGGAAGGATGCTTTCACTGAAGCAGAGGAAATAGCATCTGATACTGTGTGACTCGCCAGAATAAGACACAAGATCAGAAGAAAGAGGGAATCTTGTTATTTGACAAAAGTTAGCAAATAATAATAATAATAACATTAATATTTTAAAAACTAATTCCTAAAGTTAACCTCAGCATGTGTTAACGCAGGACACCTATCTTTTTAAATTATTTTTGTATGCACCTTTTGGAACATTCCTACCAAACAAATCATCAGAGAGTGCCACCATTGTCATTGCTTTATTGTTGTTAAAGTTGCTTTTAAATTATGTGTTTGCTTTGTGTCATTTAGTATGCAAATATATGTTTAGTTAATACCTTATGTTTTAATGTAGTTGTATTTCAAAGTAATGCTTAGTGCTGGTGTAACTGCTTATGTTGTAATTTTCCCAACATGTTTCAGAAATTAAATAGAGAAAAGTGTGCTGTACTCAAAAAATAAAAGGGAAATTTTTCAAATGGAAGCTCTTATGCATATATTTTTGATTAACCTCAGTTACACTTTGTTATGCCTTACTCATTAACTCCTCTTGTTCTTTGACATGAAGTTCTTCTGATCTTTGTATTTTCACTTGAGGACTCAACTGGGGCTCCAGGCTTGATGTACCATTCACTTGTTTCCTGCTATTGCCATAAAACAGTGATTTCTGTGCAGATTTTTGCTTATTCATTCACTGATGTGTTGAACACGCATTTGTTAAAAGACGACTGATGTCACCATCTGCTCAGTCTTTCCCCAGTGCATGCCATGGTGGTAGGGAGCTCTCTGGTGTCTTGTCTTAGAAGGACTCCAAGGACACTCATACTATCAGATCAGGACCTTACTCTTATGACCTCATTTAACCTTCATTTCATTCTTAGAGGCTCCATCTCCAAATACAGCCACACTGGGAGTTAGGGCTTCAAAGATGAACTTTGGTGGGGGACACAAACTTGCAGTTCATAACAATAAGAAAGTGGTCTTCTCATTTAGTACCTCCTTTGTGGCAAGGACTTGCATTCCCATATTCCTGAATAAATCTGGGTGCAGGTGTGGGTGTACCCATGCCCCTCTAGTAAGCATAGTATTCAGAATTTCCTTTAGTTTCCGTAACCTCTTGACAAAAGAAAAAAAAAGACCTTAGTGTAAATAAGTAGGGAATCACTTATTGTGATAACGAAGGATGGGGTTGACTTTCTTCATGCCATAGACCACTGGGGTCAGGAAAAATGTCAGGAGGCCCTAAATCAAGCACACACACATTCCCTCTCCCTTCTCTCCTCTTCTCTCCCCTCCACTGATCTTGTCTTTCTCTGTAGTTCCAATCCCCCCAAGTAATAGTTGACCTAATCAGCACACACGAATCTATTCCCTTCCAAATATCCAAATCACATTTATCAATCTCCTTGTTTTCTATAAGTCAAAATATTCCCAAGTCAATTGCTGATAAATAACCTAAGGTGTAATTGGAGAGAGAAAAATTACAGCATGATGTGTTCAGCAAGTCACATTTTTTTATTATTAAACTTGAAGTTCTAGGGTACATGTGCACAACGTGCAGGTTTGTTACATGTGTATACATGTGCCATGTTGGTGTGCTGCACCCATTAACTTGTCATTTACATTAGGTATATCTCCTAATGCTATCCTCCCCTCTCCCCCCACCCCATGACAGGCTCTGTTGTTTGATGTTCCCCGCCCTGTGTCCAAGTGTTCTCATTGTTCAGTTCCCACCTATGAGTGAGAACATGCGGTGTTTGGTTTTCTGTCCTTGTGATAGTTTGCTCAAACTGATGATTTCCAGCTTCATCCATGTCCCTACAAAGGACATGAACTCATCCTTTTTTATGGCTGCATAGTATTCCATGGTGTATATGTGCCACATTTTCTTAATCCAGTCTATCACTGATGGACATTTGGGTTGGTTCCAAGTCTTTGCTATTGTGAATAGTGCCGCAATAAACATACATGTGCATGTGTCTTTATAGCAGCATGTTTTATAATCCTTTGGGTATATACCCAGTAATGGGATGGCTGGGGCAAATGGAATTTCTAGTTCTAGATCCTTGAGGAATCGCCACACTGTCTTCCACAATGGTTGAACTAGTTTACAGTCCCACCAACAGTGTAAGAGTGTTCCTATTTCTCCACATCCCCTTCAACACCTGTTGTTTCCTGACTTTTTAATGATCGTCATTCTAACTGGTGTGAGATGATATCTCATTTTGGTTTTGATTTGCATTTCTCTGATGGCCAGTGATGATGAGCATTTTTTCATGTGTCTGTTGGCTGCATAAATGTCTTCTTTTGAGAAGTGTCTGTTCATATCCTTTGCCCACTTTTTGATGGGGTTGTTTGATTTTTTCTTGTAAATTTGTTTGAGTTCTTTGTAGATTCTGGATATTAGCCCTTTGTCAGATGGGTAGATTATAAAAATTTTCTCCCATTCTGTAGGTTGCCTGTTCACTCTGATGGTAGTTTCTTTTGCTGTGCAGAAGCTCTTTAGTTTAATTAGCATCCATTTGTCAATTTTGGCTTTTGTTGCCATCACTTTTGGTGTTTTAGTCATGAAGTCCTTGCCCAGGCCTATAGCCTGAATGGTATTGCCTAGGTTTTCTTCTAGGGTTTTTATGGTTTTAGGTCAACATTTAAGTCTTTAATCCATCTTGCATTAATTTTTGTATAAGGTGTAAGGAAGGGATCCTGTTTCAGCTTTCTACGTATAGCTAGCCAGTTTTCCCAGCACCATTTATTAAATAGGGAATCCTTTCCCCATTTCTTGTTTTTGTCAGGTTTGTCAAAGATCAGATGGTTGTAGATGTGTGTATTATTTCTGAGGGCTCTGTTCTGTTCCATTGGTCTATATCTCTGTTTTGGACCAGTACCATGCTGTTTTGGTTACTGTAGTCTTGTAGTATAGTTTGAAGTCAGGTAGTGTGATACCTCCAATCACATTTTTAAAAGATATATTCTATACGGGAAAATCTTCAAATTTTAGATACTATCCATCAAAAATGCATCTGTTCTTATTACAAAATTAATGTTGAGATATCTGTGTTCTAAACCAGTAGTGGGAGTGGAGGCCACCTCAGAAGATTCACAGAGGTGATTAAGTGTGTAGGAAGAATATACACTTCTTAATTCTGAAGACAAGGTGAGAATTAGGCCCATCCATCATTGCTGCAAGGGAGAAGCCACAAGCCAGACCCGGTGTGCTTTGGCAAAGGGAGGCAAGTGTGTCCACTGGTGGGGACTCAGTCGTGTCCCCAAGCACAGATCTAATGCTGGGGTTCACGAAGCACCACATGGGTTCTGGGGACTTAAGGCAAGGAAGCCTGATCCTGAGCCCTTGCCGTCCACCTGTAGGTCACAGGCCATGGAAACCTAGACTGGGTGCATGCTGGCCCAACTAGTAAAGGAGGTGCTGGTTTTATTTTCACTTCCTTGATTTCACTCTCACTCGCAAGCTGACATTTTCCAGGAGCATTTATAAACTATATTTTTTTCTCAGTAAAGGAAATACTGTTTTTAGTAAGTTACCTGCATATATTATTCATAGTTTGATAAAGACACCGTTCTGAAAGTGAGTATGGTTAAAATTTGTCTTAAGTTGTATTTTCTGCTCATTTTAATGTTAACCAATCTTTGATTCCTCCATCTAGTCCTATGAAATAGAATAATAGTTCTGCAGCTGGTACAGTAATAAGAAATACCAAAAAAGTTTGTTTCCCTACAGCTTATACCCTTGAATCAAAGAACTATGCAGCCATAAAAAAGAATGAGATCTGCCAGGTGTGGTGGCTCATGCCTGTAATCCCTGAACTTTGCAAGGCCGAGGTGGGCAGACCACCTGAGGTCAGGAGTTCAAGACCAGCCTGACCAACATGGAGAAACCCCATCTCTACTAAGAAATACAAAAATTAACCGGGCATGCTGGTGTGCACCTGTAATCCCAGCTATTTGGCAGGCTGAGACAGGAGAATCGCTTGAACCCGGGAGGCAGAGGTTGCAGTGAGATGAGATCACACCACTGCACTCCAGCCTGGGCAACAAGAGCGAAACTCCATCTCAAAAAAAAAAAAAAAAAAAAAAAAAAGCATGTCCTTTGCAAGGACATGGATGGAGCTGGAGGCCATTATCCTCAGCAAACACAGGAATAGAAAACCAAGTACCACATATTCTCCCTTATAAGTGGGATGAGAGATGAGAACACACGGACACATAGAGGACAATGACACACGCTGGGGCCTGTTGGAGGGTGGAGGGTGGGAGGAGGGAGAGGATCAGCAAAAATAACTAATCGGTACTAGGCTTAATACCTGGGTGATGAAATAATCTGTACAACAAACCCCCATGACACAAATTTTACCTATGTGACAATCCTGCACTAAATAAAAATTTTTAAAAAGAAGTATTTTTATTTTTCTCACTTTTAATGGCAGTCAGTCTAGAATACATTACTGACTTCTCTGCCCCAGTTGAAAGTGCCCTGTGGGATGGTCTAGTTCCTGGGATGTTCAAGCTAATCATGGTGTGTGCCTGGCAGTGAGAGTCTTCCAAATTACTTGCTGAAAACAGATGTTTAAAAGTCAGACAATGTGGTACAATGCATACTTCCATATAATTTTTATTTATTTGTCAACAACTGAGAGATACATAGTACTTATGCATGCGTTTTTATGTTTGCATCAACCTATTCTGAACGGATTGCTAATTATATTAGTATTTTTATCAATTTTTTAAAAACTCGGGACAGGCGCGGTGGCTCACGCCTGTTATCCCAGCACTTTGGGAGACTGAGGCGCGTGGACCACGAGGTTGGGAGTTCACGACCAGCCTGGCCAACGTGGTGAAACCCCACCTCTACTAAAAATACAAAAATTAGCCAGACGTGGTGGCATGCACCTGTAGTCCCAGCTACTTGGGAGGCTGAGGCAGGAGAATTGCTTGAACCTGGGAGGCAGAGGTTGCAGTGAGCCGAGATCATGCCACTGCACTCCAGCCTGGGTGACAGAGTGAGACTCAGTCTCAAAAAAAAAAAAAAAAAAAAAAAAGAGAAAAGAAAAAACTTTATTCAAGCATGACTTTTACCTTCTAGAAATGAAAAAAATGACAATGAAAGTATTTTCACTAAGTCTGAAAGAAGCAAAACCTTCTCACCCAAATCTTAAAAGCACTCTGATGGTTTGGATGCTCTGTGATCTGTTGCCCTCTAGAAGCTAACAAAAAAAAAAAAAAAAAAAAAAAAGGTGCTTCTCTAGGAACTAGATCCTTAAGGAGGTGAAACCACTGTGTGATTTCGGAAAAACATTAAGGAATCAAATTATTGATGTCTTTACTCCTTTAGACGACTTATCTCCCTTGTTATTTAATTCAGATCCCTTGAGTTTCAATTGATATGACAGTTAGTTTATAATATAGAATTTTCCAAGGAGGGCAGTGTGTGATTAGGAATATTCTATTTTCAGATCCTGTTAGCAGTATCCAGATTCCATATCCAGTTAGTTGGCATCACGTGTTTTTTTTTTTTTTTTTAAATGCTGTTCGGAATGATACACAATAAAGAAAGAAGATCGCAAGTCATTTTAAAAAATAGTTCCAGATGTTTGATTGGAGATTCAGTTTTATGATGTGTTGGCCCTTTCTATTTCCAGGCAATGGCTCAAGTCTGAAGACATTCAGAGAATCTCACTGCTTTTCTATAACAAAGTACTAGAAAAAGAGGTAAGTTTTTTTCTTCTTCAAAATCATCAATCGAGTTTTCTGAAATTTGAATTTCTTCATGAAATTGTGCTCATGTTTTTTATATGTGACATTTAAACTGCCTCTGACTATATTCGAACTCTTTCTGGCTTTTCTGGTGGTTCTTTCATGCATATATTGCTTTACGGTATTTCTTGTTACCAAGATTCCATCTTTGATCAGTTACCATTCTCAACCCTCTCGATAGTAAATGGTATCTGCAATGTGTGCGAAATATCCCAATTAAATGAAAGATGTGGGAGATATCTACTCTTCTCAATGTGAAATTCTTTCAGAAAAGTCTTAAAAAAAACAGAATTCTTCTTGATAAATCTGCAATGTCTTTACACAAATTATTTTAATATGTTGACTAAAATATGAGTTTTACATTCAATGCTTTTTCCAGATAATTAGAACTTTTAAGCTTTATTGCATCCTTAATACTTTCATATTATGGCTTTTAAAGTAAGAGCTATTTCAGGCACAAATAAGTAAGCAGACATTTAGTTTTTACATGTCAAGCTATATATGGGTTTGCCAAAATGAATTCAGTTAATTGTTGCAGAAAGGACAACCATTCTTCTAGCTCAACTTTATTTTATTCGCCTTTTGTTTTTTGTTGATCTGGAGAAGGAACCAGACTTAGAAGTAATTTGCATCATCCAACTATATAATTACAGGCCTACTTTGAACAAAAGTTACATTAATGGTAGCATTCGCAGCTCTGGTATTAAAATTATGTTGATAAAATTTAGTGCATTATTTTATGAATATCAAATAGAAATATTAAATATGATAATTCCTTCCAAAATCTATGGACACACCAAAAGGTTTTTTTTTTATGTTGGTGGTCAAGAGGATCTGTTGTCTACTGCTAAGTAGAGGACTCTGACCATTGACTGCAGACAGTTTACCAAATTGATGCTTGTTATAATGCACAACTATTGACCACCTTATACTTAATAACTTTAGCAAATATTAATGGCTACTTATTGCTTAGCTGCTACATTATTTCTTTCCTGATAGAAGTCCATTTCTTTGTTAATACCACAAAGAAATTCCTACTCATATCTCTGCACAAAGGCCTGAAGAAGTTAAAAGATAAGGATTTAATTGAGTGCATAGAATGTAATCACATTTCAGCAATGATGCTAATGTAGCTTCTTCATGAGCATGGAAATTATGCTGGCTACTAAGTCACAAAATATACCCCCCAAAATTCTAGTAAACAGAAAGTGATCATTTAAAAATGCAGCTTTACATTCCCCATGTACACATATTTGCAGATGCCGACTTTAAAGCAAATTTTAGAGAGCAGCAAGACTTAAGCTCAGTTTTTGTCCATCTGTCCTCAGCCTGCCCGTCAGAGCATGAGGTAGGGCAAGAGGTCACAAGAGCTATCAGAAGATAAATCTCTGGAGACCCCTCAGAGATCCCTCATGCAGCACTAAACTAGAGAGGCTAAAATCCCAGAAATACATATGTGTCCCTATAACTTGGGAAAGTTTATGCAAATGTAGCCAATGCAACCTGACAGTATTTTCAGGAGGTTTCAATGGCATTGGCACAAAATTTTATTTCCTTTAATTTTACCATACAACCTTTCGTAAGGCAGTTGAGCCTCATGGTTGAGAGTCTGAGTTCAGAGCCTGGTGAAGGTCCTGGTTTCCCATGCACTGTATCTCACTGATTGTAGTCAATTGTTCCAGTCCACAGTTTCTTCATCCAAAAATAGGGGCTGTTGTGTGGATTGAATGATTAGTACAGGGAAAGCAGGGAATGCAGGGCACTGTGCTGAATGTGGCAGGGGTCATCATCAGCATCATAAGTATAGCCCTATCTGGAATTTTTATCCTGCCTAAGTAAAGCAGGGTCAGACCTAGGTAGGCAGCTAATGCTGGTCAGCTTATTCATGGCATGGGGAACCACGTGGACCCCTGATGAATGCACTGGACGAGAGAAAGGAAGGGGATCCCATTGGCTAGGCTCAGAACAAGCCAGCTAAGAACCAAGTTGGCAAACCTTTTCAGTCTTATAACTTTACCCATCACCTCTCAATAGCATTAAGACAAATAATAAAATAAAATACTAAAATAAATGAATATGTCTTGCATTTCCTCAGTAGTATTCAAAAGTAAGATAGTATATGAGAAGTCATGCCCTTTCCCTCAGTAGTCATAGACAACAGACCCTCATGGGACCCAGGTCACAGGCGCGATTCACAGTTCACTCACTCAACCTTCTGGTCAGGTGCCTCTCTCCTTACTAGAGAGATTCAGTTACTTATAGATGGGTTTGAGAACAGTTCCACTCATAAACTGTGGTCCTTGGAAGTCACTCCTTCACAGTTCATGTGGGGGAAGGAAAAACTCATTGCTGAGATGAACAGGCTTTCTCCTTAGCTCACGTTGGCTGCAATCTGCACAATTTCTGAGTGTGGTGCATGCTCTGGGTACAACTAGGCTGCTGGACACTGTGTGCAGCTCTTCTCTTGGAGAACTGTCACTCACAGGTTCCTTTCTCCCCCTCAGTACCGGGCCACGGCACTGCCAGCGTTCAAGTATTATGTGACTTGTGCCTGTCTCATATTCTTCTGCATCTTCATTGTGCAGATTCTCGTGCTGCCAAAGTAAGTACTTCTGGTTTCCACTGGGATTCTCACCTGGGGTGCCTTTCCACTGGAGCCCAGTTATATTTAAAGGTGTGAAAGGATGCTAATGTTTAGACAGAGGGGTGATTTAATGTCATGGTAAAGGGAGAGTAACCCAGGACCTCGGAGGTTAAGTGGCCCCCATGTGTCTTCCTTAGCATAATGTTGGATTTTCAAAGTGGACATGTTGATTCAAACTTCTAGGGATTGAAAAAAACAATTTAACCTTCTTGTTTTGATGTTGGTATTACTCTGATGCGCAGTCTAGGAAATGTAGCCCAATAAACTTTACCCACAAAGAGTGCAATCCCCAGATGTGGTTTCTAATAAACAAATACCATTATCTTATATTGAAAGGGCATGACCTTTCACTATAAGACACACTTTGCCCACCCATCCATTTTGTCCAAGTTCTGTGTGTTACACGGCCCTCTCTTCTCTGAAATCCACTCTGCAGCCGTCTTTGATTGTTATAGGTCAAGGTTCAGCCGACCTCTCCCCGGAGAGACGTGGGTACAAATGGGAGAATCTGAGCAAACCACATTTCATGCTTCGAGGTGAATTCCTTCTGGTTCCACTTAATGGTGAAAAACGAATCGCTTTATGATCCCTAGGTCATCTTTCTCTTGCACCTTCTTAATTAGTTCAAGACCAATCAGGTGACTTTCTTCAAGAAAGCTAATTCTCATTTTATGATCTAAAGAAAATTCTTGTCCTTCTTTTAATAACTGGGGATATGGAAAGAAATTTTAAGATAGATTTTTTTTTCCTTCTGATCATATATTTTTTTCTTTCTTAACCTATTTTGTTAAGGTCAAAGCAACCATTTTCAATCTAGTAGAATTCAATTGTTTGCTTGCGTTTAACTCTCATGGTGCAGCCAGCCTTTGTGGGCAACTCAAACTGCTTAGATTGAGTAGCGTTTTGTCTCATGAACGTGCTGAGCAAACTACAAAGAAGTTGTCTGTTTCTCCGCCTCTGTACTTCAAAGGATTTTCTTCTGGGCACTGAGCCAAATAGCCAAAAACCACTTTTGGGATACAAGTGGTTTTTGATTACATGGATGAATTGTAGAGTGGTGAAAGTTTTGTTCATGTATGTACAGTTCCTTAGCAATGTGCTCCCTTGTGGAAGGGGTTTCCAGTAGACTTCTCCTCTCCCCATGATTGGAGGTGTAATACATAGACCAAAGGAGCCCTTCTTCAGGACTTACAGAATCTTCAGTGAAATTTCCCAATGTTAACATTATCAGTTTTCCATTCAAACAAATGTTAACAAATTAAGCTCCTTAGTGTCAGGCCTGTACCATGGTACTGGAGAGAAACAGCCATCCCAGTACACAGTGGCTTATAGACTGGTAGAGCAGAAAAGCATTTTGAAAGCTACATACGTGAAATAACTATTACCCAGGGAATGGGTCCTTATTGTTACTCTTACATAGATAGATTCATTAATTTTTCTACATCTTCCTTTTGGATGAGCATTTCTATATTCTCTACATTATAAGTAATACAGGATCTGTCACCTACTGGGAGGTGCTGGGGATGGGGAGAGTGACTGGGGGCATTTTAAAAGATGCCTCCAAAGAAGACAAAAAGACTTCCAGGAACCAGGAAAAACGTTTCATGGGATTTCACTTTTAAGAAACACATCCTCGTCATGTCTTTGCTGGCTTGGCTTTGATTTTCTTGTCTCTCTTCTGTGGTGTTGCATCTTTATGAGGACCCATGGATGTTCATTCTCTCAAGCTTCATCACCCATTATTTTTGTGGGTGCACACAGGTTGCATTTGCTCTAAGGAAAATCCACAGCCTCATCTAATGGAGTCCCCAGACCTGCACTTGCTGTAACAGCCTCAGGCTTCTTGTTCTGTGACTTCTTCATTTTTCTTTCATGTTAATATCTTCATTTTTTTCTTTTTCTTTAAAAAAAATCTTGCTAGGAAATATTTCAAAGATACAGAAAAGTACAGAGTATGATATAATAAACACACACGTGTCCACAATCCAGACTTTTGCAAATGTTTACCCTGTGTGCTCTTTACTGTAGATACAATTTTCCACCCTCTAGATTGTTATTATTTGGGTATGCTTCCTTTAAACAATACCTGTTTTTATTTTGGTTTTATTTATTCAATTTGATATCTTTCTTTATATTAATTTCTTCTATATTTATTTTGTCATCTGTATTTTGATTTTATAATTGATGTGCGTGGACCCACTTCTACCATTTTATTTTGTGTTTTATTTACCTTGCTTTTCTTTGGTCCTTTTTTTTCTTTTTTCTGATTTCTAATGGATTGATCAAGTTCTTTCATTTTTTTTTATGGTAAATTAAAAGCAACTTTATTAGAAAGTAAAGAAATAAAATAATGGCTACTCCTTAGGCAGAGCAGCCTGTTTATTCTTTTATTTCTTTTACTCATTAGGAAGTATATATATTTTTTTCATTAAAGATTACTATTAAAGTTCATAGAATATACATCATGTATATCTTTCTTTTAGTGATTATCATTAAAATTTCAATATATATTATTTATATTAAAGAATAAAATATATAATTATTTATAATATGTATTATATATTTACATGTTTTTAATGTTATATATTTTTGGTCAATATCTTTTGGGATAGAAGTGGTTTTTGTTACATGGATGAATGTAGAGTGGTGAAGCCTGAGATTTCAGTGCATTCAGCACCCAAGTAGTACACATTGTACCCAATATGTAGTTGTTTATCCTGCACTCCTCTCCTACCCTTCCCCCTTTGGAGTCTCCATAGTCCATTGTATCACTCTGTGTGCCTTTACATACCCACAGCTTAGCTACCATTTATAAGTGAGAACATACAGTATTTGGTTTTCCATTCCTGAGTTATTTCACTTAGAATAATGGCTTCCAGCTCCAACCAAGTTGCTGCAAAAGATATTATTTCTTTTATTTTTTTGGCAGAGTAATTTTCCATCGTGTATGTATGCTACATTTCATTTATCCATTCATTGGTTGATGAATGCTTGCATTGGTTCCATATCTTGGCAATTGTGAATTGAATTTTAACATTTATGCTTAATTCAATACATTCTGAAGTTATTCATAATCTCTCTTCAATGTCATTATTTCCTAGGATTTTAGCTCTGACAGTAATTATAGTCAATGTTTATTTAAATCTGCCACATTCTTTACCAATTAATTTGCTCATCAATGCTTTTTAAAAATTATTCGTTTCTTCAAATTTATTTATATTTTTGGTGATGTATATGATTTGTTAGGGTTTTTGGAGGGGGAGTCTATGAGTAACAATAGCTGCCTTTTTTGTTTATATTAAAATTTCTTTATCTACTTTATTTCACAGTTCTTGAATAATAGTTTAACTGGGCATAAAAGTCTAGGTTAACTTTTATTTTCGCTCAGAATTATGATGACATTACTCTGTGGCATTACATCTTCTATTTTTGTTAATGAAGTATTTCTGTCAGTCTCATTACATTCCTTTCTAGGGAGTCTGTCTTTCCTCTCTGAGTGCTTTTAGGTATCTTTTTTGCTTGGGGGTCGGGGGGCGGTATTTTCACTATATTGTTTCCATAAGTGTATTTGTTTTCATCAACCTAAGTGACTAGGTGTGATTTTTCAATCTGAGGACACATATCTCTGCTCAGTTCTGGAAAATTCTCTGCCTCTATCTCTTACATGTTGCTGTCGATTGTCTCGATTGTCTATTCTTTCCTCTGGAGTTCTTGTAGCTGCATATTGTGTTCTCATCCTGGGCTCCAGGTGTTTTCATGTTTCCTGCCAGTTTCCACTTTTTATTTCTTTGGTCTGCATTCTGATAAATTCTTCACCCAACATTGAGATTATAATCTTTATGATTATTGTTTTCATATCTAAGAAGTCTATGTTGTTCTTAAAACCTAACCTTTTTGTATATATAATTTTATATTTTGCCTATGGAATTTTGTTTTGTTTTCCTTGCAGATTTTTTTTTTTTTTTTTGATGGAGTCTTGCTCTGTCACCCAGGCTAGAGTGCAGTGCAGTGGCACAATCTCAGCTCACTGCAACCTCCGCCTCCTGGGTTCAAGCAGTTCTCCTGTCTCAGCCTCCTGAGTAGCTCGGATTGCAGGCGCCCAACATCACGCCCAGCTGATTTTTGTATTTTTAGTAGAGACAGGGTTTCACCATATTTGTCAGGCTGGTCTTGAACTCCTGACCTCAAAGATCTGCCTGCCTTGGCCTCCCAAAGTGCTGGGATTATAGGCATGAGCCACCGCACCTGGCCTACTTGGAGATTTTAAACATATTATATGGAAATATCACTTCTTTTATTTTTTTTTTGTTATTATTTTGAGACAGACTTCTGCTCTGTCACCCAGGCTGCAGTGCAGTGGCACCATCTTGGCTCACTGCAACCTCTGCCTCCCAGGTTCAAGCAGTTCTCCTGCCTCAGCCTCCTGAGTAGCTGAGATTACAAGCACCTGCCACTGCACCAGCTAATTTTTGTATTTTTAGTAGAGATGGAGTTTCACCATGTTGGCCAGGCCGGTCTCAAACTTCTAGCCTCAAGCAATCCGCCTGCCTCGGCCTCCCAAAGTGTTGGGATTACAGGTGTGAGCCACTATGCCTGGTGGAAATATCACTTATTTTATTATGTTCCTTAGGGTTGATAAATATGTGATTCTGCCATTTAGTCTATCTGTTAAGTCTGTCCTTGTATTATCTGTAATTTTGTCTGTACGTTCATCAACAGCAAGGATTTGGGTCCATGGTAGTCTTGTATGTTCTGAGTTGTAATGGCATCACTATGGGATAGATTTCAGTGTATCTTTGCCAGGTATCTCTGGGATTCACCAATTCAAGTCAAAATATTTTATTAAATCCTTAGACTAAGGTTCCTGCACTAAGGAGGTCAAGTGAATTTGGGTCAACACCTATTGGCATGGAGCAAGATTGGTGATCCCAATTTTCAAAACTGACCTTTTCTTTATGGCCCCAGTCAGATGGTTATCTTCCCTAAAAATTACCAGACTGGTGGAGAGGTTTTCTGTTTCTTGTTTCTTGGCGGGACAGCCCTTCAGGGCCCCTGACTTTATTCAAGAGTTCAGTTCTAATTTCGTGTTAGTCAAATGCCTGGGAGCATCACCTTCCTTGGGTAGACATCAATCCTACACCAAGAGGTATTAGTCCCTGGTTTCTCCTGGGCCGTTTAGCATCAGCACCTCTCAGCAGTCTGATTTGAATACCTTCTATGTACCAGGAATCTCTCTTTCTTGCCTATTATCTCATCTCTTTAAAGAAACCATTTTGCCGTATTTTATGAGGCATTTTTGTTAGAATAATGGTGGCTCTCACTTCTGTTGACTTTGTTTTCTTAACTCATTAATTATACTTTTGCTTTGTTTCATTTGTTTAGCTTTCTTTCTGGTAAATTGCCTCATGTGTTTTTGAAAAAGGGAAAGAATTAAATGAGTGAGTGAGTAAATGAATGAATGAAAAACTAATAATGGAGAAATTTGTTACCTGGAAAGGACCACTAAAGGGAGGTGTTTTCCTGAAAGGGAGCCCAACATGATCCTTATTCAGCCTATAATCATTGAATCTGGCTCTAGTCTCAGAATTTGAATAGATAGAATTAAATTATTGGTTGACTCCTCTTTTTGGAGCTGCTCTCTCACTCTGTCTGCCCTGTAGTATAACTTTATTAGAAACATGAGCTACCTTCAAAGACCAAAAATGATCAAGCATGAATTGCTTTTTTTGCTTTTAAGTAGTTTCATTCATATTATCTGCCAAACTAAATGGATTATGTTTAACCAGTCATGAGGGCAATTGTTAAAACAAGGATGAATTTTTTTCTAGCACAATTTAGGTAAATAACATGTGTTTCATTAGCCCAAGAAAAACTAAGAATAATGATGTTTTACTTAAGAAAAAATAATAAACCAAATTATAATGTTAAATGTCTTAGAATTATTATTTCTACTCAGATCTCTAGTATCAGTTTCATTACTTATTTCAACACTCAATACTAGAGGTGGTAAAACGTGTTCAAATCCTGGGATAGGTTGTACAGAGTGATGTAGACAAGTCTCGCTGCGGGATTAGATATAAGGAGTTGAGAAAGTAAGTTTTGCAGGGTTTTTAATTTTGTTTTATTTTGTCCTGAACAACTGGAAAAAATGCTGCCATTTACACAGAGAGAATCCTGGGGCAGGCACAGGTTGGGGAGGGACAGCAAACTCAAGGGCTCAGTTCTGGACATTAGATACATGTGCGTGTTACACATCAGGTGCTGGAGTTTCACACAAAAGGGAGTTTGTGACCTGTAGAATTTATAGAACTTCTGTTGAACCCCCTAGAGCTCCTATGGATTCTACAGAGCTGGGTGGAGATACAGTCTGAAAAACCCACACCTATGTAGTATTTAAATCCAAGAGATGGGATAAGCTCCCCCAAGTAGAGGGTATAGGAAGAGAAGACTCTGTACTTTCTGGGGAATACAGTGTGTCTGAAAATTCAGATCTTCAGCCCTTATCATTGCTGTAAAGGTAGAACTCTTCTTACTTGGCCAAAGATCATCTCTTTTTTCTTTCCCACATCTCAGAACCTTCAAGTGTCCATAACATCTCAAAGCTAAGTCCTCTCATCAGAGAAAGGCTACTGTAATGGTGATGAATATTTAAATTCCATTTCCTCCTTTCAACTTTTGATTCTTTCTTTCTTCTTTTCTTTTTCACTGAATTCCCTTTCATTTTGAAGTTCTATCATTTAAAAAAGAGGAATTTTTATTTCATGCTAACTTATAATTGAAAGAAAAGTTTGCTTCCTTTGGTTCTTATCATTCTGACTGAATCCCACGCAACAGATGTGAGTGGAGAGCTGATGAGAGGCTTGCTTTAGGGAGGAAGTAAGGGAAATGAAGTCAACCAGGAAAGAGTCCGTGAAAGTCATGACATTCAATAGAATGCCAAAGACATCATTATTTACCCAGAGAGATAGCTTGTAATTAATACATTTCGTAGGCTTTTTGAGGGGAATGTGTGTCTCCACTGGACTTATCTCATCAATAAATGTGTTTCTCACCCCTGTCAGGGCCACCTTTAAGCAATTCATTGACTGGGAAAAAAAGCAGAAAGGAAGGAGGACCTTGTCCAGAATCATCCTCTTCCATATTCCATAACAATGCACTTGAATAAAGCACCAAAGTCAAAAATGAACACTAAAAGTAATTTTTCTTGCCTCATGACAGGGAAGACTCGAGGTTGTTTTTCAGTAAGTACATAATAAGTTATGCTTCAGGGTTAAAAAGAAGCAGTTTTGCAACTGGGCTGTTAATTAAAATTGATTAAGTTACACCAACATCTTGGTATACTTAATGGACCTGAACATGCTTTTGACAGAACAGGCAGGATAAATGGTTAAAATTAAGAGCGTTTGACCAACCATTACTTTGTCTCACAGTATTTGTTGTTCCCTGGTGTCTTAGTCCATTTGGACTTCTCTAACAAAGGACCATAGACTGTGTAGCTTAGGAGCAATAGAAATTTAGAAGCCATGGTTCCAGAAGCCAAAGTCTGACATCAGGGTGCCAGCATGGGTGGGATTGGGTGAGGGCTCCCTTTCAGGTTGCAGACTACTGTCTTCTCCTTGTATCCTCACATGGCAGAAAGAAATAGTTCTGCAGCCAATTCTCATAAGGGCACTAATGCCATTCATGAGGTCTCCACCTTCATGACCCAGTCACCTCCGAAAGGCCCCATTTCCCTAATACCATCACATTGGAGGTTAGGAATTCAACAGATAGATTTTGGGAGACAGAAGCATTAAGCCCATAAGAACTCAGATGGAAGAGAGGTCCATCTGAACATAAATGCCAGTATGCCACAGACTAGAATACTGAAGAGCCTGAAGTTGAGCATATTGGTGAGAGTTTGAGCCACCCCAAGTCTGAATCTCAGGTTGTCACATACTTTTCTATATGCAAGACCATATCACCTACAAATTAAGATAGTTTTACTTCTTCTTTTACAATCTGATGCCTTTTATATTATTTTCCTGCCCAATTTCCCTGGTTAAAGCCTCCAGTACAAAGTTAAATAGAAGTAGCCACAGCACACATCCTTTCTTATTCAATCTGAAGAGAAAAGCATTCAGCCTTTTACCATTAAGTATGATGTTAGCTGTGAGTTTCTCATGGTGACCTTTTATCAAGATAAGGAAATTCCATTTTATTAATAGTTTGTTGAGTTTTTTCATTGTGAAATAGTTTGGATTTTCTCAAATCCATTTTCTGCAGCTATTGAGATGATAATGTGTTTTTTCTTCTATTCTATTAATGTGACCTATTAATAGGTTGACTGATATTCAGATATTAAAGCAACCTTACATTTCTTGGGTAAACCCCACTTGGTATTGATATACAAACCTTTTTACTTGTGGCTGGATTCAATTGACTAATATTTTGTTAAGGATTTTTGTATCCACATTCATAAGAGATACTGATTTCTACTTTTTTTTGTGATGTCTTTGGTATTGGTGTCAGGGTGATACTGGCTTCAGAACGAGTTAAGAACTGTTCCCTTCCCTTCCATTTTATGGAATAGTTTGTAAAAAATGGATATTAATTCTTCTTTCAAAGTTTTGGGCCAGGCATGCTAGCTCACACCTGTAATCCCAGCACTTTGAGAGGCAGAGGCAGGTGGATTGCTTGAGCTCAAGAGTTTGAGATCAGCCTGGACAACATGGCAAAACCCCTGGGCAAAGGGGCAAAACCCCCTCTCTACCAAAAATACAAAAATTGGCCATACATGGCAGCACAGGCCTATTGGTCCCAGCTACTTGGTAGGCTGAGGCAGGAGGATGGCTGTAGCCCGGGAAGTAGAGGCTGCAGTTAGCTGTGATTGCACCACTGCACTCTTGCTTGGGTGACAGAGCAAGACTCTGTCTCAAAAAAAAATTAAAAATGAAATGAAAGTTTGGGAAAATTTATCAGTGAAGCCATCTGCACATGAATTTTTCTTTGTAAGTAGATTTTTTTAATTACTAAGTTAATCTCTTTACTTTTTATAGGTAAGCCTATTTATATTTTTCATTTCTTCTTTAGTCAGTTTTGTGTGTCACAACATACTCTTAAGAATGATCATCCCTGCTTAAATGGGCATGTCATATGTTACAGCAAATCAAAAACAGATAGTCAGCTCTATTAGTAACACTCTATTCCTTTATCAGCTCTTAATAGATTTTGACATTTGAGGAAGGAGTAAGCAGTGGTCATCAGATACATTCACAAAAAAATGTTAACAACTCTTCTGGGATGCTCTTCACTGTGTCCAGCATATTATTATAAAATAGGAAGAGTCACATTTTAATACCCTTATTGTTTTTTAGGTCTATTTGACCTGACTTCAGAATGTCTCTGTCAACTCTCTTCATGGTGGAATAATTATTCAAAAAAAAAGAAACATTGAAATGCATTTTAGGAAACAAAGGCCTATATAATTCATTGTAGTACAAGAATCCATTATTTAAACTCTGATTCACAAAATAAACCTTATGATTTGTTAGTAGATTAACACATAATTGTCTCTAAATCAGTTGATATGTGTTTAATTGAAGGCCAATATAATTCCATAATCCCTTGTTCCATTTATAAAAAAAATTAGAGTATGGCATAACCCAAGGAATATATACATATTTGCTCAATACTTCTAATGATAAATACTTCAAGTAAAAACTTTTTTTTTGCTATTTTCAAAAGAAAAAGGAAGGAATTTAGGGAAGTCACTGTTACAGTTCTTCCCTAGGTTTCTACCTAACTATTAATGATATTATAGTGCCCAGAGAAAGCTTTATCTAGTTAATGGATTAGGCTCCAATAAAGAAAACAAATTGTCTTAGGTATTTCCGAAAGGGAATTTAATATAAAGAAGTATTTACAGAATGAGAGAAAAGCTGATAAACCAAATAGGGGATAGTATACTAGCCATGATATTAGCAACAGAAGAAACCTCCTACCACCTCTAGACTTGTAAGGAAACAGGATAGAGGTGTTGTTAGCAGAAACCCAGGCTCCTGGGCTTTCTTGCAGATGCTAGAACCATGCAAAGCTAGAGCTAGACGAAGGTAAGGTGTTGTCTGACAAGGATCTGGAATTTTAGAAAAGGCAGGAGTTGCAGGCCATTCAGAAAATGGCTGCTAAGTAGAGAGTAAAAGAAATACCCAATCTCTTTCTTTCCATTGCCTTCCAGTCTCCCACCAGTTCTCATCGGCCAAACTAGCTAGAGACATTTGACAAAGAGTCTGTGAAATGAAGTCTCTAAGAGATGGATAGAAATATACTTGAAAGCAAACAAGAAATTACCAACACACTTAGTGACAAATTTTCCTAAATTTGTTAAAATCCATCACTCTCCAAAGGCAAGAATCTCTATGAACATCAAGCAGGATAAATATGAAGGAAACCACATGTGGCATATTATAGTCACACTTCTGGAAACCAGAAAAAAGAAAAACATTAAATGCACCCACAAAAAAAGACATTACATACAAGGGATCAATGACAGAATAAATGGCTGCCTTCTTATCAGAAATGATGGAAAGCAAAAGACACTTGAACATCTTTAAACCACTGATAGGAACATGATGAACCCTGAATTAAACATTCAACTCAAATATTCCTTTTCAAAGTCGAGATGAAATACATTCTGCAAGTAAAAAAAGAGGGAATTCATCACCAGCAAACCTACAAGATATGCTAATGGAAGTTCCTCAAGCTAAAGTGAAATTATGTCAGAAGGAAAAAGGAATCTAAGGAAGGAATGGAAAGTATTGGACATGCTTACTTTATGAGAGAGTATAAAAGACAATGTATTTATTTTTCATGTCTCTAAAAGACAACAGGTGATCTGATGCAAAAACAATGACATGTGACATATACTGAGAATTCTTATGAGAATGGGATTAAATTGTTGTGTCATGTATTTTTTGAAGTGGCACAATATTAATGCCAAATAACTAATGATAAGTTAGGACAGCGTGTATTAAGCCTTGAGCAATCACTAAAAATAAAATAAGGATAGCTAAAAAGCCAAGAGGAAATGAAAAATACTTTTAAATATTTAATTAATAAAATAATAATGGAAGAACAGAAAAACAAAAATAAATGAGACAAATATAAAACAGATAGTAAAATGGTACGTTTGAAGTAGTAGCAACAAATGTGACAGACCACACTATACAAATAAAAGCAATGGGGCAAATAAACAATAGATAGCCAGAGGGTAAGATTAAATTCAAACATTATAAATGGGAAAGGACTAAATACTCCAAAGGAAAGTATGACCAAGCCATATACTCTCTACAAGAGATGCACTTTAAATACAAGTTAGGTAGCTTGAAAGTGAAAGGATGGAAAACGTATCTGATGTAAACAATAAGCACAAGGAGGCTACTATACATATATTAATATCAGACAAAGTAGTTATGAAGGCAAGAAATATTAACAGAGATAAATATAGATAGTGAGTAATGATAAAAAGGTCATTTCACCAGGAGGCGTAAAATCATAAAATGTGCTTATACCTAATAACGGATCTATAAAAGACAGATATGAAAGCACTTAACCTACAGTAGACCATAAAAGCATCTTATGCATATCTGACAAAATCAAAGAAAAAAAGAGACAAATCTACGTCAGAATTAGATATTTAGTATCTCTTTTCTAGTTATTATTATTATACCAATAGGAATATATAGGAGGTCTGAGCAACAATATCAACTTCCTAAAACTAATTAATGTTTCATAAAACACTAAACTGAATTGAAAAATACTTGTTTACTTAAAGTGCACATGGAACATTAACCTACAAAGATATTACTTATACTAGGCCATAAAAGCATCTCCATAAATTTGAAAATACAGAAACAAATATGAGGACAAAAAAATCATATAGTCTGACGTCTAACCACACTAAAATCAAATTAGAAATCATTAACAATAGAATATTTTAAAATATCCCCAAATATTTTAGTGTTAAACTATATGCTTCTAACCCAGGAGTCAAATATGAAATACAAGCGAAATGTAAAAATGTTTAAATATCAAAACGTAATGTATCAAAATGTGTGGGATTGCAATTAAAGCAGCAATTTAGGGGGGAATTTGTAGCTTTAAAATGCTTTAAAATTAGAAAAGAGGAAAGAGTTAAAAATCAATTGTCCAAATTTCGATCTTAGGAAGCAGAAAAAGATGAGCAATTTAGAATCAAGCAATTAGAAAGGCATAAATACTAAAAAGAAGAAATCAATAAAATAGAAAACCATCAGTAGTGAAAATTAATAAAGCCAAAATATGGCTCTTTGAAAAAGACTGAAAATTCCTAAACCACTAGCAAGACTGATGAAGAAAGAAAAACAGGGAGAAAAATCACAAAGCACCCAAACTAACAATTTAAGGGAAAAAAGAGGACTCACTACAGACTCTGTAGATATTAACAGGATATATATGAAATGCCATAAATTACTTGAGGCCAAACAGATTTACAATTTAGATAAAATGAGTTTCTTGAAAAGACTATTTACCAAAAGCTGAAACAAATAGAAAATTTAACTGTGCATGTATCTATTTATTGAATTTGTTTTAAAAATTTTTCCCACAAAGGAAACTTCATACCCAGATTATTTGTGTGTGAATTCTACCCAACATTTTAAGAAAATAAGATAGAAAGAATTGGTCAAATATTAACAAATTTTATATTTGTGAATGGATAAAAATGTCTTATTCATGGAAAGAGGCTAAAAGATTGGGGCTACAAACCAAAGGCCAAATCTACACCACGTGTAGGAGATCTAGCCGAAATAAAATGAGAAAGGTTGGAAATAAAGGATATAGAACAGCTATTCCAGGAAACAGCTTATAGAATAAAGGAAATATCAATAATATAAATTCCTGACAATAAAGAATTCAAATGAAAAGTATTCAGCATTTAAAAAAAAGATTTTTATTATGATTCAGGCAACAAAATTTTAAGTCATAAATATTTATGCACTTCAGAGTCTCTTTGAAATAAATAAAGCAGAAAGTGTTAAAATGTTCAAATACATGGACAAACCTACACTCCTAGTTGGAAATGTTAATATATTCTAACATTGACAGATCAAGCAAGCCAGCCCATTAGGGATTTGACTAACTCATAAGGTTCCTTCAATAGTTATATTTAGAGAAACACTTTGTTACCAGCATAAAAAACACATAGAATTTTCAAAAATTCATAAGACATAGAAGTTGAGCATATTTATCACATCCCAGAAGAAAAATAAATTGTCAAAGTGAAATAATAGAGGCCACAATCTCTGATAAAATCAAATGAAATTAGAAATAACAAGAACCAACCAAAAATAATATTCTTGTGGAATTTAAAATTCAGACTTCTGAGTTACTTTTAGTATTAAAAGAAAATGGAAATTGAAAGTATAGGCTTTTTAGAAAAGAGTTATAATGAGTAGCTATGAATTAAAGGCTGTGGGATTTGGCAAAAGCAGTAACTAGTAGAATATTTATGTCCTTAAATGCACTTATTAGAAAATACAAAATATTTTCTAACAAATGACAATCCAAGATAAAGTATATAAGTTTAATTAAGGAAGAAGAAATAAATTTTTTAAAGTTGAATCGGAAACTAATTAATATAGAAAGAAAGAACAGACCTTAATAATAAACCAAACACTTATTCCTTGAGAAGGTCAACAAAACATGCAAAACCTCACAAATCTGATCTAAAGAAAATAGCATTAAGCATAAGAAATTACAAATATGGAGAGTTTTTAAATTATAAGAAAATATTATATAGAATATTTTACATTTGAAAATCTAAATGAAATAGATAATTTTCTAGGAAAATCATCAAAATTGACTCAAGAAACAGAACCAATAAACATGGCAGAAATGTGACATGTCTATTTCTAAAACAGAACCTGGATCAGGAATACAACTGGGTAGACATAAATCCAGACAACATCACTTAATAGAGGTATAACTTTAGGGAAGTTATAGAAGTATAACTTGGGCAAGTTCCTCAACTTCCCTGTGTATCAGTTTCTCTGGCAAAATGAGGTAATAATACTAACTACTATATAGGATTATTGTGAGGATAAAGTGAACTATATATGTACATATATACATAGCACTTGACACATAGTGAATACTCTATAGATTTTAGGATGTAGCATCACCACCACCACCATCACCACACCACTACCATCACCACCACCATTATCCCCATCACCATCCCTATCACCATCACCATCACCATCCCTATCACCATCACCATCACCATCATCACCATCACCATCATTATCACCATCATCATCACCATCACCATCCTCATTATCATCATCATCATCATCACCATCACCGTCACCATCATCACCATAACCATCTCTATCACCATCACTATCATCATCACCATCACCATCACCATCACCATCCCTATCACTGTCACCATACCATCATCATCCCTATCACCATCACCCATAATCATCATTACCATCACCATCATCACCATCCTCATCATCGTCATCACCATCACCATCCCTATCAATATCACCATCACTATCCCTGTCACCATCACTGTATCACCTGTTATCATCACCATCATTACCATCACCGTCATTATTATCATCATCATCATCAGATAATTTTATACTTGAGTTTTATCAAACCTCCAAGAAGATATCGTTCATTCAGTATTTAAACAGTTTGGGGCCTAAAAAAAAAAGACGAAATGTTGTTTCTAAACTCAGCCTTATGAATCTGGCATTACCTTAACACCGAGAAAAAGCTAGGAGAGCATAGTGCCCAAAAAAAAAAAAAAAACCTGTCAGAGCTCCTTCGTAAAACAGAAGAGAAGATAGCAAATCAAAGCTCAGCAGATGAATCACTGTGGTCCCCTTTAGTCATGAGGATAATGGCAAGCGCCCTCCATAGCTCTGAGATGTGGGCTGGCACTCCTCCCGCTGCTGCAGGATCACATCTTACTCATCTTTGTGTCAGAACAGCCTAGCATGAGCCCGGCCCATGAGACTAGTCAACAATCTAGGTGTACTTGGTATATACACACCCTCCCGCAGAGTCTTATCATCACTTGTAAAATCTGAACAAGTATTATTATCAGGCCAGGTGTTTGAAAGCATTGTGAGTCATGTCTAGGACATGACTCAGTGCCCGAAAGTCATTGATTGGGTCAGGTCCAATTGTTGGTTTGAACTCAAGTTTTTGTAGATGTTGTTTGATGTGTGTCCCTGTAGTCATCCCTCTTAATGGAGTAGGTATCTGAGATAAAGAGTTGAGGGTGGCTTCTCATCATGACAGCATCAGGAGCTTTACTCAGGGCACTAACTGCTCAATTTGTTTCTCTTTCTGTGGGACTCACAGGAGTGCACCTGCAGGAGGATGTCAGCTTGTGGCTGGCTTATATCTGGTTCTTCCATCCCATACGTTGTTTCTGGATGTTACTCCTCTTCTTAGCCAAATCCTCTGTTTCTTCACTGTCTCTAGCCAACCTCATTGGCATGAGGTTCCATTTTGGTCTCAGACACCATCCAACCTCTCCTTGGATGTTCCATTTGCATTTCATCTTTGATGATTCACTGTGCTTCAGTCCTTTTTATACCTCTGAAACTTCTATCCTTGGATTAAACTAAGTTTTAAAAGGCTTTGAATTATTTAATTATTTAAGGGACCTTTCGGATATGTATACAATTCTTATAAGTAAGCCTGTAATCTGTCAGTAGCAGGATTTGCAACTCAGTAGGCATGTTTTTCACATGATCATGGGATGCTTTTGAGTTCATTGGCTCACTCAAGCATGTAAAAAGCCTCGCTACACATTTTGCTGCATCTATGTTGAACAAAATAGGTTGAATCTGGTTTCATGAGATTGGGGAGGGTGAGGACTCAATGTCTCCTGGGTCAACAGGAACAAGGGTGGAACTTGAGGACTTCCAGGCTATCAAGGTGAGGCTGTCCTTAAGGCGGCAGCTGCCAGGATCTCACTGGCAGTGAAGAGGCCACCGAGATGGGGGATGTGGCCAAGTGCCACATGAAACTGCCAGGAACATGGGCGAGTCATTTAAAAAGATTCTTTATCCTTCATAAAGAACTGATGCTTCTGAGGCAGTTTTATTGAGTCAGAATAAGTTAATTGGCCATCGCTGTGTGGACCCTTTTCTATGGACATGTATGTGGCATTTTAGCTCCATTTTTATTTCTCAAAAATTTAGTGAGGATTGCAGTCTGCATTTAATAAAGTCCTCGTTAACCCAAAAGTATTACTGGTAGCTTTCCAGAATGAGAGAAACGATCTCCACCCTGACTTGCTGCTTTTTGTTTCCCGGTAGAACGTCCGTCCTGGGCATCTCCTTTGGGGCTGCGTTTCTCTTGCTGGCCTTCATCCTCTTCGTCTGCTTTGCTGGACAGCTTCTGGTAGGTATTCAAATGTGGCGCTTCTTTGAAAAGTATGCTCATTTCATGAAAGCTGATTTCTTGCCTAAAACTTTCCAAAACAAGGAGCTTATTGCTTTACCACTTCAAGAACTCCAGATCCCAGTTAAGGAAACACACACCCTTCAGGTCTATAACCAGGAATATAGACTGGGACCCCTCATGCACAACCAAGACACGAATATGAAGATGATTCAAAACGTTCGATGTCACATCAGAAGTTGCATTCTTGCTTATTTGGTGTCAATATATTTTTATCATTTCCTTTAAGTTTTCAGAGTATTTATAGCAGCAAATGCAAGTATAATATGAGGCTTTCAGTGTACAGGAGGATTAAAACTAACACAGGAGCAGAAAACCAAACACTGCCTGTCCTCACTCATAAGTGGGAGTTGAACAATGAGGACACATGGACACAGGGAGGGGAACATCACACACTGGGGCCTGTTGGAGGGTGGGGGAAAAGGGGAGGGATAGCATTAGGACAAATACCTAATGCATGCGGGGCATAAAACCTAGATGATGGGTTCATAGGTGCAGCAAACCACCATGGCACATGTATGCCTATGTAACAAACCTGCACATTCAGCACCTGTATCCCAGAACTTAAAGTAAAATTTAAAAAAAAAAGTAAACCTAATACATTGCTACATCCACTTTCAAGCTATAAAATGTTGGAGTAGTTGAAGAAAGCATACGTTAAAATATCTTTTATTAGTGTTTAATTTAAGCCAATCAGGTTTAAATGCTAGTTCTGGATATACAGATTAAACCTAAAATTGAAAGTCTAAAGCAAGTGTTGCTAGCTGGCCATGAGTCTATGAGAGCATCGTAAGGATGCAAACAATGGGATAGAAGGCCCTGAAGATAAGCCACTGTTTCGTTTTGTTCAATGGAGATGACCTGGGACAGAGAGGCCACTCTGAGCTTCTCAGCAGCTCTCTTCCTTGCCCCCATGGGCATTCTCAAGAGAAGCTTCAGAGATTTTTTTAATAAAAATTTTTACATGATAATTAATAACCTATTATAAAAAATAAATAGAAATGTTCTTTAAAATATTTTTCAATGGATGCATTTTATATGAGTTCTGCAGTTACAGACTACAGTCTAGATATTTTCACATTGTCAAAATTATGATTTCTTCTGCTGGTTAGACTGTAACAACGCATTTAGATGACACCGCCAAGGAAGCCTCCTGAGGTTTGTGGCCTGTCTGTTACCTCTCAGGAGTATTGTGGCTTCTATGAAAGAATTTTTTCTCATTCTGCATGCGTTTATAGTTTGCATCTGTGGCTTTATTGCAATGTTGTTTTGCTTTTCATAAAACACACTACTACTGCTAGCAACAACATCAGGACAGCGCGATAGTGGCCTCTTAGAATCCTCGTCCTCCCTTCAAAAGCTCTGAAAAGTGGCAGTCCTGACCCCCACGCTGTCCATTGCATTCCAGTCTGATGTGCTGAAAGGCTTTGGCCAAGGGTGGTTAAGATTCCAAAGCTTGTCTCTGCCTTTCCGCAGTCGACTGTAAGCACTTTGTCCTCTGTGCCTTATACCTTTGCAAACTTGTGTGGATTTTGTTTACTGTTTGATAGTTTAGATGTTTCAAATTGTATTGAAAGCTCTTCCAAAAATGGGACTGTGGCTTCTGCTTTACCCAAATGCACACATAGCATCTCGATTCTCTGAAACCCCCTGAAGACATTGTGGGTTGTATAGAGGAGGGAAGACCCTTGGTTAATATGAATCCACTCCGAAAGGCCCTGATGGAACTCTTTGGCAAAGTTTGAAAACGCTTATTGTAGAAAGAAGCCTGGTTTTCTATGTTCCCGGAATCATCCCTCAGGTGGAAAGGCACACAGGCTCCCCTGCTCTCTTCCTTGCCCCCACAAATCTCCTGAAGCCCATGTCTCAGGTTTCCAAAACAGGAACCATCATTGGTGGTTCCATTGGAAATCCCAACCTAGTTCTAATTAAGTCAGTTCAGATCATTGTGACTAACTAGCCATATTTATCATTTTCTATCCCAGGGAATCTGGTCTTGGATATGGGGGCATGTGGTATATTTAGGGTATCAGGCTGACTTTTTTTCATTCTACTCTCTAAGTTGTTATATTAAAGAAACATAGAGCTGGGGGCAGAAAAAAATATCTCAGGAACAACTCTGCTGCGTCTGTGGGAAAGCATTGTTCCTCTCTGGTGCCTCCCTTTCAGCCTCGCTGGAATCCCACGCCCTGCTGCCCCTCTCATAGCTCCTCCTGTGGCCAGCCTGAGGCCCCGGTAAGCTGTCAAGGTGACACCCACAGCTCCTCCTGCCCTCCCGTCCCTGGAGCTTCCCAGGACCCTGGCCTCCACAGGCCACATGCTAGAAAGTTCTTTTTGACTCCGTGGTATCACAAAGGGAAGATTTCAATGCTACAAATGCATTGGTGCTTACCTCCTCCTCACAAGAAGCCTGGATGGTGTCAAAGTGCCCAGGAAGCCTAGACGTGGCGACACTTGGTCCTCCTAAACTTGATTCCATAAGATCCGTGAATGAGGCTCCCTCTAGTGGCCAGCTGCAATTCCTCCTCCTTGGATGTAATCCATGAAAAAAATCAAGAAGGAATTCTTTTCACTTTAATAATAGGTCCTTTTTTACTGTTTAAATCATTCTTTAAGGATTTTTTAATTTGCAACATCAAATATATTGGTGTACAGCCAATTTAAGAAGGCTTAAGTGCACTCTGCACTCTGCCATCCAAATTCAGTCAAAAACTGCTCATCACAAATATTCCGCAGTGGTCGTGGAGAAACATTGTCACTTCCTAAGTGCTCATTCCCTGGCTTCTTAATAGCTTCCCAGTTGTGTAAGGTTTTATAATGATTTGCATTTATTATGAATTAAATACTGAGTTTATTAAAGAGTACTCAATACCCGAAACTTGCCTTCTATTAACGTATGGTAACTTTCTGAAAACTTCGATGCCAAAGACAGTATTTGTGCTCTAATACCAGCTTTCAGTTCTCCGTATGAAGAAATAACATAAAATGTAATACTTCATAAAGGAAGCTGAAGAGAGGTCAGCCTGGCTAATGTTTTCTTCCAAGAGCTTTGCCTCTGTCATTCTCTGTTGCACAGAAAGCGTAATGCCAATAAATCAAATTGATTGCTTGTTTTACAACTGGCCTTGATAAAAAGGTAGAAAAATATCAAAATAGGCAAAAAAAATGGTGATGATGAATTGCAGATTTTTTCCTGTTGATAGAAAAATCGTACAGGTATTTGTTCAGTGACATGTTCTCAAACACATGGCAGGCATTTCTTTTCTGTGATCATTATTTCTGTGAGAAGCCCAGCCCTCGCCTCCATCGGCCCCTTCACTCCCACCCGAGGCATGCCCCATGCTGGCTCCCTGCTACCCCCACATTGCCCAGGTCTCAGTTCTTGTGCACGTGGGTGGGCCCAGCCACCGGGCACCTTCCAAGATACCTTGAAACTGCACCAAGCCCTTCTTTTTACACCGTGGGACTGACAATCTGTGTCACGTAGCTTAGCCTCCATCATATAAGATCTCACTGAGACCTCTAAATTGTTTCTGTTTCCCCTTGAATATATAGAGTTCCTTGTACTGTAGCATTTTTATGGGGTCCTTTCTTACTTTCTCCTCTCATCCGGCTCTGGTTAGCACTCCCTCATCTCATGGAGGCCAACCTTTCTCAAGCCGAGTTAGGTGTCCCCTGCAGAACCTTCTCCAAATGTCCCAGCATGGGGACAGACTCTATGTGTCAATGATCACGTGGATGAGAGAAGGAATGTGAGTCAGTGGCCTTCATCACGCTGCGTCAAAATGCCTTGTTCACATATGCCATGATTCCTTGACTCTGACGTGCCTCCAGCTGTCTCCTCTGTTGGAAATTATCATCTAACTTTCATAATCCAACTCTGAAGAGCCCGCCTTTGCACCACCAACTCCTCTCATGCTGGCTGGCCGGGATTCCCATTTTGCGTTATTACTTTTATTCTTGTGGATGGAAAGATCTTCAGTGAGTTCACTGTAGCCCTATTTTGTTCATTGTACTACTTCAGGCACTTGAAAAACACAAGATAAATATTTAATATCAATCTGCTTGAAGGAATGTTGGGTTGCACCCAAGTGCGGTTTCCTGGTACCACTGCTCAGAAAACATTCCACCCCCATTCTCACCCCAACTGGACTCCTTCCGAACTTGAAGCTCTGAATCCAGCTCACAGTCATGGCATCCTGCTCCGCATTCTGGCGGGTTCCCAGCCTCTGCATCTGGGCCTGGCATCCTGATGTTCTCACTTGTTGGATCTCCTTAGACACCTCTGCCTCAGGTGCCTTCCTAGGCCCATATAGCAGCCCCTTCATCTCACCATTGCCAGCTATTCTCAGGCAGAGAAATATGTGCCCTAGGGGACCTTCTCCAGATGGCTTAGCAGGAGGGCGGGTTCTATGTGTAAAGGAATGTGTGGGTGAGAGAAGGGATGGTAAGTCGGTGGCCTTCGTCACACTGCATTGAAATTTCTTGCTCACATTCACCATGATTCCTTGACTCTGAAATGCTTTCTACATCGGATGCTATTTAGCATTTCAGAATTTAAAACTCAAGAGGTGAGAGGGAACCTAGAGATAACCTCATCCAGCCTCTAATTCTGTGGATGAGGGACCAAGGACTCCAAAGGTGCCATCCACTTAAGTGAGTTTTTATTTCCAATTATTTAAAATAAACATTTCCCCCCACCCTCCAACACACACACACACACACACACACACACACACACACACACACACAAAATGCTGAAGAAGCTGTAATCAGGCTTCTTGAGGATGCAAATGGAGGCTTTGGAGTAGAATCAGGAATGCAATGACTATGAGGTCTGCAAAGGCTTCCTATCCTTGGGTAAGAACCTTTGGAATAAATCCAAACTATTTATGATGGGCAAGATCCCAATGAGTGGTTCTGATTCCAGCCTCATCATAGTTTATAAGTAGTAAATGTTATATTAAAAATACCTACTTACTCTGCTAGGCACTTAGCTTCTACTGGCTCATTTATGGTCACAAGGGCCCTTGGAGGTAATATCCATTTGACAGTTTAATAGAACCGGGGCTCACAGATGCTACATAACTTGCCTTCCCAGTGGTATATAGCAAGTAGGTGTTGGAACCAGAATTGGAATCAAGCCTTGGAACCTTATAGTAGAAGCAGGTTGCAGAGGGTGCCAGGCTGTGTGTGGGGTGAGTCACAGGCAGACGGTGCCCAGCACTAGGCAGGGATGCCCATGTTCATGGACATGGACCAGCATGGCACCAAAGTTGCCTTGTGACTACTCAGCACCCATTGATCAAAATCACATTGGTAAGTCATGGTAACTTCACATAGTACCTATTCTTATTCTTCTCTACTCTAGTTTCCTAAAGTATGTTTTTCAGCTGTTGGTCCCATTTATTTAAAACTAGGTTCTGGGCAAAGTGTAAATTCATCTTAAAAGACATTTGATAATTTTTTTAAGTTAATTTATAATTGTGTTTAGATTAAAGTAATCTAGTAAGAAAGTACTCAGTATTATAATAATACTTTACAAAATGTTTTATACATATAATAGTCCTTCAAAGTATTTTCAGACATTATTTTATTTGATAATGAAAATAATCCATTTTATCTAGGCAGAAGCTAAGACTAGAATAAGAGATTCAAGTTCACATTTTCATTACAATTAGCAATTAAAAATAGTACTAGTTGTCATTGTAGCAGTAATAGTAATAAGTGCACATTCACAGTCAGATTTAACTTTCTAAACTACCTGAGGCAGACTTACCTTTCTATGATAAATACAAGAGAGTGACTCTAACCAAAAATTCCACCAAACAAACCAACCCCCAAAACACCTTTAGAACGCATATGCTGGATACGGCAAATGAAAATGCCAGAAAATATCAGAAGAAATTTTTCTCTCAGTGTTGTTACCTTGTGCTTTCAATAGCAGAGATAATACGATGCCAGCCCACCAACGTTCTTCCAGGCAGAGATAAAAGCGCAAATAGAGAGGTCGCCTCGGGAAAGGGAAAGTAGGTCACACAGCTAATAGAAAAGCTTTCTACCCCACAGCAGTGTTTTTCCCTTGAAGTCTGTTTTCTTTCCTGTCAATATCCCTCCACCATATTTTATTTTTGGTTAGTATTTGCCTGGTGTTCCTTGTTCCATCTTTCTACTTTCAGCTTTTCCTTGTCAATGAAAAGGATATAGGTTTTAGGTGTGTCTCTGGTGAACAGCATGTAGCTCTATGTCCTTTTCTCTGATCCAAACATCTCTCTCTCTTATTTGACAAGTGTGATCCATTTACCTGTATTATAATTATTACTAAAATCTTTTAAAACCCAATTTGTATCTTTTTGCTTCTACTTGTTTTTCCTTCTTTTCTGCCTTCTTTTGGACTCCTGGAGTTTATTCTCTTTTATTCTCTCTAGTGACTTGGAACTTATATACTCTAGTTTGTTTTTTCAGTTATTACCTTAAAACCGTAACATGTACACATGATTAACAAAGTATATTATTAATAATATCTCCACTTTCTTGTTGAACAATACAGGGACCATGCTCTGAGTCTGGTAATTTTTCTCATCTTCCATACTAGCATGGTTTAAATTTTTCTAAACTTAAACTGCTCAAATTATTCAATGTTTATTCCTGTTTTTGTTAAACAATGTATTTGTTTACTATTTTTTCCAAATACCATTCCACCTTTCTGGACTCAGTTTCCATATTACTAAAATGCTTCCTTTTATAATCCTTCCCATGAGGGTTTGTATATAATATACCCACTCAGATTTTGTATTTTAAAAAGTCTTTATCTTTTCCCCATTGTGATTATTTATAATTTTTTCTAACATTCTAAAAACAGGATTCCATAATTTCCTGGCCTCTGTGGGAATGAGATTAACTCTCCTGTCCATCTAACTGTTGTAGACACTTGGTCCCTTGTCTCGGTGGGAGTTTTTGTAGGATTTGCTCTTTGTATCATGGGCAGTAGATTCCAGGTGTCAAAGTGCAGCCTGACTTTTATTTTTGAGACTCAGCTGTGTATTCTCTACCACAGACCTCATAATCCGCTCTAGGTCTGCAACGTCATTGTCCAATATCTCCTTGTGTTTTGTCTCTTCCCTGGTCTTTCTGTTCTGCTTTTTTCAAACTTTTATCAGAGGTATGTTGAATCTCTTCATCATATCCTCTGTGTCTCAGTCTCTTTTTCCTATTTTCCACTTCTTTATCTTTCTGTGCTATTTTGTGGTTTATTTCCTGAGATGTTTCATAGCCTCTCCCATTCACGGGCAGTTCATCCAGTTCCTCAATAACCATTTAGTTTTTAATTTCAATATCTACATTTTCATCTCTAGAAAGTTTATGTGGCTCATTTTAAAAAATACTTGTTATTTTTCCTTAACAACTCACTCATTCATATGGATTATAATCCCTCTTTTGTTACTTTAATCTTAATTTAGAAGCTATTTCAGGTTGTTGTCGTATCTGCAGATCTCGTGGTGCTAATTCGACTACCTCTAATGTCTTTTGATTCTTCCTCATATGGTCCATTGCCTTAGGTACTTTATAATTTGGTTTTTATTGTGAGGTTATGTTCAGGAGGAACTGCCCCAGCCCCCAGATGGGACATCCCTGCACACTGTAGTCTAAAGTATCATTTACCAGCAGTGTCATTCTTGCTTCTGCCATAGCCCCAAGGATTTTCTCTGGTTTTGACCTAATTAACAACCCTTCAATTTGGAATTCTTATTATGAATCAGGTAATGTGATTTCAAACCCAACACTTTAGGGTTTGGATTGATCCTTGGAAGCTTATTGACACTTCCCTGAGCTAGTGAATGGGGCTCTTCTAGACTTCTTTGTACAGAAAGTATAGCAGTTTGAGGCTCTGGATTTTATTCAAGAGTCTTAGTTGCAGCTGTCCACGTTTGGCTGGCCCAAGGAAATATCTTCTTTTCCCTATGGGTGTTAAAAGCTCACCCCCTAAGTGCCATAGCCTGAGTCCTGATCCAGGACACTCCTGGACCCACCCCACAGCCTCAGTTCCTTTATCACTGAGCTCTCTCTTTGTTTCTGTGCCCTGGTAATTTCCCTTTGAGTCCATCATTAAAAATAGTAAACAGAATCAACACGTATTTGACGAGTTCCTACCATTTAACAAACACTATACTGGCCTCTGGGAAAACAGAGACAAGTGCGATATGGTCACTGTCCTCAACCACCTCTGCATTTGGCCAGAGACAAGCATGTCAGCAAAAATGATGCAATGTGGTACCCAGTGGAGCAACAGTGCAGGGATGTGGCTCACCCAGGGCGAAAAGAAGAAACAGGTTGATTTTGTAAAATATGATTGATTGGCATAAAGAAGTCTTCCTATGGGAAATTAAAGGACAATTAAATAATCAAAGTACACATCACAGTCTTTGTGACATTAAATGTTACAAGTAATTATTGCTCCGGCTTATTCCTGCCATTCAGAATGACGGTCCTCAGCTAATTAAAATGCCAAAGTAGATGTTCCTTTAGGCAAATACACAAAAGTACATGTTTATATGAAACATGAAACCACTATATTTTCCAAGCAAGATTTTTAAGATGGATTTCGTTTTTCTAATAATAAAAGTTTGCTTCTCAGCCACTCTGATATCTTTATAACTTTTCTGGATTTTTTTTTTCATTTTATTAAGTTCACTTAATATGAGCTTCTACTTCTCTTCAAGTGTCTCATCTTATTGTTAAAATGGAAACTAATGAAACTGTAAATGAAGTCTACTTTTATAATGATTAAGTTAAATTATGAAGAATTAATTTTAGAGTGAAAAATTTAGATTTAACTTAATTTGAGAGACTACCAGTTGTTTCCATTGCAAGTGGATCAAAACAAGGGAAGAAAAAAAAAAGGAAAGAGAGAGGGAAGGAAGAGAAGCTGGCTGATATTTTTGGTGGAGCATGTATGAACATTTTGTTTTTCTGAGGAAGATCTGCATGTACTGGATTAAGAACATTGGGATTCATCCCACGTTTTTCCTACCACACCCCACTGCTCGTTGTCCCCATCATCAATTCTATGATAGGATTTTCCTTTTTTTTTTTTTTTTTTTTCTGAGACACAGTCTTGCTCTGTCACTCAGGCTGGAGTACAGTAGTGCAATCTCAGCTCACTGCAACCTCTGCCTCCCGGGTTCAAGCAGTTTTCCTGCTTCAGCCTCCTTAGTAGCTGGGATTACAGGCACCCGCCACCACACCCAGCTTATTTTTGTCTTTTTAGTAGAGACAGGGTTTCACCATGTTGGCCAGGATAGTCTCAAACTCCTGACCTCATGATCTGCCCATCTCAGCCTCCCAAAGTGCTGGGATTACAGGCGTGAGCCACAGTGCCTGGCTAGGATTTTCCTATATATTTCTTCTTTTATTACATCTCCCACTGCATTTAGTATCAATCCCTTGTTTGTTAATGGATGAATGTGATATTCACATCCAAGTGCATTTCTAGAAGGTACACGGTGAGCTCACTGTAAGTAAGAGCCGATCATGGGGTTCAGTGAGATGATCAAGGAAGGGAGGAAACAGATGTGGTTGAAATTATGCCAGGAGTTAAACCAAAGATCAAAGAAAATGACTCCACTGACTGGGCTCACAGCAGGCATTTTCTCATTTTCAGTTGAATAGTATCTTCCAAATAAAGGCCAAAATATTTTTTGAGATGTTGTCATTTATAACATTTAATTAGGATGGTCGGAATTTTGATAAACATTTTTCCACCAGAGCCTTTAATACTTAATCAAAAACAGGATAAACTGAAGCCAATGATCATATCAAGAGCCAAGTTGTAATTTTTCTACAGAGCTACACACTGAATCAAGGGTCTCCATTTTTCTTAATCAGGTTCCTTCCATTTTAGAATCTTAGTCCTGTTTCTCCTCTTATCCCCATCATTGGTTTCTTCTGCTCCCCCCACCAGCTTGATCCTCCACTTCCTCTTTCATCCCTGTCATTGCAACTGTCACCTCTCTGTTCTCTTCTACTTTCTTGTCCTTGCCAGCAGCAATGCCTACCAATTTTTACACTTCAGAACAGGTTTACTTACCTTGTCACTGCTTGGTGACAAGGAAAGATACCGCCTGTCTCCCTGACCTCTGGAACAACACATTTGGCATAAGTTTTAAAACAATTGTGAGGGAGAACTTTGAGGTATGCATGGAAAATGCATGGGTGAATAATTGAACCAAGCGCATCCTGAACCTGTTGTGCCAAACCCATGTCTGCCAAACCCCCATGCGTCTAGTAAGTAGCTGCAAGTGCTGCCGATTCGTCATTTTGCCTGGCATGTCACACGAACAGAAAAAAATTCCTGCATATCTGCCCGGGTCTGTTTTAGTAAGTTACTAGCCTATGAGCAGAATATAACATATTCCTATTAGATTAGCATATTTGACAAGATTATCACCACGTATTTTTCTAAATCTTCAAACACAGTAACTTGTTTTAATTTTGTAATTTCAAAAATTTGTCTGTGTAATAACTAGCTAATATTTTACCTAATTGACAGTGATATGCAATCTTAGCTAGATGTACATTTTCCCCTGAAGTAATAAACTTTTTAAATGTTCTACTGTTAACATTTTCATTATCATATCTATTGATAATTTCTGTGTACAGAAATTATCATAATTTCACAAATATAAGAGCATTGATTTTAATAATTTTCTCTTAAAGGTACTAACTGTAGTCAATCTGGATGTGAATATATAAATACTGTCTTAATTTGTGAGAATCAAACCAAATGCCATTATCTAATGGAATCTGAGCTAGATGAGCATAATATTTCATTTGAAGCTCGGCTCTTCATATTGTATTATAGGTTGGTGCAAAAGTAGTTGCGGTTTAAAGGTAATGGCAAAAAACAAAACAAACAAACAAAAAAAACTCAGCTACTCAGGAGGCTGAGACAGGAGAATCGCTTGAACCTAGGAGGCGGAGGTTGCAGTGAGCAGAGATCGTGCCATTGAACTCCAGCCTGAGTGGTGAGAGAGCAAGACTCCGTCTCAGGAAAAAAAAAAAGAAAAAACAAAACAAAACAAAACAAAAAACCTTCTTCTACGGAACACAGATCTGACTGTGTTTTGTGATATTAGTATTATTAGAAGTAGCATGCATTAAACAATAATGATAACCATTCGTGGGTGGATGTTCTCTGGCTACCTGACCCTCTAAGATGCTGCATGTTCAGAGCATTAAGGGACATCTTGCTGCATGACAGATTTCCTGCCATCACCAACCCCTATCCAAACCTGCTCTTAAGTAGAAGCGTCAAGTACAGATCTGGTTCTTCTGTTGCCGGTGATCAGATGTCCTGCAGAGCTGGGCCGAGGGCGCCCCCTGCCGCCAGTCAGCAGTCCAGCTCTGGGCAGCCTGTGCGGCTGAGGGCAGCAGTGGCTCAAGCTCCCTGGTAGGTACTCAGAGAAATGAGACGAGGGCGCAGGAAAATCAGCCCAAGAAGTGAACCCGGAACCTGGTCCTGCGTCTCCCTCAGGGGGGCATGTGCGCTGTACACAAACATTGTTCATCTTTTCCTATCAGGAGCTGGAAGGAAGAAAAAAAAAAACATGGTGGAAAGGAGTAGAGAGGAGGAGATTTTGTTGTTGTTTACATAGATATAAAGGAAATAGGATTTTGGTCACTAAAATGTTTCTAAGAAACATTGTGTTTTCTTCATTGAAATAACAGGAAGAGCTAACACTTGTAAGTCCTGTTGCACGCACCTTCTCTAACTCGTTTAAACCTCTGCAAAGACAGAGGAGGCAGGTACTGTTATTATCCCCGTTTCAGAGAGGAAGAAACTGGGACCCCATTTCAGAGAGGATCATTAATTTGCGCAAGTTTCCCAGCAGTAGAGGTTTGAAGCTAGGCCATGGCTGATTCTTTAACCTTCTCAACTCCTCTCTCCTGTGTTTAGACGATCATTCAACTGTTGTATCAACATTGAACATACAGCAATGCTTAGGGCAACAATAATTTTAGGAACAATACAAAAATAAGATGTGAAAGAAGTAGAGAACTGAAAGCGCAGCCTATTTGTGCTGTTCAGGAATATTCTTTATTTGAATTTGAATTTCACTGATGTCACACCAGCTTTGTTTGCCAATAGGTTAACTTGGTAGTATCGATCAAAGGGCATAATTTATGTTATTCCTTCTTCTGAATTTCTTGAAATCATCACCTTGTTTTGTTTCCAAGACACATAGCCTTGGGACCACAGGCCCGTTAGTGTGAAGATAACAATGTCAATCCCTGGAGGACTTTTACTTCCTGCTTCTCATATCAGATAACGTATGCAAATTATGCCCACGCAGCATCTGCATAGGCAGAGTTGATGTCACCCACAGTTCAGTGGAACTCTGTGTACTGCTCCACACTCATACCTGGGAGAATATGGTGAGAATCCTTGGAAAGGTGGCCCTCAAGATGGGTGAGCTTATGCACTGAGACCCCATGGTGAATGGGGAGCAAATGCTGGCTGTCGTTCCCCAAAGATCTCAATTCCTTCTTGTATCAAAAAAGTTTCCCCAACCCCGATATGTATAGCCGCATATTCACAACAGCCAAGAGGTGAAGCAACTCAGTGTCCATTTTATGAATGGATAAAAAAAAGTATAGATCCATACAATGGAGTTTTATTCAAGCTTTAAAAAAGAAGGAAATCTTGGCATAATGCTACAACATCGTGATCTCTGGTGACATTATGCTGAAAGAAATAAGCCAGTCACAAAAGGAGAACTACTAGATGGTTCCACTTATAGGAGGTCTTAGAATAGTCACAGTCATGGAAACAGGAAGGGGAATGGTGGTTGCCGGGGGCTGGGAGGAGGGAGGAACGGGGAGTTGTTTTTCCATGGGTATAGAGTTTCAATTTGGTAAGACTGAAAATCCTAGAGATGTTACACAACAATGTGAATGTGGTTGTCACTACTGAACTGTACACTTGAAAATGGTTTAAAGGGCACATTTTATATTATGTGTTTCTAACACCGTTAAAAATTGTTTGGAGGGAAAAAAGGAGCTTCTCCGTGTGGGAGAAAACCCCCACAAGACCAGACGAGACCACACAAAGCCATCAAGCCTCGTGCCTGAGATTTTCAGACACCGTATTTGTAAGTTCAGGCGCCAAACTAAGTCTGTGGCCTGGGCTGTATTCTTGTAATCTGCTAATGCAGTGTTAAAAGGGTTAGGAGATGTGTTGATCGCTTGCCACATAAATCAGCTGAATAAATGATAACTTTCATCATAGCTGTGATCAGAGACCCAACACATCCCCCAGGGTGATTTAATTAACTGACATTTTTCCTTTGAGAAAGGAATCACTTAAAAACATAATTTCAGGTCTGTTTTAAAAGACATACAAGCACATTGTACCTTTGTCATAGGCATTTAATTTGTTCTCAATTGGTAGCAATGATGCCAACATAATTTTAATAAGGTTTGTGACTTCGTATGGGTCCCCAGGGGAGGATAGAATCTACATGTTTAGTCTATGAACAATGTTGGTGCTTCTTGTGGTTGTAAACATTGTCATCAAGAAACTGGAGAGAAGTCATCAGCTAGCAATGCTTCTCTTTTTCTTTCTCTCTTCTCCTAGCAATGCAGCAAAAAAGCCTCTCCCCTGCTCATGTGGCTTTTGAAGTCCTCGGGCATCATTGCCAACCGCCCCTGGCCACGGATCTCTCTCACGATCATCACCACAGCCATCATATTAATGATGGCCGTGTTCAACATGGTAAGTCCCAGAGCACGGCCGTGTTCAACATGGTAAGCCCCAGAGCATGGCCGTGTTCAACATGGTAAGCCCCAGACCACAGCCGTGTTCAACATGGTAAGCCCCACACCATAGCTGTGTTCAACATGCTCAGCCCCGGGGTGAGTCAGGGCTCACAGCAGGCAGGGCGTTCTTCCCTTCTGGGACCTGTTCTGTGGAATTTTGGAAACTTGCATTTGGCTCCTTTGCAACACCAGTTGCTGCCTATTAAATTTAGCATCTCTTGGCTACAGCAGTCATTTCTCTAAGGAAAGGGGTGCTTTCACAGAGCCACCTTGAGAGACTGGGTGACTCCTTGGATCAGTTCCCCACTTCCTTGCTCATGGTGGCCCCTCAACAGGCTACAGAAATAACTGCAATGTCTTAAGGATAGTCATGAGGGACAAAGGAACCCTCAAACTAAGGAGAGTGCGGTGTCCTGCCCTGGAGTTTAAATGATGCGATTGCAACCCCTTGCTCCCCGTCTCACCAGCTGCACGACTAGAAAGACGTTTTCATTGAACTCCACAGGCTCCATTTTCACTTCTTTGAAAGTGGGAACCAAGACTTCTCTACCAAGGTGGTTCTAAGGATTCAATGAGCCAGTGTTCCCACCACACTTAGGACAGTCCTGGCCATTTTGTAACTATTGAACCAATGGCCACTCTGACTATATCAGTCTCATCAGTGCCGGTTATCTCCCCCACAATAGACACTTGGCTCATCAGGGTGCTTTGAGACACGTCCTTATTGTTCTCACATCAGCAGCAGCAGCTGTAGGAGATCTGATGCTTCCTGTAGTGGAGGCTTCACTCACTGTGGGAAATGCAGTGTTAGGAGATGTAGTCCTTGCCTTCCAGGGACCCAAAGCCAGGTTGTGGTGACAGACCATATATTATTTCATAATAATAACGTCGTTTTTATAAAGTAGAAAGCATTCATGCAGCAAAATGTAATATTTATTGTATATAAAGATGTGTCTGGTATGTGCTGCATGCTCAGACCCCAAAGACAGTTCTCTGCCTTCCAGGAGTAGGAGTAGGAGACAGACAGCTGGGTAACCTCATCATCAAGTCATTCTGAAATGAGGAGGTGAAGGCAGCAACAGAGGCATGAGGGGAAGGGAGAGCAGGGCCTGCTCGATGGAATCCTGGAGGGCGGAAAGGAGGAGTCTGCCACATGGGCCTGGAGGAAGTGAGGGGCAAGGGCAGGTGGGCGGAAGGGGAGAAGGTGGGATGTTTGCATCTGGGACAAGAGTAGAAATTCATATTACGAAGTAGAGAAAAACAAGGCTGAAGAAGTGGGTTAGGACCTTGAATGTTTACATGGGGTCAGTCCTCCAGGTCACGCGAGAGATCGTAAATTCCTCTCAAACACCTGCAGATTCAGGTGAGGGTGATGCCACCTGGACCCCAGATGGGCCAAGCACTAGCAGCAGGGGTGGGATGGCCTCTCCATCGCTTTGTGTAGCCTGGAAATTGATCTTAGTGACACCTGCAAAGGGGCCTTCAGAGAGAAGCTGTAGCTTGTCCTCCCTGCTGTCTAGAGGTGAATGTGTGCAATTCCCATAGGTTTTCCTGTGTCATGAGTTTGGGGACAAGTATGCTGGCAGCCCTACCTCACCTGCCTGTGTGTCCCAGCTCCATTTCAGGAGCTCCCCAAGAAAGAACATGAGGCCAGCCCTGATGTGGGCTCCCCAGGCATGCGGGCCACTGAAAGGTGCCACCACAGCTACCTCCTCCAGCCACCTGCTCAGCCTCCAGAGCAGCTAGTTCAAAGGCTCATCTGTTGCTGGGGAAGGAGGGGCTCACCAGGCAAGTCCATGCAGGCCACAGCCTCCCAGGGCTAAGGCAGGCCCTTGGCTGGCAGTCCCCTGTGGAGAGGTCCTGACAGGCCAGGTCCACCGCTGGAAGCCCTCCTCCTGCCCTTCTGTAAGATGAGCGAGTGGCACGAAGTGGGTCTCCCCTTCTTCTTAGGTGTTTGCATCACCCGAGGCTCATTTTCTGCTGCAGGGATCATAAGGCCTCCCTCTGGGGGAGGAGGCCTCCTCTTCTAGGTCTCAGGCGTGCCTGGATGGTGACGTCATTTATTTCCAATTAGGGCTTAATCCAGAGGGAATGGGAAACAGCTGAAGAGGGAAAATGTGCCATGTCTAGACAACAAGCAATTCCCTGGGGTACCACTGGGCTCCAGAAAGATAGAAACGCCAGGGCTCAGGTGGAGACCTGCTCCATTCATCTACCTGAGGCACCTGCTCATAGGAGCCAGACTGGCCAGCCAGGGTATTCTGCCTGAAGAATAGGGTTGGGGGGTGGGGGTGGTGGGGAGTGGTTCTTGCTATGGTCCCAGAGCTTTCTTCAGGGGGACAGCCTCAGGGTGGGGAACTCAAGATGAGAGATTTAAGACAGGGACAGGAGAGGCTTTCTTGAAAGAGCCTTTCTGCAGACACACCACGAGCCACAAGAATGCCTCAGCTCTCTGCATAGGCAATTTCCTGGATACTGCAAGGATGTGAAGAAATCACAGGGAAGGAACCTGGACAGAGAGAGAGGCAGGCAAGGGGCATTGGCCTGAGATGCCAGAAGCATGAGTGTGTTTTCTAAAATGGGTTTTTCGGGCTCGACTTTGTAACCTGCATTTATGCATTAGTCCTGCTCTTCCAAGATCCAGCTCCCCAGGAAAGTGCACTGCCAAGCACCAAGTGGACTTTGGTAGATGAAAGCTGTGAGAGAGACTGGGTCGGAAGTTGACTCCGTAGCCAAGGGGCTGAGGATGAAAGCACACTTGAAGGGCAGCAGGGTGCACAAGCTAAGGTTCCAATTTACTCAGAACCCTTGGGTGACTGACACATGCCCGTAAAATTAAGCCGCCTCCTGGCCCGTCAGGAGTGTGTTCACCATGCATGCAAGCAAATTGAGCACACTTCCTGAGAGTTGACCTTCACTGGCCAGTAGCAGCACATATGAGTTAGGGGACAATACATTTAATATCATATACACACACGTAAGAGTGAGATCATTTTTTCTTTCTCTCATTGTATAAATTTCAGTTGTGGAACATGATGTTTTGATATACATATAAATTGTGAAATGATTACTGCAGGCAAGCAATTTAACACATCCATCACCTTCCACATAGCTTCTTGTGTGTGTGATTAGAGCACCTAAAATCTACTCCCTCAGCAAATCTTAAATACAACAGAATATTATTAACTAAGTCCTCCAGCTGTGCATTAGAAATCCAGATGCATTCATCCCACATGACTGCAGCTTTGTACCCTTTGACCTACATCTCCCCATTTCCTGGCCTCCCCAACACCTGGTAACCACCATTCTACTCTCTGTTTCTGTGTATTCAACTTTGTTTTATTCCACGTATGAGATCATGCAGTATTCATTTTTCTGTACGTGGCTTATTTCACTTAGCATAATGTTCTGCATATCCATCTATGTTGTTGCAAATGACAAGATTTTTCTCTTTTTTAAGGCTGGATAATATTCCATTGTGTATGTGTGTGTATCAAAATTTCTTTTCTTTTCTTTTCTTTTTTTTTTTTTTTTTTTGAGATGGAGTCTCGCCCTGTCACCCAGGCTGGAGTGCAATGGGGTGATCTTGGCTCACTGCAACCTCTGCTTCCCAGGTTCAAATGATTCTCCTGCCTCAGCCCCCTGAGTAGCTGGGATTTCAGGCACCCACCACTACGCCCACCTAATTTTTGTATTTTTAGTAGAGATGCGGTTTCACCATGCTGGCCAGGCTGGTCTTGAACTCCTTACCGCGTGATCCACTGCCTCGGCCTCCCAAAGTGCTGGGATTACAGGTGTGGGCCACCATGCCCAGCCCAAAATTTCTTTATCTAATCATCCATCAATAGATAGATTGTTTCCGTATCTTGGGTGTTATGAATAATGCTAGAATGAACTTTGAGGAGATCTTTGTTTTTTTTCACATGCCCTAGGAAAGTGCCTTCCATTCATTAGTTATTAAATGAAAGAATGAGTGAATGAATAGGTAAGCATACAGCCCTTTAAATAAGAAACGATTTCTTTTCGTAACATCTAGTTTGACCTTATAAAACCAGGATTTATCACCTAATTCTTAAAGACGATATAAATGAGAAACAAATCTGGTTTGGAAGCTAACTCTATTTTGTATAGCATAATTAGTCATGATTGACAGACAGTTCAGTCACTGTCTATAAATGTTTGACAAGCTGATCATTTAGGAGGAGACATTCTTTCAACAGTAGCTACGATCCTTTAGAGAGAGAACACCTGCCTTCAGCAACAGAAATATGTCTTCCAGTGTTGTTTTCCTTCCTCCACAGAAGACACATTAAAAGTATGATGGATGACCCTTGAGGTGTATTTCTTTCTCAAAAATCATTCATCACACTTTTTAATACTTTTAATGTGCCTTCTGCAGATTTTCCACATACCAAGCTGCCTTCTGTAGCAGTAGGAGCAGGAAATAAGCTAAATTACCTTCCCCCACTTTTCCTGTCTATCGATTAAGGGGGAGAAGAAATCAGAGCTGCTCAAGCACTGAATTCCTCCAAGAGTGCAGAAAAATACCATTTGTGTTGATACCTGGTGCCATGAACCACACGGGTGCTCCTCTTGTACTTATGTCAAAGAAAAATCATAAAACTGTAGGAAAGTTGGTGTTAGGTACAGAAAGGAAGTAACATGACCTGGCTGTAGAGCCTTGTTTATAATGTCTTATTAATCACAGAAGAGGCAGGACTTGTCCATGGGGCTCTGCCTCTGGCCACACCTGAGGATCTGCAGATGCCCTGGGCCCCTGAGCTCTGACTGTGTGAGGCAGAGGCAGTGCCCGGGGCCACACACAGGTGGTGCTGATGCAGCACTCAGACTGCCCAGGCAGACAGGCAGGTTAGGAGGGAGCACCTGTGCAGGGTGGTGCAAGGGAAGCATACTCCTGTCACTCATGTCAGGAAGGCGACACCTTCTGCTGAGGATGTGAGTGAAACCTAGTCTTTACCTACATGCAGTTCAATGGTCCCAGGGTTGTTTCCCTTTTTACCTAGTCCCACTTTAACCTGCCCATCCTGGAGCAGTTTCTGGTTAAAGGAGTACAGCTTTTCATGTTTTTCTCCGTATTTTTTTTTTTCTGAACACATTTTCCAGACTGATGGAGCCCCATCCCCAAGTAGTATTTCTATTTCTCAGTTGTTAACCCAGTGAGACTAATCCAGGCATCGGACTCACATTTCAGCAAGAATAACAGTTATTTGTGTTGGTGGAGTGGGGGGCTGTGGGCGCGCATATGCTTTAAGTCACGGGGAAGAACATTTAATTTGCTCTCAGAAAACTTCATCGTTTTAAAGACATAGCCTCAATCATGTCCTCATGTATAGCACCTATGATTTTTTTTAAGTTTTCCCTTTGAGACAGAGGAAGAGTGCTTTCATTTTCTTTGTTTTTTTTGTTTGTTTGTTTGTTTGTTTGTTTGTTTTTCTGTTTCTAATGTATTTTTTTTTTTCCGAGACGGAGTCTCGTTCTGTCGCCCAGGCTGGAGTGCAGTGGCGGGATCTCGGCTCACTGCAAGCTCCGCCTCCCGGGTTCACGCCATTCTGCCTCTGCGTCCCGCGTAGCTGGGACTACAGGCGCCCGCCACCACGCCCGGCCAATTTTTTGTATTTTTTAGTAGAGACGGGGTTTCACCATGTTAGCCAAGATGGTCTCGATCTCCTGACCTCGTGATCCACCCACCTCGGCCTCCCAAAGTGCTGGGATGACAGGCGTGAGCCACCGCGCCCGGCCTCTAATGTATTTTTTAATTATGTAAAATATATATAAATAAGGTATATTATTGAACAATTTTTAAACATACAATTTAGTAACATTAAGTACATTTGCAATGTTGCGCGACCATCACTACCATCTATCTCCAGAGCGCTTTTCATTTTCCCTACAGCAACTGTGTCTCCATGAAACACTCACTCCCCATCCTCCCTCTCCCCAGCCCCAGGTCACCATTGTGCTGCTTCCTATTTCTATGAATTTGCCTATTCTAGGGACCTCACATGAGTGGAGTCACACAATATCTGTCCCTCTGTGTCTGGCTCCTTGCCCCTGGCATCGTGCCCTCGGGTGTTCCTTTTCTTCTGGAAGCCCCAGTCCCTCTGCAGCCGGTGAGCCTTGGTTTGCCCTGCGTTTTTCCAGCCAGTGGCAAGCAGCCCTTATTAATTGCCTCTCTGTCATCGCTTGCCATGACTCTGTACCTCAAAGGGGAGAGATGCATTAGGAGTAACATGTGACGGCTTGAGGCTGCCCTGACCTGTCCCTGCTGTTGACTGGGTGGATGGGCTGGTTCATCCCGAGGCTCCACGTCAATTTCCAGTCACTGATATTTATTCCCAGCCTGCATTTTAATGACCCTTACAAAAGCCAGGGTCAACGGGAACAGTGTGTTCAGAGAACTGGCTTTTTAAATCTCATTACTCATTGGTATTGAATGCCAAAATGTCCAAGTCAGTTTTATTTCCAATGAATTGTGCGATTTTAACAGGATATCTTAAACACTTGATGTTTATCCATGTGATACCAACACCTCAATCAAAAGTGGAGAAAAACAATTGGTTGTCCATGCTTGTTTCATACGTAGTGTTTTTTCCATCTTAGTCTCCAGCTAGCTGTTGAGAATCACATATGAGTGGCCGAATGTGCTGCCATTTTATTCCTGACATTTTGAGAATGTTGTCACTTGATTCCTCACAGCATTTTGCAATTTCTTCTGAGAAATTTCCAAGAAATTTATTATAAGTAAAGCATATATAAATCTGTGAGCCACCCAGACAAGGAGTTAGCCATAGTTAACTATAGTCTAGTCAGGTAGACTTCTAATTCCAACCAAATGACAAACACAATGATGTCATCAGGCATAAAACAATACTAAAGCACCTGTTCACAATTTAATGTGATTCGAAAAATGTAATTCTGATATGTTTTAAATTGCCTGAGAAATGTAAAATTTGCAAGTAAACTAAAAATATGCAGTGTTCATTAGCATTTTATTTAGGATGTTTTGAACAGATTGATGACATCATTGTCCCAATTGTGACAAAGGATGTGGAAAATTAAATTGGGTCCAGAGAAGAGCTGCCTAAATCATTATGATGCTAAAAATATTTTCAGTGGAGAAAGTTGGGGCAGTTTTACCTGGAGGGAAGGTGGGCAAGGGATTAGTAACTCTCTTGAGTATTTGACTGGCTACAATTAGGGAATGACATGAGTTTGTTACTTTAAAATGCAAAGAAGACGGAGGAAGGGAAGCTGATTCAAAATTGTAGTATGATTTTAGACAGAATGAAGAGTTTCTTGAATTTACGGGTAGTTGATATTAATAAATACTAGAAAGACATAGCAGAAGTGGGTTAGGAAACGTTGTGTGTAGTGATTGGAGTTTTCTCTTGTACTTTAAGTTCAACCATCATATTTATTGCAAAACCTCCTTGCAAGACACATTTTTCACAAAGTAAACTACTCATTCATTGTATGTCAAGAATGCAACACTTCATTTTACCTAGTTTTTTGCCTATAGGTGATATATAATCAAGAAGTTTTTGTTAATTATTTTAAGATCCTTGGCACTTAAGACTAGTAACCCACCAAGCTAAACAATCTCCTTTTGTTTGCCATTTATTGATTTTTTAATATTTAAATCAATTGAATTTTTGGTCTATCAAATCTAAATCTAAATCTGTACCCTTTTGGAGCCTGATGTTTGCCAAGCAATTATTCCATTCGTATAAGTTTTTCCAAAATGTTAGCACATTTGTAGTTCAGCCAGGGATGTGATGATTTTTACAAGTTCTTTCATCATACATAAAGAAATCTACTACGTTTCTTTGATGCTTAAATCAGCATTTTGCCAAATTTAGTCAAATGATATAACGGCAGAAATACCGTATCTCGTATCTCTATTGACTGTGAGAGGAATGTTCCCAAGAATAGACTAAGTAAATGTCTTCTTATCTGTCCAAATAAATTAGTTTAGGTATTTGACAAGAACTATGCAATCCAGAGAAATAACTCCACAGAAACAAACAAAAGCAACCATAGAAACTATAGGGAAATTTTACTTTTTAAACCTTGAATATGTATGGTTAACCCTATGCAGAAAACACAAGCTGTTTAATAGGTTTATGGATGAGATTAATTTCTTTCAGTAAAAGGAATGGGCTGAAGTCATGAGTCTCTGGTTTGTTTCCAGAACATTCCTCTGACCCTTAGCCACATGACAGAAAAGTGGCTGATCCGTGGGTATTTAGTCTGTGTGCAGCTTCTGTAGGACAGACAGCGAGCGAGCGAGAGAGAGAGAGAGGATGAGAGAGAGAAAAAGAGAGATACACATTTCTACTGCCTTGCTAACAGGTTGATACTGTCCTTCTGATGCTTATATTGGTGACCATTACATAAGAGCTAATTATTTTCTCAGCATTACCTTTTTTGTTTTTTTAGTTTAAATCCCCTTTCCAGCAGTCCAGAGAACATCCATCCTTTTAAATTTTTCACCCCTTATGATTCTGAGTTGCCAGGCACTCACAAATAATAGATACAAATGTCGAGGCTGGTGATTGCATTTTGCCCATAAAATTAATTTTCATTCTAAACATCAAAAATTCATAGGACTGTATTGACTCATTTAATGTTTGAGCCAAGATGGCAAAGATACTGGGGGGAAAAAAGCATTCCGAAGGCTCCGATTTGATGGTAGAGAGTTGAATGTATATATGGTGATATTGGCTTCAAAGGTGATATCGGTTTCAAATGTAATTCTAACCACGCCCTCTGCCCAGAGCTTTGTGTACTTTTAATTTACTGTTTGATAAAGGCGCCTCCAATTCCTTTAATGTGAATTTTGAAGTTCTGGAATTCTCTATTGAATGTATAGAACAATAAATTGTTAATTACTTATTCAATAGAAATTCCCGAGTCCACATAAACAATCCTGTTTACTGTGCATAAGGAACACAGAATTCATAAAGTTAGCACCCACCTGCTAGTTATTTAATCTAATTTACATTAATTCATTGAAAAAAACCTTCTCTTTGCAGTTTTTCCTGAGTGACTCAGAGGAAACAATCCCTCCAACTGCCAACACAACAAACACAAGCTTTTCAGCCTCAAATAATCAGGTGGCGATTCTGCGTGCGCAGAATTTATTTTTCCTCCCGGTAAGAACATTGCAATTATGACTGCTTTGGTGGCTCTCCTGTATGCTCGTAGTCTGTATAACATATATCCTTTAGTCTCAGATCTGTTCTAGACTTTGCATTTCCTCTCTGGTATCAATCCCTGAGTGGTTCTGAATTTACAAATGTCAGCCTCTGCTAGAAGTCTGGGCCCTTGGGAACTGGCTACACTTATATCTGAAAACTTACAATGTTATTGTCATGCTTTCACCAGTAATGTTTCCTTCTTCTCTTAACCACTACAGCATTTCTAGCATATTTCCTACCATATGGCATTCAATTATAAGGCACTATGTTTCTGGGTTTCTTACTTAGAGACATTGCTAATTGTTCCAGTGAATTAATATTATCCCCCTTAAAGCTGTGATAAAACTGCCCACATCTCATTATCTTCCCTCTTCTTTGGCAACATACGTTGCTGAGTGATTCTGTTCCCTAGTAATTCTTGCTAACTGACTCATCTTAACCAGTGTCACAAAGGACCTAGGTTAAAACTTCAAAACTTATTAACACATTAGTCTTCTAAGTGGAGAGTTAGGTCAGTTATTTACTGCTTAACAACTTTGTCCTTCCATAAATCGTTTGTGGAAAAAAAAAAAGTTTTGCTACTCTCCTTTGCACTTTCCAAATAATTATCTGAAAGTAGTGCAGATTATGCTCGTTTAGTTTCCGTGTCAAATAATGGGTTTTGACAATGCTAAGGGAACTATTTTGGGGACTGAAATTGGTAATTTAATATGTACGCTTTCAAAATTCCTTACCAAAAATTTTAACTCCGTTAGCTTTGGCAATAGAGTGGATTTATTTCCTATTCCTCCTTCTCTGATTTGCTTCCTTGATATTTTGCTCTGGTCCTTTTTCCCTTCCCATCATTTAATTTCTTGGGAAGCTCACAGCTCCATGCACAGATAGAAGTGGCTTCTGGGCCAGGCGGGGTGGCTCACACCTGTAATCTCAGCACTTTGGGAGTCCGAGGCAGGCAGATCACGAGGTCAGGAGATCAAGACCATCCTGCCTAACACGGTGAAACCCCGTCTCTACTAAAAATAAAAAAAAATTAGCCGGATGTGGTGGCAGGTGCCTATAGTCCCAGCTACTTGGGAGACTGAGGCAGGATAATGGCATGAACCTGGGAGGCAGAGCTTGCAGTAAGCCAAGATCGTGCCACTGCACTCCAGCCTGGGCGACAGAGTGAGATTCTGTCTCAAAAAGAAAAAAAAAAAGAAGTGGCTTCTGGTGTTCTTTCCTGGAGGCTTCTGAGGCCTTGACTAGGTCATGGGCAAAATGACCAAGGTCCAAAAGCAATGTCCCCTTGGGCTTGGGAAGAGGGGGGTGCTATAGGTTCATCCCCTACCCAGAAGATCCTGCGCTTCAAATTAGGTGTTATCATAAACTCCAGTAAGGGCTAGGCGTTGCCTTCTCTATTTAGTTATGTGAAAAGTGAAAAGCTAGAGTCATTGTGAGAGTTTATTGACTGTAATCTCACTGTGGGCCATTTGTGGGCCATTTGGAGCTCTCTTTTTTAGAGAAATATTTAAATTAACGGTGTGGCCTGCCTATTCCTCCTTGATCCAATGGCGTTAGCATCCATATGATCCATAGGCTGGTTGCTGGGAAGAGAGTGCACCGACCAAACAGTCCCCCTTTCGCATTCACGTGGCACTTTGAGTTTAAAATTTTAACATGAAGATGCATTTTGACAGGAAAAAAATGTATAGCTGCAATATTTTTTTAAATCTCTCCTTCCACTATGTTTGAGCCGAACAACTCACCACACTTGGCATCACTAAAAGAATAAGGAAATCATTATGAATTTCATTTAGGTAAATCTGTATAATATCTTATTTGCAATCAAAGAAAATTATTAAAAACTTAAAGTGGGGAAAGGCAACATTTACTCAACCTTTAAAGATTCTGAAAAAGCACACAATAGGGTCTCTCAAATCTAGGTGGGATTTAGTAAACAGGCTACTATCTTTCCAATCATGAGGCCTTGAAGATCCTGGCCAGCGTTGCCAAGGAAGCCCCAGGTCTACGTGGACTGGCTGCCCAGAAACCACATTGTGAACTCACGGGTTTAGCAGTCCTCAAGGAGCCTGGAGACATCCTGGCTTCCTCCCTAAAGGATCCCAGGGAACAGTAGAAAAGCCATTTTGTGAGTGTGTGCCAAACAGGCGTCATTTCTCTCAAACCCTATGTTATGTGATGCCTGAAGTTGACCAGCAAGCTGAGAAGCATGCCCAGTTCACTGCTGGTGGTGGTATAAAGTGATATAACTCTTCTAAGTGGTAATTTCAATAGTTATCAAAAAGCACAAGACAGACACACTTTTTACCCTGTAACACTAATTTTGAAAATTAATTTTAAAAGTGAAAAGGTTTACCAAAAACATGTTTGTGCATGTGTTTATGTAACATCAACAAAAAGAAAGAAAACAACCTAAAAATATGAAAATGCAAATTTTAAAATACATTTTATTGTAACACACGATAAGGTTATGCTTAACCACCATATAAGACATTGTAAAAAAATTAATGACATATAAATGCATATGCATAATAAATTATTCATTGAAAAGTATTGTTTTAAAAAATACAAAACAGTATTATTTTAATTTTTAAAAATAATACTACCAATAATAAGTAGCAAGAAAAAGGCTGGAAACACCTATACAAATAATGAATAGTGGCTAAAGTGGATGTTGGGGATTATCAGAGACCCTTATTTTTATATATATCCTTTCATATATTTCCCAATTTTTAACATCTGGTGTATTATTTCTCTAGTGGGAAAACATAGTCCTTTTAAAATACCCAAATTAGCTATAAAGATCTTTGCCAAGTTGTTTGTACCACAGCAGGCACTTGGTATGCATTACATCATTTCATCCAAAAATGACCCTGGTGAAGTAGATATTATTGGGATTCTCGTTTTGCAAGTGAAGAAGCTAAGACCCAGAGACTTTAGTGTTGATAAATTACTCCCGATAATGGTGGCTGTTACCTTACTGTAAAATGCAAGTTGGTTTCAATGATTAGGTCAAAACTGGTAAACATTACTAGCAATCAGGTTACCAGTAAGTACACTCCAATAGAAGTCGGTTCAGTATCCTATTGCCAGAATCGCTGACTATCTGGAGCCTTACCCGGTCAGCTAAACCGTGGAGCCAGGACAGGCTCCCAGCCTGGTATCCTGCAGTGTCCTCTCCCACACATCCCTGGATGGCTATTTGCAGGTTCCCAACCTACCTTTTTATGCCAGATCATCTCTTGCACAGTCTCCAAGCATTCTAGAAAGCCATTTAACAGAAATGGACTAAAAGTATGCTTCCCATTACCATACATATTTTAGTAGTTGTTCTGAAATGTGAAAATAAAAATTTTAAAGCCTAAGAATGAATTTTGAAATGTGAAACCTTAGCATATTTTATAGGTGTTGACACCTAGTTCAAAGGTTCAAACTGTGAAAAACTTTAAAAATTTACCCCAGGTCCCCACACACCAAACAATCCACATATACCCATTGATACATACACACCCTCTTATAAGTGGTTCCTTATTCTGCTCTCTCATTCGATTAGGCTGAACTGGTTGATAACTTTAATTATAACAGTGGTTTTCAAGCATAATTTTAGAAACAGAGCTGTTCCAAAAACCAAAACTTACAAAGGACTTTAGTTTATCATAATAATAGCAGAATTTACAAGCTTCTCATGGACTAGGCTGTTCTGAACTCTTTTGTTACTTAATCTTCGTGAGAATTCTCCAAGATGGGTGTTATCATCATCTTTACTTTGAGTGACTCATGGAAGACACAGGATTGCCTTGTTAAGATCAGCTGCTTTGGGGAATCCGAGGGGACAGGATCACTGAATAAGAGCCTTGCCCCCACCAGTTCCTGGGGCAATTTCCTGGGTTTGAAGGAGCAGTTTTAAAATACTCAAGACTATTGATTAAATGGCTACTAGGTTATAAATAAGGGCTTCTCAAACTCTTTGTGAAGGCCCTTTTTTCATTTCGCTTTGTTTTGTGTTTTTAATTTCTAATCTATGACAGACTAATGCTTTTGAAAAATGTAATGGTGAATTACCAGCAAAATGAACTAAAAAGGAAGCCATATGAAATGCAAGCTCATATTTCGTTATATTCAACAGAAACAAGCTCACTCTGCCAAGTTTCTATCCACATTCTGTACCTGTCTTGCAGAACTCACTGCTGTACTTTGAGTGGTCTTCTTCTAAGCAACATGGAGCATTAATGTACCTTGTATCAGAGGCCTCAGACCTGCCCTGAAGTAGATACTTAGTAACTTCTCTAAGGTGACAAGGGCTGAACTCTCATAGAAATAAGGTCTCCTTTCAAAGAGCATGCTAGACCCCTCCTCCCTCTGAGATACTGCCTGTCCACCTGTTCACAGCTCTGTTGATTCTATTGTTTTACTACATTAACCCACATCATCTCTTCTTTTCCTTTTCCTGTTCTCTGTCGTGGGAAGGCATGAGAGGCAGAAGAGTGGAGACTTGACATCGGGCAATTGCAGCTAAGAAACTGTGCTTACAACACTCTGTATTCCTTAAAATGCTGCCACCTGAAGTGAAGGGTGGCCTTCACATTCCCATGCAAAGGAAGACTTTAACTCCCTGAAGAGTGACCCAGTTGATGTGTAATCCAGTGCGAGGTGTTGGTCTTCCTTTTGAAGCCACAGTGTCAGGTCGAAGTCCTTACTGATGGATTTCTACTCATTCCTGCTTGAGTGCCTCCACTCAAGCATGCCCCTTACAAAGAGAAAGCCTGCCATATGATCACTGCAAGCTCCTATTCCCAACTTTTCTTTCTTCCTTCCACAAGAACAGGACTGTTGAGCTAATATCAGTGGCCTTCCACATAGGTTAATGTAGATGGCTTTAGCTGGGGAAATCAAAGGAAGAGCTCAAATGACAAAAATAAGCAGTTCTTACCAGGCTTACTCAACATGATGAAATTAAAATGGAGTAGTTTAAAAGCTGGGCTATTTTTAAAGACAAGGTTTAAAAAACATCAATAAGATCTATGTTTTATTAAAAGTCTTAATTTTTTTGAGTGTTGTCTCTGTTCTAGGAATGCTGAGATAGAAACACAAACCCTTGTTCACAGAAACCCCGTAATGTAGCAAATAAAGCCTTTCTGAGGATGGCACCTGTTTCCCTGCAGCAAGTCCCTCCTGGCGTGCAGGACTCTGGGCTCTGTGCATTACTTTTTTATCTCTGTTGTTTTCAATGACCTACAAGGAGAATATGATTACCCTCATTTTACAGTGTCATGCGGACACTGTGATATAAGCAAGTTAGGTCACTGGCTGAAAGTAAGTGAGCTAATGAGTTAGTGAAGAGTTGAATTCAGAGCTATCCAAAGCCTATCTGAACGGTGCCTGCAGTGGTAAATGGGGAGGAAATGGCTCACCTGGGGCAGGCCTGCCTTCAGCTTGTTCTGCCCTAAGATGGAAGATACCAGCTCGCTGGCCGCCACTTGGTTCGTCCGCTTTCTTCTGGTGCCTGTCAAACTCCCGGGGGGATTCATGACTCACCCTGGTCAAGGCTTTTAATTTAAGTCCTTCTGTTTTAAATAGGCCCTCTGACACACAATTTCTCTTTTAATAAAATGTCTGGGCTTCCTTATGCTTTTAACAGAGCTATCTGTAATGATTTATATTCTCTTAATGAATTAAAGAATTGAAAGGCCAAAAAAGATCCTATAGACTTAACTTACATTTAAGGAATGTATAGGAGGCCACAGTGTTTTCATTTTCAAGAAATAGATAACATTGGCTTATAGTGATGTGTCTTCCATATAAGTTTTTTTTACAATTTATTTCTAAAAAGTGGCAATATACATGCTTCTTTTTATTTATCATGCAAGGTTGAGTCGGAAAGCTTTGGATGATTTTTTTTTTTCTGAATTTAACATATCCAGGCATTTACCACTGGATCAAAGATGAGAAACAAGCCTCTGTTTTCACAGCCACCTTATATGTTGACCAGATGAGATGGGCGGTGGTCCCCTGATTGTAATTGTTTCAGCATTTCTCAGAAGAGATCCTAAGTATCTGTCTGGTGTCCTTCCCTGTTTCAGTACTTTATCTACAGCTGCATTCTGGGACTGATATCCTGTTCCGTGTTCCTGCGGGTAAACTATGAGCTGAAGATGTTGATCATGATGGTGGCCTTGGTGGGCTACAACACCATCCTACTCCACACCCACGCCCACGTCCTGGGCGACTACAGCCAGGTCTTATTTGAGAGGTGAGCCACGGCCTCTTCCTTCTCTTACTATAGTTCTTTCCCAGCCTGTGGATAGCATGAGTGTGTGTTGAGTAAATGCAAGTTAGCGATGTCATTGTCATTGATAAATCATTCTGAGAGAATTTCTTTGAAGTGATGCCTCAGAAAGACAATATGTGTTTTTGTTATAGATTACATCTGATTATGTATTCCCAAACACACATAGAAGATGTGAAGTGGTTTGGAGAGAAGAACTGTGTTATAACTGTACTATGTTGACAAAAGTAATCTAAGATTGTCGACCTCAGCACTATTGACATTTTGGACTAAATAATTCTCTGTTGCGGGCGCCGTCCTGTGCGTGGTAGGTAGGGTGTTTAGTGACATCCCTGGCCTTTACCCACTGAATGCCAGTCAGAGTCTCTTCTGCCCCAAGTCATGACAACTGAAAATGTCCCTAGAAATTGCCAAATGTCCTCAGGAAGGCAAAATGGCCCTCAGTTCAAAGCAAAATATTGAAAAAATAAGTAGCTGTATTCACAAGTTACAGTGTTACATTTTTCACTAGAGATTTTCTAAAATACTGTTATGGGGAAGGGGAACTATCAGTCCTGAAAATTCTTTGTTCTGTGGAGAAATTGACTTCCAAGAAAATATATGGTTGCTTTAGGTCTTTCAACCATAAGCCTAGATGCAGCAAGAATGATTCTACCAGGTGTACTCACTGAGGTTTATAACCGGTTTCCTGTTACCAAATTACTTCCATAAGCTTATAATGAATATTTGTTTGAAAAAAATTGTTTTAATCATTATGATACTTTCCACATCACATCTCAAAAGCAAAACAACATTTTATAACAAGTGTTAGGTTTATTTCTGAACCCACCAGATGTCAAAGTATTTTCTAGGAGTGCTTGGCACTGTCCTCCATCTTATTTCTACATTTATTTTAAAATAATATAAATGCCTTAAATATTTGCATTGATTTATTACTCCAGAAAGTTGTTTTGTGTTGACAGTACATGGCCACCTATTTCTTCACTGGAGACCCGGTGTTAGGAACGGCAGTTATCCCACTGTGTAGACATTTCTTACCAATAAGAACCTTTGCAGAAGGTGCAACCCATTCTTTTCACCTAATTTAATTTTCATCATCTTCCACACGATGAAACTCTACTAATCTGTAATCAAGCTTAAGGCAGTGGGGTTGCAAAAATGCATAATTATATTTATGATTCCTTAGCCAAAATGAGAATGGAAGTTAATTTTCCAATAAATTCTCAAAATTGCCAACTAAACATGCTTTACTATTGCTCTACTATATCCAGAAAGCCTGTGTTGTATTCCTAAATAAATGTAGCATTATTGATTTTCACGCGCAGCTGATAACGCTACTAAGTTTCCTTTTATTAAATTTAAAGCACCTGAATATGTTACACATCTGCAGCAAAAGAAGAAATCAGATTAGCAAGTTTCTGGTGTGGAGAGAATTGCTTCTGGGGACCTCAGTGGGGCGCTTGAAGAGATAATCTCTGAATGGAACCCTAGCAGCAGGAGACTAGTTATCAGGTTGAAGAAAAGGAGTTTTGCCTTTAGATCACATTCTCTGTATTAAAGGTGTTTTGTATTTGCGCTCGGTTTGTCTTTGCAATGACCTTGAAGCTAGGGAGACTGACTTGAGAAGCCTCGGCGACTTGCCTTCACTTCCATCAGTAAAGCCAGCATCCTCCTCGGGGGCACGCACCTGTCTCTCACTTCCTAATTTTTTAAAAAAATTTTGTGGATACATAATAGGTATACATATTTATGGGGTACATGAGATGTTTTCATACATCTTGCAATGTGAAATAATTGCATCATGGAGAATGGGGTATCCATCCCCTCAAGCATTTATCCTTTGTGTTACATATAATCCAGTTACACTTTTTACTTATTTATTTATTTGAGGCAGAATTTTGCTCTGTCACTCAGGCTGGAGTGCAGTGGCACAGTCTGGGTTCACTGCAACCTCTGCCTCCTGGGTTCAAGCGATTTTCCTGCTTCAGCCTCTCTAGTAGCTGGGATTACAGGTGCCTGCCACCATGCCCAGCTACTTTGTGTGTGTGTGTGTGTGTGTGTGTGTGTGTGTGTATGCACACACATACATATACATATACATATACATACACGTATATATTTTTAGTAGAGACAGAGTTTCATCATGTTGGCCAGGCTGCTCTCAAACTTCTGGCCTCAAGTGATCCACCCACCTCAGCCTCCCAAAGTGTTGAGATTACAGGCATGAGCCACAGCGCCTGGCCTCTTTTAGTTTTGATTGTTTGTTTGTTTGAGATGGAGTCTCACTCTGTTGCCCAGGCTGGAGTACAGTGGTTTGATCTCTGCTCAGTGCAACCCCCACCTCCCAGGTTCAAGCAATTCTCCTGCTTCAGCCTCCTGAGTAGCTAGGATTGCAGGCAGCCGCCACCATGCCTGGCTGATTTTTGTATTTTTAGTAGAGATGGGGTTTCACCATGTTGGCCAGGCTACTCTTGATCTCCTGACCTCAGGTGATCCACCTGCCTCAGCCTCCCAAAGTGCTGGGATTACAGGCATAAGCCACCGCACCCAGACTTAGTTATTTTTAAATGTACAATTAAGTTATTATTGATTATAGTTGCCTTGTGCTATGAAATAGTAGGTCTTACTCATTATTTTTTCCTACTTCCTAATTTTCATCAGAAGTTCTGGCACTTCTTGAACTGATCCCTGAACGGGCTGCACGATATTATCAGAAGCATCTTCAATGGAAAGATGAGTCTTAACTGATGCGATAGCAGAAAAGCATAATACCTCAAAATCAATGAATATTCTATGATGTCCACTTAAAACTAACCCCACATGGGAGACCCTTAAGAGTGGGAATTTAGAAGCCCCCCGATTTCTCCAGCCTCATTGCCTGTTTTACGTAACCCTGTGACTCATGCCAGAGGTAAAACCAATCAATGTCAATGTTTTCTTTCTCTTTTCTGAGATCCAAGAGCTTTTCCCCATCAAATAATTGAAATCAGTTTTCTCATCCTTTGCCTTGCTTATTGATGCTGACACACACTTCCCAATATGAAAGTGAGATCCTTAAAAAAAAAAAAAAAAAAAAAAAGCTGTGTAACATGATGCCTTGAGAGTGAACATCACTTAATCCAAAGCCAGAGGTGCCTCTGAGGGTGGGAGCTGGCTCACAGGACGGCCGGGCAGCACTGCCTTTTCTGATTGAGCCCCTCTGTGCCATTGAAGTCACGGCATTTTGTCCCATCCGTTTGGTGACCTGTCTCTGGGCGCCACATTCTTGCCTCATTCTTACTCCTTGCCTTCTCTCTTCTGTTCTGGTCTTCTTTCTGGGACCCTTGCTTGGCTGTGGCAGGTCAGTGTCCTTCCTGTCCACCCAGGCCCCTAGACCTGCTCCTCATTGACCTTGAGTGCTCTGACGACACTGTGATGGTTAATGTTAGATGTCAACATGATTGGATTGAAGGATGTCTAGGTAGCTGGTAAAGTATTGTTTCTGGGTGTGTCTGCGTGGGTGTTGCCAGAGAAGACTGACATTTGAGTCGGTGGACTGGGAGAGGAAGACCCACCCTCAGTGTGATGGGCACCACCCAATCAGCTGCCAGCACAACCAGAACAAAGCAGGTGAAAGAAGAATAAGCTGGCTTGCTGGCTCTTATGGTTTTCATCTTTATCCTGTGCTGGATGCTTCGTGCCCTTGAACATCAAACTCCAACATCAAAGGTTCTTTGGCCTTTGGACTCCAGGACTTGTACAGCAGTATCTCCAGGGTTCTTAGTACAGAAGGCTGCACTGTTGGTTTCCCTGGTTTTGAGGCTTTGGGACTTGGACTGAGCCACTCCCAGCATCTCTCTTTCCCTGCTTTGCAGACGGCCTGTCATGGGGCTTCACCTTGTGATCTGGTGAGCCAATTCTCGGTAATAAACTCCCTTCTATATATATATATATACATCCTATTAGTTCTAGCCCTCTGGAAAACCCCAACTAATACATAGACCTCCCTCAAGCTTCTGGCTTTCACCCCTCGGTGTGCCTGAGGACCAAGCAGCTCCTCTGTCCTGTTTCACCCCGGAAAGGTGGAAGGTACCCATCCTGGATGAAGGGGACATGGCTTCTGTTGCCTGTTAACCCCTTTTCTGTGATATACACATATGGGCTGAGGACTTTAACACACTCTTCTGAATCATGCAGAAGAGAAGATCTGAACTAAATACCATGGCTTATGAACAGTGCCTGCAACTGTGCCTGGCATCTAGTACTCAAAAAACATCTGTTGAATGAATGAACAAAAGCATGTCATGCTCTCGAACAATGGGAAGAGCCTGACACCAGCTTCCTGAAATCTCTTCGCCTCACCTGCTTCCCTGAAGACAGAGCCTATCTCCAGATCACTGAGGATGTGTCTTTTAGTATCCACATCAGGTTCTGTTTATATCTTTATATTTCAAAGGAAAGTTCAGGGAAGGCATCTCTGTTTAAAGGCAGTGCCAGCCATCTTCCTCTGTACTTTGTCCTGCATGTGACTTCGTCATGGCTCCTATGGCAAGGCCTTTTCAGAACCAACTTGGCATTGCTCATGGGCAAGCCAACAAGATGTTACAAACCAATGGAGTTGGCAGCGGAAAAAGGAGAAGTATGCACTAGAAAAACTTCGTATCGATGAATAGTTAAGAAAATGGTATTTAAGACATTCTTACACATTCAAGAGTATGAAAAGTAGACTTTTCAGGAGGAAAAAAAGACCACTCAGAGAGAGTGTGCCATTGAAAATCCATTAGGAAGGAGGTCAGGAGTGTCCCAGTATTTAACGTGACCTGCTGGGACGTGATTCGGATAAGTCGCCTCCTGCTGAAGGCAGCTTGGCAGTTTCTCAGATGTTTCCTATTCTTTGGTGTTCACAGCAGTCCTCCATATTGTCTGTGAATTGATCAATAATGGTTGTGGTTCCTATCTATGACACTGTCTCCCAAATCCCTTAGCCAGAGCTGTTGAGACACCAACTGCTCTTCAAGGTGATGGTGATGTTAATAACAACTGATGTTGCTGGAAGCTGTTTTTGTCTCAAAGACACTTATCCTTCCCATGACAAAAACTTGCTACTGTGTCTGCAAGAAGTTGTCAAATTTTTCCTGAGTTTTTTTTCTTACAGAACTGAAAAGTCTCAAGGGATGGGTGTTATTTCACTTGGACCAAGCCATTATGTTAACTCACCTGGAGGCTAGAAATCTACCTTTAATTCTAGAGACACATGGGACATGGAGAGCTTGAGCAGAGCAGCTAACTAACAAGGATCCCTAAAGACCAATTAGTTCTGTGCTGGAACTTTAGCCCAGTAAAATAAGTACTTTCTGGAAAGCACATAAATACGGTGTTTAAGCAGCAGTGATAAACAGTGCTTAGCCTCATCCAGAAGCTCTAGATTGCAACTGGCTGAAATGTCTGCAAAAGTTTACCTTCCCAGCCTTAGCAACAGCCTCCTATCAGGAAGAGCATTGGAGATGCTTGGACTTGCACCTGTCACTGAGATGCATGAACTAAGCACCTTCCTTGTGGTATTTTTCTGCTTTCCCTGATTTTCCCATGTCTCATGGAAATCCCAATGGCTGGAATTTAGGATATTGCGATGTATTTTCACAATGTCCTAACGAGGGATTGATTGATGATGAACTGAAGGAAAGTCTTGAGGAAAAACAAGAAAACCTATCCCACACAGGAAAGGTCAGGAAGAGCTGCAGACCTTACCCTGGGGCAGATGGTCTGTGGATATTCCCAAGAACCTGAAATTGTTTTCATGTCTTTTCTTTAAATGAAGAATATATTTCAAATTTGCATTCCAAGCCATAATATAGTCAAGTTAATATTGAAAATATTTTCGATTCCTTTCAGATTTACCATCTCAGCTTTCCCCACTCTGCCTGTTTCCTGCACCCTATGCCATTTCAGAAAGTGAGGAGCACAGCATGCTTTTCTGTGCCTGATACCTACTATCAGGGCAGCAGGGAGGGAAGCAATCCCAGCTGCCTAACTTTAACAACAAAGCAAGTCATCCTAGGGCTATGCAGGGTCTAACAAGCTTCTTTTCCTTCTATAAAGAGCAACCGTTAGTGAACTACTTCTCTATCTGACCTAAAACAGAAAATGTCCTGTGGTTTGGACTCATCTGCAGGAAGAAACTCGATATTTAGGCTCTTTTGTTTTGTTCTGTTTGATTTTAGAATAGGGGAAGGGTTTCACAGGGTCTGTGGCATAGACTCCATAGAATGTGCAGTGTTTCTAATCATCAGTTCTTCCATGTGATGCTAAAGCCATGCCCCGCCCAACCACATCAGATCGCTCTGAGGTAGCAGTGGCTTCCGACTTAAAATCACTCTTCTTCACAAAAGGAAACCACAACTGCATTAATCAGGTCACATGATTGTCTCCACAGCAAAGGGCCAGCACTCCCAGTCCAACCCCCCCCCCAACACACACTTTTGTCATCTTTTCTGACCTGCCACTGCCTCCGGAGCTCTTTTCTAAGCAGGAGCCTATTCCTTAATTTGTGGTTCTGCTGCAGCACTGGCATGTCTGGCTTGGCATTTATGAACACAACTCTGAAAAAGCGGGAGCCTTTGAGCCATCTGTCCCTGGAAGATGTTGGGCCATCTTTGCTGCAAGTTCACATGGCATTCTGATGCATCTGTGTCCAAGCCAGAGAGGAGAGAATGCCCAGAAACCCCTTAGGGAAGATGAGCCATTTCCAAGCCAACACAGTCATTTGTCCACTCATTTATTCATTTTCACAACACACTTCTATTGAATGCCCTTGATACGGAGCGTGGGAACCCTGGCTAAGCTGTTGATCCCATACTTTACCAGCCAGCCACGGGCCAGGAGGAAGTTACTGCCTCAGTGGCTCAAGTTTGGGAGAAGAGTCCAAAGAGGAAATCCACAGGATCTGCAACAAACACAGCAGGAGAGGACACCATGAAAGTAGACCGAGTGTGTCTTAGCAATTCCCTGCTGCTTCTCAAGTCAGAGTTAGATGAAGATTTTCTGACAAGGCATGGGACTGACTTATTTTGCCTTATGCATCTTAACCTCAGATTAGTTTTCTGGGGTGTTTTATCTTGTTTTACGCAGGACAATGTTGTCTTCTGGCTCTGTGATTGAGGTCCCAATCCCTTGCTGAGTGAGGCTCAGTGAGCAGACTCGTCCTTGTGGCATTATCAATTCGGACAAGACATTTGCTTTCTGCATCGTTTGATACTGACGATTCCTGAGGATTTGGGGGTCACTTGTGGACAAAGCCAGGCATTTTCTAATGTAATGGTGTAACCAGAGGCAGGAAAGAAAGATAAAAGAGAGATTAGCTGAAGACCATGAGGATATTGTGTGGGTAAAGGGGAAGGAAGTCATTGTCTCCTTGTTAGCCTGGTCTTTATAAGCTGTGGCCCTCAGTGATCAGTGAACCGATTTTTTTATTTATCCCAATTAGTGACCTGAGAAGATATGATTTTACCTCAGCTAACCACTGTTAACAGCACAAGAGAAATTAGACTCCTTTGGGTACTTTTCTTTTTAAAAATATTCACCCACAGAAATGTAAAGTTTTTGAAGGTGGGATAATGTTTGTGTCTATGTGCCTGGACTGCTTTCCCTCCTGAGAATCATGAAAATGTCCTTTTTTACTCCATCTGAAGTGTTTGCCTTCAGGTTAGAGGCTGGTTCACTAAGCAATTCCTCCATCTCCCTCACCAGTACGTTGGGGTGTGGTGTTCTTTTGGACTCCTGAAACTTGATGAGCAAAATGATTACTCCATTAACAACCTCAGGCGGAGGGCCAACGGCAGACGCCTGTGCGGCACGGGAGCATCTGAGTCCCCAGTGTCTGATTTTTAGATAAGAAAGGAAGTGTGTTCCATCACATTTTGGCTACCATTGTCGTTGTGTTGGAAATCATGTAGTTAGAAACTTTCTGTTATATTAGCTGTGTCTTCTCTACTTCATAACTCAATGACGGTGCCACCCTAACACATGAGATCTGAAGTAGATTTCATCCTTAAAACATAAAGGAGAGAGAGAGAAAGAGAGAGGGAAAGAGAGAGGGAGGAGAGAGAGCTCATACCCAACTAGCTGTGCAGCTCATATTTCTCTAAACAGCTGACCTGATTGGTGGGCTGAATTGTGTCCCCCAAAATAAGATATAAAGCTTTGGTCCCCAGTGTCTCAGAATGTGACCTTATTTGGAAATAGAATCTTTGCAAGTGGAAGTAGTTAAGATGAGGTCATGCTGAAGGAGGGTGGCCCCTAATCCAGTATAAGTGATGCCCTCCTAAGGAGATGGCCAGGTGAAGAGACAGACACACAGGAATGCCACGTGATGATGAAGGCAGGGATTGGAGTCATGTGGTGGCAAGCTAAGAAAAGCCAATGATGGCCAGCAAACTACCTGAAGTGAGACCAAGGCAAGGAAGCATTCCCTAATGGTTTCAGAAGGACATGGCCCTGAGAACATCCTACTGTCAGACTTCTAGCCCCCACAACACTGAGATGATACATTTGTGTTATTTTAAGTCACCTAGTTTATGCTACCTCGTTATAGCAACTCTAGGAAACTAATTCAGAGATCAACACAACTGACTACTCTGCCAGAAAGATGTCCTGGGATTTTAATGTACCTCTCCCTGACTCCCACCATGCTCCATGCCCCTCCTTCTCACCACCTTTCTCATGGACACACAAAGAGTGAGGTGATCTAGGAACTGATCTACGGTGGAGAAATGTCACTGAAACCATAGGGGCCCTAACAGCATCTATCCACAAGTGGCCCACACAAGAGAGAAGTCCTTCAGTAGGAGTTGGCAGTTCTCTTTTGCTAACAGAATGAAAGAAGTCTTCAGAAATCCAAGTGAAATCCAGAAAAGCCAGATGGAGTCCCTAGTAGTTGTCAGAGAACTTCAGAAGAGAAAAAGGCAGCCGTGTTTTGGTATGCCAGTTGGCTCTGTGGGCTGCTCGTGCCTCGTGATTCCTGAGATCCATTTAGGTCTGCACTTTCAAATCCACTCCCCAGTCCTGCAGGGAGAGCCTCTGCTGGTCTAGCTTCCTCCAAGCTCCCCCTCCACCCACCACTATTCCTCAGGAAGACTCAAGATCTGGGAGATGGGTGAGCAGGGTATTTCTACCCCCATAAACCAAGATTCAAATGCATTAATGTGAGGACTCCCCAGACAGGATTTCTCCCAATAGGTTGCTTGTGTGAATTTTCTGTCTGATTAACTGAAAACCCAGCGAGGTCTTGAATTGTCTAAGAGGATCCTACCTATGTCTCTGTCAGTGAGAGGGACCTAAGCTGGCTCTGTATGTTTGGGGCATCTGGTCCTTTAGTTAGAAATGCAAAGGGGACTTGCGTTCTGATTTGTTGCACTAATGAAGCTCCTATAAATCCTGGCCTGAGATTTACTCTTAGTTTAGGAATTATGAGGGTGGTGGGTAGAAGAAGGGGATGTCATAGATGCTTTTTCTGGCCCCTTGGAATTGTAAAGTAATGTGATATTCACAAAGCAGCATGCAAATTAAAAACTCAGCCTACATTAGCTTCGTAGGATGTTAGCTGTGTGGTACCACTTTCACTATTCAATATAGCATGAGCATGGTCAATATAGGGTAAAAAGAGTTTAAAATTCATGAAAGTCAGAGTCAGAATTGGTTTTAGACATCTGCACCCATCGGTCACTTCAGCTGTGCTGTTGGACACCGCAGTCATAGGCTCAGAGAGGAGCAACTTCATCTTATAAAATCAAAGCCAGTGAAACAGGAAGGCAGCACTGCTCCCCAGCTTCATTCTCAGAGAGAAATGGTGACCTCCTTAAGTTTCACGAGCTCAGATTCCTCCAGCTGCGGCAGGTTTGGTGGGGAGGAAAGAACTCCTAATGCAAGCACAACCTTACTGGAGAGTTCTCTGTGGCTCTAAGCCCATAAGCCACTGGGACCAGGCAATTCTGTTTCCTCATTCCTGCAGGAATCCACCTTTTCTTTGCACTTGAGTCTTTCTTTCTGTTAATAATATTCTCCAGTCTGTGTTTCCTTATCTTTTTCTCTAGTTTCTTAGCCTCACCCCACTCCCCTTCCTTATCATTCTGTAATTAATGTTAAAAATCACAAGTATCATTTGGAAAGAGTTTCCTATGTGTCAGGCTCTGTGCCAGGGATATAAGTATTTAATGTAGTGGCTAAAACAGCCTGCAGGGTAGGGGTTGGTACCCACCTTTGACTGATGGGGAAAGTGACGTTTGAAGCGGTTTATGCAAGGTCCTATAGCTCAGGATTCAAACCCAGGCTCTCTTGCTTTAAAGCCCACCTGGGCTTTTAATACTACACCAAAGCCTCTTGTTATCTCGTTTGTCCTTGAACCCCCCACAGAGAAGCTGGAAAAATAAAAAAAACAAGGACGACACACAAGCAGAAAGTGATGACCTGCTGTTTGTAGTTGATCAAATGCCATCGATGCTGCTTATGTGACGTGGTGTCCATGCACCATCCATTTTTATTTTTCAGGTCTTAGTTACAGTCCTATGTAATGTTCGCATGTCAGCATTTGAAGGATGTGTGGGTGCTCACTGCCTGGAATGTGATAGTGAGGATTGGGGGAGCCCACCCAGTGCAGTGACATCTTGGCAGGGATGAATGACTGATGTCATTTATTATAAACTTGAACCTGAGGTCACTCAGGCAGTGTACCCAAAATTTTCATCTCTGTTATGCCTTTGTGATACAAAATCATATGAAAGAGTGAATAAGATTGGATGACTGCTTGAAAGTTATATGAAACTGTGTAATTCAGCTTGCAGAAATTAAGTTCCCTGCTTCATGTTTATACCTCACGTGATTACTCATTTCAAGCATACTGTCTCTTTCCGAGAGTAATGATGAAAACATTGAAGAAACCATCGATCCAATTACCCATACTGATCCCAGAAGTATAAAGAAAATGTTAATATTCTTGTATGTCTTCTTTTCATATTTGGTATAGCTTGATATAAAGTAGGAAGTCTGTATGATTTTACTGTGCTCTCAGAATAGGGATTTTTGTTTTGTTTTAATGCAAGCTGGGTTTGGAAGGAGATTTGAAACTTGTGTTTGGCTGGTATATGATGTAGACAGGCACTAGAGAATCTGATATTTGTTGATATTCAAATTCTAAGTCCTGTATGCGTGTTGTTTTGTTGCATTGTTGTCTGTTTGTCTGTCTGTTTTTTAATAGACCAGGCATTTGGAAAGACCTGAAGACCATGGGCTCTGTGTCTCTCTCTATATTCTTCATCACACTGCTTGTTCTGGGTAGACAGGTAAGAAGTCTGTTTATATATATGTATGTATACCTTCTCTAAAGTGCTGTATTAATAGTGCTTTGCTGTGCATTGTAGTTAATCTTCTTGGAAACAAACGTCTAAGAATTAGAATCATCTTATCACTGAAGATAAAACTAGTTAGTACAGGGTGTGGATGCTTCGATATAGACAAAAGGAAAAATATCTTTCGTATTTTCCACAAAAGGCAAATGTTATGAATGGCCAAAATTTTAATCAGTTAATTTCCTGTTAAATCTCAAAACAAATTTTGTAGTTTTTGTAAGCCTACAAAAGTGTTCCTTCAATAACTGACACTATTTGAAAAAAAAAAAAAAATCTCCCCTTGACTAGGGCTTTCATTTGCATTTCAGAATATGTAGCACACTTGTTTGAACTGGGCCTGAATACCTTTGCTGTCATTTGCAATCATTCCTAGAAATATGATCCCCTGTTAAAAAGTTTTATTTTGCAATGCAAATGAAACTGTTCTTCCTTCTTTGGTCCCTCCAACCCTTCTGGTCTCCCACAGAGGCTGTGGGTGCAAGATTTTTAAAGACAATTATTCTTCCTCTGCCTTCAACAAAGACAGTTGCCCAAAGACTACAAGACTCATCTGAAGCCAAGCACCTCTGCCTCGTCCACAGTCTGTTTTAAGTTCTATGAAGCGTGGTGTGAAACAAACAAAAAGCAGTGATTTATGTATTTGGAACGAACCCATGAAGAAGCAATGCCAATTCCATTAAATCTGCCCAATATCTAAGAGGTACACTATACTTATGAGTTTGGGTCTGGCTTCCAGTTGGCTTCCAGTTCTCCCCACCCAAAAGCTGTTGGTAATTGCATAGACAGTTGGACCAAGTCTGGATCTGGCTGTCAGGCCAGCAGTCCGGGACAACTGTCCTCTAGCTTCCCAAGCAGTGTGAGCTGCATCCTCCGTAGGAGCTCATGGTGCAGCCCTCATCCATCTCCCTAGCACCGAGCTGTCCTGTCCTGCTGCAAAGCTGTTTGAGGTCCCTTCTTCCCACCCCACCACCCCTCTTGCATTTTCTCTGTTCTGCATTCTTTGGCTTGCAGTTTTGACAACCTGCACCATATCCGGTTCTTTTTCCCTGGTTTCTCCTGCAACCCATTTTTCTTTTCTCACGACTGGCCGTCTTTCTGCTCTCACTCATATGGCAGGCATGCTCTCCCTTGAGTACTTTATAATTTAGATGTGAGAGAATTGCGCTTCCTTGAATAATATCACCTAGATGATCATTTCTCAGAAAACAATGCAGCCATCCCCTCTGTGGGATCACCTGTTTCTCCATTTCATACTGGGGATGCTTTTTCCTGCTAGAATCATCTCTCAGATTCCTTCACAGCAGCAAATTTTAAGAAACTCGTATCAAATTAAATTCTCCCAACTTTGTTATTGGTCGTTGAGATGATACACATTCAGTACCACTACATAATTATGGTTAAGTCCAATGGCTGACAGTTGATCCATCACCCTCTAATTAAGATAAATAATCAAAAGTGTTCAATATTATGATTGAGCACCAATTTTACACAATTGGGTTGATACCAGTCTCATAGGGAGTCATTCCATTTTTGTCTTTAGTGTAGCAAAAAGTAATATTTACATCTAGAGGCCTAGAAAAATTATTACTCCCTCTAAAGGATTTACCATTCTTCATAACCATTCTTTAACACCAGCTATAAATCACCGAATCTATATAAGACACCGTGGGAAATACCAAGGTGAGCCAGGAGGCTGACCTGCCATCCAAAATCATTGAGTGAATGACTTACTAAGGCCCCAAGTCTTCTGGGTAAGAACTTTGAAGTCTGTGATCCAGTGCTTTAGTACTCCCTTCCCCGAAAGGAGGGGAGGTATATCACAAAACACTCCATATTGGAAATAAGATTTTTCAAGTGCCATAAGTAAAGCATTCATGGCCTCAGTTACTGTATTTCCTGATTGGTTTATTAAATGATAGTATATGCATTTTGCAACTTATTTTCATTGTTATTTTTCCTGCTCCATGACCATCTTTTTTGAAATGATGGAGATATGTTTGCTTTCTGAGCAAATCAGTATACTAAATATTGCTTTAGGTATCTAAGTAGCCTTGATGAAAACATAACACATCTCTTGTGCAACAGGTACAGTACTACTTGCTGTACTAAAGTCTAGTTTATGACAGATGTGTTAACCAACTCAGGAGTCTCTTTTGAAAAAGAAAGAAGCTTAGTGTCTCACCAGAGCTTAAACAGCAGCACATTGAGGTGGGATACATTTATACTATAAAACCAGGGGACAGTCTACATGACCTCAAAATGAAGCTGTTGTTTTGTAGGAGAGCTTAGAACCCAAGAATCTACAGGGTCACCAACTGCCCTGTACTCCAGCCCAGTAACTGGTTCTTCTGTCTACGTAGAAAGATGTGAAGCCCTCCAGTTCCTCAGGTTGTTTTCAGAATCAGAAAATCCCAGAACCGCACTTGAGGCTGTGCTAGATGAGAGCCCCAGCAGGGAGGGTCATGGGGTCCCAGGCATGTCCTGGAGGATTCTCCTGGGCTCTTCCTTCTGTCTCACTCACTGTTGATAGAGCCAGTGAAAAGCAAATTCGGTGTCTCTTCATGGGATCTGGGCCCCTGAAAACCTGTAGAGTAGCCCCAGGCAGAATCCGAGAGGTGGGTGACAATCCGAGGGATGGGAGGCTCTCGAAGCTGAGGAAGCCTGCGTGTCTCTCCCTGTTCCTCCCCTGCACACAGAATCCTCTGTCTCCTCTGCAGCACTGCCCTCCCTGAGTCACCCAGGCAGGGGCTTCATCTTGGCCTCTGCTAGACGCCTGCGCATGGCCTCCCGCCATGTCTCTGAGTCAAATCCCCCCTCCTTTCTCTTGTAAGCACACCCGTCTTGAGGTTTAGGGCCAACCCTAGATCCAGGATGATATTATCCTGAGATCTTTAACTGAATCACATTCATAAAGACATTATTTCCAAATCAGGTCACATTTGCAAATAACAAGGGTTAGGACTTGGAACTATCTTTTGGAGGATTATTATTCAATGCATTCCATTTGATTGGGGATTTTTTAAGTCTTTTTTGAGGGGGCCTTTCATACAAGCTGCTAATGTGCCAGCTACTTACATATAAGACAGAGGATTCTAAACAGATTGCATTGCTTGGGAAGGTGATAGATGATTGATAGATGGATATAGATAAATAGAAAGGTAGGTAGGTAGATAGATAGGTAGATAGATAAATAGATTTGGCAAAATGTCATTTCGGTTCAGTACAGCTGAACCGAAATACTCTGAGTATTCCAAAATACTCTGATTTTTTTTAGTAGGAGACTTACAAACTGCTTACCTGTTATGCAATAACAATGGCTCTGAAAACCTGAGCAACATCCTAGCATGGCGCATGGAAACCTTTCATGCTCACTTGGGTTGGACTTGCTGCCTTAACTGCTCCCTTGGAGGTGGTTTCATCTCATGCTTCACTTTTGTCTAATTTGAAGTGTGCACCTTTGTCTTCTCAATGCCCCCACCACTTGTTGCATCTATCGTTTTAGTTTGAAGCCAGTCACACCACTGATTTATTTTTTTTTTTAAATCCATTCTTCAAGTGAGAAGGCTTTTCTAGTCAATGTAGAGCATAATTTCTATCAGTCCATGGTGTGGAAAATCTGGCATGAACGTGAAACTTTAAATATAAACAAACTTTTATTTTTGGGGTTTTGTTTTTGGTTTTTGAGACAGAGTCTCGTTCTGTTTCCCAGACTGGAGTGCAGTGGCTCAATCTCTGCTCCCTGCAACCTCCACCTCCTGGGTTCAAGTGATTCTCCTGCTTCAGCCTCTTGAGTAACTGGGATTACAGGCGCGCACAACCAGGCCCGGCTAATTTTTGTATTTTTAGTAGAGACGGGATTTTGCCAGGTGGGCCAGGCTGGTCTCAAACTGCTGACCTCAAGTGACCCACCCACCTTGGCCTCCCAAAGTGCTGGGATTACAGGCATGAGCCACCATGTCTGGCTAAATATAAACAAACTTTTAAAATATCTTTTTTGCAGTTTTTTGAAAATGCCTTGCTATATGAGATAAACATAAATGCCACACCAGAGGAGGAGTTTTCCTAATGTATGACAGATAATTTGAATCAAACATAACTAATGAATGATCATCGTTCTTTCAAATTTCAAAATGTGGATTTTAAATTTTTTTAATTCCCATTTGTGCATGAGAGGCCATCTGTGTGCATGTGTGTGTGTTTTGTGTTACTTTGTACTGTCATTGGTAGAATTAATCAACTCAACAAAGCAAACCAAAAACTTGCAGTTAGCTCTTCTTTGCATTTATTTGTCAATAAGTGACTATCTGTGTGAAATACACACTCTCCACTAAGCCCTTCTATTACAGGAAGATCCATTCAAGACTATTTCATGATTAAATTAAAGTATTTACATCATAGGAGGCACAAAATGATGCCAAGACCCAAAAGACTCTTTGTCAGTAATTGGGCCTCTCCATTCCTACAATGTTAGTAATAACTACTTTTAAAATACATTATATTTTAATACATTATAAAGCATGAACACAGGTTTTTACTAACAGGCACTATCTTAATTAATATCAAAATGAACTTTTCTCTAAATGTAACGAATGGCATTCTGTCAGAACAGCACAATCCCAAGTGGAAGAAAAATCCATATTTTGCAATGATTACATAATTATACAATTTGTGTTAGGGAAAAACTAATTTACAAATGCTAAAGGCAAACTGCCATAAACGAACAATACAGTTTTTATTCAAATCATCAAAAAATGCACTCTCTCTACAGAGGTATTTTTCATGTATTCATCATTTATATTCTACAATTGCCTCTTTTCAAAAAATAATTTGAGCCCTCTTTTAGTAGCATAACTTTGCAGGAAGCTTTAATGGCGCTTTGAATTTAAGCCTCCATATAGCTGATTTCCCTGTTTCTGAGGCTGGTTCTTGTTTTTTGCAAATCCATGTCAGAGGTTGACTGAAGGACATTTCAGGGACACAGAGGGCTTTATGGGGAGGGTGGAAGTTCTGTTTGGGGGTTCTTTTTTCGGTTTCATTTTGTTCTTTTTGTTTTCTCTTTAAAACCTCCACTCTCTGGCAGGACAAGATGCCTATTGTTTCTTTACCTCTGTGTCCTCTTGTAACAGAATGAATATTACTGTAGGTTAGACTTCTTATGGAAGAACAAATTCAAAAAAGAGCGGGAGGAGATAGAGACCATGGAGAACCTGAACCGCGTGCTGCTGGAGAACGTGCTTCCCGCGCACGTGGCTGAGCACTTCCTGGCCAGGAGCCTGAAGAATGAGGTCAGACCAGGGGGGCTGGGGGCTGGGGGAGGGGGCTGGATGCCATGATGACCTGGGTGAGGGCTGAAAGCTTCTTCAGTGACATAAAGGCTGCAGTACTTCACACATCTGAGTGTTCAAATTGGCCAAGATTGGCTTGAATTGTTCAGTTTTCAAGGAGATATTGATTGGTTGTAGAGATATCCGTTGAGAATAGTGGGTTAGAATGACCTCTAAAAGTCTGAGTCTGGAGGTGGATTCATTATTAGAGATTTTTTCCCCAATCATGTAAAGTTCTGAATGTCTTTTATGAGGCACTAGGATCCCAAATATGCCTCCAAAGAAGCCACTGCTCTCTCCCCATTGTGGGAGGAGGCCTGCCTTACCAGCACGCAATGGAGGCTCAAACCAAGAGGCAACGTTAAACCATGCCTCCCACACGCCCCCTGTTTCCCCACACTCAGCTTCCCTGACAGCCTTCCAAGGCTCTTAGAATTTCAAAGATATCAGATACACAGTGAGTGTGACAGGATTTAGGAGTTATCTACACAAGAGCAGACCAAAGACTTGAGTCCATCCATTAGAGTGGATAGAAATGGGAATTTCATGGAGTGTTTATCCAAATGGATTAGCTAGAGTTGCAAAGACTACAATGTCAGTTAAATATTGAAATGGGTTTTGAAGAGATGTTGTGAGATGTCTTTAATATTGCTGAAGTGCAAGAGAAAGCAGATATGTCTACATTTGGACTTAACGTGAGAAACATGTATCTGAGCATCCACAGTACGCAAAGCCCTGCGCTCATTTCTGTGGTGTTTCCCAGATGTCTGAGATGTGTAAACGAAGAAGTGTCTGAGACAGGTCTCAATCAAGTTAGAAGTTTATTTTCCAAGGTTGAGGATGGTGCCCAGGAAAAAGAAACACAAGTTACACTAGGATTCCTGGCCTGTGCTTTTCCCAAAGAGAGTTTTGAAGACTCCAATACTGAAAGGGGAAAGAGTGGACAGTAGGGGAAGGAGGAAAAGGAATAAAAAGAGAAACGGGGTAGACAAGAGATGGTTACATTCTTGTGAGGCTTGATTAGTGCTCATTGAAACCACATTTTCCATATGAAAAGAGAGGAGTCAGGAAAAGCCCATTATGCCTTCCTCTGCTTGAGCCGAGGGATGATTTCTGGTCTTGTCTTTGTCCAGTACCTGTGAAGATCAGCTATTAATTTGCATTGCCAGGATAAGAGTCAACAGAACTCTGTTTTCTGGTCAGTTTTTTTTTGGGGGGGTGTCTATTCTGAAAGATTTCAGGGCCCACAAGGAATTTTTTCCTGAGCAGTTGTGAGGGAGGCCACCTGGGGTGCTCCGTGGCCCTTCTATGTTGCAGCCATCCGTGTGGGAACAAAAAGCAGGTAGTTTCTTGCATGACTCAGTTCCCAAGCTTAACTTTTAGTGAGTTTGGGGTCCTGAGATTTTTTTTTTCAGAGGTGTAACCCCTGTTCTTAGGACATTTTCACTGAGGCATGGGAGTGCATGCGCAAAAGAGGTGGGGGTCACCTGTAGATGGATGAACTCCTTAATGGATAAGCTCAACCTGGATGATACCAGAACACAAAGCAACCTGCAGTGAGAAGCCTTGGAACAGTATTTTTCTGTAGCGGATTTGAAGTTGGCATTAAGAAGAAGGTGCCAGGTGGCAGATGAGGTGCTAGACATCACCACTCCCATCTTCCTGGAAATATTCAGGGCACAGTGGGCCTTCCAGGGCTACACAACAAGTCTCATGGCCCACTGGCTTTCCTATCTCTTCTCCTGGTGTTTACTACATTTGGTGGGTTCTTCAGCACCTGATTTTCCTATTGATCACAGGTAATAAAATTACAATGTCTATTAAAGGGCCCTCTGTTCTCGTTAACAGGAGTCTCCAGCCCATTTTTAAATTCAGCAAGGTCCCCATGTTTCCCCTGCCCTGTAGCCAGGCTGGTGGTGGCCCAGGATACAGAGATGAATGGGATTAGAGGTGGCCTCATCCTCCGTGGGCGCCTCCTGGGGATAGGATCCTGTTATCTCCAAGGACACTGGGATGTAAATATGGTACTCCAGAAAGGCTGCCACTGTGAGGAAGTGGCTTCTGAATCTGGAAATAAAGTGCTAGAAACTAGCTGGGAGACGGGGGCCAGGGGGAGAGAGGAACGGGGAGAGAACATTTCAGGCTCCAAGGGGCTACTTTTCCACAGGCACCAGGAAAGTGCCTAATTCAAGACCTGAGAAGAGCCCACTGGAGCAGGCAGGAAGAGAGCAAAGGGAGATAAGGGAGCTGAGGCCGGGCGCGGTGGCTCACGCCTGTAATCTCATACTTTGGGAGGCCAAGGCGTTTGGATCACCTGAGGTCAGGAGTTCAAGACCAGCCTGGCCAACATGGAGAAACCCCGTCTCTACTAAAAATACAAAAAAAAAAAAAAAAAAAAAAAAAAAATTAGCTGGGCATGGTGGCGGGTGCCTGTAATCCCAGCTACTTGGGAGGTTGAGGCAGGAGAATTGCTTGAACCTGGAGGTGGAGGTTGCAGTGAGCCGAGCTCGTGCCATTGCACTCCAGCCTCAGCAACAAGAGCGAAACTCCATCTCTAAATAAATAAATAAACATTTTTAAAAGAATTTGGGAGCTGATAGGAGGGTCCCTTCCTAGACATGGGCTCAGAGGAAAGCTCTGGAGCTCGAGAAGCTCTGTGAAGGTCTGTGGGGAGCACAGAAGGTACCCTGGCCCCAGGGTTCAGCCTCACAGCCCTGCAGAGCCCTGTCTCATGTCCTGACAGCCTCCCTGGGCCAGACCTCCAGGAGTAGCAGGTTCTCTCTGCTCTTTCCTGTTTGCTTGGCTTATTCTAAGCAAGCATCAGAATACAGTTACCCTCCTTGGAAATAATAAGGAAAGGCAAGATGGGGAAGGAGAATAAAACCTAGAGCTACACAGTGCGGCCTCAAATCTTACTCCCAACATTGTCTGTTCCTGTGAACGTGAGCTGGTTACTTCCCTGTCCGAGCCTCGCCGTCCTCATCCATAAAAGAAGAAGCATGGTGCCTTGCCTTCCAGTTGCTGGAGGCAGGCTGAGGGACATCTGCATGGTGCCTTCGCACTGCAGTCCTCCAGGTGAGGCGGGCATTTCACAGAGGCGTGCACGGGACCCACATCCACACAGGTGGGATACGCATGAGAGGGAAGACAGCAGCAAAGTGCGGGTCTTGGCAGCTCACAGTGACTCCTCCACTTCCCCTGTGGCCCTGCTGTGTACCAGGGACCTTCATGCCACTGCACAACCCTCTGGTGCTCCTGAGGGTGACGTGACATTTTCCTCCAAGTTTCCTAAGGAGTGCTGCTGTTGGGTTAAAGACACACAGTGTCAGCTGGGTGCGGTGGCTCAGGCCTGTAATCTCAGCACTTTGGGAGGCCAAGGCAAGCGGATCATGAGGTCAGGAGTTCAAGACCAGTCTGGCCAACATAGTGAAACCCTGTATCTACTAAAAATACAAAAACAAGTTAGCCGGGCATGGTGGTATGTGCCTGTAATCCCAGCTAGTAAGGAGACTGAGGCAGGAGAATCGCACCAACCCAGGAGGCAGAAATTGCAGCGAGCCGAGATCGTGCCTTTGCACTCCAGCATGGGCAACAGTACGAGACACCATCTCAACAACAACAACAAAAAAGACACACAGTGTCTCCTGTAGCATTCACCACCCTGCGAGCTCCATGGTGTAAAGCCGAGTAGTGGGGCAGGCAGCATGGCCTAACAGGAGCCCGGAGTGGGGACTCGGGACCTGGGGTGAGCCCTGGTTTTGGCACTGCCTCACTGCAAGGGCAGCTCGGAAACTTTCCAGGAGCAAAGCAGGAATGGGAACATTTAGATGAAGCCAGCTCTGGGCTTTGTTTCTGTATTTGTCAAATAAAGAAGGTGAACCCCTTGGGGGTGTCATCACAGCCACTGTAGCCCTGTGTGTACATAGGGACCTGTCTTTAAGCATTGATATAAATCCCCCTGCAGATGATCAGTGCCTGTTCACCAAGCTTCCAGTTGCAACACCTGAAGATGGTTCCTTCCTTCATTCGGGAAACACGGGGTCCTCAAATCTACACCTGACTGGGGGCAGCCTACAGCCCTATAGGAGAATGAAAGAGCTTGGTTTCAGAGCTCTTCAGACTTGGACCAGCATGGATGGCTCCACGTTCCATAACAGGCATGCCAAGGGTGTTTGGATGACGCTCAAGGCCAGTGATTCCTGCCTGGTAGGCTTGCAGTCTCGCTGCTGACCTGACATGTTCTCTGGAAGGGAGAAGAGTGGACACTGAACCTTAAATCAGAGCATCATCATTCCCACTGTGATGCTGGGAAATGAAATGATCGTGTCATTCTGCTCAGCTGGCGGGCTGCAGGGTTCTCTGTACTTAATCACACAATGCAGATCTTCCCTTGGCTGTAACATTTCAAATGTTACTACCAATTTCTGTCTAATAGGGTGAGCAATGGGGGTGATGGCTACTCTAGCAGCCATTGTAAGACTTGGGGACTAAACTATTAAAAGGAGCCCCCAATCCCCACCACAATCAGAGCAGACCTATGCCGTCTCCTCAAGGACCCTGTACTCCCCCAGGGGAGGTTTGCTAGCCAGTTGCGGGAACAGTGAGTGTGGGGAGATTCTGGAGGCTTCAGTCCCCATGGGAACAGCACTGCATGCAAAACAGAGCCCACACAAAGGGCCTGAGCAAGAAAGAGAGGCACCAACCCCCTGCCAAAAGTTCTCAGAGTTCCCACAGTGAGTCTCAGAAAGGGAGAGTTTTGTTTGTTTCTGAAAACACATAATGAGGGTGTTATAAGAAGAGCCACCTGCGTGCATAAAGCATAGCAAAGTCGTGCCCCTCCCTTCTGTGGAATGTCTCCTGTGGCCATCGGACCCTGCTGCCCTAAAGTAGCCTCCTCACTGGACAGAAGAATCTATTTCCTTGACCTAATGATGTAATATTAACCTTGCAATCCCAGGCCAGGTGGGGCTAATATTGTGTGGCCTTGCACAGCTGAATGATAACGGTGCCCATGCTGTTTAAGAGTGTAGCTATCATCAAGGTTTCTGTCCCCTCTACAGTGTCAGGACCAAATACTGACATCCTGCCTGAGCTCTTTTCCTCCCTAAGGTTTCCCCAAGCAGAAGCCCTACCCCTTACTGAAACTGCATGGCAGAGTGTGGCTGATGCTGGGACCAAAGAAGTCCCTGCAGACAAGAGCAGTGCTTCTGAAAGTGAAGCACCTGCTAAACAAGCTATTACTGGTCCCCACACAAGCCTTCCTTGACCTCCTGGGCCCTGAGAGGTGACTGAGAGCAAAGCATCTGTCCCAGCCCTGGCACCTCTTGGCTATGGGGCCTCAGAGTCCTCTCAGAGACCATTACCAATTTTTGAAGCAATAATTTAGATGAAGCTCTTAGAACTGTGCATGGCATGTAGTAAATACTGTTAGCTATCTTTTAAGCAAATATCCCAGATTCATGCAAAACTTGAGAATCACTGCCCCTGGGAATTGATCAAAAGCTTTCAGAAAGGGCTCCTGCCCAACATTTTTAGAGCCTGAATAAAGTGGAAAACAAAACCCAATGTAATCACTTCGCTCCTGTTCCTGGCATTGGATAAAAAGCACTGTGGGCAGTGCCTGCCTTCCCAGCCCCCTCTCAGCAGGGTGGGCCAAGCCCTGGTGCTGAGTGCTCAGTGCCTCTGAATGCAGAGGCCCCGGGGGAGGCTTCTGGGGCATGGGGTGGATGGGAGCAGGCCCTCAGCCCCTTTGTGTGGGTTGCCCCGGCATCCACCACACTAATCCATTTCCACTAAACTCTTGGTGATACTGCTCTGTGAGTCTTCTGGAAATAATACAGGAAAACAAGACTTTGGCAAAAGCAAGTATAGCTATACTTTACCAATATTGCCGGTTTGGTTCCAGACCTCTGCAATAAAGTGAATATCACTATCAAGCGAGTCACAAATTTTTGCTTTCCCAGCACATGTGAAGATTGTTTACACTATACTGTATGTTTTAAGTATTCAATAGCATGATGTGTAAAAAAAAATGTACATACCTTAACTTTAAAATACTGTATTGCAAAAAATGCTGACATGGATACACAAAATGAGCACATGCTGTTGGGAAAATGGTGCCATTAGACTTGGTCAAGGGAGGGTGGCAGCAAACATTCACTTTGTGAAAGATGCAATATCTGTGCACTGCAATAAAGCAAGACGCAATACAACAAGGTCTACCTATAAGCCAAAAAAAAAAGGACTTGAAGTCATGTTTTATTTCCCTGCCTGGGATCAGCTTATACCTGCATCCTTTCTGACTTAACTAGTGAAATACTTCATGCATAAACAGGATGGGGGCTGCTTCCCTGCAGAATCACTGCCCTGAGGATGAACGACTTCCTGGGACCAAAACTGACAGGTCAGGACTCTGGGAGAGACCAGGGAGGCAGTTCCATTCCTCTCTGTGGCACAACCTGTGGTTGCTGATGACTTTTTGAGTCCAGGGCAGGGCGTCTTTGGATAGCCTCCACTCCATGGCTTCTGGAACAATGCTTGGAAAATGGCACAGCTTATGCCAAGACCTGCATTAACACAGATCATGTCATTTTTGCTCTCCTACCCACTGCATCAATGCACAAAAGGAAATTAATTTCCCTTCAGAAATAGGGAGTCAAGAATGATGTAATCGCTGTAACAATCAATTCTGAAAAGGTTTTATTTCAATGAAGAAGTGCTCATAGGCCTATGCTCGGGCTCATGGGCATAGGGCTGGCTGTTTGTGTCTACACTGGCTTTGCAGTGCCTCTTCCTTCTCCTGGGCACTTGTGTTACTTAAAACTTCCTGAAGCTTCTCCATCAGCTGTTAACTGTCATGGCCAGATTCAGCCCACACAACCCTCAGGCTCATCAGGAGAGTTCTGTGCACCCAGATGGGAGCCTTCTCTGTTTCGGAAGCCTGTTCTCCCCACCTCTGTGTGTGGCAGGAACATTTCTGAAAAGCCCCTTCAATGGGCATCAAAGCCAGCTCTCATCACTTGGGGAGAAGACTGCATTTTGTCACCAAATCGACCCCGTGCCAAGTCCCCGGGTGGTAGAGGATTGTGAGCCAGACATCCTCATTCGGAGAGAGCCAATGCCTGATCAAAACAAGCCACATGAGCCACGGATGCCACCACAGAAATTTGGGAAATGCCCCTCGTGTGCAAACAGCACCTCCCTTTCTGCTGGTGAGAACCCTCCCAGTGACGACCAGGCAGATCACTCAACAGTGCTAAGCTTTAAGCTCTATGCCCATGCGTCCTCTGCAGGAGGGTCAGGCTAGCATGCCCTTGGGGTTTCAATAGACGCTTCTGTGCTTTCTAGTCATTTGACTCCCCTGAGTAAATTAGGCATTAACTGACAGTTGGGGACACCAGGTGCTTAATGGTTCCCACATAGATCAACTCGGGAAACGTGGACGATCCAAAGCCTCTATGCAGCCCAAGTCAGTGAGACAAAGCACCAGTCTGGTCTGGGAGGTGGGAGACCTGAGCGCCGGTGGCAGCTTTGAATGTTTTCTAGAACACTCCAACCCCCATGCCCACCTGGATGGAGAGCCCCAGACGCCTCCACACCTGGGCCCACGGCACCAACTGCACTTTATTATGTTTTCTGGATTTTCTCTGTCTCTCCAACTAGACTTCATGCTCCCTAAGGGCAGGGCTTGTGTTCTTTTCCTCTGTGTCCCTAACATCTGGTATGAAGTCTGGCACACAGCAGGCCCTTTGATAGGGCACGTGTGTGTGTAACAGGGCGTCAGAGGGAATTTCAGCCTGCGACACTAAGAGACGCTTGCTCTCTTATTCCAAAGGAGGCATTAAACAGTGTGCAGAGCTTACAAACGCCTTCCTTGACCTGCAGGGAGCTTATGAATTGGCCAGAAGACTAGAGGTTGAAAGAGGGTTTGGGTAGAATGTAGTGGGGATGAGCCCCCTCCTAGAGGGGAAGGTGGGGATCCCCCCTCACTTCCAGCCTGTGAACAGGCCAGAACTGCTCAGCCTGGGAGCACCCCATGACTTGAGTCTCTGAGTGGTCCTGGGAAGCATCTCCAACTGGGGGACACCAATAGCAGGCAGGTTCTGATACTTGGAAACACTGAATGCAGGTGCTGATGGGGCATCTGGGCACACAGGGTGGGGAGCTGTGGTTTGGGACATGGCTGGACTGTCAGTTGTTTGGACAGCAAAGGGTGCTCAGTGTTGCCCAAGGATCAAGCAAGAAAAAGAGAATTGGTGTAGGGTTATTTTAGATCCAATGTTACAAAGCTGCCTGGGTGACGGGGGGAAGGCAGTGGGAGGTGAAGGCACCTCCACAGAGAAAGCCCGGACCTGAGAGGGTAGTGAGGAGCAGGAGGGATGTGCATGGCCTCCATCATAGAAGACTCAGGTTTGAGGGGATGTCCAGGGATGGGCGAAATGGCAGGGAGTCTTCCAAAAACCCATGAAAACATCCACAGGAGGAAAGCCAGGTTTGAGTATTCAGGGAGCAGGATGCAGCTAATAGGAAGCTGTCCTGCCTCGCAGCCTCTTCCTCCTTCCCCTCTTCTCCATTCTGGATGGTTTGGAAAACCCAGCTAGCAAGTTAGGAAGAGTGGAGGAGTGGTGGAGAGAGAGTAGAAACCAACTGATCCCCCTTCTCCACTTGCAAAAGGCCCACACTGGGGAAGGGCACAAGCCACAGGTACAACGAGGGCAAGAGTTTTGACTATTTCTTTTTTTTTTCTTTTTTTTTTTTTGAGACGGAGTCTTGCTCTGTCACCCAGGCTGGAGTGCAGTGGCACGATCTCGGCTCACTGCAAGCTCTACCTCCCGGGTTCACGCCATTCTCCTGCCTCAGCCTCCCGAGAAGCTGGGACTACAGGCCCCCACCACCGTGCCTGGCTAATTTTTTGTATTTTTAGTAGAGACGGGGTTTCACCATGGTCTCAATCTCCTGACCTCCTGATCTGCCTACCTCGGCCTCCCAAAGTGCTGGGATTACAGGCGTGAGCCAACGCGCCCTGCCAAGTTTTGACTATTTCTTGGACTGGGGCCTCTAATTATGGATGAGAGGACCTTGCATTACACACAGTGACATGCAGGGCCACAGGGTAGTCCCGAGTGTTCGTCCAAGATGGGGAAGATCTAGCCACACTCCAAAAACTGAAAGGGGTAGTGGCCACAGAAACGCAGTTGCTTTGTGATTATTTTTTCATGCCTTGAGCTTGTTCAACAGAATGGTTACATGTGAATGAATGTTGAGGAGACGTCTAAACTCACTTTCAATTCTAAAGCTCAGTAATACTTTTGGGTAGCCATATGCTGACATGGGTCACCCATTCTAGACCTTGAATTCCAAATTATCTTCAAAGGCTGCCCACCTGCCCTACTCCAGCCCCCAGGTCCTCTGGAAGTCTAAGACAATCTCAGGTCATCTACCAGTCAGCATGCAATCCTCTCTGGCCCCACACCCAATGCAACCACATGAGGGAACCTCTCTTGAGTTCAGTGCATGGTTCTCAGCCCTCCAAGTTTCACAGGCTCCAGAGAATTTCAGAAGCCTAGAAGTTTCCCTGGTTTCCCAGTAGTTATAGTCTTATGGAAGCCCTGAATCTGAGGACCAGGTGAGCAGTGACCTGAGCTCACCCTGGGCATTCCCTCAGAGCCTCAGAGCTTCCAAGAGACCACTCTGCCAAAGAAAGTGGGTGATCAGTTTGTAGTCCAAGCTCCCCAGAAGCATTCACGGCCTGCAGAGAATGCAGGGATTGGTCCTGGCCCTTCCCCTTAGCCAGCTGAGAGCCTTGGTGGCAACCGCAGCTCCCCTGAGCTCCATTTCCTCACGTAGTCTGTCATTCTTAATCAAGGCTGAACAGCAGAATAACCCAGGGAACTTTCCAAAACAATGCCTGCGCTTGGAGCCCAGCCTAGGGGATGAGGGTCGTTTGGTCAGTGGGGAGGCCCAGGCACCTGCCCTCTGGGAAGTCCCATTGGAGATTCTCCCGTGCAGCCCCATTTTGGTCCTGTGTAATGAAATGACATGTCAGATCCAAACTGCCCATCAGTTCAGTCTTGCATTTCATCATCTCCAACTCCCAGACACCCTTAAAGACTCCAGAGGAAAATACAAAGGTAAAGTGACAGGACCCGCAAGTGTCAGAGGACCTGTGCTACCCCCAAACTGAGCAGTGAAGCCCATGATCATCCCGGAGACTTGATCAAGTATAAAGTATAGTATTTACACGGGTGGATTCTACTGTCAGACTTGATAACTCCAGCCTCGGGCAAGTAATGTAACCCCTCTGTGCCTCAGTTTCTTTATTTGTAGATGGAAAACTCTAGTACCAGCCTCACAGGGTTGTAGTTGTGGTGAGTTCATGCACTTAAAGTGTTCAGAGAGGTGCCCATCCTACCATGTGGTGAGCGCTCAGTAAGTGCTGGCTATTATTGTGCTTATTCTTGTCATCATTATCATTCCCCAAAGAGCACTCTGGACAGTGTCAGCAGAGAGTGGGGAAATGCAGGATATAGAAAATATGTCCTTGGCTGGGTGCGGTGGCTCACACCTGTAATCCCAGCACTTTGGGAGGCCAAGGCGGGTGGATCACGAGGTCAGGAGTTCGAGACCAGCCTGGCCAACATGGTGAAACCCTGTCTCTACTAAAATAAAAAAAATTAGCTGGGCATGGTGGTGCACACCTGTAATACCAGCTACTCAGTAGGCTGAGGGAGGAGAATCGCTTGGATCCGCGAGGTGGAGGTTGCAGTGAGCCAAGATCACGCCATTGCACTCCAGCCTGGGCAATAGAGTGAGACTTTGTCTCAAAAAGAAAAAAAAGTATGTCCTCCCCTGGCTAGATGCACCCTTTTCCTCAAGCACAGGGACATCAGTGGAGTTTATACCATTTTTATAAAACTGACATTTTTAACTCACACAAGATCCTAGGGGGTTCTCATCCCTGTTCTCTGACCCCTGGCTGCAGTCAGCATTGCCAGCGCTGTGCCTTGGCTGTCATAGGCTGTCTACCGAGGATATGAGTGTTCACAAAGGCAACTTTGCAGAGAGAGAGAAAACACAATTCTGCACAAGAAACCAGCACAATCATATTGAGCACAAAATAGAAAAGAAAACCTTGATTTCGTTGTTCATGTACTTTGTACAGATCTTGAGGCAGTAGTAGGGATTACAGAGTGGCTGGTCCTGAGAACCAGAAAAGGACACGAGTCCATCTTTTTCTCAAAACTGTTGTGGCCTTCACCTGGGTTGCCCTGGCTCTGATGGGTTTGTGACGGGACCTCCCTGGGGAAAGAACAGTTCCTCTGAGGTGCCACCAAACCTTGGAGTTATAATACTATTTAAGTGCTTGCTCTCTGCAAAGGAGTTCATCTGGGTGCCCCAAAGAGCAGGGCTTACTGATAATGTTCATGTAGAATGGATTCCCTCGCCCTGCCAGACACACAGGAAGCACCAACCATTTTTCCCTCCCCTCAGAGGTCAGCCATCTTGTTTAACAGAACTCTCCTCACCTTTCCTGGAGAAGAAAGCATTTCCCATGCTGCACTGCGTCCACAGTGGCCCCGGCTAGTCTGCCTGTGTTAGGGCCATCTCAGGGGTCTGAGGACCCCTTGCCAGTGGAAGGGCAGATCCTCCACACCTAGGACTAGCCCCCAAGACCACCTAACAACTCTTCCTTTCTGGAACCTTCATTGAATTCGAAGGTGTCACTGTGTTGGGAAAATTATGGAAACACCTTGAAATTGTGTTTACAAGACACTGCAATTTAACTCATGTCTGTGGATAAAGAACTATGAGCTTCTTCCTATTTAAAAACAAAAGAATATCATGAATAAATATAGTCAGTGTCTAATATAATATAAATAAGTAGACTGAGGAGCTCTATTGGTTCTTTCTGGTGTAATAAGAAGTAACTTGATGAATTCCATACGCTGTTTTCAGGAGACACTGAAGAGGAAAATTCATCAAGACTCCCATCCAAATACTATAGCCATAATGAGTTATTTCAGGACAATCTGAGAGTTTGGGAAATTATTTTGTTTCCCTTCAGTTGTTGAAAGGACACTTTTTACTAAGCCAGAACTCCGTGGTCTGTTGTCATTGTCTCAAGTCAATATGACAGAGAGGTTTAACTGGCAAGGCACCTCTTCTTAACTGGTAGTGGCCTGAATCCAGCTCATTAGAAGCTTTCCCCTGAGAGCAGCGGCAGCATCTGGATTGGGCCGCGGCTGGGGTGGGGCAAGTGGAGTAGGCATTTGGGCGATGTCTGTGTGAATCCTGGCATAAACAAGCCACTTGCCTGTGGAGTGTTTCTGTTTAAAGGTCAGTCTCCTAGTGATCAGCTCTTGCTTTTCTCCCAAGCAGGAGCTATACCACCAGTCCTATGACTGCGTCTGCGTCATGTTTGCCTCCATTCCGGATTTCAAAGAATTTTATACAGAATCCGACGTGAACAAGGAGGGCTTGGAATGCCTTCGGCTCCTGAACGAGATCATCGCTGACTTTGATGATGTAGGTACTGAGAGTTGCCCTCGAAGGGCAGCAGTACACTCAGTCTCACACCTGTGCACTTGAAGTTACTTCAGGATAGTGGCCTATCCCAAAAAAACTTGTCCTTTGGCATAATTTCTGGCAGATGGCATTAAAGCCTTTTGCTTTATTTAGGTCTCTGACTAATTTAAGGTAGACAAATACATTGTATTTTTGAAGCTGGTATGACTGCTAGGAACAGCTACCAAAATCTGTTAAATCAAATGTGTATCCAGTGTGCTAGTGGATTCTTTACAAAGGCTTGAATTCGCGGTAAAATACTTGCCCATCCCTTTCTAGATAAAAAGATAATGAATTATAATAGACTATTGGTGTGTCTGTGCCTACTTCAATGCCTTTGTCAGATATCAACTTGCACTATGCATGGATGACATTTTCTTAAAATTATAATCTGTATGGGGGGATAATACAACATACTTTAGGAGGGACAGAGTGTCTGTTTTAGAATTTGAAATAGATGTTATTTTTCAACTTTCTACATAGAGAATAGTGTGTTCTATTTCCCAGTAAGAACAAACGCCCCTCTGGTTTAAGGATATTGCAGCCACACTATTCTTATCACTATCTTGCAAAATAGAAGAAAATTGACATCTGTCCAGGAGCATATGTTAATGATGATTCATGGAATTTTGAAATACAGTGATGAGATTACATAACACGGTGGTTTCAGGCAAACCTCCTAAATGTCTTGTGGGCCCTGTGCACTTTCTGTCACCACCATCATCACTGTGAGGTTGATGCTAGATATTCATGGTGACGTAATGACCGTCAGCGATTACCACTGTGATCCTGGGTGCATCATGACAAATAGCGGCTGGGGGTCTCAGCTGCTCCTCAGTGAAATAAACATTCCCCAGTACTAACGAATGAGTGACAGTGGATATGTGGATAGGTGATACAGGGATTTGCTCATCTGTCTTAAATTATTAGATATGTAATCCTGGAGGAATCTCCTCTGAAATCAAGAGATCCAAGGGAGGGGCAAGAAAACGCTCTTGGTCTCCGGTCAGCGCCATTTGAGCCCTGCCCTCCTGAGCGGGTATAGACCTTCCAGGGCATCCTTCATGTTCAAGCCCATTCCTCTTCCTTCCTACAGCTTCCGTTCTTATCCCTACCTTTCCTCCATCCCAGCTGAAAGCCTAACTCAGCAGATTAAGGAGGAGTCAAGTGGGACGCTGATAACTAATTCCAAGACAAGAAATAGTAGGGCTCGGGCCAGCTGTGGTGGCTTGTGCCTGTCATCCTAGCACTTTAGGTGGCCAAGGTGGGAGGATCGCTTGAGCCCAGGAGTTTGAGACCAGCCTGGGCTACATAGGGAGACCCTGTCTCTGCAAAATAATTTTTAAATTAGCTGCACATGGTAGTGTATGCCTGTGATCTCAGCCTCTTGGGAGTCTGAAGCAGGAGGTTCACTTGAGCCTGGAAGATGGAGGCTGCACTGAGCTATGATCACACCACTGCACTCCAGCTAGGGTGACAGAGCAAGACTCTGTCTCGAATATATATATATATATTTTTATATATATGTGTGTGTGTATATATATACACACACACACACATGTATATCGTATGGCTCCTCTTCTGTCCTGCAAACAGCAGACTTCTCACTTCTCTTAGGCCTCCCATGGAGGGGGGAAAGAGAGAGAGAGAGAGAGAGAGAGAGAGAGAGAGCTGGTTTCTCTTCCTAATACATATATTAGGCTAGGGCTGATGACAACCATTCTAGATCTTTATTCCATCCACCTCAAGCACTCAGAGGGCAAAAGCCAGTCCTCAGCACTAATAATTGATCATAAATCATTCTGACCATGCAAGAAAGAGCTCACTCATTGAATCATAATTTTATATTTATGCCTTTCAAATACATAGTCAGGAAATTTATTCAAGCCCATCGTCATTTGCATCATAATTCATCTTGGTTCCTTCACTAGCAAAGTTTGAACGCTAATTCGTGTTCCTTGGAAGTAAATCATTATGCTGTACTTTCCTCCAAGGACATGCGCTGTATGAAATACAAGAAGTTTTCATTCCTGGAAAAGCCCAGGGCCCAAGGGTGCATACGCAGTGGTTGAAACAAGTCACGGCATTACTGTGAACCAGCATTTGAGAATGTCTCTATAAAATGCTCAGCTTCAGGTCAGCATCCAGCTGAGTAACTGGACGGTTGTCATTGCTTCACAGCTTCTTTCCAAGCCAAAATTCAGTGGAGTTGAAAAGATTAAGACCATTGGCAGCACATACATGGCAGCAACAGGTCTGAGCGCTGTGCCCAGCCAGGAGCACTCCCAGGTAAGACGCGTTGGCCACTTAACGGCACAGGTGAGCCTCAACCCCATCCACAAACCACCCTGGGACCAAAACAGCCATGAAATGCCCCAAGAACTGTATATTTTGTACAACCTAAAGCTCAGGGTCAAGGTCCTATGAGAGAAGATGAAAATTCCAGACTTCTTAGAGCCAGAGGATCTGTTCACAGAACTCCTTCTGCTGGCCAACAGGAGAAGAAAAACCAATCAGTAGCTGCTTGTTACCAGATAAATACACAATGAAGTAGAAGATGAAAGCTAGTTATTTGAAGGAGACTCAGTAAGAATGGATCCAGGTCTTTTGATTTAAAAGAATATAGTCAAGGCCGTGTGCGGTGGCTCACGTCTGTAATCCCAGCACTTTGGGAGGCCGAGGTGGGTGGATCTCTTGAGCTCAGGAGTTTGAGACCAACCTGGGCAACATAGTGAAACCCCGTCTTTACCAAAAATACAAAAAAAAAAAATAGCCAGGTGTGGTAGCATGCACTTGTGGTCCCTGTTACTCAAGAGGCTGAGATGGGAGGATGGTTGAGCCTGGGAGGTGGAGGTTGCAGTGAACTGAGATCGCACCACTGCACTCCAGCCCGTGTGACAGAGTGACACCGCATCTAAAAAATGAATTAAAATAAAATAATGTGGTCAAAAAACAAGTTGGCCACATGGAAATTTCATTGAAAAGGTCATTTGGGCAAAATTGAATATCTTCAATCAACTAAGGTTTTCGAGATTTTCTCGTGTGTGTGTGTGTGAGAGAGAGAGAGAGAGAGACAGCATGTATGTAGACATGCTTGTGTAACTTGTTGGAATATTAGTAAAAAAGACCTCCTTTCCCCTCAGGACAGTGGCCTTTGCTGTGGAGCCTGCCCTCTGCTGGGCAGACCACAGAGAAACTGCACTTACCAGAACACACTTTCTGTGGACAGGCAGGTTCTCAAAGAGAAGAAGGGTTGAGTACCATGTATGAGCCCCTCTCCCATAACCACCTCCCATGGGAAGAGTGAGAGTGGGGAGAGAGGCAGCAGGCACCATAACAGAGCTCCCTCTTCCAGGAATATCATGAGAGGGTCCTAGTTTCCCGCTTAACATTCATGCATTCATGGGCAAAGAGTAGAACATGGATAGACGTCTGACTCAAGATGGAACCCTAGCATTCTTCCAGTTAATTGGAGTGATATGTATTCCATTGGTTCTCCTCTTCAGGTGGTTGCCTTCAGATTATTATTTTTTAATGAGTATGCATTACTTCAGTAATAAAGAAAATAAAAGAAACAAGCCATAAAAGAAACCCCAGAAGAACCTTGCCTTTGAATTCTGAGCAACACCCTCTCAAGCCATCATGGAGTCTGTGGCCAAAGGAAAACTGCTGTATCCTCTGCATGGTGTTGTAGATTTTTAATGGTTAGGGTTTTTTCCAGAACATTAAAGTGTTAAAAAAATTGAAAAAATGTAAAATCGAGATATTAAAATGTACAACATTCTTTTAATTTTAAATATTCTATTTATAACCCAAACCAGAACTAATTACAATTTTAGTTTCCTGGCTTTCATGGAAACAAATATATGCTCCTCCAATGCCTTTAATGTTCTGGAAAACATTGACCATTAAAAAAAAAATAACATTAAGACATGTATAGAGACAGGCATTTTTCTTACTGCCTCAGGCTCTAAGATGCTCAGCACAACACTGTCAGGACCTATGTGTCTTAGTCTGCTTGGCCTGCCAGGCAGAATACCACAGGCTGGGTGGCTTAAATGACAGAAATTTATTTCTCACAGTTCTGAAGGCTGGGAAATTCAGGACTGAGGTGCTGGCTGATTAGGTGTCTGCTGAGGGCTCCTCTTCTGTCTTGCACACAGCAGCCTTCTCACTTCTCTTAGGCCTCCCATGGAGGGGAGAGAGAGAGAGAGACAGAGACAGAGAGAGAGCTGGTTTCTCTTCCACTTTAAAGAGGGCACCAGTTCCGTTGGATCGGAGCTCCACCCTTATCATCTTAGTTGACCATAATTACCTCCTAACAAAGCTCTGTCTTCAGTACAGTCACCTGGGAGGTTAGCACTTCAACATATAAATTTTAGGGAGGACACAATCCTGTCCACAGCAGTATCTTTATTTAAAATTTCATTATTTTAGTTCATCTTGAATTTTTCTGCATTGATTTTGATTTTTAAAAATATTGCACTAGCATATTATTTCTCATGATTGCTGAGCTTCTTTCTCCTTCTGAAGTTTCTCTCCTGAGGTGAGTGCCTCACTTACCTCACCCTCATCCAGTTATGACTTGGAGGCTTCTCCAGCTCATCTAATGAGGGCCATCAGGAGCACTTCACCTGATCACATCCACTCCAGCCCTTTGCTCTTGGACAGCCAACTAACAATACTTTGGCAGGGCCTCGGAGTGGGAGATCTTCCGAGGCACCACCACATGAAGACCTGTTCCACAATCAGTGTCACTCTACAGCCCAGGGTGCGTGTCTGCCTGTTCTTCCTGACCCTAACTCTGCCTCCATCAGACCCAGTCTTCTGGATGTTCAAGAAAAGTCTCCAGGTCTTTTCTCTTCCTTTCCGCAGCCACGCTTTATAGACTGAGAGTCCATAGCCACTGCCTTTATCTTTCACCTTCTACTTTCTCTCTACACCTCCACAATCCTGCCTCACCAATGCCATCAGGAACTCTACTCTTAATGACCAAAAAAACACTTCCAGATTCCAAAATTCCAGTCCAATCACATTCTCTGAGCATTCGTCCTAGGTGACGCCCTGTCTGTGGATGGCCGTTGCCTTTGCCTGGTAATCCTCCCTTGGCTTTTGAGCCCTTCCATTGTCTGGCCCCAGCCTGTGCTCCCTCTGTGTGGGACATTGTAATATTCTTTCCCCAACCCCTCTTCTCTATCAGGGACCTCTCCTAAGACTTTATCTATCCCCTCTGCACATTCGATCTCCACCAAAACCTCTATCCGCTATCTTGACCATTGGGCCAGACTTGGATCACTTCCAGCTTCCTATAGACACCCTGCTTTCTAACACTACTGCCATTTTCTTCTTGTCCTCCCCACTTTGGAAACAGGGCCCCAACCCTCTGCCTCAGCCTACTGCCCTGACCCATCCCCTACCTCTCCCTACAGTCTCTACACCAGCCCTCAAACATGCATGTGCTTTTGTGCAGACCAACCTGGGTCCTATCCACATCCTCTCCAGGTATGGTGCACCCATGACCTGTAGCAGCACCACCTGTGGTGGTTGTTACAGTGGTTTCCAGGGACAGCCTCAAGCCTGCTGTGTCTCTGGGGTGGGCTGGGGACCCCCATTTCCACTAGTTTACCGAGGTGATTCTGATGCTCACAGAAGATGCCCTGCCTGGTCAAGGAGCCTTTCAGAATCTCACTCATCAGAATGCCAAGGCTCCAACTTTCACAGAAGGCTTTCCCGTGCCCCAACCTGGGGAGCTTTGCCTTACCTAGCTGTCTGAGTCCAGATCTTATTTCCTTTCTTCACTGTTTGCTACCTGTCATTTTCAACTTTCCTGGAAGTGTGTGTATGTTTCTTAGCCACCATCCAGACTATAACAGGTGCTATGTGTTATGCAGTGGCCTTCAAAGTCCCCAGCAGGGCCTTTAAATGATCACCCGTGTTTGTTCAGGGAGTGATTGCATCTGTGCCCAGTCCACCTCCCAGACAGTGTTTAGCTTCCTTCACTCTGTTTTACAAACCTGCCACTTCCAATGCAAACCCTCTAAATTCTTTCCCTGACCTTGTTGAACCTTTACTGAATGGCTCCTGAGCCCTTACAACAAGCCTAGGAGGTAAGTAGTAAAACTCTTTGCCCATTTTAAAGATGGAGAAACTGAGGCACGGAGCAGTCAAGTAACTTTCTCCATGTTCTAGGGAAAACAAGTAGCCATAGAGTAGGGCTCAGACCTGGGTGTATCTGTCTGTCCAGAGCTCCACATGGCAGCCTCTCTGGTGCTGCTTCCTGTTGTCCTTGGCTCACCTGCCCCTCCACCAGCCCCCACCCTTTCCTGAGCATCCCTGCACCCCTACATTTGTATCTATCCTATTCATTCATCGCTGCTCCCAGCCCTTTAGCAAATCCCTTGCCAGGAGCCCCATTCCTCCACCCTCAGCTGCCCCAGCAATGAAACTTGTCTTCTTAGTTATCATTGAATGGCTTACTGACTTCAAACCCAGCCACTGTTGTTAACACATGACTGTTTTCAGGGTAGAGTTGAAAGAGCATGACTATCAAATGAAACTGCTTATTACTTACTATTATAGCTAAGTGTTCTGCACTTCTGTTACCTTACGCATGAAATGGTGATCACGCCCTTTGCATGAGGCTGTTGAGAAGACTATATTTAATATGCAAAATACTTAATCGACTCCATGGCCATAGTAAGTAATAAAAATGCTAACAGTAATAATAATATAGTTGTGGTTTGTACCGTGTTTTGCATATTGGTACCATTGCTGACTCAAATAGAACAGAGATAAGAGTTTTAGGACATTGAAATATGATATGTAGTCATATCCATGGAGGGAAATTCTCTCAGTACTGTATGTGCTATTTGTGATTAGAGCATTTAATTAGATTCTTTATAAGGGCATCCTAGAAATATTTTGAAGTGCAATGAATGTATTCTGAAAGGAAAGTTCATTACAATTGATTTGGGGAAAATAACATACCTGATAAATATTCATGCTAATATTAGTTACTTTTATAAGAAATGAATGTCACTTTTACCTTTTGTAACCTGCCCAAAATGGGCTTAAGCCTTTGCTTCTCTAGTTATGAACAAAATACTTTCTATTTATTGTTTAGCCAAATCTTTAGTCTGGCAACAAAAGATATTCAGTTACAAAATATATAGGGTAACCCAAGGAATAATGTCTTTTTCTTAAATCCAAAAAGAGGCAAATTATCTGGGTAATGGCCTTTTGCAGTTTAGCCTTTATTTGTAATTACCTTGGCATTTTCTGTTTGCAGTAACAACATACTTACCCATGGAGAAACAAGTGCACAGAAGTATATCAGCACCTAGTGAGGCAGGGCTTTTGTGCCTGGCTCTGTTTTGCCTCATTTGTACTTTTTAAATGAAATGATCCATTCTAATTTTAAGCTTAAGTCAACAATGTGGCTAAATGGTTGCATTACATGTAAGAACTGATTGTTGTTTGTAAAAGAAACAGGCATTTGTCAAGAAAGGAAATATTAAACTGGAAATGGGCTTTCATTCATTCCCTGAGCACACTCCCTGAGGTGTAGACACCCTGGCTTGGATTTAGTGGTCGGTAGAAAATGAGAGTTTGCCCATCTCAATGGCCCTTCGTTTTGCCCTCAAGACCTCACTCTCTTCTAAGCCTCATACCTGCAGCCCCTGCTTGTTTCTTTCCATGGACTTTAGAGAAAACTGGTGGCTGTGGTGTGTTCTCCTTGACTTGTAGAGTTTTGCTTTTTTTTAAAAAGGATATTTTGCTGGAAAATGATCCAGGTACTCCTGAAAATTGATGGGTTATCTACCTGATTGGTGGGTTATCTTCCTGATTGATGGGTTATCTACCTGATTGGTGGGTTATCTGCTTGAATGGTGGGTTATCTACCTGATTGGTGGGTTATCTGCTTGAATGGTGGGTTATCCACCTGATGGGTGGGTTATCTGCTTGATTGGTGAGTTTTCTACCTGATGGGTGGGTTATCTGCCTGATGGGTGGATTATCTGCCTGATGGGTGGGTTATCTACCTAGTTGGTGGGTTTTCTGCTTGATTAGTGGGTTATCTACCTGTTTGGTGGGTTATTTTCCTGATTGATGGGTTATCTACCTGGTTGGTGGATTATCTGCTTGATTGCTGGGTTATCTACCTGATTGGTGAGTTACCTACCTGGTTGTGGGCTACCTGATTGATTGGTGGGTTATCTACCTGATGAGTGGGTTATCTACCTGAGTTATCTACCTGGTAGGTGGGTTATCTGTTTGATTGGTGGGTTATCTACCTGATCTTCATCCTGATGACAACAGCCAGCTGGAGCATAGAAGCAACTGTTCATTAGACTGGGAGTGTTCTCTCCACTACTATAGTCCACACCACTCCCTATTGCCTCATTCCTTCTGCTGCACTCCAGAGCCTCACCTGTTCCACATCTGAGGGGCTTTTCAGATGTGGAAATCTGCCCTAATCAAAGATTAGAGATAACTCTGGTCTTAACAAGTATGTAAATAGTTTTGATCTTTTTCAAACAAATTTTTCTAGGAACTGAAGTCAAAAGCAAAGTTTAGGGAAGGAAACTTTCATTCAGACCCATGCTTTGATTGTAGTATTGCTGTAATATGCAGTACCTCTAGCCATTACTCACAGTTTCTAACAGGTTGACACCCATTTCCCCCAACAACCTGGAAGGAAAGAACTTGTACTCCCGGAACAGACAGGGAGGGGAGGGCAGGGGAGCAAGAGGAAAGGGGGGCTGTTCTCCAGCAAGGTGTCAGCACTGGTGTTGCTTCTATTCTTAAAAACATCTGGGCCGGGCGCAGTGGCTCACGCCTGTAATCCCAGCATTTTGAGGGGCCAAGGCGGGTGGATCATGAGGTCAGGAGATCGAGACCATCCTAGGTAACAAGGTGAAACCCCATCTCTACTAAAAATACAAAAATGAGCCGGGCGTGGTGGCAGGCGCCTGTAGTCCCAGCTACTCGGGAGGCTGAGGCAGGAGAATAGTGTGAACCCGGGAGGCGGAGCTTGCAGTAAGTCGAGATTCCGCCACTGCACTCCAGCCTGGGCAACAGAGCGAGACTCTGTCTCAAAAAAAAAAAGAAAAAAAATCTGTGTTTTTGCTTTCTTTTCAATTATGTTATTTTTTAAAACAATTATTTTATCCAAATATTATCTAAAATAAATATATAATTTTAGTTACTTATTATATCTAAACAAATCCAATGGCAGGCCTGGGTTTGTGGGCTGAAGGTCATCACTAGTTCATAAGCGTGACCTCCTGCTCCACTGGCTCTTGCTGAATTTGCTCCATTATTCTGCTCCCTCCTTCCCCCAAATCAGACCCTAGTCTCCATCTGAGCCACCTCTGAGATTCCTACCCTCACCCTCCTAGTCTATTGGCAAAACTGAGCTGACAAAACAATGAACAGGAAACACTTGCTGTCCACATCCACTGACTCCCGAGGACCACTCCGAGTTAGGACCTTTATGTGGCTGCTGTGTCATCCAACAGACATTTTCTCTACTGACTGAGCCAAGTTCCAGGTACATGCTGGTGACTGCTCACAGAGTTTTACAGTCTGGGAGTGAACCGGGAGTACAAACAGCAATTCCTGTGTGAGGTGGGCACAGAGAATCTGCGAAGATTAGAGGGATCCTGCCAAATGGGCCAGAGAGGAAGCTAGGAGTCATACAGAGACCGTCCCTGCCAGTGTCATAGTAGTTAAGGGGTCCATTAAAACTAATAGCCCCAGTTCCCTTCACTGGTAAGAATCGAGAATAGCTTAGGTCTCTGTGGAAATGAAAAGCAAAAAATCCTAAGTCTGTGTATTTTTGTGCAAACACCAAAGCTGTCATGATGTGTCAGAAGAAGAGAGAAATTTCCTTCTGCTCTCATGCTGTTAACAGGAAACTCAAAACGGAAAGAAAATGAACTGTCCCTGTTCACTATACATACAGAGAATCTCAAAGACACTTAAAAGGTCAGACACCTTGGTCGTTGTTAAAGCTGTAAGTAAGAGGGAAAAGTACCACACTTAGCCATAAAACAATACTAGTATCTTCCTCCTAGGTGGCTGTCATGTCAAGCAGAGTGACATGCATCTCTACACTATCATGAAGGAGACTAAGACCCAAGACCCAGGGATGCAGGCTGAATGCATTGCTTGTATCCATTTATTCAATCTTAACTGAAACCCAATGAGGTAGGGAGTTGGCTGGGTGCAGTGGCTCGTGCCTGTAATCCCAGCACTTTGAGAGGCCAAGGCGGGCGGATCACCTGAGCTCAGGAGTGCGAGACCAACCTGGCCAACACGGTGAAACCCTCTCTGTACTAAAAATACAAAAAATTAACCAGGCTTGGTGGGCACACAACTGTAGTCCCAGTTACTCGGGAGGCTGAGGCAGGAGAGTGGCTTTAGCCTGGGAGGCGGAGGTTGCAGTGAGCCAAGATGGTGCCAGTGCACTCCAGCCTGGGCTACAGAGCAAGACTCCATCTCAAAAAAAAATAAAAGAAAGGTAGGGCGTTATTGTCCCATTTAACAGGTGAGGAAAACTGAGGCCCAGAGAAGTTAAATGACTCTACCAAGGCCACACAGCTAATGATTGAAGAAACTGGAGCTGAACCTATTTTTGCCTGATGCAGGCAATATTCCATTGGCAACCCTCTCCCAGGTAAGCTGATTATCACAGTATGCAGTTTTTATGCTCAGCTGGGAGAAGTCTGATGAGATCTCCTAGAAGCCCGTCAGGAGAACAGAATGCTCCTTAGATAACAATCCCCATTTATCTTCCAAATCAGATACAGGGGAACTTGAACACCAGAAGTTTTTCAGCATAGAACACAGGGCCAGACACATGACAAATGCTCAGTGAATATTTATGGAAGGAAGAGGGAGAAGAGAGTACAGAAGAGGAAGGTTATGTTTATTTTAGCCTAAAAAATTACCTCGGTTATTACCAAACAGACACTTGGGTTATAAAATCATCTTGGTAAACATGCATCTACTTTAAGCAATGTTCCTTGCTGGTGAAACTTCCAAAACAACCAGTTTATAAAATATGTTTCAGAGAACTGAGCGAGTAGTCTCTGTGTAGCTGGAAGCCCGTTAAATAGCTGGGGATATGTAACATGAATTATTCAGATAATAGGAGAAATAACTGCTTCATACTGCCATCAGGTATTTATCGAGACCAAACTTATGAAGACTTGTTGAAATGAATTGAGTTCTTCTAGAGACTGAACATAATTTTTTCTAGGATTTGCTAAGCCCAAATGACTTACTGATGTTGAATTAAACTTCATTCCCAGAACTCAATCTCTTCTTTTATTACTGACGTCACTTAAAACCTCCAGTTTAAACCAACTGTGTGAAAACAGATTGGGCAATAATTTCTCAAGGAGCGGAGCTTGTTTGCTGCACCTTGGTTTGGTAAAAAGCAAAATCATTTCTCCATGGCAAATATGTCCTCCTTACTTGGGCAGTTGTAATTTTTACTACACAAGATTTTGCTTGTTGATTTAACAGCTTGTGCCTCCTATTAAGGAGCAAGATGTTTTCCAACTGACTGCACAAGCCTCCAAATCAGGTTTTCCCCATAAGTCGTGAGACAAAAAAAAAAAATACTAGTGAGCTATGATAGAAAAGACTAACTGTTGTTAAGAAATGACATTCTGAAATTCCACCAAAGTTAGCTGACGGTCAACTTTGTAGCTCCAATTTTGTAGTTACATGGTTTTTCTCTCATAACTGTAAGTTGAGAATTTACTGCAATAGTTCTGTTTCCTTTGACTTTTTCTGGAATGATATAATTCACCTGAGGATAGGAAGATGTCTTTCCCTCTTGAACAGAGATTTAATTCTTCTTCTCCATTCATATTTATACTGTTTAGTGCAGTGATTCTCAACTGGGAGCAATTTTACTCCTCCCCCCGCCCCCCGGAGCATTGTTATTGTCAATGGAGACATTTCTGGTTGTCACAATGAGAGGTGAAGGATGCCCCTGCCGTCCAGTAGGCAGAGGCCAGGGATGGTGTTAAACACGCTGTGATGTGCAGGACAGCCCGCAAAGCAGAGAATAACCCAGTTCAACCCAGTTCAAGTGTCCATGGTGCCAAGGCTGAGAAACCCTGCGTTACTGCAATCCCCATGCACACTCCTTATTAAACACTGTGTGGAGCAGATGAATAACCCCTTCTTCATTTTCCTCTCCCCTTTAGCTACCACCTTAGTAGCAGCTTTTCTCTACCTTGCTGTCACCTTGAATAGGTGCTTATGTCTACAGTCTCCATCTATCTTCTCACCCGTCCCTTCTGAGTCACTGAGAGTTGGGCTTTCTCTTCACTTTCCGTAAAGGAAAGTGACCCAAGGTCAGCAGGTGGCTCCTCTTTGTCCCCGGACCTTTCTTCATCTCTGATTTAGCTCCCTTTGGGCTCCAACGCTCATCTCAGAAGTCACTGCCTAAGGCCCGCAGCAGCCCCAGGTTCCATTTCTCCTGGTCTCTCAGCTGTTTTCCAGCGTGCCTTGCTGGTTCCCCTCCCCCCGACCCATGTCCTAGCCCAGGGCATATTGCCAGCTCAACCCTCTGGTATCCCACTCTCCTTTCTTCCCTTGGAGCCCTCACCTGCTGTAGTGGGCACATTCACGATCCTTCCTGGGTGCGTGCTTCTCGAATGCACAGCGGTCAGCTTTGACCTTCCGCCAAAGCCTAACCAGTCCGTGTCTGCATTCCTCCCAGCCATTTCCTCTTGGTGATCCCACTGCCAACCTAAGTATAGTTATTCAATAGGCATTTATTGAGTTCTTCTTCTTTGTCAGGGACTTTATTCTGCTGTGGAGACACAGATTAATAGAGCAAAGTCTCTACCCTGGTGGAGCTCACAAACCAGTGAGGGATGCCGACTTGAAAAGACACAAGGCACTGGCTTCCGTGCTAACACGGACATCCATTCGGCCAAGCAGCCATGCCCGGCAGGCCTGGGACCGCATGTCATTGAAACCCCGAAGGCCCAGCAGCCCAGCAGGCAGGCTGGAACAGAAACCGTGCTCCACCCCACTTTGGTGCACAGAATCGTTAAGTATTGGGGGAGCAGAAACCTTCAGGACATTTAAAGGAATTAAATGAATTCTACGCATATACTAATAATGTAACAAAAAATAGAAACTTTTAAAAAGGTGAAATTCCAAATATAAATATAGTAAGTGCTACAAATTCATGTTAAATATAAACAGGTAACAGGAATGATAAACAGAAATTAATAGGAAATCTGCATAGAAATGTTCACTTCTTCCCACTGGGAAATCTTCAGGACTTCTCTCCTTCAGCTCTGTAATTCCCTCCTCCTCGTGGGATGACACAGCCCTCAAGGACGAGTAAATGAGGAAATTGTTACCCTCCATATTAGTTTGCTAAGGCTGCCATAACAAAGTACTGCAAACGGGGGACTTAAACCACAGAAGTTAATTGCCTCGCTGTTCTGGAGACTGGAAACCAAAGATCAAGTCGTCAGCAAGGTTGGTCTCTCCTGAGGCCTCTCTTCTCCCCCTGTCGGGCCTCTTTCCTTCCTCTCCTTGTGTCTTCACACGGCCTTCCCTTTGTGGGTGACTGGGTCCTAACTGCCTCTTCTTAAAAGGACACCAGTCATATTGGATTAGGGCCCACCCTTATAAGCTCATTTTATCTTAATCACCCCTTTAAAGACCCTATCTCCAAATATGGTCATATCCTGAGAGACTGGGGTTAGGACTTTAACATATGAACTTGGAGGGACACAATTTAGCCTAAAATCCTCCATTTCAAGGCCTAAGAGGGCAAAAGGAGGGGGATGTTCCCAGAACTAGAGAGAGCTGCAGTGCAGAGACAGTAGCTGCCACCCGGGGCAGTAGCCCTTGTCCTCCGTGAAGAAGACTGACCCCTGTGGAAAGCCTGCGGTGAGCAGGGAAGAGGAGGAACGAGGCCCCAAGCCTCCTCCCTGCTCTCTTTTTCCACTGCACCTCCCACTGGGCAATCGCCACTGGCAGCCCAAGGACAAGGAGCGGGCACCCCCTAGCGGTCAGGCCACCAGAGCCAGAGCCCCGCAGAGAAAGGCAAAGGCCGGCTGTGGAGGGGAAAGGAGGGAAGAAGGCGCCAGCCCCTCCTCAAAGCCAGCTTCCCTTGGTGATTTCTGGACTAATACGATACAGGTTCCCCGTGGTCAGCCTTAGCCCGCATGATGCGTTTGGCCTGAGGGGGCCTGAGACACGGAAGTCAGTGTCTTCTAGCACCTAACGTCTCCCCTTGGCCACACAGTGCTTCCTTGAGATGGGATTTGATTCTTATAGAATGTTTGCAGTGCCTTGTAGCATTAGAATTTGCCTGCATTCCTTTCTGCCTAAAGCTCAGGTTTGGGACAAAGGGGAACAGTTTCCAGCTGTGATGCTCTAACTTCCATCTGCCTGTGTGTGTTTGTTCTCAGGAGCCCGAGCGGCAGTACATGCACATTGGCACCATGGTGGAGTTTGCTTTTGCCCTGGTAGGGAAGCTGGATGCCATCAACAAGCACTCCTTCAACGACTTCAAATTGCGAGTGGGTACGTTCTGCAAAAGAGGTCTCGGTTTCAGTTGTGGCAAAGATGTGGAATAAGGAGTAAGTCAGGAGATATTGATGATCCTTTCAGTGTTGGAGTAGAACAATTACAAATGCATCCCGTTGCAAGACTGGATGACAGAAGGAAGGACACTTTTGAACAAATTAGAAAAAAAAAAACCCTTTGATTGGACCTAGGCTACCTGCACTCAGTCAAGGTCGCGTCTACAAACACGGCACGCACAGCCTTGAGCCATCCTGCGTTGCTGATTCACTGTGAGACATCCACTAAGAGCTGCTACATTATTTTATGGGCTGTTGCCAATTAAACTGGGACCTGCCACTAACTATAAGATACACCCATATTTCAGAGATGTAAAAATATTTTCTTTAAAAAAGTGGATCTTAGAATTGTTGCAATACAGTTCCATCTTCCTGGGGCCACAAGCTGTAAGAACACCAAATGTGTCATAGGTTCTGAAACAGCGACAGCTTTTCCGATTGTGTTCAAATCCTAGAGAAAAAAAAATCCAGCTTTCTTTATAATATTGTTAAAAAATAACCTTTAGGCCTGGTGCAGTGGCTCATGCCTGTAACCCCAGCACTTTCGGAGGCTGAGGTGGGAAGATCACTTGATTCCAGGAGTTTGAGACCAGCCTGGGCAACATGATGAGACCCCATCTCTACAAAAAATAAATTAGCTGAGCTTGGCGGCGCACGCCTGTAGTCCTAGCTACTTTGGAGGCTGAGGCGGAAGGATTGATTGAACCCAAGAGGTTGAGGCTGCAGCAAGCCATAATAGTGCCACTGCAATCCAGCCTGGGTGACAGAAAGAGACGCTGTCACCAAAAAAAAAAAAAAAAAAAAAAAAAAAAAAGTAACGTTTACTTGGTTGAAAACAAAGGCTTCCTGATTTCTAAATTTTTAACAGACTTTAAGTTGATTTTTTTTAGCATGTTTCATGACTTGCCTTTTACAAATTGTTGTTTTTTTAAATGTGTGTTTTAAGCCATCAAGTCAACACACAGCTTGGTTGCGATGTGTGCAGTTACTTGCAACCATTCAGAGTTCTAAGAGCTTCTTTGACCATTTTATGGTTTTCTTGGCAACACATTTTGCTTCTTCTGAGAGTCAGTTTATATAAGAGCAGTTCAGGCAGCAAATTCTATCTGAATGGTTTTTAACGCTCTCTTACATACAAATTTCAACTTTAAAAAGAAATCTGAATATTTAAAGCCATTTTCTTCCTTTGCTATGGGTATGTCCTGAATGTCATTTAAATCCAAAATATGTTACATCTCTTTCACAAATGAGATGTGTTTCTCCACTTGTACTATTAGTTGTCAGTGTTTAATCATATTTTTCTTTTTCTTTTTCTTTTTTTTTTTTTTCTTTTGTGAGACAGAGTCTTGCTCTGTCACCCAGGCTGGAGTGCAGTGGCACGATCTCAGTTCACTGCAACCTCCACCTCCTGGGTTCACGTGATTCTCCTGCCTCGGCCTCCCAACTAGCTGGGATTATAGGCATGTGCCACCACACCTGGCTAATGTTTGTATTTTTAGTAGAGACAGGATTTCTCTACTATTTATATTTAGTAGATTTAGTATATTTAGTAGAGACATGTTGGCCAGGCTGGTCTCTCACTCCTGACCTCAAGTGATCTGCTCACCTCAGTCTCCCAAAATGCCATATTTTTCTTTCTACTTTCTCAGTTCTGTGCATAGTAAACCCCTATCGGGGGCTCTACCTTACACAAAGATGAGATGACCACACCAAACATGGGCGTGTCCCTTTGACCCCAGAGACTCTACACTGTTTTGACAGCTTGGAAAATGGGCTCCTCAAATTTTGCTACTATACCTCTTTAAAATAAAAAAAAATGTATTACATGGGTGTATTAGGGTTATCTGGAGGGACAGAAATAATAGGATAGATGTATATATAAAGGAAAGTTTATTAAGAAGTATTAACTCACACAATCACAAGGCGAGGTCCCACATTAGGCCGTCTGCAAGCCGAGGAGCAAGGAAGCCAGTCCGAGTCCCAAAGCTAAAGAACTTGGAGTCTGATGCTGGAGGGCAGGAAGCATCCAGCACAGGAGGAAGATGTAGGCTGGGAGGTGAAGCCAGTCTAATCTCTCCACGTTCTTCTGCCTGCTTTTATTCTGGCCACGCTGGCAGCTGATCAGATGGTGCCCACTCACATTGAGGGTGGGTCTGCCTTTCCCAATCCACTCACTCAAATGTTAATCTCCTTTGGCAACACCCTCACAGACACACCTAGGAACAGTACCTTGCATCTGTCAATCCAATTAATTTGACATTTAGTATTAACTATCGCAATGGGAGAATGACCTCTTCTATTATCAAACTTATATAGACCAAAATCATATTGCCCTGCACTGCAGCATGGGACCAGAACGGCTATTTGCCAGTCATATGTGCTACCTCCAACGTGCCATTTTCCTGGTCTAGACTTCAGTGATATTGTTCAGATTCACGCGAACTGTTGAATGGACCTCCTTCCAGTGGTGTTTATTGACATTAAATGTCTACTTTACCCTGATTGTCCAATAACTGATAAAGTCTATACCCTCAACCCCATATATCAGCCTTGTTAGATTTCTAAGGAAGCCTGAACTCAACGTTTCACTTGGCCTTTGATTCTCCCTTTCCCCCGACCCTCTGTCTCTCCCAGGAGGGGACTTCCCTGCTTGACCTCCATGCACTGTGACATCCAGAGGTAGTTCAGGGATAGCAAAGTGGAAGAATAATATTGCCAACAAAAGCGATGGGACAAATAATGAGGTGAATTCACTCCTAGCATCCTTTTCAGCATATCTAGCTGTAGAATCAGTTGGAACCACAAATCAAGCACACTCCTACACTAACTAGAGATGGCCATGTTGCCAGCAATAATCAGTCCAGGCTCTTCCCCACCCCCAGAGCTGCTGACCAAGCAGGGATGAGCAGTGGCCAGAAGAAAAGCTGAGCTGACAGATGCAAGGCTGGAACCGCAGGCCAGTGTCCAGCGGCTGACCCCTGGGTGCTCTGACCTGTGCCAGAGCTGGAATAAATTATTTGAGATGCCTAAACCAGAAGTGTGTTTTCCTGAGTATGCCACAAAATCAAAGGAGAATTTATTTCTTACCTCTTCTGTACCTGCAAAGGTACTGCTTGGAACAGTATTGGGGCTGTTTCCTGACCTAACTTTCCATTGCAAAGGGGAAGCTTTGGCCTGGCGCGGTGGCTCACTCCTGTAATCCCAGCACTTTGGGAGGCCAAGACAGGTGAATCTCCTGAGCTCAGGAGTTTGAGACCAGTCTGGGCAACATGGCAAAACTCTGTCTCTACCAAAAATACAAAAAATTAGCCAGGTGTGGTGGTGTGTTCCTGTAGCCCCAGCTACTTGGGAGGCTGAGGTGGCAGGATCGCTTGAGCCTGGGAGGTGAAGGTTGCAGTCAGCCAAGATTGCGCCACTGCACTCCAGCCTGGGTGACAGAATAAGACCCCATCTCAAAAAATAAAAAAAATAAAAAGACAATGGTTATAAGATGAATCTTGCTAACTCAACTCTGATGTGGCACAGGTATTAACCATGGACCTGTGATAGCTGGTGTGATTGGAGCTCAGAAGCCACAATATGATATCTGGGGCAACACTGTCAATGTGGCCAGTAGGATGGACAGCACCGGAGTCCTGGACAAAATACAGGTAATGCAGAGTGTGGTCTGCGCTGCCTGCATCAACCATGTCTGTTCTCTTGGGAACCATAAATAAGTATAATAAGGATACTAATATATTAAAACAAAGGAAAAAAGTAAACCTTGAAATTTACTTATCTTTTGGAGAACAATTTTTGGGGAAATGTCAGTTTCTGTATTGACTGTTAACAACAACAACAAAATTCTAACAATATAAAGGCTATTATATTTGTGAAAACAAATGATCCAGCAGCAACCAGCATGATGGCACAACAGCCCTGAGCATTCAGTACAGGAGAACCTTTATTACTTCTCCTGGTGCTAATACCTTAAAAAGGACTTTGCAAACGAGAGGGATCACATGCAACCAAAACCAGACACAACCCCTCACCTTCTTCTCTCAAGCTGAATTGGGAGGAGGGGAAGTGGTAGGCTTCGGAGAGGTGGGAGATGAAACAGAAGGTTGATATGAATGGCAGCTCTGGAATCCACCCAAGAGGGAGAAAGGAAGGTGTAACAAATGAAAAGCAGTGGTTGGAGAAAACTAAAATTATTTTATGTGACTATTCCCATTGCTCATTAAATCAATTATAATCGTGGTTAAAGTAACTATATTACAATAGCACTAATAATATTGTATTTTTAAAAGTATTTTAAAATCACTGAAAAGATAATAGAAAAAAAATCTGTTATTAGAACTATGCTGAAACTATCCCCCCAGTTACAAAAGAGCAGTGGTTCTGCCCAGGTTGACAGTGACAGAATCAAGGAAGAGCGGGAAGAGAAACAAGGGAGGCTACGAAGATGGCAGCTTGGTCAAGCCTGTTCTTCAATAATTCCGCACCCACGTCCTGTGCTCCTCCCACGTGCTGACTAGATGCTGTGGCTACAGCATGAGCAAGTCAAACTCAACTTTGCCCTTGTACAGCGAATGTTCTCTTGGAGATGACCGTTAGCCACCAGAAGTCACAGTGGTGCCACTGCAAGTGTGACTGTGCTGGAGGACTTCAGCTGGCCTGTGTGGCTGGGGAAGGCTCTGGAGAACTCGATTTTCAGACGACAGGCTGTGTGAGTAAGAAAGGTGTGGAACTGGAGACAGTGTGTGAAGACCACCTTTTCAGATGTGAAGTGAGCTGATGGAGCAGAAGGGGAAGGGAGTTCAAGGCTGCGTTCAAGAATTATCCTGAACAGGGGCAATGCTCACAGGAAGAACGGAGTGAGGGGACCAGTGAAAATAAAGGTGGTTTGAGGTTCCCCCGGTGAAGGAAGGAGATTGGAACAGTGTGTGGTTGGAGAGTGGGCTCACAGCTCAGTAGCAACATCTGCAGCATTAACGGAGAAAAGTGAAGAAGGAAGGGTGCAAGAGTGGAAACAGGAAGCTACAGTTCATTCCAGTATTCGGAAGAAAGAAGGGGATCTCAGCTAAGAAAAGAATAAGAAGAAGATAAAGAGGTGCATGTCATTACATTTTAAATCTACCATTATACTCTTGGATAATATATGTAGAATGGTAAACATGTTCACAAGGTTTAGATGTAACTTTAAATATATTTATAGCAAAAGCCATTTTGTATCATGGTTTGGAAATTTTGCTTAAACTGTGGTTAGAGATTATCTTTTTAATTTTCATCATTGAACCCACACCCAAATCCACTTAATATATTTTGGTTAATACTAGAATTTCATTCAATTTTACCATTATTACACCAAGAAGCTATCCTGAAGCTTGCTATCATAATGACAAAATGACACGCCAGTGTAATATCTGTCCCCCTCAGAGGCACAAACATCTAGCAACACAGAATGTGTTTCAGTGAAGAGCTTGGAGATACCAAGGTTTTATGGTCCTTCCTTGCCTTCTTCAAAATTCTGCTTCTATTAATAGCTAGAAATTAGTGAAATTCAATCTGCCTTCCAGTGAGCTCATCAGTGAGCTGATCATCAGCAGCTGGAACACATACACCTGATTGTACACAGTTCCAGACACCCAGAGAGAAGGGCTGGGATCTGCAAGTGAGAAGCGTGTGTGCATGTGTGTGTACATGCATGTGTGTGTGTGTGTGTGTCTGTGCTGAACACTCTATTTGTCTCACTCTCAGAAAGCAGTGGATTCACGTTTCACCCCCGTTATGTTACATTCTGGAAAATGAATTTCTGCTAAATGGAAAATTTATATGAAAGTCACCGGACTTGCACTATAGATTTATCATGGTGGTCCTCTGGGCTTTTGATAAATCCCTATAGTGTGTGTCTCAGCTTAGCCAAGACATGCGAATAGCCTTGCCTCCTAAAATTGACTGCACAGACTGGCACAGTCCTTTCCTCTTTAAAAGACTGTCCCCTCCATTGTTGTCAGAATGGGCTTTTTATTAAACCTCGACTTACCTGCCTTTCATATTTACCCCATCTCGTTCATTCCTTTGGTCTTTCTAAAGGATATCTTTAATTTTTGTATGGAATGGAGGAAACATTACTTCTAAGTATCTGCCTTCTTTTATTCAGATTGAGTCAACACTTGCTACAAAGTAAGTAAAAGTCCAACCAAGAGAAGGAAGAGATAAAAGAAAACTAATGGGAGGTGGGGAGGAAATATTCCAACCAAATTGGCCATTGCCAAGGATCTGCTCACGAGATCAGACTTGGAGTGAGTTTCCAACACTGGCTCCAGCTGCCTCCCCTCTCATGCTAGGGTGCAAGACGAGGCTCTTCTCCCTGGGGCTGGAGCTGTGGTCATCATCTGTGGAGACTGCTCAGTTGCCCAGCCAGAACAAGAATCGTGGGGCGTTTTGGCAGCCTAGTCTAATCATTTTCTGATGGTACCAAGGCTTCCGGGACTTTCTGCATAAACATCGCTAGCCACTTCTAATGCCCAGGGATACTCCTGCAATCCTGGACAACCCCAGGTCTTATCTTGGCAGGGAAGAGAGGCCTGCCCCTACCAAGGACTCACTTTCCCACCTGCAGGCCAGCCCATGTCCCCAGCACAACACCCGGAATATTCCGACGATTTATGGCAGTTTTTAATATGCTTTCTAGATCCCCTAGCAGCTTTTAAGCACTTGGGAGAAGTATCAAAAGCAATTTGAGTGAGGCAGGTCATGGAGAGTGCTCCCTCCTGGAGATCGTAAATCTCCTAGAGGTCGATGTTTGAAATGAGTTTGAGCTCATATGTGTCTCAAAGAGGATATTGGGCTTCATAAAGCTCCATGCGACTCAGGGCAGGTCGGCCACCTACACCGGCTCCATGACCTCTGATCCCTGGAGGGAAACAAGACAGGTTTCTGCCTGTCAGTAGGGAGCCATGTTTGTAGACCTGTGTTTGCTTCCTTAGCACGGAAGCTGAAGGGCTGCATTTGGGTAAGTTTTTAATCCCGAAGGTGTGGCTTGCTTCCTCACTCCAATAAGCTCTCTTTTCCATTTATGTGCAAAAAATAGTAGTGAGATGCCAGGAAAATAAAAAACGATGCCCAGACCATTAATAAGCTTCTCCTAGGCCTGAGGAACGGGTTCTTTTTATTAAAGAGCATTTAACTCCCAGCATGCTTTCTAGCCTGGAAACCCCAAGAACAGCATAGCAAGCCCACTCAGCAACCCTGCGGCTTCTCCTAGGCCTGGAGGCATAGTAACCGGTGTGCATCGAGATGGACAGCTTCTTCCTCCCGGTTTCCCATTAATCATGCGGTGCTGATTGGCGGGTGGTTCGGCATTATGAACACCAGTGGATAGTTTTAAAATGCCAGTGACATTAGCACCAGTAAATACCTCAACAGTTAACCCCCAAAGCACCAAAAGGCCACTTTTGGTGGAAGGCCGCTCGTCCAATGACTGCAGAATTTGCAAACCTGAGTTTCATTGGTTTTCTTCATCTTCTTTCAGCTCTTATCCAGTACACAAAGCACTCCCGGGGCTCCTGCCCTCCTCCCAGGACTTGGGCCAGACCAGAGCAGCAGGACATGGACATCTGGCACCTGTGCCTCCTTTTCCTTTCTGCTCTGCTCATCAGGGTCCCGAGGACCCACACGTGGACCTTGTGCTAGGGGCTGTCCTTCCATGACATTGCAGAAAGGTGGATGATTCTTCCATAGCCCGCCCTTGAGATCTGCGCATGGAGGATTCACCCTGGTTCTGGGCGTCCCTGGATGCTGTCCTGGGCTCTCATGAGCACAGCCCCTCATGGTTTCCTTGCACTTCTACCTCTGCCCCAACAGTGATGTCTGCCCTCAAGGCCTTTCTTAGTCTCCAAGTCCAAGGAGGCTGGAGCTTTGCTGTTGACACGGCCCCCACCTTTGCACCTTCCCCGGGACACACCACAACCAAAATTGTGCCATAACACCCCTGTGTGCCATAACACTGCTGTGTGCCATAACACTGCTATGTGCCAGAACAATGCTGCTGTGTGCCATAACAGCGCTGCAGTGTGCCACAACACTGCTATGTGCCAGAACAACACTGCTGTGTCCCATAATAACGCTGCTGTGTGCCACGACAACGCTGCTGTGCGCCACGACAACGCTGCTGTGCGCCACGACAACGCTGCTGTGCGCCACGACAACGCTGCTGTGTGACATGACAACGCTGCTGTGTGCCATGACAATGCTGCTGTGTGACATGACAACGCTGCTGTGCGCCATAAAACTGCTGTGTGCCATAACACTGCTGTGTGCTGTAACAACACTTGTTGTGTGCCGTAACAACGCTGCTGGGTGCCATAGCAACACTGCTGTGTGCCATAACACTGCTATGTGGCTTGTAAGCTGCCCAGCCCTGTCACACCCACCTGGCACAGGTTTGTCACTCCAGTGCTGGAGGTGGCCAGGGTCTCACAGGTGCCCTTGTTGCAGCCATGCCAGCTGCCTTCTCAGATGAAGTGGGAGGAGATTGCTCCTTTGTGCCTTTTTCTCATGGTTCCAAAGCAGCATTACCAGGGCTTTCTGTCTGCCCAAACTCAGATACCTGCTAGGGGACACTGGGTGGAGGAGCAGGTAGCCAACAGAGGGGTCTTCCCTGGCCTCAGAAGCTGAGGCCTCACCCTCAGACCACGCCTGTGTGTCTCACTGGTTCTCTGCTTTTGCAGCTCCTCCACACTCAGGCAGCCCAAGCCCAGGCAGGCGCGGGCCCACAGTCCCAGACAGGGTGTCCTAAGGAAGGCGCAGCACACGCAGAAGCTCAGGGAGCCAGTACTGGACAGTGCATCTCCGCTGAGGAGGAAGCTGTCAGAGCCAGCAAGTTCACGGCCATCCGACCTGCAGGGCCTGGACATGGTTCAGCTGCCGGGTCCCTCGCCTGTCGGTGCAATGGCAGGAAATAAGTGGTCCTGTCAAGCCAGCAGCCTGCAAGAGGGGCTGCCCTCCTTAGCCCCCGTTTCAATGCAGTGAAGCGAGGAGACCTTTGAGACTTGACTGGGAGCATCATGCTCATGCGGACACCAGTGCAAATTCCTACAGCTCTTTCAGTTTTAGGTTACTTCACTCAAAGGCATCAAACCTGACAGACGCGACCATTGGCAGGAGTCTACAGTGCTCAGTGCTCCTTCTCGGGGTGTTCCTCCCATCGACACTGACATCTATGATTAATGTTTATTTCATGAAAGGACATTCATGACAATGTATAAACATCATCCAGAATCCCACCACTCCAATCTATTTTGGTTTACTCTCTTTCATCCAGGTCTCTTCAGTGTGAATACATAACATCATGTGGTTGAAATCATAGCCTGGATCCAGGCTCAATTCCTTTTCTGGGTGAAATGGTTTGACATTGTGTCATCCATGATAGCATCATGGTAGCACCGTAGTTTACTGGAGTTACTTGAATTTTAGGTTGTTTCCAGTTTTTCACTATCCCAGCGCTGAATTAAACAACATTGTCCTTTACAACCTTTTTTTCTTGTGGATTACTCTCACTTTTCTACTAACTTCTCAGGAGTGGAATTCCTGGGTCAAAGAGCATGGTGCTTTTTTTAGCTCTGCATCCTTGAGTCAGATGGGTTGTATCAATGTATGTACTAAGCCCGTTTTCCCGTGTTCCTGTGCCTTCTAGGTTACCGAGGAGACGAGCCTCGTCCTGCAGACCCTCGGATACACGTGCACCTGTCGAGGAATAATCAACGTGAAAGGAAAGGGGGACCTGAAGACGTACTTTGTAAACACAGAAATGTCAAGGTCCCTTTCCCAGAGCAACGTGGCATCCTGAAGAGTCACCTTCATTTTGGCAAGAAGACTGTATTTTCAGGAAGGTATCACACACTTTCTGACTGCAACTTCTGTCCCTTGTTTTTGATGTGCGTGCTGTCTGTCCTATGGAGCCTCTGCAGACTCGTTCTCGTGACCCAGTGGCATACCGTTTGGTGTCTGATGTGTGCCCAGATCGTTCTGCCACTTGCACTGTGCTTGCTCCTAAGCAAAAGGGAAAAGGAGCGCGCGTGATAGAAGAAAAGCACTGGGAGAACTAACAGAGGAGAAAGGTGAAACACACACACATTCTTAAGGCAATAAAACTAGGGGGTGTATATTATCTTCTGGTGCATGTTCTTTTCTGGAAAATATGGTAGCTCGCCAACCGCATCTGCTCATCTGATATTCAAACACACAGTATTCGTGAATAAGTTGATTCTGTCCCCCACGTGGACTCTGTGCTCACCCATTGTCTCATTGCCAGTGGTGTCCAAGGGCCCCCGTTGGGACCCACGGCTCTCGTCCCTCTGCTCCGTGTGTCTCATGCCAGCAGCACGTCGCCATCCGTCACCAGAATTAGTCCTCACAGCCTAGGACCAGTTTTGTATCAAACTCGTCTGATGTTTTGATGCCATTTGTCTTTTGTAAAGTTAATTCATTAAAAGTTTTATGTACTTTGATTTACAGTGCCTGTATCTTTTATTTTCCTGTCTTCTTTCTCCTGTGGTTTGCTCCAGAATTAAGGTTTGTTTTCCATCCATTCTCCCTTTTGACACAGTTGTTTCAGAAAGAGCTCTCCAGAAGCCAATATTGAGATGTAATTCAGATTAGGACACAGTGTGTGACGCAGATAACTGGTTACTCAGCTCCCTGGAAAGCAGGCAAGCATGTTGAATGTATCTAGTGGTCTGATTTTAATTTGGGCATCTCTAGAGAACGCTTTCAGGGAAAAATACTTTAATAGTAAAAAGATTCTCTGCGAGCAACAGTGCCCCCTCCGTCCACTACGCTCCTGTCTCCAAGAATGTTTTGCTAGAGCTAACAGACATAGACTGCAAAAGAATAATTTGGAATCAGCTATGCAAATCAGTCTCACAATAGCGTGAGCTAACTGAGAGAAGTACTAAGACCCACAAACTGCCTGTTAAGTCTGAGAAGGCTAAAGAAGACACACAGCCAACGTTCATGCATTTTTAAAGACAGAAGGCCTTGAAGAATTTGTTCTTGTAAATCCAACACAAGTTGTTTGGTACTTTTAACATAAAGAAATCATACTTTGCCAAATAGTGAAAAGTAGAGCAATCGTGTATAAGCTAATGTTTAAAAGCAAAACTGCAAATTGTAGCCCAGTTGGTCAAACTTGTTTTCTTTTTATAACTCATGGCAGGCATCTGTAAGAAGTAGAGAACCCAGATGATCTCTTAGGAAGCCTTTTATTCGTGGGAACTCGAACTTGAAGCACAAGTTCCTGGTTTGAATCCTGGCTCTGATTTTTTACTGGCTGTGTGACTTTGAACACATCTCTTAGTCCCTCTTAGGAGTACTTTCCTTATTGGCAACTTATGGACTCGCTAGTGATTAAACGAGGCAATGACTGTGAGCGAGCCTGGCAGGTGCCCCGTGGTACATTCACAGCACGGGCACAGCTGCTGTGCCAGGACTGTGACTCATTCCCAGTAAAAGGCACTTATCGAAGCTGATAACCGTCCTTCATCACCGAAGTGTGAGTAGAGCATGACTTATTTAGTATTCTGCCTCAATGGGGAATTTTTTGATCCTGTAATCACAACTCAGCATTGGCCTTAATATACCTAAATCTCCAAAAACAGTGATTAAAGCAAGAGAATTATTACAAGGGCTTTTCTCTTTCCTCTAACTCATTCTTCACGGATGCCGTAGCGTTTCCGTGAGCTCAAACTGGCCTTGGTGTAAAATGTGTAAGGATGAGCAGCAGGCGTGCCTCGTGGGTTCTTCCTCTGTTACATCCTGCTACACTCATCCGCAGGTCACCTTAGTTCACCTACCCTGAGTGAACACCCCCAGCTGGGTGGTCCACCAAGTTCTCATAAACAGAGTCCCTCCCATTCCCCCACGGGGTGCACCGAACTTGGGTTTGCGCTAAAAAGAACTCAAAAGGAGAACTGTGCTCTCCCAAAGCCATATCACCAGTCTTACCAAACAATAGGCTTTTAAAAGCATTGAGTCATTGTCAGAATCCACTATGGGAAGCTCTGTGTGTACCTGGTCCCTTCTAGGTGTGGTCCCATAGGAGCAGCCTTAGCATCCCCTGTGAACTTATCAAAAATGCAAATTCTCAGGCCCCAACCTGAAGGAGGACCCTGAATTTGAGATCCCCGGGGCTGGGGCCCAGCACAACTGCTGTTTAGTGAACAGGTTCTCCAGGTGATTCTGATCCCTGATCAAGCTTCAGACCTCCCTCCCTCCCCAGTGTTTTTGCAGGTGAGGAAACAGGGGCAGAGTAATTCAGGCACATGTGTTCAGAGTTCCACAGTTGATTAGCAGTTGAGGCCAGGCTAGAATGGAAAACTGCCTGTTCCTTGAATCTGAAAGAGCATTATTCCTGGTCAAAGCTCCTTAAAGTTCTGGGCAGCTAAAAGCATCCCTGTGAGCAAAAATGCCAGGCAGAAAACTGGCAGTGCACCTCTCATCAGCCCAGGTCCCAGTGCCATTGGCTTCAAGAAAAAAAAAAAATCTCTCCCCAATGCTCTCCTTAACCTTTAAGTCTTACAGGAAGCCTCTCATAGAAATTGCCTCCAGTCCAGTTTCCCAAAAACCCCAGTGTTTTACATATCTGTTTAGGAGTGTCTAAGTTTTGTCATCAATCCAGGATGTTATTCTTCCTTCCCAACTCACTGTGCTCCTAAAGGCAGCAACCATTCATCTTTCCTTTGCTCTGGATACACCGAATGACCAGGTAACATCATCAGGCCGGGTGCAGTGGCTCCTATAATCCCAATATTTTGGGAGGCCGAGGAGAGAGGATCACTTAAGCCCAGGAGTCTGAGACCAGCCTGGGCAACATAGCAAGACCCCCATCTCTGCAAAAAAATAAGAAAATTAGCTTGGCATGGTGGCACGTGCCTGTAGTCCCAGCTACATGGGAGGCTGAGGTGGGAGGATCACTTGAGCCCAGGAAGTCCAGAACGTAGTGAGCCTTGATTATACCACTGCACTCCAGCCTGGGTGACAGAGCGAGACTCTGTCTCAGAAAAAAAAAGAAAAAAAAGAAAAAGCAACATAATTGCCCAGTGATGAAAATTTGATAAACCAAAACAATCCATTAATATAAGAAGATATGATGTGTGATGGCTTTAACAAGCATTCATGCATTGGCTTTAAATGATAAACATTGGGATACCGAGAGAAATATACTTCATTTTCTCTTATGGCCTAACAAATGTGAGATCTTTTGAAATCTTGGCCAATTACAGCCCTGCCTTTTGAAAGTCAGTATGTAGTAGAAGGTGAAGGGAGTAAGGTCTGACTGAAAGTAAATGAAAATAATTTAGTTTGACTTTGATTTATTACAGTCACTTACAGATGCCTTGTCTTTGTTGAAATCAAGTCTGAATAATGAATAATTTATAAATATTTCTATAACCCAAACTTTATATATTTTCTATTATGTTACTATAAATATGGTATAATGCACCCAAAGGCATTCGAAATAAACTACTGCCATTTGTTTGAAATAAATAAAAGACACCTACACTGAAAAACTGTTTTCAAAAAAATAAAGAAATACTTAGGAGTCACTCAGCCTTGAAATTGCCGGAATTCAGTGTCATTTATTTTTAGAGAATCCTTTTTCCATATTCAAAACAATAAAACCAGTGATGGAGCGATCAGTATTGAAATTAATTAGGCCACCTGCCCATTCACTGCTAAACTGTGGGAAATTTAATCATGGTAGATGAGAGATGATTTCTTCCAAGGGATCCATTCATTAAAAATGTAGCTGATGATACTTTAATACTTGGGTAAGTTTCAAATTATCTCCAAAGTAAGTATTTCCAACTTAGGTTACAAGCGACTGCTTCCAAAAAGAAGACTGTTTAAAGTCAAGTCATTGCTGTGATGACGGGGCACTGGGTGGGGCACACACTGGGTACCTGTGTTATGCCTGTGCTCCAGCAGCTCATTGCCTCCCGCATGAACTCCTCTAGGTTTGGAAATTCCACTTTAAATATGAGGAAATGTCTGCTCATGTAGATGATATGACTTGCCCTAGAACACAAATCTAGAAAATGCAGCAACCAGAATTTTACCCAAGTTTGTTGAACACCGAAATCTAGCCTCTTCCCATGACTGGCCCCCTCTCTCTGAGCAGTAATAGTGAGCATTGCTGGCCACCAGGGCCACCCATCCTTACTAGGGCTCCTGGTCCCTACTGCACAAAATTCTGTTATTTGGGATTCAGACCTCTGGAAAAACAAAAATGGAGTTTCTAGAGTTCAATTGTGCCAAAAGACAATTGTCATCACATCTCCTCTTGGAGAAGGGAACATGTCAGGGTTGTTTGTGTTCAGGCAGCAGGAGTTCCCCTAACTCGTGGGAAAAGCAACTGCACCTCACTCCTGTGACTGCCTCCCCAAAGAATCCTGGCAAATGTAGAGAGCCAGTGAACAGAAACCAACCCAACAGTTACCAAGGGGAAACAAAGTTTTCATTTTATTCAGGTGCTCACAATGAATCGGTCTCCAGATTCATTTGATCAAAAATAATTCCAGCTGAAAATCATCACATCAGAGACTCTTCACATGTACTAAAGGTGTTGTTGGTCAGGCTCCTAACCCAGCAACCTGAGGGGGGCTGCTAACGTGTTCATGTGTCCCACTGTAGAGATGCAACACAGGCATAGCCAAGCTCCTAGGCGTCATGAGAAGGGGAAAGGAGGCTCCAGATGCCACCTTCTCGCTGTGCAAACTTGCCAGGCCACAGGGTATCGGACATGCCCTGTGGGCCACGGGGATGCTTCAGGATGGAGCAATGTGCCCAAAGCCGGGTTCCTTGAGGCTGGGGATGTCGTTCTTCCTGTAGAAGTCAGCCTGCACATGGTTGGCACGGCCAAAGTCCCGGTTTAGGGGCTCAATGGGCTGATTGATGCGCTTCCCATAGACAGAAGACGTCAGCACTCCAACCGGCCTCTCCTGTTCCTGGTGAAAGTTATCAAAGCACATAGTCAGCACCACTGCATTCGCCAGCACAGCTCACCCGTGCATCCATCAGCCTGGGTCCTGGGAGCTTTTTCTGCCTGGGTCCCACCATGGTAGACCAAGAGGGAACCTCCACGCTGAAGCCAGGGGCTTCACAGGGAAGTAGCCTATGGCAGGGAACCGTTGAATTTGCTAGAAGGCTGGCTGGTGTATTCATTGGACATGTTGGGAAACTGTGCCGGACCATTTGCTCTACCCGTTTGTCCCTGTGCTCTTCCTGGTCATTTCCCAGCTCCTGCTGCTGCTGGTCCCTTCCCACCACCCAGATCCTGGCTCAGATGTCCAGGTCCTCCCTGACCCCTCCCCTCCCCAGCTCCCTGCTCATCCCTCTCACTTTCCCCATCTTACATCCTCACATGGCTTCCTCTTCCCTCATACCACTCATCACTACCTAGAATTTGCTCATCATTTCTTTTTTTTCTTTTCTTTTGAGAAGGAGTCTTGCTCTTGTCGCCCAGGCTGGAGTGCAATGGTTGCAACCTCTGCCTCCCAGGTTCAAGCAATTCTCCTGCCTCAGCCTCCCGAGTAGCTGGGATTACAAGCGTGCACCACCACGCTCGGCTAGTTTTTGTATTTTTAGTAGAGACAGGGTTTCACCATGTTGACCAGGCTGGTCTCGAACTCCTGACCTCAAGTGATCCACCCACCTCGGCCTCCCAAAGTGCTGGGATTACAGGCATGAGCCACCACACCCAGCCCATGATTTCTTTGCCTTTTTCTCTCTTCCTTCAGGAATGGCAGCTCTGAGAGGGCTTTTTTCTGAAAAACTACCTGCCACAGTTTTCTCCTGAGGAAGACAATAACTTTGCATCAACTTAGAATGCACCACATGTGCTGGTTATGGTGGCTTGGTAACTAAACTTGGAAGAAATGTTCTCGTGTGTGCAATTTCTGCTCCGCAAGACCAACTTTTCTAGAAAAATTATGAAAGCCAGGACTCAGAGGTTAAGCAGAGACTTGTTTTATCCGTTGAAGGGAATGTCTTAGCTTTGCTGTCCTTAAATTGTTAAATTCTAAAGAACCAAACAACAATATCAAGAAAAATACACAATGACATGACTGAATAGAGGGAACTATATATAATAGTACCTTAGCCTTAGCTTCTTGGCACAAAAAGATAGAGGAGAGCTGCATAAAGAAAATTACATAGAGCAGCTGAGCACAATATTAAATATGTATGTGTATATGCACACACACATGCATGTACACACATATGTACACACATGTACATGCATACAATATACACACATGTGCATGATATATACATGTATTCACACATATATACACACATAATATATACACATCCACCTACATATGCATATATGCATGCATCTATACACATATTTACACACATTCACAAGCAGGCACACACACATGCACACACATATACACACATATATAATAGATACATACACACATGCATATACACAAACACATGCACACATATATACACACAGGTACACATATTACACATATGCCCACACACAAACATATGTACAACATATACAAATATACATATCTGTACATACATGTACACACATATATACATACACACATGTACACACATGTATGCCTATATACATGCATACACATATACACATACAGTCATGTGCCACATGACATTTTACTCAATGATGGATCTCATATACGACGGTAGTCCCGTAAGGTTATAATATTAAGTTGGTGCAAAAGTAATTGCTGTTTTTGCCATGAAAATGTCAAAACCTAATAGAACTGAAAAATTCCTATCACCTAAGGATGTCATAACTGTTGTCATGTCATAGTGCAACACATTCCTAATGTGTTTGGGTGATGTTGGTGAAAATAAACCTACTGTGCGGCCAGTCATATAAAACATAGTACATACAATTATGTACAGCTCATAGTACTTGACAATAATAATAAATGACTATGTTACTGGTTTATGTATTTATTATATTTTTTATCACTATTTTAAGAGTGTACCCCTTCAACTTATTTTTAAAAGTTAACTGTAAAACAACCTCAAGCAGGTTCTTTAGGAGGTATTCCAGAGAAGACATTGTTAGCCTAGGAGATGACAGCTCCATGCGTGTTGCGTGACGTCGCCTTTGAAGACCTTCCAGTGGGACAAGATGTGGAAGTGGAAGGCAGTGATACTGATGATCCTGACCCTGTGTAGGCCGAGGCTAAGGTGTGTGTTTGTGTCTTAGTTTTTAACCAAAAACTTTAAAAGCTTAAAAAAATTAAAAATAGACATAAAGATCTAAAGAAAGAAAATATTTTTGTACAGCTGTACAATGTGTGTTTTAAGCTAAGCGTTACTACAAAAGAGTCATAAAAGTTTTTAAAATTAAAAAGTTTATAAGGTTAAGAAGTTACAGTAAGCTAAGGTTCATTTATTATTGAAGAAAAAAATTTAAAATAAATGTAGTGTAGCCAAAGTGTACAGTGCTTATGAAGTCTACGGTAGTGTACAGTAATGTCCTAGGCCTTCACATTCACTCACCACTCACTCCCTGACTCACCCAGAGCAACTTCCAGTCCTGCAAGCTTCATTCATGGTAAGTAAATGATACACAAGTGTATCATTTTTATCTTTTATACTATATTTTTACTGTACCTTTTTATGTTTAGATACAAAAATACTTAGCATTGTGTTTTAATCCTTTACAATATTTTATACATAACACACTGTACAGATTGGTAGCCTAGGAGTAATAAGCTGTACCATATGGCCTAGGTGTGGAGTAAGCTATGTCATCTAGGTTTGTGTTAAGTACACTCTGATGTACACTCAGTGACAAGATCACCTAGCAATGAATTTCTCAGAATGAATCCCTGTTGTTAAGCAAGGCATGACTGTACATACACCCCGCACCAAACACACACACACACACGTACAAGCATACCTCAGAGATATTGCAGGTTTGGTTCTAAACCACGGCAATAAATATCACTATTAAGTGAATCATACAAACGTTTTGGTGTTCCAGTGCATATACAAGTTACGTTTACACTATACTATAGTATATTGAGTGTGCAATAGCATTATGTCTGAAAAATGTACAGATCCTAATTTGTAAATACTTTATTGTTAAAAAATGCTGACACAGAGATAGGAAGTGAGCACACGCTGTTGGAAAAATGGCACCAATAGACTTACTTGACATAAGGTTGCCACAAACTTTCAATTTGTAAAAAATACAGTATCTATGAAGCCTAATAAAGTGAAGTGTAATAAAACTAGATATGCCTCTATAAAGTTTTGTTAATCTGTTGACAACTTGTTAATATTCTGTCTTAATATTACCTCTTCGTTAACATGAAGTCCCAGGCTTTTTGCATGTTCTCTGTCATCTCGGTGCAACTTCTGATCATAATCTAGGCGCCTCTTAAAAATACAATCATAGAGGGAAATAATTCCTGTCTAGGAAAAAAAAGAGAAAGAAAGCCATGGGTTAATTTGAAGGCTGGGTCATTGAGGCCCGATGGAGCACAGAGGCCAGTTCTTTCCCAAGGGAGGCTGGAGGTGCATGTGGTGAGTATGTGGTAGGAAAGTTCACCTCACCAAGCAGAACCAGCTGTGACGTGGAGCAGGGAGAAGCCCAGGCCTCACCAGCAAGAGAAGTTTGCTGAGAGGCCCAGTATGAAGCAGGGACATTTTCATGGCACTTCTCAACTTTCTCCTCCCTTGTTGACAGAGGTGGCTCCCCAAGCTGTCTTGCTGTCTGACTCCATTGCTAGAGCTCAAACTTTAAAATAAAAATGTGTCCTAGTCCATTCAGGCTGCTGTAACAAAATACCATATAGACTGGGTGACTTATAGGCAACAGCAGTGTATTTCTCACAGTCCTGGAGGCTGCGAAGTCCAAGTTCAAGGCCCTGTGAGATTGGGTGTCAGGTGAGGGCTCAATTTATGATTCACAGGTGGTGTCTTCTCCCTGTATCCTCACATGCTGGAAGGGCAAACAAGCCCCCTCACGCTTCTTTTATAAGGGCACTAATTCCATTTATGAGAACTCTACCCTCAGGCCTAATCCCCTCCCAAAGGCCCCGCCTCCCAATACCACCACATGGGGGTGAGGCTTCAACGTACGAATTTGGGGAGACACAAACATTCAGACCATAACAAAATGACATTTCTAAGGTTATATATGTGTGTACTTTTCCTTCATTTCTACTTGTCTTGTGTTCTCAAATTCTCTATAATAAGCCTGAGCTTCTTTGAAAAACAAACAATACCTACATACTAGGATAATGAAACTTAACAGGAGTCATCCTTTAAGTCGCTAGTGCAGGAGCCAAGGGCAGACGTCTTCTCTGCCTTCTGAAGGTTGCCTGAAAATCAACTGACAGAAGGGAGATTAAAAGAAGAAAGGGCATACACATTTTTATTAATGTGCATGGGGGACATCTCAGGGTGATTACCCCACCATACCATGGGCTACAGATGCTTGTATAGCCTTCTTCATACGAGAAAGGAAGATGGGGAAATGCGGATGATTTTAGGGAGGTAGTAAGTTATTTTTAGGGGGATACAATGGGCTTGGAGAAGATACAATGGTCTGGGAGAAAGTCTGTTTGGCCCACAGAGCAGATGATGGTCTATGACAAAAGTCTGTCCAGGTGTCTTAACAGACTTCAACCTGTCTTCCCATGACATGAATGCAGTTAATGAAAACTCAGGGAAGGTACCAGGGGTCATTGTTTTCTTCCTTGGTGAGTCTAGACTTCAGGCAGATAAGCGAACTTTAGAGACCGACTTCATCAAGTGCTTTGGGAGAGACAAGATTGAGAGACAAGAACCAGGGGTGGGGGTAGGGGGTGGTCAGAGAAAACTTGAGCCTTCTTCTTGAGGCCAGAGTGTCAGAGTGCCATATTTTGGTGTATTGGTTCCTGAACTCTAACACTAGCCAAGAGTCAGGCTATGTGCAAACCCCTCTCTTGAGAGATAAAAGTATTTTTTCTTTAATCATAGGTGATAAGTGTAACACTTGGTAATCCATATATATATGAATACATATATTTAATATACATGTATATATCATATGTATGTAATTTACATACATGCACAACTCTGATGTATTAGAAAATGACCCATTAACAGAGCCATTATCTGTATTATCTCCATTTTATCATCCCAACTTTTTCTGAGTACAAAAGAAAATCTTCCTTGTTCGGTATCTAGTAAAAGAAAAAAGAATGCATGTGTTAGCTGGTCTTTAATCTTCACCTTGTAGGTCAGGCTTGTCATTTATGTTATTCCAGCTGCCTTAAATCTTCCAGCAGCACACTCAGACATGTCTCCATGGGATTTGGGAGCATTAGGTCTCTAGCTTATGCTTGGTTGGTTTTGTTTTGTTTTGTTCCCAGATAGTGATGCTAGAATGATTCCCTCCAACAGGAGGATACAGAGGTAGAAGTAGGCAGTGAAAAGGATGCAAGACTTTATACAGTATGTTGGAAAATACATAATGCCCACTCACACTGACTGCAGGAACTTGGCACTCTGGCCAGTAGTGGGAATAACTAGAGCATAACGTAGCTTTGGCCAATCCTTAGCAAATCATTCACAGATCATCTGTCATGTGAAACATGCTGTGCTCCTGCTGAGGGAATTTAGAAGATAACTCAGACGTGGCTACTGTCCTCACTCAATGAGCCGTCTAGTAAGGAAACAACATGGTCTTTAAGAATTATTACTTTAAGATTCATAAGAATTCCAACAGTAACATGTGTAAGGCCCCTGGCCAGCCACTGCGGGATCCTGGTATGTCTTAGTTCAGAGTCACTCTAATCCGCTTGAAGGAGGAAAGCAACCTCCAACCAGGAGCTGTGGCTTCTGCCTCTGTGCCTCTGCTGGCCATTTTATGAGTTCACCAGACACAAGCATCTCTTATTATTGTCTTCACTCTCACTCAACTTCTGGATGTGTTCATGTCAAACCACCCTGGCCTTCATGTCTCCTGATGGCAACCTACCCTATAGCTATGTACCCATAGGATTTTTTAAAAGCCTGAATCAATGGAGAATTGATAAGCCTTTCAACATTTAGTATTGTGACAATTGGCTAGTTTTTTGGACCTTCACATCACATTATAGCCAAAAGTAAATTCTGGATGATGAGAAAAATAGGAGAAAAAGAAAACCCATTAGAAAACTCGTACACATGAAAACAATAGGAAAAATGTCAGAAAATATCAATCACTTTGACTACATACAAATTAGACATCTGCTTATCAAATAAAATGAAAACTTTAAAAAAAACATTTTAAGACATGATAGAGAAATCTCGATATCTTTAATATCCATAACATAGGCAGCTGTTGGTACAGAAGCTAATTTGCTGCTGGCCTGCAGAGGCTAAGCAAACATTTTTGGGATGGGCCGCCCAGTAACACACAGGAAGCCCAAGTATACCACACACATTCTGCAAGGATGAGGGAGGATAAATTCTCCAGAGTAAAGACATTGCCACCCAGACCTTTCCTTTGAGATTCAGAGACACTGGCCAGCCAATAGCTTGATCTCCATCACCCCCATGCCACCCCACATACGCCCAATATTTTAAGGGATTCAATAGTAGCCAGGCTCTTGCTCATCATCTAGGTGTCCTATTGCCTTTGGAATCCCTCCTGACCTGGCTGACCCTGTTCCATGCGTTTTGGGGAGAACAGCTGCAGTGTACAACGTGAAGACCTAGTCTCTAGAACTGAACCCCTGGGAGAAAGCTACACCCATGGCCAAGAAGCACTCTCTCCTCCTGCACCCTGAGAACCTTGTGGCAAAGTGGTGTTGTCTGGTGGCCCCTCAAACCCTATAATGCTCCCTGCAGGTGGGCAGCCACCCTCACCCAGTGTATTAGTCTGTTTTCATGCTGCTGATAAAGACATACCCAAGACTGGGCAATTTATAAAAGAAAGAGGTTTAATGGACTTATAGTTCTGTGTGGATGATGTGTGGGGAGGCCTCACAATCATGGCAGAAGGTGAAAGGCACTTCTTACATGGTGGCAGCCAGAGAGAGAGCTTGTGCAGGGAACTCCCCTTTTTAAAACCATCAGATCTCATGAGACTCATTCACTAACGCAGTAACAGCACAGGAAAGACCCACCCCAATAATTCAATCACCTTGTACTGGGTTCCTCCCACGACACATGGGAATTGTGGGAGTTACAATTCAATATGAGATTTGGGTGGCGACACAGCCAAACCATATCACCCAGGTCTGAGGGACAGCCCCCTCAGAGTGGATGGCACGAACAGCAGGGAAAATAGATCCTCCAGTGGCTGCCTGGTCTTGTATTTTCTTCTGCACAGTGCTTTTAATCAGGTCCAACCCTCCTGAACTGAGTGAGCCCCCACTGGGGTGCTTGGATTATCCTGGGAGAAAAACTCTGAAGAAGGAAGAATGGACTTAAGAATAGAATGAGAATGCAATTACTGTTATCAGAATGAGAAAGGATATGTTCATTCATTTTGTTCCCTATATTGAAGAAGCCCAGTGTAATATGCAACTTTACAGAGAAAATGCCTATTTCTTCTCATTCTAATCAGGTCTCCTGAAACACTATAAAAGTAACCACTATGAGCAGCCATGCCTGCCTCACAATCCCTGGATTAGTTGCCAACAGTCTTCTACATCTTAGTGTTTACTAGGAATCTCACTGCTTGTGGGTGTGGAGTGATCAGAGTCTTAGGAAGCTTATTTTTGTGCAGATTTTGCATATTCAGAACTTTCCAGAGTAAAAGTGAATTTTTCTATCATTGAAAAATAAGGACCAAAAAAAATAAATTCATCAGCAGGCAGGCAGCCTCGCTTTGAAATGTGACTATCCATTTTCAATAACTAATCAAACTGGAAATCTGTCTTTTCCCAGGATTTTAATTATTAATCTTTCTTTTTTTTTCTTTTATTCTCGTATGGCTTGAAGCAAGATGATACTAATAAAAACCAGTTGGGATTTAGATGCTATCACAAGACAGAGCTTCTGAAATTACTGAAATTTTGCCATTAAAATCCCTCAAGGAATTGTCTCTATTTCACAGATGATGTTCCTTTAAAAAAAAAGCAAAACAAAATATCCATTTTTCACCTTGTGATCTCTCCCTTTGTGTTTTGAATATTGTTAAAATGTAGCATGGCCTTAGCCTGGTCATGGTGCTTGATCACCTACCCTCAGTTTCCCTCACAGTGACCTCCACCCCTGATCCTGAGAAATTGCTCTGGTCCACAGGCGGCCTGGGCAGATGCTGTGGGTAGAGTGGAGGCCTCCAGTTTTCAACCTCCACAGCACATTAGGCCTACTATTGTGCAAGACACTATGCCAGGCTCCAGGACAGAAATGGGGAGTCCCTACCTTAAAAGAGACCACAGACTGAGAAGAGAAATTAACCCATTAGTTATGAACCACAGAAAAATATAAATGGAATAAGAGAGGTGTGCACAAAGTACAGTAGCAGAAAAGAATGAATGATGGGCAATTGCTTGGGCTGAGGGTAGGAAGTGCAGGTGACTGAAGGTGAGATGGGAGACTGCACCACACTGCTGTACTTAGAACCACTGCCGAACAACCTCACTGGATGTGGTCAGCTGACTTGTGTCCTCCAAGCATTCACATGTTGAAGTCCTAATCCCCAGGAACTCTGAATGTGACCTTATTTGGAATAAGGTAATTGAAGATATAATCAATTATGGTGAGGTCATACTGGAGTAGGGTAGACCCCCGAGCTAATATGACTGATGTCCTTATTGAAAGGAGAAATTTGGACATGAACATTCAGAGGGAAGGTGATGTGAAGAGACACTGGGAGAAGATGGCCGTCAACAAGCCAAGGAGAGAGGCCTGGAACAGAGCCTTCCCTCACAGCCCCTAGAAGGAACCAATCCGGCTGAATTGCAACAAAGCAAAAATTGACATATAGTATCTAATTAAACTTCAGAGCTCTGCACAGCAAAAGAAACTACGAACTGCATAAACAGACAACCTACAGAATGGGAGAAAATTTTTGCAACCAATGTATCTGACAAAGGTCTAATATCCAGCATCTACAAGAAACAAATTTACAAGAAAAAAAAACCCCGTTAAAAATTGGGCAAAGGACATGAACAGACACTTCTCAATAGACACACATGTGGCCAACAAACATGAAAAAAAGCTCAACATCACTGATCATTAGAGAAACGCAAATCAAAACCACGATGAGATACCATCTCATTCCAGTCAGAATGGATATTGAAAAGTCAAAAAACAACAGATGCTGGTGAGGTTGTGGAGAAAAAGGAATGCTTCTACACTGTTGGTGGGAGTGTAAATGAATTCAACCATTGTGGAAGACAGTGTGGCGACTCCTCAAAGACCTAGAGGCAGAAATACCATTCAACCCAGCAATCCCATTACTGAGTATATACCCAAAGGAATAGAAATCATTCCATTATAAAGACACATGCACACGTATGTTCAACGTAGTACTACTCACAATAGCAAAGATATGGAGTCAACCTAAATGCCCATCAATGATAGACTGGATAAAGAAAATGTGGTACATATACACCACAGAATACTATGCAGCCATAAAAAGGAATGAGATCACATCCTTTTCAGGGACATGGATGGAGCTGGAGGCCATTATCCTTAAAAAATTAACACAGAAACAGAAAACCAAATCCCGCATGTTCTTACTTACAAGTGAGGGCTAAATGATAAAAACATAGGGACACATGGGGGGTGGGCAACACACACTGGGGCCTGTCAGAGGACGGGACGTGGGAAGAGAGAGAAGATCAGGAAGAATAGTTAATGGATGCTGGGCTTACTACCTGGGTGATGGGATGATCTGTACAACCCACCATGGCATACGTTTACGTATGTAACAAACCTACATATCCTTCACAAATTAAAAGTTGGAAATTAGAAAAAAAAAATCCTGGTGACACCCAGATTTCAGGCTTCTAGCCTCCAAAACTAAGAGAGAAGAAATTTCTGTTGTTTTAAGCCACCAAGTCCGTGGTACATTTTATGGTAGCCCAGGCAAACACACTTGGCAAGAAGTAGCCATCGTGCCCCATGACTCCTCCCAACCTGAGAAGCACTCTTACTCCCAGAAGTTGCACACAAATAACTGGGGTAAGTTTTAGAGCAAACTGGGACCCTAGTCCTTTATTTTCTCCTCCCTTTCAGAGTATTTAAAGCATTAATTCACTCTCCACCATAAGGTTGGACCAGTAAGTTCTACAAGAAAGAAAAAAAAAAAAACAACAGAAAAAAATTAATACCTTTTGTCATGTAATTGTGGCAGGGGTAATGCTATGTGCTCATCAAACATACTACCTCTTCCAGAACAAGCAGAAGATGCATTTCCCAGTTTGCCCCACAAGTAGGCTGGGGCCAGGAATGTGGGTGACTCCAGTAAATACTACTTCTAGTCCTGGTCCATAAAAAACTCTCAGGCAGTCCTCCAAACCCTCTCTCCCCACTCACTGGCTAATAAATTCAGAGCATCCAATAAATGACTCTAAAGTCCTAAAAACTCCTAGGCCCTAGTAATAGTGAAACCATGAAAAAGAAGGCACTTGGATTTCCAAGCAATTGCACCAAGAGCCTCCCTGGAGAAACATAAATGCTGGGCTATGAATGAGAAAAAAATAAGCCTCTATGATGTCATGGTTATTATGTTAAGCCCGTTGGTGCACCTATGTTTAACAACCCACTTTCTGGAGAGAAAAAAATCTGATTTGTAGTATTTGATGATTTCTGTGGTGTAAATACTTCGGTCATGGTCAATTTTAGGCTACCAGTTAAATGCAGAGCTTAGAAGAAATGCTAACAGTTGGCTTTTGTGAGTCATACAAGCCAGCTCCAGCACACCGGCGGTTAAGACTTTTTGGGTTTAGGGTGTGTTTCCATAGCACATCCTAGCCCACCTTGTCTAATATGCTAATCAACCTATGAGTGGGCTACCTCATTTCCTGTCCTCAGAAGCCACAGCACTATGACCTCCTCATCTTGAGGCTTTCCGTGAGTTTGCTTGTCCAGGGATAAACAACCTAATTTTAAAACTGAAAACCCCCAAGGTGATCCAAAACAGTTTCCTTTGATTCATCAGGGCCTCAATTTACTTCTAATAAATCCAGAGCATCTCCTTGGAGGTTTGGTATTGTGTGAAGCTTAATGAGGACATTTTTATTCATTTTAACAGCATTCAAAATTCTGTATCTCAGAGGACTGTTGCTTGCGAAGGACACAATGTTAGGTTTTTTTGAAAAGACAATACTCAACTATTCTCTTTGGGTTTTTGATTTTTCCTGTGGAAAAGATTCTATGTCCTCTCCTGGTACATTAATATCACAAGTTTTAGAAATTCTTATAAATTTTCAAATAATCTGGATATTTTACCATCAGACTGAAGTCAAGATAATTCCTCCCTCTGATCTTGTGTCTGTGTCAAATTCTAAGAGTGTTCTGATTCAGAGAGTTCTACATTCATCTATGTGCTCAACTTGTCACCAGTTGGAAACTTGGTGATTGTGGAGTCAATTGTTTTTCCTCTTCCACTGATACCAGCTCCCTACTCACCCCTCACCCCCAGCCCAGCAATTCACAACTCAGGAAGAAACAGCGATCCACAGGGGCTGAAACTCGAATTCAATCTTATATGTTCCTCTTGGTCAAAGTTATTGGGAAAAATGTTGTCTCTTTTCTTGTGTCATTTGCTTGTACCCCTTAAAACGGGGTGATTTTGAAAAACTAAGATATGTTATTAAATGAAAAGGGCAAGCTGCAATATATGTGTCCATATTTGTGTGATCTGTGTGTGAATATGTTCTTGTATAAAAAACATTAGATACGTATCTCGACAAACATGCACTCAATGAAAAGACACAGAGCACATGCTCACACAGGAGTTTTGATTCATTGGAACATGGATTCCTCACTCTCGGTGTTTCGTACCATGTGAAAGGTCTCCACTAGAACATGCCTGCCTCCCCTTTCACTCATTCCTCTCTCATAAATGGGTTTGCAAGGGAAACTGGGCCTTGGGCTCAGCCCCCCGACCAACCCCTTTTTAAGGAGCTACCTGCCCTGGAGGAAGATATTCAGCCCCATTCCCCCAAGCCCTGAGTTTTCCAGGGGCAGGTCACTGGAGAGTGAAAATGCAACTAGAGAAGTAGAGAAGAAACTATAGCCCACTGCCATTGACGATACCAGAGGAGGAGAACGAGGACAGGGATAAGCAAAGCAGCAGATAATCCAAACCGAAACCCCCAAGTTACTCTTAAGAAGCAAATTTTGTAAGTCGGTGACTTATCCCTTTGTTTTAAAAATTGGCTTTCCGATTATTCATTCCTCATTTGTTCATGCAACAGGTATTTATGGAGTTCCAACTATGAGACAGGCACTCTTTTGATTGCTGAAGACATAGCTGTGATAAAGGTAAATCATTGTCCTCACAAAGCTCACATTTAGTGGGAGAAAACAACAAGATAACTAAGGAAAATACTTAGCAGGTTAGATACTAATAGGCAAAAGGAGAAAAATAGGCAGGGAGAAGGAAAGAGGTATCCATGCAGAGAGGTCATAATTTCACTGGGCCAGTACAAATTCTTTTGGAAAGGCATGTAAGCTTATGAGTCTGCTGGATAATGGGGAGTTGCCTAGATAATGACAGGCAGATCAGCAACAGAACTGAGTTCACCTTCCCCACACAGCCCCCTTGGAGTGGCTGAGTGTGTGTGGTAAAGGTGCTTGGTTCCTAAGCAGACAGGACCCATAGAGGGAGGACCTGGGGAGGCTCATATTGAGCACTGTCTGCATACTGTCAGGTCCTTCAGAGATTCCCCTTTGTGCCTCTGGACAGTTAGCATGTGTATTAGTCCATTTTTGCACTGCTATAAAGAACTGCCTAGGACTGGGTAATTTATAAAGAAAAAAAGGTTTGATTGACTCACAGTTCCACATGGCTGGGGAGGCCTCAGGAAACTTACAATCATGGCAGAAAGCAAAGGGGAAGCAAAGACCTTCTTCACCTGCTGGCAGGAGAGACAGAGAGAGAGCAAAGAGGGAAGTGCCACTTTTAAACCATCAGATCTCCTGAGGACTCACTTACTATCATGAGAACAGCAAGGGGGAAACTGCCCCCATGATCCAATCACCTCCCACCAGGTCCCTGCATCAACATGTGGGGGTTACAATTGGAGATGAGATTTGGGTGGGGACTTATTGCTAAACCATATCAACATGCATCTGTATAGGTGCTTGGCTGCACTTGGCAAAGGGAAATTCAGTGCTCAGGGAGGTAGAGTCCTTGATGCATAAAGAAACAGTCAGCTTCTGTCCCCAACATACACAGAGAAGAAAAGCCAGCTAATCCCACCAAACCTAAGGTGGGGCCTTTACAGCAAAGCCTCACTCAAGACAGAGCTATCCACAAGCCCCCTCAGCATGAGGGAAAGCGGATTCTAAAACCAGTTATAATTGCTTTAAATGCAGCTCTTAGACTTTGAGGAATTTAATCAAAACCTTCATAAAATGGCATTGTCCTTTGACTGCTTTTTCATTTCAGCAGCAGAAATGCTGCACAAGGCAGAAGAAGAAAAAAGTAATTGAAGAACACCGTTGAACGGAATCTGCTTTGCTGCCGCAGGAACCATATTTTATGGGCAAAGCCCACGCTACTAGAACTCTCTAGGGAGCCGTACAGGAGCCGATCACATTTTTGCTGGCAGCTTTAGATGACAAATTTGTCTTACAATTCAGAGGCATTACTGGGGCTTTAAATAAGTGTGCAGCCTTCAGTGCGTCCACTCTGTGGGCTCCCTGAAGGGAGCTGCTTCAGAGGATTAGAAGCCACAGATTGACACTCACATTTTGCCTTCACCTGTGTTAATTTCTGACAGCAAACGAGGGTCAGGGATATGAGGTTTGCGACTGGGATCCAGCACTTAGTGAAAAGAAGCTCTAATAATCACTAACAAAGGCAAATCATAATAATAGCTATACTTGCATTGGGCTTACTATGTGCTACTTTGCATTGATTAATTAAAGTCATTCATATAATAGCTCTATGAAATTGGCACCATTTGCCTCAAAGGTGGGTAGAGTGAAACAGTGTGTGTTAATGTGGCAGGTCCACATGGCTGGTCAACATGGAGCCAATATTTTTACCCAGGATGACTCAGCCTGTGCTACCAACTAATCAGTACACACACTACTGTGTGTCACATAGAAATAAACTAAACAGAATGGTCCTATCAGGCTGCTATAACAAAATACCCATACGCTGGGTGATTTATAAACAACAGATGCTTATTTCTCAAGGTTCTCAAGGTTGGGCAGTCCAAGATCAAGGCGCTGGCAGATTTGGTGTCTGGTGAGGGAGCATTTTCTGGTTGCTACATGACACGTTCTCATTGTGTCCTCACATGCTGGGAGGGGCGAGGGAGCTCTCTGGAGTCTCTTTAACAAGGGTGATAATACCATTCATGAGGGCTCCACCTTCATGTCCTCATCACTTCCCAAAGGCCCGCCTCCTAATACTGTCATGTTGGGGGTTGTGATTTCAACATATGTATTTGGGGAGAACACAAATATTCAGACCATAGCATTGGCTTAAGAACTAATTCTGTACTGTTTTTACTACTCAGCTTGATTAGGGCCTGAAATTATTCTTCTTCTTACTTTTATTATTATATTTTGGAGACAGTCTCACTCTGTCACCCAGAGCAGAGTGCAGTGGTGCAATCTCAGCTCACTGCAACTTCAATCTCCTGGGCTGAAGTGATTCTCCTGCCTCAGCCTCCCGAGTAGCTGAGACTAGAGGTATGGCCACCACACCTGGCAATTTTTGTATTTTAAGTATAGATGGGGTTTCACCACGTTGGCTGGGCTGGTCTTGATTGAACTCCTGATCTCAAGTGATCTGCCCTCCTCAGTCTCCTAAAATAGAGCCTGAAATTGTTTACAGTAAATTTAGGTGTAACTGAGTTCTCTAGAAAACCTGTGATGCAGAATTTACCCTCTTTATTCCAAATAGTCTCTAGGTCAGAGAATCAGTTTCTTTGGTCCTGCAGCTGATTAAATCCCAGTTCATATCATCCTGAGGAGTGGATTATTACCATTGGTAGCTATTTGTCAAATGGGCTTCAAAATGCTTTTGTTATTCTTGTTGTTTCGAGGCTGTTTTAATTTAGATGTTAACATTTCTGTAGCATCGTTTTCTTTTGCGTGGTACTAAAGGCCTCAGAACTTGAATTTGTTTGTGACCTCAGTTACCCAAACTGCATGGAAAAAAATTGTTTTTTCAAAAATCCACTTTGCATTAATTTGTTCTAAGTTCCATACCTACCTTCCAGAAGGTAGTGATACATTAGAGCAGGGGTGGGAAACTTTTTCTGTAAAGGGCCAGGTAGTAACTGTTTTGGGCTTTGCAGGTCACATGGTCTCTGCCAAATCTACACAGCTCTCTGCGGTAACCACAGACATGCAAACACATAGGTGTGAGACTATGTTCTAGGAAAACCTTATTTATTAAAATAGGCAACTGGCCAGATTTGGCCAAGGAGCCTTGGTTTACTGACCCCAGCATTAAAGGGGCAGATTTCCAGCCCACTCCCAGCGGACCTCCTTCCAAGTGATGGAGTCCCAGTCACTTCACACTTCAGGCATCTCTCTGCCCTTTGGTTAGTTTGGTCCCAGGAAGGTGGAGACGTTAATTAGACTGGTAAATGCAAGAATGAACTGTGCCTGCCAGGATCAATTTCACCGCCTTTCCCTAGGCAGTAGCTGGCCCACAGGAGATGCAGATTCTGCTCTTTTTCCTGGTGCCCCCATCTTATTTACAGGATCCCTCAAATGGCATTATTACCAATGTTTTTATTCTGTCCAACAGCCAGATGAATTTTATTTCCTTTCAACATAACAGCATAGAACAAGTTAACACAAAAACACTCCTTATTTTTTCCACTGTTTATCTCATGCGGTGCATTACTGCTATGCATTAATCATAAGCTGATTGGCAGTCACATGAGTATTGCATACTTAAAATGTAAAATTCATTTAATAAATGAGATTATGTATAGGTAACAGTTCTTTCAAAACATATTGCTCCCAGGAGGAAAAAAATGAAGTCCCTGGTGGCAATGAGATTGGGAACTTACCATTCCCTCGTGTTTCCCTCCTGTCTTAATATTCAGAGGATAATCGAGCCTGGGAGAACAGGCAAACAGGGCTGCAGAGACAGATCTGATTGCAAATGTCCCTTTTCCCCCTGTCCTTGCATATTGCTCAAAGCCAAGCAGAGAGGAGCTATCAGATACCAGAGATCCTCCTGGGAGCAGGCTGAGGTTTATGGCTGCCGTATTTGTCAGCTGGGGCTGCACAAACTAAGTACCATGGATGACGTGGCTTAACCAACAGAATTCACTGTCTCACAGTACTGGCACCAGAAGTATGGAATCAAGCAGTTGGCTGTGAAGGAATGCCCTGTTCCAGGCCTTTCCCTGAGGCTTGTAGGCAGCTGTCTTCTCCCTGTGTCCCTTTACATCATCCTCCCTGATATGGTTTGGCTGTGTCCCTACCCAAATCTCATCTTGAATTGTAGTTCCCATAATTCCCACATGTCCTGGGAGGGACCGTCTGGAGATAATTGAATCATGGGGGCAGTTCCTCCCATCCTGTTCTCGTGATAGTGAGTTAGTTCTCACAGGACCTGATGGTTTTATAAGGGTCTTGCCTCTTCACTGTGCACTCATTCCTCTTCATGCTGCCACGTGAAGGACATATTTACATCTCCTTCTGCCATGATTATAAGTTTCCTGAGTCCTTCCCAGCCATGCTGAACTGTGAGTCAGTTAAACCTCTTTCCTTTATAAATTACCGAGTCTTGGGTATGTCTTTATTAGCAGTGTGAGAAAGGACTAATACATGCATGTCTGTCTCTATATATCCAAATTTCCCCTTTTCTCAAAGACACCAGTCATACTGGAATAGGGCTCATCCTAGTGGCCTCATTTTATTTTGATTATCTCTGTAAAATTCTATTTCCAAATAAGTTCACATTCTAAGGTACTGGGGATTAAGACTCCAAAACATAAATTTCAAGGGGACACAATTCAACCGACAGCAGTTGTCTAAACTAGAAACACGATTGCTTCTGTTGGTGAGGCTGTCCAAGAGTGCTTACACTTTATGTGTGGCATGCAGGCCAGTGTGTGCTAACCCAGTCAGAAGGGGAATTTATTTAGGGTCTAGGATGGTGGGGGCAGGAGGTGGGGAAAGGAAGGATGCATTTTCTGGGAACACCTTATACACCATAAGGGAACGATCTCCTTCCCCCTAGACACCTGGCTAATCTATATCCCTCTCTACCCACTCAAGCCACCAGGACAGCTAGAATTAGAAAGACCTGTCCCAGTTACGCCTGCAGGCTGAGGGTCCTCAATGAATGCTCCTTTTCAGTAATGACTCCCCTGCCCCTGCATCTTGAGCAAGACAAACCGGGGACATTTAGGAACAATGGTGAGAAGAAAGGAGTAGATGACCCTCAACTGGCTTTGAATTTACTACTTTTCCTGCCTTTGGCCGCTGGTGGGAGATGCAGGGTGCCCAGTGGCCTTCGCAGACTCGCAGATCCCATCCCAGGAAATGCACGGGCCGGTGTGGCCAGGACAGAACAGAGGGACCACTCTCAGTCCAGCCCTCCCTGCAGGCGGCTCGCCAGCTATTCCTTCTGGTCTTCGGTTTGCAGGAGGGCAGAGGGTTTCCCGCGCCCTGGACCATCCGGGCGTAGTCCCGGCAGCAAGGCCTTCTTTCCTTGCTAGCCTGGGCCTGCCGCAGACAGACCCCAGAGGGAGCCGCGCCCAGCCCGCTGGGCGGCCCCGGCTTCCCGCGACCCCCTCCAGACCCTGGGCAGAAAGAGCGCCCTGCTGTCCCGACAGAGCCACTGTGCTTTTGAGGGATCCTGACACCTAGTGGCTCCCGCTCCCTTCTCCGAAGAGCACCGGGTCCTATCTGAGCATTCCCGCGACTCCCAGCCCCTGATCGCAGCTAAGACACCCATTCGCGCACCCGGCTTCTCCCACATCCTCGTCCCAGGGGTTCAGCTGACACTGGTAGTCGCCTGAGCTGTACTCTTTGGGGCCCAGGCGCCTTGGCGGGAGCTCACCCTCCCTGTCTCCCCAGCTGACCCTGCCGCGCCCCCTTCATCTCCGCACGCTCCCACCCGGCCCCCTCCACAGGCTGTCCAGCCCCGCCCCTCGGAACCCACCCCTGGTAGTGAAGCCCTGCCCCCAGGGTCCCTGCCCGAAGGTGCGCTCCTCCTCTAGGGCCCCTCTACTCTGTGAGCTCTGTCCCCGATCCCTAGCGGTGCAGCCCCTCCCAGGGCCCCTCCTCGTTGTGAGCTCCTCTCTCCAGTCCCCGGCGGCGCATCCCTGCCCCCAGGCCCCCTCCCCTAAGGTGAACCCTGCCCCAAGGCCCCAGTCCCTAAGGTGAACCCCGCCCCCAGGCTGCCTCCCCTAAGGTAACCCCGCCCCCAGGCCCCCTCCCCTAAGGTGAGCCCCGCCCCTAGGCCCCCGCCCCTAAGGTGAGCCCCGCCCCCAGGCCCCTTTCCCTAAGGTGAACCCCGCCCCTACGCCCTCCCTCCGAGGGAGAGCCCCGCCCCAAGACCCTTCCGCTGGGGTGATCCCTTCTCCCCCGCCCCTCCGCGGCCGCCCGCCCCTGCCCAGCCGCCCAGCCGCCCAGCCGCCCAGCCGCCCAGCCGCCCAGCCGCCCAGCCTTCCGGTCTCCGCGCCCAGTCCGCGGTCCTCACCCGCGCCGGGCGGTAGTAGTAGCTGTGCTCTTTGGGGTCCAGGCGCCGCGGCGGGATGTAGCTGAAGGCGGACTGCGCCGAGACGGGCGGCGGCCTGGGCTTGCCCCGCAGCGTGGACGCGGTGGTCTCCTCCTCGTCGTCCTCCATGCCGCCACCGTCCAGCGCCCCCGCCTTGGCCGCGGTCCGTCCCGCCCGCCCAGGGGCCCAGTCGGAGTCTGCAGGCCTCAGGTTGCTCAGCGCCAGCGTCTAGCCCGCGTCTGTGTTCGGTCGTTGCCTGGAAACCGCCGCCTGGCGACCCGGAGCTGCCCTGCAGCATTCCCGCTCCAGGGTGGAGCGACCCTCCCCTCCTCCCTCCCGGCCCCTCGACTACACCTGGGGTCTCTCCTTCCTTCCTCCTCGGGAGGAGCCCGACTGGGAGACGCCGCGGGGACTACCCATTTCCAGCCCGCTCACCTTTCCCATGCAGCAGCCCCTGCTTCACTCACTGATCACTCCTTCGCGAGACCATTAGTGACTGAGCACCTAGCGCATGGTGTGTCAGGAGCTGGAGATTGAGCCTTGAACGGAGCAGGCCTTGTCCACAGGAAGCTTACAGTCTGGAGAAGACACATGAAAGACGCGAAGAAGCCAAATGACTTGCCGAGGCTCCAGGGCAGCGCTGTCCAATAGAAACATGATGAGAGCCACGTGTGTCGTTTCTTATTTGACTCAGTAAGTCCAAAACGTTATCATTTCAACAAATGGCACTAGCTGCCTTTCAAGCTCTCGGTGGCCACGTGTGGCTAGCAGTTACAGTATTGGCCAGTGCAGGTGTAAGGCTGCATGAATTTACAGAATCTGGCAGAACTCAGCTGCTGTGGACAGGGCTCTTGCAATCCTTTGCCAGTGTGTTTACGTTGGCCCTTGATCTGAATGCTGGGTCAATACCTGCGTTCCGTTTGTTGAAAATGTGTTAAGCTGTATACTCGTGATTGGTGGGTGTACAGCCAAGAAAAGTTAAAAACAAACAAACAAAAAAAGCCATGATGACCAAGGCTTGGGAAATGCTTTAGCCAGCGTGCCTGGGAAGGCCAGCCTTGCTGAGAAGGTGGTGTTTGAGATGAAGCATAGCGATAATGAGAAGCCAGTTCTGTGAGTCTGGCAATCCCTTCCAAGCCAACTTGGTCCTCTGAGGCAGAGACAATCTTGTGTTTGAATGGCAGCAGGAAGTGGGGTGGTGTGGCCTCATGAAGCCAGAAACTGGTAGGAAGTGAAGGTGAACAGATAGGTGGGGGCCTGATGGAGAGATCTTACAGATGATGGAAGGAGCAGTGCCCTGCCTTCTTCCCCATCCCTGCAACTAGGTAGGAATCTCTTGTCTGCCATTCTGTGATGCAGGCTGGTGGCTTAAGATGCCTCTCTCATTCTGAGGCACCTGGTGATCCACTCTGTAGAGGTCTCCAGAGTTCTAGAGATCCTTCTGGGCAGGATTTAAGACATCCCGGTGCCACCACGCTTTTTCTCTCTCTTTTTATTTATATCTGTCTCTCTCGTGGGTCCCCATGAGCTTCCTGAGAAACCCATGTGCCTTCTTTGTCCCACTAACACATCTTTTTGCTCCATGGCCAGGCAGAACACAAGTCAGCCATGAGTCAAGGGTCAGACACCTGCCCACCATGTCTCTAAGCCCCAGGGGACCTAGCAACCTCATTGGAGCCACTTGGAGAGGGTGACATATCCCTGGTGCTTGGAGATGGAGCACCATCTCTCCTACATGTGAAGCAAAGGAAAAGGGGCTCTTATTTTTCTCCCATGGGCTGAAGTCATGAAAGGCATGACTCATACTTTTTTGCTTTTTTGGCCTCATTAAAGCAGCAGCCAAATATGTTTTTTTTTTTTAAGCCCTTATAATCTACTGCCTCTCTCAACTTCTCTCAATGTCTCCAAATACACAAGAGAGGTCAACTAATGGTCACAAGATTTTGTAAGCTTTGCATTGGTGACCCAGTATCATACTTTGGAAAGTGAAAGTACTTGAAACCAATTATCTTGGGAATTCAGCTAAAACTGAGACCGAGATAATTTCTTAGTAAAAGAAATTAGTAAAGTTTACACAGTTATACAGATGTGAATCTGCTAACTTCAGTTCAGTCGGTGACATTTTGTCATGTCCTAGACCAAGAGCTCTTGAGGGCAAGGCTACCTACATCTTTTTCTTCTTGGATGGAGATATGGTTAGGCTTTGTGTCCCCACCTTAATCTCATCTTGAATTGTAATCCCCATAATCCCCACATGTCAAAGGAGTGACCAAGTGGAGATAATTGAATCCTGGGGGCCATTTCCCCCATGCTGTTCTTGTGATAGTGAATTCTCACAGGATCTGATGGTTTTATAAGGGGCTCCTCCCCTTTTGTTCAGTGCTTCTCCTTCCTGCCACCTTGTGAAGAAGGTGCCTTGCTTCCCCTTTGCTTTCTGCCGTGATTGTAAGTTTCCTGAGGCCACCCCAGCCATACTGAACTGTGAGACAATTAAAACTCTTTCCTTTATGAATTACCCAGTCTCAGGTATTTCTTTATAGCAGCATGAGAACAAACTTATACAGATGGCTCAAGTCAGGCATACAGGCATACAGTAGGAAGTCAAATATTTGAGTCTGAGACAAGGGCCTGAGTTTATTTGGGAGGTAATTCCAGGGAACAGGAGAGAGGGACCAAGAGGAGCAAGAAGCAGGAGAGACACCAAGGATGCACTACCCAGGTCACTGCTGAAGGCAACTGGTGAATGGTCATGAACCTTTCTGAGGGGCCTGGAGAGGCCTTGAAGAATTGCCCCAGAGGATCAACATGGAGGCATGTTTCATCACTTGCTCCTGTCTGCTCGGTGGAGGCTCGCTCCTTCAGTTGTTGACTCCTGAACTTGTACGACCACTGCCCCAGGGCCTCACAGTCTCCCCTGGAGTGTCTTGCCTCCTTGGTGTCCGAGGAGCCCTAGGGCTGACAGCAAAAGACAGGGGCATGTACTGGAGGTGAGATGCTTCTTTCATGAGGTGAGTCATAGCCCCACGGAATGGTCCACCAGAGATGAGGGTGGAATGAGATGTGAGGCCCTGAGGATGCAGGGCAGGTTACCAGAGACAGATGAAACCATGGGCAAGGCAGACTTTGGCAATTTTGATTATTAAGAGGCTTTAGTTCCTTTTTTAAAAATACTCTTTTTAAAAAAGTATTTTCCTATATGATCTTATTATATATTCCCAGGTACATGAGTGGAATACAAGGTCACAGAGTCATACATTTAGGCTCCTCATGTCTGTACTCGTACTCAAAAGTTCTGTGCCGGAGAAGGGGAGGATGAAAGAAGCATAAAAACCCTCCTCTCAAAGGAGGCAAATTAATAGAGTAAGGACACACACTGGGGCTGGGTTAAACATAGTGTATTAGTGAGGGTTCCCTCAAGGGACAGAACTAATAGGATGTATATATATATCTATGTAAAGATATATATTATATATATTTTTTTATATGGGAGTTTATTAAGGAGTATTAACTCACGTGATCACAAGTTCCCTGTATTAGTTCGTTTTCACTCTGCTGATAAAGACATACCCAAGACTGGGATGAAAAGAGGTTTAATTGGACTTAGAGTTCCACATGGCTAGGGAGGCCTCAGAATCATGGCAGGAGATGAAAGGCACTCCTTACATGGTGGCGGCAAGAGAAAATGAGGAAGATGCAAAAGCGGAAACCCCTGATAAAACTATCAGATCTCATGAGACTTATTCCCTACCACGAGAATATGGGGGAACCACCCCCATGATTCAAGCTATCTCCCTCCGGGTCTCTCCCACAACACATGAGAATTATGGAGATTTGGGTCGGGACGTAGAGCCAAACCATATCAGTCCTACAATCGGCCACCTGCAAGCTGAGGAGCAAGGAGGCCAGTCTGAGTCCCAGAGCTGAAGAACTTGGAGTTTGATGTTCAAGGGCAGGAAGCATCTAGCACGGGAGAAAGAGGTAGGCTGGGAGGCTAAGCCAGTCTAGTCTTTCACCTTCTTCTGCCTGCTTTTATATTCTGGCATCATTCCCAAGGCATTCAAGCCAAATTGAAGCAAGTCTCTGGATCTGCCCTTTGGTTTAATAGGAAATGCAGCAGATAGATATAGAAACAAGTTAGACAACACCAAATCAACAGTGTGGGACATTCTACAGGGCAATTGATCTAATTTCTCCAATAACTTAATGACATGAAAACTACGTGAGAAAGAGTAGCAGTTAGAGACATAAGAGACTTCAGTGGTAGAATCTCTAAAAGTCATACGTGGACTTTGGATCCTGATTCAAAAACATCAACAGTTAAAAAATATTTTTGAGATAGTACAGGAAATTTAGAATATAGACTACACATTAAATGATGACAGGGAATAATAACTAATTTTGTTATTTGTAACAATGGCTGAATGATTAGATAAAAAAAGAAAAAAAGCTTATCAATTATAGATGAATACTGAAGTATTTAGGATAAAATAATATGATAGCTTGGATTTCTCTAGAAACATTCCAGTGGAAAAAAAAAAAAGAAAAAGTTAAAGAATAGATGAAACATGATTGGAAAATTATGGTAATTTTCATGCTGAATAGAGGAACTTGCAAACTTATACTTTTTTTTTTAGAGATGGGGTTTTGCTCTGCCACTCAGGCTGGAGAGCAGTGGCGTGATCATAGCTCCTGGCCTCAAGTAATCCTCCTGCCGTGGCCTCCCAAAGCACTGGGAATACAACATGAGCCACTGAGCCAGCTTTTCTTTCAATTCTTATACTTTTCTTTCAATTCTTATGTGTGTTCAAAATTTCCTGTAATACAAGCAAAAACAGTAGGGTTATTAAGATTGTTTCTTGTAAACATTAGAACCCAAAATATCAACTCCACCCACACACTGTGAGCACTCTGTATCGGAGACTGTGGGAGTGGGAGGGAGATGTTTGCTTTTTCTGGGATGGGATTACAAGTACTGGATGAAGGCAAAATTTCTTTTGATGGAGCCCAACAGGGGGAGAACATCAACATGAAGGCAGGTTTCCTGACTCGTGCAGCAGGGGAGACTGCACACCACAGGAGCCTAGAGACATCGAGTCAAACATAGGACTAGACAGGGCTGTTGTAGGATTTGGGGAGGGGTGAATTTAGGTAAAATTTAATGAAGCTGAGCTGGAGAGACTCAAGCACAGCAAGTTAGTGTGCCAAAGAGTTAACAGTAACCCTGACCTAAGAAGCCGATTCAGGTCCCTCAAAGGGAAAAGAAATGTGGAACGTTGTATGCAAAATTCCCACGTCTAGAGCTCTGCAATTGAGGGGGATATTGAAGCTACTTCTCCATTGGTCAGATTGGCCCATGTGGCTCAGCTCATATAGACAACAGTTAGATGTTCCATTTTATTGCTCTGATTTCAAACAACAAAGGCTTTAGAGAACAAAGTTTCTTAGCACTATGTCCTTGATGATAATTAACAAAGGCAGTTGTCAAAGGCTCACAGTGGCACCCCTAGAAGTCCTGACCAGCAAGTTAGCCATGTTCCTTCTTACAGACCATTCCTTACATGACCCTTCACCGCGAGCTGTACGATAAAGTTTAACTGAGAATGAAGGAACACACGTGTACCAATAACAATAATTGCACCCAATGTTCACTGAGTATTTACTATTTTCCAGGAATTGGGCTAAACAGCTTACAAGACGTGTCTCATTTCACTATCTACACTAAGTATTTAGACTCCAAATGGGGGTGGGCACATTCCCAATTTGGGAGATCGCAGCCCTAAGGGGATAATTTGCCTGGTTCCTCACTGAGCCAAGACCCCTCTCTGGATTTGCGCACATCATCTTCTGGTAGGTATACTTTTTTTTTTTTTTAATTTTATTTATTTTTTTTTTAGGAGGAACTGACTGCTTCCGTTTTCCCAGAATTCTATCAAATATCTTTCAAGTGTCCACATGTACCCAAGCGACGCACATTCCTCACATAGAGGAAGGCAAGGAAAGGTAAAGAAGACTGCCTGTGTTGTTCAGGCAGAACTGTCACCACACTCTTCCACAGCTCCTGCCTGCCTGCCATCTACACACACACTCACAACACACACTCAGAGAGGATCCACTCTCTCCTCCAGAGATCCTCTAGTTTCAACTGCTGCAGCCCAAAGTCCTGAACTTTGCTGCCCCCTATTGATAGGCCCAAAGACTATCACTGTTGCTGCAGGGGTTGTGCTAGCAAGTAAAACAATTTTTTTTCATTCATTTTTCTTGCTTTGCTTTACTTTTGAAAACAAATATAGAAAGGTTATGCAATTATTAAAAATATTATCAAATATATAGTTGCAAGAGCCATCATATTGAATATGTAATTGCAACTGACACATTCAGATCACTTTTGTTTGTACAGGTATAGACATACCAATGAATTCATCAGCATGAGAATTCAGTTTAAAAGGACTTAGCTTTATGATTTGACAAAGCTTGTCAAATTTGCTCGTTAGTGACACCAGCAACCTTATATCTCTCTATTAGCCTAAATTATTTTCATGTACTTCGGGATTAAAATTTGAACAGGGCCAGAGGCAGGTCTAGCCTCCCTCCCTGGGCCAACCCTGTATGCTTTACACTGGGTGTTCCAGCCATTGACAATTGCGCCCCTAGACCCTGCTCTCTTCCTTCTAAAACTCAGCTTACAAATCACTCTGAGGCTCTCTCTCACTGCCCAGGTGGGCATGAGGTCTCTGTGTTCCCAGAGCCTTGACTGTGTGTCAGGGTGCCGGAGGCCTCACCACTCCCATCGCCTGCTCACTAATCTCACCTGTTTCAAGCCCCTCAAGGGCAGGGGCTCTTTCCTATTTGGCCCTAGAGCTGGAGCATTGAGTGTGCCCAGCGTGATCAGAACTGTCTGCTGAATGCGTACGTGAAGAGGGTAGGGGAGAGCCAAATGAGACAGGATCAGCAGAGGCTGTAAGTGAAAACTGCAGAAGGAGGAGCATCTGATTCTGATGAGCAAACAGGGAAAAGCTTGCAATGGATGAGATGGACTTACATCAACAGCACAGGTGAAGAACGCTCGTGCTGTATTTTTCTTCATAGCATTTATAACAGACCGTCATTACCTCTTCGTGTGGCTGTTTAATTGGTTAAGTCCCTTTCTGCTCCTTAAACTGAATGCTTTTAACCTCACACCACATTGCTGGGTTGAGTTTCGCACCAAAAATTAGCTGAGTCATAGGAAGAGGTGTACAGCACAGTGAGGGTGGACCAGAGGCCAGGGAGGGAACCTGAGTTCACTAAAAAGGCAGAAAAAGACACAGGACTGGATATTAGCTGCAAGGAGGTGTGAAAGGGGTTTCTGAGGCCTGATATGATCTGGAACAGATCTTAGGCTCAGTGTCAGGAATGCCTGTTTTAAGTCATCTAAGAGCTGTGAAAAAGTGTAAATCATCTAATTACCCAGATTTCAGAGAGCTGTGAGAATCCTTCCAAGCCAGGTCCCAAATGAGCGGCAAGGTCAGCTGGGTACCCGGATACATCAGAATCTACCGTGCTTATCTCCTGCTCAATCTCAATTTGCTTCCATTGCCTCTCTCTTTCTTTGTAATTGGAGACAAAAAATGATCTTAGCTCATCTAGTTTCCATTTCCTGTTCTAAAGATAAGTAAATAGACCCAAAAAGCTAAAGTGAAGTAAAAACCATGATGGGGTAGACGTTCAGACTAACACCAGCTAACTTGCACTGTGTGCTTACTCTGTGCAAGGCACTTTTCTAAGTGCTTTATGTAATTATCATCTCAACCTGTTACAGGTTCAATTGTATCCCTCCTCCCTCCTTCAAAAAATACACTCTGCTACTCCAGTCGGCTCTCTTGTCCTCTTCTCCTTGAAACTGTAACCTGACTGTGATGAGGCAATGAAGGCTCTGCAATGAACTAATGACAATTTAATTCATTCTTGATTTATAATTTAGAAGATCCTCCCTCCAATCAAACAGCTCCCCAAAAAACCTACCTAAATTGCTTTTCCATTTCTCTAAATATTTATTAAAAAAAAGTTTCCATACTAATATATCTCATTAACCAGAAGATTGTTTCTGCATAATTCTATAATATTTATATCCAAAGCACTGTACTCTATTTCTCATTGCTCCTTTTCCTTACGGTAAATCTCACTTCCACTCACAGCACACAAAGAGAAAAAATTTCCTCCATCTGTTAGAAAACAAAAGGTCTCTAAAGAGCAAAATATTTTCATTTAGCAGATAACTATGACAAAATACTTAAAAATAACATTTATTCATTGAATTCCTTTACAGCACATGATCAATTGTTTGATGTACAAAAAGTATCTATGACACTAGTATTAAATTAAAATTAATTTTAAATTTTACCACAATAAATGTATACATAGTATAAGGAAAACTACAGATGCTTTCAGATCACCAGTCTAGAACATATTCTGCAAAGTGGCTAATTCACATTATATTTTTCTTTTAATACTGAGTTCCATAAAAATGCAAGTTCTTCCATTGTTTGAGTTCTGAAGTCAGTATTCATTCTTGCAACCAATGAACAGTGTTTTGAGAAAACAGTTTTCTTTGTAAATATTCCACCAATTCACGTCTTGATTTTAGCATCCCAATCTCATGATAGGGGATCTGTAAAGGTAGAAAAGTAAAACTGGTCAAGATCCTTCAAAATCTGAGGTTCCTCTGGCTATTGGTTACTTTGTTTGTTTCTTACACGCTTCCCCACAGCGGAATGTAAGCTCCTGGAAGGCAAATATCCCAACCAGCTTCTTCATCCTGTATCCCCAATGTCTAGAACAGTGCCTGGCACTGAGAAGGGGCTTGGTAAATATTTGATGAATTAATATGTAGAATATGCAAATAAGAATTAAACATGATCTCTTGTTCTCCAGGAGTTCACAACTTGGGTGGCAAGTTAAATTACACAATAAATATAAAAAACAAGCTGTAGGTTGGTGATCTAGTGCTAAGAGGGAGTGAGCATTTCATTAGATGAGGGTGGGGATGCCGACAAACTGCTGGAAGGTAGGTATTCAGAGAGCTGGAGGACGCAGCAGGGACAAAGAGGGAATGAAGAGGGAGAGAGCAGGAGGCGCAGCAAAGGAGAGAGTCTGCTCAGCTGGGAGCAGAGGGGCCAGGTAGTAATCATGTGCCTGCAGCCTGGCTGCAGGCCAACCATTGGAGGGTCTTGAATGTTAAGATGTAGAGAAGTTTTTACTTTATTCTGTAAGCAGTAAAGAAACATTGAAGCTTCTGAGTAGACACTGGCATGATTAGTTTTAGGAATATTCAGCTGGGGATGTGCAAGATGGAGAAAAAAGTCAGCAGATATGAAACCACAGTGCTGCCTAGTACTGACAGCTTAGAGAATTAGGGCAGCGCTCATTCTCACGCACTGCTGAGCCCTCACATAAGACCTTCTTACATTATCTACAGTGAAATATTTAAAAGGTCTTAAATATTAAGTGTTGGTGAAGCTCCTTATTTTAATGGATTATCTTGTTCATTTTTATTTATTAAATCAAGGAGAAATTAAAACAGAACATATATTCCAACAATTGAGTAATTCTAAAAGCAGGGTTAAGCATAGCTTATAATGAATATAGGTAGGCCCCACTTTTGAAAAATCAAAGCTCTGAAAATTCTGTATTTCAAAATATAAGTCAAGAGATTTAAGCCGAATTAACAACGTTGGGATTTAAACTAGACGTAAGATCGGTGGTCCACTGGGCTGGCAAACCAGTTAGTACTGTAAAAGCAAATTAAAATGGAGCCTGTGCCTGAAAAATCCCTGAGCAGACCAAGCCAGTTGGGCCTTGAAAATAACCTTAACTTTGCTTAAAGTGCAAATGTTAAGCAAAATTTAACTTGGGCTATTTCTTGTAGAAGCTTCTACTACAGAAAAACAGAACTTAAGCTCAACCAATCAGAAGCATCTCACAAACTAATAATTATATAACTAGGAACTTTCCACAGAATAGTTCAAACAAGGCAGCAAGAATATGTAACTGTAACCAGTCAAGTAGATTCTTTGTGTACTTGTGTTCTTCCTATAAAAGCCTCCCTCTTGGGTTCCCAAGCCATTTCGAGTTTTGTGCTGTCCAGTTCAATAATTGCTGCCTGATCAAATTCTTTAAAATTTTACTGTGCCTCAGATTACTTTTTAAAAGTAACCTGGAAAAATAATTTTGAAATAGGATTTGCTTTTGGGAAACAAAAAAAATAGGTGAAACCGTACCTGAACAACTTGATAACCGAGTAACTGTAGGTGTCTTTGTTTAATAGCTTCTTTCCCCAGTAAGTGTTTGCTATTGGAGCAAAACCTTTTTGGACCATCAATACACAGTGCTATCCTGAAAAATAAAAAAGGAGAAAAATACTTAATTTTTTAAATAATCCAAAATATTTATTATATATTTTAGTTGCCAAAGTTTATTTGGGATTTGGCTATTACTATGTGCCAATATTATTTTCAAATGAATCATGAATTTGATCTTATTAATATTAATGTTTATAAAATATTACAAGGAATTTCCCAACATGGTATTCTGAAATGTAGTATTTTAATTTCCAGAATCATATCTATTTTTTTCACCTTCTTGAGAAAAAGATACCGCTGCTTATTAGCCTCAACGAGTCTTGTAATGTGAAAAACACAACATTTTCCTGTACCTTTTATGGATATCTTCATTAGCTGTGGATGGCAATACAAATCCTTCTTCATCTAATTTAATTTCAACATCTGGTGAGAGAAGAAAGGAAAAATTCCTCGTGTGATACCCTCACAAACACTATCTTCCTGTATTCATTCCTTTGCTTTGCTTTGATTCCTTCCACCTTGCATTGATCAATTGGACTGAAGGCTGCAAAGTAATGACCACAACCAAACAATGGTGAGAATTTTAATTCAATTGGCTTTATGATCAATCAAGTCAGCCTTAAATTAAGAAAGCTCAATAACGCTAAACCACAGAATGGGTTCTGAAGTTATCTGGGGTATGACAAGAACCATGCATGCTTTCTCTTTCCCCTTATGATAGGTGGCAGAGATCCTTCAATCCAGACTGTGAAGAAAACCCTTGAGTTAAGACATTAGACATCTGTGCAACTCATAACTTCCATCATTCCAACTTGCAGTGCCTCCATGGTAAGTAAAGAAAGCATGCCACACCCAGACACCTGGTCTGCGAGCACGGAAGGCTTCCGAACTGTCCTTCCCCTCTGGTAAACTGCAGTTCCCTTCGTAAAGAGAAGAGAAGTGACCATCTGAAGCCTATGAACTGCTGTCCTTTACGAGAAGGCTTTCTTCTGCTCATCAAGTTAGAAGAACTGTAAGGACGGAGGACTTGGAGTCTCTTGTCAGTGCTGTCCAGGAGAAATTTCTGTGATGTGGAAATCTTTATAATGGTGCTGTCCAATTTGGCAGCCATGAGCCACATGTGGCTACTGAGCACTTACAATGTGACTGAGGAATTGAATTTTCTTAAACTTTTAATAATTTAAATTTAAATAGCCACATGGTCTAGTGGCTACTATATTTGGACAGTACAAGCCTAGGTTATAGTAGTAGCTAACAATTAGTGAGCATTTCCTACGTTCCAGGTACTATTTTATTTAGACCTTAAGTAAGTCTTTGAGGTCAATATTACTATCATTTTACAGAGGAAGAAGCAAGCAGAAAAAGGTTAAATATTCTGCCCAGGATATTCTGCTACTACGTGGCTAATATTTGAGACTTAAACCCAGACAGTCTTGACTCAACGGCTCTGCTGCTAACCCCAACTTGCCTTCAGGGAAGGGACCATTCCATTTTGCATTTCCAGAGAACTTCTATTGCTTCTAAGTCCCATATATCTCCAAAATCGAACAGGATGCTTAGGTTTAAAACAACAAAACTCCTTATACTACTTACCTATTGTATAACAATAGGGTGTCAACACTTTTGGAGCAAAATATAATCTTGCTCCTAAAAGGTTAGTCAGCCCAATCTTCACATATCTATAAAGCTGAGAATCCACAGGGGTCTCCAGGGAACAGCATGGGGTAAGAAATGACTTCACTTGATATTTAGGAAGGAGTTTTGGACCCTAAAAAATCATAAGTGCAAATGTGAGAAAGAAAAATAAGATATAACAACAGAGAATAAATTGAAGGTTACCTAGGTAGAAAAGTTTGATATAACATTACTTTATAGGCATGATACTTTTCCAGGAATTGGGACAGGCATCTCTCTCAAAATGATAATGCAAACTTCTCTTCTTACAGTGCAAGTCTAATAGTTCAAAATGTCTTTTATATGTGTTTTTACAGTAGTCACTGGTTACCATAAACAGAAAGAAAAGTAAAGAAGGAAGGTAAAAAGGAGTGAGGAGAGAGTGAGAAGAAACATAATAATGCTAACAGTTCAAGAAACATTTTTAGAACTGAGAATTGTCCCAAGGGTCTTAAGTACACACAACTAAAGTTTTCAACACAGGTTTAATTTCTCTAATCTGAAAATCCAAAATCCAAAATGCTCCAAAATCCGAAACCTTTTAAGCACAGACAGGCTGCTTAAAGAAAATGCTCATGAAGCATTCTGGATTTCAAATTTTTGAATTAGGGATGCTGAACTGGTAAATATAATGAGAATATTTTAAAATATGAAAAAATCTGAAAGCTGAAACACTTCTGGTCCTGAGCATTTTGGATAAGGGATACTCAATCTGTAATGGAAAATGTGATATAAATGACATTCCAGTTTAGGAAGAAAAGGATAGCAATATAATAAACGATGCTGGAGAAAATGGTTATTTATTTGGAAAATAACTAAATTAAACTTCTGTCATCCATGACAGATGCTAATAAATTCCAGGTGTACAACATGCTGACTATAGTTAATAAGAATGATTGCGTGCTTGAAAATGGCTGAGAGTACTTTTTTACCTTTTTTTTTGTTTGTTTTTGTTTTTGTTTCTGAGACAGAGTTTCACTCTTGTTGCCCAGGCTGGAGTACAATGACGCGACCTCGGCTCACTGCAACCTCCGCCTCCTGGGTTGAGCGATTCTCCTAACTCAGAGTCCAGAGTAGCTGGGACTACAGGCGTGTGCCATCATGCCCGGCTAATTTTTTGTATTTTTAGTAGAGACAGGGTTTCACCATGTTAGCAAGGCTGGTCTCGAACTCCTGACCTCAGGTGATCCACCCGCCTTGGCCTCCAAAAGTGCTGCGATTACAGGCATGAGCCACTGCGCACGGCAAGAGTACATTTTAAATATTCTTACCACAAAATAAAATGATAGATATGGAGGTAATACACATGTTAATTGGTTTGATTTAGCCATTCTACAATGTATACATATTTCAAAACAACATGAACATAATAAGTATATACAATTTTTGTTAATTAGAATACATAAATAAAAATTCAATTTTACTTTTAGATCAAAGATCTAAATAAAATTTAAAAGATATTATTTTTAAAAATGTAAAATATTCATGCTCTTGAGATAGGAACCTCGGAAGTCATAAAAGACAGATTCGACTACAGAACATTTAAAAATACATCATAAGTAATATTAAAAAGTAATAAAAGAGTACAAATCGGGAAAATATGTACAACATTCATAATAGTTAATATCTGTTTTACAATGAGTCCTTAAAGACAAACCATCCAACAGAAATAAATTAAGGTGTAGAAAGGCAATTCAAAAGAAATGTAAATGGCCAACACATATTTGAAAATATGCTAAACTTCATTAATGCTCATTAAAATGCAACTTAAATATATGATATGATATCCTCTTTCATGTAGTTGAGTAACACAAATTAAAGAGACTACTAACACACTGCAATAGAAGTGGAGGAGACATGGCCACCTTCATTCATTGCTGGGGAAATGTGACATCTGTAACTATTAGGGAAAAAAAATCTGCCAGTATCCATCAAAAATTAATCCACTAATCACATTTTTGGGAATCTAGTTTATATATGAAAAAAACCAAAAAGGCTCTAGTATGACAGGATTTGCAAGAATGTTTATTATAGCATTCCCGATAGAGACAAAAGTTGCAAAAACCTCCAAGTGCATCAATAGTAGAATAAACACCATGAAATATCATGCCTTTCTAAAAAGAATGCATGTGATCTGTATGCACTGGCCTCGAGGGATGGCCATGATATACTGCGCATAAAAGCAAATTGTACTTTGATTAGTGAGTCTCATTCCTTGAAAAGAGAAAAAAAATAGACAGTGTTTATGTATCTGTATACATTTGGGCGTAGAAACTGCTTTTAATACTGTTCCTTTAGAAATGGTAAGAGATCGGGGTTAACTATTATTTATCTTTATATAACTTAGTACTGTCTAAGCTGTTTTAAAAAAGGGGTATTTTTCCATTCTTATTACCTTATTTCAAAAATCAGATACTCTAAACTATGATTCAGAGTCAAGTAGAGAGAAGCAGAGAGAGAATGTCATAGTCTGGTGTGCTATTTCTGATTCTACATAAGGAATGTGATAGGTAATAGGATAAATCTTTATAGGTCTTTATGGGAAGAGCGAACTCTAGATAAACTAAACTCTATTAGATAAAAGTGAAATTTCTGGCTTGGCTTAAAAATATACTGTACTTGCAAATAATTTAGGTATTTGTTCAGTCCAGACATTCACACTTTGATAACAAACAGCTATGGGAAACCTAGTAGTAAACCTAGTACTAAAACCCTGTAAAACCTTCAGAGAGAATGGAGAAATACTGTAACTCACATGCCTGCAGCACTTGATAAAACCTCCTAAGAAATCTTAAACAGCAGGAAATTGTTCCTTCAAGAACAAGAACACAAAAATGGGGTCCATTTATCAAAGAAAAGCCTATCTGGTGGCAACTGACTCCAAGTAAATGAAATTCTGCTTTTTCAGGTTATTGAGACAGATCAGAAGTAAAGGAACTTAAAAGGAAACTGCACCCATGGGGAAATAAAGCCACATATAGTTCATGCTTTTACCTTATAGAAAGGGCATTCCAGGACTGAGGCTAAGAAAAGTTGGGTCAGTTGTGCCCGACTCAATGTGTCCAAATGAGATTCTTTACCTGAAACAGAAAGCATCCCAGTCATAGTTACGTCTGAATTGAGGTATGTATGAGAGAACATCATGAACATTCAACATCAATTTACACACTCCAGACAGAAGTATTCTATTTTTAAATGACACTATGAAATGAACTTGTTAGAATTAATTATGCCCTCCTCTTGCCACCAATGAAATTGACTTCCAAGAACCCAAGCTCCTAGCTACAGAATACAATTAAAAGAGATAAAATATGTTCACAGAATTAGTGGAAATTTCCTTTAACTATGGAGTTCCGGAAATTTGACATATTTGGGTGGCCTTGAATTAAGATGAATAATACCATCCTCTCAAAAAAAAAAAAAAAGATACAGTTGCTCACTCATCAAAAGTTCTAACATGTTAATGTGGCTATTTCCACTGCCATTACCATATCTCCTAAGAATGCTGCAATTTCTCAGATAAGGCAAAAGTCAGTTTATCTGAGACAGCTTTCTTCCCTCTACATGATTTCCTAGCATGCTTTAACTGTGTTTATGCCAGCATCTGTTAACTTCAGGTCTCATCTTCGGATCACTATGGAAGAAAAACTAAAGGCAACATATTGCCTTTATATGTGACTTGAAACCACTGCCAGTTCAAAGGTTACTTTTTTCCAACTGTCAGAATTTATAACCAACTCACCTTGCAGCCGTTGAAGGAAAAGAGGCTTGAATATTTTTGCCAGAAAGTTGACTGGATGGCATTCATTAAGTGAACATGAATGAAGAAGTTTCAATAATGATTTGGGTGGAAAATAATTGAAATGAGTGAATAGCACGTTTTCCAGCTTTCTAAATAAAGCAGAGGCATTTGGTGGCAAATAATTGAGTTTCCCAAATGGTTCCATTAAGGCAGAAATCTGACGAGGTGAAAATTTTTCTGTTTGGCAAACAAAAGTTTCTGCCACTGCATTGAGGATGGGTTTTGAAAGAATCAGTTCTCTACTGCAGTACTCCATGACCCTGCAGACAACTTCAGGATCCAACGTGAGGCACACCGCAGCTACACGATGCTCTAGGGCTTTTGTAAAAAATGTGTCATGGTGCCCAAAATATATGAACGCCTCCAAGACTCTCCTAAGCTCCTCGTTAGTGAAATGTGGGACATGCCTCACGACATATTTGCCCAATTTTATAATCAGAGGAAATGCTTGACTTTGATCAAGAACCACCAGGGCAGTGAGCATTTGGCTAATCAATTTAGGACTCAGGTTGGAAACTATTGATAGGGAAAAGTTGTTTATCTTATTTAAAAATGTTTGGTGTTCATCCACTTTTTCAGTACATGCCTGCAAGATTCTATAAAGGGCCACAATATCCTCCGGGGTAAATGTTTCCAATTTTTCACCTTGAAGTTGATTTATAATGAGTTCTAGTGTCACACAACCTGAACTGTGCAGTGTAATCAGACTTTCCCCAAGAATACAAAGATTGCGAACTTCCATGCCACCTTTTCTGAGACGATTTTGGCATTCTGCCACCAGGTTCAGCAACAGGCTACTTTGAGGATCCACATGCAACAGAATCAGAGCTTGCAAAGCAGTCACTAAACTAGTGTTTGACAGCTGTGAGGGCTCCTTTTCAAACTGAAAGCATAAAGCTTGAAAGATGCTATTCTCCAGTATTTCTTTTGGCAGCCCTTGATCACCATCCTTTTTTTCCACTTCACAAATTCGTTGTAAAGCTCCTGCTGCCATAGTGTCAGGCAGGGTTTCCATCGTGCTTATAAAACTTAGCACTTCTTCTGATGAAGTCAAGTTGCTCAGTCTCCTGTAAAACATCTGACTCTCCTCATTTTTAACATTTTGTTCAAGCCTGTCGCAGTCAGATACTTGAGAGAACACTGGTCCACCGAGTGGATGAAGGTCATTTCCATTTTTCGAATGAAACTTTTTACAATGGGCATGATGGAATTTGACCCCGAAAGGCTCAGGTTGTCGTGAACACAACCAAGGGCACAGACGCTCCTTGACTACCTTGTGAACATGATTTAGAGGTTTATTTTTTAAAGCAGCCAGAGCTCTATGCATCTGAAAATCAGATAAACGATAAAGGTTCTTCCTCAAGGTGATTAATGCCATACCATCAGATTCTCAATTTGATAACTAAATTAAAAAATTTAAAAACACATGGTTAAATACATTGAGAACATGATTGACCCAACATCAATGTTTATGAAACTACAAACGAGTATCTGGAAAAAAAAAAAAAAAAAAAAAAAGGATGGTTAACATATAAACACCAGAGGGGCAAAGTCTCTGCATCCTAGAGTTAGAAGAGTGGCTGACATTGAACAATAACAATCGCTATTACTTGCTAAACACTGTTGTAGGTATTCTATTAACTTACACAGATTCAGTACTTTTACTATCATTTTACACGAGGAAGAAGTTGAAGCACAAAGTTACTTTGCCCAGTTTATGCAGGTGGTTAAGTGGCAGAGCTAGGGTTCAAACTCAGGCAATGTAGCTCTTAAGGGTGGCCCTTAAATGTTGGTTGAAGGAAGAAATTGCATTTGGATAGAAATCAAAGAACAGGTAAAGTGGGCAAAATTAGGCGAGGTTAGAGCAAGGCAAGGGTAAAAACGCGCTGGAAAGGCCCTAAGCTGTTGGTTTCCCCTCGGTGTCGGGAGAAGGTTAGTGTTGAAGGAAAGGGTCTACTTTGTCAATGGAAACAAGGTAGGAAAAGAAAAAGCAAAACATAGATCAATGAAGGGAGAAGGTGGGGCGGCCAGTCCAGATCTAAAGACGGTGCGGGGGGATTTGGCAACACGTGTGTGCAAGACAGACAGACGGGAGGCCCCGCGGCGCGTTTTCCTAGGAATGAAAGGGACCCGCGGGGCGAGCACCCCCAAACTCGGCGCCCCGGGGACCTGCGCTGAGACACGGGCCGGGCGGCGCAGCCTGAGGAGAAAGCCGGCCAGGTCTTTGACACCCAGCCGGACCAACTGCGCGGAGACCCCGCGTTGACACCTACCGCGCTCTGCCGGGCAATCACTCCGGGTGGTCGCGGAAGCGCCTGGGCGTCGTGGGCCTCCGTAGCAAACGCGGGGCGGGAGCACGACTCAGGGCGGCGCAATGTGATTGGCCCAGGTCCCCTTCGGAGCTTTCTATTGGTCCTGGGTACCGAGCATGGGCGCTGCGTCAGTGCGCGCTGGCGCAAGGTTGGTGGAAGTCGCGTTGTGCAGGTTCGTGCCCGGCTGGCGCGGCGTGGGTAAGCTGCCTGTCGGCTACGGTTCCCGGATTCCGGCCGCTCGCCCTGCACTAATCTCCTGGGAGAGGCGGCCCGGGGCGGGGGTGGGCAGCCGGCTTGCGCCCGTGGTTCCCACGCCCTTCGGCCTCCGGGGGTCGCCGCGGGCGCGGGCTGGGGCTCGGACTTGGCCTTTGGCCTTTGGCTTTGGTGTCCCCGGGAGCGTGTCCTTGGGCTCGGCGTCGGCCTCTGCCGCGGGAGGCCCCTGGGCGGCGTGGGGTCTCTCCTCATGTTCTGCCTTTGGTTCTAGGCGCTTTCCAGGCCTAGGGAAACCGCACTCGGGGACGCGGGGAACTGGGGAACATGCCGGGTTGGGGCGGCGCGCTCCGGGGAACCCGGGACGTTCCGAGCGCCCACCCGGCGGGACGCGGCCGTGAGTTCTGCCCGCGGCCGTGAGCTCTGCCCACCGCCTCCGCGCCGCTTCCGGGGCTGCTGGGGCCCGGGCCTCCGCTGAGAGTCGTGGGAAGGTGGTGCCGGATTGTGGGGCAGTAGCAGGGATGAGGGGTTGATTGATCCTGGGAAGCCCTCAGGATGTGTGTTTCATGGGAAGTGATAGAAATTTTAGCTGTAGTAAGGTTTTCATTATCGTTTCCACCGTTTTCTGTGAGCTGTCAATGTGTAGTGTTTTCATATTGTTTATTCACTCATTCAGATAACTTATCGAGTACCAGTTTCATGCCAGGTGCCGTTCTGGGCGGTTCATTCACCGAAAGCCAAGCTTTTGGTTTGGGTTTCAGTTTAAATCTGTCTCTGCAAATTGACAGCCCACCAATTTTAGCCGTTAGATGAGTATGGAAAAAAATCTGTGAGTGTCGTTTGTTTTACTACTGCTTATCTCTTGCGGAAAAACGTGTTAGTAAAATGTTTAAGTGGATTGGAAATATTTTTTCGTTATATGCACCCGTTTGTATATATGCCCATACACTCACATATTTTTGATTTGCATTAAATAATGAAGGAGAGTATGTGCTTCAGTTACCTTTAGTACTATGATTAGTTTGTTTAGCGTTAGGATCAAATAAGAACCAAGAATCCTATCATTTTAATATAGTTTTTACTTTTATCTTTTTTTAAAAAGAGGAAACCAAAAGCTATTTAAGACTGTTGTGAATGATACTGTGGCTCAAGTTTTGTTCAGGTTCTTGGCTTGTGCCACATCGTTTTTCAGGTAGGTGGTAATACTCTCATTTTTAGGATAAAGGAGCTGTGGTACGGATCATTTGGGGAGCTTGTCTACAGGGTTGCACTTAGGAAACACAGATTCAAGCCCAAGTAGTTTCGAGCCGATCATCTGATTTCTGAGCCATGGAATTAGAGTTTCATTCGTACACTCTCCTTAATTTGATGAATTCTTATTTAGGCTCATTTGAGATTAGTGCTGAAAACAAATTTAGAAAAGGCCATTTCATATTATGTGTGGGTATTGTTGCATTGTTTCTTAAAGATTGAGGGAGAATTAATATCTTTAGGTTGTTACTGCTTCATTAAAAAGAGGATCTTTTTTCCCCCATTTTTCAGTTTCACTGTTACATGCCTTGAAGTGATGAGGAGGTTTCTGTTACTATATGCTACACAGCAGGGACAGGCAAAGGCCATCGCAGAAGAAATATGTGAGCAAGCTGTGGTACATGGATTTTCTGCAGATCTTCACTGTATTAGTGAATCCGATAAGGTTAGAGCCGTTACAGTGGATTTTACCGTTTTGTGCTTTGAAGAATTTTGGTTGGGAAGTGATATTTATGAAACAAAAGGACACTAATACCACCACATAGTCTTTGTTTTTTAACAGAAATGTGTTTGTTCAATGGTATAGTAAGATATCACCAGCATTTTTTTAATATAGAAGTGTGTAGTTGAATTAGACTAAATGGTCTCAAAAATTGAAACAAGTAACAACTCCTTAACTGTAAATGACAGAAGTAGCATATGCTGTGTCTGTTTCACAGGGTGGCTGTGAGAACAAGTGAGATGTGTGTTTGCCTGCTCAGGTGTGCTTTCCACCTCTTGAATCTCAGTGTCCCACTTTTTTCCCCAAAAGAAAGGCCTTGCCGTGCGTGTTAGAGTTCCTCCTGATGAAGGACCGCCTAGATTCTTTTGTGAAATAGAATTTAAAGTAGTAGTGTAAGGATCTGGAAAAAACTCGGCTGCTTCTTCAGGGACTAGTTGTTTATGTTCAGTCTCTGCAGAAGTTCCTACCTTAGGGTATATGCAACTTTACCATCTTGTGTTCTTTTATTTAGTTTGCTGCCTCCAGATTATACTATTTCAGACAATTCAGGCGATAACAGTTGGCAGGGGCTTTATACCACAAGATGATTTGCCAGCCGCTAAGCAGTTAAAATTCACTTCAACATTTCAGAGACTGTCCTGCCAGTGCTCTCTCACCCAAGTGCACAACCCTCTCTGGCCTTTCCTAAAACTCCAGTTCAGAACACTAGACTGTGTGCAGCTCAAGTGAATTATAAACCCAGCTCACGGAAGGAGACTCACCTAGTTCCTTTATGCAGCCCTGCCACGGTAACTCTGGACACCAGAGAAAAGGGAGCTTCCTGGAGGAGACTGCCAGTCAGCAGACTCTGTCATTCTACAGTAACTTAAGTTCAGATTGCAGTGCCACATGATGAAGTATCTGAATCTGTTACTTTGGACAAAACCAAAGCCATCAGTATCATAAAACTAGTCCTGATTTGGCCCCTTGTGGTTGACCTCAGTAAGTTGATCAGCAGGTGTTTTGGCAGTCAGATGAATGGTGAATTTTTTTTTTTAACACCAAGATAGTCATGCTATTTATCCTCCCTGGCTGATGGTTTCGTCTAGCTGTTCATAATCTAATATCCTTCCTATTTCACATAGTCCTTTTCAAGGTACTGACATTACTTATACAAACTCTGTATGTAGAGTTTAACACACAACTTACATAGAGTCTTGGAAGCATTAAATACTTCGGTAAAAAGTTAAGTTGTTACCTCTTTTATCAGTGTGAAAAATAAGGTGAATTATTTGGAGCCAAATTCGATGGTGTTCATGGGCAGTAAAGCTTGTGGAGTCTTACAAGTAAGACAAGGAAGTGTTCTATTTGAAATACTTAAATTTACACGAGAGTAAGAATAAAGAAACTTGATTTGTAAGAGTTTATAGCTCAGCTTATAGCTAATGATATTCTCAGAGTTAAGACAGTGAAATGCTCTATATGAAATATTTAAACTTACATGAGAATAAGAATAAACTTGATTTGTAAGAGTTTGTAGCTCGCTTATAGCTAATGATATTCTCAGCTCTCTGGAAACCTGAGGGAATGAGCGGTTCTTGATAGCCAGGTCCCTGATTTAGAAGGGGTAACACTTTTAATTTCCCAGTTTTAAAATGCCCTGTTATCCCTCTGCCTTAGTGTCACATGCAGTACACATGGCTGGTTTTATATTTTGCTGAAGATTTCAGAGCTGTTGTGTTTTTATTGCTGTTTTTCTTTACCACAGTATTCTACTTGTTGCTTCCTTGTCTTGGCATTCTAATCCTGAGTGCTTATGTATCAGTTCTCTTTATTTCTGAGTCTCCCCATCCCCATTTTAACACCTCTTTCCTTGCTTTTTTTTACTTTCTTATGAAAAGACGTTTCCACCCAGTTAGCTGCTGTTCCTCCTTGGCAGCTCATCACAGTGCCTAGGTGCCTCATCTTGGCTCTTAGCAGTGCTGATTTGCCTTGCAGATTTGAGCTCATGTTAATGTTTGGCCCATGACTCAGTGGCAAAGAGTTGACTATATCCTATTTCCTCTGATTTTTCTAAAAATGAAAGACTGGGACTAGATGGAAACCTGGGATGGGTACTGTCTGTGCCTGTCCCTGCCTTTCGTACACAACATGAAGAGAAAGACGTGTTAATCCCCCCCAACCTCTTGATGAGCATCAACAAAACAGACGCATGGTTTCCTTGAATGACATCCTGCATTAGGCAAATTGATTAAGCTGAGAGCGCCTAGTCACTGGACTGGTCGTCTCAAAAAAACTGGCAAGGAAGAAGATTGAAATACAAGACAGGAAACTAAGCTGATTGCTTTGCTGCTGAGTTAAATCAAAAATGCATGTAGTGTTAGGTCCCTGACTTGATATCCTTGTTTTGTAGTATGACCTAAAAACCGAAACAGCTCCTCTTGTTGTTGTGGTTTCTACCACGGGCACCGGAGACCCACCCGACACAGCCCGCAAGTTTGTTAAGGAAATACAGAACCAAACACTGCCGGTTGATTTCTTTGCTCACCTGCGGTATGGGTTACTGGGTAATGGACTCTCTCTTCTGATCTTACTATAGTATACTATTGATATCTCTGGTATCTGAATTATCTTTCAGAACTATGAAGTGTGATCATATAGGTTTTGTCTTTCTTATGTAAATATTATGTATATGTATATATAAATGTATGTAATGTGCTACCTTTTCTGAATCTTCCCCAGACTTTACCCCAGAGCCACACCTCTGCAGAACCTCTTGAGTAGCATTTTAATTAAGGATGCACCTCAGATGCAGCCATGAAACATTTTCAGAATAGCAGTGGCTGGGCCTCATCCTAAACCTACTGAAACAGTCCTTGAAGAAGCAACCCCTCATGCCATTCCTCCATTTAGAAAAGCAGAACAAAACAAAACACTCCCAATGATTTTGATAACTTCTCTAAGAACGATTCTCCCAGAATGAATGATTTTCATTTCCCAGCTACACATCAGGATTAGCTAGGGGAGTTTTTACTAAATTATATGACTTAGGCCCACCTCCAGTGATTCTGATGTAATTATTCCAAGGTAGGGCCCTGGCATCGTTATTTTTAAAAGCTCCCAGGTGATTCTAACATATGTATCCCAGGTTAAGAAAAACTGACTTAGGACTCTGTGAACCATAGTTTAAAAATGTTAAAGGATCAAAAGAACCAGATCAGCACAATATGATACCAGAGGGGAATTGAGGGTCTGCATTCCTGACTTGTGACCTATGTTGTTTTATCTTTGAGGATTATTTTTTGGAGAGGGTATCTAGCAAGGATGGGTTGAGTATAATAAATAACTGATTAGAAATTTGAGATTGTAACCCTGGCAATGATCTGTCATATATAACATGTTCAAGAGAGTATTTCACAGTATTTATAATTTTTTTTTTACCTTAAGTTTTTATACTTTCTGTATTTTCAAAGAGAGAACACATACTTGTTTGAAAATCCAGAAAAGACAGAAACAGAAGCCTGTCCCACTGTTCGAGTCAATGTTAGGCCTAAGCGTGGAACCACTCATTTCTCACCCTTTTGTAGAGAAAGAACATGGAGATGCCTGCACAACTGAGGGATTTAAGCTTTTTTTTTTTTTTTTTTTTTTACACCATGAGACATAGAAGCAATTCTTGATTTCCCCAACACAGAAACATACCACATTGTTAATTGTGGTTATTTATATGGCTGGTGTACCTTTCTTTCTATATCAGGAGTCAGTAAACTCTATGAAGGTCCAGATAGTAAATATTTTAGGCTTTGCAGGCCTACTCAACGCTGCTGTTATGAATAATATGTACACAAGTGGACTTGACTGTCTTTTAATAAAACTTTATTTACAAAGAAAGGCAGTGCATGGTATTTGTCCCAGAAGCTATGGTTGGCTGACCCCTGCTCAGTATCAGAAAAAATGTACAGATGACAGATATTGTGGTTTTGCAACCTGTCTGATCCTTGTTTTAAGATTTCTATATTTTTACACATAGTCATGGAGATGAAAATGTGAAGTCTTTTCTTTCAACAGCGGCCAATAAGTATTTTGTTTCATTATATCTGCTACTTTTATATTGTAAAATAGAAGAAAACTGCCTACATGCATAGAATTACTCAAGGAAAATAAAATGTGAAGCTCTGCATTATTACTCCATCCATAAGAGCATGAAATAGTATTATTTTAGATATTTTATTTACCTAGTCTTTGTGTCCTTAAATTTAAACTTTATTGTGCATTAATTATGTATTTGGGTTCTCTAGGTCTCGGTGATTCAGAATACACCTACTTTTGCAATGGGGGGAAGATAATTGATAAACGACTTCAAGAGCTTGGAGCCCGGCATTTCTATGACACTGGACATGCAGATGACTGTGTAGGGTAAGGGCAGTGTTCTCTGTTTACTCCAATAAGCCCTCTATACATGATGGAAGTTGATTTGTAAAACATGTCAGCTTTTCACTTAACACTGAAATTTTCCTCATGTTTTACTTTTGTTCGCTTTTTTAGCTTTAGGATCCAAGAGGGTCAGCCAGAGATTGATTTACCTATTTTGCTGATTTTCTTTTGTGTCCATCTCATCCTTGTCAGTATATGCTAACGGCAAGAGTTAGAAAAGGTGCTCCAGTACAGTTATCTTTATTTTAAACAGTGTAGGTATTTGCAGAAATCAGCTTGTTCTTTAGGAACTTTAATCGTGCATGTGCTTCTCTCTGCCATGCACGTGGAGCCTTTGGATTGGGCTCTTTACATGGAGGGAGCCTGGTGAGCCACACTTCGCTGTTAGAGAACACAGGTCTGTGGGCCTTCGCTGCAGGCTGCATTGCTTGGCGTGCTCTTACCGTCTGAACGGCCATTTGCCACCATGCCAATCAGACGTTTACAGACGCATACTTTATCTTTTCATTACTTTTATTTTTGTTTTTACAAGTCAGTATTTCACCCATTGTGCCACCTTTCAAATCATCCTGATGTGTTTATTCAGTGGTCCTACAGATATTGTCCTATAACTTACTTAGCCTTCAACTATTTTAGCCAGATAACAGCACACACCCTTAATTTTTTTCTAGTAGGTCCATGTGTTAATTTAATTTTCACTCACTATGTTACTGAATAATCTGTTTATGAGAAAATTACAAATTCAGCAAATGTCTTGCTTTTCGGCATACTGTATTTCTGCTGAACTCACCCTGTGCCCACTTCTTCCGTCTTTCCCTTCAGCTCTGATGCCATGGGTTTTTTCCATATCGCCAGCACACATATTCTTCCTGATTGTGACAAAGCTTTGTGACATTTCCTTGGGAATTCACTTTAGCTCTGTACCTTTATATTGAGCTTTTTTCTTTTGCCAGAAGCTCATTGACATTAAATGCTCAGTCTTGTATGAGCTGTGTTTAACTGTTAATGTAATGCTTGTGTCATCCATTAGGCCCATCACTCATCCATATTTCACTTCTCTTCAAAGGCTTTCATTTTCTCTGTTGATTTATTGGTGTAAGTATTGAAATGCTTGACTGTATATTTCAGTAGACTATAGTGCTTAGATTTTCAACCTAACTACCTTACTTGAATTTTTCCTTTTTCTGAAATGAAGATATTTTCAAGACATTCTTGCTTGATGTGCCACCACACTAAATGGGGTTACGAATGCACACTTGAGTCCAATACCTGGGTTCAAATCCTTGATCCCCCACTTACTGACTGAGATCTTGGTTGAATTAGTTAAGCTTTTTGTTCCTTGGTTTTTGCCTCTGTGCAATAGATAACAGTAATCTATTTACTGTGTAAGCTTCGTAGGAGGGTCAAACGGATTAATACATGTCGTCCTCTTAGAAGAGTGCCTGTCGTCATGTAGTAAACACTCAGTGAACGTTAGTTCTCCTCCTGGTTGTGCACACTATCACCTTAATATTTCTGAGTTGTGAGAGTGATATTTTACATGTAGCTGTTATTGTTGAACTGTAGTTTTATAAACTTGTTTTCACAAAGGCTCCTCAGGGCAGCTCTAATGTGTAACCACATTTTGAGTAGTGTACCACATGAGCACCTCCCGAGCACAGTGAAATGACAACCTGAGTCATAATGACACACGGGCCTGAAATCTGCCTCCTCTTGGTATTCATTTCGCTTTAGGAATTAGAATTTAATTGATCCTCCTTTGAGCTGTGATTAAAAGTGGTGTTATTTCCACAGCCCTGCCACAGTCTTATCCACTGACTCTACTTAAACTTCTCTGTTCAGGGAATGGCTGTTGTTATGATAATTTGTTAGTAGTAGGTGGACTGCCACATTTAAAAAATCTATTTATGATGAATTCAACTTTCCCAAAGGAGGGTTGCTTTTTTTTTCTCCTGTTGTCAGCCTCCCTGGGAATTTTACTAAAATAAAAAAATAAATAAAGGCTTTAACTATTTATTTAGTCCAAGGACTTGGCATTAATCCATAGTGATTTCTTGGTGATATTTTAATCTGTAGGAAACAGATCAGTAGATCAGTAAATTGGCTAGGCAAAAAAAAAAAAAAAAAAAGGTGCATTTGATGGATGGAATGAGCATTTGCAGCATTATGGTAGCCTTGGATTTTGGTTAAGTTCTGTTAGCATTAGTATGCCTATTTAAAATTATATCTTCTTAAAATAAAGTTTACCAATTCTGGAATATTAGGAGGAATTCTATTCCTGTCATCCTATTACTAGAATATCTTCCTATCCCTCTTCATTTCTTCTACCTTTATACATACTCATGTTTTCAGCTACGGTGCTAATGAACACATAATATATCCTGCTTGTTAAAACTTAATCATGAAGTATTTTTTGTATTCCGAATGGTCTTCATAGTGTTTCTAACAAGTGCATACTTTGCCAAATGGACAGACTGTCATTATCCTGTTCTGTGTTCAGATGGAGAACTTAGGCATTTGTTTTGTTTTTCGTTTGTTTTTACTGTCCAGTTTAGAACTTGTGGTTGAGCCGTGGATTGCTGGACTCTGGCCAGCCCTCAGAAAGCATTTTAGGTCAAGCAGAGGACAAGAGGAGATAAGTGGCGCACTCCCGGTGGCATCACCTGCATCCTCGAGGACAGACCTTGTGAAGTCAGAGCTGCTACACATTGAATCTCAAGTCGAGCTTCTGAGATTCGATGATTCAGGAAGAAAGGATTCTGAGGTTTTGAAGCAAAATGCAGTGAACAGCAACCAATCCAATGTTGTAATTGAAGACTTTGAGTCCTCACTTACCCGTTCGGTACCCCCACTCTCACAAGCCTCTCTGAATATTCCTGGTTTACCCCCAGAATATTTACAGGTACATCTGCAGGAGTCTCTTGGCCAGGTAAGGAAGTTTTTCTTTATGCTATAGATGCTATTTAATCATGGATGTTTGCTTTGGGCTTTTAAATTATTATTACATTAGAAGAGAGGTCAACAAACTATGGCTTACTGGCCCAATGTGGCCCAGAGCCTTTCTTTTGTAAATAGATTTTACTGGAACACAGCCATGCCTATTCATTTAGGTAGTGTCTATGACAGCTTTTGAGCTGCAATAGCAGAGTTAGTGGTTACCACAGGGGCCTGCAATGCCTAAGGCATTTGGCCCCTTCCAGTAAAAGTTTTCCCACCCAGGTATTACAAAAGGTCTTGTATTATTACTTCTGTATTTGAAGAAGTAGATAAGAACTCAGTTTCATCATTATTTTGGAGAACTAACAACTTGGTTTCTCATTTTAGATGAGTCAAACAGAGATGAGTTGTGTGGGCAGTGAGTTGAGTATCACATTGCATAATAGCTAATTTCTCCCCACAGGCAGTGTATGGTACCCTGAAGTTTTTCTAACCTGCTTAAAATAAGTTTCCAGAGCAGGCAGTCTTTGAATGCAGGGCTAAGCCCTCTTTCTGTTGAGTGGCTGTTTGGAGTTCCACATGGACTTTTCTTACAAAAACCACACCCTTACTGCAGCTATTACCAGTTTTAATTTCTTGTTTTTTTTAATGAAGACAGATTTAGACATTTAAGAAATAATTTGGATGCAGCATCTTTCTTGTATATTAGCACTGTTTGTAAACACCTGGTATGATAGCAATTTTTTTTAGCATCTTTTATAATGTCTTTCTAAAGCTTTCATGTAAGTATGATTTTGTGTATAAACAACTATGGGCTATTGTTTTTGCACTTGTACTTCATTATTTTGTGAATTGTTTAAGTGAGATAATTGCAGTAAGTGTATCTCAGTCTGGTTTGGGAACAGACACAACTTATGCCTGGACTGGTGGGAGCAGAGTGCAGTGTTGCACCACAGACAGGATCAGTTCATGGCAGCGGGGATAGAGATTAATCATTAATCTGACTAGGAGTTTTAAATTAGCCGGAAGATCTGTTAAGAGTTTATGGGTTTTTTCCGGGAGGCGGAGGTTGCAGTGAGCCAAGATTGCGCCACTGCACTCCAGCCTGAGCGACAGAGTAAGACTCCGTCTCAAAAAAAAAAAAAAAAAAAAAAAGTTTCTGGGTTTTTTCTTAATAGAAAGTGTCATTAAATAGGCTTGAGTTGTTAATAATGTAGTTAAAAGATTTAACAAATCTGAAGTACTTAAGAGAGACAATATAAATATGAAATAATATACTGAGAGAGTAAAGAATTGGGAAAAAAAGAATGTTTTGTAGGGCATCCTCTTGGGACCATTGCCTTGAGGCACAGAGGGGTTGGAAGCAGGATTGGGCACAGTGAGAAGCTGAGCTGCGATGCAGTCTCAACAAAGGCCTCAGTCAGCTCCTCTCCATATGGTACCTTTCTGCCATGTGGAAGTATTACCTCTAATAACCAGAGGGTCTTCTGGGTTGTGTGGTAGAGCGGCAGGACCTGTTAACGAGCACTGTCACTTGGATCTGCTGTAGAGCCCTCTCCTGCTCTGGGCCCCACGCAAAGCTGGTGGCCTTTTCTGTCACCTGGTATTTGGGTCTCAGCAGTCCTCCCAGGTATGGAATGTGCTACCCACAGATCCTGAAGAGACTTAGCAGTGGTTCTGCTTCTCTCTAGAAGTGAGGTACAAGGTGCACTAGTGTGGCCTTCACTTGGGAGGGGATGTCCTGACGTGCACCAAACTGTTAGAACCCTAAAAATTGTGCTGGCACTGCAGGCCCTTTAATTGCATAGGGCATGGGTCTTACCAAAGACCGCACTGTCCTGGCTACTCCTCGTTGCTCATTCAGTCTGATAGCACGATGCCCCTGATAGAGTAGGCTAGTGTGGTGCTTTGCAGGTGTTCCACATTTATTCAGACTCTTATAACAGCAGGCAGGACTTATGATAGCCCTGGGGCATAATTGTAAATTTATACATTGTTCCAGCGCAAAGTGAACTGTTTCTGATCCTCTTTAGTGATAGGGTTGGGAAGGAGCACTTTGACTAAATCATTGTCCGTGTACCTGAGGCCATGCTAGTCTACTTTGTTAAGGAAAACCAGCTTGCACGGAGGTTACAGTGGACCTGTTTCTTGTTTGAGTTTCCAGTAGTTCAGTGTCATCCCCCAGGATTTATGTGGTTTTTGCAGTGGTCAAACTGGTGAATTAAATGGAGATACGATAGAGACCATCCCCTGTGTCCTCCAGCTTTTTAAGGATGTCATTTCTCTCAGGATGCTATTTTGTTTCTCTTGTTCTATCTTGGTGTTTAGGGAGGAGGATGGCGTCAAATTCAGAGACTTCTTCTTGGCCCTCCCCATGATGATAGATCTTAACGTCATAGGCCAATAATTCGGTGTTGCCCTGTGCCAGCTGCTGAGTGGCCACTGGAGGTCCTGGGCCAGGACGCCATTTACCGCCTGGCCCCCATGTGCCTTGCTGTCATAGATGAGCTATGCTGATGCTTTGGGTCCCTGGGTAACAACATTCATTTGAACCCCCTCTTAACAGACCCTGGAATGTTTGCACATTCCCCTTAGCCCAGTGTACATTTCCCCTTTGGGAGAAGGACTGCAGAAGCCATTGTCAAGTACAGTTTCTATAGTGTCTCACAGTCCCTCCTCCTAGGGACCTCTTCTCTCCTACAGTCAGTGGGTTGCAGGTCTGGAAACAGGGCAAAGGATCGTTTTTATTGGAGCAGCGGCCTACAGCTCCTTTTACATGCCTCCTTGATTTCTTTTCATTGTAAGGATTGATCCAGTGCCTTTGTGGGCTGCCCATTTTTTACATCTGTGTTCTGCCCTCCTCAATTTAGGACCTCAGCTGTGTTGTGTGCATTCTCTCCTAGCTCCTGTGGGGGCATAGTGCTCTGTCGTATACTTTCTTAGGGGTTAGTCCCTTACCTTCCTTAGCTAGCCCAGTGCTTTAGTGGCCGAGTGTGTCGCAACAACCCCAGTTATTGGTCTAGCAACCAGAAGAGGGGATGGGGTGTGGTAGTGGGGGTACAGGCATGTGCTGTGGGCAGAGGTCCTTACACCATCCAGATGCGAGAAGGGAGTTCTTACTCTTCATGGGAGGGACTGGCCACATCTGCAGGCTCAAAGAGTTCAAGGGAATCTGGGTAGGAAGATTTTTAAGGGAATCTGGGTAGTCAAGATTTTTAAGGCGTTCTGGGTAGTCAAGATTTTTAAGGGAATCTGAGTATTCAAGATTTTTTTTCCCAGTTAGTCCTTGGCTTTCTCTGCCTTCACTGTCATGGGCTGCATGAGATGACTGTGTCTTTCTAAGCTCCTGAGGATGTCCCCTGGCTTAGTTCTATTTTAGTTTTACTTAGTTCTTAATTGGTGATTTGTCCTTTAAGCTTTTTGCATTTTTTTTCAAGTGCGAGTGAATTTTAGCAGTAGCCCCCCAAGTCCCACCAGTCTTCTCTTCTGCTGTTTCTCTCTAGTTCTCAAGCACCTGATGGATCTTGCAAGGTGATGCATTTGCTTCCACTGGCACTCCCTGCTACTTACGGTTGCATTGTTGCTGTGTGCCAGTGCCGTCTGTCTGCTCTCTCACTGGTGTGGTGTTCTCATTGTCAAACAGGCAGATGATCCAGCTCTAGACTCCATTTTAGCATCTTTCCCAGGCTACCCTGGCACTGACTGTCACAGGCTGGTTCCCAGGAGTCAAACAATGAGATGTTTTTAGGGCATCCTCTTGACAGCATCATCTTTGGGCATGGAGGGATGGAAGCAGGATTGGGCACAGTGAGAAGCTGAGCTGCTGTGCAGTCTCAGCAAAGGCCTCAGCCAATCCCACAGGGTTCTCTGGAGCTGGTGGGTCTTCAGAGTTGTCCTGAGTTGGAACGAAGAGGCTGGACCTTTGTAGTCTTTGATGAGACATTGGATGTGGGTTGCCTCTGAAAGGAGGTGTGGGCAGGGGTAAGGTGTGACCTAAGAATGCTGAAGTGTTTCTTTCAGGTGGCAGAGGTAGTCATTGTCAGCACTGCCATAGCCTTTGCAGAAGGCAGTCTTCTTAGGGGTACATCTCAGTACCCCCACATTATGGCTCCCAGACACCCAGAACTGACCTTCATCCCAGCTTTCCCATATAGCCACTTATCCACAGTTAATTGACTAGTACTGTTAAAATATTTTGTTTTTAAACTTAGGAATATAGAAAAGGAGTAGGGAGTATTATAAAGAACTGGGATTTTTTGCAGTTTTCCAAGACCTACTGTGTCCAGTACAGGAGCTGCTGGCCACATATAGCTACTCAAATTTAAATTAATGAACATTTGTTAAGATTAATAATTAGTTTCTTAGTGACACTACCTGTATTTCACCAGCCATATTTCAGCAGCCATATGAACAGCATTGCCCCACACTAGGGGGTTCCTGTGACCATCTACACACATGTTGCATTCTTAAACATCTGTCACATTCTTCAAGATCTCTCCTTCCTGAAACATTTGCAGACATTCTGTTTCCCTTGACGTAGTTTATTAGGAAAACTACTAGATCTTTACATGAACATGCCAGTATTTTTATTTTCTATTTGTATTTCAGAAATTCTAATGTCTAATAGATAAAGCGTTTGAGATAGAATTGAGCTTCTCTTCTGAAAAGCTAGCTCCATATATCTGCCCTCATTCATTTACCTTGGAAATGAATACTGAGTAGCCAGGAAGTTTTGTAAGCCCCTGTGGATCTTGCGTAGTCACTAATTGAAAGAAGGGTATAATTGAAAATTGCACTTACGTTTTGTCACATTTGTTTTTCAAGGAGGAAAGCCAAGTATCTGTGACTTCAGCAGATCCAGTTTTTCAAGTGCCAATTTCAAAGGCAGTTCAACTTACTACGAATGATGCCATAAAAACCACTCTGCTGGTAGAATTGGACATTTCAGTAAGTTGCAAAATTTATTTCTCAGCACAGTAATATTGTCAGGATGTGCAGAAAGAGTTGTGTGGTGCTTGGTTATATATGCTGAGTGGTGTGCTGCTTGGTTACATATGCTGAGTTGTGTGCGGCTTGGTTACATGTGCTGAGTTGTGTGGTGCTTGGTTACATATGCTGAGTTGTGTGGTGCTTGGTTACATATGCTGAGTTGTGTGGTGCTTGGTTACATATGCTGAGTTGTGTGGTGCTTGGTTACATATGCTGAGTTGTGTGGTGCTTGGTTACATATGCTGAGTTGTGTGGTGCTTGGTTATGTATGCTGAGTTGTGTGGTGCTTGGTTATACATGCTCAGAAGAATGAGAGGTCTCTGACAGGACATCTTGCCATTTTATTCCTGACCCATCATTTTTTTCTCTCTTCTATTTTCACACCTATTTTCTTTCCACTTCAGGGAAGGACTAGGGAAGAATGGCTGGAGGAGATTCAGCCTGAGAGGAAGATGCTGGCTTACTCAATAAGCCATGAAAGAATAATGGGATCAGAACAGCATTTTATATATAAGAGGCCCAGGAAAGGAAGCTGTCCACTAAGGTCAGCCAGGAAGTTAGAAATAGAGCCTAAGGTCAAACGAGGTGGCTCTCGCCTATAATCCCAGCACTTTGGGAGGCTGAAGGCGGTCACTTGAACCCAGGAGTTCCTGGGTAACATGGCAAGACCTTGTCTCTACAAAAAAATACAATAAGTAGCTGGGCATGGTGGTGTGTACCGATGGTCCCAGCTACTTGGGAGGCTGAGGTGGGAGGACTGCTTGAGCCTGGGAGGTTGAGACTACAGTGGGCTGTAATTGTGCCACTGCACTCCAGCCTGGGTGACAGAGTGAGACCCTGCCTCAATTTTTTTAAAAAAAGAAAAGAAATAGAACCCAGACAGGCAGGTTAGGGTTAATTCCTCAGAGCAGTGGTTTTGATTTCTTGAGAATCTGGAAAAAATTATGGACTCTCCCAAAAAATGATTACACTTGTCCCTTAGTATCTTCGAAGGATTTGTCCCAGGACCCCTTTCAGATACCCAAATCCTCAAAGCTCAAGTCCCTTATGTAAAATGTTACAGTATTTGTATATAATCTATGCACATCCTCCCCTACACTTTAAGTCATCTGTAGATTACTTACAGTATCTAACACCACGTAAGTAGTTGCTATACTGTATTTTTAAGTTTACATTATTTTTATTGTTATTTTTTATTGTTTTTTTCCGTCCCAAATATTTTCCATTCAGGTTTGGTTGATTCTGAGGGTGGAGAACCTGAGGATATGGAGGGCCAACTGTATATAGAAACATTTACGTACAGTTTTAGTCTGAGATGTGCCTCGATGCACCCCCTCCATGGGCCCCCTTCCTACCCTCCACACCCTGCTGGAATCCATTGACCTTAGGTTAAGAAACTGACTGATAATCCTAAAATAAGTGTTTGAGTACCTCTTCAAAGTCATTTAGCTCAACCGTTTATTTTATGAAAGTCTTGAGAGGTTAAGTGGGTTATTCTTTCAGAAAAGCAAGGGCACATTAAGGCTGTTGGTGTAGATTTAATCAAACTTCCTAACAGAAAAAAATACAATGTGTCAAAACTAGATGGTTTTGCATCCATAAATATTAATACTATGTACACCAAAATATTTTTTATTCTGGTATTTTACATTTTTGTCATAAAGAGGCAAGGGTTGGTCTGTGCTTAGTCCAGTCTCTCTCCCTTGCTGGCAAGAAATGTGAGCTTGTGTCATTGTGAGAGGCTCCTCCCCAGAGCCCTGGCCTGCATCTGTATCACTCTGGGGCTTAGAGGCAATGGGCCTAGTAATAGACTTGACTTGGGAAGTGGTGACTTTTTCAGCCCATGTTTGCTCACAACCAGTATCGAGCCAGATAGTGTAATGTTTTATACTTAAGGAAATAAAGTACCCTTTCCTGTCCCCTAAAGGAAAAGAGTAAAGTAAGGAGAAGAAAATTGAAAACCAATGCATTTGACCATAATTAGTTTCTTTTGGTCATAATGTATGTTTTCGTGTGTGTGTGCATGTATGTTTTTGTAAGAGGGATTTTTATATTTACATGGGTTATTGAAAACACCATAGGACCTTACTTTGTAGAGAACAAGGAAGGTCTGACTTCCATTCTTTAAGTATGATAAAAGGCAAAACACTGGGTAACTACCAGATTTCGTTTTAATAGTAACTGCTAATAATGAAAGTATGTTTATTTGGTTAGTTGGGCTTATTTTTTAAAACAATTGTGTGTTTTTTTTTTTGAAATTCTATTTTCTGAGTTCACATATTAAAATCATAATATTGAAAACTATATTTTTGTTACCCTACAGCTTAAACTATGTAACACGTATAATGTATTTTTTTTTTTTCATTTTGGCTCTTCTCTAGAATACAGACTTTTCCTATCAGCCTGGAGATGCCTTCAGCGTGATCTGCCCTAACAGTGATTCTGAGGTACAAAGCCTACTCCAAAGACTGCAGCTTGAAGATAAAAGAGAGCACTGCGTCCTTTTGAAAATAAAGGCAGACACAAAGAAGAAAGGTAACAGCCCTGATGCTGTGACGTTGGGGTGTTGTGGGCCAGTGGACTGGAGCTGATGGTGAGAGTGTGGCTCTAAGGTTCAGGGTCCTGTGTGTTGGCCGCACAGATGCCTGGGGCTCAGCTGCGCATCAAGGTCTGGGAACACAGGCATACGCTGGTATTGGTAGTTTCTTAACTTTCATGTTAATTGCACTGAATAAGAAGATAATGGATGTTCTAATTATTGGACATTTGTGGACATGAAAACTGAGTGTAAATGTAGTTTTTGAGAAGCATTGGCCTAGGTTATTTTTAAAAATTCTTTTCCTATTATGTTTACTTCTCATAGTATGTTTGTTTTTGCTCATTTATTATATAAAATAATTGCTTTTTCCATAATTAAGAGAAGTTATTTATTTTTCAAAATATAAATATATTATTTACTTAGAATCTTGAAGTAGTCCTAAATTGATTTTTTGAGAAGAATAATGCTAATGGAGTACTGCTGTCTTTTTAGCTTTCATTTCCTTAATTTTAAATAATTTTCCTTTCTTTTATTTGGCCTATCTTGAATTTATAGTCTTCTTATGTTTTTGTAAGGTGGAGTTTTTTACTGTATTCATTTTGGGGAATTTTTTTGGCTGAATAAACATTGCCACAAGTCATGTTGCACTTTGATGCGCTGTAAAGTACTACAGTAATTGTGTTTTGGGGAGTGTGTAAAACATTTTATTCTTCATCTTCTATGTCATGAACCCCTTTCCCGTCTTTACCTGAAAAGGAGCTACCTTACCCCAGCATATACCTGCGGGATGTTCTCTCCAGTTCATTTTTACCTGGTGTCTTGAAATCCGAGCAATTCCTAAAAAGGTATTTTTTTCTGTCTTCTTCAGGTAACTATTTTAAAATATGCTTAGCTTTATTTAGGATTGATTAAACAAATTTAGAATATGCCCTTTGCAGTCTTAAAAAATGTGATCTTGATAGCATGTTTTTAATATTAGTTCCCAAGGGTGTGTGCTATCATCGTAACTATCATCTATGAATCTTTTTATGTTGTATTTGCATTTAAATTTTTGTTTTCTATTGAAATGAGGGCTTAAATAGGGCTTTTTCTTAGTCTAAATAGGGCTTTTTCTTTGTCTTACTTTTACTAGTTATTAACTACGTAGCACATTCCACAGTGATGGAGGTGACTGCAGTTGACCTTGTGTTACCCAGCTACACATTGCTGCTCCTTCTTTAATTGGTGACAGAAAGCTAATGAGAGCGTAGGATTCCCCCCAACCACCACTTGCCACTTCCTACAGTTGTTAAGATCTACTTTGTGTAATACTACATAACTATTTATTGCTGTAACAGAAAGCTTCAGGAAAAATGGAAGGGTTTTGGTAGGTAATAATCAATTATTATGTGAACTTGGAGGTAGAATAATCCACTAGATGTCAGTATTGTACCAGGAACTGTTTTTTTAAAACTACTTGTAACTGATTTCTTCTAACCAGCTCCCGGAAGTGGCCATTAATGGATACAATTTTTCAAATGTGCCTTGCCACACTTGTATTGTCAGTGAGCATAAAGAGTGTTGTAATTAGGCCGCCATCTCCCCAGTGTGGTTTTCGTGTCGTTTTATTAATGTGTTTATTGCATTTCTAGTCTTGGGTGAGTAAAGTACTTTAGAGAGAGGCTCAGCTCTCTAAATAAATATATGTATATTTATATATATATAGATTTATATATATATATATTCCATCTTCCTTTCCTGGTAATCAGCTCGAGATGTAATTTGAGTATTTAGAATTAATTTACTGTAATGAAAGCTTACCGATTAAGTCACAATTTTGGTTCAGCTCTACCCTTTTAAAATTTGTGTAAAGTGTGTGTGTATGTCTGTATATGTGTATATATATGTGTGTGTATATATGTGTGTGTATGTATATATTTGTGTGTGTGTGTGTGCATATATATATATATATATATATATATATATATATATATGGGTTTTTTCAAAAATAGTATGCTCATTGGAAAAATTCTGGATACAGAAATAACCCAGGAAACCAAAGTATTTTATAATCAAACCCTCTGAGTTAACACTTGAATTTTGTTTTCCTGAGGAAAATATGGGTATCCATATTATATGTGCTGTTCCATAACTTGCCTTTTTAACTTAAATCAAGAATCTGTATATTTCAGGATGGAAAGAGTTTTAATGGATACTATGGATACACCATTATTTGTTGATGTAATTATGGGCAATTGAGTCATTTTTGCTTTTTCACTATTAAAAAAGGCAAACTTTCTTGTACTGTATTAATTTTTGAACACTTACTTGAAGTATATTTGTAAAACAAATTCCTTGGAGTAGAATTGCTGTTTTAAAAATATTTACATTTTAAATTGTAGTAATGTTTGTCAGGTTTGTCATCTTGTTCTCCAAAAACAGTGCAGTATTTCCTGTTGTAGTACCATAAAGTTTTTGTAGTTCTAAAGTGAAAAAAGTATGTTAAAGGAAAAATTGTCACTGTTTTAGCTTTTAATTTAGGAGATTGTATTGGCTTTAGAATTTACAAACTGTTATTGGTAGATGTTTTTATTATCTTGCCAAAGTCTTTGCAGAGATTTGGGGCGTCCATTCAGCAGTGTTTCCTGAGTCGTTGTTTTTGGTCAATGCTGAGTTTGGCACTTGGAGGAACACGTGTAATTTGTTAGTGTCCAGGTATTTTAGACAGAGATTCTTCAGCCAAACCTTTGGAAACCTGTGACTCCTTTGGGAACAGTGATTTTGTCCTCCCTGTTAAGGAAGTCCAGGACACAATCATCTTGAGCCATGGAATTTAAAGTAGCAGTACCCATTAGCATTTCACATAACATTTGATGCAGATAATTACTGAAGTGCTTTGTTCCTAAAGAGCCCTTGAGAAATAAGCTATGTCTGCCTGTAATTAATAACTTGTAATTGCATTGAAATAAAAAATTCTTACTAGCAAGTTTGATGTTTTGTTCAGGAATTTAGACTTTGAGAATTGAGATTCAGAATTTTATTAGTTTTATTTATTTATTTATATTGTGGAATTTTTCTAACAGGTCAACATTAAAGCAAATGGTAAATTAAATTCCCTCCTCCTGACAATAGCTCCTAGTGGCTTTCTCATTTTTTCTTGGGTAATTGGGTGCATCCCTAGGCAGACATTTAACTGAATATTCTAATAGCTCTACCCACAAATTGTGTCACAATTTAAGGCGGGCTCCTTTTTGTAGGCATTTTTGCGAGCCCTTGTGGACTATACCAGTGACAGTGCTGAAAAGCGCAGGCTACAGGAGCTGTGCAGTAAACAAGGGGCAGCCGATTATAGCCGCTTTGTACGAGATGCCTGTGCCTGCTTGTTGGATCTCCTCCTCGCTTTCCCTTCTTGCCAGCCACCACTCAGTCTCCTGCTCGGTGAGTAGTCGCTTTCACAAGCACCTTGGTGGCTGTTCGTGCACTGGTAGGCGGGCCACCTTTCTGTAGTAAAGAAAATTTGCTGCTCTTGTCTTACCCTTTGTATCCTATGCCTAAAGAATATATCTAAATGAATGGTGGTGATTGGTAAGTAAACATCTTATATCTTGTCTTCAGGGTGCTGTGACATCTGTGTGCCCTTCCAGAAGTCACAGAATTCCCCTTCCAGACTTTTGGTTTTCTTTTTTTTCCTTCCAGCAGTGTCACTATCATTTTCTCTCTTAATAGAGTCAGTTGTTACTCTCTTTTTGGCTCAGAATTGAGCATCTTTTCTAATTTAACTTTTTTCAGAAAGGTTGTTTAGCTAAATGTCTAAAAATGAGCTTCCTATAAAATTTTCTTTTTCAAAGCTAACGAACATCATATTTAATTGAAAGAGGCTGATGCAGTCTGTGCTGTGTGCAGAATGCAGAAATGCCCCCATCTGAGCAAGTCCAGATCGAGGGTCCTTCAAGAGCAAAAGGGGACTGTGTCGTACCAGTGCAAATCAACATACTCATGGTACTGCCAGGCAGAGAACCATCATCCCATTTCAGATGAAGAGTAACCCATTTTTTTGCCCAGAGTGACTCTTCTAGTCCTCATACTCCAACAGAAGAGACCTCAGCATTGTCCCTGAGCAGTCGATGTCCTAGGACCTCTCTGTGGCTCTCAGGAAGGGATTGAAAATGCTTGCTAGGGGTGAAGACTAAGCGCTTTATAGGACTTCAAAGCCTTTATTACTTTCTTGTGCTTGTAACTTTGTCATCTCCTTTCCCATAGTGGTAAGTAGTTATGCCTTTAACATTTGCATTTTTCTTTGGTGACACCAAAATGTATATTGTCCTTTTTACTCTTGGGCCAGCAAGATCCTTTTCGATGCCCAGTACAATTAAAGGCACCCTTCTTTGCAAGTCAGGGCCTGATTTCTCCTCCTTTTTCTTAGTGTTTTTTCCACTTAGGACCTCCCCAAAATGCTAAGACCGTGTTGCTGAATGAGGCTGCTCTTCTCACCATCCTGTCCTCAGGCTGGCCCTCTCACCCTCTTCAGTGAAGTCTTCGAGAACCATCAGCAGGAATAGGATGACAGAACACAGGGTGGGGAGTTCTAAGTAGTATTAGAAAGTTCTCTTATCGCATACTAATTTATTTCAATTCTTTTCGTAGATTTTTTGTTACCTTTTAGAATGTTAGAATGTTTGTAACAATACCACATTACGTAGTTATATAAAAAAATTAAAGTCATTGGGACTTATAAAAAATTATATTATTTTCTAATTAAGAACAATTAAAATATCTAAAGCTTGATATTAAGTTGAACACCCTACTAAACCTTATTTTGATGTTTAAAACTCTACGCCATTATACATAGACCTTTTCATATTTTCAATTAAGTAACTGCTAAAAATAAAACATACCAAAACATAAAACATTTCAAAGTTTATTAGTGGATAGTTCAATATTTAAATACAGATTATTTAACCTGCTTTTGAAAGAATACCTACGTATTTTGAAATCACTGATTTTTTTTGATAAATTTTTAAAAACCAAACACTTTAATTATTTTAAATGTAAGATGGAAAATATTTCAAGCCTAAGCATTTTCAGTAATTCTTGAAAGAGTAGCCTTTAATCTTTTTGGGATCATGACTTTATTTTAAATCTGAAAACTGGGCACCTCCCTGCAGAAAACTGCGCACCTCCCTGCAGAAAACTGCACATATACCTAGTAAGGGTTTGCTGAGCTCCTCACCTCTGAAGCCAACTTATGGACCCATTCCTAGAAGCCTTTGCTTTTAAAATTCGCCTTTGGGTAGAAATACTGATTTAAGAGTAAGAAAATGCATCTTATCTGGTTTTTAACTTTAGGAGTTGAAAGAAAAAATAGTAATATTTTACTTGAACACAAAGTTCAAGTGCTTAACTATGATTTAAAACTAGAACATGATTTGAGTATTCTAAATAAGACATGGAATTTTTTTTTTTTTTTTTTTTTTTAGGTAAGGTTATTTTCAGTAGTAGTGAATTAATAATTGCTTGTTTTTATTTTTTTCTAGAACATCTTCCTAAACTTCAACCCAGACCATATTCGTGTGCAAGGTACTACTATTTATTCACGTAATATATAGCATTGTTTCTCCAAAATCTTAGACTCAGGCTTCCAGATCATTAGAGTTTACTAATTTATTCAGTGAAAACTTACCTGCTTTATGGAAGACAGTACCAGGCATAATAAAGCAGAAGAAGAATCATAGAGCTCCTGTCCTCTGGGACTTCATAGAATTTAACATCTTGGGTGGCTTCCCATGGCCCAGTACTATGTTTCCCCACTTAGGAGTCTCAGGCTCCTCCACATGCTTCCTGTGTCCGTGTGCCCAGCCACCTTCACTGAGTGGCAGCCGGAGGCAGGGGAGACAGAAAAGTTCCACTATAAAACATTTGATGAGTCCGGGCGTGGTGACTCACTCCTGTAATCCCAGCACTTTGGGAGGCCGAGGCGGGCGGATCATGAGGTCAGGAGATCAAGACCATCCTGGCTAACACGGTGAAACCCCGTCTCTACTAAAAATACAAAAAATTAGCCGGGCGTGGTGGCAGGCGCCTGTAGTCCCAGCTACTTGGGAGGCTGAGGTGGGAGAATGGCGTGAACCCGGGAGGCGGAGCTTGCAGTGAGCCAAGATCGAGCCACTGCACTCCAGCCTGGGCGACAGTGATACCCTGTCTCAAAAAAATAAAAAAAAAGAATATTTGATGAGCACTGGCTTATAGGATTCTCCCTGTGGCCTTCATTCCATTGCACAGCCTCTACCGTTTTCCCGTCTGGCTCTCTGTTTTGCCTTTCAGTAATAATACAAGAAGGTGCACCATTCTTTTGGTTGAAAGGGGAATTAAGAATGAACTCAAGTTCTTTCGCATTATTTACCGTGTAATGTGAAAAGAAATCTACTTTTGTAGGGATGTCTTTTAAAGATGTTTTTACTTTGAATTTTTAGTTTTCTCCTTTCTGGGTGTATACTTCAGTCACTTTCAAGTTTTATGATCTTACCAGTAGATAATGTATGGATATTTGTTAGAATTTATCCCCATTTCTTCACATCTTTATAATAAATATTGAGTGAATGAATCCTTTACATGAAGATCCTTAGGGCATATTAGATTTTATAAATATCATCTAGTCCTAGTGCAAGCAAATAAAATTGGAAACTTTCTTGAATAACAAAATGTAGGGTGTGAGAGTGTGAAGGTTGGGGGCAGTTTTTAATTACGTAATAATGGCTTTCCTCTGTGAGGATTTGGAAGGTAGATTAGAGCCTATAAGGAAATATTTCTAAACTGAATAAAAGGATTGGTTTGACCCATATGTGTAGTAGTACTGATATCGAGTTCAAAACTTGTCTGTGTATCTTTGCAGCTCAAGTTTATTTCACCCAGGAAAGCTCCATTTTGTCTTCAACATTGTGGAATTTCTGTCTACTGCCACAACAGAGGTTCTGCGGAAGGGAGTATGTACAGGCTGGCTGGCCTTGTTGGTTGCTTCAGTTCTTCAGCCAAACATACATGCATCCCATGAAGACAGCGGGAAAGCCCTGGCTCCTAAGGTAAGAAATTAGTACCTTAACCTCAGCATTGTTAACTCATACTCTTTGTTTCATTAGAAAAAACAGTGTTGTCTCACCCACATCATTCATTACTGTCATAAGAAAATTTATGCTGTTCTTGAATTTTAAAATCTCTATTGCAAGAGCAGAAAACTGTTTACTTCCATGTACTCTTTAACTAGTGTGTGTATTTTCTGAATGTATAAAGCATGAATTTTATATAGTACGGTCTTTGCTTGTCCTATTCATGGAAAAGAAGACCTTTTATGTTGATATTCTTGGTACATTGGCCTGGGGAGGGGTGGAGAACTGTCTAGGAAGTATTTAAGGGGGGTGATGAGAGACAGTCTCATTTTATGTTTAAGATGTATACTGCCTCTCAAATAAGTAGTTTTACATTGGGAGTCTGAGGGCAACTAAAGATTAATTTTATATTGTCCAATTTTGGCTAGTAGGGTCCCCGCATCCCTGTTTTTCTGCTTTTGTTATCTGTGGTGTCTGACATCTGAACTTGTGCCATTATTGAGAAGACATATGGCTGTAAATACTTTTACAACACCTAGGAGTAAAAGGTTATGTGATTTTCTCAACAGATTGTGGACACTTTACACTTGGACTCAGTGACATCTTTTTATGTTTTGATACGGCACTCAGCAGAATTTCGAGACCACGTGTGTAGGCAACAGTTTAAAGTTGTCCACAAGAATGGTTGAAATAAAGCAACATTTCAGGCTTTATCATGAAGTCCTCTTTCTTCATAGTAATGAAGAAATCAGTGATTCACTTGGAGTGTTGTCTTAGGAGAAGTTTGGTTTCTTTATTAGAGTTGAAAGGTTCATAGACCTCAATAGTGGGGATTAGGACTTCTTGGGATATACTTGAGAGGATAAGGGATGATTGCTGCTTGAAATTGCCGTTTAACTTGATGTTTTTCCAGTCTGCTGCCTGGAACAGAGAGATGCTTTATTGTGTTCTCTATACATCATGTATTCATTATACATCAAAATATTAGGAACCTTACAGAAACTTTCTTTTTTGAGAAGAAATATTATAGTACTGATATACAAGTATATGTCACTTGGTGATTGTATAAAGATAGCAGATGATCTCCAGAACATTAAAAACAATGTGTGTCCATCATGTATCGTAAACACTAAACATGGGTGCCTTTCACCTACTCCTCCTTTCCTCCCTCCCTCTCTTCGTCCTTCCTTCCCCATTTTAACAGATTTTTATTAACTATCCAATCTATATGCAGTAGAAGTGCAGATATGAAGGATATAATTTAAAACTATCTGAAATTACCTGTGCTTGTGTTGTGTTTTATTACAAATTATACAGAATGTTGACTTTTGCAAGACCTATCACCCACCCTGCCCTACTATGGCGGATAGTACAGTTATTCACAGATTAACCCTGCCACTGATGTTCAGCCTGGCTGTGTGAACAGAAGGACATCTGCCACATCTAAGCAGGAGCACTAAGCCTGTGGGCGTGGTGTAGCTTGGCTCTCTTCTTCCTATCTGCCATGATATTCTCTCCACATAGACCCTCAAGTGAAGCAGTCCCACAGCCTTCGAGGAAGAGAGCCCCAGAACGTAGAAAGTGTGCTGTTGTCACAGGATCTTTGTACATGTGTTTTTCTTTTCTGCCAGGAATATGCTCTGGCATGGCTAACTCCCTTGATTCAGATCGTGGTCAAAGGTCTCATTGTAGACATGGGCCTTCTTTGACATTGGTGTTTGAATTAGCAGCTCACTGCCACACCCATCATTTCCTTATCCTGTGTAATTTTGCTTCCTAAGACATTGGGAAGTCATTACCCATCATTCTGTGGATATATGTGATAATGTGTATGTTTATTTTCTTTTCCTTCCACTAGAATGTAAGTTCCGTAAAGACAGGGGCGTTGTTTTGTTCATTTCTGTATCCTTAATGCCTGTCATGGTGAATACTTTCAGTAAATCTGTTAAATGAATGAAGCAAAGAAGGCTAATGTAATGTTAACTAGTTTCATTCCCAAGTAAGAGCAGTAATGAGACACAGCTTTGCCATTCCTTCATTTAAAAGGTATGGTGTTCAGGCTCGTCATTACTTCCTACAGTCGTCCTTGAGTTAAAAGTTAAAATGTATACAGTTACACCACCATGCAAGGTGGAGGGGAATCCTGTCATTCTTAAATCTTGGTATCAGTATGACTTTTGCATATGACAGTGAAACTGGAAGTGAAACATACTCAGATTGATTCAGAAATATCTTTTGAAATTTTAACAAAAAGATTTTGATAATTATATGATTTGTTTAGTTATAACAAAAATAATTCTGGGTAATATTGGACCCAGAATAGCAAATACAGCACCATTATCTGGAATATTTGGAGCAGCCCCTCAATTTCTTTTTAAGGTGCCTGACTTTTATTTAAAATTTTTCAACCTCATCGTGATGCTAATCTTTATTGTCTTCATATTTAGGGTACATTTCTCCATAATATATGCTATTGTCTGCCCACCAGAAAGCAGATCTTATCCATAGACCAAGAAACATGATTTGATTATCTATTTAGAGTTCTACCTCAAAGACACCATGCCTATCATTTTTTACAACATTTTTTATTTGAATAGAAAAGAAAAATTTGCAAGACAAACTTCTTTCTGTAGTGACAAATGTGCTCATGGTTTCAATAAAATCTGATGCCACTATTTAGTGATGTTTCTTTGATGGGAATTTTCCCTTTCTGATTTGTTTAGCAAAGATCATCTTGATTATATACTCTTGCCTAGGTTTTCTTTCATACTTACCACATTTGATGTAATATTTCAGATATCCATCTCTCCTCGAACAACAAATTCTTTCCACTTACCAGATGACCCCTCAATCCCCATCATAATGGTGGGTCCAGGAACCGGCATAGCCCCGTTTATTGGGTTCCTACAACATAGGTATGTTCTTTTTTTGGCTAATGGGAAAATGTATTCCTGAGTAACCGTTTTTGTTTCTTTAGTCATTTTGAGGATAATTGGACTTTGTAAAATTTTTATTTAAAAAATTATTATTCAATGTGCGATAACATAATTTGTCACCATGGGAAAAGTAAACACAATGTTGTAGAGATTGTGCTTTGTACTAGAACTTCCTTTTTTACTGTGGCACTTTTAGTTTTTTCTTTTCTCAGCTACACTGGTTTGTAGCATATGTGGTTGGGGACAAATATTGGGCATACCTTCGTACTGTGATGATATACAGCTGTTGTATCTATCCCTTAATTGGATACAATTGGTAGTGACAGAGATCCAATTTTAGTAAAAGTTTCAACATTAAACTCAAACATCAGTAATTTTCAACAGAATGTTAATAAGTTTAACTTCATATCAGAACAGAAGTATTTGATATGAAATAAGTAAAATAAAATTGTACTTCTGTTTATATTTGTGAAGTAATGAGCAAGTCTTAGATACTATTTGTCAGATAGTAGAGTCCTGTCCTTCGGACAGTTATTTTATTTCGTTTTAATTTTTTCCTTAAGCAAAAGCATAATCACAGATGTCTCTGTCTCATCAGTGTGTTCACCATTTCGTAGACACTTTACACATTCTGCCTTTAACAGCCCTGAGCCACTTTTCCATAGTACAAGTTCATTTATTCATAAAATTGCTATTAATGTTATTGAATGTAGAGCTCTCTCTAGATCTCACAGTGTGATACTTTGAATTGTCCTCATTTTGTGTATGTCGGATGTAGCTGCCTCTCCACACACTTGCCTAGTGTGGCATCTGCTCGAGTGGCCATGACAGCCTGTGGAGAGTAAAATGCTAATTAAATGACTGAATGTTCAAATGCAGAGATGGATTTTACAAATCCGTCTGAGTTTGTTGGTGGTAGTTCCTAATGAAAGAGATTGGTTTTACATATTCTTTATATCACACACCTAAACTTTTTTTTTTTCCACTTAGAGAGAAACTCCAAGAACAACACCCAGATGGAAATTTTGGAGCAATGTGGTTGTTTTTTGGCTGCAGGCATAAGGATAGGGATTATCTATTCAGGTATTGTACAATTCCAGTATTGTACTCAACCACTGAGTGTACAATTCTAATTCTCAGACTTTTTCAGCTTGACAACCTTTTAGTGATCCATTATATATTATATTTCAGAAAAGAGCTCAGACATTTCCTTAAGCATGGGATCTTAACTCATCTAAAGGTTTCCTTCTCAAGAGATGCTCCTGTTGGGGAGGAGGAAGCCCCAGCAAAGTATGTGCAAGACAACATCCAGCTTCATGGCCAGCAGGTGGCGAGAATCCTCCTCCAGGAGAACGGCCATATTTATGTGTGTGGGTGAGTCATTATCGTGCCTAAGTCGGGTAGGAGAGGGCCATCAGTGATGTCTGTAGAAGAAAAAAAGGACCGAGAAGCCAATAATCTAGATATGTAGGGATAAGACATTTGATTCTTAAGTACAGGAATAGAAATAACAGTTCTGAAATGATTTTGACATATTTAATAGCCCAGAGGTTGTTATTATCAGGGAAATAGTGGTGAAAGTTAATGCTTGCATTGTACATTCTTGGTACCATTTACTTACCTGTTTTTAGCCTCTGAAAATTACACTCATGTTACTACATTAATCATGTGACTTGAAATCTCCAGATTGATTTTGTTATATATAAGAATAGGTGATTTGTGCTGTTGTGAACTATTGATAAGTAAGAAAGAAAAAGTATGATTTTTGATGCTGAGAATGTGGATACTAGGATTCTTTTTCTGCTAGGCATAATTCTTGGTGATAAAGTTGAAACGTTCTGTGTTACTGAATTTGATCTACTTTCTGAGGCAAGATCTGTTACAGGAACCCATAATTGCCATAGAAAAATTGTTTAACGCTTATTTGCTTATTTTGATAAGACTCAAAAAATTTCTGCTAGTTAAAAAGGAGTTTTGAAGTAAGAAATTCACTTTTTCATCCAAACACATTCCTAGGATTTAACACATTCTCTAAGTCAGGTTCTTTTTTTTTTCAACTGTAATGTAGAAGACAAAATACTGGCATCGTGACCCAGAACATATGGATAAAGATAATTGAAACAAGTTTCATGAAACAAAGCAACGTTTTCTGTTTAGTTTTTATAACACATTCTGATCATTTCTCTTCCATTTTATTTAGTTTGCTTTAAAAGCTAGCTTTGGCTACTAAGTTAATTTCATGTCCTTTCAATAGATTTTGACTCCTAATTGAAAAACATTGCTTTAGGTCAATAAAGGGCAGAAATTCTAGACATTGTTTTGGTTTACATTTTCCTTCGCTTTTAATGAAGTATTTAATCTGCATTTTGTTTGGCGAGGACAGTGTCATCGGTGGTCAAATACAGGCTGGAGTTTTAGAGATGCACCTCTAAATAGTAGAGGCAGAGTTCATTGTACAGATCACAGATATCTGGTCATTGAGAACTTGGAGAATATCTTAAATGTCCAGACTCCTAAAACATTATTCCAGAAATAGCTCCTCCCAATCACTGGTGCTTTACTTTGTCACATTTGTGAAATGCACTTGGAAGCATTAATAGCAGTGGTCAGAGGGCTCAGAAGGAAACCCTGGGGCACTTGAACATTGATCGTCCGTCAGGGAAGCAGGAACAAAGTAGACAGAAGGAACAGCCACTGAAGAAGCAAAATTGTCCCAAAGCCAAGAGGGTGCTGTTTCAGAGAGGGAGCCTGTACTGCTGATGAGTCAAATGAGAAGACAGCGGAGCAGGATCTTGGGGTATAAGTTCCCTGAGAATAGTGGAGAGGAGAGCCTCTTGAGACAGGTGAGACAGACACCTCTCAAGAAATTTCACTGTGAGGGGCCAGGACATGTTCAGTTCCTAACATAGTAGAGTCTTGTCTGACACTTCGCTTCATTCAGCAAACACCTGAGTGCTGGCTAAGTGCTTGGGGCATATTCAGATGTCGATAGATACGAGGATATATTAGTTTTTCTGTTGAGGAATACCTGAGACTAAAGAAAAGAGATTTAATGGGCTCACGGTTTAGGCTGTAGAGGAAACATGGTGCCGGCACCTGCTTCTGGTGAAGACCCCAGGAAGCTTCCACTCTGACAGAAGGCAAAGGGGGAGCAGGCACCTCACACGGCAAGAGAGGGAGCAAGAGGCAGGGGGAGGTGCCACACACTCAAATAGCCAGATCTCTCAGGAACTCAGAGGGAGAACTCACTCATTACAGCGAGCATAACATCAAGCCATTCATGAGGCATCTGCCCCCATGACCCAGACGCCTCCCACCAAGCCCCACTTCTAACACTGGGAACCACATTTTAACATAAAGATTTGGAGAGGGCACACATCCAAACTGGATCAGAGGATAAGTGAGTTACACTTCCTACCCTCAAACAACTTACTCCCTGGTGAGAAAGCTACATATAAACAGACGTTTCTAACGTCGGAAGTGTTCCAGAGAGGACTGCAAGAGCACCCAGGAGGGGTACCGCCCCCTTCTTGTAAATTGAAGAGTTAAGATGTAGAAGCACTTCAAAAGGACCTGGCACATAGTAAGTCCTCAATAAAGGTGTCTGTTACTAACTGTATGTGTATAAAGACCTAGAAGTGTGCGAGAGATCTGGTTCCCTTCAGGAGCACGAGTCTACTGTGTGCTTTGAGAGTGGAGGGCAGGGAATGAGGGGTGAGCCAGCAGGTGGGTCGGAGCCAGGCAGGACCTCAGATGCTTCTCTGACACCTAGGAAATCCTTGGCCTACTGTCGGGACCTGGAGCCTGTGGAGGATTGGGAGCTGTAGAACCGTGTGGTCAGCTCTGTCTCCTAGAACAGTCACTGTAGGCAAAGGCCTGGCCTGGGCATGAGTGAGGCTGGGAGATCTGTGTGAGATGTTCTGAGAAGACGGAGGGAAGAACTATGGTGGTACAGTCAAAAGGAATTAGACTTGTGAATTAAGGAGGATTTACTAAAAATGCCTGTTTGTAAGCAGTCATCTTATTATTTTCTTTTCTAGAGATGCAAAGAATATGGCCAAGGATGTACATGATGCCCTTGTGCAAATAATAAGCAAAGAGGTTGGAGTTGAAAAACTAGAAGCAATGAAAACCCTGGCCACTTTAAAAGAAGAAAAACGCTACCTTCAGGATATTTGGTCATAAAACCAGAAATTAAAGAAAGAGGATTAAGCTTTTTTGACTGAAAGTACTAAAAGTCAGCTTTACTAGTGCCAAACCTTTAAATTTTCAAAAGAAAATTTTCTTTCAACATTTCTTGAAGGACATGGAGTGGAGATTGGATCATTTAACAATATAACAAAACTTCCTGATTTGATTTTACGTATCTTCTATCTACGCCCTTCCTGTGCCTGTGACTCTCCCCAAATTGCCCTGTTGCCTTGAGCTCTTCTGAGCTAAGGCAGCCTTCAGTCCCTATCAGCGCCTCCTTTACTTCCCAGAGAACTTCACAGAGACTCTGTCCTTCCATGCAAAGGCTTCCTGAAATAGGGAGACTGACTGAGTAGCTCATTCTTGTGACTTACAGTGCCAACATTTAAAAAAGTATGAAAATGATTTATTTTTATATGATGTATACCCATAAAGAATGCTCATATTAATGTACTTAAATTACACATGTAGAGCATATCTGTTATATGTTTATGTAACTATCAAATGGTTATTTGTTACTAAAGCTATATTTCTGATAAAAAATATTTTAGGATAATTGCCTACAGAGGGATTTATTTTTATGATGCTGGAAATATGAAATGTATTTTAAAATTTCACTCTGGCATATGATTTATCTATCACCATTACTTTTTTTTAAGTCACAATTTCAGAATTTTGGGACATTTGCATTCAATTTACAGGTACCAGTACGTACATATTTTAATAGAAAGATACAACCTTTTTATTTTCACTCCTTTTATTTCTGCTGCTTGGCACATTTTTGAGTTTTCCCACATTATTTGTCTCCATGATACCACTCAAGCAGTGTGCTGGACCTAAAATACTGACTTTAGTTAGTATCCTTGGATTTTTAGATTCCCAGTGTCTAATTCCCTGTTATAATTTGCACAAACAAAACAAAATGTTATGATAATCTTTCTCCACTGTTCTAATATATATTGTATTTTTATTTGATAGCTTGGGATTTAAAACATCTCTGTTGAAGGCTTTTGATCCTTTTGAGAAATAAAGATCTGAAAGAAATGGCATAATCTTAAAACTTGGTAAGTTTTTGTGGCTGTGTAATCTCTTCATTATTATATATTTTATAATAGAAACCAATCTAAAAATATGGGATAGGAAAATATACTAAGCAAGTACTATGTAACATACATAATTACATGTGTAAGTTGTATGTATCAGCCAAGATACACTTAAGGTGAAAACATTAAAAGAGACAAAAATATTCCTTATTAATAAGATACAACAATCAAGAACTTGTGTCCACCTACCAATACTGTCTATAATTACATGACCCAAAACTTTTATCTATAAAAAGAAACTGACAAATAGTCAATCATAACTTGGTGTTGGAAACTGACCTAAGCCAATTTGCTTATACACAGCATCCAAGTTATGTCTAGAAACTGCTGGATTATCTAAGTTTTAGGTGGGTATCGTTCAGCTGCTCCCCGCAGACTTACGAGCTAGTGATAGTGAAAATACATTTCATGATAAATGCTGCTGTACATACAGATATGTATTTATTATCTATTTACTAGTTATTTTTATTATTTATTATTATCTATGATTTATTAGTAATCAGGCACAAAACAGCTCTACTATCCTAGTTTCTAAGCCTAATGAAGTTCCAGCTGTCTCTTTAGGCACTCCACCACATCTCGCAGGAAGAGTTTACTCAAGGTGCGTCACAACGTGGATGTGACTGCTCCAGGGGCAAAATTTTGTCCTTACTGTGAACCATCCTCTAACCTAGTGACTGGACATGCTATTTCAGAGTTAAGCCTCAGGCATCACCCTAGGGCCTTGCTAGATAAAGTCTTTCACCTTGCTTATGTAGGAGTAGGGAGTAGTTAGCAGTGAGGGACCTTTTCTAACCTGCTATTCTAACAAGCCACTGTAGCGCTCATTATTTTTAATAGCCAGTCTTCATACTGATCAGTGATAAAATTAACAAAAGAGCTTGTAGTAGGCAGTTCTGCAATGTGACATTTCTGATTAGAATGCTCACTGCATCTAGAGGGTTCCTTTCTGTGCTTCAGACTTATACAGTGTTTGTGGATTATTCTAAAGTGAGTTACACTGTTGTACTGAAACAATCATTCTATTGAGTCATAAACTACCGGAAAAAAAAAGAATTTGGATTTCACTGCAAACTATATGACATATATGCTACACCCAACAAACTGGGCACCCATGTTGATTTCAAATACACTTGAACCATTTTAAAACATTGACCATGAACTAAGCCATAAAGGAAAACTCAGCAAATTACATGAAATAAAGCGTTGTTCACTGACTCTAATAAAAAACCAACTGCAAAAAAACCCACAAAGGCCACAGTGAAACATTTTAAACACATGCAGATGATTCATAGCTTAAATTATTAAATGTGCACATGGAATTCAGGCGAAACAATACCCAGGGGGAGGATTCATCTATTTCACAAAGTACTGTGCACCCAGTGACCAAAATAGTTAAAACACCATTGTTTTCAGGGAGCTTTACATTGAGGAGAGACATAAAATAAAAAATCCGTGAATTGCATGGGGTCTGAGAAGGTGATAAAGGCTATGGAGGATGACAAGTCAGAGTAAATGGGATGTGTGGCCTGCAGTCTTGTAGGGTTGGTGTGACTTCATACTCAGGGAGTCTCTGAAGGTAAACACTTGAAAAAGACAAAAGAGCCAGCCATCATGAGTATCTTGTGGAGGGAAGAGTCAGAACGAAGGCCCTGAGATAGAATGGTTACAGGAAATGTGTCTTAATCCAGACCCCAGGAGAGAGTTTTTGGATCTCACACAAGAAAGAGTTTGGGACGAATCCATAAAGTGAAAACAAGTTTATTAGAGAAGTAAAGAAACAAAAGAATGGCAACTACAGAGGGCAGCTCCAAGGGCTGCTGGTTGGCTATTTTTGCGGCTATTTCTTGATAATATGCTAGGGTGGATTATTCATGAGTTTTCCCAAGAAGACGGGGGGATTTCCCCAGAACTGAGGGTTCCTCCCACTTGTAGACCTTATAGGGTAACTTCTGGATGTTGCCATGGCATTTGTAAACTGTCATGGTGCTGCTAATCCATTATAATTAGCGTATGATGAGCAGTAAGGACTACCAGAGGTCACTTGTTGCCATCTTGACTTTGGCAGGTTTTGGCTGGCTTATTTACAGCGTCCTGTTTTATCAGCAGAGTCTTTACAACCTGTATCTTGTGATACCAGTCCTGCTGCCCTCCTATCATCCTGTGATTAAGAATGCCTAACCTCCTGGGAATGCAGCCCAGTAGGCCTCAGCCTCATTTTGCCTTGCCCCATTCAAGATGGAGTCACTCTAGTTCAAACGCCTGTGAGAGAACTGCCAGACAAGTTGGAACAGCAAGAAGGGCATTGGATATTGAGCAGTGACAAAGGGGGAAACTAGTAAGTGATGACGACAGGAGAGAAATGGGGAGGTCTGATAATGGTTTCAGATCGTCATAGGATTTTGGCTTTTACTGTGAATACAAATCCATTTGGTCAGTGTTAACAGTGGAAGGTATTTGAGTTACCAGCAGTGAATCTGTATGGGTCTGCAGCAACCTCAATTCTTGCCTCTAAAGAAAGAATTCAACTGAGGGGCATAAGGCAGAAAAAGACCAAGGCAAGTTTCAGAGCAGGAGTGGAAGTTTATTTAAAAGGCTGTAGAGCAGGGAAGAAAGGAAAGGAGAGAATGCTTGGAAGAGACCCAAGCTGGCACCAAGATCAAGTGCCCTGTTTAACAGTGATGCTAGGACTTTATAGGATGGCACTTTTCCCACGATTCTTTCCTTAGGGTGGGCTGCCCGCACACTCAGTGCCTCCCTTACCCTTGGGAAGTGAGCACCCGCTGTGTGCTTAGGAAGCTGTGCACATGCCCATTTTTAAAACTTAAACCACAGGCTTTATTCCGACTTGACTTTTCCCACCAACATTTTTCCATTCCAGAATTTCATCCAGGACATCACATTGCATTTCGTTTTTTGCCTCCTGAGTCTTCTCCAGTCTGTGACAGTTTCTCATCTTTTGTTGTTTTTCATGACCTTGAAGGCCCCTGGTCAGGTATTTTGTAGGAGGTTCCTCAATTTGGGTTTGTCTGAGGTTTAAACGCACAATTACACTGGGTTTCTGGGTTTTGAGGAGAGCACACTAGCAGTTTTTTTTTTTTCTCATCGTTTCATATCATGGAGTATATGGTATAATATGATTAATCACTAGGGATCTCAACCCTGATCTCTTTGGTAAGATGGTATGTGCCAGTTTCTCTACTATAAGGTTACTCTTTTTCCCTTTTCATATGACATTGTTTGGAAATGAGTCACTAAGTTCAGCCTACATTCAAAGGAAGAGAAATTAAGCTCCACCTCCTGGAGGGGTTACTATCTACATGTATAATTTGTAATTCTTTTGCAAGGAAAAGCTGTTCCTTCTCCCAATTTAGTTACTTATTTTATCATGTATTTCTGGAAGTATGGACTCATGGATATTTATTTAATACTTTGGGTTATAATATAATACTGTATTACTTATTTTATTGCTCAAATGATCATATGTGACGTCTCTCAGGGTGACTGTTGTGTTCCTTTGCCATGCTCTCCTTTTTTGTTGGGGAGGAGGGCCAAGCCATTTTACTAAGGAGAATGGAAAGGGAGACAAAGAAGCGCTGATGACAGTGAGATCTGACATCCTTGGCTGGGCCAGAATCTTAAAGGCTTTGCAGTTGCAGAACTATTCCTGTTTTTTAAAGTTTCACGTATGTATGAGTGCTGTTTATACATGATGTCTTGGAATATGTATCATTTGTTTCACTGTTTCAGCACTTCGTTTTTTTTGGTAGTCTAAAATGCTCCAGGTTGCCCTTGATTTTTACCTATCCCAGTGTTAAGAATGAACCATTTCTCCAGTAAGTCACAATTCCTTTTATCAGAGAACCCCTGACAACCACTTAGCTATTTTCCATGCTTATAGTTTTGCCTTTTCCAGACTGTGTGATACAACTGGAATTACACAACATTGAGCTTTTTGGGTCAGACTTATTTCACTTAGTGAAATATATTTAAGGTTAACCCATGTTGTTGTGTGAATTGATATCTGGTTCCTTTTTATTGCTCAGTACTATTCTGTTGTATGGATGTACAGTGGTTTATTTATCCATTCGTTTATTGAGGGAAATCTTGGTTGCCTCCAGTTTATGACAATTATGATTAAGCTGCTGTAAACATTTGCATACATATTTCTGCATGAATATAAGTTTTTAATTTACTTGGATAAATACATCAGAGTGGGATTTTTGGGTCGTATGCTAAGTTTTTCTTTTAATTTCTAAGAAACTGTCAAACTGTTTTCTAAAGTAGCTGTCTCATTTTACATTCCCATGAACAAGGAATGAGAGTTCATGGATTTGTTTTTGAGAGACCTTTTTGAAGAGTTCAGCATTGTTAGAGTTTGCTTTGGTGCAGTCCATGTCTCCAGTCCCTGTGCATTTAAACAGTAGATTCAAAATTAAAATGATAGCATAGAAATTATAAACAACACGAAGAAATACAAATGGAGTTACTTTAGTTCTGTTATTGTGTGTGTGACCACTTGAATTTTTCCTCATGATGACTTTTGTTTAAACATTTGGAAAACATTTATTTCTTTCAGTCTCACCTCATAGATGAAAAATGCTTCAGAATATAGTTATAACTGTGAAAAGACTGTTCCTGATGTTATGATTTGCTCACTGTGAAGCTTTTCATGCACTACAGACAAATGTTGGAAAGTCTGTCTCAACTTCAAGGGCAGTGAATTCTGAAAGTTAATGTGGACACAAGAGTTTCTTCTCAGATTTCCTCCTCTGCTGCATTTTTTTTTTGAGTTATCTTCTTTTCTGGTATGAAATTGTAAATCAAGTAAGTCAGATATAAAAATATTTGCAAACAGTCAAAATCAACTCTAAAAGTGATGTAGTGAAACTCAAGCTTTAAAATTGTTCCTTGAAGAGCAGCACACAAAAATTGTGTAGAAAATTATTAACTATGTAACAACAACAAAAAGGTCAATGACATTTAGACAGAAAAAAAAAAGAAATTTCTGGGAAGAATATTAGGGAAAAGAACAACAACTGCTGGCCTTGCAGCAGCAGAAGGAATTGCAGGGTGTGTTGAATATTTTGATTATTTCCACCAGGAACTAGATACTTGTAAAGCGGTGGATTAAGCATTCTCAAGTTCCTTAATGTTTAGCCCATTTTCTCATATTCTTTTAGCAGAGAAGAAAAACTTTAGAAGCTTTCACCCAGTGTAATAGAAACTTATGATGAATTTTCTGGTGAAAATATCTTAGGGGAATTTCTTCTATTGCAGAGATGTTTGAAAACTATTATAATCCATCCTGAAGAAAGAAAAACATGAACAGTATTTCAATTTCTGGAGCTTATTGTAAAATGTGATTTTTATGAATCTCTGAAAAACTCATCCTCGTACTTAAGACTTTTTCCAAGTCTTCATACATCTATGACTCCACATGAAAAAAACTTTTCAAAATTAAAATTTAAGAAGTTTTTCAATTCGAGTGAAGAAAGCTGATAAATTCTCTTAAATATCCATAGAATGTGAATATACAAAAATTAATTTTTGTAAATATGCAGAAGTTACAGATCAAAAGCAGATACTATAATATAATTCGCAGTGGTTTAAGACCAATATGTAGGTGTAAGTTTCCCTTGTTTTCCCAAAAAACACATTAGTGCAATTAAAAAGAATTTATCGCTTTTTGTCTTTAAAATTTTTTAAATTTATCCCAATAAATATAAATTTTGAGGGTATATCTGCTAATTTAATACCTTTATATAATTTGTAAAGATAAAATCACTGTAACTAGAATACCCATCACCTTAAATATTGGTCTTTTCTTTATGCTAGAAACATTCAAATTATTCCCTTCTGACTATTTTGAAATATTTAATAGATGATTGTAAACTATGCTAACCCTACTGATCTATCAATCACTAGGTTTTATTTATTCTAACAAATTGTATATTTGTCCCCATTAGTCAAACCTTTCTTCATCCTCCCCTTCCCTCTACCCTTCCCAGCCTCCAGTAATCACCAATCTACTCTATATCTTCATGAGATCCACTTTTTTTTAGCTCCCACATATGAGTGAGGCTATGCAATATTTTTTTAATTTCCTTCTTAATTTCTTCATAGACCCATTGGTCATTCAGAACCGTGTTGTTTAATTTCCATGCGTTTGTGTGCTTTCCAAAGTTTCTTTTGCTATTAATTTTTAGTTTTATCCTATTGTGGTCTGAAAAGATACTTGGTATGATTTATACATTTTTGAATTTGTTGATACTTTTTTTGTGGCTATTCTGGACTTTTGGGGTCTATTCTGGACCTCTACATGCCAGTGTTTTTATTTTTATGAATCTATTATAGATTTTGCATTGTAGTTACTATGTGGCTTACAAAAACCAACTTATACATGTAAAAATTTATTTCAAAGAGGTGAAAACTTATCTTAGATCACACAGAAAAGAATAGAAAAAATGAAAAAAGCCTATATACTTCATCCCCCAGTTTTGACTTTATATTGTCTCAATTTTCATATTTTTATACTGCCTATTTCTTAACAGGTTGCTGTATCTATTATTGTTTTGATAGACTTGTCTTTCTTTCTTCATACTAGAATTATGAATGGATTGCTCACCATAATTGCAGTGTTAGCATATTCTTGGTTTTCCGTGTACTTAATTCTATCAGTGTGTGTTATACTTCCAAATGTTTTCTTTTTTCACTGAAGTGTTTTTATTTATTTTAGATTGAAGAACACCTTTTAGCATTTCTTGTAAGATGGGTCTCTTGGTGAATTCTCTCAGCTTTTGTTTGAGATATCTCATTCATATTTGAAGGATTGCTTTGCTGGATACAGTATTCTTGAATGGAAGCGTTTTTTCTTTCAGAACTTTGAAAATGTCACCCCACTGTTTCCTGGTCTGTATAGCTTTCATTAAGAAGTCTGTTGCCCAATGAATTGGAGTTTCTTTGTACATTGTTGATTTTGTCTTGCTGCTTTTAGGATCCTCTCTTTTTCTTTGGCTTATGATAATTTGATTGTTATATGCCTTGGAGTAGTTGTATTTGGATTGAATCTGTTTTGCGTTTGCTGACCTTTCTAAAGCTGGATATTTATCCCTTTCTTAAGTTTTGGAAAGTTTTCTGTTATTATTTTTTTGAATAAGCTTTCTATCCCTTGCTCTTGCTCAACTCCCTCTTGAATACCACTAATTATTAGTTTTGATCTTTTCAGGTAATTTTCTATATCTTGTAGCCAATCTTCATTTGTTTTCATTATTTTTTCTCTTCTGACTATTTATTTTCAAATGGTCTGTCATAGAGCTCATTGATTATTTCTTCTCCTTGACCTGATCTGCTGAGAGCCTCTAATGAATTTTCCATTTCGGCAAATGAATTTCTCAGTTCCAAGATTTCTGTTTGACTTTTTATTATGATTATTTCAATCATTTAGTTAAATTTCTCTGATAAGTTTCTGAATTGCTTTTCTGTGTTATCCTGAATATCACTGAGTTTCCTTAAAACTGCCATTTTGAATTCTTGGTCAGAGAGTTCACATATCACCATTTCATTAGGGTCAGTTGCCAGTTCCTTGCTTTGTCCATTTAGGAGAGATCATGGTTCTCTGCTATTGTTTCTGTTGGATGTACATCTGTGTCTTTTCATTGAAGAATTAGTTATTTATTCTAGTCTTCTCTGACATTTTTGTTTTTTATTGGATATGTTTTCTTAGAGATCCTTTATAATTTACCTTTTGATATTTTTTCTTTTTTTCCCCTACTAGGTTGCTGCTCCCTTTTCAGCAGTAGATGACACCTTAAGACCAAGTTTGCCTTGGTTCTAGTAAGCAATCAGAGTACCACCTATCTCAAATCAGAAGGTTTCAAAGGGGATATCCCAGTAGTATGAGAAGGCTGGGGGTTCATGCCCAGAGGACCTGTGAAACAAACCTCTTACAGCATCATGCTACTGAAGAGCCACTCTGATTTAGTGTTTTAGTTGGCCAAATTACAGAGCAAAATTTTCAGGCCTAGGGATGGTAGTTCCACCTTCCCTCTTTGTCTCTGGCTGTTCTCAGGGATATTTCTCCCTTCAGACACTACTGATAGTTTCTGTGGGCAAAAGGGAAAGGTCTCCTACTAGGGTGCCCTGAATGGTGGGGAAGCTGATTGTCCACCTTGATGTCACTTTTTTCAGTGTAGAGACTGTATGTTGAGGGAAAATTTTCCACATGCTTTGTGATGGGCAGATTGGGTGGAGGGGCATTATGAATATGGAAGTCTGATTCCCTTACTGTCTGCTTAAAATTTGTTCAATTCTCTGTGATTCCAGGAACTGTCTCATTCTCATCTGAGTCCTGGAATACTACTGGTGATAATCTTGGCACTGTGTATTTGTTTCTGGGTTTCTGTGGGGAGGAGGTAATGAGGCCAACTTGTTTCTACACCACCATTTTGGAATGGGAAGCTTTCATTTAAGTTGTAATACTTATTTTACTTTTTATTTTTAACTGGAATGATATATACATAGATGAGGTTCAGTAAAACTTTTTTTTAACTGACTGTAAACATTTTTACTGACCGTGTTTTACTGACTGTGCTTTTTAATGACTGTGAACATTTTTACTGTGTTTATTTTCCACCATCATTAATATATGTTTCATTACATAATTACTACTGAAAAGAATTTTGTCACATAAGGGATGTGATAAACCATTATCTGCTTGGGTTTCAAATGTGTTATGGATAACACTGCTGAACCAAAGCATAACTTTTGAAAGAGGAAGTACATGGGATCATCATAATAAATAATACAGTGTCCTGAGTGATGAGCTTTCTATTATGCTACAGGAAGAATTTCATTAAAAATAATAATAGAAAAACATTTAAAAATTTTACCATTTTATTAACATTCTATATTTTTCTACTCCGTTAAAATGCAGAAGTCAGAAAATGGAACATTTCCCTTTCACTATTTCTGCCATTAAAAAAATAGTACATTTTCTTGATTGTTTGTCATCTTAAACTACCTTTATCCTTTTGCAAGGTAGACTCTTCAGTATCTTTTTTAATCACAACAGATTAGAATATATACGATGGTACTTCGGAATATATGAATTACATTTTAATTTCTGAATGTTTATCTTATTTAATGTCAAATATATATATGTGTGTGTGTGTGGGTGTGTATGTATAGTACTTGTATGGCTTAAGGCTTCAAATGCTACTCAAAATAGTATCCACACTAAATCATTTTCTCTGAAAACACTCCTTCCTGTGTTTTGAGCTGGGCTCTGGGTAAACAAAAAAAGGAGTAAAGCTTAATAATGTTTCCTGTATCTCCAGTCTGCTGGCCTTCTCGTTCAACCAAGAACTTTGATTTGCAGATTTGGTGTTAACAGCCTTTGTAACATTGTCCTCGTTTTGAGGAAATTATTAAATCTTTATCAACCTTTGTAATTGGGTAGGCATGTTAACCTAAATGGATAGGAATTTTGATAGTGGCTCATTAGTTTATTTAATAAAAGTGTTTAAAGCTATATCTGACACAAAATAAGTATTTAAAATGTATGAGTATTTATGCTACTGTTACTGCTATTACTATTACTACTATCACTTCTACAAATGTTCCTGGAGAAACACCAGGTTGATGGGTGTGCTCTGAATTTTGGAGAAGGATTTAATGTACAACAAGGTCATTTTGATGTGTTTTTAGTTCTCCTGGCAAGTGCCCAGCTCATCACATGGTTCCAGAGCAGACATCTGTCTCCATGGTCCTTTATTCAGTAGCAGTTAACTCAGCACCTTTCACAGCTTTAATTCATTTTCTAAAGGTTAACAGGCAAAGAACAGGTTCAGAAAAGGTCTAAATCATGTTTTTATTTTTCCAGGTGGATGACTTTAACAAAAGATCATGACTCCATTGTGTATAAGAGCAGTTAAATTCTGCCTTTGTTTCAGAACATATCTGTAGGTTATTAAGTTTTTCTTTTGCTTCAGTATTTTCAAGGGGAAGTGAGAAAGTTGTAATTTCTTTGTAAGAAGTTTCTCTGTAAAATATGTGAGCTACTGTCACAAGACCCAGTACAGCTGAGGGACTTAGCCGCTGTATCAGTCTGTTTTCACGCTGCTGATAAAGGCATACCCCAGACTGGGCAATTTACAATTTACAAAAGAAAGAGGTTTATTGGACTCACATTTCCACATGGCTGGGGAGGCCTCATGATCATGGTGGAAGGTGAAAGGCACTTCTCACATGATGGCAGACAAGAGAAGAGAGCTTATGCAGGGAAACTCCCCTTTTTAAAACAATCAGATCTTGTGAGACTTACTCACTATCATGAGAATAGCATGGGAAAGACCCGTCCCCATGATTCAATTACCTCCCACAGGATCCTTCCCACAACACATGGGAATTCTGGGAGCTACATTTCAAGATGCGATTTGGGTTGGGACACAGCCAAACCATATCATTCCGACCCTGACCCCTCCCAAATCTCATGTCCTCACATTTCAAAACCAATCATGCCTTCCCAAGAGTCCCTCAAAGTCTTAACTCATTTCACTGTTAAAAGTCTACCATCCAAAGCCTCATCTGAGACAAGGTAAGTCCCTTCTGACTATGAGCCAGTAAAACCAAAAGCAAGTTAGTTACTTCCTAGATAAAATGAGGGTACAGGTGTGGATAAATGCAGCCATTCCAAATGGGAGAAATTGGCCAAAACAAAGGGGCTACAGGCCCCATGCAAGTCCGAAATCCAACAGGGTAGTCAAATCTTAAAGCTCCAAAATGATCTCCTTTGACTCCATGTCTCACATCCGGGTCACTCTGATGCAAGAAGTGGGTTCCCATAGTCTTGAGCAGCTCTGCCCCTGTGGCTTTACAGGGTACAGCCTCCCTCCTGGCTGCTTTCATGGGAGGGTTGAGTCTGTGACTTTTCCAGGCACATGGTGCAAGCTGTCGGTGGATATACCATTCTGGGGTCTGGAGGATGGTAGCCCTCTTCTCACAGCTCCACTAGGCAGCACCCCAGTGGGGACTCTCTGTGGGGGCTCTCACTCCACATTTCCCTTCTGCACTGCCCTAGCAGAGGTTTTCCATGAACGTCCTGCCACTGCAGCAAACTTGTTCCCGGACATTCAGGCATTTTCATACATCCTCTGAAAACTAGGTAGAGGTTCCCAAACCTTAATTCTTGACTTCTGTGCACCCACAGGCTCAACACCATGTGGAAGCTGCCAAGATTTGGGGCTTACACCCTCTGAAGCCACAGCCCAAGCTGTACCTTGGCCTCTTTTAGTCATGACTGGCGTGGCTGGGATGCAGGGCGCCAAGTTCTTAGGCTGCAGACAGCAGAGAGACCCTGGGCCTGGGCCCACAAAACCATTTTTACCTTCTAGGCCTCTGGGACTGTGATGGGAGGGGCTGTTGTAAAGGTCTCTGAGATGCCCTGGAAACATCTTCCCCATTGATTAACATTGGGCTTCTCATTACATATGCAAATTTCTGCAGCCTGCTTGAATTTCTTCTCAGAAAATGGGATTTTCTTTTCTATCACATTGGTCAGGCTGCAAATTTTCTGAACTTTTATGCTCTGTTGCTCTTTTAAAACTGAATGCCTTTAACAGCACCCAGGTCACCTCTTGAATGCTTTGCTGCTTAGACATTTCTTCTGCCAGATACCTGAATCATCTCTCTCAAATTCAAAGTTCCACAAACCTCTTAGGGCAGGAGCAAAGTGCTGCTAGTCTCTTTGCTAAAACATAACAAGAGTCACCTTTGCTTCAGTTCCCAACAAGTTCCTAATCTCTGTCTGAGACCACCTCAGCCTGGATTTCATTGTCCATATCATTATCAGCATTTTGGTCAATGCCATTCAACAAGTCTCTAGGGAGTTCCAAACTTTCCCACATTTTCCTGTCTTCTGAGCCCTCGAAACTGTTCCAACCTCTACCCAGTTCCAAAGTTGCTTCCACATTTTTGGGTTTCTTTGCAGCAGCACCATGCTCTACCAGTACCAATTTACTGTATTAGTCCATTTTCATGCTTGTGATAAAGACATACTTGAGACTTGGCGATTTACAAAAGAAAGAATTTTATTGAACTCACAGTTTCACGTACCTGGGGAGGCCTCACAGTCATGGCAGAAGGTGAAAGGCATGTCTTACATGGCAGCAGACAAGAGAAGAGAGCTTGTGCAGGGAAATGCCCCTTTTTAAAACCATCAGATCTTGTGAGACTTATTCACTATCACAAGAATAGCATGGGAAAGATGCATCTGCATAATTTAATTGCCTCCCACTGGGTCCCTCCTGCAACACGTGGGAATTATGGGCGATACAATTCAAGATGGGATTTGGGTGGGGACACAGCCAAACCATATCAGCCACATACACAAATTGTTTTCCCATTTGCACTCGTACTTAATAGCAACTACACATAGTTAATCTGTAGTTGTAGCAAATTATCACTCACCTGCATTTCTGCCTTATTAACTCAAGATGGTTTCATTTGGAGTTAGACTGGAAAATTCCAGAGGATGAATGTGGTTTGATCCAGTAAGATTTGGGAATAAACTGTGATTAGGCAGCCAAGTATGGTCCTTAGTGATGCACTGATGTGCTTTAATAATTTTAGATCCAACAACTAACACATGTTGAAATTCTATGGGACAAAGTTACTGAATGTGAAATACAAAAAATAAGGGAAAAGCAAATGGGAAATACTTCTTGCCCATTTTCTCCCTTGAATATTAGATCTACAGTTCCACTTGCTGTCTAATCAAAGTATTGTAGCTGAGAAACTCAAAATACTCCCCTACTGAGCAGTAAATGACCTGGTTCTCTTAAAAGAACTTAAATAGTACCTAAATAGGGCGGAATTTCTCCCTCAATGCTTCAGAGCTGACCTGAGCCAAAGTCCCAAGTCAATTAAATCTGCATTATAACCCTGTCTCTCAGTTTTCCCTGTGTAACACAGAACAGGTTCAATATGGGAGATGCATCCTTCAGTGGAGGAAAATCAACCAGAGCACAGAGCATGGTTAATGTAAACCATTAATCAGGATACCGAGGTTTCAGACTACTCCCTCTGAATATTCTGCCTTGGAGAAGGAGAGGTGAAATTTTATAGAGCCTTAGCGAGTGGGTCGGCCTAAGTTTAGCTAGTTTCTGGAATAGTTAGTCCAAGATTATTCTTAGAAGAAGGATGTTCTGGCGTTTATCAGTCTTTATTTGAGCAGCTTCTGTTTAGCAAGAGAAGTTGGGAAGGAACAGCTATGGGGCCAAGATATTGAGGCTGCATCGAAAATGTTCTGGTTTGACTGCCAAATCAACCAAAATAAAGGCAACCAACGGATCAGGTTAATGGAGTGTCTCTGAGATGGACAGGGACCCTTCGCACTCCTGCACCAGGACAGCGCCCAAGCATCTGGAGGAATCTGCACATTCTATTGATGGCAATGAGGAATCAAATCTGTAATGCCAGGGGGCAAAGTTGGGTGGAGGCACCCTCACATTCCCATGGCACCTGCCCTTATTCCAGTTTACAATCGTGGACCTGAATCCAGTGAAGCCACTCATGGGCTGCCTTTCAGCCCCACTTGAAAGAATCCTTCTACTGGGGCTGGGAAAGAGCAGCTTGGTGACCTTTTCCAGCCTCTTGGCATCAGCTTGGGTGGGAAAGCTGGGTGGGCAGGGGAAGAGTCTCCTGAGGGTGGAGAAAATCAGGCAGAGGCACCTTAGGAGGAGCCATGTAGCTGTACAAACAGAAACATTATTGGGAGCTTCAGCTAAAAAGCTTGGACCTGTGTGTTTTTAGTGTTATATACATATGTATCCATCCATCCATCCGTCCATCCCTCCATCCAACAAATGCTCAGTGAGCCCCTGTTACAAACCTGTTCCTTGCTAGGTGCTCCACAAAGAATGCACAGTCTAGGGTGGGAGACAATTACATTAATTGATAAATTATTAGATAATAGTTAAGATAAGTCACACTGTAAACATATTGAGAATTTCTGTCCTTGTCTGTCTCTTCAGGCACTCTTATCACCACTCCTAGTCTCAATTTATTGAGACTTCAGCAACGTAAAGCTGCTTGTTTCTCCTGAAAAATATGCCACACTTTCAGGCTTCTATTCCTTTTAAATACTGTAACCAATGTTTGGAATGACTCCTATTCCCCATTTCTGCTTGTCTACTTGGCCAATTTTCCCATCCCTCAAAACTCAGCCCAGGAGAGGTTGCTTGGTGTAGCTGCCATGATTCTGGCTCATTTGGTTCCTGGCTGATTTAACCACTGCCTGTTGTTGTCACCAGACCACTAGCCAGTGACCATACTGGGTTGACACTGTTCACAGGAGGCCACCTCACTGAGCTCTAAGTTCTTTTTTGGCCTGGACTATAGCACTGCATCTTCATAATCCCTGTGAGTGGTGCACTGTGGGTTACCCAAAAATGCTTGCTGGAGAAATGGAATGAACTAATGGTGTGCTCTGGCAGCAAGGAAGATCAATTAGCCAACTCTTGTTTCCTCATCATTCCACAATCATCCATAGGTATTTCTAGTGTGTGCCAGGCCTATGCTGGGAGCTGAGGTCACTGTGGTGAGTGTAGTACCTCTCCTCACAGAGCTTTCCCTCTGACAGACGTCAAATGCAGTTATCAATAGTCACAGAACAGTACGCATATGATCGTGAGGCTTTGGGTTAAAGACCCTATGACTGTGGGAAGCCCAGGTAGAAGGGATGAAGGTGACAAGGCCCCATCCCAAGCTGTGGCAGGGTCAAGGCAGAGGCAGGGGTTAGAATAGGAGAGGGAAGGAGCCTTCAGGGAGGTGTCAGCAAACAAAGCCCTGTCCATGAAGATGAGGTTCTTTTTGCTGGTTGTAATTATCCTGCAAGTGTCTGGGATCTCAGTGGAATAAAAGGCCAGCCTCCAGACAAATGGAAATGAGTCTAGGAGATGAAGGAAGAAATAAGTGAAAAGGTTCCCAAAGCAGGCAGTTCTGCAAAGGGAGCAAACATAAAATTGAAGAGGTATATGAAGGTCTTCTTCAATTTACCTTAATAATAAAAGTATCTATTTCCTTGGCTTTCAGAATTTAGCCCTCAGGGCAGTTAAATTGGAAATGATAGCGGTATTGTGTAATGTTTACTTTGAACCACACATGTAAGAATGATTTAGGAACTGGATTCTATTACAAATGCCCACATAAACCTCTAGGGCTCCCTCATCCTGCTCACATTTCAAACAGCTTGTCTCTCCACATCACCGCAAAGCTGCTTTTCTTGGGAGAATTCATTATAAAACTCGAAGGGCAGTTTGGACGAGGGCAACCATTAGGCTAGATCACTTACAAACTGGTGTAGGTATTGGAAAATGAATGGGAATAAATACTGTTTGAAATACTACAGGGAAGCTTACAAGCCTCAGCTTCCTGGTGTGACATCATTATTGTGCATGATCCTAGAATGAGTGGGAACGTGCCCACTTAGGCTTATTTCCATAGAAATGTCATTGGATTTTTTTTTTTTTAAACCAAGGAAACTCGAATCACAAAGTTGGTTCCAAGGCTGGTTCTTACACCATCTTGACAAGCCATTCATTCACACACCATCTCAACAAGTGACATCATCTTGACAAGACCTTGATCTTCCTCTGTACATCCAGGCAGCCAAGCTGTATGAACTGGAGCTTTCCATCTATAGTCTTCTGTTTCTTAGTATGCGGGTTATACAAGTGTTAACTCAGTGTAGATTGAGAAAAAAGAAAAACTACCAGCAAATGTTCTATTGAGACAAAAAAGATATGGGAGAGTGTTTTCAAAAATTATAAAGTTCTAGGCAAATGGCTGCCTTCTTATTACTAGTATTATAACTTTTGTTAAATATTTGATCGATTCCTCACTTTCCCTTAACAGAAATATGTTTAATGGACATTGGAAAGAGAAAATGTTGTTGAATTCTGAAAGTTTAGGTAAGTTATTGTATTAGTTTGTGAGGACTGTCATAACAAACTACCACATTCTGGGTGGTTTAAACAAAGGAAATTTATTTTCTCACTGTTCTGGAAGCACAGAAGATCAATGTCAGCAGGGTTAGGTTTTTCTGAGGCCTCTTTCCTTGGCTTGTATATGGCTGTCTTTTCCTTGTATTGTCACATGGTATTTTCCCTGTATATGTCTGTATTCAAATTTCTTCTTCTTGTAAGGACACCAGTCATACTGGACACCCTAATGACTCTATTTTAACTTAATTACCTCGTTAAACACCCCATCATCAAATATAGCCACATTCTGAAGTACCGGGGGTTAGGACTTCAACGTATAAGCCTGGGAAGGTGGATATAACTCAATCCATAACAGTTATTGCATCACAGTTTTTACAGCTTTATTGAATGATAACTGTCATACAATCAACTACACGTTTAAAGTTCACAATATGGTGACTTTTGACATCTGCATATCACTGAGTTGAAATAATGAACACCAAGAACTTTTCTGTGACCCTTTGAAACACATACTTTCCATCACTTCAATACCCCTGTTGTTGCAAACAACCGAGGGTCTGCTTTATGTCACTATAGAGTACTTTACATTTTCTAGAACTTTCTATGAATTGAATCATATGCTATGTACTTTCCTTTTCTCTGACTTCTTTCAGGCAGCATAAATGTTTTAAAATTTGTTTATGTTGTTGCATGCATCAGTAGTTTATCCCTTGTTATTGCTGAGTAATATTCCATTGTATGAATATATCATGATTTGCTGATTCATTCACATTTTGATGAAAATTTGGGTTTTTCCAGTGTTTGGCTATTTCAGATAAAGCTGCTGTGACTTTGGTGCACAGGAATTTGTGTGACTATATGCTTTTATTACTTCAGCAGATCCCTAGATATGGAATAACTGGGCCATGTGAAGGTAATGTTTTTAGAAACTTCCAAAGTGTTTCCCAAAGAGGTTGTGCTACTTTATAAGAAACGGTTTTATTTTTATTTTTTATTTTTTTGCTTCACATCCTCACCAGGTATACTTGTTCTGGTCAGTCTCTTTTGATTTTAGCTATTCTCATGTTTGTGTTGTGTTATCTCATTGTGCTTTTAACCTGCATTCTCCTAATGACTACTGATGTTGAGCTTATTTTCAGCTGTTTATTTGCCATTCATTTATCATCTTTGGTAGAGTGTCCGTTCAAAACTGTTTTCCATATTTTATATTTTATCATTAGGCTGTAAGAGTTTTATTTTATATATTCAGAAAAAAGTTTTCATCAAATATATATTTTTTCCCATTTGGTGACTTACAGTTTCATTTTTAATACATATTTGGAGAGGAGAAATTTTTAATTAAAATGAAGTCCAAAGTTCTTTTCCTTTTTTAAAATTGTTAGTGCCTTTTGGGTTCTACTTAAAAACATCTGCCAAGCTCAAGGTCTCTAAGATTTTCTCCTATGTTTTGTTTGGGAAATGTTATGATTTTATCTCTTAAATTTAGGTTTATGACCCATTTTCAGGTAGTATTTATGTATTATGTAAGGTAAGGGTTGTGGTTCATTTTTCATGCATATGGATAATGGATATCCACTTGCTCCAGCACTATTTATTTAAACAATTGGACTTTCCTTATTGTGTCACCTTGGTACCTTTGTCAAATTTGAATTGCTCGTCAATAGTTGACCCTTGAACAACACAGAAGTTAGAAATGCTGATTCCCTGTGTAGTCAAAAATCCACATATAATTTTTGACTTCCCCTAACTTAACTACTAATAATTTGCTGTTGACTGGAAACTTTACCAGTTTCATTATGGCACTCATTATGAAGTTTTTTATCCTCATTGTCTTCATGTTGAATGCAAATAAGAGGAGGAGGCAAAAGAGGAGAGGTTGGTCTGGCTGTCTCTTGAGTGGCAGAAGTGCAAGAAACTCCACATATGGTGGAACTGCACAGTTCAAAGTTGTGTTGTTCAAAGATCAACTGTACAGTGTGGCTGTGTTTCTGGATTCTCTAACCTGTTCCATTGATTTCTATGTTTATCTTTATGCCCATACAAAACTAGCTATTATAGGTTTACAAAGTTTTGAAATCAAGTAGTGTAATTCTCCAACTTTGTTCTTCTGTTATAAAATATGTTATTTCTAGGTTCATTGCATTTCCATACAAATTTTGGAATGAGCATTTCAATTTCTGCAAAAAAAATTATTCTCAAACTTTAGTTTTAATTGCATTGGGGAAAACTGACATCTTTACAATACTGAGTCTTTCCTTCATAAAACATAGGATACTCTTCTATTTATTTAGACATTTAATTTCTTTCAGCAATGCTTTATAAATTTTAGTGTACACATTTTAGAAAGTTTTTGTCAAATTTATCTAAATATTTCATTTTTTTCATGTGCTTTTAAATGGTATTTTTAAAAGTTTCAATTCCCAGTTGTTCATTGCTGGTGCGTAGAAATGTAATTGATTTTTGTATATTGACCTTTTATCGTGTAACCATGATAACTCAATTATTAGTTATAATAGCTGTTTTTTAAATGGCTTAAGATTTTCTACATAGATAAGCACATAATCTGCAAGTAAAGAAAATTATACTTTATTATTTCAGTCTTCGCATACTTTATTTCTTTTTCTTGTGTTATTGCACTGGCTATAACATTCAGTATAATGTTGAATAAAAGTGGGGAGAAGAGATTTTTTTACTTGTTTCTGATCTTTGGGGGAAAACTTTTTTTTTTTTTTTTTTTTGTTTTTTTGAGATGGAGTCTCGCTCTGTCGCCCAGGCTGGAGTGCAGTGGCACAATCTTGGCTCATTGCAAGCTCTGCCTCCTGGGTTCACACCATTCTCCTGCCTCAGCCTCCTGAGTAGCTGGGACTACAGGCCCCCGCCACCACACCTGGCTAATTTTTTGTATATTTAGTAGAGATGGGGTTTCACCATGTTAGCCAGGATGGTCTCGATCTCCTGACCTCGTGATCCGCCTGCCTTGGCCTTCCAAAGTGCTGGGATTACAGGCGTGAGCCACTGCACCTGGCCCATTTTTTTTTATCATTGCATATGATGTTACCTCTAGGGTTTTCATAGATGCCCTTTATCCAGTTTCAGAAGCTTCATTCTATTTTTAAGTTGCTGAGAATCTTTGCCATTAATGGATGTTGGATTTTGTTAAATATTGATGGCATGTATTGAGATGTACATAGGGGTTTTCTTTATTGGTCTGTTGACATGGTAAATTAAATGGCTTAATTTTTGAATAATACAGTAACTTTGTCTTAAGATAAACCTATGTAGCCATCATATTATCCTTTTTACATATTGTCAGATTTGATTTAAAATGTTTTTTAAAATAACTTTTGTATCTATTACCATGACATATATTGGCCTGTAGTTTTCTATTTTGCAATGTCTTTTTTTTTCTTAATCAGGATAATACCTCACAGAATGAGTTCTGGGGAATGTTCCTTCCTTTCTTTTTCTGAAAATATTTGTGTAGAATGGGTATTATTTCCTCCATAAATGTGTGGTATAATTCACCAGTGAATCTACCTAGAGTTTTATTTGTGGGAATGGTTTTATTTATAAATTCAATTAGTTTAATAGGTATTGGAATATTCAGGTCATCTACTTCTTTGTGAGGAAAATTTGGTAGTGTGAGACAATTTCTTTTTGAATTAGTTTTTTAAGGAATTTGTCTTTTTCATTCAAGTTGTAAAATTTATTGACTAAAGTTGCTTATAATATTTCTTCATTATCATTCTACTGTCTATAGAATCTGTTGTGATGGATTCTCTCTTTTTTCAAATGACTAGTCAGGCTAGAAGTTTATCAGTTTTGTTTATCTTTTCAAATAACCAGGATTTAGTTTCATTGGTTTTATCTGTTGTGTTTCTGTCATCTGTCATTGATTTCTGCTCTTAACTTTATATTTTCCCATCTTCCATTTACTTTGGGTTTAATATGATATTTTAACAAAATCTTGTTTCTTAAGGCAGAAGCTTAGGTAACTGATCTGAAACCTTTCTAATGTAAGTGTTAACACCATAAATTTCCTTTTAATTACTACTTAAGTTGCATCTTATGATTTTTGATGTCATGACTTTATTTGAAAATACTCTAATCTTCTGTTATTATTTCCTCTTTGCTTGATGTATTATTTGGTAGTATGTTGTTTACTTTACAAATATTTATAGATTTTCCAGATATCTTTCTGTTATGAATTTTTAATTTAATTTCTATGGTTGGAGAACATACTTTGTATAATAAAAGACTTTTGAAATGTTTGACACTTCTTTTATGACCTGTAATATGGTCTATCTTGGTTATGTTTCATGTTCACTTTTGAACAACGTGCATGTATAGAAACTTATATAAATGTTAATTAGCTCAAGTTGATTTTATGGTGTTGTTCAAACCTTCTATGTCCTTGCTGACTTTCTGTCTACATGTTTTATCAATATCTGAGAAAGGGGTGTTGAAATCTCCAGCTATAATTGTGAATTTAATCTCTTAATTATTTCATTTTTACCAGGTTTATTATCTTGATATATTTTGAAAACACATATTTTTATGTACAAAAAATTTAGAATTGTTATTTCTTCTTGATGAACTGGCATGTTTTCATTATGAAACTGCCTTCTCTCTGTCTCTGGTAATGTCTCTTTTCTTAAAACTAGTGTTTTCTTAAAACTGGTGTTCTGCAAACACCATGGAAAGCTAGTTGTATACTTTTTATTCTAGGTGAGGGCAGACACATCAATTAGAGATAATAAGATTTGTAAGTGATTTGTGGTTTAGATTTGCATTTCTCCAATGATTAGTGATGGTGAGCAATTTTTCATATACCTGTTGACCATTTGTATGTCTTCTTTTAAGGGATGTGTATTCAAATCTATGCCCATTTTTAAACCAGATTCTTTGTTTTTTTACTAAGTTTTTTGAGTTTCTTATATATTCTGGCTATTAGTTCCTTGTCAGATGGATTTTGTAGATTATCTCTTCACTTTGTTGATCGTTTACTGTGCACAAGCTTTTTGCTTGATGTGATCCCATTTGTCCATTTTTGCTTTGGTTGCCTGCACTTTTGGTTTTATCAAGAAATCTTTACCCAGACCAGTCTTCTGGAGAGTTTCCCCAGTGTTTTTTTTCTAGTAGTTTTATAGTTTCAGGTCTATTATTTAAGTCTCTATTTTGATTCCACTTTGTATATGGTGAGAGCTAAGGGTCTAGTTGCATTATTCTGCATATTAATATTCAGTTTTCCCAGCACCGTTTATTGGAGAGACTGTTCGTTCCCCAGTGCATGTTCTTGGCCCCTTTGTCAAAAATGAGTTGACTGTAAATACATAGACTTATTTCTGGGTTCTCTATTCTGTTTCATTGGTCTTTGTGTCTATTTTTTCTGCCACTACCATGCTGTTTTGGTTATTACAACTTTGTAGAAAACTAAAATAAAATATCATCTCACCCACGTTAAAATAACTTTTATTTTAAAAAAGGCAATAACAGATGCTGGAAAGAATGTGGAGAAAGGGGAGCCCTCCTTGTACATTGTTGGTGGGAATGTAAATTAATTAGTACAGCCACTATGGAGAACAATATGGAAGTCGCCCTCAAAATAAAAGTAGAACTATCATCTAATCCAAAATAAAAGTATCTATTAATTCAAAATAAAAGTAGAACTATCATCTAAACTGCTGGGCATATATCCAAAAGAAAAGAAATGAGTATATCAAAGAGATATCTGCACTGCCTTGTTAATTGCAACACTATTCACAACAGCTTCAAGACATAGAATCAATCTAAGTGTCCATCAATTAATGAGTGGACAAAGAAAATGTAATATATATACACAATGGAATATTATTCAGCCCCCCAGAAAATAAAATCCTGTCATTTGTAACCACATGTATGGAACTGGAGGCCATTATGTGGAGTAAAACAAGCCAACCACAGAAAGATAAATATTGCATGTTCTCACTAATATATGAGAGCTGAAAAAGTTGACCTCATGGAGATAGAGAGTAGAATGAAGATTGCCAGAGGCTGGGAAACGTAGCGCAGAGGTGGGGGATAGAGGGGTGCTAGTTAATGGGCACGAAAATACAGTTAGATAGTAGGAATAAGATCTAGTGTTCGGTAGCACAATAGAGAGATCATAGTTAACGACAATGTATTGTATATTTCAAAATAACTAGAATAGTGAAATTTGAATGTTCTTAACATAAAGAAATAATAAATGCTTGAGGCAATGAGAATATCCCAATTACCCTGATTTGATAACTGCACATGGTATGCTTGTATCAAAGCATCACATGTATCCCATAAATATGTACAACTGTTACGTATTCACAAAAATTAAAGATAAAAAGATTTATGGGTGAAAAAATTGTCTATTTTTTCAGGCCGCACTTGTCAAAAGGAAGCTGAATAGTTGGCTTTTAATATGTAATATTAAATAGGGTTTATCAACTGTTGTGTTCCCATGGTCTTTAGAATATGAATATGTAGAAAACAAAAGTTGAAAACTTAAATTTAGTTCATTATTTAATTTTTTTCTAGAATGGTGATTTTCCTAGTTTGTTAACTATGTTTTAGCCAATTTTGATTTTAACTATTAAAATCTTTCCTTTAATGGTTTTAATATGGTGTTGATTTTTGGTTATACAATTTTACACAACCAGAGAGTCACTTTCTTTAAGAGATCCTAATGTACATGGAAAAATAGAAAGCCTTCATCAGTTTTATTTTGGAGAGCAGGTGGGCCCCTATGCTACAGGCTTTCCAAAAGAACTCAAACAGATACTGCACCCCCACCTGAGGAGTAATGCTGTATACATGTAAATCATTTCCTATATGCCACAATGGACATCTGGGTCTTGATGTGAACCAAAGCAAAGGTCAATCTGTGGAAAACATTAAGTTTTTGCTCTTTTTCTCCTGTTTGCTTTTATTCTTTTATTTATAGTGAAGATAATACTGTTCTAGAGAGAATTATTAGCTTTCACCTTATCAACACCTAGATTAAATATTGGAATAAAATCGTAAGGGTGTGATCTTTCTTTTCTATTTAGAGACAGGCCCTCACTATGTTGAACTCAAGCGATCTTCCCACCTCAGCCTCTCGAGTACCTGGGACTACTGGTGTGTGCCACCGAGCCCAGCTCATGACCCATTTTCAATTCTCATCTTCCAAAAGAAAAAGATTTCTGGACTCACGGTATGGTGTGTTATGCTTGAGGGCTAAAACACATAGGAGATGTCCCATTGCTGGCAGCTTCCTGTGGGTTTTGTATTTGGGATGGCAAAGAGCATGCATAGGCTCTTGAAGAGGGACTTTATTTGTTCAGGTGACTTCCTTTGAGCTCTCCTGGATTAGTCCATCTCTGCAGGAAATGGGACAACACCGGCTTTGATAAAACCAAAGAGCTGAGGCAGAAACACTGCCCACCACTGCAGGCACAGTCCGGGCTCCACAGCCGGAAGTGTGCATTTTTCTAGGCAACCAGCACAAGCATGGGGACTTGGCTGAGGCCAGTGCTGTGATTTTGGCCTGAGGGGCAGTGCTGGGCAACTTCCCTACATCCTCCCTCAAGGTATCCCTGACCAAAAGCAGATGTACAAATAAACACGCATAAAACCTGAAGTAGAAATATTCAATACCTGGCTTAATATTATAACTTTTAGTCATAAGCTTCTAGAACTGTAAGTCATGTACAAATAAAAACTACTTAGGTATTTTTAAAGACAAGCATTAATGTGACCATCCCTCCATATTCTTTGTTCTCCCAGAAGAATCTGTAGCAAGATCCAGGACTCAGGAGAGAGGACATGTGGAGGTCAGTTATTTACCTACTTACTTTCTGATATTTTCTAATGATTTCTTTTTTTAATCTTTTATAAATTGTTTCTTTGTCTTGTGGCCAAAATTGAGACTGGAGACACTCCGTGGACCCCAAATGCCATGTATGTTAATTATAAATGTGTTATTCAATAATTGATGGCTAGATAATACCTAGTTGAAATATCACTGGAGTGAAACAGAATTGAAGCATTTATGTACATTGGCATTGCAGCTCCATGACGGTCAGTGCCAAGTCTCTAGTCCTCTGGAATGAACTCAATTTTAATGGAGCATGAAGATTTACCTACATATTAGAGGCATTCTACAACCTTGGATGAAAAAAAGAAAAACACATTCTCTGCTTCAATTCCATAATAAATTTGGATTTTTCAGTCGATGCCATCTGTGTGCCATGAAAGTGCTCACCTATGTGTCAACTGTACTTGGAGAAGAGGGGCTTACTGTTAGCAACACAGATGCTCTGGTTGACCCTGTCTGGGCTAAAAGGTGGGAGTTTTTCAAGGGCCTTGAGCACCAGGTAAATGACACATACCCCATTTCCATCCTAAAATGCTGCTGCTGTGTGTCAGAGCCAGCAAGGCCAACTGATTACCCAACTCACGTTGATATTGATCAAACTTACAGAAAATTTAATTACTCTATAATCTTCAGAAATGATGTTTTAACTCTTTAGGCTGCTGCTATTGACACATCAACATAATAGGCAGATGAGAGAATGGATGGATTTTATTTTAGAACTGACAGGTTAAAAACAAGCGATTATCTGACAAAGCTGCTCTAGGATGCTTAGGGAGACAATGTAGACTTTCTTCTGTTTATTGAAAAATCAGACTTTGCTTAACCAACAGGATGGTTTCCATCCCTGCTTACTGGCCGATAATGGCAAAAAAAAAAAAAAAAAGCCACGTTGAAAAGAAAGCGCCACACCAAGCAGATTCAAAAACGATTTAATGGGCACTATTTTTCTCTATGCAGAAAATGTGCTTCAATTCAAATTTTTCATCTTAGAGAGCTATTTTTAGTTGCATGAGACACAAAGACTATATAATCATCATAAAGATGTCAGCTGGTCCCAGCCTTTCCCAGGCACCTGCTGGAATGATTCATTTGACTAATGGCACAGTATCTGCATATGGAGACCGTCATGCATCTGCCCTATGTTATAATGAAACATGAGTTATCAGTGCAGCAGGAAGTATTTCCTTCGGTACAAGGCATTGACCCTGAGAGTGCTAACAGCTAAAGTACAGAGAAGTAAGAACTTGTGTGAAATCAGCTCTTGCTTATCTAAGTACAGCTTCAGTGTTACAGTTAAAGTCCCAGTGGCTGCTGGTGGAATGCCCCCTGGATGCTTCATCCGGTTGTCCCAGGTTGGGAGTTCTCCAGCCCTAGAGGCTTCATGACTGAGTCAGAAAAGGCCAAAGATTCTGAAACCACTGACCAACTAAGCTGCAAGTGAAAAGTTGAGGTGGTTGTCAGGGAGTGGGTGATGCTTGTGGAATGTTCTAGTGCTGTCGTCTGGGATGATCCAACCCTTAGTGCTGAGTACATTGGGCGCCTGTGCTGGGAACTGCATTGCCCACTGGGACTTCAGTGGTCAGGAGTGTGTTGTGAGTTCTGCCTGACAGCGAGTCAGAGAGAAGGCAGCCTCCCTTCACAGTGTCTGTGCACCCAAGGGGGCAGATCCAGCTCCAAAGTCCTGGGTTCCTGGAACATGGTGTCTAGAACAGCCAAGGAGCATGACTTAGAGGGAAAAGCTCAGGGTTTAGGGACAAAAAGGGATAGTCAACCTCTGCCAGTAGCACAGATGAGGTCTTGATGGCATCTCCCGACCTGTGGCTCAGCTTCCCATGGGGCCTCTTGGCCACTGCAGGGTTACATGAGGTTCAGGACGGACTCAGGCAGAGCCCTGGAGACCCAAGCCTGGTGGGAACTCAGTGAAGAGTGGCCGAGTGACCCTTTGACATCAAACCCCATGGCTGGCGCTGGCAGGACAAAGTCTCTTCCAGGTGGCGGGGGTCACGAGCACAGGGAAGGTGGGTTGGAAAACCCCTGGGGAGGAGGCTGGAGTGGTTAATGTGCAGACACCCCTGGCCTCGGGTGCAGGGGAAATCCTACAGGCCCTTCCCCTTGTCCTGAGATCCCTGAAGGCTTTGCTTTGCAGCCAGGTGGACTTGCCTGCCATTGCAGTGATGCCCAGCAAGCATTTCACGTCTCTCCCTGGGCTGCTCCTGTCTGTGGATAGGCTTCTCACCCTGCTACTCAAGCTGAGGCCCCTGAGCTAGGGCAGCCCTTCTCACATGCCTGCCTTGTTCTGCACCCAAAGGCTGAATTGTTCAGGAAGGGAAGTAAGGGATGGGGAAGGGAGCCAGTACCACTTTGCTCCTGTCCCCCCAGGGTTCAGTGTGTTCCACATGATCACGTGGGGCTCAGCCTGCTGGTCTATACCTACAGTAGCAGCACCAACAGCAATCCCACAATGCGACTGTCGTCCACTCCGTCTCGCCTACCCCCCTCAACACCAGCATAACCAACCACACCAACAAACTGGACAAGTACGACTCGGTGGAGGCCATCAAGATAAGGAGTTGGCAGCATCAGCAGCAGCCAGGTGTGCACAGAAGGCAGGTGGACGCGGGGACTTTCAGCAAAGCTCCGTGGGGGTGGCGCTGGTGGCGGAGTTGGGGACAGGTAAGGGTTCCCCTTATGAAAAACTGCCTTTCTAGCTTTGGGGCGCCTGTGAAACCATGGCGTGTCACCTTGGGCACATAGATTATAAAGGAACAAAGGAAAAGCAAGAAATAAAGATCTGCCCGATGTTGGGTAATTGTCCAATGTCCAGCTCTGCCTCAGCCCAAACCGTGGCTTCCGTGTCCCAAGGGTCAGAGAAAAGGCGGCAGGATGGAGGGGAGGATGTCGCTTCAGCACCTGCCTCTAGATGGCAGCCTGAGACAACTATTGTATCGCTATCAATTACACCTTCAGATCTCTTTCCAGGGCAATAAAAGTGCCTCACATACTGTAAGGCAGCTTCCCATTTCTGGTGTGAGGTGGCGTGTTCTGTATTTTTTCCCCCATTGGACAATTAAATCCCTAGTTTTTAAAGCAGAAATTTTGTGTGGAGGGCCAGCCTCCTAGTCCGCAGGAAGAAGGGCTGCGAAGGACATCAGCTTTGGACTCAGCTGACCTCAATCGGGTCAGACGCTCACACCCTCTAGGCCTCCATTTCTTTATAAGCTGGGGATAACGACCTTCACTTAGAGCAGTGTTGTGAGGATTTCATGAGGTAATTTCTATAAAACGCCTTCAACAGTGCATGACACTTAAGTGCTCATGAAATTGGGGTCTTGTTTGAGGGATTTCATGTGGTGGTTATAGCTGGAGGCTTGAAACAGGACGCCCTACAGCCATTTCTTACCAAAGTGGCGCCAGGTGAGGTACTTGGCCTCCTGTGTCTCAGTGTCTTCATCTTTCACACGGATGAAAGGCTGTGTATTTCCATCTTGCTGTAGGGTTTAAATGGGTGAACGTGCTCAGCAAAGGGTAGCTGGTAGTCTTACTTGTGCCTCCACACAAGGCTGCAAGGGAACCTGAAGAGACATGAAAGGCTGCGTTCAACCTCCCCTCTCACAGCTGTGGATGAAGGGAATTCTTCTGAACTAGGTAAACCAAACATGATTTTTTCATTCATTTGTTGATTGCCCTTAAAATCCTTAGGGAGTGTTGTGATTTCCCCTCTGTTGTACCCACGTCATCTCCCTTTGTAATTAAAGTTTCTTCCTACTAGTTTGCCTGTACTCCCGGGGCCTCTGGTTGAACTGGGGTCAAGAATCCATCAGCTCCTCACATGAGTCAGGTGAAAGTCCTGAAGTGAAGCATCGTGAATTACTCACACAGCCCTCACGGCCCCTCAGAACTGGGCTCCCATAGGTGAGGAGGAGAAAGAGCAACTCGTTTTACAAGGAGCTCCCACATTCTCCTGTATAAAGAGGTCTTGAGAACTTTCCAAGTGAACTTCCAGGACAAAAGAAATGGGTTTGGCTACATGTGATTCCAACATCAGTGCTGGGTGGTCACTCCAGGAATCTGGATGGTCATTTAGCTGGTGCTAAGTTCTCTCTTGGGATGTGGAGCCTTTTGAATTAATCAGAAGTCTTGCTGCCACGTGAGCAGACTCTAGTGGCACTGACCTGTCCCCTGATCATTCGTAAATCTCTCAGACCCCTCCATCACATGGCTGGCCTATGCCAACCGTCTTCATCATTCTCCAGTCATCCCAATACTTACCCTCCACCTGTGAGAGTGTAACGATTTGAAATTTCAGCTTACTTTAACATCATGAATGAGGAAGATTATATCCAGAAATAGGTACAATAGTCACTTTTCAAACAAACTGCACATGGAACAAATGAATAGTAATTCAGACATTTGGAATATGAGGAATTTAGCTGAAGAAGGTCTTTCAGGAACTCTTATGAATGTACCTTTCTGTGATAATCAGAAATCTACTTATATGTCTACAGAACTCCACGGGGTAATACTTGGTAACATTCTAAGTGTCTCTTCATTGGAAATGAAGCATTTGCTGAGTTTCTTGAGTTTGCTGTTACAATAAATAATGCTTAGCTTCTCTTGAAAATATTGTGGCAAAAGCAGAAAAATAGACTGGAAGACATAGAAAAATATTTGCCAATTCAGTTACTAGATGATAAGTTCTTATTGAAGTGAATAATCTGTGGTAAAACACCATGAAAAAGCACATTTTAGCATCACAGGACTTTTGGAGAGAAGTTGAGTCGTAATGTAATAGTCTCTCAAAGTCTACTTATTGAGTATTTTTTTAAACATTTTTTTCCTGGAGTTTAATAATAAAACGATTCTAGGGGAAAGAAGCAAATACTTCAAGCCACATCACAGAAACACCTCTTCTAATGTCTGCTTTCTGGGTCTCGATCATTCTGATGAATTCCAGTGAATTCCAAGAGCTTTTATATTTTTCATCTCTCATAATTTCCCATTGCCCTAAGTATATGCTCAGTGCCTCCCCACGTTTCCGAGGCTTCAGAGGTGAAGAGTGATATATTGCAAGCACACTTCAAGCCATGAGTGCCCATCCTTGCCAAAAATCACATCCTTTAAATGCAACAAGAATTACATATGGCCGAGTGACAATTCAGTCTATAATACAGGAGCACAGCTGGGGGAGCCATGGGAAGCACTGCAGGTCACAGCGTGAAGTTGATGATTGTGTTTCGCCAGTTTCCTCTAAGAAGTGGATTGTTTTCTTGAGCTTTTTTTTTTTTCTTAAGTAATAGTCTTATACTTTTGGAATAGTCTTATTTTTATTTGAAAAAGTCTTTAGGAACAAGACATCTTCTCACTTTTGATTGAGAATATTCAAGATGTTTAATTCGAGGTAACAGGCATTTAGTCTGAGAATCCATTCCCCTCATCCCCGCCCCAGGAGTGCCTGGGTTCGTGGCATTTGATAAAATGAAGAAAATAAATGTGACCACACAGATATTCACCATGGATCTCCCATGTTCCTCTGTCTGAATAACACTATGGAATTCTTGGAAGCAGCTTGTGTGTTTTAATCTTGGAAGCTCAGGAATTCCACCTGGTCTGCACCTGCAGAAGCTACAGTAGGCACCCCACCTTGCTGCTGATGCAGTTTCTGTGCCATTGCTGGTGGAGGCAGCGGAGCAGAGGCGCAGGCACAATGAAGCGGGGACGTGTTCTGCAGATTGCTGCTAAACTCGCCTTATTCTGACTTTTGGATTTCATGACATTCCAGGGAGCTACCTGCCATGCTGTTGGCCTGGAAGCCCACCTGACTGGTCCATAGTGACGTCCTGAAGAGCCAGTCTGTAAAATAACCAACAACTTGTTTAGCTTTTGGATAGACTCCACACCTCCTCTTTCTCTGCAAAGAAAAATCTTGAATATTTATGGATGACAATTAGGGAAAGTATTGAAAATAGTGAAATATAATTAAAAACAACATGTATTTTTCATGTTATGAAAAATATTGAAAGAACTGATATTAATGAAAATTAATATTTTATTTTCCATCTCCCCAGTGTAACTAATTTGTGGCAATCACCCCCTACCAAGAGCAGTAATGCTGTGTAAAGCTGGCTTTCTGGAGTCCGCTGGATCCATACGAAGTGTGATCCCTGGTTTCCTCTGTTACTTGCTGCATCCAAGCCAGGGGAGCAGGAGATGCTCAGCTCTGGTGCCTTTGATTTTATGTCAGTGCTGCCTTCCTGCCTGCTCAGTTCACCCACCCCCGTTTCCCTCCGTATGGAGGCAACAGCATTTCAGGATGTACCTTGGGGTGTCAGGGTAGCTGCAAGTAAGGGTTTTTATGATCCTCATGGTCTCATTGATACAGACAGGAGACAGGGAAATACTGGATAGAAGAGGGTGGGTTGCTGGCAAAGGCTCCACCCTCAAGCCTGAATACCTGTGGCCCTAAGTGAGAACAGGCATTCCTGTTTTTGTGCCCAAAAAGCTGCCTTTTGGCCCACCATGCCTTCTATCCTATACCCTTATAAACGCCAAACCCCAGGCTCCAGAAGCAGGTGAGAAGATGAGGAGACAAGCCGATAAACAGCAAAATGATGCAACAGAGAAAGAGAGAAGAGGAGGAGTCTCTGAATGCCAAGAGGAGCTTGGCTGTGGATGGTCAGAGAGGAGTTTAGCTGCTGGGTGGCCAAACTCTAGGAGAAGATCCCACTCTATCCCCCTTCCAGCTCCCCATCCATCCTACTGAGAGCCACCTCCACCACTCAATAAAGCGCCCGCATTCTCCACTCTTCAAGTCCCTGTGTGACCCAATTCTTCCAGGATGCTGGACAAGAGCTCAGGATACAGAAAGTTGTCACACTGTCCCTCTGCCCTTGCAGAAAGGCAGAGGGGGCACAGAGCTGGTTAACACTTAAGCCGTCTGCAAGGCAGAGCTAAAAGAGCATTGTAACACTGGGGTTGCAGGCACCCACCCCAGATGCTACTGTGGGGCCAGAGCCCAAAGCTCTCACCCCAGCTCCTGCACCTTCCCGTCTGTGTGGTCCCCCTCCCGTAAGGGGGGTTTGAGCTCACGGCGGTGGAACAGAGGGCAGCACCCCTGTGAGGGGATTGCATGCCCTGTGAGGGGAACCAGGGAACTCTCCTGTCTTGTTATCACTGATCATTGATAAGCATTTCAGAGTGGGATAACATCATTCATAGAGGTTCCCAAAAAGAAAAAAAAAGAGATACATTTCTCACAAACGGATCCATAACCAGGACATTTTGATTTCTTCTAGTTTTTGATGATTATGAAAAAAAGCTGCTATAAACATTTGCATGCCAGTTTTTGTGTGGTCATACATTTTTAATTCTGTTGGGGAAAACCAACAGGAGCACTATTGCTGGATCATATGATAAGGTTATGTTTAGCTTTGCAGGAAAGTACAAAATTGTCTTCTAAAGAGGCTGTATGACTTTGCATTCCCACCAACAATGAATGAGAGTTCCTGTTGCTCCACATCCTCACCAGCAATTGATATTGTCGATGTTTTGGAACTTAGTCATCCTAGTGGGTGTACAGTGGTGTGTCATTGTTGTTACCTTTTAAAATTATCATTTAGCAGAAGAGCGATTGGTTTAGAACAATTTTAGCTATATTCTAAGCTATATTCTCGCCAGCCGTGGAAGAACTTTTGTTTTCCTGTGACTCTATAGCTTTTGCTCGTGTTTTCATGCCTCTCACTCCTCCTCTTGCTGTTACATGAACCGTCATGTGGTGGGTATATGCAGTGCTATCTGCCACCTCTACTGGAACCTCTTTCATAATGCATTTCTTCTTTAGGCTGGAAAGTTTGGGGTTCCTGCCAAAACTTTCTGGGGACACTTGTCACAGTTCTAATTTCTGTATAACTTTTTTTTTTTACTTTTTCTTTTTTTAATTTATTTTTTATTATTATTATACTTTAAGTTCTAGGGTACATGTGCACAATGTGCAGGTTTGTTACATATGTATACATGTGCCATGTTGGTGTGCTGCACCCATTAACTTGTCATTTACATTAGGTATTTCTCCTAATGCTATCCCTCCCCCTTCTTCCCTTCTGTATAACTTTTTAATTTTCTTTTTATCTTTCTTTTTACTGTAAGAAATGCAATTAAAGACCAATACTTTTAAACTTCACCAAGTAATTTAATCCCTCTAAGAGGAACCTGATGTCAAATGACATTAATCACAAATCACAGTTTAATTTCTATGGTTGTTTCTGAATACAGTTGAAGATTGGCTGGTTTTCATGAGGAAGCTGGCTTTAGTCTTACATTTAAATTCTTTGAAAGTGACTTCCAGTGCTATTCAGGGTCCTTTCTTGAGGCTAGACTCATCACCAATCTAATATTGATTTTACAGTGCACTGACAGTTTACAGGAAGGAGAAGGATGGAATTCCTGCACACTGGACAGCACGTGGCCTTCCCCATAGCTCCAGTGGCATGTGGCTTTGGTGAAACTTGGGGCTTTGTCACCTCTGAATGATGTGGACTCAGTGAATTCTAAGGAACTCAGGGACACTGGTTCAGGCTCTGCCACACAGAAGAGCCACAGTCTCCAGGCTCATGGCGTTCCCTCCAGAACTCCCCATTCCACTCTGAGCATATTTCTATGCTGCTTCTTCTTGTGACTTACATGAGGCATCTCAGCTTCTTCCTGTTTGTAGGGATGTTTCCCTAAGCCTGTTCAAGTAGATTCTCACTAGAATTAGCATGCATATTGGAGTAAAAAAGAACATTTAATAAATATGTGTGTTTCTGTGGGGCCGAGGCTCTAAAGGAATTGAAAGGAGATTATAAACAGTGAATGAGTGTGAGGGCATCCCTGCTGGGGAGAAACCTCTGTCCCTAGAGAGGGTCCTTTCATGTTCATGTGGTCGGGGATGAGCCAGGGGTCTGGCCTCATCGGCTCACAAGTGACACCAAGAGAAAAGAAGCAAATGGAGGAAATGGTCAGATAAGTAGGTGATGTGAAAGGCAGGACCTGGTCACCCCAGCGAGCACTATGGCCAGTTCCCGGGTCCCGTGACCCACTGCACAGGTCCATGAGTCTGACTCTTGGACTCTGCCAGGATCAGCTGCCCAGAGTGCCAGAGTTTTCGCCAAGGGTGTCCTTAATTCCTTATTTATCAGCAAAAGAATGAAAATCATGGGAGTCAAAGCTTATTTTTCTGAGTGTTCCCACTGGAGTGTCTGGTGGAATTAGTGGGTCATGCCATCAAAGTCATGAACAAAGCCTCAACAGGGGTCTCCATGTCCCCAACTGGCCATCTAAGGGGATACATTGGCATGCAATTGAATATCAAAGGAAATTTTACCTCAAAATATATCGTCTATACTCGGCTAATCATTTTGTGTGAATACTTTCTTAATGAACACTGAAGGTGCAAGCTTGATAATGTTTGGATTTGCAAATATCGTTAGGATACTTGAAAATGTTTTTCTAACTTTCAGAATAAATCAGGAACATTAACACTGTCACACCACTTCCTGCACCAATTTTGCTCCGTGGCCATCAACTTTCTTTAGCCCCAGGGTGTCTTTTACAGTTCCATGTTTTTTTGTGTGTGTGTGCACGAATTTTTAGAGTATCTTTATTGCTTTTACCTGAGTTCAGCATTTCTGCCTCAAAAGATGGTTATGGGGTGCAAAACAGCAGGTAACAGGTACCACTAGCAGATACAATGAACTGCGTCTGACTCAAAGCAGTTGTTCTCCATTTGGGGGGGCTCATACTTTAATCCCATAGCTCTAGTAGTACATTTCTGCATAAGTAGAGTATTCCAATGGCAACCTTAAATCAACTCATGTGCAAAAACTTTGTCATTCTTTTTAAAATGATTGCATTGGTTCTGTCCAGTACATCTATTTGTTGATGGTGTACTTGGTGATTTCTCTGGACACAACATAGTCAATATTTGATTACCAATCAGCAGATTATCTATGTCAGACACCAGAAAAACATTCTGAGTCCCCTGCTTCTCTGATCAGTGGGTGTGAAATGGGAGAAATAGGGTAATATTCACTTTGACCTGAGAAATGCACAGACCGTAATGTTAAATATTGGACAATGCATTGTCATGTTGGATACAATATTTGCAGACAGGGCACTATTTTAGAATTTATTTCTGCTGTGCTTCTCCATCCAGGCCATGAATAGTAATAGATTTATAGTTGATTTAAGAAATTTTTGTAACTCAATAAATACTGAACTAAAGCATTCAAATTATCTGCTTTGAAACTGTAAATTTTTGTTCTAATCCTAACTCTCTTCTTTTTGGATACTGAAAAACAATGAAGGTGATGCATTCTCCCAGCCTGATTGCCTCTCTGCAATGTCGAAGTATTGGCAGTGATTTCTAAAATAGCAATATTTTATACACTTTTTAAAATGAGCTTAATATTAAAATGAATTATACATTTCTCTGAGCAGATGGAACAATGTTTTATTCAATTTTACTATAGTTTATTTTCAGAAATTTGATATAAAAACATCAGGAATAAAAACCTGCTCTCTCCTGAAAATATGGTTCATGTAGAAAAGTGGCTTAGAGATTAATAGAAACTTAATTTAGAGACTGATATCAACTGCACAGTTACTAGTAAATGTCATTTCATATAGTCTGTTCTAAAGATCATATTAGCTCATCCACTAAAAAATCAAGCTTATTACTCATGATAAGAGTTGATATCAGATCTAGCTCAGATAAACTTATTGTACTATGTTGACAAGATAAAGCTAGCTAGTCAAGAACACTTTCACGAAAAAAGAGAAAAGTAGTACAAATTCTTTTCGCAATGCTAGTGGCAAAAAACCACTCTATGATATTTATTAAACTAAAATGTAGGTCAGACAAGAAATTGTATTCCACCTCTTATTTAATTAGTAATCAGAGGTCAGCAGTTCAAATGTGCTCCCTTTCCTTCTCAACTGTTTGGCAATTTAATGCTATGTAACGTGAAACACGTAAAATGTCTCAGTGTTAGATAAAGAGTCACAAGATAGAAGGGAGATCTGGATTCTGGAAAATCCAGACTTTCCTTCTAACCTGTTGCTAAGAAGATCACATTGCTGGCTTTCATCTCTGTAAGTGTAGACAGCTCAACTTCCTACAAGAATTTGCTAGTGCCTGTTTAAGGTGATGGTTTATCATTTCACCTGGATGTTACTGGTTTCAATTAGAAGCAGAGGATTGACTGGATGTACTTTAAAGAAAATTGATTTTATAATTCTCTTTGAATTCAGAATAGAAAATGAACAATGAACGCATCAGCACTCTCCACCGTAGTGCCAGAAGAGCTGCAGGGGGTACTTAGAATTTAGTTACAGCAGGTTAATCCAGTATTCAGCATCCCAGAATATGATGTCACTCTAATTTTACACCTTCCCAAAACAAACAAATGAATAAACAAACAACTTCCAAAACCACTGCAGTGTTTTACACTAGGAATGTCAGCATGACGCCTATGGAAATTGGAATGTGTTACTGTTTCTCTTCAGACAAGTCCATAGGTACAGAAGAAAGCAGGCACAGGTGGTGACAGCTGGCACAGATATGGTGCAGGGCTAAATGAGAGTCACCTAGAACATTGCCTGATTTTTACTTTTTAAAGTCAATTTCAAACTGCTTCACAAGTTTACAGAAGAGCTCACCCTTAGTTTTGCTTTCTCCCAGTACGGTGACTGTTGACCGACATAAAACTTGAACTTAGGCACTGTTAAAGGTAGTACACTAAGCTTCAATCTGAGCATCTAGATTCAACACTGAAACTCTATATCACCTGCAAAAATATGTGTATATTCAGTCTAATGTAGAATTCTTTGAGATGTGTGACAACACCCTTGTGTTATACCACTTCGTGTGACTTCTGAAGATATCATGACATTCTAAATGCCTCTTCCTGTGTTAAATCTCTGTTCCCTATTTTGTGATGTAACTCTTTACAATTGTTTCATTTTGTCATCGGATGTTCTCTAAAGCCAAATTCAACCCTTGATAAATGTGTGATGTCCATGGCAATAGGAAATGCGTGACAGGGTAAGCTGGCCAGGTTTTCTATTTATAAGGAGTTGGTGTCAAATTGATATGGTTTGGCTCTGTGTCCCCACCAAATCTCGTGTCAAATTGTAATCCCCAAGGTTGGACCTGGGGCCTGGTGGGAGATGACTGGATCATTGTTGCGGGGGAGGGTCCTTCATGAATCCCTTGGTGCTGTTCTCATGATGGGGCTCTCAGGAGCTCTGGTTATTTAAAAGTGTGTGGCTCCCTGCTCTCTCTCTTACTCCTGCTCTGACCATGTAAGGTATGCCTACTTCCATCCCATCACTTTGGGAAGCCAAGGTGGGCAGACCACAAGGTCAGGAGATCGAGACCATCCTGGCTAACATGGTGAAACCCTGTCTCTACTAAAAATACAAAAACATTTTCCGGGCGTGGTGGTGGGCGCCTGTAGTCCCAGCTACTCGGGAGGCTGAGGCGGGAGAATGCCGTGAACCCGGGAGATGGAGCTTGCAGTGAGCCGAGATCGTGCCACTGCACTCTAGCCTGGGAGACAGAGCGAGACTCCGTCTCAAAAAAAAAAAAAAAAAAAAAAAAGATATGCCTATTTCCCCTTCTCCTTCCACCATGATTATAAGTTTCCTGAGGCCTCCCTGGAAGCAGAGGCCGCTATGTTTCCTGTACAGCCTGCAGAGATGTGAGCCAATTAAACCTCTTTTCTTTATAAATTACACAGCCTCAGGTATTTCCTTATAGCAATGCAAGAATGGACAAATACACAGATCCTCTTGAGGAATGATGTATTGAGTTGGGTTATAGTCACCCTCTCTCCAGCACACTGAATTCTTCTTTTTCGCATAAACTTGTTTTGTTTTGAATGAATTCCTGCTATCAATCAGCACACACAACACAAACATGTCTGACTAAGGAAAATCACTCCATTGAGTGAGAGCCTTATTTCAATATTCATAATCCCTTAAAAAATATATGTACACTCATACATCCATGTGTGTTTACTAAGGCCCTCTTGAAATGAAGGCAAAAAGAAAAGAAAATGCCCAAACGCACAGCTATATGAGCTAATGAAGCAAGCATATTACAGTGATTAAACTGTATCTTAAACTCTAAATAATAAAATATTGACATTTTGAAGAATTTGAATAACAGCTTACACTTTTTTTCTGTGAGTTTAGAGGTGAATTGGGATGAAGAAGTGTGTCCTGACACAATTTGCTTTTGGGCAACTTTTTTTTTTTTGAAACTTCCTTTGCAACTCTAGTGATCTATATTCTGAAATGATGGTTTCATATGATGCTTTTATAGGTAAATTTTTATAGAATCTGCTTCATTTTTTCCTAAATAAAATTTGAAATATAATCTAAAATGTCTGTCTGTACCTACTTGAAATACGTAATGTAAGTTTCCATTTAAATTTTCACCTGTAGCCCAGCTTATTCAGGATAGCAAAAATGGTTGCATGCACTCACTGCATCACTGTAAAAAGTCAAATATAAGAGGAAATCATTCTTAAGGTAATATCTGGACCAGTTTTATTTTTCTGGAATATAGTTGATTTATTATTTTCTATAGGACACATACAAATAGAATCTGAAATTACTTTTCTCTGATTAATTGGTTTTGCATAAACTTCCTCGTGGAAACATGAAGCTCTCACTGTACCCCGGAAATCATAGTTAGAACCAGGAAATGATAACATAATTCCGGGCATTGCAGAGCTCTTAAGGTTTCTGTAAAGGAGAGCTGTGGACTCACGGGACAGCATGTCTCTGAGAAGGGGGAGAACTGGACAGGGGAGAGAGTTGGAAAGGTTGTCAGAATGCTGAAGGAAGAGGTTCTTCTTGTTTCTAGCCCAGGGGAGAGAGATGGGTAATAAACAGAAAGGATTCAAATAAGCTCAAGAGTAACTTTTTTTAGCTTGTTCAATGCATGCAAGATTTCAGTTATTCTGTTTTTCTTTCTCAAATATGCAGCACCTACTCCTGGACTTTTTTCAACAAACCAGTAGTTTTGTCTTTCTCAATTTTGGTGATGGCTCAAAGGCTTTCCAGATAGAAACATGGGCATGTCCTCTGGAGCTCTGGAGCCCGTATCTGAGTTCCCAAAGAAAGATTTGGGTTTTCTGTACAAGTTTTCTCCTAAAAAGTTTAAAATAGTAAATTTATCTACTAAAATGATAAAAAAATAGATTGAGAGATTTTAGGCCTGTTTTACACAAGAAAACAAGGAGAGTTGGGAACACTTTTATATTTAGCTCTTATAGGTTAACATTATGTGATATTTCTATAGGTCTCATAACTTTTGCTTTTAGATGAAGTGGTTGTGTTTGACTTGATCATAAATGTTTTAAATTATAAGAGATGCTATAAATCCTGAAAATTTCTATAATTTAAAAATCTCAATGCATTAATTATATGACATTTTGTACTTCACACCATTAAGTCAGAAAACCCAAGCCCATCCATCAGAATTTAAATATCTTAACATTTTCCATTTTTGTGTGTTGAGTCAAGCTACAGAAAACACAGCTTTATTGTTCTTATCCAACATTTCAAATATCATCAATTCCTAGTAGAAAACTGCTAAGCAAATTAGTCTGCCAGTTCTAAAAATATGTCAAAACAGACATTGGCATTTTCCCATGATATAAGCAGTAATTTTAAAGAGTTTGTAGACTTTATCCATCCTTCCTTCCTTCCTTCCTTCCTTTTTCCCTTTCTTTCATTTGCAGTTTATTGTTGATAGAATATAGGAGTGTTTTATATATATATATATGTTGATATAGCCCCTTCAGGGTTTTGGCCAGTGGGAGGGGAGGGTGATAAGGTGGAGGAAGCTGCATCTGGAAGGTGGTGAAGGAAATGGGCAGGGGTTCTGAGCTGGGTGGTGGCCACTGATGGGGACAAAATACACATCCAGTGAGTTCCCAGAGCTCAGGGCTCCCAGATGTCATGTAGCTCATTCTACTGCTCACCATCCACATGGCTGTTCAGAGGTTATCACCTCCCTAACCCCCGCAGTCCTTCAAAGCCCTCACTCTTGCCCTACAATCCTTGCTGTCCCCCTCCTCTCTTGCCTGGCCCTCTCACCTTTGTATTGCCAGTATTGAAGTGAATGAATGGCTTTGTAGTAGGTCACTGCAGTCTAAGCTGTCTATGGTCATCGGATTGGGAATGAAAACTGAGAATGCATCACCTTTTTCATAAGGCTCTCCTGACCTATTGGGGTCAAAAGATACAGTCTAAATTAAACCTTGTACTCTCAGGGGTGCCTCCTCCCAGAAACATTCCAGGCAAAACATTTTCCTTCTGTTTTTTTCATGATTTGCTCTTTTACTCAACTCCCAGAAGAGCAGAAGAGTAGCAGTAATGGCCCTGTGGATGCTGATGCATTTCTTGGCAAGGCTGGAACGAGGAATCTGATTTGGGAGGATGGGAGGAGCAGAGGAGATTCACCTAAGCCATTCAGGACTTGTGATACCTGTGCCCAAGCACCATCAAGTCAGGACATGTGGACAGCCGTGGGGCCATCATGGTCCACTTTGATTAGCCCACAAACTTGAACCTGAGCCTCCTCCTCTGGAGGCTTCAATCATGGACAGCAGCTCCTTCTAGAGCGGTCCAGCATGCATGTGTCTTTTCCTACATCTTCTCCAGCTGCGATAGCACAATGTGGAATCAACCATGCATGCTGACTCTGCCAGAGACAGAGACTGTAGTGAGGAAGGCTACAGACCTCCTCCCACATCTGTGCTAAGGGCAGCTCCAGTGCAAAAGTTACTGCCTGCTGGACAAGTCTGCCTGACACATAGGCTGCAGGGAGGGTAATCTGAGCTGTGATGGATATTTCCTAATTAAGTAGCTCCTAGTGCCTAATCTTCCTTAGTGAAATTTGAACTCCATGACCTTAGATAAAAAATTGAGTAGAACTCTTAAACTTTTACCCCAAGATGGGTCCTCACTATTGTAGATATGATCAGGCATGAGAGCTGGTCTGTGAAACATTGGAGCTATGTCCTGGGGTGACCAGATGTCCATCTAAAATACAGGTATTACTTTTTGAATAAACTCCAGGGACCAACATATAGACTTCCTGGTAATTGCACTATAGATCCTGATGAAAGGCGTCCAAAGATGTCACTCAGGTTTTGTATGAGAATTGTAAATCCAGTGAGGAATGGAATGCTGAAAAAGAAAGGAGAGTCTAGGATGAGTATGATTCCAGTGGACCTGATTAATTTTGGCCTCTAATATAGTGGGGACAAAGGAAAGGAACAAAGAAACCCCAAGTAAATCCTTAGCCAACAGAGATTCAATAAAAATAAAAAATTGAGAATGCTGATTTTTATAAAACTAATATATTCCTAAACTTTTGAAGTTGATATAAAAGTGGCTAAAGGAAGCTCAGGAGACATGATTTATATAGGCATGCAATATTTTCTAGATTTGAAAGGCTTTTGTTAACTCCCTCACAAGAGACAAAATATGTGATCCATACATAAGGTGATAGGCAAGAGCATTTACAAAGGTCTGTGAGAGGAAAGCGGTCTCTAATTCTACAACCAGCTCCTAGAGTATAAAGGTTAGCAGTTGGAGCGACTGAGTATATCAATTCCTTTCTAATGGCTGGGAGAAGGAACAGGTTTCAGGGTAGCCAAATGTGAGAGCACAGTGCTGTTTATGCCAGAGGGAACCAAGGGAAAGAATAGAAAGCTCCCTGAAACCCAGCTGTAATCCAGGGAACAGGATTACATTGCAAAATAATCATGCACGCATCAGTGCACTTGAGAGGCATCCTCTAAGCTGGGGCCAGGCCGGGCATTATCCATCCATTCAGCCTCCCAGGAGAAGCTCTGGACCTCACTGGGGACAGCACAGGGCAGCACCTGGGAAATGTACATCTGTGGTTAGAGACAGGCAGAGAAATTGAAGTTGTTTTAAGGAAAGAATAATATAGAACAAAAAGGCCAAATGCTTGGAGCAAGACCAGCCCTCATCAATTATAAGGTCCTTGCCTGGCTCTGCATTTGAGTGGTTTTTTGACCTGAATAAATTTGGGGAAATTTGAAAACGAACTCGTGCCAGCCAAATGCCTGGAGCAGTGCAAATGGAGTCACATATGCAAGTCTCAACGTGAACTGAAAATATGATCTTACATCTGGTTCTGCCACCTTAACCATGCTGAGAGATGCTGAAACACTCACTGCTTCTAGCTTGGAGTATGCCAAGAAATGGCAGAGTCCATTTAAACCCACAAACTTTTAGTAATTCAGGAGATGCAGTGTTGATACAAGGAAGTAAAAGATTCCAATGATCTGCCTTCAAGAAGTTCACAATACAGTTAGAAAAACAGAGACCCTACATTTACTGTTACACCATGGCCAGAATTACACCACCAGTGTGGACCTCCTGTGCCCTGGGAAGCCTGGAAGGGGAGTGAATGGGTAACTAGGAGCAGTGTAATTTCTTAAGCGATTTGATCTTTGAGGGGAACTCAGGTCTTTGAGATCGTTTACATTTTAAAATTTAAAATTTTACAATGTAAAATTTACTGTTACATTTACTGGGGTGCAGCCTAGTGAGCCTGCTGGTGCCCTCAGCTGCATGAGCACTTCTGCTCCAACCCACCCACTTCCTGCCACTCTCCCAGAGGGAGCCGGGTGAGAGAACATTGGCGTGTACACTGGATATGAAGTGTGGATGTGCATGAGTGAATTCTGGATTCGTGGGAGAACAGCATCACATAACCATGTGCAGTTTGCAGACAAATGTGGGATGATGTGTCCTTGAACACAATAATAGAATCACTGCATGTGTAGAGAGTGGTTCTGAAAACCTTTTCATAAAAGCGGAGATCACATGGGAAATGACTGGATTAATGAGGACCAGCGTGATGGACTTTTTAAAGGATTTTAGTAAGGCTAAGAAATGCCTACGCTGAGATGTGACTGGCATTCATTAAGGAATGCCCAAGTTTAGTCCTTTTCTTTTTTCTTCTCATCGTCCGTTTCTTCCTGTCTTCACAAAATGGAAGGCATTTATCAAATCAGGTCAACTGACTGCATCCAAACATCTCACTGCTGGGGAGGGACTGGCACCTACCTGGATAAACATAATTTCTCAAAAGTCAAATCTTTCACATCAGCTGAATCTCAGTATGGATCTATTCTTGGTAACGGCAATCTCATAGAAAGATATTACTTTTCTGAAAATTCAGTCATTCGTCATATGCATATGAAAAGTAAGACTTTGCAAAGCTTAAACAAATTTGTTAATTGTTAGCTACCCTACTCTTCACTCAGTAGGCTTAAACGAATTTTCTAAGGACTAACTGTCCTACTCTTGGCTGAGTATTCTCATTTGTGAAGCACTAGATGAGGAGTGATGTCGTGCAGAAGATCTAAGTCTACTGTGTACAGCTCTGAAGTAACAATCGAGGAGCGTCCTCAAGGCCTTGTTGTGAAGTTGCCGTGGGGATCACGAGGGAGCCCCATGAGATAGAAATAATTGGCTACTTTCCTGAAAAGGTAGGAGTTGAGCAAATCCTGAAGGGCAGATGTTGACAATCAATAGTTGTGCTTTTTATGCAAAGGAAAGAGTATTAGTGGATGAAAGGCAGTGAGATTGCATGTGTCATGTTGCAGTGGTTGGTGGTAAAGAGATGAGTTTGACAGGGACAGAGCATTTCTGTGGAGAGAAGCATGAAGGAAAGAGAGGAGTTAGACCTGGAAGAACCTCACAATGAGGATTTTGTCTACCTTTGTCGCAAAACAAAAAGAAAGAAACAAAAACAACTCTCACTTCTGCAGACAAGTGGCTTTCACTTAACTTTTGTTTTATGTTGTAGAGCTTCCTTCTTTCTGAAATAGAAACGTTTATGTGGAACACAAATATGTAGGACAGTTAAAGGCCGAGCCAGTGTGGCCATGGGGTGGGAAGGATGTGCTTTTCCTGCCCCATTACCCATGGGCCAGGGGCTGCCAGCACCAATAGAAACCTCCAATCAAATTGCTATTTCTGAAAGAATCTGCACCCTGGAAGCCCTCCCTGGGAAGTGATAATCCATTCGTAGAGCCAGAGGCAATGACTACAGCACAACCAGGTGGAAAAGGTTTTGTAATTGCAGAGTGAGAGAAAGATGACAGGTGCATTGAGAGAATGAAAACTCCCTCGGGTGGGAGACTGTGCTTTTTTGTTATAAATGGACCCTCTGTTGTCTGCGTCAGCAAATGTCAAATTGCAAAGCCTGCAGATCAGGATACTGGGGCCAGTGCTCAGTGCTTAGAAAATAACCAACTGTCCTGTTTATCTTAAAACTCATCACTATTAACTTTACAGTTTAGTCAGGTTATTTCATTTCAGGAACTACAGTTTGCCAGTGTAGTAAAATTAAATTGGGACCCAGGTAACAACAAATCCTACTGTTGGGCTGTGTAAGAATTTGGGGAGCTTTTGAAGGTCATCCTTTGTGACAAACTATCAAAGTCATTTGGAAACAACAATGAGATATTACCCAACTCAGGTGGAGATAGAATTTTGCTCACTTTGGCAAGGATAATTCTGCCAACAGAAATAAAAGATTAGATGCTTGGAAACAACGGAGAGGAAGGGGTTGAGGGAAAAATCCAGGGCATGTCTGAATCGTCTGAATCCTGCGTTCACCTTGTCAGACCTGGACACCAATGTCTACAAAAATTTGACAGCCTAAAGTGGAAAACCAAGTGAATATGTCTAACTTTCAAATGGATGCATTAGAAAGAAGGTTGCCAACTTTTGTCTCTTTGGGAGAAGATTATTGTATCCACTAAATCACCTTTGGTTTACCTTTTTGGTTTACCTTTGGGTTTACCTTTTTATGATAAGATGGGTTTTGAAACACTTTCCCATAAGAAAGCTGGTCTATATTGCTTTTTTTTTTTTTTTTGGATAGAGTTTCCCTCTTGTTGCCCAGGCTGGAGTACAATGGCATGACCTAGATTCACTGCAGCCTCCGCCTCCCGGGTTCAAGAGATTCTCCTGCCTCAGGCTCCAGAGTAGCTGGGATTACAGGCACCCGCCACCATGCCTGGCTAATTTTTTGTGTTTTTAGTAGAGACAGGGTTTCATCATGTTGGCCAGGCTGTTCTTGAACTCCTGACCTCAGGCAATCCACCTGCCTCAGCCTCCCAAAGTGCTGGGATTACAGGTGTGAGCCACCACACCCAGCCTACATTGCTTTTATAATATCATCTCCAAAGTACTGCCGTCAGCATGCCCCACATCCAAGCTTTCCAATTCCCTGCAGCCCACTCTAGTAACACTCAAAGAATAGCTCTAAGGAAATAAAAACTACAGAAAAAGTCGTGATAGCCAACACTTTAACATAAAAAATGCCTAAAACCTTTTAAACTAAATTGTTTCTTAAAACAGAAGATTTTGCTAATTAGAATTAAGGCAGACTGTACTGAGATTATGTCAAGGAAAGCATTTTTGTCTGTGTTTAATTTACTACAGTTGTATTTAATTACACAGTTAAGAAGAGTAAGGAAAGTCTCAGGAGGGTGATCTTCGAGTACTCAACACCTAGGCATAAGAAACTTTGGAGTTTCCTGTATATTCTGTTTTTCAGACACACAAGGTCTCAACCTTTGCTATAAAGAGATACTACATTTATTTTGAATACTGAGAAAAATGACATTCTTCAGTAAATGCACATGGCAACTCATGTATAGAAACAAGCTCCTTGTTCAATGGACCTTCCAGTAACCATGGCAGCCACGAGTCTCTGGGATCATTTCCCTTAGATGCTGCCATGAGAATTCCAGTCTGTGGAAGATGGCACTAACATGGAATGCCTTCCTCCTCAACCTCTCAGCAATGTACACATGCCAACTACAGAAAAATGCTGAATAAGTTATAGTAAATGTAAAATAAAAGTGCATAGCTGAGATTGCAATAAAGAAAAATAAAACCACAGGTACCTAAAATGAGTGGGGATTTCCATCCAAAGCTTGAGTGGGTATTGAGCATGTTGAACATGAGAGTGGAACACCTCTGTGGAGACATCAGAAGCAAAGATTGTCTTGAGTACTAGATATTCAGTGTTCCTACAAGGACAGTTATTTTCTTGAGTTTGGTGGGAAGAGACTAGAATTAAACCTGTTTATGTAAGGCCAGAATATAAGGACTAAAAAACATCTGTTCACTGTCTTTTTTTTTTTTTTTTTTTTTTTTGAGATGGAGTCCCACTTTGTTGCCCAGGCTGGAGTGCAGTGGCACCATCTCGGCTCACTGCAACTGCCGCCTCCTGGGTTCAAGCAATTCTCGTTCCTCAGCCTCCTGAGTAGCTGGGACTATAGGCATGGCCACCAGGTCCAGCTCATTTTTATATTTTTAGTAGAGATGGGGTTTTGCCATGTTGGCCAGGCTGGTCTCAAACTCCTGACCTCAAGTGATCCGCCCGCCTTGGTCTCCCAAAGTGCTGGGATTACAGGTGTGAGCTGCCATGCCCAGCCTCTGCTCACTCTTTCGGGTTCTATTTCCCATGTGGCAGAACCTCCTGCCTTAGTATGCATGGGCTTGGGGTTCTTAATTTATCCTACATGAAATGAAGAACTCGATCTAGAGAAGAGACTAGAAAAAGAATGAACAGAACAGAACTAGAAAAAGAATGAACATAGATGGCTTGCATGAAGTGATTATATTTAATTGCAGTCTCAGAGGGGAGATAAAATGAGGGGAATAGTTGAAGAAATAAATGGCCAAAAATTCCCCAAATTTAGTGTAAATGATAAACCTACAGATCCCAGAAAGTCAACAAAATCCAAGCAGAAGAAAATGAGAGAAATCACACTAAGGGGCATCGTAATCACATTTCTAAAAAGTGATGATAAAGAGAATATCTTACAGCAGCTAGAGAAACAAACATACAAACACATTTTACACAGAGAAACAAAGATAAAATTACAGCAGACTCCTTTTCAGAAACTATGTAAAGCAGAAGAATATGGAAAAAATATTTTTGAAGCAGCTAAAAGAAAAAATAATCTGTCAGAGTAGAAGTCTAATTTTAGTAAAAATGTCTTTAAGTAGGGTAAAATAAAGCCTTTAAAAAATTTTGAGGTCAAACAAAAACTGAGAGAATTCATTGCTAGTAGAACTGTACCAAAGGAAATGTTAAAGCAAATTCTTCGAGAAGAAGGAAAAAATACGAGATGGAAATATGGGCCTCCACAAAGAAAGGGGGAGTGCTGGAAATTGTATGTGGGCAAAATGTAAGATATTATTGTCATTTTTTAAACGCTTCAAAAGAAAATTGAGTGTTTAAATAAAATAACATTTTGGAGTTTTAACATAGGTAAAACAAAGATGTCTGGCAATATCACAGGGGAAGTGAGAGCAGAAACTACAAGTTCCTGTTATAGGTTCCGAAGTAGATCCACGTGTATATACTCATACATGGTACAAAGCAGCCATGGTAATTCCTTGCAGGAAACGGTCTCTTTTTTTTCAATAAACAGTAACAAAACAGTTGTGTATTCACATGCAAAAAGTTGAGCTTTGAGGTTTACTTCATGTTATATAAGAAAATGAACTCCAAATGGATCACAAACTTGAATTCAAGAGATGTAACTCAGAATAAAGCATAAGAGATCATCTTTGTGATCTTGGTTTAAGTAATTATTTCTTAAAGAAAACACAAAGAGCATAAATCATGAAAGAATAAAATAATGAATTGAACTTAATTAAAATGAAAACTTTTTTTAAAAAAATCAAAGGACACTTAAAACAAGAAAAGACAAGCAAAAGATGGAAAATATTTGTGGAACATATTTTAAAGAGATTGTATCTGGAATATATATAAAACACAACTCTATAATATGCAGAAAAATCTAATTCAAAAATAGGCAAATGATTTGAATGGACATTTCACCAAAGAAGAGATACAGATCTAAAATAAGTAACAAAAAGATATTATCATTAGTTTTTAAGTAAATGTAAATTAAAACCACAATGAGCTACCATTACACAACTACTACATCAACTGAAATGAAAAATACTGGCAATGACATGAATTGGCAAGGATTCAACTCAGAGTAAGTGTAACTCATAAATTGCTAGCAATAATGCAAAAATAATATTGCCGCTTTGCAAAATATATGGCAGTTTCCTATAAAGCTAAACAGAAAGTTTAGCAACCCAGTGATTTCCACTTGCTCCTTAGTAAATGAGAAATGAAGACAAATATCCATCAAATATTTTATATGAACATTGATAGCAGCTTTCTTCATCATTACCCCTGACTGGAAACAATCCAAGTGTCTATCAACAGGTAAATGAATTTGCAAATTATTATGCATTCATGCAATTGAATGCTATTCAGTAATAACAACTGCATATATACACAACTACATAGGTAAATCTCAAAAGCTCTGTACTAAATGAAAGAAACCAGACACACAAAAGTTACATGAAGTATAATTCAATTTATACAAAGTTCTAGAAAAGGCAAAACTATGGTGACAGAAAGCAGGGCAGTGTTTTGTGGAAAAGATATTGATTGCGAAGAAGCTCAAAGGAATTATTTTTGGTTGATGGAAATGTTCTGTATATTACTGTGATGGTGGTTACACAAATGTAAACAATGCAAGCTGATTGAATTATACACTTAAAATCGTACATTTTATTTTATGTAATTCATAGCTCAATAAAGTGGACTAAAAAAAACCTAGTCTAGGCCAGGCGTGGTGGCTCACACCTGTAATCCCAGCACTTTGGGAGGCTGAGGTGGGCAAATCACGAGATCAGGAGTTTGAGACCAGCCTGACCAATATGGGGAAACCCTGTCTCTACTGAAAATACAAAAAAAAAATTAGCCGGGCGTGGTGGTGTGTGACATTAATCCCAGCTACTCAGGAGGCTGAGGCAGGAGAATTGCTTGAAGCTGGGAGGTGGAGGTTGCAGTGAGCCGAGATCGTGCCATTGCACTCCGGCCTGGGTGGCAGAGCAAGACTCCGTCTCAAACAAACAAACAAACAAACAAAAATTAGTCTAGAATTGATATCAGGAGTCTAGGCAGAGGCACGTATATTACTGGCCCACAATGAGGCATCCACCATTGGGGGCAAAAGTATCTTTAACAGAAGGTGGGCAGACTTAGGTATTGCATCAAAGGTAGTATTTGGGACTAGCCATGCTAACAGATATGAGGTGTTATCTTACTGTAGTTTGGATTTGCATTTTTCTGATAATGAACGATGTTGATGATATTTTCATATACTTCTTGTTTTCTTTGGATAACTGTCTGTTCAAGTCCTTTGCCCACTTTTTAATTGGGTTGTTTTTTTTTGCTATTGATTTGTAAAAATGTCTTACATATTTTTGAAATTAACCCCTTACTATAGACCCACCCTTATAACCCTTTTGACACCAAAATCACAGGCAATAAAAACAATAATAGACAAGTGGGACTATATCAAACTGAAAAGCTCCTGCACAGCAAAGGAAACCATCAACAGAAAGGCAACCTACAAAAAGGGAGAAAGCATTTGCAAACCATGTGTTTGAACTATTTGTTAAAACAGTTAGTTTCCATTAGCTCTTACTGAAACATTTAATTTTTATATAGTTCTACAGAAACATGCATCACATACTAGGAATTTAGACACCGATTTCTTTAAAATATAACTGGTATTTTTCAATACTATTGTTTATTTAGTAAGTGCCCTTTTTGTATCAATAGGGGCAAATAATGTTAAAAATTGCTGAGTTTTATAAAAAGACTTTGAACTTACAGAGGCTATTTTGCCAAATGTTTGCCAATAAGAATAAAAGTACTTTGTAAGAAAATGCACATTATTTTCTGAAGAAAGACATTCTGTTTTGTGATTTTGAGCACTCAAGGTCACAGAATCTATGAAGGATTGTAGTTTCTTAAATATCAAGCCTTATGAAAATCGCTCTTGGCTTCGTAGAAATTATGAAATGATGGGTTTATAGAAATTTTGCATTGATGAGAAATAAAAAGTGTAAGTTCTCAGAATTCTCTGATAATGGCATTTTAAAAATACAACCAAGGAGAAAGATCTTTTGAAGATTGAAGCCATGATTTGGGGTTTAGAAGTATATGACTAACCCCTACATAGACTAGTAAATCCACACTTCCTCTCTAAGGGGCTCTGAACACTTTCCAGCATCTGGCTTAGATAAAAGAGAACTGAAGATAAGTCTAAATTTCAGAGGGGCAGAGGGATTGATGACCACATGGGGAAAGATAACAAGTGTAAGAGTCATTTTTCTGACATTCATTTAGTTGACTTACATTAACATATCAAATTAAAATAACGTTGAAAATAATGAAAAGCTAATTTTGGAGAGGGCAATTTTGAATAAAGACTTTTGGACTAGAAATGAACAGATCTAGCTTTATGCCAGGACCAGCCTTTGTGAAACCTTGAACTAATACCTTAGTTTCTCTTTTTAGTTTTTGCAAGCTCCTTGCAATTTTCTTTTTTCATCTAAAGTTTAACTTTTATTTTAAGTTCAGAGGTACATGTGTAGATTTGTTGCATAGGCAAACTTGTATCTTGGGGGTTTGTTGTACAGATTATTTCGCCACCCAGGTATTAAGCCTAGTATCCATTAGTTATTTTTCCTGATCTTCTTCCTCTTCCCACTCTCCACCCTCTGATAGGTCCCAGTATGCATTGTTCTCCCCTAGTTATTCATGTGTTCTCATCTTTAGCTCTCACTTATAAGTGAGAACAGGTGGTATTTGGTTTTCTGTTCCTACATTAGTTTGTTAAGCATAATGGCCTCCGGCTCCATTTATGTCCCTGCAAAGGACATGATCTCATTCTTTTTTATGGCTGCATAGTATTCCAGGGTATGTAAATATTACATTTTCTTTATCCAGTCTATCATTGATTGGCATTTAGATTGATTCCATATCTTTGCTATTGTGAATAGTCTTGCAATGAACATGCACATACATATGTCTTTATAATAGAATAATTTATATTCCTTTGGATATATACTCAGTAATGGGGTTGCTGGGTTGAATGGTATTTCTGTCTTTAGGTCTTTGAGGAATCACCACACTGTCTTCCACAATGGTTGAGCTCATTTACAACAGTGTATAAGTGTTCCTTTTTCTCCATGACTTTGCTAGCATCTGTTATTTTTTGACTTATAGTAATAGCCATTTTGACTGGTGTGAGATGGCATCTCATTATGGTTTTGATTTACATTTCTCTAATGATCAATGATGTTGAGCTTTTTTTTTTTAAAGATATGATTGTTGGCCACATGTATGTCTTCTTTTGAGAATGATATTCTGTATCCCCATATTGGTTGGGATGGAATGCTGACTTCATTTGCAACACAGCTTTGAAACTCAGACCTTTTTGAAGACATGACCTGAATTTCATCTCATACACTGCAAAATCTGTTCAGAGTTGTGGTGATGGAAATATATATTGCTGCCTGTAGTGGTCTTAATAGTGTTCCCCACCAAATTTATGTCCATCTAGAACCTTGGAATTGATCTTATGTGGAAATAAGATCTTTGAAGAGGTAATGAGCTGAGGTTCTTGAGATGAAATCTTCCTGGGATTAGGGTGCACCTGAAACTCAGTGACAGGTTTCTGTATAAGAAAAGGAGAGGTCACAGAGAGACATACAGGCAAGAAAACCATATGAAGATGAAGGCGGAGATGAAAGTTATGCTGCCAAAAGCCAAAGAACACCTGAAGCCACCAGAAGCTCAAAGAGGCAAGGAAGGATCCTCCCCTGGAGCCTTCAGAGAGAGCATGGCCCTGTCAGCACCTTACTTCCAGACTTCCAGCCTCCAGAACCATGTGAGAATAAAGTTCTCCTGTTTTAAACATCCAGGTTTGTGGTAATTTTCTACAACATTCCTAGGAAACTAGGGTCCTACCTCAGATATCTTTTTGTTTCCATCTCATTTCTAATTATTTGGTAAAATGCTTAGTTTCGATGTCAGAACCATAAACATGGCGAGTCACAGATTACAGGGCCAGGACCCGAGATATGAGGCAATGTGCAAAGGTGAGGGTCTTTGTTCTTGGAGTAGTCTCTGGAAGCCCCTGGTCAAGGCAGAGTCAGAACTCCAGGATCAAGGGTTTCTGCCCCAGCCACACGCATGTCTGCTGAAGCTCTGCTCATCACTCTTGCTCCCGCAGCCTCACACTGTGCTCTCTGTATTGTTCCTGTCCTCAGGGGAGCTGCCTTACCTTGGGGACCCTAGAATTAGGCAGTGTCCTTGAATTAGCCATGCCCTCCTCTGCGCCCACAGCAGAAAGGCACACCTATTTCACTCTCAACGTCCTAGAGTTGAACCCACTTTTTCCCCCTGAACAGTCCATGGAAATCTTGACACTGTTATCAGAAAAATGGGGAGACAAGTTTAGCTGGATAGGCAATGGCATTAGTCTACGTCAAAAGGCAAAGGGAGGTTTGACTTTTATACGTATTTTCTTATTGATGAAGATGAAACACAGGACCTTTAATTAAAAATTCTCCCCATATTTTCTTATCCCCACATATGCCTATGCATCAGTATTTGTATGTTGGACACAAAGCACATACATTTGATGAAAAAGAGTGACTGGGATTAGAGTAGTCATATTTCACATAAGCTCAGGGCTTTATATTTCATTAAGGTTTCTTCTACACCATCCTTCAGAATAACCTCTGGATTGGACATTAGAGTACAGATAATATTTTCATCTTCTCTATTTTGCAAACAAACCAACAAACCAAACTAACTTGTTCCTACTCCCGACCCTCAGTTAGGAAATGACTAGAATTGAAATCTGCTGGCACTTCCCACAGAGATGTTTCCATCAGCTGAACTCAAACTGAAGACAGACAAATTTGGTTTGGCACATTCCATTTCAGGCTGTGGTTCTCAGCCCTGTGGGCAAAGTGAGTTCTATCAAGAACTCGAGAAGGTAGAAGGTCACAGCCAAAGCCAACCTTGGTGTTAGTACACCAAGTACACCAAGAAGTAACAAGTACACCAAGAAGTCAGGTGGTGAAGAATCTGGAGTGGCCTCAGAAATCAGATCATCAAGAATTGAAAGACCAGGGCCAACTGCAAGAAAACTGATACAAGGCAATAAAACAGAAAGCCCCTTGCAATCTGAGTGGCCATACCATGCTTTTAACCTACGTAGGAACAAGTATGAGAGTAAGACACTGTGCAGGCTAAAGAAAGTAGTAGGCTTTGGCAAATGGATGTTATCAGCTAGTTCAAGAATCTAAAACAGGCCAGTCAGGGTGGCTCATGCCTGTGACCCCAGCACTTTTGGAGGCCGAGGCAGGAGGGATGCTTGAGCACAGGAGTTTGAGACTAGCTTGGGCAACACAGTGAGAACTTCTCTTTACTAAAATAAAAATTAAAAGTATTAACCGGTGTGGTGGTGAGTAGTCCCAGTGACTTGGGATGCTATGTTGGGAAGGATCACCTGAACCTGGGAAGTTGAGGCTGCAGTGAATCATGTTCACACCACGGCACTCCAGCCTGGGCAGCAGAGTGAAACCTTGTCTCAAAATTAAAAGAAAAAGAATCTAAAACAAGGAAGGTCATTTTACACATATTGTATTGCCATCCATTTTGTAATTACATGTATGTCAGCATATATGTGCATAAAATACTTTAGAAAGATAGGTGAAATATTTAATAACTCTTTAAGTGTGTGCTTTTCTTTCATGAGCATTTGCTAATTTGATACTTGAAACAATAAAGCTACTTCCCTTTTGAAACAAAAGCAACAAGTGAGAAAACACAACCTAATTCTAGAAAATAAACGCATGAGCTGCAGGAAAACAATGAACAAATATTTTAAAATTAAAAGGGTATGTCAGAAGTTTCGATGAATTGTATAGAATACAAAAGCAGAATAACTTTCTGTGGGAAAGTTTAATAGAATGCTTCGGGGATTTATCATGCTCTGATTTTTTGCCTTACTGAGAGAATTGCAGCCATTCGAATAAAATTCCTTAAGACATTAGAAATGTCTTAGAGTCTGACTGCTGAAGCTTTGAATTATGCGGAACAGCAGTTTAGCTGTTTGTGCACCATTTGTTTGAAACTCTCATTGGTACCTGATAAATACACACATACATCCCTTCAGTCCCTTAAAGGAGCATGTCCAAAGCAACCGCTAGCAACATCACCTGCCAATATCACAGCATCGTTCTTCATGGCCTGAGACCAGTAGTCGAATAAAGTAGTAGACAGCTGCAAAGTGAAAAGGTAGGGAGTGTGGGCAAATCACCTACTGAGTATACAGACTCCATGTGTAAGGCTTGGAAAAATCCCATGGAATTTTTAAAATTTGTGTCTTTCTTCTCCACTAGGTAGGAAGGGGTTTGGCACCTTTTTCTCCATATGTTGTATCTGTGGCTGGGAGGTAAAAGTTGCCAGTTCAGAGAATACAAATGGAGCCCCATTGCTGCCCTAGGAGTTCTGGGGAGGACCTCTCCGGGCACATTCTGCATTGGCAAGTTGACACACAACTCGGCATTAGAAGCTGGGAGGGCAAGCGAGGCTATTTCATTCCAAATTTCCCCTTTAGGGACATTTAGGTGATCCTAATTGTTTATGACTCTGAACATCATTTTGCCAATCACATTTTCAAATGGCCTTGAATATAGCTCTCTATTTGCCATTTGGGAGATTTTTCTTATACATATTTGTATAAATTTAGGATGTAGCCTATTAAAGTTTAGTGGCAGAAGCATATTAACCTACCATATTACTATAATAGACCATTTTAAAAAGAGTATGTTTATTTTAAAAAATGCTAGTGTCTCAAGATGCCTGTTAGATAGGATCTTTCTCTTTCTTTTTTTTGCAAGTTCAAAAATGTCTATCTGAGACTGGCAAGAGCAGAAGAGATTTGTCAGCTCTAAGACTGAAGTTCCAGGGGTTTCTGTTCCAGCCACACATAGGCCTGCTGAAGCTCTGCCCATCACTCTTACTCTCCAAGACTCCTGCTGTGCTCTCTGTGTTGATTCCGTTCTCTGCGGGGCTGCCCAACCTTGGGACCCTGGAACTAGGCAGTGTTCCTGATATCCACACCCTCCTCTGCACCCGCTGCAGAAAGGCACACATATTTCACCCTTAAAGTCCAGGAGTGGAACCTGTTCTCTGCTCCTGAACATTCTAAGGAAATCTTGACACTGTTATTAGAAAAATGGGAAGGCAGGATCAGCTAGGTAGACAAAGGCAAGCATCATGTCAAAAGGCCAAGGGAAGTTTGACTTTTATACGTGTTTTCTTATGGATGAAGATGTAACACAGGACCTTTAATTTAAAATTCTCCCTGTGTATTTTTTATCCCCACACATGGCTATGCATCAGAATTTGTATGTTGGACACAAAGTACATAATTTGAAAAAAAAGAGCAAGTGGGATTACAGCGGCCATATTTCACATGAGCTTAGTGCTTTATATTTTGTTAAGGTTTCTTCTACACCGTTTCCTGTTAGCTTCAAAATAACCGGTGGATGAGACATTAGAGAATATAATAGTTTCATCTCTATTTTACAAACAAACTAACAAACCAAACTGACATGTTTCTATTCCAGACCATCAGTTAGGAAATGACTAGAACTCGAAGCTTCTGGCACTTCCTGCAGAGATGTTTCCATCAGCTGAACTCAAATTGCAAATAGACAAATTTGGATTTTTAGAGTATTTGAAATAAGCCTTTAGAATACTGGCAATTTCATTGAACTAAATGACTTCAAACTCAAAACACTTAGCTGTAGTGAAAAGTTTATATATATCATTTACATTTAAACATACTGTAAAGTCTCACTGTTGTTTTCAGATGGCATATGTAGATATCTACTTGTTTTCCACTAATTCACAAGTATTTGAAAAATATGCATGGAGCAGGTATGTGAATGTCAGGAGTGAAGGAAGGAAAGGGTTAATTAAATCTAGTTCTAAATGTTGAGAATTGTATGAGGTCAGATAAAATAAATGTGAGTAATTAATCAGCCTAGTGGTATAATACTAAATATTCAGAAATAGCAATAGAGCAAAAATAATTGGTTTGTGTCACAAAATTATAGACGATTTGTCAAAATAACATTTATATGGGAAATTATTTAGGATATACATGTTTAAAATTTCTTGAATAATCATTTGCTTATGTGTCTTTGGGAGACTTGGAAAAAATTTTCTTAGCATGTTTACAAATTTTTTTTTTTTTTTGAGACGGAGTCTTGCTCTGTCGCCCAGGCTGGAGTGCAGTGGCGCGATCTCAGCTCACTGCAAGCTCCGCCTCCCGGGTTCACGCCATTCTCCAGCCTCAGCCTACCGAGTAGCTGGGACTACAGGCGCCCGCCACCACGCCTGGTTAATTTTTTTGTATTTTTAGCAGAGACGGGGTTTCACCGTGTTAGCCAGGATGGTCTCGATTTCCTGACCTCGTGATCCGCCCGCCTCGGCCTCCCAAAATGCTGGGATTACAGGCGTGAGCCACCGCGCCTGGCCTGTAAAAATTTTTAGACATCTTTGGGGGTATGTTTTAAGGACCACACGCCCTATTACTTTTCTTCTTTAGCTGCCCACCCCAAAATCTTCTCAGGGACTAGACCCTTTCTTGCCTTTGACTCTTTTGTCTTAAGGGAGCTGAAGCCCCAGAGACCCTACCTTGTACTTTACAAAGCTCCACTTTCTCAGCTCAACAGTCTAACCCACAAGCCGCGTGGAGGGCCTCGTGGGATGGGAATACAGTGACCAGCAGTTACACAAGATCCACTGCCTGCCTTAGGAAGAAATACGGTAAACATATGAGCACCAGTATCTTTTTAATATAATGATTTATTTTGCATTGGGTAGATACCCAGTGGTGGAATTTCTGGATAGAATCACATTTACATTTTTGTTCTTTGAGAAATGACAATACTGTTTTCCAGTGATGATTGGACTGTAAGTCCAGACTTCTCCGCTACACAATATATCCATATAACAAAACTGCGCTTGTTTCCTTTAAATTTATACAAATAAAAAAATTTTAAATGTGGCTGGAGAGAAATTGTACATTTTTTTTTTAAATGCCTGGACATGGCTTTGCTCAGACTGAAGACCTGGGCTTTCCTCCTATGTCCAGGACAGAGAGACTCTGTAGATGATTGGTAAAGGCGCGGGAGGAGGCGGGTGAGGGAAAGTAAAAGATAAGGTGGAGGGGAGCTGGGGAGAAATCAATGTGAAGGCGAAAATGCTTTTAGTTCTTAAATAAAGACTCTTACAGTTTTGGGTTTAGGGAGCGCTGCATGTTGGAGATGGAACTGATATCAAAGAAATGAGCTGCTTTAAGCCTAAAGGGAGTCCGGTGAGGCTTTTTACCTAATTGCACAGCCTGCAGCTCCCTAGACAGAATAAATGCTAAATAAATCAGTGCTTGGAAGTATGTGTGTGTGTGTGTGTGTGTGTGTGTGTGTGTGAAAGAGAGAGAGAGAGAGACGGAGAAAGAGAGAGAGAAAAAGGATGCTAAGGGCACAAGTGCATTTTTTTGGGAACTAAAACAAAATATTTTCTGGCTTCCTAGAGGTAATTTTATAGTGTTGCTAAAGTGGTGCTTTTACATTTTGTTTAGCTCAAAGGTTTTTGCTAAAATATGTCTATTTTCCTAGGACAAACAGTAAAGCTTGTCCTCATTGTTTTCCAACTAGTTGACAGCTAATACACCTGGAAATAGCAAATATCACCATTTGTAAACTAACAGAAATGCCTACTTTTATTTCCAACTACCATGCGCTGTTCTGGGCAGTACTTACTTAATATAAGGTCCTAAAATGTCAGTGAAATTTGATAAGGATATTTAGGCAAATAATGTATTTTAACATTGTTATAAAAATATTTTTAGTAGACGGTTTTGAAGGCCTTTCCGTTGTATATCTGAAATCTTACTGTGACAAATACTTTTTTAAAAAAATGTGGATGTGGCAAACATGGTTATAATACCAATGTGGGATAAGGGGGTGTGTGTGTGTGTGTGTGTGTGTGTGTGTGTATGTATTCAGGGCAATAGGGAATTACACATTTAAAGATGATGTTGGTCGGGCACGGTGGCTCACGCCTGTAATCTCAGCACTTTGGGAGGCCGAGGTGGGCGGATCACAAGGTCAGGAGTTTGAGACCAGCCTGGCCAACATGGTGAAACCCCGTCTCTACTAAAAATACAAAAATTGGCTGGGCGTGGTGGCATGTGCCTGTAATCCCAGCTACTTGGGAGGCTGAGACAGGAGAATTGCTTGAACCCAGGAGGCAGAGGTTGCAGTGAGCTGAGATCGTGCCACTGCACTCCAGCCTGGGCAACAGAGTGAGACTCCATCTCAAAAAAAAAAATGATGTGATATCAGAAATCAGAAGGGTAAAGTTCTTTACCTGAAAAGGTGACTCAGCCTATAGAATGTGAATAGAACCAGAAGATGAAAACGATAAAAAAAAAAAGAAATATTGGTAGGTAGATTGGTTTAATGTCAATCATATGAAACAATATATATGAAAATGCTTTGCAAACATGCAAATATACAACCATTTGCTATTAGGAGAATTCCATGTTACAGTTTGAAAAATAAATTGGACTCATTTAAGAATGGTGAAAAATTTAATAAGCTGAGAAGACAAACTGATATGAAGTTTAATGGGAGAAAATGTATAGCCTGGATTGTCTATTTCATCCGGAAGGGGAAGGAAATAGACACCTACGACGGCCTGGTGAAGGGGGAATATCCAGAACCTGCCTCCCAAAGTGCTGGGATTACAGGCATGAGCCACCACGCTGTTACATATTCTATTTTGTCATTTTCAGCTGCTGTAATTTCCATTATATGAAGGCCAATTCTCGGTTTTGGAAATGTAGGTGGCTTCTAGCAGTCACTGTTAAAAACAAGACTGTTATGAATGTCTTTGTAGACATGGACACCATGCTGAGTTACGGATACATTCTTGTAAACAAAGTTACCAGGTCAAAGGCAAGCACCCATTTCAGGCTTCTGATGTCACTGCTAAGTTGATCTTTGGAAAAGTTCACTTGACCAACAGTATGTCAAATTGCCTATTTCCAAGCACAACAGTAGCTTTAGAGATTCAGTGTTTAATCTCTGCCAGGCTTATTGGTGAACGCCATCTAGCATGTTGAATGACTCTGAGATGATGAGCCCATTTAGTTAGAATAAGGGGAGGCCTATCTGTAGAAATGGCATAAACCATCTCTACTCAGAGATCACCCTACCGGCCTGTGGGGCAGTGCCATGCTTGTGTGAAATAAGAATGTAGTTGGTGCGTCCCTTTAGGTAAGTCTCCGAGTTGGTCATGGAGCATCAGTCCTTTCCCCCAAGGATACTCTCTCCAAGTGATTTCTGGAAGCCCTAAGAGGGTGCCCCTGCATCCCCACAAACAAGCCTGACCCTTTGCCATTCTCCATGGGTAAATTACCCCTCGCCAAAAGGCAGAGCGTGCAAATTCCCGGAGAACGCTCCTGCTTTCAGACTCACAGGAACACTGAGAACTCCTGGCCGGTCTCAGAGCTGCTGTTCCTCCAGACTGTAGGCTGGTGCTGGGCAGAGGCCAAGAGGGAGAAGGGGCCTCCCCCAACACTCAGAGGTGAACTCGAACAACAGTGGTGAAGGGAAATTCTCAGCATGAGCCTGGGAAGCTGAAGGTTGGGGGCCGGAACAGCCTGAAGTCTTATTTACTCACATGAGGGGCTGTCACATGGGACCCTGGCTGGGCCTCTTGCCTGAAACATCTCCCTGTGGCTTCTCCCTGTGGGCAGGGCTTCTTCACAGTGTGTCACTGGGTTGCACAGGTGAGCATCTGAAAAGTGAGAGAGGCAGGCACAGAAGTCAGGTGCATCACTTTGACCACATCCTGTTCATTCACCTGCCAGGTTCAAGGGAAGGAGAAAAATCGTCCACCTGTAAATGGGGGAGCACACGTGGGACCAGAAATATTGCTGCATCCTCAATGGGAAAATGCTTCTGCAACACGGTTGAGAGTTGCCAATATTATCTTCATTTTGCCATCAACCTGCCACGTTTCAGGGAATTTTCTACTTGTTTGGATTGGCAATTTTCCACCTTCTCTTTTTCTCAAATATAGGTTGCAGAATTCGAGTCACAAATAGCGTGAGGGCAAACAACGCGGGCACAGTGGACTTCAGAGAAGCATTAATGAAACTTTAAATCGCACGTGGCCTCAGGATATCCCACACAGTGTCTGTGGCAATATGCAAATTTGTGGTATATGAAATTAGGAGTGTCTTATTTCAAACTCCAAATTGGCCTTCAGGAAATTGCTTCTGAAGTTACTGTATTAGTTTGCTAGGGCTGCTATAGCAAAATAAAACAACTAGGTGACCTGAACAGCAGAAATTTATTTTCTTACAATTCTGGGGGCTGGAAGTCCAAGATCAAGGTGTTAGCAGGGTCAGGTGTTAGCAGGGTTAGATCAAGGTGTTAGAAGGCCCTCTCCTGGGCTTCTGGATGGCCTCTTCCTCTGGTGTCCACACATCGTCTTCCATCTTTGCATGTTTCTGTCTTAATCTCCTCTTCTTATAAGGATACCAGTCGTACTGGATTAGAGGCCACTCTAATGACCTCCTTTACCTTAATTAACTCTTTAAAGACCCTGTTTCCAAATATGGTTACATTATGAGTTATTGGGGTGGGGGGCTTTAGAACTTGAATATACAAATTTGGGAAGACAAAATTAGCTGCAATAATCACTGCTATAGAAAGTCTTATGACAGTGACCTTGTAGGCTACTCCGGAGTCACATTTTCATCTGTCTTCTAGACATTTTGTGTCTGATAATCTTCCTTTCCTCAATGCTTCCTAATCCTGATTTTTCTGTGTCTGTTTAGAATATCTCATCCTCTCAAGGCATCAGGACAAAAATGAATAAATAAAAAATAGTAACTAAACAAAAATCTCCAGTGTTAACTATAATTTTCTGTCTTTTTTTTTTTTTTTGTATCCTAAGTCCTCATGATTATTCCTTTGAAGTAACTTCCATTTTTGTCCCTTCTTACTTCTCCATCTCACTTCTGGCTTTTCTCATGGTTTTTGTCTTTTATCAGATTGATACAGTGTGTTACATTAATTTGTTTAAAACATTAAACCAACCCTGCATCCTTAGGATAAATCCTACTTTTTAATGTGCTTAAAAAAAAAAAAAGAAAAAGAATGGCCACTCCATAGGCAGAGCAGGGGCATGAGCCACTGGTTGCCCATTTTTATGGTTATTTCTTGATTATATGCTAAACAAGGGGTGGATTATTCATGAGTTTTCTGGGAAAGGGGTGGGCAATTCCCAGAACTGAGGGTTCCTCCCATTTTTGGACCATATAGGGTAACTTTCTGAAGTTGCCATGGCATTTGTAAACTGTCGTGGTGCTGGTGGGAGTATAGCCTTAAGGACGACCGGAGGTCACTCTTGTTGCCATCTTGGTTTTGGTGGGTTTTAGCTGGTTTCTTTACTGCATCCTCTTTTATCAGCAAGGTCGTTATGACCTGTATCTTGTGCTGACCTTCTATTTCATCCTGTGAGTTAGAATGCCTAATTGTCTGGGAATGTAGCCCAGTAGGTCTCAGCCTTATTTTGCTCACCCTATTCAAGATGGAGTTGCTCTGGTTCAAAGGCCTCTGACAATATCACCCCTACTTTTCTGTTCTTCAGACTTGTTGAGGAAATCAGCAAGCGTTAATGCTTTAAAATAAACTATGCAGACTGAGAAAAATTTTCAGTAGTACTTATCTCTCACTGTGCTGTTTTGTGGATATTTGTGTGTCCATCATGTCTCACGACCGTATCTCCTCAAGGAAAGACTGATTAGACATACATTTTTAAACTGCTTGGCAGGGCAGTGTCTTGGCACAAAGGGGTCTCAATGCAATCTACTGTATCAATGAGCGGACCATAGAAGAATGTGATGAACAGGTAGCTCACTCATACACTATAGCTTACTCCTATGTTATAGTTTACTTATGCACTATAGATTTTAGAAATTTCTATCATTAAAGAAAACAATTTCAAAGAGAAGTTTATAAAACTTAATAATCTTTAGGAAAGTGATATCTTTGGGGAAATCAGCATGAAACATTTTGTTGTTTTAAAGTGACCACAGAAAAACATGTTTTGATATTGCCTCTTTGATTTCTGTCACCTTATGATAATTTTTTTTCCTGGATTCAAGCAGACACACAATTTCTCTGGAAAAAAACTGTTTCTCTTCATAAAATAAAAAACAAACAAACATTGCATTCACAACTCTGCTCCCATAACTGCTTGAAGCCTCAGATTTTGTGAGGGGCACGTCCCTCCCATTTGTCTCTTTCAAAAATAAAATCTATGGGCCTTGGCTTCTGTAAACTCTTTGGAGAAAAATGCAAATCTTGAGACACTGTGTACTTTGTACTTCTGCAGTCATACAGTCATTTATGATCATCGGTGAGCTCCTCAATCACAGGAAACATCTGGCTGCAGCAGCAAATGTCTTATTTTACCTTTCTTCCTAGACAGAGGAACATCCTTTACTGCATTACAAAATCCTTGAATATCTTCACAATGCTATAAATCTCAACATGACCTGTATTTGTCCTTAATATGTTGAATGAACAAAATACCACAGCTTGACTTGCACTCAGAGCTGATCTAGTGACAGCTCTTTCCTCCCACCTTTGAGGAACCTCAAGCAGGAGGGCAAAGTGCATTTCTAGGTGGCAGATCTCACCGGGGCAGGGACAGGGGCAGGGGCAGCGCTGGCCCTGCAACTTCTGAGGTACAGCCAAATGCTACTTTTGCCTCCTGTGCAGAGTCCTGGGGTGGAGTCTCCTGAGTGGGCTTTTGTCCCCACACACGTTGGAGCATTCTGTGTGTGTGAGGGTCCATGTGGACTGCCTCCCGCCAGTGTCACTTAGGTCCCTGAACCCCCTCTCAGCTATGCAAAGGGAATGAAGTTCTCTGAGCTGTGCGAAGCTGCAGAAACCCATTCACCATGACCCATGCTTGGTACTGTCTTCAATTTTATACCTGCTGCCTGCAGACAAGACCCATCTTCTGGTTGAATTAAGGACAGGTATCAGTTTACTCATCTCCTTGGGTTACGTCCAGGTTCATGGAGTGCTGCTGCACTTGATGTTGGTTTGAGTTATATATGTTACCTCATATGTATATATTTGAGGATATATATATCTGTGTGTATATATACACACACAGATATGTTGGTTTGAGGTTATATGTATATATATATATATATACACACACACAGATATAGATACACACACATTTATATCTCTGTCTGTATATGTGGAGAGAGACAGAGAGAGAGTGCACCAGGAGTACTGAAATAAAGAGATGCCATCAATAAAACCTAGTGGGCTGTACCAAGTGTATTTTATCAACAAAGCAGAAAGCAGGTCCACAGTGCACAATTGTGTGTTATGACAACTAAAACTAAGATCGTTTCCCCCATGTTCTGGAAGAATTTTATCTCTTCAGTACAAAGGAACTGTTCATGAGCTGCTATTGCCCTGCTGAGGAAAGGGATGGTGATTAAAAGCATCAGTGAAAATCCTGGAACTGACCCTTTCATATTCAGAAGCCACTGTGGAGGCTCTACCATGGGCAAAGCATTATCGTGGGAGCTATTTGGGATTCAACGATAATCACAGATTTTGTTCTCCAGGAGTTCATAATTTATTGTGTGTTTATGTAAGAACACAAGGGAGACATTTGGTAAGTTCCAAAAGAGTGGTGAAAGGTAACAATCTAATTCAGAATAGGCAGCCAGCTTCCCATGGCAGGTGTAGAAGGAAGATCTTATGTCACATCTTTTGATTTCTGCAAAGCGGTGTAAGTTGCGTATTAGAAGGAGCTAATGTCATACCATGTGCTCTCCTGCAACTCAGGTATGGGAGGGAAGTTCCACCTGTGGATAATGATTTCAAACATGGATGCCCATCACAATTCTATTGGTTGGTGTGAAAGTAATTGCAGTTTTGGATCGTGAATTTTATATCATTATAACTAGGCTCAAACGCATCTTTATTAATCAAAATTGGAACCATTACAGTCAACACATTTTTGCCAGTAAGAAATGTTTGTTTATTCCTGTAGCATAAAAATCTGTGCTTTGGGATTCCACAAACTCTTGGAAAGCATTTTCTGCATCCTGCTGGTTGTGGAAGCATTTTCCACAACCTGCAAAAAATCGTCAAGATGCTTGAAGAAGTGGTGGTTGGCAAGAGGTGAAGTGAATATTGTGGATGAGGCAACACTTCATAGCCCAATTTGTTCAACTTTTGAAGCATTGGTGGTGTCATGTGCAGTTGGGCATTGTTGTGGAGAAGAATTGGGCCCTTTCTGTTGACCGATGCTGGCTGTAGGGCTTGCAGTTTTTGGAGCATCTTATTGGTTTGCTGAGCATACTGCCCAGATGTAATGGTTTTCCCGGGATTCAGAAAGCTGTAGTGGATCAGACCGGCAGCAGACCACCAAACAGTTATCATGACCTTTTTCTGGTGCAAGTTTGACTTTGGGAAGTGCTTCTGTCCAGCCACTGAGCTGGTCATGCCTGGTTGTCATATAAAATTCACTTTTCATTGCCCATCACAATCTCATTGAGAAATGGCTCCTTGTTGTTGAGTGAAATAAGAGGACGACATTTCAAAACGATTTTATTTTTAATTTTCACTCAGCTCATGAGTCACCCACTTATTGAGCTTTTTCACCTTTCCAATTTGCTTCAAATGCCAAACAACCATAGAGTGGTTGATGTTGAGTTCTTCGGCAACTTCTTGTGTAGTTGTAAGAGGATCAGCTTCGATGATTGCTCTCAATTGGTCATTGTCAACTTTGGCCCCTACGCTCCTCATCTTCAAGGTTCTCATCTCCTTTGCAAAACTTCTTGAACCACCACTGCACTGTACGTTCATTAGCAGTTCCTGGGCCAAATGTGGTGTTGTTGTTGCGAGTTGTCTCTGCTGCTTTATGACCCATTATGAACTTGAATAAGAAAATCGCTCAAATTTGCTTTTTGTCTAACATTGTTCCCATAGTCTAAAATAAACATAAAATAAACAACAAGTGTAATAAGCCATTATTAAAAAAATAAAGTGAGAAATGCACATTAAAATAATGTGTAACATAACCACATTTATTTAAGAATGTATTCCAGTATCAAACGGCGAATTCCAACAATGCAAAAACTGCAACTACTTTTGCACTCACCAGATAGTCATTGCTTCACTTAATATGTAGACATTCCTCATATAATGAGTACAGTGTCAGCCTATGCATTAGAAGCTATTGAAGTAAATCAAACATTAAGGAATTAATCATACTTTGATTTAAGAGATTGAAAAACTTTATGAAAGTTTACAAAAGTGATGTTATTTAACGTTGGATTTTAAAACAATACCTTTGACCTTGGTCACCTTCAAACGTAAATTAATCTTTCTTGGCCTCCCTACCACAATGATCTTTACCCCATTTCCACTGGGAATACCCGTCATGTTTGATTGAAGGACCACATTTTGTGGTCCTGCAGAATTTATGAAATGAAAGAGCTAACTGAAAAGAGGCAGCTTTAGCCTGTGGATGTCTTTTTCCCAAAATTTAAGGTCTAATATTTCCTCTTTTAGACTTTTCTTTATTTACAGAGAGACTTTGTTTTATTTATTCTTATGTCCATCCCATGTAAAAAGGTCTGTGCTTTTATTTCTGATGTTAAAAATAAATAATAAATAAATAAGTGAATGAATAAATACCAAGAGAATGTTAATCTTTTCCACTTTTAATAATCAATCATGCCATATATTGAAATAGTGTTATAAAAATTCCTAACCCCACATAACTTACATGTGCATAAAATGTGCATTGGCGTTTTGTGACAACTGTAACTCAGCATATTGCTGACACAGAGGATCAAATTCAGCCAGTGATGGCACCATGGTGAACAGTGTTGTGACTTCTGTAGATAAGGTGGTATTTCATTATGGAATTTTAAATCTCTGGATTTTTGTTAAATTAAAGGAAAAGAAAATGGGTAATAGAAAGCAGATATGAAAATTCAGAGGGCTGGAAAACCTGTTAACTCATCTGCCAAGGAAGGTAGAACTCCACAACAATGAAGTAGGCAGCACTTACGGTATTGCTTAGGAAAAAAGTCATGCTTTTCCTATAGTGAAGAGAACAACGTAACTATGCACAAAAGGAAGGACACTATTAGATGTTAAAGAAAGCTTTTCATCACACATTTTGGGGAATTACTGTTCAGATTTCCTCAACACCAAGGGCATCCATCCTTATCGGCCTGATTAGACACTCAGGGTGTTCAGCCAGATCTTGTTCTATTACATATCACTGTTTCCAGTAAATCATGGTACAGTGAAGTTAAATTGGACTTAGAAGAACCCATAAGAACCATCATTTTAACACAGCACTAAACTTTACCCCTGAAGTCTTCTCTGTGTCTCATGTTATTGTCTATGAAATGCGTGCTTGTCTGCTGACATGGGAAAATGTAATCTACATGAAACATGAAGTCGGTGAGTGTGTGAGAAATCTGAGTCTAATGGAAACACTGAAAGGTGTGTCATGAGAAGCAGCTTACAAATAACAACAGTTATAGCAATTTGTCGTTACTATTGAAAAGAAACATTTATTTGGTAAACTTGGTTGCATGCAAAAGAACATAATGATGAAATTGAACAGTGACTCGGATCACATTAATTTGCACACAGAAATAAGAAGAGCCAAAGGCAGCAACTAAGATTGTGGTGGACAGAATAATGGCCCCCAAAGATGTCCACGTCTTAATCCTCAGATCCTGAGGTTATGCTGTACTCTGTGGCAAAGGGGAATTAAGGTTGCAGAGGGAATGAAGTTCGGTCATCAGCTGCTCTTAAAATAAGGAGATAGTCCTGTGTTGCTTGGAGGTGGGGTCCAGTGAAATTACAGGGGACATTAAATGTGGAAGAGGGAGGTGGAAGAAGAAGGCAGAATTAGAGATTTGAAGATGTTGCAATGTTGTCTTCAAAGATGGAAGAGACCAGAAGCCAAGGAATGCAGGTGGCCTTTAGAAGCTGGAAAAGGCAAGGGCTAGCTCCTCTCCTGAGCCTCCAGAAGGAGGGAAGCCCTGTTGAGATTTTGACTTTAGTCCAGTGGGACCCATGTTAGACGTCTGACTCTTGAAACTGTAAGATAATAAATTGGTGCTACTTTTAGCCACTAAGTTTGTGGATGTTTGTTATGACAGCAAGAGGAAGACCATGTAAATATGTTTTTATATGATTGTAGAATGTATACACAATACTGCCTTCAAATAAACTGAATAAGAAGCAGCAGGTCAGAGTTAATTTTTAATGGAACTGCTAATTTTGGGTCAACACTGAAATAACTTAGGGTTGTGTCAGGAATGTGCAGAGTTACTCGCTTCTAAAGGGAGGACATTGTGTGGGTGGTAGTGGAGCCTCACTGAAGTGAGAATAAAATAGCTGTGCTCCTGCAGCTGACACAGAAAAGTAGAGGCTTGTTAACGCATAGGATTGGGGGGACATGCGAATATGCATATGAGAAATTACTTTCCCTATATCAGCAACTCTAATAAATAAAGCAAATATTGATAAAAAATATGTTGAAAATTCCAAGTATAGGGAAATAGCTACAATTTATTGACATAGAATTACATAGTGAAAACACATTCATGAACATCGCTTAAGGAAAAGATTAAGTAAAAGTAGGAATCGAATGAATATACTTGTGTTATTCTCTAGCAAAAATGAAAGTTTGGGTGAAGGGTAAGCCAGATTCCTGTTCTGCTCCCTGGAGAGTGGGTCTCTCAGGTCTAACATCAGAGCCAGCTCTTGAGGGTGCCAAGTTCCTGCCATGCAGGGGCCTCTGCTTGCCTCTGAGATAGACAAAGCACACCATTTCTAGCTGAAACTCTGAGCACAGAGTAGAGCATGTTCTGTTCTTGGCATAATATATACATATCTCTGTCTTTTCTATGTGTACAGAGTGCGTTCACTAAGAGGGCACTTCACAGGGGCTTCTGGGTGCCCTTCTGATCTGAAGTCTAATCTTATCAGATCTGATGACTGGGTGGTGAGTTGTCAGACAGGGAAGGGAATGGCTTTTTGGAGAGAACTTGAAGAGTATTTTCTATGGTTGATTAAACTGGGAAAGAGAGTTCTTGCTCTTTTTATTTTATGAATACATGCAGAATGAAAAGACTGGAAGAATCAGCAAAATGATGTTAGTAAAACTCTTCTCCAGCTAAAGTGCACAGTGAAAGAAGTAAAGCCTTAAATGGTGGCAATCCAGTTTTATAGTTTGGAAGGAATAAAACAATGCTATCTCACATATGGATATTGAAGCACAATAATGCAAATCTGTGTATGGCTTTGTTGTAGCATACTGCTACCATCATTTATATAAATACAGTAATAAGGATATTTGGTTCATTTTGGGAATTACTGTTTTATTCTTCAAAACATGTTCAAACAGTATTCAAGCTTGAGAAACATGGCATAATTTAAGAATATAATTTTTAACCGGGGTCTAAGAAATTGTCTCATTTCTCTCTCTATGTAGCTATGTGATCTGAAACAATACAACTAATATTTTGTTATTTAAATTTTATCATGCTAATGAAATATGCCACAGGGATATTGTCAATCTGTATGCATAAGTTTGTCAAAAATTATGCAACATCATGATGATGTGCAGTTGGACTCATTAAACCTCAATTTCTTCTTTCTTAGACTCAGTCGTTCCAAATATTGCCTGCTCCATCTGTCCTAATTGTGTCCTACATATAAAAACCAATTTACATTTTTACTTGTCAAAATGTTCTTTCCAACATGAAAACAAAAATTAATGTCTCTGTTTTATACTATTTCTCCCCTTTACTTGGTGAAAATTCCTTGAGCCTGTGGGCCAAGTGTTCAATTTTGTACCCTCAGAGAACTTAGAGTAATACTGAGTATGCGGCAGATGATGAATAAATGGTCTAATTTAGTTAACAGCATTTTAGCAGCAGTAGTAACAGTGGCAACTGCATAGATATTTTGAGGAATCTCACCACTTTTGTTACTTAATTCATCCCTAAAAGTTTTGTTTTAGCTGGGGAAGCAGTAAAGAACTTTATAAAATATTCAACATTTGTGCAGTGTTTTGCCCATAAACAAGTGATCATTTTTATACAGCAGAATTGCAAAGAATTTTCCTCTTTATACCTACTGAGTTACAGAGGTAAATTCACCTATTTTAAATGCCTTCATTTCATTCAATTCAAGCTGACACATTTATAAGTCATATTCGCATTGACTTTAAGTAATAATGTTTAAGAGAAGAAATAGAAATTTTAGGATAACTAAGCTTTTTCAGTTTCAAAAAATATAAATTAACTTGATTAAATCAAGGATAAAGGAAGATTTTAGAAGGCTATGATTTAGATAATGAGATGAACAAGGAAACTAAATTGGCAGGTTCAGCATTTTGAAGGATTTCTCTGTGATGTGCTGGTCTTGCATGCCCCTCTGCTTAAGGGTTTCATTACAGAGTAAGTGAGATGATTGATATGGTTTGGTTCACATAGATACAATGAAGGAAGAGGTCCTTTAAGCCATTGCTAAAATAAGGGGTGATGGATGGTGGACTGCAGAAATGACAGATGTCCTTTACATAAATAACCAAGTTTCAACAAAGAGAAGAAAAATAATCATGAAAGCATTTAGAATCTTATGTTTTTAAATTTAAAAGGTAAATTTTCATAAATCACCATAAATATTAGCATTAAAGGAATTTCAAAAAGAAGTTATGTTTTGTTCAAGAATTTAATTTCTTATGCTGCCCACAAAGCAACAGGAAGAAGTTACACTAGAGATGTTGTATGTTTTACTCTGAAATAAAGACCACTTCAAACAGTATACTTTGTGATATTTATTAAAATTACTTCATGAGAGAGAAAATACATAGGCCAACAACTGCTCGAAGCATCATACAGGAAAGGGAATGATGCCAGGCAGCAGGTTATAGGAAAGGGTTAAGCGGCAGCTATTTTTCCTATGGAAACGTCTAGCTTTATTTAAGATCTTATGGATTAATCAGGGGGAGAAAATATCATGTTAGAAAAATTAACAAATAGCCTTTATAAAAATAATTTTAGAATTATGCTTAAAAATCTTCAAGAGATAAGGGTCTAACAGTCACTTTTTAGTACTCTAATTCAAGAAGAGCACCTTTGGAGACAGAATGTAAAGAGCAGATTGAGGGCAGAGATTTAATTTTTCTTGTTTATGTTAATACTCAGATCCCAAATTAGTTGTTGGCACGTTGTAGACATGCACTGAAACATGTATCCAAAATAAATAAAAGAATAGATAGAAGATTGCTGAAGAGCAAAAATTACTGTTCTAGTGGTCCAGTCCCATAACCAAAACTAGCAATATGACTGTATGCAACCTTGAACTTCGCTGGGACTAATTTTTAGATGATGAGATTAAGTTTAATTGCCTTCAAAGTCTTTTTCAGTGAGGCTTAGTAAATGAGCTGCAGAATCACGATCACTCATGAGTTCTTCTCCAGCAGCTCTGCAAATGCCACATATCATCAGGCCCAGCCAGGTTCAAAGCAAGCTTACTTAACCAGGGAAGCAGAACCCCTTCTCTCTCCTTTTCCATCCAGGCATGGTTCTGCTCTCCTCCACTGCTGATAGTAAAGGGTAATGCATTAACAGATGAGGCCTTGAGATGGGACTCTTCAATAGTGGATCTTTGAAAACTAGAAGTAAGTGATGTGAACACTCTGAGGCAGAGGGCTTCATCCAGCAGTTCTAGGCAAGAGAATCTCATGGTTTTAGCTAAGTATTTTTGCATCTTTTCACTTCCTCTTCTTTTTTTTAAAATTTCTTTATTTTTATTTTTTTGAGATGGAAACTTACACTGTTGCCCGGGCTGGAGTGCAGTGGTGCGATCTCAGCTCAGAATTGAAGTAGTCAGGTTTCTGGATTTGTGCTAAGCAACAAGTGTCTACATTTTTTTTTTTTTCTCTCTCGGAGGTATTTTTAAATTTCTGCTTCATGTTAGGATGGCATTTCCCCACCTCCATCCATTACACTTCAGTGGAGAGACACTAGGAAACACAGATGAATGCAAGCTGGTCAGGCATTAAGAATAGAATGAACCCCTAGTTGTTAAATATATAGCTTATTGCCTAAACCAGGACACTTTTGGCACTAGTGATAATTATGCCAGGACAATTCACATAAACTGAGAAAATCAAGGGGAAATATGACACGTGATCATCCTATTGTTGATGTACACTTTTATTTCTTTTCTCTCACCCTCCACTGAAGCAGGCAGGGGTTCTCAAATCCAGCATATTTATCTCCTTCCTGGAAGAGTTATGGTTGGTGGACCCTAACTCCGTGTAGGTGCTAACATTTTCATTTCATTCATGTCTTACCTTTGCCATGTTATGGCCTTCTGGGGTGCTGGAATCTGTATTGACCTCTTGTCCACCTTCCTGTGATTTTTTTTCTCTGCAAAGCTAACAAGAATTTCTCCCAGCAACACAGCTCTCATTTATTTCCTGGACTAATGAGGATGAAAGCTTGAGTCTTACACAATCCTACTTAAAAAAAGGTCTCTCCTAGCATTTACTGGGGACAATTGATATACATTAATGTCTTTACCATAACATTAAAAAATGATCTAAAGCATAGGTAACAGAATTCAAATTGAATCTAGTATCCCTAGTGATTCCCAGGGGTAGCTGCCATGGGAGCAACCTGGAGACCATTGGACTTCCCAGCTGTGGATCTGCATTTACATTGCAGCTTCATATTCCCCAACACTGTTAAATATAACACTCAGACATATTTGATGGAGCCCAGAATATTTTACAATTTAAGTAAAGGAAAATTATTTTTAAATTTTGTTATGTAAACACATAGAAAAATGGAATCCAATGTTTAAATAGTTTGCATAAGTTAAAAATTCCATTTTGGCATCTCTAATTTTTCGTTTGGTAGTGACAACTGATATGGTTTGGATATTTGTCTCCTCCCAATCTTATATTCAAATATATTCCCCAGCGTTGGAGGTTGGGTCTGGTAGGAGGTGATTGGGTCATGGGAATGGATTTCTCCTGAGTGGCTTAGCACCATCCTCTTGGTGCTGAATGAGTTCATGCAAGATCTGGTTGTTTTAAAGTGTGCAGCACCTCCCCCAACTCTCTCTTGCTCCAGCTCTCACCGTGTGAAATACCTGCTCCCCCTTTGCGTTCGGCCATGATTGTAAGCTTCCTGAAGCCCTCACCGGAAGCAGAGGTCTGCACCCAGCTTCTTGTACTGTCTGCTGAACTGTGGGCCAATTAAACCTCTTCCCTTTCTAAGCCACCTCATCTCAGGTATTTCTTCATGGCAACGCAATAACGGCCTAATACAACTACAGACCCACCGCAGTAGCATACAATGGAGCACTTTCACCTTTGAAAAGGTAGAATCCTATGGTAGTAACAAACTTCAGAAGTGCATTTAATTAGAATTTTGATACTCTTCAATTTTTATTGTACTACTGTTTTCAATGATTTTTCAATTATGATATTTCATTCAAAATTTTTTTTTATTATACGTTAAGTTCTAGGGTACATGTGCACAACGTGCAGGTTTGTTACATGTGTATACATGTGCCATGTTGGTGTGCTGCACCCATTAACTCGTCATTTACATTAGGCATATCTCCTAATGCTGTCCTTCCTCCCTTCCCCCACCCCATGACAGGCCCCACTGTATGATGTTCCCCACCCTGTGTCCAAGTGTTCTCATTGTTCAATTCCCACCTATGAGTGAGAACACGTGGTGTTTGGTTTTCTGTCCTTGCAATAGTTTGCTCAGAACGATGGTTTCCAACTTCATCCATGTCCCTAAAAAGGACATGAACCCATCCTTTTTTATGGCTGCATAGTATTCCATAGTGTATATGTGCCACATTTTCTTAATCCAGTCCATCATTGATAGACATTTGGGTTGGTTCCAAGTCTTTGCTATTGTGAATAGTTCCACAATAAACATACATGTGCATGTGTCTTTACAGCAGTGTGATTTATAATCCTTTGGGTACATTCCCAGTAATGGGATGGCTGGGTCAAATGGTATTTCTAGTTCTAGATCCTTGAGGAATTGCCACATTGTCTTCCACAATGGTTGAACTAGTTTACACTCCCACCAACAGTGTAAAAGTGTTCCTATTTCTCTACATCCTCTCCAGGACCTGTTGTTTCCTGACTTTTTAATGATTGCCATTCTAACTGGTGTGAGATGGTATCTCATTGTGGTTTTGATTTGCATTTCTCTGATGGCCAGTGATGATGAGTATTTTTTCATGTGTCTGTTGGCTGCATAAATGTCTTCTTTTGAAAAGTGTCTGTTCAAATCCTTTGCCCACTTTTTGATGGGGTTGTTTGATTTTTTTTTGTAAATTTGTTTAAGTTCCTTGTAGATTCTGTATGTTAGCCCTTTGTCAGATGGGTAGATTGTGAAAATTTTCTCCCATTCTGTAGGTTGCCTGTTCACTCTGATGGTAGTTTCTTTTGCTGTGCAGAAGCTCTTTAGCTTAATTAGATCCCATTTGTCTATTTGGCTTTTGTTACCATTGCTTTTGGTGTTTTAGTCATGAAGTCCTTGCCCATGCCTATGTCCTGAATGGTATTGCCCAGGTTTTCTTCCAGGGTTTTTATGGTTTTAGGTCTAACATGTAAGTCTTTAATCCATCTTGAATTAATTTTTGTATAAGGTGTAAAGAAGGGATCTAGTTTCAGCTTTCTACATATGGCTAGCCAGTTTTCCCAGCACCATTTATTAAATAGGGAATCCTTTTCCTATTTCTTGTTTTTGTCAGGTTTGTCAAAGATCAGATGGTTGTAGATGTGTGGTATTATTTCTGAGGGCTCTGTTCTGTTCCATTGGTCTATATCTCCGTTTTGGTATCAGTACCATGCTGTTTTGGCTACTGTAGCCTCGTAGTATAGTTTGAAGTCAGGTAGCATGATGCCTCCAGCTTTGTTCCTTTGGCTTAGTATTGACTTGGCAATGTGGGCTCTTTTTTGGTTCCATATGAACTTTAAAGTAGTTTTTTTCCAATTCTGTGAAGAAAGTCATTGGTAGCTTGATGGGGATGGCATTGAATCTATAAATTACCTTGGGCAGTATGGCCATTTTCACGATATTGATTCTTCCTATCCACGAGCATGGAATTTTCTTCCGTTTGGTTGTGTCCTCTTTTATTTTGTTGAGCAGTGATTTGTAGTTCTCCTTGAAGAGGTCCTTCACATCCCTTGTAAGTTGGATTCCTAGGTATTTGATTCTCTTTGAAGCAATTGTGAATGGGAGTTCACTCATGATTTGGCTCTCTGTTTGTCTGTTGTTGGTGTATAGGAATACTTGTGATTTTTGCACATCGATTTTGTATCCTGAGACTTTGCTGAAGTTGCTTATCAGCTTAAGGAGATTTTGGTCTGAGATGATGGGGTTTTCTAAATATAAAATCATGTCATCTGCAAACAGGGACAATTTGACTTCCTCTTTTCCTAAATGAATGCCCTTTATTTCTTTCTCCTGCCTGATTGCCCTGGCCAGAACTTCCAACACTATGTTGAATAGGAGTGGTGAGAGAGGGCATCCCTGTCTTGTGCCAGTTTTCAAAGGGAATGCTTCCAGTTTTTGCCCATTGAGTATGATATTGGCTGTGGGTTTGTCATACATAGCTGTTATTATTTTGAGATACGGGTGAAATTATTTTATTTGTAAAGGATATGAATTTAAAATTTATGTATCCAGAAGGTACATTAAGAATTCTTCAAATTCTTCTTAACCAATTGCACTTTTGATCCAACTTTTAATTTAGCATATTTCTTGCTTGATTTTATTGCAGAAATTTGAACTGGAGTCACAAGCTCCTGCCCAGAAGTTTTTTTTTTTTCAGTGCAGTGTTGGTAAAATTAATTAGAAAGCCAGGAGTGGGGATGGGAACATTCTTCCTTTAGGCAGATACAAACTCCTCCCACGTATGGATGGCCTTCTACTCAAGGAGACTCACATATCCAGGTTACTTTCCTGGCCTGATGGACTTTTAGCTTTATCCTCTACTATAGAAGTTAATTTAAACTCCTGGTGAGAAAGCCACACTTAGAGTGAGAATTTTCTGAAACAATGTGCTTAAAATCTCCAATGGAATTGGAAACATAAACCATGGAGACAAACAGGTGTCAAGTTGCCTCTTCACTTCCAAATACCACAGTTATCAGCAGCCTCACCAGGGAGAATTTGGGACACAGGAACACGTGCCTGTCCAGAACTTAGGCTTTGGGGATCAGATCATTGGACTCTGATGACCAGCCCTAGCACTCGTTTGGTGTGCATTGGACATGCACATGAACTGATCAAGCTTGATTTCTTCCTCTGTAAAACAGGAATTCTCAAAGCTTCATTTTGGGATTAAATGAGATTAAATGAAATAATGGATGGTACATGTCAGTGTTGGTCATAGGGAAGTAAAAGATTGAATACACCAAGGGACAATGGTCAGATCATCTATAAAAATAGAACTGTGACCCAGGATCTGCATCAACCAGCCCAGTAAACTCACCTGTTATCTAGCCATGCCAGACTTGTAGGATGTCAGACCAAGATCTCTGGGCAAACAATCCAGCAAAACAAACAATATTCCCTGCAACAACTGACCCCAAATGACCAGAACTTGACTAATAACTGACAGCTTTTGAAATTTGTGTCCCCACTTCCAATTTAGGATCAATCAGAGAGAGCCAAATATGCACCCCTAACCAACTGAGTGCCTGGATTCCTGCAGCTTCCCCAGGCCAACAGCCTCTAATCAGGACATTCTCGAGGCCTTCCCTTTTCCCACTGTGAAGCTCTCCCACTCCTCTGCTTGACTTTGAGTTTGCCAAACGCAAGTAACAGTGGCTGACTTTCTTGCTCTAGCAAGTAAAGAATAACAGCCTTGGCTTGTTCTCATTTGGTTGGCTTTTGTTTATTTCCAAAGCATCATTCAATAAAGATTGTGAATCACATAAACAACGCAATAATTTGATTAAATATAAAATCAATGAATCATCAAGTAATATGTCTGCAGAGACTCAGGCTAAATTTATACAGCTTAATTTATGTTTCTCTTTTTCTTAGTTTTAACGGAATCATTGATAGCCTCAAATTCATCCTATTTCGCCGAATGATTTTCTTAGTAAATCATTGATGGGAGTTATGCCTGGCTTACATTCCATTTTACTGATCTGTAGTGTTAGTTAACTTTACAAACCAATGTATTGGTTTTTTGTCTTCTAAGATCCCGAAGGGCAAACTTTCTAACTTGTCCGAGAGAGCCACAGGAAGGGACAGTGCCTTTCACAACAGGCTGGGTCCTCTGTCTTCCTTCCCCGATCCTTCCAACGTGTCACAATACACTGGGTGAAATTGGTTTGGGCTCTTGAATAGACTCTTCACAAAGCCTGGTGGATTTCTTGGCTTAGTCCCCTGTGGTTGTGGAAGTGTATATAAATGGAATCTTTGATGATTCATTCTAGTATTTTTAATGGGTATTGAATTTGTGCTATTCATGTCTAGATTTCTGAGGATTTTCCTTTTAGTCTTTTCTCTCTCATATGAAGACATTTTTCTATGCCTTATCAATCTCTTGGATCCTATTTGCTTTTACAATAACTGCCGAACCCCCAATAATTACATCTTCATGGTCACAATTCTTAGAAGAATTTGTGGTTTCCCCACCCATAAATGCTCACTTGGGGCTCACAGAGACTTCTCAGTGGCCATATCTAGATAAAGCACAAATTCACAAATCCAGACAATGCCCCATAGTCTGACACTTTTCCCTCTGAATATATGTTTCCCCTTTGTCCTCTCAACTTAAAAGCAACCAAAATCTGTTAAGAACAGATCTCTGACCTCTGACTAGCCATAATGCATAAAACCCCTTATGGGAAAAAAACACAATTTGGTCATGATATAATAATTTGTTACACAAAACTCTTCTACCCCAAGTTGAGAGGAAAGCAACAGAAAACAAAAACAAAAAATCACTGAATGTGGTTTCAATAGTGTCAATGGAATGGTGATAATTTATTACAGTAACTTAATTAAATTGCTGCTCTTAACAATGCGTAGTATGGCACAGAACTCATTACAAGTAGCCTGAAAATCTGCTGTTAATTTTAACCTTGACATGCGAAGTCCTAACAGAGGAGATTCTGGTTAGAAGGAAAATAAGTGATATATTTTAGTCATCATGAAAGACAGTGATATACTTTCAATACTTAAAGAAAACCAAAGCTGTGTGTTTCTTTTCATATGATCATAAACATAGATGCGGAAAGGAGAGGAGACGGGACACATTTCATTGGATTTAAGGTTCTGTGACAGGAGAATAATATTGGAAAAGTAGCCATGGGATAAAAGAACTCAGCATCAATTTATATACATATAAATCCACTTAGCCTCAACTTATGCTGCTAAATTACCTTCCTGAGACCTAAGACCTGCTATTATATGTGTATGGAATATGGAATATGTGCTATACCTACAAGGCAAGTGATTTTCTTGCTAACATAAAATTGTGCCAGGTTAGGGAATTCCAGGAGTTATTGGAGTTTCTAAAGGGACGTTTTAGAGAGAAAATATGTTGATTGCATCAAGCAACTGCATGAAAGAACATGCTGAGAAAGCTGAGTTCATGCTCACAGTGGATAGCAAAGAGGGAGAGGACATCACAGTGAGGTGAAGGCAGGATTCTCAGCTCTGCCCAAGGAAAAAGTGCTTGCTCTGAGATTTTCGTCTCTACAGTTGTTCCTGGGATAGAATATAGGTGCAGTCTCACCTGATTATATCAGGAATGCCATGTGGAAGAAAGATTATGTGTATCCTCAGAGACTGAAAATGTTTATTTCCCCAAAACAAAACAATGTAATATAACTTGGAACGTTCTTGTAAAATCTAGATTTGTTTTGATTTGATAGGAAGATAAAGCTGATGGAATACCATGCAGGGATGGTGAGTAGATTTATTTTATATCTAAAATGAGTAGTCATTTGTTTTTTCAAGTCATGACTTCAAAAATTAGCATGCAGACTTGGCTGGGAGAGTTCTCTGATGGCTGGAAGATGTGTGTGGGTGTGTTTATGCACATTTTGTTTTTTATACTAGCTGCATTTGACCTATTTTTCCCCACAGTGGGGATGGCTTGTTGGGCCCATGAACACTTTGAGGAGCAGGTCTCTGGGAAGGCATTTTATGAATCAGAATGGCTGGTTGCCCATGTAGTAATCATGAAGAAGGAGATGCATGTTGAATGTAAAGAAGGATCCTTTGACAGACAAACCAAGCTCACACTAGCTTATGGGAAAAGAGAATGCACTGGATCATAGAACAGAAAATTCTAGCTCCAGATATGGCTGGATCCAGGGGCTCAAATGCTGTGGGTATCTCTGTCTCTCCTGTACTTCTGATGGGCATTATTCTTAGGACAACTCACTTCTTGCTGCAACCAAGTGGCCCTTGGTCAGTTGGAGACCTGCTTTGTCCATGGTGTAAATATGTAAAATAGGGTCAATAATCCCTGTGTCACAGGGTTTACAAGGGTCAAGTTAGACAATGTAGATAACGAACCCAACACAGCACCTACTGCAGGATCAGTACTCTAGTTCAGTATCCAGCACATGGTGGAGGTATTTTTTGTGTTTTTAATAATCATCATATGGTCTTTCTGGGATTATCAATGTCCTATAGAGAAATTAGACATTGTTCTGATTACAGGATTTCAGGAAGATGTGCTTCTTTGTGATAAACACCACATCAAGGAGAACAGTGATGCTCTATCTCCAGCTCAGTGCAAAGGAAGGACTTTCTTTTTTCTTTTTTTTTTTTTTTTGGACAGAGTCTCACTCTGTCACCAGGCTGGAGTGCAGCAGCATGATCTCAGCTCACTGCAACCAAAGGAGAGACTTTCAATGTGGTTTCTGTGCTTCATTTCCCCTCAGTTGCAACACTTGTGCCCTTTCTCTCCCAGTTCACATCTGCCCTCCTCCCATTCACTCTCATACCATGATACCCAGTGAGCACAGCAATAGCCCAGGGGGAAGATGGGACCTCCTCCCGGGGGCTCATATGAGGACCTTGTGGCTCTTCCACACAGGGGTCAGCCAGGGTTTGAGGATTCCCCTGAGGATCGTGGCTCCCTCCTCTTGGCACCATAACTATCATGAATTGCAATATTATGGGTATCTTTAACCCATACCCAGTGTATTAGTCCATTTTCATACTGCTATGAAGAAATACCCAAGACTGGATAATTTATAAAGAAAAAGAGATTTAATGGACTCACAGTTCCACATGTCTGGGGAGGCCTCACAATCGTGGTGGAAGGTGAAGGAGGAGCAAAGGCACATCTTACATGGTGGCAGGTAAGAGTGTGTGTGCAGGGGAACTGCCCTTTATAAAAATATCTGATCTTGTGAGGCTTATTCACTATCACAAGAACAGCATGGAAAACCCACCCCCATGATTCAATTACCTTCCACTGGGTCCTCCCTTCTACACATGAGGATTATGGGAGCAACAATTCAAGATGAAATTTGGGTGGGGACACAGCCAAACCATATCACCTATTGCCAATTATTAAGTAACAAATGAATATATAACAACCATAGAAAAATGTAGAAGTTTTCCATGTAGAAAACATATTCTAATCACAGAAAAACTGTAGAAGACACTGTGATTGGTCAATTCAATATTTATCACTACTTTCCGTTCATTTCTAAGGACACTCCTGTGTTGGTTGGTTAGCTACATGTCCAGCTAAAAGTCTCAATTTTGTAGGCTTCCTTTCATCCAGTGGTGACCTTTTGACATAGTTCTGGCCAATGAGAATCTTAATTTTCTTGGGTGATGCTCCTAGGAAAACTGCTGTTTTCAGATCAAAAGAAACACACTCACTTAGCAGGGGAGACATCATGATCACAAAGGTGATTTTCCCAGGGCAAAGCTTATCCATTGCACTCCACATGTGCTGACCCGTCATTTTCCCAAATGTGATAAACTCAACTGCATAATTGTGGCAGTAGGGAACTGCATTTACACTTTCCCCTAGTTAAATAAATAAGAAAATAAACAGATCGAGCTGGACCACTATTTTGGCCCCTTTTCCTTCTCATGTGTCTGGAATACAAATGCCTAGAGGTAAAACTGCCATTCTGTGAGCATGAGGATGGCGCCACACCTGACAGTCATAGAGCAAGAAAGCAAGAGGGGCTGGTTCCCTGGGGACAGTTTGGAATTCCATTTTCTATCCATAGCTGTATACCTCTAGTGTTCACTTATCTGAAGGAAAAGGGGTTTGGATAATTCACTTTTGCAAGTTTGTGTTACTTGCAGCTTAAGAAAACCCTAATGGGTACCAAGTCTAAAATATTGCAAGGGAAAATAAAATGCAAAGAATCTTAGCAAACATCATAAAAGACACCAACAAAAATTTGGCCATGGGCACTTTTAAAGGGCATAACAGTAAAGTAACTGATACACACACACACACACACACATGCACAGGCACACACATGTATATGCAAACATACACACAAATATACATGCACATTCTTCTTTTCCATTGATATTCTACTATCACTGGACATTAGGAGTGCACATAGAAAAATGTCAGAATAAATTAGTAATTTTTTCTCCTTTATTCATTTTTTTAATTGAAGAGGAGAGATAGCATTAAAGTTTCCCCAGAAAATTTGTATAAATGCCCTTATTAGAAAGAACTAGCACCCTAGGAGTTTTCTTTACTGTCCTATGGCTGGAGCAAATGACTTTCTATTTTGCCCTGTTATTGCAAAATTGCAAGGATCAGTGAACATTGATAATTGAAGCATGAAATGGAGGCCACTTTTACCTGAATTATAAATTTGTGCAATTGCTCTTGGAGAAAATAACTTGCCCAACTGCCAACCTAACTCTGCAATCCGAACTAGGCTATCAGATTTCATGAGAAATAAATGAGTTGGTCTATATTAACATAATATTTTATGCACATTTAATTTTGTTATTTTAAATCATCAAGATAAATTTATAAAGACTATTACAATCTTAAGAATCATGCAATAATTTCACTGTCAGATGAGACTAATTTTACTCTTATTGCAAACAATGTAGGTCAGACATGAATGATATTTTTCCTTTTCCTTCTGTTCATGCTCACCTCCTATTTCTAAGAATGGTGTGTGGAAGTCATGGAAGTAGAACACACCGTATCTCAGTGAGGAATTTTGTGCCTCTTCCTGGTTCTTGGCATGAGAGGCCCAATTACTGTTCATGGGAAAAAAAAAAAAAAAAAAAGACATGCAAAATTAAAAGCTGAAGGGGTGAAAGTAGGCAACTTAAAAAAAAAACACACAGAAAAGTCCCCACCAAGAAAAGCCATTCAAATACTAATGGCTTTTGATTTGACATTGAATAATAGAGTTATTTAAAATAGTAGTTCAAGATATGAAACAAACCCACAAGAGTTGAAGACTTTTGGTAGCGCTATGAGAAGCTGGTATGTGAACAATTGCATCTGGATGTTGCCAACCTAAGGAGGACCACCAAGGCCATCTCTCCTCATTCCTGTAATCCCAGCTACTCCAGAGGCTGAGGCAGGAGAATCGCTTGTACCCTGGAGGTGGAGGTTGCAGTGAGCCGAGGTCGTGCCAGCCTGGACAACAGAGTGAAAAACCATCTAAAAAAAGAAAAAAAGATGATGAAAGAATTATAGCAGATATACAATAATTACTTTGGAATTGTTTCTTGTAAAAGGTTTCTAAAAAATGGATCATAGTTTTCTAAATTATGTCCATTGTTTAAAATGACTTTTACCAAACTATCTGAAAAATAAAAATGGAAAACAATGCACAACAATACTGCTATTGTGTCTCAGGTTGATTTTCCTGAGTGCAGACCCTGAGATGATGTTTGAGGGGCAAGATGTTCATTTGCGCTACCACCTGTGAAGGGAAAGGGAGGAGGCAGGGTTGGACAGAGGTAAGGTCCAGGTGTGATGTCACCAAGCCTCCCTGCATGATGGGCAGCCGGGGTGGGGAATTGATGGCAGAGTCGTCCTGCAGCAAGCTCAGGGCTTTGCTTCCCACCTGTTCAGCTTCTGGATATGGGCAACCAAAAAAAGGGGTGGCCATGGGCTGGGTGGCTCACTGCAGCTGAGGCTGACCCTGGAAGGGCTGCGAACTGGACCTGGTGTCTGCTGACCCCACTCCCTGCCTCTGGCCAGTGAGTTCTTCCTGAAGAAGGATCTAGAAGTGCATTTGTGTGTCTAATGAAGTGAAACATGCAATGTTAAAATTTTCAACAGTGGGAGTTCTCCATGCTTTCTTTACATTATCCAACAATTTAAAAGCAAATGGGCCGCGCGGTGTCTCAGTCCTGTAATCCTAGCACTTTGGGTGGCCAAGGTGGTAGGATCACTTCAGACCAGCCTGGGCAATACAGTCAGACTTCTTCTCTCCTCCTCCTCCTCCTCCTACCACTACTACTACTACTAAAAATGAGCCAGGTGCGGTCGTGTGTGCCTGCAGTCCCCGCTACTTGGGAGGCTGAGGTGGACTAATCATTTGATCCAAGGAGATCTAGGCTGCAGTGAGCTGTGATGGTGCCCCTGCACTCCAGGTGAGACTCTGTCTCAAAAAAAAAAAAAAAGAAAGAAAAAGCAAATGACCTTACTTGTAATTTATTAATAAGGGTCAATTATTATTATAAACTTATTTTAAATATATCAATATATTTGCCTAATTAATAGATTAAATAATATATAATTAATTAATATAGTAATATGTATACCATCCATACGTTCATTGTAAGTGTTAAGTTATTAATTGATTCGTGAAATGTGGACTGAAGACTCTGGAGACGTCCCTCCTTACAGTTAAACCCGGTGCTCTCTCTCTAGCAGGGACTGTGCCTCTGTGACCCTGCGGCTGGAATAACCCTGCAAGAGTGGAAAGAAGTCAGAAGGAGCTCGGCTCGCTGAGCACCCGGGCTGTGCCCCTGAACTTCTTACTTGAAGAAAGCCCCTAATATGTCCACTCCAGTGTTAGGAGAATTTGGAGCATATGATGGTGGCTCCCCTGCTTCTGCACACCCCTAACCCGGAATTGGAGGGGATAATTTGCGTCACTACAAAAAGCTATCATGGGCGGATGGTTCTCTTGACCACTCAAAATAGGTTTTCAATTCCATTTTCCGGCAGAGCAGCTGGAGTCTCTGGAATTTCTACGTCCCGTGCCTCTGCCTTCCACCTAGCACAGGACAGGACCCCCGAGGGCGGTGGCCCTGCAGACAGCCCTTCTCTAGGACTGGGCACCTGCCTAGGGAGCCTGAGATGAGGTCGGCCTTGGCTCATCACCTGGAGAGAGTGGATCTGGGAGGCCCGGGCAGCGCTACGCAGGGCCCAGCCTGGGTGGAGCCCCCGAGGCGGGGACGGTGGAGCCTCGCGGACCCTGGCTGGGGACGGGGCAAATCCAGGCATGGGGCGCTCCAGGTGAGACGAGGAGTCCTCACCCCAGTGAACTGTGAGGCCAAGGGACCCTGGGACAGGGCGGGCTCTGGCCACTAAACAGCAAAGAAGGCAGAGACATCCTGTGCCGTTCCATGTGGGAGCCTCAGACTCTCAGGAGTCCTGGCGAGCCCCAGGGTCTTTGGCCACGTTTGGATGGGTCGGGTGGGGCCAGGATCCAGCATTTCCCCAGGGCTCTGAGGAGAGAAGGGAACGGGAAGGTTCTGGTCATGTCGGAGGAGTGTGGAAAGTTCCTTTTCCAGTAGAAATATCAAGTCTCACATTTACGTTTAGGCAGCTGACAAACTTTGAAAAGCTTTGAACTTTTGTTTGGCATTGAATCCACATCATCTGTCGCCCATGTAAACACAGCAGAATTCCATAAGGACTGGGTGGTGAACCCCCACTCTCTACGGAGCTCCAGCCCCATGCTGTCTCTTGCTTGGTTTCTGACATTAACAACGGAGTAGAACATGTTGTCATTTATTTGTTGACATCGCGGATGAAGGAGTAGAATCCATTTTGCGGGGAAAGATGTAGAGATATTGATTGGATGTAGCCACAGGGGATCACTGGGTGCCTTAAAGAGAGCGGTTGCAACTTCGTGCTGGGGTAGAAGAGACTTGAGTGAGGTGAGGACTGAGTTGCAGGTGGGGGTGAGGAAATGGAGAGAGCAAAGTAGCAGTTTTAAGGAAGTTTCTGGTAGGGAGAAAGAGTTACATGAGTAATGACAGGGATATAGAGCGCTGGTTTTTTTGTTTGTTTGTTTGTTTGTTTGTTTTTGAGATGGAGTCTTGCTCTGTCGCCCATGCTGGAGGGCAGTGGTGCGATCTCGGCTTACTGTAAACTCCGCCTCCTGGGTTCAAGCAATTCTCCTGTCTCAGAGTAGCTGGGATTACAGGCGCCCACCACCACGCCTGGCTAATTTATGTATTTTTTAGTAGAGACGGGGTTTCACCATGTTAGCCAGGCTGGTCTTGACCTCCTGACCTCAGGTGATCCGTCCGCCTCGGCCTCCCAAAATGCTGGGATTGTAGGCGTGAGAACCACCGCGCCTGGCCAGATGGAAGATTTTAAAGCAATTTTTAATGCTGATGAGTATACACAGAAGATAGATTAAATATACAGTAGAAAGGAGATAATTTATAGACCGGGGTGCCTAATGATTGAGAGGTAGCATGGATGAGTTCCATGGTACCTGGGGAGAAGCTGAGCTGAAACAAAACTGAGGCACCTGCTCCTGGTTAACAGGAGAGGAGAAAATGGTGAATGAAATGCAGGTGAGTTTGTAGAATGGCAGTGCAAATCGGAGCTAGATCAATGGCTAATCTCTCAAAGAAGTTAGAAACAGGGGCTTCTGTTGAAAAATACACAGCTTTCAGAAGTGAAAATATTTGAAATAATCATTGCAGAGAATAGGAAAATGAATTAATTATAGCTTGCAGACTTTAGTAGATTGGAAGAGAATGAAGTCTCTTTCTTTTCTGCTTTGTTTTAATCTAGAGATATTTTTCTCCTGAACATTTCTATATTTATTGTAAAAATATACTATCTTTTTAATTTACAGAATTTTAGAAATGATTGTGAATGAAAATATAAAAAATCTTTCCTCTGAATATGAGGTAGCCTATCTGTCTACTACGTATTGTTTTTCCCATTTGCCATTTCTATAACAAGCTGGTAGAATTTGATATATACAGTGATTTCGAAAAGAAATACATATGTCTTTGTTTGCTGTTGCTTATTATGGAATACCTGAACCTGGGTAGTTTATAAAGAAAAGGGGCCAAGTGCATGGTGAGGGGCGCACGCGGCCTCTCTTCTTAAAAAGCCCCCAATCCCATTCCCGCGAAAACCCAATGAATTAATTAATTTATGAGCCCTTATGATCTATCATCACTTAAAGCCCCCACCTCTCTATACTGCCAGATGGGAAATTACATTTCAACAGGGGTTTTGGAGGAGACAAATATTCAAACCACAGCAATATAATGAACAAAAATTAAACAAAAGAATAAACTATTATGGTTTAGCAACCCTCCTTTTGCCTTAGAATGAAAATGACTGGAAAAGTTTTTTTGATTCATGTAATTCAATGTAAAAAATAATGAATAAAAAGACAGTGAAAGATAATAAAAACGAGCTGCATTTCTGAACAACTTTATAAAAGCATGACTTTATATTTCAGAAGTATTGTATTGTAACTTTCATGTGTCTTCCACTTTTTATTTTACTAGAAACAGTCACAATGATTGGTTTATTATTTGGTTCAGGTGCCAAGGAAATTTAAATTCATATTAATCCATTAATCTATCTTTCACTTATTATTTGTAAGATGTAAAAGAATTCTGCATATGCTTTTTTTGTTGGGTATACATATTAAAACACATTTTCACTCTGATCTGCATTTCTACTTTCTGATATTGAATTGTTCATTATTTTAATGTAATTTATCACTATCTTCTTTTATAGTTTTTTTGTGTTCTGTTTGGAAAGTTTTGCCTGTTCTTAAGCTAAAAGATATTCTTGTATATTACCTTTTAGAAGCTTTATTGTTCTTTTATGAATTAGATATAAAATTCACTCCAAAGGGATTTTTGTCCATTGTATAAAGTGGGGGTCAACATATTATTTTTACTGTGAATATCCACTTTAGCTATTATAATTTATTCAAAATCATAAATAAATCATGATATTCTTTACAACACTGCAGTACCAGCTTCGGAATAAATTACATGTCCATTTATGTGTGGGTCTGTTTCTAGATCCTATAATAGTCCATGCTCTATTTATCTCTGTCAGTTGACATCTTTCTAAAAATTCTTTCAACTTTGCTATTCTTCTTCAAGCTTATCTTGGCTATTTGCATTTCCAAATGGATTTTTGCTTCATAATTTAAATCTCTATAGAGACCTGCTGGAATTTTAATTGAGATTACATATATCAATTTGAATAAAATAGAGATCTTTAAACTATCAAGCATTTCAATTCATTTACATGGTATATCTATACATTTATTTGTCATCTTAAATTTCTCTTAATTATGTTAAATAATTTTCTACACAGAGGCCTTACAAAACTCTTGTTATAATTATTCCTTGCAATTTCAGGGTTTTGTATTATTATAAGCAATATTTTTAAAATTTTATTTTCTAATTGTTTGTTGTATGCAGAGATATAATAGATTTTTGTATATTGGTCTTTGTTATGGACTGAATTGTGTTTCTTAAAATTCATATATTGGAGTCTTGATCCTCAATACCTCAGAATGTAACTGTATTTGAATTTAGGGACTTTAAAGGAGTAAGTAAGGTAAATGAGGTCATATGGATGAGACTCTAATTTGATAGAACTAATGTCTTTATGCGAAGAGGAAATTTGGACACAAAAGAGACCCCAGAATTAAGTGTTCATGGAGGGACAGCCATGTGAAGTAGCAGCAGGCAGATGGCCATCTGCAAGCCAAGGAGAGAGATTTCTAGGGAAACCAGTTCAGCTGACACCTCCATCTTGGACTTTTGCCTCCAGAACTGTGAGACAGCACATTTCAATAGTTTAAGCCTCCCAGTCTGTGATATTTTGTTATGGCAGCCCTAGCAGACTAATAGAACCGTGTATCCATAAACTTTGCTAGTATATGCATAATATATATTAACGTATATGTATAATATATACATAATGTATATAAATATATGCATAAGTATATAATGTGATCTCTGCAAATAGTGACAGATTTATTTATTCCTTTCCAATCTTTAAGCCTGTTTTATTTAAATTTCTTGTATTATTGCCTTGGCTAGGACCTCCAGAACAACACTGAGGAAAAACTTGTTTCATACATCATTCCTGATCTAAGGGCAAAGTTTCATCAGTTACCTATTATGTATGTTTTCCTTTTTAAGTTATTTGAAGTAAATCTTTAACACATAAAATTTCGTTGTATTTCTATTTTCAAAGGGTTTTGTCAAAGTATTGGTAGAAATTTTTCAAACGACTTTTTCTGAATATTTTTCAGATTCAGAATAAGGTTGCAAGATATTTTACATTTTTTTATTTTTGTAAATCCAGTCTGCCAAGCTTTTCATTTAGAGTATGTAATTGGTTTATACTTAATGTAATCACATATACTCGTGCTTAAAAATGTATCATTTTCTTATTAGTTTTTTTATTTTTAACATCAGTTCTATATTTCTCCTTTTCTTTGACTATTTTTTGTTAAATATTTTTATTGCTCTTTTTTTCTAAAATAATAGTTTTAACGTATACAGTTTCTTACTATTTTGAGTAGTTACCCTAGAGTTTACAACATGAATCCATTATTTATGAAGTCTGGTGTAAATTCTTATTTACCTTTAATGATCTTCAGACCTTTTAACTGCATTTACTTACCTCCCTCTCATATCTTGTACCTTTGTTGCCCTGTATTTCATTCTCTAGATATTTCAAAGCAAATGCATTATTATTTTATATATATGCTTTAGGTTTACCTACATATTTATCATTTTTTTTTTGCTTTTTATTATTCCCATTGTCTTTATCCTTCCTTCTGGGATCATATTGTTTTTTCTAGGAAGTGTCCTTTGGTTACAAATTCTACCAGGTTTTGCTTGTTAGAAAATGTTTTTATTTTGTTTTTGTTTATAAATGATGCTTTTCATGTGTACAGAAATCTAAAGTGACATTTATTTTCTTTCAATAGTCTGAATATTGCATTTTCAGGTTTTCTGACCTCTCTTGTTTCTGTTGAGAAGACTTTTCCTTGAAAATACAGATAGGAGCCTAAGAGAGATATGAGGCATGGTGATAAGATACATGTGGAACTGGCACTCTAAAATAGAAGAGGAGAAAAAAAGGAGGAGGAGAATCAATATTTGAAGAATCAAGGCCTAAAACTTTAAACAATTGACAGATATCAAACCACAGGTTAAAAGTCAATAAATCCTAAATCAACTATGTATAAAGAAAAACACACCAAGGTCAGCATAATAAAACTGATGAAACTACATACAGAAAGAAAATCACAAAAGCAGCCTTTTTTTGAAGGCACACATAAACAAGTTATTTATTTTTATTTTTCAAGGCCTTTCTAATTGTTCTTGGTGGAAGAGTTGGTCTGCAGCAAGCTAATCCACAGTGACCCAAAATAAGAAAATACACTGTTGATAGTTTTTTAATTTTTATTATTTATGTAATTATTTTTAAATGCAGCCAGGTCAATATGAAATCAAACAATAGGAAAAAATGCCCACAGGAATATCGTGTAATACATGCATGATTTTCATGCATCCATTATCCCTTAGTCCACAGAATGTGCACTAGCTCCTGGCATGGAAGGATAGTGGCCCATGGGCTCATAGGCAGTATGGAGTGGTCAGGACGTTCACGTTAAAGAGACCAAGACTGGGAGTCCACCGGGTGGCTGGAATCTGATTCTGCTAAGTGTGAGCTCTGGAACCCCAGAGGAATCACCATTTTTTCTCCTTATTTTCCTCATCTGTGGAATAGGTCTACTAACAACTCTTCCTTCCCCATGGTATAGATGTCTTATATAAACCTTGCAGCATTATAGAAAGGGGATTTAAAGCAACGTTTTTTTTCCTCCTTATAATTGTGTTATTCTGTACAGAGGACAGAGATTTCTATATGAGAAGACAAAACCAAATGTATTCTCTGGGTAATTTTGTATTATCTATAGAACCAGTGCTACTTAAAATGCCCACGTTTTTTCAGTCCTTAAAGTTTCATGAACTTTAGGGGCTCATAGAGAAGATAAGCTATGTTGACACCATTGACCGTTTGCAGGTAGCTCAAGGTACAGTTGGTTCTGACCAGCCTGGAAACATGAGTCACAAGGTCAAATTATCTATTCCTCAGATCTGTCTCCCAGGAGAGAGCACCTACGGGAGGCTTGGTGTCCCAACAAGGTCACTGCCAGAGATTTTTGGAAGTTGGAAGCATCTGTCTCAACCTTAGGAAGATTCACTCGAGTACTAGAGAGGTGAACATCACTCATCTCCCTGAAACAAGTTGATTCTTAATTACTCACTGCTCTAGTCACACCTCAGGTTCTAGAGAAAAGAATTAATGCAGATATATAATCTTACTAGTGTTGTTGTTGTCAGCATTTTTTCTCTTCCCTTTCCTTCCTTCCTTCTTCCTTCCTTCCTTCCTTTTTTTTTTTTTGTGATGGAGTCTTGCTCTGTTGCCCAGGCTGGCATGCAGTGGTGCAGTCTCGGCTCACTGCAACCTCCTCCTCCCAGGTTCAAGTGATTCTCCTGCCTCAGCCTCCCGAGTAGCTATGACTACAGGTGTGCACCACCAGGCCCAGCTAATTTGTGTATTTTTAGTAGAGGCAGGCTTTCACCATGTTGTTCAGGCTGGTCTCAAACTCCTGACCTCATGTGATACACCCAACTTGGTCTCCCAAAGTGCTGGGATTAAAGGCATAAGCCACTGTGCCTGGCCTCAGTATTTTTTTCATACGGATTTGGTGGAAATAGCATCTCTAATACTCTTAATAGCATTCAAAAATGGCACTACTATATTGATGTAATGGTGTAAACTACAATTTATCTTTATGTATACATGAGCGAATGAAAGATGCATGACAAAATGAATCCATCACTTCACAACTTGAAAAGAAAGGGATTTACAGAGCCAATTGCTGTGCGAAATTCCCCTATGGGATGAATGATTACAGATGGCTCGCGTGCTCCTAGTGAGAGCAGCCGTCCTTCCTCCCTGCCAGCCCTGAGAATAGAGAATTATGAAAGCAGATAAGGCTGAAGGAAAGGAATTTAGGGGGTATTATTAATAATAAAGAGGAGACGACAAGTTGAAATGTGGTGATGATCAAAACCTAAAAGCTTCGTAACTCCAAATTGTGATGCACTTTATTGAGAAACCCTGTACGGTTTTATTGGTATAACTACAGTGTAAAGTTTCCTTTTATAATTGCCGTCCTTGAAAAATGGCTAAAATTTTTATTGTGTTGTGGTTATAGAAACCTGCCATTTTTTTTTTTCGTAAACTAATAGTGTACTTCCCATAAAGGTAAATAAAAGAAAAAGAAACCAAAATATGGCTACAAAATAAAAGTAGGGTATAATTAAAATAATTATTGTAACTTAAATTGAAGGAATAAAATATAAATTGTTTTAGGAATGGCCCATGTAGGGAAACTTCAGAAAAATACCAGAAGCAAAAAACAACTTAGGATTTTGAGGCTGAAGTATAATCACACAATCTTATCAGACTCAATTAATATGAGAGAAATTTGATAGGACAATGAAATAACTAATATTGAGTAAAACCCTAATCAGGTTTCTCTCTTAGCACCAACCAATGCCTTGCCTTCATTTCTTTTTGTGAAATTGGTGGATTACATTACTCTTTCTGAGAGAAAGGAAGAATTATCAAGACATTTCTAATAAGATTTGCCCATGCATGGGGGTTCAAATAAAGAATCTCTTACGTGCTGTGCTCTTCCTGGCCCTGTCTCTCCCTCAACCAGCCCTCTTCCTGTGTCTTCCTAATGTCTCCGCCCCTTTGCTCTCTAAGGTGTGGCCATGATCGCTGCTTGTCTGAGGACAGTGGCATGAGCTCCTCCCCCTGCCTAGGCTGCCTTTTCCACTCTCCCTGCCTCACTTCCATCTTTCCTGCCCATCTCAGCATAAACCTCACCCTGCCACGTGTCCTGGACTCCTGGTCTAAATCAGTCCTCCTGCCCCAGGTATTCTTTTTCATGGCTGCCCAATCTCTTCACTAATAGGACCCTTCACATCTTGGATTAATGAATATATTAGTTTTCTTGCGTGTTTATTATCTGTCTGCCCTGCTTGATAGAAATCTCCTTCAAGGCAGGAACCAAATTCCTTTTGGTTACTAGACATGGACTTCAGCCTAGCACGTGGCCCAATGTTGTTCCTTTAAATATTGACTGCTTGGAACATGGTGCAATGTCCTCAGTCACTATAGAATGAGATTCCATTAAAACCTGATGATTCCTTTGTGTTAGGCTCTAATTTCTTTTTAGAAAAACTTCAGAACGCTTTTATTGATTGCCTTTGAATCCCACGAACAGCTGTGAAGTTGAAGGGATAGTTGTCCCCATTTTATATAGGAGGAACTTGAAGCCAGAAATAAAACAACTTGTCCTAAGTTACCTGAAAAGTGGCAGACTCTGGTCTCGAGTCCAGTGTTCATGTCTAGTAATATGCTTTATATTAATAGTAATAATCTGTCATTGAGTAAGTACTGCCCGGAGTTTAATTCATCTTTTGATCCTACTATCAAAACAATATTCTGATTACCTTTATAGAGAAGTGAGAATACCCACAGCAATATCTATTTCTAGAAGAGCTTCTACAAATTCTGGCATCCTGGAAGCCTGCAAAATACTTAAAAAAACCTGAAAAATAATAATGATTCCTCTGCTAGTTTCTTCCTATACAATATCATATTCTTTCCAGCAGTGGAGAGAGGTAGAATTGTCTCCTTCTTGTAGAAATGAGAAAAACCAAGGCTCAAGAAATTATGGAAATTGTCTTTGGTCACACAGCAGATAAATATAAAGATTAGATTTGAAGTCAGGTATCTATGATCTACTCCAAAGCAGCACTTGATCCGCTGATCCACAGAATATTAGACCTCAGAGAGTAACCCTTTGTGCCTCCAAATTAATTTCTCCAATAAAGCAAAAGACATTGACATCCTAACAAAGAGTCTTCATATCACATAAATATCTATGTTTACAACGACCCTCGTAAGTATTCCTTAGCAATACTTACTGATTATTTTGCAATTAATTTACAATTATTTTTGCATATTAATTCATTTCTTTTCTGAAAGACAATCATCAGTTTTGATGAGATGTGAAACAAGCTTGAATTAAGGTGATCAAACAGGCTGTGTTATTCTGTTTGGACTACCATAACATACCACAGACTGGGTGGTTTAAACAGCAGGAATTTGTTTTCTTACAGCTCTGGAGGCTGAAAGTTCAAGATCAAGGTGTAGGCAGGATTGGTTTCTGGTAAGGCTTCTTTCCTTGGCTTGCAGTTGGTGGTTTCTCTCTGTGTCCTCACATGGCCTTTCTTTTGTGCGTGTGGAGAGAGGGGAGGGTAAGTGAGGGAGGAAGGAAGCACATAAAGGAAAAGGAGAAAAGGAGGGAGGCAGGAGAGAAAGACAGACGTGGTAGCTCATGTCTATAATTCTAGCACTTTGGGAGGCCAAGGCAGGTGAATTGCTTGAGTTCAGGAATTTGAGACTAGCCTGGGCAACATGGTGAAACCCCGTCTCAACAAGAAATACAAAAATTAGTATGGTGGTATATGCTTGTAGTCCCAGCTACTAGGGGGGCTGAGGCTGAGGTGGAAAGACCACTTGATCCCGGGAGGTTGAGACAGTGAGCTGTGATGGTGCCACTGTACTCCAGTCTGGGTAACAGAGCAAGACCCTGTCTCAGACAAAAAAAAAAAAGAAAGACAGAAAGAAAAGAAAAAGGGGAGGAGGAGGGGAGAAAGAGAGAGAGTGAGGCAGAGACACCCACATACACAGAGAGAGATCCATAGATTTTTTTTGATATTTCTTTCTCTTCTTATAAGGACATCAGTCCTATGGGATTAGAGTCCCACCAATAGGATCTCATTTAACCTGAACTACCTCCTTAAAGACCCTTTCTCCAAATATAGTCATATTAGGGGTTAGTGCTTCAGCCTATGGCTTTGGGTAGATGCAGTTCAGTCCCTAAGCCAGCCCCTTCCCTTTGCTTGTAGTTGTCTTGTTTCTATGGATGCAACAACTGTCCTCTGAAGGAATGCCTACATTAGCAGGGCTCAGCTGTTTCTAAGATAACAGAGGTTAAAAGGGTGCTTTCTAAAAGTTTACCTAGATATAACTGAACTTTGGGGGGTTTAAAGTAGATCATACTTATTTCACTCATTTTTAAACCCTGAAAATTCTTTCTATGCGATATTCTTGGGGAGAGGTTGGTATTGTGTTTTAGTCAGCATTGGGACTATTCGATATTTGTTTCATCATGTTTTAATTTGTGAATTTGATAAAATGGCATCTTCAAGTTGATTTCATTTCGGATACACCATGGGATTTTTCAAGAAAGTATTTCTAGCTTCAACTATAGTAACCCCTATTTAAAATTACATATATTTGAATGTTTAGATTCTTGAAATATTGGCCATTATCTTTTTAACAGTAATTTAATATTTCAAACTAATTTGAAATATTATCGATGACCTGTGGCATCTTTGAACTTACACTCTAAGAGTGGGATGATTACTCAAATGAGTTCCCCCATAGTAATTTACAAAGGTACATGATTTGTGGAGATACCTAAATCACTTTTGGCATGGTGCTTCTAAGTACGGGGGACTTTAATGCTAGGAAGATCATTCTTGTGTCTCCAATATCAGAAAATATACCATTTTATTGAGGAAGTTGTCTCAATTCAAGAAATAGTTGTAGCATATGGGCTAGTGCATCGAGTGCTGTCCTGGTTCTGCTAGAGGTATTGCCCATAAAGTCTCTCATTAAGTCTAAAGGAAAAAGCATGGCCATATATAAACACGAAGCCCATTCTAATGGTGAATATCACAATAAAAAGAAGCACAGAAGGCGATCACAGATTAGCTGAAGGGAAAGCTGCCTCTGTCTGTGAACGAGGTTTCATGATGGAGTAATATGGCTGCTCCTCTTTGAATGGAGGGAGCTGGAAAGTGGGAGGACATGAGCCCAGAAATGGGAACGCCCAGGTAGTGTGGTCTCAGGATGCCCATATTGTACTTCTAGAGAAACTAGTGAGGAGATTGTGAAGGGCTTGGGGTGTTGGGCTGAGGGGTGTGTAGGCCACAAGGAACCATGCTGGTTGGATGAGATGGGCCCCACCCTTGAGGGGCTTCTGCCTGATGTGGGAGATGGACCTGATGGACCGATAGAGTCAATGAAGTGGTGGATGCAATTCCAGAGACATGCACGAGCTGTTGAGAGAGCCAAGAGGGGCCTTTCCAAGGTCAGACCAGTAGATGCTTTCCTGGTAAACAGAGTGGATAATTAGGGTTACTTGCAAAAACAGAGTAATTTTACCATCATTAGTAGTGACTATATTTCCTTTTCAAAATTATGTTACAAAAGGGAATAACAAAGCTATGGGTTTCAATTAGTTTACATTCTTATTTTGTTCTAAAATGATATTTGGTAATCTGTTATTCCAACAACTGACTTTTCCTAATTGGAGGAGAGAATATTACTTTTAATGCTTTAACTCAAAATGTTCTAAGCTCTACAAAATGAATATATACATATTTTTAAGGTAGAATTTACAAATGCCAGATCTACAATTTACTTCTTCTGGGATTAAAAAGACTTTGGAAGCTTTGCCTTTTAATGAAAATAATTTCAGTCATATTAATAACTCATTGTTTTAAACATTGAATAAAATGAGTTATTCAAGAACAGAAAATATTTAAATTTGCTTTAAAAAAAACTTGTGAACAATTTATGCTATGTGGTTTGCTAATCTAACTGTCGAGTAATTGTTTTATCATTTTAAAAATCCAAAAGTGAAACTGGAATGCTCAGGCTTTGTGTTCCATCTTTGTAATTGACATGCCGTGTTAGATTCCAAACTGGTTCCATATCTTTCAGGTTTTGATACATGAGAAGAATTTTAACCTGGACTTTCTCTCTAGTAGCAATCAATGTATGCAGTAAGCAATTCATGGTGCCACAAGGAGAAGGAAACCCACGCTTTTGTCATAAGTACAAATCAATTACTTTTGCTTATTTTACACCTTTGAATCATGTATTTATTCATCGTTAAGATTTTAGTGTATATAAGGACAAAGTGTTAGCTACTGAAAATAATGCAAAATGCTAAGAAATGAAGAGCTTTTTTCATAAGGGCACAGTCTATTTAGGGATACTAAATATGTAAACAGATGTGTATGATAAAAGGGAAACAGGACAAGTTCCACTGGAGAGTCCACAACTTTAAGGAAGACAGAGGAATGAGTGACTGCTTCTGTCTGGAGGGTCAGTTACCTTGGAAATAGGAGAAACTGGGTTTGTCCTTGAAAGCTGATGTTAGAGCGGAACTGTTCTTTCCTGCCCAGACGTTTCCTTCTGTGTGGGAAGAGCCTAATAAGTGTAACACGCTGACCTCTGTCCCCCTTTCCTCTCTCTGTACTAAGATTTATGAAATTACTGCATTGATAATTAATGAAGAATGTCGCTGTTGACTGTGCGCTTCCCTCTTTTGCTCTGGGGTGTGAACTTGCCTGCAGGGAGTGCGGTTCTGCTCTGCTGGTTTAGGCTTCGTCTTACCTGGGCAGGTGGCTGTTGTCCAGAGGCCTGTCCCAGTTGGTCATGACTCACGACTGGGTGGATAGGTCTGTGAAACTCTGAAATTAGTTGGCAGTTCCAGTTGACCTGTAATCATTTTTTCTATCTTATTCTGTGTTAGAACCTACCAGGCAGCCATTGAAATTCCTCGTCACCTTGCATGGAAATGGGAGTGTCCCGGCACCAGGCTAAGCTGCATTTTCCAGCCTCTCTTGCTGTTGGACGTGTGCTACCTGGTGGGGGAGTCACAGCCATGAGACGTGAGAAGTGACACCAAGGCTTCTGAGCATTGTGTGTGACCTTCCTCTTCACTCTTTCCCCTACAGTGGCTGGATGCAGATGAAGACGAAGCCCTGCGGATGGGTGTGCTGCGAGTTGAAACGATCCTAGGCTCTGAATCGTTGTGCAGAGCAGTTCTACATGCCAACAAAACCACGTGCCTTGGACTGCAATTTTTATTAAGTACTCGATATTTTTTCATATACATAGTAAAAACATATAGAGGGTTGTAACCATCCAACGGGTTCACCTTGCCCACTGCCTAGACAGAGCCAATTGATCAAGACAGGGGAATAGCAATGGAGAAAGAGTGATTCAGGCTTAGCCAGCTGTGTGGGAGACTGGAGTTTTATTGTTACTCAAGTCAGTCTCCCTGAGCCTTCCGGGATCCGCGTTTTTAAAGACAATTTGGTGGGTAGGGGCTCAGTAAGTGGGGAGTGCTGATTGGTCGTGCTGGAAATGGAATCGTAGGTGGCCGTATTTAGGTTTTCTTGGTGTCTTCTGTTCCTGGGTGGGATTGCAGAAAAGATTGAGCCAAATTACAGGCCTGGGTGGTGTCAACTGATCCATCGAGTGCAGGGTCTGCAAAATATCTGAAGCACTGATCTTAGGCTTTACAATAGTGATGTTATCCCAGGAGCAATCTCGGGAGGTTCAGATTCTGACAGCCAGAGGCTGCATGACCCCTAAACCTTAATTTCTAATCTTGTAGCTAATTTGTTAGCCCTACAAAGGCAGACTGGTCCCCAGGCAAGAAGGGAGTCTTTTTGGGAAAGGACTATTATCAATTTTCTTTTAGAGTCAAACTATAAACTAAATTCCTTCCCAAGGTTAGTTTGGCTGATGCCCAAGAATGAACAAGGACAGCTTAAAGGTTAGAAGCAAGATGGAGTCAGTTAGGTCTGACCTCTTTCACTGTCATAATTTCCTCAGTTATAATTTTTGCAAAGGTGGTTTCAAGGTCAGAAGCAATTATATTTCTAGGCTAATTTAGTCCTGTATTTGCAGATCCTGTTGACTTGAGATACTGGGTAAGTTAGTAAACACAAACAGCATCATTTGGTTCAATATAGGGCACCTCATTTAAACTATTTTATTAATTAATGACAAAAATGTAGCAATTAGTTTATTTCTACCGTCTCAAAAATGGTTAAATTGCTCTAAATCATTCTGTTTCTGATTTGTTGTGAACATTTTGGTGAATTGGCACACAGTTAACTCTCACAGTGACAGGGAATGCCCTGAGCGGGTGCAGTGGATTTCTTTGACCTATGCAGCAACACCTGCCATGGCCCTGAGATACAGGGTAATGTGCTGTTGCTGTTGCATGGTTAGAGTCAGAAAACAAGAGTTTGGGAAAAGCGGGTAAGGAAAAAAACTCTACCTCTTACTAACTGTACAAACTCAGCAAGCTATTTAACCTCCGTGATCCTCATTATCTTCATTGGTAAATCAAGAACAAACAGGGTTCTCACCTTATGAGGATGTTAAGGGATGTAACTTATGTGAATCATGTGGACAAAAGTCGGCTCCCAGCAGGTTACGGTTCAGTCATAGATATCATCAAAGTTATTCTAAATGTTGAGAGACTCCCATCACATCTGCAGGTGGCCCCAGGGAGAGTCTGGGTCAATGCACAAGTTTGATGTAAACACAGAGGAGGCAAGCAGGCATGAAAATTCAGAGATAGAGGGGTGGAAAGTATGTTCAGGAATGGCCAGGCTAAGAAGGTGATTTTTGAACAAAGACCTGAAGGACATAGGGGAATTAAGGCCCTGTATACACCTGCTCAGGCTGTCACAGTAAATCAGAGAGCGGGTGCTTAAATAACAGAAATTTGTTTTCTCATAATTCTGGAGGCTGGAAGTTCAAGATGGGGGTGTCAACAGGGCATTTGCTCTGAGGGCTCTCTCCTTGGCCTGTAGATGCCATCTTCTCCCTGTGTCTTCTCCCTTTGTTTTCCTAGAGTCTTCCCTCTATGCATGTCTGTGTCCAAATTCACTCTTCTAATAAGGACACCAGTCATATTGAATGGAGGCTTCATTTTAACTCTACCTCTTTAGAGGTCCTGTCTTCAAATACAGTCATGTTCTAAGATAGTGAGGATTTCAACATATGAATTTTGGGGCATACACATTTGAGCTCATCACTAGAGCTAAGAATAGAAACTGCCTGGTGAATTCTAGAACTGAGACCAGTCCCCTCCCTAGGACAGAGGGAAAGGATAAAGGATAGAGAGCATGAAGGAGATATGGGCCAAGGCAGACAGGCCAGGTCGGCTGGCACAGGGGTGGGTTGGGGTGGGGAGATTCTGGTTTTACTCTGAGTGATGGGAGATGATGGAGGAGAGGCAGGGCCTGATTTAGATCTTAAAGGGACCCCTTCATTCTGTGGATAATAGGTGGCAGGGGGTCTGTGCAAGGCCAGCAAGAGCAGTAGAGCTGCCAGGAAGCTACTGCTATTTGATGCTATGCTCAACAAAACAGTGCTTGGATCATGGACCTGTGGTGGATGTCGTAAGAAATGATCATATTCTGGGTCTATTTTGGTGTCATACAGAAAGGATTGGCTGAGGAACTGGATGTGAGGGATGTGAGAAAGAAGGATTTGTTTTGAAATATGTATACATTATGGAGTGGCAAAATTGGCCTAATTAACATTTGCATTACCTCACAGACTTACCGTTTTTTAATACTTAATTCTCTCAGTGATTTTCAAGAACACATTGTTATTAACTTTATTCTTTATGTTATAGACTAGATTTCTTGAACTTATTCTTCTTATCTAACTGAAATTTTGTGTCCTTCAACCAACATCTCTCCCATCCCATGCTTCTCACCCCAGCTCTTAGCAAACACCATTCTACTCTCTGCTTCTACGAGTTCAGTGTTTTTTGAATGCACATGTGAGTGATAACATGTATTTGACTTTTTGTTCCTGGCTTATTTCATCTAACATAATGTCCTCCAGATTCATCCATGTTGTCAGAGAGGACAGGATTTCCTTCTTTGTAAAGTCTGAATGGTATTTCCTTGCATATATATGCTACATTTTCTTATCCATTCATCCTTTGGTGAATACTCTGGTTGATTTCATATCTTAGCTATTGCAAATAATGCTGCAGTGAACATGGGAGTGCAGATATCTCTTCAACATGCTGATTTCATTTCCTTTAGAAGTATACCAGCAGTGGAATTGTTGGATCATTTGGGAGTTCTAATTTTAATTGTTTGAGGCGCCTCCATACTGTTTTCAATATGGGTGAACTAACTTACATTCCCACAAATAGTGTGCAAGGGTTCCTTTTTCTCCACATCCTTATCAATGCTTATCTTTTGTCTTTTTGACAATATCCATCCTAACAGGTGTGAGGTGATAGCTCATTGTGGTTTTAATTTGCATTTGCCTGATGATTAGTAATGTTGAGCATTTTTTCAAACATCTGTTGGCCATTTGTATGGTTTCTTTTGATAAATGTCTATTCAGGGCCTTTGCCCATTTTTAAATAGATTTTTTACTAACTATTGAGTTTCTTATATATTTTGGATATTAACCGCTTTTCAGATGTATGGTTTGCAGATATTTTCTCCCATTTTGTAGGTTGTTTGTTCACTCTGTTGATTGTTGACTCCTGTGCAGAGGCTTTTCAATTAGTTATAATTTCATTTGTTCATTTTTGCTTCTGCTACTGGTTCCTTTATAGAGTCCTATTTAAAAATTAATTGCTTAGACCAGTGTCTTAGAGCTTTTCTCCTATGATTTCTCCTAGTAACTTTACAGTTTCACATCTTATGTTTAAGTCTACAGTCCATTTTGAGTTGATTTTTGTATATGATGTCCAAATTCCTTCTTCTGCCTGTGGATATCCAGTTTTTCCAACATCATTTATTGAAGAGACTGTCCTTTACCCACTGTGTGTTCTTGGCATCTTTGTTGAATATCAATTGACCTTAAATGCATGGATTTATTTCTGGATTCTTCAGTCTATCAATTGGTCTATCTGTCTGCTTTTATGCCAGTACCACGCTGTTTGATTACTATAGCTTTGTAGTATAGTTTGAAGTTAGGTAGTATGCTGTCTCCAGCTTTGTTCCTTTTTGTTCGAGATGTTTTTGGCTATCTGGGGTCTTTTGTGTTTCCATATAAATTTTAGGATTCTCTTCCTATTTATATAAAAATATTATTGGGATTTTGATAGAGATTACATTGAATCTGCAGATTGCTTTGGGTAGTATGAACATTTTAAACATATTAATTTTTCCAATATATGAACATGGGATATTTTTCCATTTATTTGTGTCTTCTACAATTTATGTTATCAATATTTTATAGTTTTTGGCATACAAGCCTTCCACCTCCTTGGTTAAATTTATTCCTAAGTATTTTATTTTTTTGGTAATATTGTAAATAGGAATGTTTGATTTTTTGTCAGTTCTTTGTTAGTGTGTAGAAGTGGTACTCATTTTTGTATGCTGATTTTTAATCCTGCTAATTTACTAAGTTTGTTTATCAGTTCTAACAGTTCTTGGTGAAGTCTTTAGGTTTTTCTATGTATATGATCATGTCATCTGTAAACAGGGAAAATTTGACTTGTTTATTTTCAATTTGGATGCTTTTATTTGTTTCTCCTGCTTAATTTCACTGGCTAGGTCTTCCAGAAATGTGTTGAATAAGAATGGCAAGAGTGGGCGTCCTTGTCATGTTTCTGATATTAGAGGAAGCTTTTAACTTTTTCCCACTGAGTATGATGTTGTTGGTTGTGAGTTTGTCACATTTCTTTTATTGTTTTGAAGTACATTCCTTCTATTACTAAGTTGTTGAGAGTTTTTAAGCCATAAATGAATATTGAATTTTGTCAAATGCTTTGAGTAGGGGTTCCCATGAACCCTCTTTAGACACAATTTGCTAAAGTGAGTCACTAATCTTGGGGAAACACTTACTTAATTTACTGGCTTATTGTAAAGGATATTTTAAAAAAATAAAAGTAAACAACCAGATGAAGAAAAACACAGGGCAATGTCTGGAAGGACATTGGAGCACAGGAGCTTCTGTTTCCAAGGAACTGGGGTGCACCACACTCCTGCCCTGTGGAAGAGTTCTTGTTCACCTTTCAGCAAGTCTCCAAAAGCTCAGCTGCCCAGAAGCTCTTTGTACCCTGTCCTCTTGGCTGTTAATGGAGACTTCATGGAACAGGCATGATTGAAGATTTACAACTGTGTAGAGATGTGATTCGCCAAAGAGGGTATGATCTACTACTAATAGAGCAAGTAGGAAAACACAGCAAGGCCTGTCTGGATTCTTCTTGGCCTCTCTGTGCGGCATTCCTTCCCCTAGGGTGTGGAGCAGGACCCCTTCTGGAATGGGAGTCTTATGACCTACAGTTAGACAAGGAAGGTCAGAGAATTTCTTTATGGCCAGCTCCAAGAAAGAAAGGCAAGGGAAGATTAGAGCATATTTTTAGTTCCTATGCCCTGTCCTGGGGAGAAAAAGAAGCAAGAAAAAGGAGGGCAGGAGAAGGTCAAAGAAAGATTTTGTTTTCTGAGGCCTGCTTCTGAGGCCTAAATGCCCCAAAATTATAACTAAAGCCTATCTTTCACGTTTCTTGCTCTGAAGCTATTCTATAGATGCTTGAAAAACAAGGACAAAAGGCCAAATACTTTTACAAAAGATATGCTTATTGTTTTGTTACTTAGGAAACAACAGGGATTACAAGAGGAATTATGAATGAAAGCCAATATATAAATATCACAAAATCACAGTTCTTTATTCTGTTAATGTAGTATATCACATTTATCAATTTGTATTTGTTGCACCATCCTTGCATCCCTGGGATAAATTTAATATGAACATGGTGAAAGACTTTTTTTAATATGCTGTTGAATTTTGCTTGCTTGTGTTTTATTGAAGATTTTTGCATTTATGTTCATCAGAGATATTGGCCTATAATTTTCTTTTCCTTTTACCTTACTTAACTTATTTATTTATTTATTTACTTATTTTTGAGACAAGGTCTCACCCTGTTGCCCAGGATGGAGTGCAGTAGCATGAACATGGCTCACTATAGCCTCAACCTCTCAGGCTCAAGTGATCTTCTTGCCTCAGCCTTTTGAGTAGCTGGTTCCACATGTGTGTGCCACTATGTCTGGCTAATGTTTAAGATTTTCTGTAGAGATGGGGTCTTGTTATGCTGCCCAGGCTGGTCTTGAACTCCTGGCCTCAAATGATCCTCCAATCTTGGCCTCCCAAACTGTTGGGATTATAGACATGAGCCATCATGTATGGCCATTTCCTTTTCTTGTGGTATATTTGTCTGACTTTGCTGTCAGGCTAATGCTGGCCTGGTAAAATGAGTTTGGACATATTCCTTCTTCTTAATTTTTTGGATGGGTTTGAGAAAGATTGATATTAGTCATTTAAATGTTTGATAGAATTCAACAGTGAAGCCAATAGGTCCTGGGCTTTTTGTTGATAGGAACTTTTTTACTACTGATTCAATCTCCCTACTCATTAGTCTGTTCAGATTTTCTGTTTCTTCATGATTCAGTTATGGTAGGTTGTATGCCTCTAGGAATTCATCCATTTCCTCTGGGTTATCCATTTTGTTACTGTATAATTGTTCCTAGTAACCTCTTATGAGTTTTGTATTTCGTTGGTATCAACTGTAATGTCTCTTCTTTATTTGCAGTTTTATTCACTATTCCCTCTTTTTTTTTTTAAGTCTAGTTAAAGGTTTGCTGACTTTGTTTTTACAAAAAGCTAACTCAAAGTTTTGCTGAACTTTTGTGTTTTTCTAGTCTCTGTACCATTTATTTCTGATATGGTGTTCATTTTTTCTTTCTGTCCATGGGCTTAGTTTGTTTTTTGTTTTAGGTTCTTGAGGTGTAATGTTAGATTTTTAATTTTATTTGATGTAAGTATAGCTACCTCCAGTCCCTTTTGATTTTTATTTGTGTAAAATGTTTTTTTTTCACTTTTAGTCTATGTATTTCCTTAACTGTGATGAAAATCTCTTGTAGATGATATATAGCAGGGTCTTGTTTCTTTTATCCATTCAGCCTTTATATGTCTTTAGATTTGACAATTTAATCCATTTACATTTAAGATATTCACTGATAAGTACTATTGCCATTTTGTTAATTGTTTTGTAAATCCTTTCTTCCTCCTTTGCTATCTTCATGATTAGATGATTTTCTTTAGTAGTGTGCCTTGATTCTTTATTGTTTTATCTTTTGTTATTTACAACAGGTTTGCGCATTGCGGTTCCCATGAGGGCTTATGTAAAACAACTTATAACAAGCCATCATAAGTTGATAGCAACTTAACTTTGATCACATGAAAAAACTCAACATTTTTCATTTTTATTCTACTCTTCCCCCACATTTTATGTTGATGTTACAATTTGTATCTTTTTATATATCTTTAACAAATTATAGCTATAATTATTTTTAATTGTTTTGTTTTTTAACTTTTGTACTAAAAACACACTTTTACCAATGAGTTTTATATTTTGATATGTTTTCATGCTATTAATTAACTTCCTTTCCTTTCAGCTTGATGAACCTCCTTTAGCATTTCGTGTAAGATAAGCCTGTTGGTGATAAACATCCTCAGCTTTTGTTCCTCTGGGAAAGTCTTGGCTATAGCTTGAATGTCCCCACCCTAAAAAAAATTTCACAATGAAACTTAATCCTCAATGTGGCAATACTGAGAGGTGGGGTCTTTAAGGGGTGATTAGATCATGAGGGTTCTGTCCTCATGAATGAATTAGTCCACTCATGAATTAATATGTTAATTCATGATTAATAGTCACGGATTATCATGGAATAAGAACTGGTGGCTTTTCAAGGTAGTGAAGAGAAACCTGAGCTAGCACATTAGCACAGTCGGCCCCCTCACAATGTGACACCCTGCATTGACTCAGGACACCACACAGAGTCCTTACAAGCAAGCCTCCATAACTCTAAGAAATCAATTCAATTTCTTTATAAATTACCTAGTTTCAAGTATTCTGTTATAAGCAACACAGAACAGACTAAGACAGAAAATTGGTACCAAGAGTGGGGATGTTGCTAATAATAAATACCTGAATATGGAGAAGCAGCTTTAAAACTGGGTAATGGGCAGAGACTGAAAGAATTAGGAGGATCGGGCTAGAAAAAGCCTAGATTCTGGTGAGGACTCAGAAGACAAGAAGACCAGGGAAAGTTCGGAACTCTTTAGAAACTGAATAAGTGGATGGGATGAGAATAATATGGGCAGTAAAAGCTATTCTGACAATGTTTCAGATGGAACTGAGGAAGAAGGTATTAGAAACTGAAGTAAAGGACATCTTCATTATAAATTAGGAAAGAACTTGGCTAAGCTGTGTCCATGCCCAAGGCCTTTGTGGAAGGCTGAACTTGAGAGTGATGAACTGGGGTATCTGGGAGAATAAATTTCTTTCTTTCCTTCCTTCCTTCCTTCCTTCCTTCCTTCCTTCCTTCCTTCCTTCCTTCCTTCCTCTTTCTTTCTTTCTTCTTTCTTTCTTTCTTTCTTTTTTCTTTCTTTCTTTCTTTCTTTCTTTCTTTCTTTCTTTCTTTCTTTCTTTCTTTCTCTCTCTCTCTCTCTCTCTCTTTCTTTCTTTCTTTCTTTCTTTCTCTCTTTCTTTCTTTTTAGACAGAGTATCACACTATCACCCAGGCTGGAGTGCAGTGGCATGATCTCAGCTCACTGCAACCTCTGCCTCCTGGGTTCAAGTGATTCTCCTGTCTGGCAGAATAAATTTCTAAACAAAATATAGAAGGAGATACATGATTAATTTTGGCTACTTTTGCTGAGATTCTGGAGCAAAGGAATAATTTAAAAACAGAATTTGTAACTAAAAGGGAACCAGAGAGGAAAGATTTGGAAAACTCTGTGCCTGACCATATAAAAAAGTGAAAAACATGTTTGGCAGAGGAAATCAAGGGTATAGCCCAGTGGTCATTTACTAAAGAGATAAGCATGGATAGAAGGGATCCAGGTGCTATTCTTCAAGACAATGGAAGAAAGACCCTGGAGATCTTTTAGAGATCTTTGAGGTTGCCACTCCCGTCACAGTTCCGTAGGCCCAGGAAAGCAGAATGATTTCAGAGGACAGCCCTGGTGTACTCTCCACAGGCTAAGGCTCATTACCCAGGGCTGCCTCAAAGCTCTACTACCCACATGTTGACACAGTGCTCTGCTGTCACCCCAGCAGTCCCAGGTTTGGCTTGTGCTGGAGCTCTGAAATGTACAAGTCATAAACTTTTGTGGCATCCACCTGGTGCTAATTCTTCAGGCTTTCGGAAAGCAAACACCGTAGAGACTTGGCAGCCTCCACCCAGATTTCAGAGGATGTTATCAAAAGCCTTGAGATCCAGGGCAGAGACTTGTCATTAGGGAGAATAAACTGAAGAGAGGCCCTACTAAAGCAATGCTGAGTGGATATGTGAGATTGGGGATGCCACTGAGTGTTCCAACTAGGTCAATGACTAGTGGAATCATAGAAGCAGGGCTGCCACCAAGACCCCTGAACTGCAGAGCTACCAGCATGCAATGCCAGTCTGAGAGAGCTGGGTGGCACTCAAGCCATAGTGGCCTGAGACTTTGGGGTCCCAACTCCTGCACCAGTGTGCAGAGGATGCCAGACATGAAGTCAAAGGAGACTATTCAGGAGCCTTAAGACCCAATATCTGCCTTCTTGGGCTTTGGACTTGCTTGGGGCCTGTTACCCCCTACTTCTTGCCTATTTCTCCCTTTTGGGATGGGCATGTTTACTCTATGCTTGTTATACCATTGTATCTTAAATGTAGATAACTTGTTTTGATTTCACAGACTCAACAGAGGATATTTCCAACTTTGAAATTTTGAGTTGGTGCTGTGACAAGTTAAGACTTTGGGGCTATGGGTAAAGAATAAATCTATTTGTATGTGACATAAACATGAGCTTTGGGGACAAGCGGTGGAATGATATGGCTTAAATGCCTACTCTCCAAACTTATGTTGAAACTTAATCCCCATCATGGCAGTATTGAGAGGTGGTGCCTTTAAGATGTGATTGGGTCATAAAGGCTCATTTTTATAAATGGATTAATCCATTCATAGATGATCAAATTAGTGGGTTAATGTGTTATTGGGTTATCACAGAAGGAGAACTGGTGGCTTTATAAGAAAGGAGAGAACTGAGGTAGCACATTAGCACACTAAGCTGTCTCACCATGTGATACCCTGTGCCTTGGGACTCTTGAGTCCCCAAAAGCAAGAAGGCTATCACCCAATGTATCCCCCCAACTTTGGACTTAGACTTCACAACTATAGATAATAAATTCATTTTATAAAAACACAAATTACCCAGTTTTAGGTATTTTGTAATAAAGACACTTTGTCTCTCCTTTATTTATGAAAGACAGCATAGTCAGGTACAGAATTCTTAGTTTGCAGGGTTTCCACCCACCCCCTTTAGAACTTTGATTATATTAGTCCACTTTTTCCTGGCCTATAAGTTTTCTACTGAGACTCGTAGCTTTACTAGAACTACTTTACATGTGATATGCTTCTTTTATCTTGCTGCTTTCAGAATCTTCTTTTTCTATTTGATTTTTGACAGTTTGATTATAATATGTCTCAGTGTAGTCTTGTTTGAAGTGATTCTTATTGGAGACTTTCGACCTTCCTGTACCCAGATATTAATAGATTTTTTTCAGATTTTGAGAGTATTTCTGCTGTTATATTAAAAATAACATTTCTGTCTCTTTGTCTCTCTCTTGTCTTTTTGAACCCCTATAATTCAAATATTTTCTGTTTATGCTGTCACATAAATTCTGCAAGCTTTCTCCATTCTCTTTTCTTCTCTAACTGTATATTTTCAAATAACTGGTCTTTGAGTTCACTGATTGTTTCTTCTGCTTGACTAATTTTGCTGTTGATAATCTCTATTGCATTTTTTATTTAACAATATGATTTTTTCAGTCCCATAATTTGTTTGATTTTCAAAAAATAATTTAATGTCTCTGTTAAATTTCTTGTTTTAGTTGTTTATTGTTTCCCTGATTTTGTTCCGTAGTTTATATTTTCTTGAAGTTCACTGAGCTTTCTTAAAATAATTATCTTGAATTCTTTGTCAAGGAGTTTACAAATTTTCCTGTCTTTAGGCTCATTTACTGGCTCTTTTTGTTGTTGTTGTTCCTTTGGTAGTGTCATGTTTCCCTGATTATTCCCCGCCATTGTAGTTGTGCATGATTGTCTGCACATTTGAAGAAGTAGGGACTGTTTTTTGTCTTTGCAGACTTGTTCCTTCAGGGAAAGCCCCCCTTCACCAGTCAGCTTGTCCAGAGATACTGAGCAGGCTGTCTACTAAGGTCTGTGGGTAGGCTTGCTGCTGAATCTTCAGACATGGCCTGGTACTTGATACCTGGGTCAAGAAGTAGGTGGTCTTGGTGCCTGGGTTTGTGGGGTTGTGCCTGGAGCCTGAATGCACTGGCAGGGGTGGAGGGCAAGGAGAAGGGAGGGATTTTGATTGTGTATGTGGGAACTTGCCTGAAGCCTGGGGTAGAGTGACCTAATACTGAGATGGACCTTGAGCTTGAGTCTTCAGGAGCCAGCCAGGCACTTGGATAGGCCTGGCAGCTGTATCCGCTGAGACACAACTGGAACCTGAGCCTACAGAGGCTGGCCTACACACTGGGGTATGGAGACCAGCCTGGAGCCTGAGTTCACGGGGTCTATTCTAAAGGCTGGGTGTGTAGGTGCTGGCCTGGAGGCTAGTTTCATGAGGGCTTGCTTGGGTACTGGCTGGCCTGGAACCTGGGTCCACAAGGTTGGTCCTGGAGCCTGAGTTCATGGGCATCAGCCCAGAACTGAGGTCTAGTGGGATGGGCCTGGACCCTCAGTCTGCTGGAGTATGGGTCTACTAGGACCCACTTGACATTAAGCAGGCCTAGTGCCTGTTTCAGCGGTACTGACCTGGCACTGGGGTGCAACCAAAGCCTGGAGCTCTATAAACTGACCTGGCTCTGGAATCTGGGGTAGGCCTGGATCCTGAGGCCAAAGGGGCTCACCTGGTTTTGGGTAGGCCTGAAGTCTGTATCCACAGCATCCTTTCTGGAGGATGGGTCCATGGATGCCAGCCTGGCAGAGGGGTGGGTCCAGAGACTGAGCCTACTGGCAAGGCCAGGAGCCTGGGCTGTAGGATCTGGCCTGGTACTGGGGCTGGCCTCAAGGCTAAGTCTGAGGCCAGGCATCTTGGGCCATGGGGACCTGGCCAATGCTGGGTTTTACTGGGGCAGGCCTGGTGTTAAGGTTGAGGCAAAGCCTAATGCTCACTTCCCACTCCTCTGAAGATGGTATTAATAAATCTTTTTCCCCCGTGCTGCCTGGGGCTTGGGGAAGGGTGATGCAGGTGATATCAAACTGTCCTTACTACCCTCATCAGTGAGTCTTTTGTTATTCACAGCTCCACCTAGGTGCTATAATCTCTCACCTGGTTTCATTAGCTCTTTGAAAGTATTTTTGTGCATGGACAGTTGTTCAAATTGATTTTTCTGTGGGGGAATGAGCATTTGGAAAGTCTGATTTTCCCATCTTGCTGATGTCCAACCTGCCTTCTTCTTATAAGGAAGGACCTGTATAATTACACTGGGCTTACCTGATAATTCAGGATAATCCACATTAAGATCCTTATCTTTATCACATCTGCAGTCTCTTTTGTCATGTATGATTACATATTGACAGGTTTCAGGGAACAGGATGTAGGTATTTTCGGGGGCTATTATTCTATCTACCACATTTACAAAATCCTTAGAACAATATCTGATATGTTCTATGTACTCAAGTGTCATATGGTATTACTGCCTCCTTTTTATTAAAATACAAAGGGTACTGTTCTGTGCTCTTGAACAGAGTCAGCAAGATTTCTGCAAGACCTCTGGGGAAGGAATTTCATGTTTACTGTTTCACAGCTATGTAGCTATTAACATATCTTTATCTGCTCTTCCTGAAACTAGTATCATACACTTTAAATTAACATTTACATATGCAATTTTCAAAGTTACACATCTGACTGTATTGCATTCAGAATTTATTTTAAGCTATAAATGTCACCTCTATAAAACCACAGTATTAAAAAAATCTGTTAAAACATTTATGTCATAGTTTCTAATTGTGCTTTTAAATTTTTCGTTATGAGATGTGTTCCTCAATACAGGCAACTGAAAGCCATCAATAATTCAATTATAAATATTTGATAATAATATGTGGATAAAACAATTGCTTGTCAATTTTGATATATAAACTATTTTGAGGCACAGTATCTCATGACAATCCAGGCTGTGATTACATTTTACTAAACCAGGACTTCTCAATTTGGTTCTTACAAGTCATTATATTATTTTTTTTCAGACTTGTCTGCTAGTAAATTCATGCTATATGAATAATAATTGTAACTATACAATAAATTTTCCAATAATTATATTCTTTTGCAAAATTTGGAATAAATTTAGTTACCCTGTGACAAATGTTGCAGTAAATATCTTTAAATTGGGCCATTTTGCTTTTCATTTCCTACAGTTTTAAATTCATCAAATGACCATTTCTTTTGTCTCCAACAATTAAAAAAAGAATCCCTGCAATAAAGTCTTGTCCTTGTTTTGGCCATGAAATGATTTGGCCATGGGTAGGTTTTGGCATATGGTGGGGGAGGCAGCATTTTCCTGGTGGACAGTGTTGGGAGGTAGCTCACGATGGGCCTCTGTCACTCCTACATATCTTGCTGAGTGGTCCAAAATCTCAATGCCCTGACTATTCTTTCACCTGTACCACCTCTCAGGATTGTTTATGCAGCTTGCAGTACTGAAGAGTGAAAATATGCAGCCAAGAATGTACTACATGGTTCTTGCTGAAAGTGTTCTTTCTCTGACAAAGGATGGGGTTGGTTACAGCTTACACAGAAGTAGCAGATTTCATAAGCTCAAAGTTTTTCTCCTATTGTGCACCCCATTTTCCATGCAGCTCCACTTGGACTTCTGCAACACCCAGTGGGATTTGTAGCTCTAGGTGCCAGTGGGACTGTGGTAATAATCCTGCTGTTGCCGATACTATGAGTCAAAAAGTCCTTTGTTTCTGACCTAGGGGTTGTGTATCTTTTGTCAGCACCCAAAGAATGCAGCAAGTTAACTTGATAATTTATCATCATTCTGATGGGAGTGCTCTTCCACAGTGACGTAGTGTCAATGTGGGGTAATATCCTTATGGATGATTATTGTTGAGAGGCTATTTTATCAAAACCTTCCTCTCCAATGAACCACTACTTGTCAAGTTGGCCTGAACTGCCGATGCTGGACATCACTCAGCTGGTTCAGATTAATCAAGTGCCTAGAAGTGGCTTTAGACAATAAAACCATGAGGGCCTTAACAGGCCTAAAGAGAAACCCCCTTTTCCAGTCTCCCTCACCTAAGCAAGAGTCTTGGCCCCAAGCATGGAGTCTGGAATTGGAAGGGTGAGCACCCTCATACCACTGTCATCTTGCATCCCAGACTGTGCTAACTGGTTCCTACCCAGATGGCTGGTGGGATGAGATCCTACCTTGCCAGGATCCCATGTCTGGCAAGTTGCAGAGCTGAGATTCACCGTGTTCTAGCAACAACTCTTGCAACCTTTCTAATCACAAGGTGATGAATAGTCCGTAAAAATGCCCAAATCTCAGAAATCACCACTTAGGAACTTAGAACACTACCTGTTCCTCAAAAATCTATTGAAATTTAAAAAAGCCAGAAGATGCCCAAAATATTCATTTTCTTTGGTTCATTTGTACAATAACTTATGTTCTGAAAATAATAAAAAGAATGAGGATTAATAATATTCATCTGAGAATCTCATTTTTTCATTCATAAATTACATATATGATTGATACAATTTGCCTTTTTCAATTATGTCTTTTTTTTTTTTTTTTGAAATGGAGTCTCACTCTGTCTCCCAGGCTGGAGTGCAGTGGCGAGGTCTTTGCTCACCGCAAGCTCCGCCTCCCGGGTTCACGCCGTTCTCCTGCCTCAGCCTCCGGAGCAGCTGGGATTACAGGCGCCCACCACCATGCCTGGCTAATTTTTTGTGTTTTTAGTAGAGACGGGGTTTCACTGTGTTATCCAGGATGGTCTCGATCTCCTGACGTCGTGATCCACCTGCCTTGGCCTCCCAAAGTGCTGGGATTACAGGCGTGAGCCACCGCACCAGCCTTATGTCATCTTTAATATTGATCATTCTATCCAATTATCAAAGAGAAGATGAATTAATTTATCCAGTCTCCCACTGAAGCACAGATGAGGAGTGAAAACATGAGCGGGTAGAGAGGGGCCCCTAAGCTGCTGTGGCCACTGTGTGAGAGGGTGCGAAATGGTGCCTCCCTCCCTCCTGCAAGAAGCCTAGTGTCCAGCCAGTGAGAAAACAGACAACTGAAAGTGAGTTGCTGTCCCTCACTGTGGGACAGCAGGTGAGGGCAAGACGGTCTTTGAGGAGAAGCAGTACAGACGGAGTGTGCTCGGCAGTGAAGGCAGACCTCATGGAGGCTGCGGCAGGGAGAGGACTTTGTGAAGATGCAGGCTGCAAATTGGGTTGCCGAGGTCCGTGGGTGCTGAGGGTAGGGCAAAGCCTTCCAGGGAGGGAGAGAAGCAAGGACAGAGGCAAGGATGGCAGGCATAATGCACAGAGATTGGAAGATGCACAGAAATGGCTCCAGAGAGACAGGCGAACTCATTACGAGGGAATTTCAAAGTGAAGTGGATGGCTAAACTGGAGCCAAGCGGTTATGGCTGAACATTTGTGTCTCCTCCAAATTCATATGTTAAATTCTAACCCTCATGGTGACAATTTTAGGAGATGGAACCTTTGCGAGGTGATGAAGCCATGAAAGTTGTATTAGTCAATTCTTGCATCATAATAAAGAAATACCTGAGGCTGGGTCATTTATAAAGAAAAGAGATTTAGTTGGCTCACGGTTCTGCAGACTGTACAGGAAGCATGGTGCTGGCGTCTGCTTCAGGTGGGGGCCTCAGAGAGTTTACAGTCCTGGTAGAAGGCAAAAGGGGAGCTGGTGTATCACATGGCCAGGGGGAGGCCAGGGGGAGCAAGAGAGAGTGAAGGGGACTTTTAAACAACCAGATCTCACGTGAACTGAGTGAGAACTCACTTGTCACCAGGGGGATAGTGCTAAAGCATTCATGAGGCATCCACCCCCATGATCTATTCACCTCCTACCAGGCCCCATGTCCAACATTGGGAACCACATTTCAACATGAGATTTGGAGGGGACAGATGTCCAAACCATGTAAAAGGTGGAGCCCTCATGAATGGTATTTGTGTCCTTATAAAAGAGACCTCAGAGAACTAGCTCACTCTTTCCACCAGTGAGACAGCAATAAAAAATCAGCAGTCCGCAGCCAAGAAGAGAGCTCTTATCAGAATTTAACCCTGCTGGCATGCTTATCTTGGGCTTCCAGCCTCCAGAATTGTGAGAAATAAATTTCTGTTGTTTATAAGCCACACAGTCTTGGGTACTTTGTGATACAGCATGAACTGACTAAGATGCAAGTCGAGCAGGAATTTGATGACTAACTGAGTGGATTTTATTTTATTTTTTAAGAATTAGAAGGAGAAAAAAGAAAAGAAAAAGAGGAGAAGGAGAAAATGAATGGAAATTGCACATTACTATGAGTCAATCATGGTACTGGGTATTAAGGATATCGTCTAATTTAACTGTCTCAAATCTTGAGAAGGGTGTTTATACACCTTTTACAGAAAAGTGGTTGAAGCTGAAATATGTTCAGCGTATGCTAATTGGTAATAAACAACTTTTTGAACTCCACTGATGCTTGAATTTTCACTCTGCTGGAAGTTGTCAGGTCCAAATTTTAAAGCAGACCTGTCAGCTTCAAACCATGAGCTTCTGCCGTTGTACTGTTCTGCAGAAAAGTAATATGACTTCAGTTCCTCTGGCATTAGTGTGTAGCAAGATCAGAGTGTGAGAGATCAGAAGAAGGAGCACTCTGGTGATGATGATAATATGTACCATTTATGGTGCACACAGATGTCCCAGTTGCTACCTCTAGCATCTCTCATTTTTTCAATAATGTGCAAGCTCAGTAACATACATTTTTAAGAAGTGAGAATTAGAGATGTCAAGAATGTAAAACTATCAAGGGCGAAGGTTGAAATTCAAAATAGGACTGAGGCTTCAAAGCCCATAGGGTTCAAATCTCACTACAACATCCTAGGGCACTGTTCAAGTGAGATGTCACAAGACCAGGTGCATAGTGGAAATGGCGGGGATCAAAACAATTGTCTTACCCAGATGGATGTTCCAGGATCACCTTTACTTGCCATAATGCTCCTTGGACACACCAGTAAAACTTCTCTTCCTCCCTCTTTGCTCCCTTTACAGTACAGAAAAAAGTACTAGATGCCAGCAAGATGATAATTATTTTCTGAGAATGTGAGGAAAGGGAGAAGGCTGAATGTCAGTGGAAATCACGTTCTGGTTACTAACAGAGGAATTTGATTCTGGCCGTCTTAATACAAAATGGGATTCACTAGAATCCTCTCATGTGCTTGGAGGAAAAACTGAAAGTCCGTGCTTGAGAACTGAACAGGCATCAAGGGGGGCTGGACAGTGGTGAGCAGACCAAAGTGCATGCCATGGGAAGATTTTGGTCAGCACAACATCATCATTACCCCCAGGAATAATACAGTCACCATCTGGCTCCATCATCTGAAGTCACTTGCTCAGGATATAAAGTCCCAAGAGAGAGAATTTGGTTTGCTATGCTTGAGTTAATTTCTTCAAACAGGCTCATAGAAACAACTTTATAACCCAGCATCGCTTCCATAGATGTAGAGTTTTCACCAGTGACTCTGGGAAGGAAGATTGTAGCATAAGTTCCTTGGAACTCTGACCAGACGGGAATCAACATATTGTGATGTCATAATGTAAACATATTCATCTAGGAACTTAGCTGGTATGCAATGCAAAAGAGGGCTATGCACGTATCAAGTTATTTCATTTTCTTTGACTTCTGTAGGGGCATTCCTCTGGCTCGACTTCCTAATGGAGTGCTATTTAAATCACTGCGACTGGATGACTGTTAATAGTGCTGCACGGGAAGGAACTGGATACTAATATTTTATTCTAGGGTTAATTTAAAACCATCTGAAAACTGACTTCCTCATAATGAATCAGACTTAGCTGGGAGCATGATAAATTTAATTATAATGGACTTCCTGTGGGTATTGCCAGTCATTTACATATTCATTGAGTCCCATGAAGTAGTTTTTCTTACCATTTTGAGTGTTAAAACCAAGGAAAGGCTAAAGCACAGAAAGGAGAAATAACAAATTTGTCTATAATTAAATGTGAACAGGTCTCTTGAGCAGGTCTTCTATTTACATAAACTTCCTGGACTTAGTTCAGTGGGTGCTTCTCTTTATGAACGTACATTGTTACTAAATTATAAACAACCTGATTCTCTCTTCTGTGAAACGTTTGTGGTATTTTCAGTTGCATGAAGCCAAGCCTAACTGTGTTGAGTAGTAAGAAAGCCCAGAGTTCAGGCTCTGGAGGCCCAAGGTGTTGCTGGCCTTGCTGAAGGGTCCCATTGCTTAGTGGAGTAGTGAAGGACCCAGGTTTCCTGCCTCCCCTCTAGGCTTTCTGGTCTACAATCGAGGTCTTCCCAGGGCTGCTTCCCTGAGGATGGGGGCTGCTAAGATGCAGGGGATTCCTCATTCATACCTGGGCATGAAGATGACTGTTCCTGGGCACTCTCTTGGGAGAATGAGGAGAAATTTCATCTGCAGCCAGTGGTGAATCTCTTTATATCCCATTGGCCTAAACTGTCATCTCCACTCTGCAACCAGTTATAAACAACAGGGATGAGCTAAATCTGATTTGTTCAGATGACTAGGGGCCATACCTGAAATTAGGAATTTTATTGAGTTAATACTTAAATAAAATTTTGAAGCATATTGGTGTCTGGAGCATACCAACTGAGCAAATGGAACTAGGAAGGAAGGAAAGAAAGTGGAATCAGCTGCTGATAAATTACTTAGGATGCTTGGGGAGCATTATGTCCAATAAAATCAGGATCTGTTAAGGAAGAAAAATAGAGAAAAAGATGCTGGTAGATAAAAATTAAATATATATATGTATATATGTTACATATGTATATATGTGTGTATGTATATGTGTGTGTGTATATATATGTATATATGTGTGTATGTATATATATACACATACACACATATATATACACACACATATTATATTCCTATGTGTGGGTGAAAGTGTGTTAATAAGAAACAAACACCAGTTACTCCTTATTTACTTATTTTTTGGTGATTTGGGAGCTTATCCAGGAAAGAATAGAGCATCACTACCCTCAACTCCTATCTGATAATGAAAGGTCTTCATTTTATTTTAAAAAGTCTGAACTTCTTGTATGGACTTTCTTAACGATGAGGATGGGGTAGTAGCTTTTTGCAATAGTTCCATTGAGGATGATGATTCTTTATTTTTTTCAGAACTGAGATTAGTGATTTGAGCTGCGGCAGCAGGGTTAACTGGAGAAAGTGGGAGAAGGGTGGTGGATCTGACAGGGCAGAAACCTGTATCCTTTAGGAAATAAGAGACTGTTGAGATTTTCTATTTTTGCTTGTGTCACCTTAATACAGAAATGTATTGAGACATTTCTCCATTTCATCTAAATTGTCAAATGTATTGACATAAAATTGTTCACAATATTCCCTTATTATTAATATTTGTAGAATGTGTAAAGATGTCCTGTCTCTCATCCTTGATGTTAGTAATTTGCATCTTCTCCTATTTTCTTAATCATTCTAACTAAAGGCTTATGAATTTCATTGATTGTTTCAAAGAATTAGCTTTGGTTTCCTTGATTTTTCTCTTGTCTATTTTGTATTTGATTAATCATGTTTATTTCTGTTTTATCGTACTTCCTACATTATTTTCAGTTAATTTACTTTTTCCTTCTAGGTTTTTGTAGTAGATAATTAGTTTCAGATCTTTTCCATTTCTTTTTTTTTTTGAGATGGAGTCTCAGTGTTGCCCAGGCTGGAGTGCAGTGGCATGATCTTGGCTCACTGCAGCTTCTGCCTCCCGGGTTCAAGCGATTCTACCCTCAGCCTCCTGAGTAGCTGGGACTACAGGCGCACACCACCACGCCTGGCTAGTTTTTGTATTTTTAGTAGAGATGGGGTTTCGCCATGTTAGTCAGGCTAGTCTTGAACTCCTGACCTCAGGTGATCTGCCCACCTCGGCCTCCCAAAGTGCTGGGATTATGGGCATGAGCCACCACTTCCGGCCTCCATTTCTTATGTAAGCTTCCAGTACTATAAAGATTCTTGCAAGCATTGATTTAACTGTATCCAACAAATGTTGGCATGTTTTCACTTTCATTTCATCCAAAATATTCCAATGCCCTTTGTGCTTTCTTTCTTAATCCATAGATAATTTTAAACTGTATTGTTTAATTTCAAAATATTTCCAAATATTTGGGATATTTTTTAGATATCAGTCTTATTTCTCATTTAATTTTGTTGTTATTAGATAATATAGTCTGTAGGACTTCAACACTTTTAAAAGTTTTGAAGCTGGCTAATAGCATTCTGTGACTTGCAGAGGAAAGACAGGGCAAGAAAGGGCAAAAACAAAATAATATGTATAAAATAAGGCCACGTCATAAAAGGCCATCTGTCTTATATATAACATTTGGGATGTATCCTATGTCAGGAGGAGATTTTAAACAGAGAATAACATGATAAATATATAATAATTTTAAAATTAAACAAAAAAATTAAAATTCACATAAAAAGAACATTTGTAGTAGACGTTTGCAAAAATTTGGGAACAAGGTTGTTTGAAAATTTGTAACACCAATTATAGTAAATTACTGATAAAAATTATTTATGATAGTTTGAAGATATAAATAAAATGTTTTTATCAAGAAATGATGTTGAACTTTGTCAAATGTTTTTCTGCATCAATTGAGATGATCGTGTAGTTTTTATTATTCGTTTTGTTAATGTGATGTATCGTATTTATTGATTTCCATATGTTAAATCCGCCTTGCATCCCAGAGACAAATCCTACTTGGTCATGATGTATAATCTTTTGATGTGTTGTTGAGTTTGGTTTGCTAATATTTTATTGAGAAATTTTGCATCAATGTTCATCAGATATATTGGACTATAATTTTCTTTGCTTGGGATGTTTTTGGCTTAGGTATCTAAGTGATGTTGGCAGTATAAAGTGCTTTTGAAAGTATTTCCTGTAGCTCTATTTTTTGGAAGTAGGAGTATTGTTATTAATTATTCTTTGAATATTTGGTAGAATTTAGCATGAAGCCATCTGCTCTAGGGATTTTCTTTGTTGGAAAGTCTTTGATTATTTCTTTAGTCTCTTTATTTATTATTTATCATTTCAGGCTTCCTATTTCTTCCTGATTTTTTTGGTAAGTGATATTTTCCTAGGGATTTATTCATTTTCTCTAGGTTATTTAACTTGTTGGCATAGACTTGTTCATAACAATCCCTTATAATCCTTTTTATTTTTGAGGCATCTGTTGCAATGTTTCCATTTCTATCTTATTATCTGAGTATTTTTTCTCTTTGTCTTAGTCTGGCTAAGTGTTTATCAGTTTTATTTATATTTTCAAAACATTAATTTTCCTATTGTTTTTTCTATTCACTAATGTATTTCTGTTCTGACCTTCATTATTTCCTTCTTTCTGCCAACTTTGGGTTTAGTTGTTCTTCTTTTTCTAGCTCTTTGAGGCATACCATACTGTTAGTTGTATTTATTTGGGATCTGTCTTTCAGGTATGCAGATATCATCAGAGAGAGATAAAACAATATGAAATATCAAGAAAACTGACTAGGGCATGGTGGGGCATGCCTGTAATCTCAACACTTTGGGAGGCCAAGGTGAGAAGATCACTTGATGCCAGGAGTTTGAGATCAGGCTGGGCAACATAGCAAGGCCCCATTTCTACAAAAATAAGTAAATAAATAAATAAGGATATATTTTTAAAAATACATTTTTAAAAAAAGAAAATATGATATCACCAATGAAACAGAATTCTCTAGTAACCAACCCCCTAAAACAGAAACTTATAAATTGTCTGAAAAGGAATTCAAAATAATATGCTTAAGGAAAGTCAGTGAGACACAAGAGAATACAGATATACAATTCAATGACATCAGAAAATCAATTCATGATGTTAATAAGAAATTTAACAAAGAGATAGGTACCATAAAACAGAAATCCTGAAGCTAAAGAAATAATTATAAAAAAATTAATTAAATAAAAAATTAAATAAAAATACAACAGAAAGCTTCTACAGTAGCCTAGCTCAAGCAGAAGAATCTGTAAACTTAAAAACAGGTCCTTTGAAATTACTCAGTCATAGGGTACAAGAAAAGAAAACAAAAAGAATGAAAAACAGTGAAGAAAGCCTAATGGACTTATGGGACACCATTAAGCATACACTTATTTGCAGTATGGGAGTTCTAAAAGGAGAAGAGACAGATAAAGGAACAGAAGACTTATCTAAAACAATTGTTAAAAACTTTGCAAGTCTTGAGAGAGATATAAAGTTCACATTCATAAAGCTCAAAGTTTCCCTAACAGATTTAATCACATTATAATCAAGTTGTAAAAAGTCAAAGGCAAAGAGAACATTTTAATAAATGCAAGAAAAAACAAAAACATGTCACATATAAGTGAATTCCTATTAGATTATCAGTGGATTTCTCAGCAAACCTTGCAGGCCAGAGGAGAATTTAAGGATATATTCAAAGTGCATGAAAGGAAACACAAAAAACCTGACAGCCAAGAATGCTATACTCAGCCACGTTTTTCTTCAGAAATGAGGGAGCAACATTGTCTTTCCCTAAAAAGCAAAAGCTGAGGGAATTCATCACCACGAGACCTGCTTTACATAAAAAGTTTAAGAGAGCTGTTCAAGTGAAAACAAAAAGATATCATAAGCACATAAAAAAAATGAAACTCACTGGTAGAGTTAAATATATAGTTAAGTTTAGAATACTGTAGTACTGTAATGGTGGTATGTAAATCATTCATGCCTGTAGTATGGAGGCTAAAAATCAAAACATTAAAAAATAAAGCTATGATATGTTGTTAAGGAATACATGATACAAAAAGATAAAAATTTTGACTCCTTTGTTTTTGAAGGATTGCTCAGGGTACAAAATTGTAGCTTGATGAGTTTTTTTCAACATTTTAAATATTTTACTACACTATCTTATTGTTTGCATGGTTTCTGAGAAATTAAATGTAATTTTTACTTTTGCTTCTCTATATGTAAGGTGATTTTTTTCTTCTAGGGTCTTTCAATTTTTTTTTCTCTATCTAATTGATATGATTTGGCTGTGTCCCCACCCAAATCTCATGTTGAATTGTGGTTCCCATAATTCCCATGTGTCATGGGAGGGACCAGTGGAAGGTAATTGAATCATGGGGACAGTTACCCTCATGCTGTTCTCGTGATAATGAGTTCTCACAAGATCTGATTTTTTTTTAAGGGGCCTTCCTCCTTTTGCTCAGCACTTCTCCTTTCTGCTGCCATGTGAAAACGGATGAGTTTGCTTCCCCTTTTGCTGTGATTATAAGTTTCCTGAGGCCTCCCAAGTCATGTTGAACTGTGAGTCAGTTAAACCTCTTTCCTTTATAAATTATCCAGTCTCAGGTACGTCTTTATTAACAATGTGAGAACGACGGACTAAGACACTAATTTTTTTCAGTTTGAATATGATGTACTTAGGTGTAGAGTTTTTTAATTTATTTATCCTGCTTGGTGTTTTTTGAGCTTCATGGATCATGGCTTGGTCTCAGACATTAATTTGGAGGAAATTCTTAGGCATTACTGTTTCACTTATTTCTTCTATTCCTTTCGTTCTTCTCTTTCTGGAATTTTATTTTGGCCCATTTTATTCAGCTTTTTTTTTCTCTTTGATTGTCAGTTTTGTAGGCTTTATTAACATATCACAAAGCGAAGAGATTATTTTCTTAGCTGTATCCAGTCTACCAGTGGGCACATGAAAGGTATTCTTTATTTCTGTTACAGTGTTTCTCATCTCTAGCATTTCTTTTTGGTTCTTTCTTAGTATTTTCATCTCTTTGCTTACATTACCCTTCTGTTTTTGCTGTCTGCTTTACCCATTAGAAGACCTCAGAATATTAATCATAGTTGTTTTAAATTCATCATCTGACAATTCCACTGTTCATTTTATATCTGGTTCTGGTTCTGATGCTTGTTCTGCCTCTTCAAACAGTGTTTTTCCCCCTCTCTTTCAGTATGCCTTGTAGTTTTTCATGTAAAAGCAGACATAATAAACTGTGTAAAAGGAACTGTGGCAAATAGGTTTTGAATAATGTAATGGTAAAGTATGAGGGAATCTTTTTATAGTTTCATCATTAGTTCCCGGTCTTTTAGTGAGCCTATGCCCCTCGGCTATGAACTTCAAAAGTGCTGTTCAGAGTTTTTTTTTTTTTTTTTTTTTTTCTCCCTTAGAGGGTACAGGTTGGCTACAAGGAGGTAGAGTTGGGTATTTACCTTACCCTAGGCCAGTCAGTCTCTGATAAAACCACAATAGATGAGGCTGTGCCTACAATAGTTTCTTTTGAAGGCTGGCCTTGTTAAATAGAAAAGAATGCCCTGCACCATGGCACAACGGTTCCTTGGCTTTCTCCCCTGCCTGTAACAGGAGGGGGTTTTTCTCTGATTTTCGTGGTGAGAACCATGGCAGAGGTCTTGGAAATAAAACTCATAAAAATGTGGGAGGCCCCTCTGACTGTTTCCTCGTCTCAGCCTTGCTCATTCTGAATCTCCAGCAATTTGTCAATTATAGTTTGGGTATTTCTAAGCCAGTACTAGCTCCTGTAGAGGTTTCTGTTCATGAACTTCTGATATGGAAAGTTTTGATTCTCTGTATTCATCTTTCTGTCTCTACAATATTAGGGGCAGCACTTGCCCTGTTACCTCACTTCTAAGATGGATCTAAGAAGAGTTGATTTTTCCATTTGTTTAGGTTTTTACCTGTTGGAATGGGGTAAAAACCTAAACTCGCAGGGTTTTTACCTGCGAGCTGCCTACTTGCCAATCCAGGACTTATTTATTGTTCTTTACTGCTTATTTTCTATTTTGTTCTGCTCTCATATTTACAATTTTCTTCTTTCTACTTACTTCACATTGTACTGTTCTTCTTTTAGATTCTTAAAATATAAACTTAGGTCAGTGATTTAAATCTTTTATTGTTATTCATATAAGGAGATAAAAATATTATTTTCTTCTAAGTTCTGCTCCAGCTGCATTCCATACAGTTAATATGTATTAATTTATTTTTCATTTATTAAAACATTTCTAATGTTCCTTGTGATTTATTGTTTGACCCATGTGTAATTTGGAATTCTGTTCTTCAATTAGCAAATATTTGGGAAACTTTTCAGATAGTTTTGGTGAATCCTAATTTAGGTGGTGTTTGGTCACAGAGCATATACTATGTAATTTCAATCTTTCAAATTTATTAAAAACACTGTTATAGTTACTCTTGCACTTAAATACATATTCTGTTCTTTTGGGGTAAAAGTGTTTCATAAGGGTCAATTAGGTCACTTTAGTTGATAGTGTTACTGGGTTATTCAAATGTTTTCAATCCTTATTGCTTTTATTGTTCTAACGTATAATGACACTTGAGATAAACTGTTAAAATCTACCACTACCATTGTAGACTTGTATCTTTTTACTTTTATTTGACATAGTTTTTTCTTCATGTATGTGAAAGCTCTACAATAGATATACATCTATAAATATACAGCATTTAATCTTCTTGATTTATTAACTTTTATCATTACTTAAATATCTTTTATAGTTGTCTTGAAAATGTTATTCAATCTCAGTATATCTTTTGGATTTTGTTATAATTAGTATTTACAATGGTATATACATCTTTTTTTGGTATACTTTCGCTGTGTTTTTGTATAACACTTATCTCTTATACTCAAAATATTGTTTTAATACCTTGCTTTTTACAAAAATTCTGACGTACTATGTTTATTTTAAACTGGACTTTTAACATAATTTTTATTTAATGTAATTTCTACTATTTTGGGGTTTAACCTCTTTCTTGCCATTTATTTTCTATGTACCCTATCTCTTTATTGTTTCTTTTTTTCACTTTTTTTTTTTTTTTTACCTTTTTGGGGATCAAGTAATTAGCTTTTGGGTATTCCATTTTTATCTTCCCTCTTGGTTTATTAGCTATAACTCTCTTCATTTTTTACTCTTTTTGGTATGACTGTCTTAGAGTTTTAATATACACTTTTGACTTATGGTGGTTAACTTTTAAATTGTATTATAATGCTTTGGCAGAGTGTAATGACCTTGCAAAATTGTACTTCAATTTCCTCCTTCCCATTCTATATGCCTTTTGTCCTTCTACGTATGCTTTAAACTCCAAAGTATATTATCATTATTGTTGTTGCTTCTTTATTTTTATCTAAAATAATTTTTTTATATTGTGATACTTGAAATCCCTAAAACCCCTAAAACTCTTTTCCGCTGTTTATGAGATTGAAACTATTTTCAGAATACCTTATTTACATTTTTACTTTCATGCTATCATAGCATATATTTGCATTTTCAGAGGCTACATAACATATGGTATTGTAACAGATTGAATGCAAAAATAGGAGAATCTAACTGTCCCCTCTTAAGTCAGACATTAAAGAAATTTGCAAAGATATACGGTGTCACTTTTTTGCTAGTAATTTTTTTTTGTTTTAAAAACACAGTTATATTTATTTAAAAAGATTTTTAAAACATGTATGGAATTCTTGTTATCTTTAATATATATATTTCTCCGTTTTCATTTCTAATATGTTAAATGTATTAGCAGCTATAACTTATATATTAAAAAAAGCTCTTTGTGAACCTCTGTGGATTCCAAAAGGTTTCTACGAGTTAAAGGTATCTTAAGATTAAAAAGTTTAAGAATAGATTATTGAGCTTTAAAATAAATGTTTCAAATTCTGATACATTTACTTATGTAACTACTATTTCCATGGTTCTACCTTCCTTCGTATAGATGCGAATTTCCATAAAGTGTTATTATCCTTCAACCTGAAGAAATTTCTTTAACTTTTTTGATACAGGTTGCTGGCAATGCATTGCTTTTGCTTTTGCTGTCTAAAATGTCCTTTTTTAAATCTTCATGTGAAAAAAAGCTGTATGAATAATTCTAGGTTGAAAATTGATTACAGAAATTTGTGGTGAACATTATAATGCTTACCCCTTGCCCTACCAGTGCCCATTTAGAAAAACTAGTTACCCCAACTTCTGAAAATGGATATTTGGGAAGGTCAAAGTCAGCTGTGTATTTAAAAAATTAAAGCAGTTGAAATGAGTGTGACAAAGAACATTACACACGTTTTTAATTTAATGTGATAAGCCTGCCCCCACTTTTTCTAACCAACTCATGCCCTATCTACAGAAATTAAAATATTTCAAATTGTGTTCTCCTATAAAATTTGTATTATTGACCTGACCTCAGTCTTTAAGATTTTCATTTTCAGACACCTACAGCTGTCAACACCTGACTTCTAGAATTTTTCTTGAAATTTACAATTCTAACTTATGTTAACAGTATGTGCATTTTTGAGAAAAAGCTACAATGAAGTAATTGGATAACTTTTAACATTTTTTTCCCTTTATTTATACTGCTAACAGTGACATCAATAAGACTTACTTTACAATTTTGTAGTATGCAATGTCACAGAGAAATGATGTATTTTATGTAGTGTCTGAACACAGGTGTTTTCTTAGAAATTCTAAAGGAAACTAATCTTTCTCCCTTGATGCTAATGACTTTAGACATACTTTATCAACAAATTCAAACCCTAGACTTTACAAAGCCAATTGTTATAAGAGAAGTAGGATCTATCTAATATCATTGAATACTAAACAAAACTATGAGAATGTCTAGTAAAGTGTGTCCATTGAAGTAAATATATGTTTAACAGAGTGATTGCAATATTCAGGAGCTCAAGGCTGCCCCCCTTTAAAGGAAGCAATACTTTAAAGGAGAGGTGGAAAACCATTATGAAGTGAAAAAATATTCCAACAGATTTCAGATGTATTTCAGCTGTTCTGGATTCCCTATTGATAACTGTCCTATTGACATGAGTATTCCCAGGAGGGCTGTGGTAAAAACCAATGTAGGTTTTATTTCCCATGCCCTTGGATCTCTGCAAAGAGCCAGTCTACTAAAAACACGTACATCCCAGCTCCACCAGGTTTCTCACTACCTGTATTAGTCCGTTCGTGTGGCTATAATAAAATGCCCTAGACTGGGTAATTTACAAAAAATAGAAATTTATTTTTAACTGTTCCAGAGGGGTTGGGAAGTCCAAGATAAAGGCACTGGCAGATTTGATGTCTGGTGAAGACCCATTCCTCATAGATGGTGCTGTCTAGGTCTTCTCACATGGCAAAAAAGATAGAAGGGATAAATAGCTCCTTTGTACCTCTTTTATAAGGTCACTAATCCCACTCCCTTGGGCTCCACCCTCATGACTTAATCACCTCCTAAAGGTCTCATCTGTTAATATTATTACATTGGAGATTAAGTTTTAACATGGGTTATATTAGGGGGACACATTCAGACCACAGTACCAACAAGGCACACGGCACCCTTCTCAAACCCCTGTCGTCAACCCCAATGTCTTCTCTCTGCCTCTATCCAGTTCTGCTTGTCCTTCAGGGCTCAGCCTAATGACCATAACTTCCATGAAATCATCTCATAGATTGCAGATGAAATCAGTGTTTTGTTTTCATTGTGCAATAAAAGGAGAATATTGCTTTTTCTTTACCTTAACACCCCCTGGGTTGGTTGTTTACTTCTCTGTGTCCCTCCTGAGTTTGCATAGGGATTACTGTCAGACACCACTAGCACATAGTGATGCTAGAACATGGGATTTACTGGGGAAGACCGTAGGAGCTGAAAACTAATACAGCACATCTATGGGCTCTCACCATCCCACCTCTTAGTCCTCATACCCTGTGGTGGCCAGCCTGCCAGTACACAACACCTCCATCCCTTTGTTACTCTTCAAATATATAGGGTCGAAAACAGGGAACACTTGTTTGACTATTACTAGTAGACAATGCCTAGTTTGAGAAGTGGCTTTTTCAGGAAGGGTGAACAGTGTCTGATAGCCTGTTCTTTTGTTGAGAAATTTCTTACATGCTGAACTCTGCTAAGCTATCAAAAGAGAGAAGGAATTTGCTTTTAATGGCAAACTATAAGTAATTTGTTTTTAATGGTAAACTGTTTTGTTTCTTAGTAGTAAGCTATAAGTAAGAGCCATGCCTTGCTGATTTTTCTATCCTAAGTCCTAGCACGTAGAAGGTCTGGATAAGCATCAAGACCCAACGTATTTTCAACATGTGGCTTGTATGGACAGAAGAACGACATACCAAAATGAAGACATGCCTGGGCATCTGTAACAAATGTGTGAAATAGCCTTGACCAGACTTTTCTGCAGACGTTCCACTTGGGTTTTCGCCAAGATATTAATGATTGAACAACAATCCGATAGTGGTTATGTCAGACTTCCACTAAAGGATTGAGACTCTACATCCAGCTGTCCTTGTGCAAGAAACTGTATTTGAACTTCAGCCTTCAAGATCCTACCAATATCTCCTAATTGTGTTCATGTTTCCTATCTTGTTCACTATTGCTTTAAACTTTACATCCTCAGTGACTATTACTTTTGCTCCTAAATCTTTCTCAAGAATATCAAAGAGTGTTTTTCCATCTATTTTATCATGTAATGCTTCAATACAAGTACACACTGTTAAGAATAATAAAAAAAGAAAGATGCAGTTCCAGCTATCAGGTAAGTTAGGGCTCTGATTTGGCTCTGGCAGATAAGAATATTTCAGTATCTTCAGCACAAGAAAGAGAACAAAGGAGGGTATGTTTGCTGCTGTCACTGCTGTGATTCTAAAGTTCAGCCAAAGACTTATTAGCGTTTCAATATCCTGCTTTATAACGCATGAACCAGGGGCAAAAATATAAGAAATCATACCAGAAATGACAAGAACACTAGGTAGAGCTTTGATCGAAAGACTTATCTAGACACAGGACACTTGTGATTTTGATTCAAGTCAGGCCAGGATGACAGTAGCCAGGAGACATGCTTAGGGAGGCTTTGATTCTCCATTTACAAAAAGTTAAAGTTTCTTCCCAGTTAGATTCCTACAATTTCAGAAACTGTTCAGAAACTATTTAGAAACAGTGTCTCACTTTTTTCTCTTAGATTATTTCTGTCTCTTTGGTGGATATGTTATATCTCTTGGCTTAAATTTAGAGTCTTAGATAGATCTCTCTGTTATGTGATAATTTTTTTTGTTTGTTTTTTGTTTTGTTTTTTTTTTTTTTTTTTTTTTTTTTTGAGACGGAGTCTCGCTCTGTCGCCCAGGCTGGAGTGCAGTGGCGCGATCTCGGCTCACTGCAAGCTCCGCCTCCCGGGTTCACGCCATTCTCCTGCCTCAGCCTCCCGAGTAGCTGGGACTACAGGCGCCCGCTACCACGCCCGGCTAATTTTTTGTATTTTTAGTAGAGACGGGGTTTCACCGTGTTAGCCAGGATGATCTCGATCTCCTGACCTCGTGATCCGCCCGCCTCGGCCTCCCAAAGTGCTGGGATTACAGGCGTGAGCCACCGCGCCCGGCCTGTTTTTTTTTTAAGATAGAGTCTCTCTCTGTTGCCCAGGCTGGAGTGCAGTGGCGCTATCTTGGCTCACTGCAAGCTCTGCCTCCCGGGTTCAGGCCATTCTCCCGCCTCAGCCTCCCGAGTAGCTGGGACTACAGGCGCCCGCGACCATGCCCAGCTAATGCTTTTGTATTTTTTAGTAGAGACGGGGTTTCACCCTGTTAGCCAGGATGGTCTCGATCTCCTGACCTCGTGATCCACCCGCCTCGGCCTCCCAAAGTGCTGGGATTACAGGCGTGAGCCACTGCGCCCGGCCGATAATTATTTTTATTAGTCATGTATTTCCATTAGCAAAATGCTGTGCTAAATAATCTTGATATTTTAATTCTTCACGTAATTTTTTGCATATTTTCTCATTGAATGTTATCTAACTCATTCATTGCCATAAGCATTGGCTAATAACAAATCTCAAGAATAGAACGCTAAACCTAATAAAATAATCCCAAAGGTGAAAATTGACTTTATTATATTTCTGTGAACCTTCTCCTCCTTGCAGTCTCTCCTTGAAGTCTGATTCACTGACCACTGAGTTGCAAAATTAGCTCTCACTACAGCTTTGTCTGCTGTCATTTTAGAGACATATTTCCAAAATAAGGTAATATTGTCAGTTCTCAGACTCAGAGTCAGAAAATTTAGGAACACACTGAAATCTGTAAATCTCAGGGACCAAGTGAAGTCATAAATACATTTTTATAGTTGCCACACATTAAAAACCTATTTAATTTTTAATAAATAAAATATTTACCCTCTCATAATCATAATTCTCATCATATATTATCCCAAATCCCTCTCAGTCAGCACTAAATATTTTCAGTTTCAGAAGTTGGGTTATAAGATATCAGTCAGAATTCACTGTTTTACTAAAGTAATGAATAATCCTAAAAATCTCAGTGGCTAAAGATAACTAAGTTAATTTCTAACTCATACTACTTTTCCAAGGTGGGATGGCAGGGATCCTCGGCCATTCATAGTTTTTCAAGGTTCACACTGATGAAAGCTTCAACACAGTGCATGTTTTCACAGTTCCCACAGTGTGTAAGAGGAAATGGGGCAAGTCATGCATTGGTTCTGAAAGCTTGTAACCTATAGGAAAATATTCCTTGTCCATTCACATATCAATGGCCACAGCAAGTTACGTGCCACATCCACTTTTAAAAGGGGAGAAAAAGTTCAGCCCTGTCATCTGCTGGGAAGAGGGTGGAGAAGATGCATGTTTATGAAGTCTCTAATGACAGTCACACAGATAACCCAAACTGCATATTGGCAGGGAACCTAACAATAACCCAGTTTAACCCTTTCAGTTTACAAGTTGAAAATTTGTGAGTGATTAGATGCTTGGACCATCTGGTTTGTCCTAAAATTTCAGGGCTTCTGGTGAAATCATTAACTCCTCCCGGCTCTGACGCATCTCTAGGCATTCTGCTTCATGATCGATTTTTGAGTAATAAACCTCTCTTGAACACCTGGAGTAAATCCCACTTATTTATGGTATGTAATTCCCTTTATATGTTGCTACATTCGTTCAGCTATTGTTTGCATCTATATCCACAAGGGGGACTGATGTTGATGTGTACTATTCCTTTATGGTACTCTCTTTGGTTTTAGTATAAAGGTATTTCTGGCTTCACAGAGATGAGTTGGGTAGTGTTCCCTCTTCTATTTTCTGGAAGAGATTGTGTAGGATGTGGGTTCATTCTTAAACATTTGGTAAAATTCTCTAGTGAAACTATTAGAATCTGGACCTTTCTTTTTGGGAGGAGAAATTTAAAATTATGAATTTAGATTTCATACTAGTTATAGGGCAATTCAAATTATTTTCTATTCCTTGAGTTATAGTAGCTTTTTTAAAGAATTAGAACATTTCATCTAAGTTGTCAAATTTATGTAGGTAGAGTTGTTCATAGCATTCTTTTGTTACCCTCCAAGGGTCTTCAGAGTCTGCAATGATTTCTGCTGTTTCATTCTTGATATTGTTAATTTGTGTCTTCTCTATATTTTTCATTGTCAACCTTGCTAGAGGGTTAATTGTATTAATCTGTTAGAAATTAGTTTTTTGTTTCACTGAATTCCTTTATTGCTTCTCTGAGATTGCATTGATTTCTTTTATCTTTATTGCTTCTTCCTTATGCTTGCTTTGGGTTTATTCTATTCTTTTTCCTGTTTCTCGAAGTGGAAAATTAGATAACTGAAGACTTTTTTTATTTTCTGATGTAAGATTTAGTAGTATAAATTTTTCTCTCAGCACTGCCTTAGCTGTTTCTCACTAGTTTTAATATGTTATATTTTTACTTTCATTCAGTTCAATGTGTTTTCTGATTTCTTTTGCATCTTTCTTTACCATCTGTGAATTATATAGCAATATGTTCTGGCTGGGCTTTGGTAACTCATGCCTGTAATCTCAACATTTTTGGAGGCTGAGGTGGAAGGAATGCTTGAACCCAAGAGTTCAAGACTAGCCTGGGCAACATAGCAAGACGCTATCTCTATAAAAAAAGTAAAAAGAGGCCAGTTGGAGGGGCTCACGCCTGTAATACCAGCACTCTGGGAGGCTGAGGTGGGCAGATCACCTGAGGTCGGGAGTTCGAGACCAGCCTGACCAACACGGAGAAACCTCGTCTCTACTAAAAATACAAAATTAGCTGGGCATGGTGGCGCATGCCTGTAATCCCAGCTACTTGGGAGGCTGAGGAAGGAGAATCTCTTGAACCCAGGAGGTGGAGGTTGTGGTGAGCCAAGATTGCGCCATGGCACTCTGGACAACAAGAATGAAACTCCATCTCAAAACATAAAAATAAAAATAAAAACAAAAAAATAACAAGAAAATTAGCTGGGCATAGTGGCATGCACCTGTAGTCTCAGCTACTCAGGAGGCTGAGGTGGGAGGATCTTTTGAGCTAGGGAGTTTGAGGCTGCAGTGAGCTATGATCCTGCCACTGTGTTCCAACCTGGGACACAGAGCTAGTCTTTGTTTCAAAAACAAAAACAAAAGTGTTCTTTAGTTTCCTAGTGTTTGGAGATTTTTCTTTCTTTCTATTGTTAATTTCTAGTTTGATTCTATTGTGGTTACAGAATACCCTCTGTATGATTTAACTCTTCTGAATTTGTTAAGGGTTGTATTATGACCTATATTATGGTCTCTTAGCATATGTTTCATAGGCATTTGAAAAGAATGTGTATTCTACTGTTTTGGGGTAGAATGTCCTCTAAATGTTGATTAGATCCTTTTGATAAATGATGTTAAATTCTTCTGTATAATTGCTGATTTTTGGTCTAGTTGCTCTATCAATTGTTGAGAAAAGAGTGTTGAAATCTCCAACTATGATTGTGCATTTGTATTTTTCTACTTCTAATTCTATTGGTGTTTGCTTTATACATTTTGTAACTCTAATGTTGGTGCATAAACATTTAGAATTGCTATGTCTTCTTGATGAATTGATCCTTTAATCATTATATAATGTTCCTCTCTGTCCTTATAATTTTCTTTGCTCTGAAGTCTACTTTATATTAACTTATCCACTTACAGTTTCTTTTCATTTTTGTTTACATGGCATATCTTTTTCCATTTTTTTTTACTTTCAACCTACATGTATTCTTATATTAGAGGTAGTATCTTATAGATAGCATATAGTTATGTCATATTTTTAATCCATGCTTCTAAACTTTGTCTCTGAATTAATGTAGTTAGACCATTTATGTGTAATACAATTTAATAAAAGTATTAATATTTTATATAATGATTATGTTACGGTTTAAGTCTAACATTTTATTTTTCTGTTTATTCTGTTTATTATTTTTCTATTTTGTCCTGCCTTCTTGTGTAATACCTGAACATTTTACATTTCTCATCTTTTATTTTTACTGTTTTCTTTCTTTTCTCCCAATTTTCTATGACTTATTCTTTTACAATTTCCTTTCTTCTTAGATAAATTCTTTTAGTCATTATTTTAGAAAAACTATGCTGGTAACAAATTCCTTCATCTAAAAATATCTTGAATTCATCTTAATTCCTGAGGTACAGTATGTTTTGTTGGATATTAAATCCTGAATTGACAGTCATTTGATTTCAACACTTGAACAAAGTACTGCTTTCTTCTGGCATCCATGTTTTTTGATTAAAAGGCTGCTGTCATTTAGTGAAAAATGAATCATTGTATGATTTTGCTTTTAAGATTTTCTTTAGTTTTCAGAAGTTTGATTGTAATGTGTCCTGGTATGCATTTTTACAATTATTTATTATTTTTGGGATTCACTTAGCTTCTTAAGTCTATGGATGTTTTCCTTTTGCCAAAATTGGGAAAATATAGCCTTTAAAAAATACTTTTCACCTCCACTCCCTCTTCTCCTCTGCTTCTGAAGCTCCAGTGACATGAGTGTTAGAGATTTAGTTATAGTCTCACATGTTCCTGAGGCTCTGCTAGTTTTTTTCCAGTCTATTTTTTCTCTTCCACTCAAACTGGGTACTTTCTATTGCTCTATGCTCAAGTGCATAACTATTTCCTCTGTTCTCTCCATTCTGCCATCAATCCCATCCATTAAAAAAAAAAGTTTGTCATATTGAATTTTATGTCTAAAATTTTTCTATGTTTTTCTTTATATCTTCAATTTTTTTTCCTTTGGCTTTTAATATTATCATTGGTTTCAAGCATATTTGTCATTGCTTTTTGAAACATTTTCCTTTGGGTATATACCCAGTAAAGTATAATAAATATATATATATTTATATATACACACACACACACACATATATATATATATAGAAACATTTTCTTATTGGCTGGTTTACAATCCTTGTCAGATAGTGCTAACATCTATGTTATCCCAATGTTTGTGTCTGATTTTTTTTTTTATATTCACGTTTAGTTCTTCCTGGTCCTTTTCATGAGATAACTTTCAATGAACTATGAATATTTTGGGTATTATGTTGTAAGACTCTAGTTCTTATTTAAAGTGTGTTTTAGTAGATCTTCTCTGATACCACTTCAACAGGGATAGCAGTACCTTCTCAATGCTGCCTGCTGTGGCTGGAAATACAGGTTTTCCACTTGGCTTCTGTTGCCATGATGAATGGTGAGGAAAGAGAGGCCTGTAGGGGATAAGAGTAGGAGTCCAGTCTTCCTGCCAAGTCTCTGCTGGCTGGGAAGTAGAAGAGGTGCCTCATTATCACTTCACATACAGCTTCCACTGACTGTAGGGGTGCACGGCCCCATCACCATCGATGGACTTCCCAGGCAGCCTTCTTTAACACCATGTCAGTGAGGAGAAGAAGCCACCTTGGTACCATCAGGTAATAGTGGAAGTTCTGGTTCCCCCATGGCCTCTTGTTCCACCATAGGGGAATCCCTTACTGTTTGGCAGAGATGAAAACCTCCACTCAGCCTTCTCTGATATTCCCTGCCCTGGTCTGGGGCTCGTCGTTATAGCCCAGCAAGGGTGGAAGTCTAGGCCTTTGCTGGAGAAGGTGGGTGTAGGGCTGCAGTATTTTCCTGTGGTGTTCATAGTAGAGTAATTACCATCTAAGAGTTTTCAGTCCTACGAAGCTACCCCTTTCATGGTCCTTCGGTTGGAGAGAGCAGGCTTTATTTGGGGCTTTTTGTTTCTATGCCTATTTTTGTTTCTTGAATGCTGGCTTCTCTATGTCCCAGTCTTGAATTTATGAGACAAAAACAAAACAAAACAAAAAAACAAAAACAAAAAAACAATAAAAAAACAACCCAGGGAACTCATCACTGTGTCTTCCCTTGGTGCCAATGCTCACTAGCTGTGCTGTCCTCAAAGTCTTTCCATGTTTGTTGATGCACATTGTCTGGAGTTTTCAGTTGTACTCAGCTAGAGAAATAGAAAAAAAGTATGTCTACTCCATCTTCCCCAAATCAGAATTTCCCTGCCTTATTTTCAAAATTAGTTTGGGGACTGATTTAAAAGAAAAGCCTTTGGAACAATTGCTTGACATTAAGTACCTATCTCCCATTAAGTCAGAAAGTTATAACCCTGGATGGACTTTATTGTCACCTGGGAAGCTTTAGAAAATATTTCAGTTTTTCAGGGCCCAGAAACTAAGTAAACCAAAATCTCTGAGGGTAATGCCCAGCAAGGGAATGCTTTATCCTCATATGGATTTTCTGTGTAAATTCAAGAGCACTGGCTCTCTGTGACGGTGTCTACCCAAGGACCAAAGTACAAAAGCAACAGTTCATTTTCATTGTCACAAATGTGCCGCAGGTGAGAGGCGGGTAGTATCTCCATGGTAACCAAGCCTCAAGCTCTGTGATTTCCAGGGTAGCATTAAGTTATTGCTTCTTGCTCATATGCAGTTCTACCCACAAGAAAATGCTAGTTATGTCCCTTAGTTGACAAATAAGAAATCATGACTTTTGAAAAACTTATTTTCTTAGAATGTTATTTAGATTCTTGCAAACAAAAGGCCAAAATGGATCAAACAGATGAGGCTTCTCTCACAGAAGGTCCCTGTGTGATACGTGTCCTTGGCTCCCAAAGGCCACATTCAAAACAGATGTTTAAAAACAAAACAAGAGAATTTCAAGATTTTTCACACTGCTCAAATGCTATGATTGTGTCCCCTAGATATGAAGATTTTTTAAATAAAAAAAAAATAGAGAAGAAAAACATTGGGCAGAGCGGTTGTCCAGGCATGACAGAAGAAGTAAGGCTTACTAACCTCACTTATTATCTGGCCGTGTCATTATCTCTAACAGGTGAGTGGAGTATTCAGGTCCAGATAAGCCAGAAATGGTGCCTGTGTTCTTACACTGGTGAAGAGATGCATTAGGCTCATGAAACAGCCACCTTTAGCAATGCTAGGAAGGTATGAGCACAAGACACCAAGTATCGCTGGGATGAAGAACTTTTGCAGGTACAGCAGACGGGAGTGGGGCCCAAGGCCTTTGCCTGGGCTGGGCCAGTGGTCCTCAGGTGGCAGGGAGGCTGCAGCGGGGTTGGGTCAGCAGCCAGTGTCTGTGCAAGATAAATCTTCATGCATAGGTGAGTGGTTCCTGCCCCCAACAGTGAGCTGGGTGGTCTTCGTGACACGACTCTCAATACCAACACCTGTAGCTCCAGTGAGCCTACCGAATTCCAGATGGACCCCCTGGTGCTCATTCTATTTCTGCTCCATGGTTACGGTCTCCTAAATTGCTTCATTCCAAAACACCTTCCTGATAGCCGGTGACGCACACTGCAACTGGAAAATTCTTCTGTTTGATACCAATTGGATCATGCCCCTTCTCTGGTTAGAAACCTGCAGTGGCTCCACCTGTTTCATGGATTGTCTGTGCAACCGTGGGCTCTGCCGCTGGAATTGGAGAGCATTAAGACCCGAACATTCGTGGTACCAGGGACGCCAAAGATATTGACATGGACTTTTCTGAGAGGAGATGGTTCATGAGCAAAGCCACCCCCATGAGTTTTAAGTGCCATTCCCAGAGAGGTGGGTAAAGATTGGCCCATTAGAGGTTTGAGCGGGTGTCCTTTCTCAGATAGCTATGGACATGTGAACAAGAGAAACTAGTAGAACTTGAGCTGACCCTCAAGGAAAATGCCTTGAAAGGGCTTGGCTTCTTGAAATCATCTCCTCGGAACCTGGGAATTGTTCTGGGTCAATTGGACCCCAGACTTCCATGAATGCTAGCCCACATGTAAAGCCTTGGGCGGGTGGTGCTACAGGCAGTAAAGGAAGAATGGTGGGGACAGGTGAGGCCTCTCTACCTTTATCTATGCTGAGGAGCAGCTTCCTGAGCAGCAGCAGCACCAGGGAGGAGGGCAGTGACCCAGAGAGGGCGGGGCCAGAGAGGGCGGGAGGGGCTGTAGACCTGAGGAGCAGGAGACCCAGAGTGGGCGGGAGGGGCTGTGGACGTGAGGAGCAGGAGCAGAGGCGATATCTCTGGAGCATCATACAATACACTCTTCCTTCTTCCCATTTATGACCTGGAAAGGACTGACCTCTGAATAGAGGGGAGGGAGGCCCTTAGGTCATGTGGTTATTGAGCTAGGTTTTCTTAATTGGGCTGTTAAGGCCATTTACAGACTCCTTTTAATTTATCTATTTAGTCCCCACTATTCCAGTTGAGATAAAAACTGGTGATTGTTAAAATGTGTCATAAGCTTTCTTTCCTCTATAACTTTTTTCCTCTTGTCTATCTAACTTCTATGACATCCACAGAAATTATATGTGGTTATAACATCCATATGTATTAAATATTATATTACATTAGGTACATTATATATATCTAATGTATACATTAGATATATCTGATATGTATTAAATATATTATCTAATTTGTATCTGATATATTATCTTTCTATCATCTATTCATCAACCTCTTTGAAATAATCTCTTTCATGCACTCATTACTCCCTTTCCCTGAATTCTTTCTTTATTTTCTTGAGCAGAAGATTCCTTGTTCTCTCAGCCCCTGTGACTGGTTGCATGTCTCATTTTTGGCACCAATTTCAGGTGACCTTGCACTGTTGTCTTTTATGCATATCTTTCTTCTGGGAGATCACGTCTCATTTTAGGGAGGAAATATGTCCTCTTCTTTAATGCCAGTTGCAGTTCAGACTGTCATGTGCAGATTTAAAGAATTAGTGATGTGGAAGCTGTGAATTCATCGTCCTCTCATGTTAAAGTCAGGTTTTGCACCACTAGTCTTGCTTCCTGCAGCAAGAATCATCTTCTATATGCAATCCTTCAGTAGTTGTCCTTGGGCTATAAAATGAGCTGAAATAGTTAATTATGCATTTAAGATTCCCTATAAGCTGGTCTCATAGTTCTCTTTATCTTTCCCCTCATGCTTTCACACCCCACACTCAGCAATCTAGAAACTCAACAACTCAGAAAGCAGAGCTCCTCCCATCTCCCTTGCACCATGCCTTTCATGGCCGGTGACTCTGTGAATATAGTTTTCTTGGGAGAGAAGCTGCTGTAAGTTCCTTTCTTTTGCTCATTTCTTCCAGAGGTCCTCTCCTCCCTAATTATCCTGGGGTTTGCAATTTTTGTATGTGTGAAAAATTAGACCTTGGCCCATGACCTTGAACAGTAGGATAAAAACAACTCCCACAAGCTTAGCATCCCAATAATGGGACTTTAGGCATAAATGGGTTAAAGAGCAATCTCAAGCTCCTTAGATTTTGTGACTCCTCTGATCCTCCTTTTACCCGATCCAAGTGTTTTCATCTCTGTTTAACACCTCGTTAATCTGCCCCATATTTCAGTGGGTGATTTTCAGAGCCTTCTCTGATAAAGTGTGGTTCTCCTTTAAGGAGGGATGCTGTGCCTCAGAAGTGCAAGTGAAAATATTAAGACTGACAAAGACTTGAAAGAATGAGGATAACTGATGCAGGTGCAAGGTGAGGAAACCAGTGTTAGAGATTGATTAAATATTTAAATGTTACATGTTAAAGCATAAAAGTTCTAGAAGAAAATTGAGCTTCCTATATTGTAAGATGGTAATGGAAGATTTTCTAAGCAGGCAATAGCACCGAAACATGAGTAGAAATAGGTGACTTAATTCATTTTTAAATATTCAACAATCTTTTATCATTAAAGATTTAAAACAATAGACAAATCAAGACAAATAGCTGCCACATAACAGAAACACTCCTTCCAAGTTAAAAGACAAAATCATAGTTTAAAAAAGTAGCAAGCCATATGAATGGGAAATACTTCAAACAGGAAATTTAAATGGTAATAGTTTAAAATTTATCTAATTAGAGAAATTTACTAAAAATGGTAGAAGTGGCCGGGTGCGGTGGCTCATGCCTGTAATCTCAGCACTTTGAGAGGCCAAGGCAGGTAAATCACTTGAGGTCAGGAGTTCGACCTCATTTATGCCTAAAGTCACTAGGGCAACTACTTTTCACCCAGTGTCCTCCAGAAAAGAAAGATCTGGAGGGTCTTTATCTTCAAAATAATAATGAGGGGGTGCAGAAGGGTAGGGATGAGCCTCTCCCTCCTTTGCCACTTTAGTTTTAGCTGGCAAATAAACCTGCTCTGTAACCTCTTCTGTTACTTCGTTATACTCTCCCTCCTCCTCCTCATCAGTGTGAAAAAGTTCCAAGGTGGAATGAACCAGAGCCCACGATTGTCCCATTGCTACCCTGATGCTTCCAAGATCCCCTTCTTACTCACCACGGGGATTGCTTTAAGAGTACTTGGGTGTCCAGCTAGTTGCACATTCTCCAACCGTCACTCTAGCCACCCTTCGACCTGGATTTGAGCCCCCATAATGGACGCCACTTGCCGAGACCAGCTCAGTTGGGGAGACCCTAACTCAGCGACACTAGAGGAATTAAACACACACACACAGAAATATAGAGGTGTGAAGTGGGAAATCAGGGGTATCACAGCCTTCAGAGCTGAGAGCCCCGAACAGAGATTTACCCATGTATTTATTAACAGCAAGCCAGACACTAGCATTGTTTCTGTAGATATTTGATTAGCTAAAAGTGTCTCTTATGGGAAATGGGTTTAACTAAAAGTATCCCTTATGGGAAATGAAGGGATGGGCCAAAATAAAGGGGTGGGTCTGTCTAGTTATCTGCAGCAGGAACATACCGTCAGGCACAGATCGCTCATGCTATTGTTTGTCATTTAAGAACAACTTTAAGTGGTTTTCTGCCCTGGGTGGGCCAGCTATTCCTTGCCTTCATTCCAGTAAACCCACAGCCTTCCAGCGTGGGCGTTATGGCCATCATGAACATGTTGCAGTGCTGCAGAGATTTTGTTTATGGCGAGTTTTGGGCCTGTTCCCAACACATGGAGTCAAAGGAGATCATTTTGGAGCTTTAGGATTTGAATCCAGGCCTGCTGGATTTTGTACTTGCATGGGGCCTGCAGCCCCTTTGTTTTGGCTAATTTCTCCCATTTTGAATGGCTGCATTTACCCAATGCCTGTACCCCCATTGTGTCTAGGAAGTAACTAACTTGCTTTTGATTTTACAGGCTCATAGGTGGAAGTGACTTGCCTTGTCTCAGATGAGACTTTGGAATGTGGACTTTTGAGCTAATGTCAAAATGAGTTGAGATGTTGAGGGACTGTTGGGAAGGCATGATTGGTTTTGAAATTTGAAGATATAAGATTTGGGAGGGCCCAGGGACAGAATGATATGGTTTGGCTCTGTGTCTCCAGCCAAATCTCATCTTGTAGCTCCCATAAGTCCCTTGTGTTGTGGGAGGGACCCAGTGAGAGATAATTGCATTATGGGGGCAGGTCTTAACTGTGCTGTTCTCATGATGATATGAGAGCATCCTGAGATATGATGATTTTAAAAATTGAGATCCCTGCACAAGCTCTTTTTGACTGCTGCCATCCATGCAAGATGTGACTTGCTCCTCCTTGCCACCTACCATGATTGTGAGGCCTCCACAGCCATGTGGAATTGTAAGTCCAATAAGCCCTTTTCTTTTATAAATTGCCCAGTTTTGGGTATGTCTTTATCAGTAGCAGCATGAAAACAAACTAATACAATTGCATAGCATCTGAAAAAAATCAGAAACAATTCTTACCTTTGCTGTTCTCTATATATGGTGTTTATTCCCTCTGACTTTCAAATATTTTTTTTAAATTTTTGACTTTTTGTAGTTTAAAAATAATATGCTAAGGTGTAGTTTCTCAGACATTCATCTTGGATTCTCTGAGCTTCCTGAATTGTAGTTTGGTATCTGACAATTTGGGAAAAAAATCTCAGTCATTATTGCTTCAGATTTATCATGTTTCTTTCTGTCTTTCTTCTCCTTTTGGTATTCCCATTAGCTACATTTCACAGTTTTCAGTTGTCCTAATGTTTCTAGATGGTATGTTTTTTAAAATTAATTAATTAATTAATTTTTAAACTTTATTTTGGGTTCAGAAGTACCTGTGCTTGTTTGTTATATAGGTAAATTGTGTGTCATGGGGACTCTGTGTACAGATAATTTATCCACCCAGATAAGAAGCATAATACCAAATGGGTAGTTTTTCAAGCCTTACCCTTCTTCCTCCCTATACCCTCAAGTGGCCCCTGATGTCTGTTTTTTCCTTCTTTGTGTCCATATTTACTCAACGTTTAGCCTCCATGTATAATTGAGACCATGCAGTGTTTGGTTTTCTGTTTCTGTATTAGTTCACTTAGGATAATGGCCTTCAACTCCATTCACGTTGCTGAAAAGATGATCTCATTCTTTTTTTTTTATAACTGCATAGTATTCTAAGGTGTATATGTACTACATTTTCTTGAGTCAGTCTACTACTGATGGGAATTTAGGTTAATTCCATTTCTTTGGTATTGTGAATAGTGCTGCAATTAACCTACATATGGATACATCTTTATGGTAGAAAATTTATTCCTTTGGGTGTATACTCAGTATTGGGCTTGCTGGGTCAAATTACCTTCCCACTAGAAATGTCCAGGAATTTATCCATTTCTTCTAGGTTTTTTGGCTTCTGTGCACAGTAGTGTTTGGAGTAGTCTCTGAGGGTTTTTTTTGTATTTCTCTGGGGTCAGTGATAATGTCCCCTTTGTCATCTCTAATTGTTTATATACCTCATCTCTTTTTTTCTTTGTTAGTCGAGCTGGTGGTCTATCTTATTAATTCTTTCAAATAACAAATTTCTGGATTCTTTTATCTTTTGTATAATTTTACATGTCTCAATTTCCTTCATTTCAGCTCTAATTTGGGTTGTTTCTTGTCTTTTGCTAGATTTGAGGTTGGTTTGCTCTTGTTTATCTAGTTCCTCTAGTTGTGATGTTAGGGTGTTAATTTGAAATCTTTCTAGCTTTTTGATGTGGTCATTTAGTACTATAAACTTCCCTCTTAAAACAGCTTTACCTGTCTCCCAGAGATTCCAGTATGTTGTATCTTTGTTCTTATTAGTTTCAGAGAACCTCTCAATTTCTGCCTTAATTTTATTAATTACCCAGAAGCCATTCAGGATTTTTTAATTTCCATGTAATGGTATGGTTTTGAGGGATTTTCTTAGTACTGATTTCTATTTTTATTGCATTGTGGTCAAGAGTGTGATTGGTATGATTCAGGTGGTTTTGAATTTGCTGAGGATTGTTTTATGTTAATTTATGTGGTTGATTTTGGAAGTATATTCTGTTGTTTTGGAGTAGAGAGTTCCGTAAGATGTCTATTAGGTCTATTTGGTCAAGTGTTGAGTTCAGATCCTAAATATCTTTGTTAGTTTCCTGCTTCCATAATGTGTTTAATATTCTCAGTAGGGTGTTGAGGTCTCCTACTATTATGTGTGGTTATCTAAGTCTCCTCATATATCTCTAAGAATTTACTTTATGAATCTGGGTGCTCCTGTATTGGGTGCTTGTATGTTTAAAGTAGTTAGGTCTTGTTGAATTGAGCTCTTTACCATTATGCAATGCCCTTGCTTGTCTTTTTTTATCTTTGTTGGCTTAAAGTGTGTCTTGTTTGAAATTAGAATAGCAACCCCACTTTTTTCCCATGTTTTGTTTGCTTGGTAGATTTTTCTCCATCCCTTTATTTTGAGCCTATGGGTGTCACTGCATGTTAGATGGGTCTCTTGAAGACAGAATACTGTTGAGTGTTGCTTCTTTATCTAACTTACCACTCTGTGCCTTTGAATTGGAGCATTTAGCCATTTACATTCAAAGTTAGTATCGATCTGTGTAGATTTGATCCTATCACCATGTTGTTGGCTGGTTACAGTGCAGACTTGGTTTGTGTGGCTTCTTTATACTGTTACTGGTCTATGTACTTAAGTGTGTTTTTGTAGTAGCTGGCAACAGTCTTTTTTTTTTTTTTTTTTTTCAATATTTAGCACTGTCTTCAGGACTTACTGTAAGGCAGGCCCAGTGGTAACTAATTCCCTTAGCATTTGCTTGTCTGAAAAAGATCTTATTTTTACTTTACTTATAAAACTTAGTTTGCTTAAAGTCTCCTAAGGGAGCAAGGTGAGCCTTGTGGGATGGGCATCCCAGGCCATGCTGCACTGCAGGTGCTCCTGCACCAAACACTCTGGGCTCCACACTGGCTGGAGTTCTGTCTGTACACCTCTCTAAGCAGTTCTGCCTGCCAGCTCAAGTTTCTGTGGGTGTTGCAGGGTCTCTTGCTCTTAGGATTCTAGAGGTCTCTAGTGAAAGCAAACCACTCTTCATCTGTTCAACTCACCTCTTTCATAGGAGTCACTGGCATTCAGGAATGAGTCCTGGTGCTTGGTAGCTCCCTGTGGGGTTCCTAGCTTCATTCCTACTTCAGTCTAGCATCTGCATCCACCCTTCATCTACTTGCAATGCCTTTCCTCTGAAGATCTTCTCAGAGTGTGCCAGTTATCCTGATGTCCTGGTCTCTCAGTGGCAGATGTTCCTCCTGGCTTTGTCTAGTAGGCCATCTTGCCTCCCTCTTCCATAAAAAAATTGTTTATTTTTTTCAGACTTTTTTGTTTTTGCTTTCTTCTAGTGTTGGAAGTTTCTACTGAAACATTCTTAGGCTCAGAGTGTTTTTTTCCTTAGTCATGTGTACTGTATTAATAAGCCAATAAAAGTATTCTTTATTTTTGTTATGTTGTTTTTGCTCTCTGGCATTCCTTTTTTATTTGTTCTTTCTTATTATTTCCATCTCTCTGCTTAGATTGTGAATTTGTTATTGCATGCTATCTATTTTATCCATTAGAGTCCATAGAATATTAACTATTATAAATTCAAATTCCTGGTCTGATAATTTCAATATCCCTGCCATAGCTGAGTCTGGTTTTGATGCTCGTTCTATCTCTTTAAACTGTACCTTTTTGTCTTTTAATGTGTATTGTAATTTTCTCATGATAGTTGGACATGATATTCTGGGTATAATTAACTGCTGTAAATCTGCCTTTAGTAATGCTATGGTAAGTTGTGGTGGGAGGAGATGCATTCTCTAGTCCTGTAATTAGGTTTCAACCTTTCAGTGCACCTATACCTCTGAACAGAGATCTTCATATGTGATTATTATGTTCCACCCTTTTTCCTCTTAGGTGGAACAGAATGCCTAGAAGGGAGCCAAAGTTGGGCATTTCTTTTCCCTGAGGTCAGCTAGGCTCTGATAAACTCCAGCAGGTTAGATCTGGTTAGTTAGTTTCTTCTGAGGGAAGTCCTCGTTAAGAAAAACAGAATACTCTGCTATATTTCAAAATGGTCCATTTTCCTCTCTCCCTGCCAGAAGTATAAGGCGATTCTTCTCCAATATTTATTGTAAGATCCTTTTTTATGTAAAGCTCAAAAAAGTGTAGGGACTCCCATATAACAGAGTCCCCCCTAGATTTTTTAGCTCTCAAACTTGTTCACATTTTAGTTTTGTAATTTCTAAAAGATAGACACACTTGTCAGAAAATACATGAAGATAAAATGTCAGCAATTTTTCTTGCAGTTTATGTAATGAAAGTTTCTGCATTACTTAAAAATCATTTTTATAAACAATATGGTAAGTAGTAACATACGGGTGAAACATGACTTTTATCGGTGAAACATGAAGATTTAAATATGAATTTTACCTTTCCGAAGCTGCACTGACACTTGCATATATCAGTGGTCCATTTCTTTCCCTTTTCCCCAAGGGATAGTTTAAGGGGGAAGATTTTGAGAAACATTGCTATTGGACAGAAAATTGCTTTCTTGCTAAGACTCACTAAAAGCAGGGGAAGTGCCTACTTTAACCCAGATGTGAGGGAGGCTGATGTTCTAGGTGATGCTGACATCTCTCCACATCCTCCATAGTTGACTGTGTTCTCAGGGAGGACCTGGAAACATGCAGCAATTACCCCTGTTTTGGAATGACTGTGCTAAGAAAGTACAAAGGTGAGAGAGGTTTTGTTGCATAGAAACCCTGAAAGGCAGGCAGAGCTGATTTCCAGAGCACTATGTTTAGAGGTTAAGATGCCTCCTTGTGGCTGATAAACAATGATGATAATGTTGCTGCAGGTAAACAGGCAATTAAGAGAGAATCTTTGATGAATGATGATACTGTCTTAGTCCATTCAGGCTGCTATAACAAAATAACTTAGACTGGGTAACTTATCAACATCATAAATTTATTTCTCACAGCTCTGGAGGCTGTGAAGATCAAAATCAAGGCAGGGGCAGGTTCAGTGAGGCCACTTATTAGTTCATAAAGAATACTTTTTCCAGCTTCATCCATGTCCCTACAAAGGACATGAACTCATCATTTTTTATGGCTGCATAGTATTCCATGGTGTATATGTGCCACATTTTCTTAATCCAGTCTATCATTGTTGGACATTTGGGTTGGTTCCAAGTCTTTGCTATTGTGAATAGTGCCACAATAAAAATACGTGTGCATGTGTCTTTATAGCAGCATGATTTATAATCCTTTGGGTATATACCTAGTAATGGGATGGCTGGGTCAAATGGTATTTCTAGTTCTAGATCCCTGAGGAATCACCACACTGACTTCCACAATGGTTGAACTAGTTTACAGTTCCACCAACAGTGTAAAAGTGTTCCTATTTCTCCACATCTTCTCCGGCAGCTCTTGTTTCCTGACTTTTTAATGATTTCCATTATCTTGGGTGGTGACAAAGTAAAGTGTAACATCTGGAGATTTCACCAGATTAAAAGCTGCACATTCTGAACAGGATGCTCTATTGGTCAATTAGTTATCCATCAATAACAAAGCCTCATTAAAGTATAATGTGAAAGGTAAAGAAAAAACTAACAAAAAACAAATAATGAAGACTAGTTAAATGATCATTGATTCTCCAAACTATAGTTTCATGAGATATCTGTAATCAGAGATATTTGGATATAGAAAAGTTAACTTAGAAAAATGTATCTCTGAATACAATCATCCTACTTTTCTATTTGGGGGATATTTATATATTCTAGATCCTAGTGAACTTCTTAAAAAGTTAAAGCCATGGGTCTAGCCATATATAGAAAACAGAAACTGGACCCTTTCCTTATACCTTGTACAAAAATTAACTCAAGATGAATTAAAGACTTAAATGTAAAACCCCAAACCATAAAAACCCTAGAAGAAAATCTAGTCAATACCATTCAGGACATAGGCTGGGCAAAGACTTCATGACTAAAATGCCAACAGCAATGGCAACAAAAGCCACAATTGACAAATGGGATCTAATCAAACTAAAGAGCTTCTGCACAGCAAAAGAAACTATCATCAGAGTGAACAGGCAACCTACAGAATGGGAGAAAATTTTTGCAATCTACCCATCAGACAAAAGTCTAATATCCAGAATGTACAAGGAACTTAAACAAATTTACAAGAGAAAACAACCCCATCAAAAAGCGGGCAAAGGATATGAGAAGACATTTCTCAGAAGAAGACATTTATGTGGCCAAAAAACATATGAAAAAAAGCTCATCATCACTGATCATTAGAGAAATGCAAATCAAAGCCACAATGAGATACCATATCACATCTGTTAGAATGGAGATTATTAAAAAGTCAGGAAACAGATGTTGGTGAGGCTGTGGAGAAATAGGAATGCTTTTACACTGTTAGTGGGAGTGTAAATTAGTTCAACCATTTTGGAAGACAGTGTGGCGATTCCTCAAGGATCTAGAACCAGAAATACCATTTGACCCAGGAATCTCATTACTGGGTATATACCTAAAGGATTATAAGTCATTCTCCTGTAAAGACACATGCACACATAATGTTTATTGTAGCACTATTTACATTAGCAAAGACTTGGAATGAACCCAAATGCCCATCAATGGTAGACTGGATAAAGATAACGTGGCACATATACACCATGGAATACTATGCAGCCATATAAAAGAATGAGTTCATATACTTTGCAGGGACATGGATGAAACTGGAAGCCATCGTTCTCAGCAAACTAACACAGGAACAGAAAACCAAACACTGCATGTTCTCACTCATAAGTGGGAGTTGAACAATGAGTACACATGGACACATGGAGGGAAACATCACACACTGGGGCCTGTCAGAGGGTGGAGGGCAAGGGGAGGGAGAGCATTAGGACAAATACCTAATGCATGCAGGGCTTAAAACCTAGGTGATGGGTTGATAGGTGCAGCAAACCACCATGGCATATGTATACCTATGTAGCAAACTTGCAAGTTCTGCACATGTATCCCAGAACTTAAAAAAAAAGAAAAAAAAATCACTGGGTGTGGCTGGAAAAAAAAGTTAAAGCAATGGGCAAAGTAGTTATGTGAAACTTTGGGGACCAACAAAAAGGACAGTTTTATATTGAAAAAATAATATTTTACCTTTGGGGAGAACAATGCCAACATCCCACCTGTTGGATAAGCTGGGCATCTATGAGGCTCTGATCTTCCAAGTTCTGGGTAAGTTGTTCACCATCTGTATCAATTTACTGATGCTGCTGTAACAAAGACCACAAACCAGGTTCTTAAATACCAGTTCTGGAAGCTAGAAGTTCAAGATCAAGGTATCAGCAGTGTTGGTTCCCTCTGAGGCTATGGGGGAAGGCTCTGTTCCAGGCCTCTCTCCTTGACTTATAAATTGCTATCTCCTTCCTGTGTCTTCATATTGGTCTCTGTGTCCAAATTTCCTTTTTTCTGTAACCACACCAGTCATATTGGATTTCATTTGATTTACTCTGTGATATGGTTTGGCTGTGTCCCCACCCAAATCTCATCTTGAATTCCTACCTGTTGTTGGGGAGAGCCAGTGGGAGGTAATTGAATCATGGGGACAGGTCTTTCCTGAGCTGTTCTCATGGTAGTGAATAAGTACCATGAGATCTGATGGTTTTAAAAAGAAGAGTTCTCCTGCTCAAGCTCTCTCTCTTTGCTTGCTGCCATCCATGTAATATGTGACTTGCTTGTCCTTGCCTTCCTTCCACCTTGATTGTGAGGCCTCCCCAGCAATGTGGAACTGTAAGTCCAATAAGCTTCTTTCTTTTATAAATTGCCCAGGCTCAGGGATGTCTTTATCAGCAGTGTGAAAACAAACTAATACAGTAAATTGGTACCAGTAGAATGGGATGCTGCTGAAATGGTACCAAAAATGTGGAAGCAACTTTGGAACTGGGTAACAGGCAGAGGTTGGAACAATTTGGAGAGCTGAAAAGAAGACAGGAAAATGTGGGAAAGTTTGGAACTCCCTAGAGACTTGTTGAATGACTTTGACCAAAACGTTGATAATATGGACAATAAAATCCAGGCTGAGGTGGTCTCAGATGGAGATGAGGAGCTCATTGGGAACTGGAGCAAAGGTGACTCTTGTTACATTTTAGCAAACAGACTGGTGGCATTTTGCCCCTGTCCAAGAGATTTGTGGAACTTTGAACTTGAGAGAGATAATTTAGGGTATCTAGCAGTAGAAATTTCTAAGCAGCACAGCATTCAAGAGGTTACTTGGGTGCTGTTTAAGGGATTCAATTTTAAAAGGAAAACAGAGCATAAAAGTTTGGAAAATTTGCAGCCTGACAATGCAATAGAAAATAAAATCCCTTTTTCTGAGGAGAAATTTAAGCTGGCTACAGAATTTTGCATGAGTAAGGAGAAGTTAAAATGTTAATCCCCAAGACAATGGGGAAAATGTCTCTAGGCCATGTCAGAGATCTTTGCCTAAATTACAAAAAAAAAAAAAAAAACAGAAAGAAAAACAGAGAGGAAATCCAAAGGAAATCCAAAATGACAAAATGTATTAAGTTTTTATTTAAAAGTAGAGAAAAAGATCAAAACCATTCAGTTAGTTTAATTTCAGAGCACTAGCTTGGTCTTCACGCAGCACCCTGAGTGAAAGAGAAACATCCACAGGCACCCAATTGCATTGCGAGGCAGCTCTAATTTTTGTCAAGGTCTTCCTTATATTGAGGAAAAATTTACCTACCCAAAGTTTCGAGTAACTGTCCTGCATATAAATGAGAATCTTTTCACGTTAGGATTTGCTAGAGACTTGGATTCAGGTAAAATATCTGGGGCTAACGTGCTGGCTGCCTTCAACTTCTTGTCTTCATTCAACTTTTCTTCAGGTGACAAAGCTGGCTTAGCTGTCTCAGCTGTAGTTGGTCTCGTTGGAACATTCTCCAGTGTGGCCTTGTCTCTGAACCCAAGAACAGAATGTGGGATTCTGACTATGGTTCTGTGTGGTGCTGAGCGCAGTGGAGTGGAAGGTGATTATCACCTACCTGATGTGAACCTTGAGCATCCACTGAGGCCACAACTACACATGGCCCACATGGGAGGTGGGCCAGAGTGTACCATAAACAACTTCAGGCTTTGGATTCTGCTGATAGTTACATATAGTTCAGAACACAATTTAATATTATAAAACAACATTGGCAAACTATGGTCTGCAGGCCGAATCTGTTTTTGTAAATAGTTTTATTGCAACACAGCCACACCTATGTTACGTATAGTCTGTAGTTGCTTTTCTGCTGCAGCAGCAGAGTTGAACAATTGCAGCAGAGATGGCGTGACCTGCAAATACTAAATTTTATCAGGCCCTTTACCAAAACAACTGCCAACTCCTCGTTATGGCATGGCATGTCTATGATTTTTGCCCCCAAAATATTTGGCTATTGTATTATCTCCCTCCAAAATTGTAGTTGGACAGAATCATAAAATCGGAGAGACCTGAGAGAACTATGGTAATCCCAGCACTTTGGGAGTCTGAGGTGGGCAGATCATTTGAGGTCGGGAGTTCAAGACCAGCCTGACTAACACGGTGAAACCCTGTCTCTACTAAAAATAAAAAGAAAAAAAATTAGCTGGGCGTGATGGCGCATGCCTGTAGTCCCACCTACTGGGGAGACCGAGGAAAGAGAATTACTTGAACCCAGGAAGTTGCAGTGAGCTGAGATCGCGCCACTGCACTCCAGCCTGGGTGACAGAGCAGGACTCCGTCTCAAAAAAAAAAAAAAAAAAAAAGGCTTTGAAATATTTTTAACTGTGTATTTATTTAAATGAATTCTTGCTCTGTCAAAGTTAAACTTATTTTGTAGTTTGGAGGTTTGGAGCAGGCCGAAATAAGTCACCTCCTTCTTCCAAGGGAGGCCTTCAAATCTGTGATATGCTATGAGGTTTTCCTTTAGTTTCCTCCGTGGGTGGACCATCTCCTGGTATAAAGCAATCCTTTGAAAGGAGCCTTCTAGGCCCCTCCTGGTACCCTGGCTTCCTCAGTCTCTCATCAAGGGTTCTCAGTTGCATGGTAGAGGTGTTCCCCGGGTACCTTCTTATTTCATCTCTCTAGCTTTGGCTCATTGGCACAGACCTCAGTAGGTTTCTCATTTTGTGCTTCACTTTGGGTTTATTAGAAACACCAAGTTTAAAGTTAAGGCAAACTGTATCAGAAGTAGCTTATTGAACTCTAATAAGTAATCTGTTTTTCTAAACCTGAATGCATCTTTTTCCATAATATTTTTATTGCTATAATGAAGTTGTGACCTATGAATGCCATACACTTCAGCTGTCTCTCAAATAGAGAAAGTAGAGAGAATAAAATTGATTTAAAAATGTTTTTATCTCTATCTTTCTGTCTCTCTTTCACTAATTGATTTCTACCTTCAGAGCTGCAGATCATGGGAATTTGTCCGGCTCCCCAGAGGCACCCAGATGCTGGGGTGATCCACACAATATCACTCACAACCTGTGATTCTTTAAGGTTTGCTTCACACTATAGCATTTCATAAAAGATGTGCATTACAGCTTAAATTGCAGTCCATTTTAGATTAAATGAAGTAGGGTGTTTTGGTGGTGAACAGATAATTCTAAGAAATAATCACATTTAAATTTATTTCTGCTCTGGGAAATATTCAGTGAATTGGAAAAAACCATGATGCAATAAATTTTAAAATAGGTCTTTCTATGAGGGTATTCTGATAGTTCTGGCAGCATACACATTTCTCCCCTGTAGGATAATTGCAAATTAATATTAACACTTGGACTCAGTCCCTTGACAGCTGTGAGAACGCAAGCCTTGCAGGATTGGCTGCTTAAACATCAAGCTGTTTTTCAAAAAGAAAGCCAAAGAGAAGATTCATAAAAATGAATTGCAGTAAGGATAAACCCACAAGGAGATAATAAATATTTTTAAAAATCACTATGCCTTAGTGAAGAGAACTTGTGAGAGCATTAAGCTGGTCTCATTGACTGCCTCCCTTCCCTGGCTGTGGTTACTCAGGGGTCAGGAGCCTTCATAGAGTTGCAGTCATTATTTGTTTACCCTTTGGCTGTGCAGATGACTGTTTGCCCCTCAGAGGCAGAAACCAGGTAATCTGGTACTATAATTTTTCATCTACCCTATCTCCCCAACACTCTTCTGCAGAAATGATCTAGTAATGTAGTAATAACAACCTGACAGCTAGATTAGTAAATGTTTCCTGAATGGAAAAGAAAAAAAAAAACAAAGGAAGATAGTTAGGTAACTGATGACCTTAGGTAACTGTTGACCTTAGCAGGGATGATTTCAGAAGAAAGATGGGAATTACAGAATTTGCAGTTTGAGGCTGGGTGCAGTGGCTCATACCTATAATCCCAGCTACTTGGGATGCTGAGATGACAGGATCACTTTGAGTCCAGGAGTTCAAGGCTGCAGTGCACCATGATTGTGCCACTGCACTCCAGCGTGGGAAACAGAGAGAGATTCTAGAAAGAAAGAAAGAAAGAAAGAAAGAAAGAGAGAGAGAGAGAAAGAAAGAAAGAAAAGAAAGGAAAGAAAGAAAGAAAGAGACAGAGAGACAGAGAAAGAAAGAAAGAAGAAATGAAGGAAGGAAGGAAAAGGGAAGGGAAGGAAGGAGAAGGGAAGGAAGGAAGGAGAAGGGAAGGGAAGGAAGGAAGGAGAAGGGAAGGGAAGGAAGGAAGAAGGAAGGAAGGAAAGAAAGAGGAAGGAAGCAAGGGGAAGGAAAGGAAGGAAGGAGAAGGGAAGGGAAGTAAGGAAGGAAGGAATGAAGGAAGGAAGGAGAAGGGAAGGGAAGGGAAGTAAGGAAGGAAGGAATGAAGGAAGGAAGGAAGGAGAAGGGAAGGGAAGTTAAGTAAGTAAGGAAGGAAGGAATGAAGGAAGGAAGGAAGGAGACAGGAAGGGAAGTAAGGAAGGAAGGAAGGAAAAGGGAAAGTAAGTAAGGAAGGAAGGAGAAGGGAAGGAAGGAGGGGAGGGAGGGAGGGAAGGAAGGAAGGAAAGGAAGGAAAGGAAAGGAAATGAAGGAAGGAAGGAAGGAAAGGAAAGGAAGGAAGGAAGGAAAGAAGGAAGGAAGGAAAGGAAAGCAAGGAAGTATGGAAGGAAAGGAAAAGAAAGGAAGGAAGGAAAGGAAGGAAAGAAGAAAAGAAAGAAGGAAGGAAAGGAAGGAAGGAAGAAAAGGAAGGAAAGAAGGAAAGAAAGAAGAAAGGAAGGAAGGAAAGGAAAGAAAGAAAAAGAAAGAGGTGATTTGCAGTTTGGTCAATGAATGGAAGGGAAGACATACTAGATATGGTGACTATAGAAAACTGGAAATTTGACAGGAATGAAGGGGAGAAATAGGTCAACTGTATAAGAAGGAGAAGGAAGGATACAGCTGGGGAAATAATTATTTTTAAGGTGGTGAGAAATTGAGTACGTTTGGATGCTCATGGAAGGGGCCCTGGAAAGGGAGAAACAGCTGACACATTTTTAAAAACTTGAGGGTACAAGGTAAGATAAATGGGTCAAAGGTGCTAGGTGAGGGAAGATCACTTATCATGAGAAGAGATGTTATTATTCTCTATGATGGGAAGACGTTGATGAATGGCTGAGGTCCAGGATCTCTGCAAGCTCTGCTAGCTGCCTGTGGACATCTGTGTGCAGAGGCCTCAGGGAGACAGAGCTGGCAAGTTCAGCAAATGCATGTTTAGCTTACTATTTTCAATGTAGGCCCAAATTGTTCCAGTGTTGGAACATGACCTGATGAACCTGGTCTGGTCCAAGTGTAAGAGGCAAAATTTTGGTACCAAATGGGACAGGAAGGCCAAAGCACCCTGGATGAAAGCCTCTGTCTCCTGCTTCCTTTCACCTAGGTGCTCCTCTCCTTGAGGCATTCCATTGCTTCCCTTTACCCCCACAGTTTATGGAGAGATGAGATGAGCAAACACCAAAGGAAAAGCGCCTTGGGAGACACTGCATCCTTCTCCTTGCACGACTTGTCTAAGTCATGCATTTCTTTCCTCCCGCCTTCTGCATTCTGCCCTGGTGCTGACGGTCCTTCCAAAAGGAAGAAATCTTCCCAGGTATTGGCTGTGTCCTAAATAGCTGAGAACTGAAACTATCTAAGTGAAAGGCTTAGTAGACATTAATCAAACCAAAAAGAGACAGATAATTATGATATACAAAGAGAAGGATTTAAAAATAGTGTATGAAAGAAGAGAAATCTACAAGGAAGAAATTCTAAAAGAAACAATTCTGAAAGGAATTCACCAGGTGGATTCTGCAAGTTCTTTTTTTTTTAACAGAGTCTTGCTCTATGTGTAAGTTTTAATCTTCACACTGAGATGTCTACTAATTGCACCATCATGTACCAACAGTGACCCTGACTTTGAGTCTTATTCTGGCCATTCAATATAGAGGAGTGAGTGAACCTCTGAATAAACCAGGGGTAGGGGAATGAAAAAAATTATAAATAGATAACCTGCGGATGGGAAAAACAGTGATTGGAACAATGGAAATATTGATTGGGAACAGCAGAGAGTCACTAAAGTACAGTCACATACTTATATCTCATTCATTCATTCATTCATTCATTCATTCAATGCTGAGTGGATTTGGATAAATGTTTACTGAAGACACACCCTGTGCCTGTCTTCCCTGTGCCTGGCAGTGAAAATGCTCATGAAATGATTCCTTCTGTGCTCTTGAGGAGTGTCCAGTCTAGTGAGAGGGACAGCTGAAAACTAAGTGATAGCATAGTGTCACATGCGAAGTGATGGCTTGAATAAAAGTACTTATTTCAGCACCAGGAGGTGAAGAAATGCTTTCCTGAAAAAGTCACTCTAATCTGAGAATTGACAGTACCCAGTTAGGTAAAACAAAAACAAACTGGTGAAAGTGTACCAGGCCAGAGGAGGAGGACAGTGTGTAGACCAGAGGACACCAAGGCCCAGAGGAAGGGCAGAAACTGACCCATCCGGAAGACAAGCACGGTTGGAGCCCAGGATTCCAGGCGGCGACTGCATTTGATGAAGTTAAAGAGTGGTGCAAGGCTTAGATTTTGACTTGCGGCAGACAGAAATCTTTGAATTGATTGGCGTTTTTAGAAGAATCACTTGGGATTAGCTGGGGTAGAGATTGGAAGAAGCGGACCAGTGACCAGAGACTATCCAAGGGTATAGGTAAGAGGGTCTGCCCCATGGTTGCATCCCGTAAGGTGGATAAAGGCAGCATGTTTGTTCACATTAAGAAGATAGACTTGACAAGAGGGTTTTTTTCAGGGGGCAGGGGTTGTGAAATCTGGCTGTAGACTAGTTTTACTTGCATGCATTTGATTGAAAGTGCTCCACTATCCTTGCCCAGGAATTTTAATTTCTGTTAGCATCCACACAGACAGGCAGAGTGGAGGGGCAGTGTGGGGGCAACCACAGGCTGAACAGATGTTTATGGGTGAGTAGCTATCAGTGAAACAAGATGACTGCATTTGGTGCAAGATTAAAACTTGCACAGGCATAGCGTGACAATTTCTATATTGGCTTCCATTTCTTAAGCATCTGCTAGGTATTTTACATATTTAACTGTGCTCCCCCTCTGTGTATGAGAAAAGGGAATCTTGTGGGAATCAGGCAAGGTTCTCAGCCAACTGGATGTAAGTCATAGGTGAGAGTCAAGGTCGGGGCATCTAACCCTAATGGCCGTGTGTGAGGGGGAAAGCCTTGGGCCTACCTCGATTCTCCCACTGGGAAGGGAGCTCCTAGTGTGAGTGCTGCTTACTTCAGCCTCCTCACCCGAGCCTGAGCTGGATCTCTGGAAGAATGAGCTGGGCGGGCTCACTCAGCCTTGTCCCTGTCCTCTTTGGGTGCATCTGCTGCCCAGCATGTCTGCCCCACAGGTCCTCATCAAGAATGAGGGTGATGCTCCAAGGAGGCATCTACCCATTTACTTCTCTACTGATGCAGAGTCCCAGGTGGGGCAATGGGTGGATTGTAGGGGGGCCCTTCCGAGACCCAACCCCTGTGTGGGACATTCTATGTCACACACATACTGGTTTGTGTGTTTTCGTTCCTGTAAGTGACTCTGGTACCGAAGGTCCGCCCTCCTCCTGCCCTGGATGACGTCACTCACCATGACCGCAGCCCGCTGATGTCAGGCCCTTGGGTGAACACCCACGAGCATCCGCTGAGCCGCGGGAACCCTGGGACCCAGGCCTGGATGCCAATTCCGGCGCCAACACCAAGGGCATCAGCCTCCACCTGTGGAGATTTCTCTCCATTGTGCCTGAATTCTTTGACTTCCTTTCAAAATATTATAGGCACCTTGTACAACAGTTTTACTGTTGCTATTGGAAATGCTATGAAATCAACATATCAACGTACTATGTTTGTTCAGAGCAGGTTTTCTTGTATTTAATATTTCCTGCTGTCATTTTCTTTTTGTGATTCTTTTTCGTATAACCTTTAGTGCTGAACTTTTGTCAGAAGTTTCTGCCTTCACTAATCTGTGCATAGGAAGAAATTAAATTCATTTTACCCTGAATTTGTCTTACATTAGAAATATTTTGTAGCAAATGAGTAAAAGCAGAATTTTATTTTGAACAAAAATTACAAGCAGTTATGAAAATAATGTACTAAGGCAAAAAGAAAAAGATAAAAGCAGCTTAACCAGTGCTGGTAATATTGACCTTAATTCCAGTGCTTTGTCTCCAACTAGGACTGTGATGAGGAGAACTTTCCTATTTCTGGTGTCAGCTTTGGCAATTAATTAAACAAACTAAAACCCCTTAGGCTTTTAAGGATTTTGTTTTTTTAAAAAATATTTTCTCCGTGTGCTGGGAAAAGCCAAAGCCATCCTATGGAGTTGGATGTGTGTGTCGGGGTTGTGTGTCGGGAGCTTTTTCGCTCTTCAGTCATTGATTTGAATGAAGATTTTTGAATTATTGAGCTTCACATCTGGCCCTGATATTGAACCATCTATCTTGTGTGGATCAGAATATGCTTCTTACACATCAATCCAGTTTGCAAGAATCATCTACAGCGAATGATTTGGTTCTAGGCAAATATGGTTTATGCTCTTAAAAAATACAGTGGCTCACTATAAAGTAATAAAATTGAAACAATAATAATTTTAGTTTTCCCCTATTAGTTTAAAATGTAGGTGGTGTCTAGGGGTGAGAAAGGTATTTCATTTCTTAAAAGCCCTAAGAAAGTTTATTATATTATAGAGAAGGATATACAGGAGAAAGAGCCAGATCTGTTTCTCACATATTAAGCAGTTACATTTTTTACCCTAATAAAAATGTCTAACATTTTTTGCTTGTGACATAGATAAATACATGATGATTTTACAAAGACGTTTACATCACAGAGAATCACAAAAAAGAAACAAATCACTTGAAATATCAGTGTTCAGTACGCAGAAAAATTTAATGATCTTTCAGATATTTACATATACATGTATGGACATGTATATATCTAAATATACCATTTATAAATGCACATCAAATATTTAATAATGTATAGAATACATACACATATAAAAAATAAATGTGTATGGGTTAAGAAACAGAGCACATATAAATAAGTGGACACAAAATGGGACATGTGTCTTTCTCAATGTATTTAAAAAACAATTCAACATTAATTTTCAACAATTTAAACTCAAAATTCTACTTTATCTTTACAAACAGAAGACATTTTTACTGGAATAAGAGTTTAAATATTTTGTATTATTTGGAATTACTACCTACAATTACTCTATTTTTAAATTTCTTTTAGAGCAGTTGGAACATCTAAGCCTTGTCCCGTTCCCCTTCCACTAAGGAATCTTTGCTTCTTAGCTAAGAAATGCAACAGCAAATTTAAGAGCAGCAATTTTTCCTCAGGAGCAATGTTTTTTTCTGAGTGCAGGCAGGATGTGATATCCTCCTACAGTCCTCAAATGTACCTTTTTGTTTCAGTGTATAGAGAGCCGATATTATGTTTTCCAAAATAATATAAAGCCAGTGAATATATAAAGAAACTAAAATGGCTGTGCAACATTATGGGCAATATAAGAAGTACTTTTATTTTTATTTCTACTTAAATAAATGTTGTTCTGTTTAGTGGAGGTCTAATTTATTATTCACTGATGGTAATTAGCTTGCTTATTTTCCAGCTTCATGTCTCCTGGCTTCATGTTGTTGATAAATCCGAATTGAATTTTCCTTTGTTTTCTTTTCTAGCACTTGTGCTTTAAATCTCCAGCCATTCCAGAAACAACATCTTTTCGACCTTTCAGGTGCTTTGCTAAAACACTTTAGTTCATCTATATTCTATGAGTCCCAAATGGACCGTTTCATAAGTCCAACTTACTTTTTATTGATTGGTTTTAACATTTATTAAAAACCAACAACTTGCTTTGTTTTCAATGAATAACAAATCAAAACCAGCTTAAACTGTGATACTTATTCTCAGCTCCATTGAAGAAGATGCATTTCTTCCTGGATTCAAGGCGTGATCATTACAAAGCAATACAAAAATTTGATACTCTGAATATACTTGACCTAATAATGAAAAACACACAGAATATCAATGTGGAATCTGTTTTATCTTCTTTCCCTCTTAATGCTTTGTAGCATATGCCTAACACTACAGAATCTTTGGGTGCTTTTCTGAGGCTGAAGGAAAACTAGGACATGCTCGTGGGTGTTTGCATAGAAACATTAAGAGATGCCTTCTACAGATGACAAAGATGATTTTCCAGAGGTGTCACGAATATCTGGAATGTCACTCCCCTTGTCCCCTGACACGCACATTCTTCAGTTGAGAGGTTTTAGACACCTTGGGTCTCTATTTGAGTCGCTAGGAAAAGCTCAAGGCAAGAGTCTCTTTGCAGATGCAGTTCTTTTTAGAAATGAAAATATCTTGGCCACTGTATATGTTAGAAATGACTGTAAAATGCTTTTCACAGTACTACCAGACATATTCTCTTTGGTTCTGTCTTTAATCTTAAAACTGGGAGATCACAAAAGTGAAAATCCATAAAGAAACAAATCATAGACAGTACTTCCAATTTTTTCAGTCATTTCAACGTCTTTTTTGAGAAGTGAAGAACAGGTACTATTTTCATTTCTTAGAAAGGAAAATGTCACAGTGAGGTCACAGTTTAGGAGTGACAAGTTTCCCTGTCTCAGCTTCGTCTCTTCTCCCTGTAGGTTGTCTCCCCACAGAACAGCAGCCGCTGCCACTGCAGAGTGCCACAGAATGGACCAAAGACAAAGGCCAAGGTGGAGGATAAAATCGTCTCCACCCCTGCTTGCCTGGGGCCTCAGCTGAGCATCATTGTTGGAATAACTCAACCAATGTTGATGTGATACCACTGGCAGCTCTTCCTTGGGTCTGAAAAATCTGTGGCAAACAAGCTTCCTAACACGAACTTATCTCCTCAGTGCTCACGGTTAAAACAAGTTTTCCCAAAAAATTAATGAGTATTTCCATAAGGGATGAAAATATTTTAAAAACTTGAATCACACTTCAAGACAAAAGCCTGAAGATGGAGCTTTGAGTCCTGACTCCCTGCCTGAGGTTCTCATCTGTGGAATGTTCCAGCAGTTGCATCCATCTTCCTGTTTTCTGTATGGTTGCTTGTCCCCTAAGTGAACACATTTACCTCTTCTACAGAAAGTCCTGGATTGAAAGAAGCTGTTTTGGGGGACCTGAGCTGTCACCACTTGTTTCCTCAGAGAGATTTGGCAGAAGGGGTGGCTGTGTAGCCCTGTCCTCCCCCTGCTCCTCAGCAAAACCTTCTGGGAGAGGCTTTCCCCAGGGAAGGAGGAGGAATGCTCTTCCCGCGAGGGTGGCAAACGGCAGCCGAGCCTCCTGGTTAGAGCTTCCAACAAACTCTCAGTGCCCAACTGTGGGGGATTTCTTCAAGGCAAAACAGAAACAGTTAATTCAGAAATCTCTGTGCTTTTATGCTGATTTTGTTACTTAAGTTGCTTTAATACCTGTATGAAAGCAGAATATAAAATTAGCAAATGGACTTTTCTAAATCATTTCATTTTCTTTCAAAAATAACTTAAAAAATTTTTTTTTTACCTGAAGTGATCAACATTGTACGTTCTGAAAGTGTAAAGGGACTGAAAAGACAGGCTGAAAAATAAAGTAAGAAGAAGATTGTACAACATTTCTAGCTGCCTTTTTTTCCTTTGATAAGGGAACCCATGCAGTCAGCTAAGAGCTGCCACCAAGATCAAGGCCCTGCAGGGCACCGATGAGCAGGATCACCGGGAGCGCTGTGTTTACAGGGATTTCATTTTTCATTTTGAAGGGTTGCCACGTCACTTTCCCAAGTTTTGCGGGGCAGAGTGAGGCTTCATCAAGACATGCATCCATGGACTGGGCGAAATTCCAGTGTCCATTATTTCCTGGGGAAAGCGTGTAAGAGGCTCTCTCTATCGCTCTTCTTACTTCTGCATCCCCCAGAACACACATACACAGTCACAGTCACACATGTTTGCACCAAACACGGCCTCACTCTCACAAGACACTCACGAAGGTACGTTGACAGTCTCACAGGGTCACAAACATGCACTAGAAATCTGACACACACACACACACATCCAATCTCTCTCTGACACACACACACTATCTCACACACACATGCTCCTCTGCTCTGCTGAGTCATCAGTCTTGGATCTCAGCCTCAGCACGTGTGGGGCCTGCCCTGTGGGAGGCTGTTGAACACAGAGGGAAGCTGAGGTTGCACTGTCCACCTCCTCATTACCATAATGATTGCGTTCAGCATCCTTCATCAGCACAGGAGCACTAAGGGTTGGAGAGGACGTGCATCACCTTTACTCGCACAGCTGCTCACATCGGGCACTTGAGACGTGTATTTGCTGGGACACTTGGGAGTGAAATGGCTTGTGGAATTTAGTCTCGTGTCAGTCTTCAGCTTTAAGTTTCAAGCGATCCTGCTCTGGGAATAAATATTGAGTACGACGTAGAAAACAGCTTTTCTTCAAGGACCTCTGAAAGCCATGTAAGCACCATTCTTTGATAAACATTCTCATCCCAACTGATGGAGGGAAAAGCCAGGAACAGGGTCCCAGGGAGGCCAAAGGGGTTCCCGACTGGGAATGAGAAGCCATCCCTTCAGGACTCTGCTGTGCCCCGACAGCAGGCACAGGAGGCGTGGTCCCTGCCTTTCCCCCACCTCACCTGCCCTTTCCCGCTGGAGTAAATGGGAAGAGAGCTCTGCTCAAGCCTCAGCCTCCAGGACTCTCCATCATACCAGCTGCCTCAGGCAAATTAAGCACAGCAAATGCTGCTCTGTTCAGGGCTCCTCCCTGTTTATTGCAAGACGGTGGTTCTCAAACCTGACCTTCTGGGACACTTAACGATTACCCTTGACTTTTGAATCTCTCCATGATATCTGATAACAGTCGAGTGTGGATTTCTTGGTGAAGTGAGGTCTCTCCCTCCACCTTTGCCCATGGAATTGAGTGACGGTCACCCCTCATTGACTCTGCGGAGAGCTGGTGCCTCCTACAGCAGAACAAGCAGGAAATAGCGCAGCAGAGAGCATCTTACAAGCCAGAGGGGCAGCAGAGGCAGCACGGGGCAGAGCTGGGCGGTGAGGAAACTGAGCATCAGCTGCTGGAGCAGCTGCCGTGAGGGAACTGGCTGGGTTTATCTCAAGAGGCTGTGCTGCTGGGGCCGACCATTGGTGGGAGGTCCCATGCTCACCGGGACATAAGGCCGCCTGTGCACGAACCGTGTGGCAGCTGGCGTCCTTTGTTTCAACAAACAGAACTGCATTTCCAACTAAAAAACCCAAGTGTGAAATTTGTAGACACCGTGTATCAGAGGGAAGAACTTGAGAAGATTAACTAAACTTCTGGAACCTCAACCGCTCTCCCTTGTGCACCTCACGCCTCGATGAGATGATGAAATGTGATACCGCGCATATCGATGGTGGGAAAAATGTTACGTGTCATTCAGAGCATTTGTCAGACGTTTATTAAAGTCTCGTTTCAGGTTTGGAGGGTACTATTTAGAAGTCTTAATTTCCGAATTGGATCCTATAATTATCTCAGGGTTTAATAACACGTCAAAAGCATAGCAGAGAAGGGAAAAAGAGTATAATTTTGCCTGCTCATATGAGGAACTATTTATTGATTTCCCTTGGGGTCCTGAGCAGAAGGAGCTGTGTTAAGAAATACTTTGGCTCGAAGTACCCAGCTGTGTAAGTGGTTTTGGGTGTGGACTCTTACGGCCATGGTCCTAAATGATTCAAATTGTAAGGTGGCAGGCAGAAGTCACACTTTTCTGATAAATGTTAAACTTAGTTACCTTCATTATATCAACATCATCAAAATCAATTGTGTGTCTGTTTGTTTATTGTGGTGGAGGCTGCTCTAGAGCTGCAGCCACATCATGGGATCTCTGCTACCCCAGCTCTCCCGCACATTCCAGGCTTAGAGACACATGGAATAAGTGAATGATGAACAAGTGAAATCAGCAACATTCAGCCCAATCATGATCAACTGGTCTCTCATCTGAAAGCCGCAAAGGTCAGAGATCTGCTGGTCTAAACCCTGTTTTGTTGTGAGGATGACATCCCAGTGGATGGATTTACCAGCCAAGGCCATCACTTTACTGAGTGTCTAGAAACCGCATCTGGAGGCCCCTAGGGCAGTGCTGTGTCCCCCTTTCACCCACTACACCCTTCTGTGAATCCTGGCAACCTTCAAAAATGTACCTGAGGTGAAATAATGAGACAAAGGGCCTTAGTTCTAAAGCAATCAGAAGCAGTGAGTTTGTGTGTTCTGATCACCTCTCCCTGGCGCTGTGAACAGTCCCCGTTCTTACAGCACGAGTGCCCTGCTAGCCTTAGATTTCCTCCTGAGGCTGCTGGGCCTGAGCTGGATGTGGGGTTTTGTCCGAATGTGCCATCCCAGTCAGGTGCTTGATGCTTGATGCTCTGGCTAAGGAATGAAGGTGTTAGGACCCTGAAGGGAAGTTGGGACCCCAGTACATCCTTCCCTGGAGGTGACATAAAGTGTCCTCTTCACTGAGCACAGACAGGACTTCTGTAAAAAGAGAAGTGAGCCCCATGAGCTCTGTAAAAAGAGAAGTGAGCTGCCCGCCCTGCCTTCTCGGCTTTCCTTTGTCTTTCAGATGGAGATGCGCTGACCTGCCCCAATACCTATTGTTGTTTGTTAAATTACTCCAAGATAGTTATAGTCAATGGCAAACACCCACTTAGAAGCACAAATCATGTCAGATGTTCAGGACCAGCACAAACAATCAATCAAGTAAACAGCACCTTCCTTGAATATGTGGCAGGTGTGTGAGGATTTTATGAACCTGTTCTGCATTTCCAAATCCACCCTGAGGCTTCTCCCAGGACACAGTCCTGTGGATCAGCCTGTACTCGGGCGGTTTTACCTTCTGTGTCTCTCTGTCACAGTAGTCTTGTCCTAGTGCTCATCACTGCACGTTCCCAGCTCCAGCAAGTGGCCAGGCTTTTCCCTCCACAGCCAAAGGCCCGATGGCCCAGCCCCCAGGTGGCTGGTGGCCCTTCCATGGCTGAGGTCACACACCCAGCATCGCATCCTGCCCTTCTCGGGGCCTTGGGCCCCTTCGGCTCTTCTCCAGGGATTGCACTTGCTCCTGCTGCCCACGGCGGTTTCCTTCCTGTGATTCCACTCGGAGGGGGCAGTTTTCTTTCCTGGCTTCAACCATCACAGAGCTGCTTTGTGTTCACCGGCAGCTGCCACGCTTCCCTGAAAAGGCAGCTTCCGTTCTGCTGGAGATGAACTGATTTGCCTGGCAGCCAACTTAAACAAGGAGGTACTTTGAGACCATTTTTGGAATCTGTCTTTTTCTCTTGATATTCAGCTTCGTAGTTGTGGGACTCTAAATACTTGTGGGGTTTAACACAAGGCCTAGGGGCTTTTGAGGATTTCAAAGTGATTCCTGTATCCTGTTATGACCACAAAACAAGGTCACAGGGGAGAACAGGCCATGCATTGTGACATTTTGCACTGGGCAGCATCTGTTACCATGTCCCCAGTGGATGCCTTCCTTATCTGTAATGAAGGCAAAGTCACACTTCTGGTTTCCAAATAAGTAAGCTGACCGCTTCTTTGATTGCTGGGAATCTTCAAGGCTCTCATTGACTCTGAGCATAAGCTTGGCCCCTCTTTTCCTTGTGATAACACAATCCTTCCTCTTATTTCCACCTACTGTTAATTTTAATCTATAGTACCAGAGAGATACTTGCATCATTTAGTCCTTTACTGGGGTAGAGTTGATAATTGTGCTTTCTTTAAAAGAAATAGCAATGCTCAGTGCCCGTGTTTCCCCCTTCCTCTTCAATCCGATATTAACACGTATTACAGAAACTAAATGAGTTCCCTGTTTAAATTACATTGATATTCAGTTACTATGTGGCATCCCCTCAATAGAGGTCAGCCAGCTTCTCCCTCATCACTGCTCCCGTCTGCTGTGTCACAAACTTCCCTCTAGTTAAAAGAAGTAGGACTCAAATCCCCACACCCCTTACACACCCTCACTGTGGTAGCTTTCTTCTTGTCCACCACCCTTTACTCTGTGAATGCTATCCTCCTGGTAGCCAGTTATCCAGACGGCCTGGTGAACTGAGCCTCCTGCCCTTGGGCAGTCCCTTCCCACACTGAGTGGCATTGCCTGAGTGGTCAAGAGAATGCAGTGGGAATGACGCAGTGCAACTTCTTGGATGTAGCTTGTACCTGCAACCCCACAAGGTTCCTTGTGAAGCTTGAGGTGTAAGGTCTACCCTGAGGAGAAGGAGGGCACAGATTCTGAAAGAGGGCCTTTTAAAATGAAGGACTTATTTTCCCTGATGCATGCTGTATTACATTTTCTGACATGATGAAGGGACTGGGCTTGAGACCATTTAGTTATAGAAACATAATGTTGCACATTTCTTTTTGTATGCCTGAGGTCGTGCCCACTACAATAAATACTATTTACAAAATTTTGAATTTTTCAGCTTACGTGACAATTTTCGATTCTGCAGAACTCCACTGACATAGTTAGAGCTCAATATCAGGTTTCCTGAATCAAAGTTAAATGCATTAAAAAAATTCTGTTTATAGGAGCACTTCCCAAGAGGGCAAATGGGAGGTATACCTTGGCCCTTTGTGCTCTCAGATTATTTTTTCAAAACCTGCCTTGAGAATGCTGAGGAAGGCCTTGACATTTAGCTGTTCCAAATTATCCCATTGTTGTTCTGGACACTTATTTGCTAGTAATATTGGAGAGATCAGTGCTGTGGTTTCTGCTGCAAACACTTAGAATATGGTATCATCCTCAAAGTTAAAAAAAATAAATATTTGTGCTTTGTTTTACTTTTCATTGGCTTTCACTCAAGGTCATCAAGCAGCTGCAGTTCTTTCTCCTAGATGGGTTTATCCAGGAAGAGACAGTCCTGGAGGGAAGCAGGATGGACAGAGGAGCTGGCGGGTGCTGGACGGAGTGCATGTCTTACCCAGGGCGTTGGACCGGGCTGACACCAGCCTTCGGCTTCAAGCCCACCTCTGCCTCCCACAGTGGGATCCAGTGATGAATACCCGCCCTGGAAAGAAATTATTCACAATATTCACATTGAAGAGGGAGAGGAATGAGAAACACTGAAACGTAAAATCCACTCCAGCCCAGATTGTTTTTTTAAATGTACATTGTAAATTCAGGACAAATAAGTGGACAAAAACGTATGTATATATTATGCCTTTTCAAGATAGTGAGGCAACTCATTGGGCATTAAGCAGCCCTAAATATGGGTTAAATCCTTTAGTCCATTTGAAAGTTTCTTTTTAAACCTGGGCAGCCTAAAAACCAGTAGCTTTATGATTTCTAGGTAACGGGTCTACTGTCTACTGAAAAATGGAGGGAAATATGCTATTATGTAATTATGCAGTGAAAATAGTGAACCATTCACTATTCTAGAAGAATAGGGCCCATTACCTCTCTCACAGCGTACTCTTTGGTTTATTGTTTCTTTGTGTACGTCTCTGACTTGTCCTCTTGTTTCTGTCCTTATTGCTTTGGTATCTGACCTCCATCCTTTCTCACTTAAAGAAGGAGGGTCAGAGGTATTAGGGTAGAATTTCATCTCATTCCCTCTGTATTAGTCCATTTTCATGCTGCTATGAAGAAATGCCCGAGACTGGGTAATTTATAAAGAAAAAGAAGTTGAATGGACTCACAGTACCACATGGCTAGGGAGGCCTCACAATCATGGCAAAAGGTGAAGGAGAAGCAAAAACCACATCTTACATGGCAGCAGGCAAGAGAGTGTCTGCAGGGGAACTGCCCTTTATAAAACTATCAGATTTCATGAGACTTATTCACTATCATGAGAACAGCATGGGAAAGACCTGCTCCCATGATTCAGTGATCTCCCACTGGGTTCTTCCCATGACATATGGGAATTATGGGAGCTACAATTCAAGATGAAATTTGGATGGAGACACAGCCAAACCATATCACCCCCCTTAATCTCACTTTCCTTGATTATATCTTCCATTCAAGGTCAGACTGATATTTTCTAAACTCATATCTGACCTTGAAATATCCACTTAAAATATTCAGGTGATTCCTCAGAAATACAGAAAATGTGCACATTTTGTGATGTGGCTTCAGGCCGCGTTGCTGCAGGACTCACCCCAACATTTGGTCGACTCCTTCCATTCTCTTCTCCACCTTTAATTCCTCATGCTCCATCCACAGGAGGGTCTTTTCCTCAAAATGCTGAGCATGTTCCAACCTTTGAGCTTGCTCTCTGCTGTTCCTCCTTTCTAAAAACTCTTTATCCCCTTTTCTGTAAGTCAAATGTCCTAAGTGCAAACACTATCTTCTTGCAAAGCCTTAAAGCCCCAGCTTTTTTGGGTAAAGTCAGTCTCCTATTCCCAGGCTGTGTGAACAAAAACCTAGGCTAGTCTGTATGCAGAAGACCATCATATTAGTCCCTCAAGGCCCAAGGTGAACATACCTACCCAGGGAGCCCTTCTAACTTCCAGACATATATGTCTACTCCATAATATTCTCTAAAAACCTCTGTTTAAGCACATTTAATGACCTCCTGTGACTAGATCTGTCTCCCAGACACTGCCAATGGACTCTTGAAGGCAAGTAACTTGTCCTATTCTATAATATCACCTGCCACAAACAGGTGCTTAATAGACGTCTGTTGAGCTGTTTTTTTTATTTTAATAACTCTCCATCATCAGATGATTATTCTGTACATATTTGCTATAGGGCAATTCTATTGTATTATTGTAGTATAACATTTTACCAGGTCATAGTCATGGGAGGCTTGGCCAAGCTGGAGAATTTGCTTTCTTGGAAGTCCACTCACATGGCTAACAGGCAGCCTTAGTTCCTCTCCACTGAGGACCTGCCACAGAGCTATTTGAGTAGCCTCATATCATGGATGTTAATTTCTTCTAGACTAAGCAATTAAAAAGCCCAAGGCAGAAGCTATAGTGACTTTTATGATGTAGCCTCAAAAATTATGTACTTTCCTGTTCACAGAATTCTCCACACGGGGTAGCCCTGATTCTATGTGTGAGGGAAATATACAGGACATAAATCCTAGAAGGTAGCAAGTATTGGAGGCCATCTGGGAGCTGGTTTTCACATCACACCCTCTGCCCACCCCTCCCCACCCCCCAGGAATGTTGCTCCTCTATCTGCAACATACGCTCATCACCCTCGAAGTTCCCCAAAGTCTCAACCCTTTATAGCATCAGCTTGAAATCCTAAATCTCATCATCTGCCTCCCGTTCAGGTGTGGATGAGGCTCTCCAGGTGTCCCCTGAGTAAATTCCTTGAGTATAACACCTCTCCATCTGCAGACCTGTGAGCTCAAGAGGAGAGTTTATCTTCTCTTCCCTCCCCCACCACTCTTCCGACATACTATGGTAGAAAAAGTACAGAATAACTTCTATGGACCCTCATTCAAAAATGGATAAAATGGTTGGCACACATAACTCACTGTTAAATAATAATTCTGAAATCTAACAAGCTCATTGAGGGACACAGTCAGAATTTAAATACTGAAAACTAGCTCCTGAAACTAGACTTTTAATTACTACCCCATGCCATCTCTTAAGACTTTACACGGCTTTGTAAATTTTTATTGGAGTCCCAAACCTTGAAAATTCTTTGCAATTATTTGTTACTATTGCCTTTTCTTTTAATACCACTGTCACTGCCATATTTTATGGAAGCTCCATTTTCAGACACAGGCTTCAGATTTACCTCTGTTGCATTTTAATTGGCCAGGAAGACTGTTTCAGACAATATTCAGCAGAAACCTCCAGTGAGCCAAGAGAATTGGCTATAAGCTAACTTAAAAAGTATTTTGAGAACATTAATGTCACCTCCTGATCAACCCCAGACAATGGCTATTGAGCAAGAAGAGGGTTCTCAGTATAACCATAGGAGCTATGTCATATCATATGCATTATGTTGCTTAAAAATTTGCTTGTTTTTGCAAGCCTTCTTTTCAGAATTCCTTGCACAACCTTAATGAAGATAGTTGTTATGAAAAATCTGGAGGAAGAGACATTAGACTTGTTCAGATTGACTGTATTAGACAGACATATGAATGCTGATCAAAAGTCAACATGCTGGATTTCATGCAGCAAGTTCCCAGCAGAGTTCTCTAGGGATGGAATAAATAATCTAAACAGGTAGTTATTATCTGTTCACTAGGTTTAAGCATAAGCTGGATAAGAATTTGGTTTGGATTGACTGATTAATTAAACAAATATTTACTAAGTGCTTTAAGCATGCCAGAACCTGTATTGATTGCCGGGGATTTAGCAGTAAACCAAACTGACTGAAATCTATCATGGGTACTAAATTTTAGTGGAGAAAAAAACAAATTCTAATTAGAAGATACTAAACATAAAAAATACTATCTATGGTATGTATCATATGTTATATATGTAACCTATATATTTGACATATATACCATATATGATATATTATATGGATATATTACACATATATAATGCATATATAATATAATATATAGTAAATGTAAAATACATATATCATATATATTACATATTTCCTGGTACATGTAATGGAAAGAACGTGGTATAAGGGTGACAGAGAGTACGACAAAAGCAGGAGTCACCCTTTCATATCATGCAGAGAAGACCTCACTCAAAGAGTGGCCATTGGGCACCTTCATGCATCAAATCATAAAGAGATAGTTGTGTCCTGGCAGTGGACAGGGCAAGTATGAAACCTGTGAGGGAGGAGCGTGCTTGCTGTTTCCAAAAAGAGCAAGGAGGTCAGTGCGCCTGGGGAAAGGGAAGCCCAGGGCAGGAGGATGGTACCTAACAGCTGAAAGGAACAGAAAGCCATGAAGGCCATTATAGTGACATTGTTTTTGACTTTGAGCAAGATGTGAAGACTTGGAAGGTACTGGGAAGAAGTGTGTGGTGATCTGACTTACTAGTGAAGAGGATGACGCCAGCTGCTGTGTCAAGAGCAGCACTCAAGGAACAAATGTAGCAGAAGACCAGTTCCTATACTACTGCCATGATCCACAAGAAAGCAAGAGTAGGGGCTTGGAGAAGGTGCTGGTGGTGGGGTTCTTGGATGTATTCACCATCTAGGACCAAAAGTATTTGCTGAAGTGTTGCAAGTAAGTGTGAGAGAGAGCAGACAAGGATTATTCCAGGGTTTTTAGCTCAACTGACTGAAAAGAGGCTTGTCTTTTACTGAGATAGGAGAGAATTCTGGAGTAATTATTTTGTGTGTGTGTGTGTGTGTGTGTGTGTGTGTATTGGGGGGATCAGGGTTTCTGCTTCGAACATGTTATGCTTTTCAGATGCCCGTTATACCTATCAGTACAGATACTCAGAAGATAGTGAGATTTACAATTGGGTGTTCCATGGAGAGAACCAGGCTTGAGATACATTTATTGGTCATCAGATTATAGATAGTAGTTAAAGCCTTGGGTGGGAATGAGGTCTCCGATGGGTGAGTGTAGAAAGAAAAGTAAGAGGCTCCAGGGAAGCCCTCAAGGATTTGAAGACTTAGAGGCTGAGATGAGAAGGAACCGGAAATGAGGAGTTTTTCCATTAAGATATAACAAAAGAAATGCAGGTTGATGTGTATCCTGCAAGACAAGGGAAAATGCATTTTGGGGAAAGAATGAATGATAGTTAAATAAAGTATAATTAAGTAAGAGCAAATTTCATATTAGACTACTGAATTTAGCAACTGGGAGCCCATTGGTGATCTTGGAAAGAGCAGATTTGATAAAGAACAGGTGGCATCAAAAACTTGACTTTGGTGGGTTCAGAAGAGTGGGAAAGGAAGGCTGGAGGCAGAGGAATGATCTGGTACCTAGGGAGGAATGTGGAGCCAGGAGACAGTTATATATTTTTAAATATGCATGAAATCAGAGATTGTTGATATTCTAATGGAGGTGATCCATATATGGAGGAACATTGATGAAGTAGGAGAGAAAGGAGGGAAGTGCTGGAACAATGTCCATGGTTAGGAAAGAGGAAATGGGCTGCAGCTTACTTGCAGGAGGATTTGCCTTGGGACAGTTCATCTGTGGTTCCAGGAGAGAAGGCAGAGAAGCCAGCACATAGGGCACAGTTGCACATGGGTGGGAAGATATGGCGGTGGAACTTTGTGGAAGCTCTCTTCAAATTGCTTTTCTTTTCTCAGTGGAAGGAAAGCAGGTCTTCCACTGAGAGCCAGGATATGGGGAGGAAGAGCCATTCAAGAAAAGAGAGAAGGGTGTAAGTAGGCAAATGGAAGAAAGAAATTTACAAGGATTACCAGGCAGCATGACAAGCCACTCGATATTAGAAGTTATGACTTCAAAATGAGAACAGTCAGCTTGTTTTGTTTGTTTTTGCCCAGGCACATTTAGCCACACTGGTGCAGAGTTGTTTTTCAGTTCCTGTTGTGGTTGCTGTTTATCTTTTGAGGAAGCATGTACAGAGACACCTGGAAGATGGATGAAAATCTTGATTAAAGTGAAAAATCCCAGATTTTAAGATGAATAACAGAGGATCAGAGGGCATGAGACAACTGTTGTTAGACAGTGAAGAGATAGGGGGAGAACTGGACTTGAGGTCCTTGTAAGGAAAAGGATTTTTGGAGTGGGGCTAGAGAGGGAGTATGGTAGAAATCTGGGAGGGGTAGATGTTAGAGATCAGCCTTCCCAAAATTGTGATTAGGAAGCTATTGCAGCAGTTGGTAACAAGATCAAGAGTTTGCCCATCCAAGTGAGTGTTGAGTTAGTTTGGAGCAGAATGTGGTTGGAGAAGAGAACAAAGAATTGACTGAAATATCAGTTTATATGGAAAAATTCATCTTCCTAGATATTGAACAGTGATGGCAGGGGTGGTGTTGGGGAGAGATATTATGAGTTGTTTTCAGCCAAGAGTTAATTGTCAAATAGTAAAGAGCTAACACACGGGGGTTGGTAGAAGACAATAACAGAATGGGTATCATGCAGTGTATTCTGATATCTGAGATGCAAAGTTAAGGAGGCCCAGAAGGGAGGGAGGGTCTTGATTTGGAAACAGTAAAGAGCAACAAAGAACAGGAAGACACTCCTTTAAATCCAGGCTCAGCCATATGATGTGTTGATACGGAGAGGTCTAGAGAGATCTTATCTAGGGCTGTCTTTAGAATACGTAGCCTATAAAGTAAGCTATTCATTCAAAGGTGTGGATATAGGTATATGCACACACATATATGCACACACACGAGAATGAATAGTATAAATTCATTTTTTTCTAGTTAAGATGTTTTTTATCTGTACACAGAATTTGTATTTAATCCCATTGTTTAGGCTTCTATATTTATTCTGAAATCTCTACAGTAAATGCTCAATTAATCTGTTGATTGGTTGATGTAAGCAGAACCTAAAATCGAGTGGAAAACTTAATGCTATATAGTATCATGAAACAATTGAAGTTAAATATGATTTTGAGAGAATTAACAGGATTTTACACCTGGAATGGAGTAATAAATATGCAAAACTTTCTAATTAAAAAAAAACTTTCTAATTTTTAGAGCTTTTGTAAAAACAGAATGAACTATCTTATGCGACTGAGAGTGTTTTGTTTTTTGTTTTTTTTTCCAACGGACATGAAATGAACACTCCCTTAAGGACACTAGAAAGAGAATCCAGGCAAGACAAGAATGTGAACAATTAGTTGTTCTCCAAGAATTGAAGCAAGGTCAGTTTTTCCAAAGGTCCTTGGCCTTTGATCCATCACAGGCATATTTTCAGAAGTCCAAATGTCTCCCGCCCTCTATCTCTAGGTGCCCATGTTATTTCCTTGGAAGCAGAGAAGCCTCCGATGTAAAGAGCTCAGGTCTTTCTGGATCACTGAGGGTTTGTGGTACTTCTCTCATCTCACATGCCTTTTAGACCATTTGTACATGTTATTTAGACTATTTTTGGTGTGTAACTAGGCTAAGAACAAGGCCATTCAACCAAAAATATTTTCCTGAAGTGACATTGTCTTTGTGTGTGTTCCGGTGTTTGAGGGAGATTTTAAAATTTCTTTATTTTCTGAAGAGTTCAGGGACTGTTGAACCTAACAGACAATAACAGGAACCTCATTTTTGTGCTATTCATTTACAGACTTGTCAGAAGTTGATGTGCAGCAGAGAGTAGCAACTCTGACAATAAAAGGGTAAGAGAGTCTCTTTTTATTAAAGCTGAGATTCAGAAGACATTTATAGAAAATTCAGTGTCTTTTGAAAATGTGGCATAGTGGATAATGACTATTACTTTTTGCTTTACAATGTATGTAGAAAACTAGAAATTAAAAAAAAAAGAGTTATAGGAGAGAAAAGCTACTAAAAATATCCAGTAAGAAAATACACAATAAGCCTGGTCTATTCTGCTGACCTTTTCTGGTCAGTTTTCACATAATTTCTCCACTTGGATTCTGGAGAAAGTTATTCGTACAGTGACGTCATAGGTCATGGTTGTAGGAGGAAGTGCAGCGACTGGGCACTGGATATTATCAATTTCAGCTGGACCCTGCTAAGTTCAGACACAAAACATTGTTGCTTTCCTTGTTTCCTATTATGTGAAATGAGGATGTTAGTTTAGATATATGTGAATCAAATAAAATATAATGTGAACCACACTTTAAGAATTTGGTTGCCACATTAAAAGAATTAAAAGGAAATAGGTTCAATTAATTTTAATAATATATTTTATTCAGCTCAATATATCCAAGACATTATCATTTCAACATGTAACCGATATAAGAATAAGTATTTCCTGGCTAACATGGTGAAACCCCATCTCTACTAAAAACACAAAAACTTAGCCAGGCATGGTGGTGGGCCCCTGTAGTCCCAGCTACTTGGGAGGCTGAGGCAGGAGAATGGCGTGAACCCGGGAGGCGGAGCTTGCAGTGAGCCGAGATTGTGCCACTGCACTCCAGCCTGGGCGACAGAGCGAGACTCCGTCTCAAAATAATAATAATAATAATAATAATAATAAGTAGTAGTAAGTGGATAGTTTCTATTCCTTTGTCTGTACGGAGTCCTGAAAATCTGGTTGATGTCTACGCTTACAGCACATCTCAATTGAGACCAACCGCATTTTAAGTACTCAGTGACCACAGGATGCTAGTGGCCACCATGTTGGATGTCTATAGACAGTGTCCTGGCTCCTTTCTGGTTTGATATTGTGGGCATCTAAGTAAAATAATTATAATAGTTTAGTAGCCCTAATTATATGTCAAATATTATTCTTAACATTAAATACATTAACCCATTTAATCCTAGTGATAACATGAGAAGATGGATACTATTTGTTGTGCCCATCTTAGAGATGACAAAGCTGAGGCACAGTGAGGTTAAGCAAGTTGTCCAAGGTCACATCCAGAGGTGATGAGCAGAGATTTCAACCCTTGGGCAGCTCTAGAGGTTGAGAGAGTCCTGCATGGGGACTCTCTGCAGTTCTGGATTCTGTCACATGGGGTGAGGTGTAAGAAACCATGGCTAACACGGTGAAATCCCATCTCTACTAAAAAAAAAAAAAAATGCAAAAAATTAGCTGGGCATGGTGGCGGGCGCCTGTAGTCCCAGCTACTCGGGAGGCTAAGGCAGTAGAATGGTGTGAACCCGGGAGGTGGAGCTTGCAGTGAGCCGAGATCGCGCCACTGCACTCCAGCCTGGGCGACAGAGCGAGACTCTGAATCAAAAAAAAAAAAAAAAAAAAAAAAAAGAAAAGAAAGAAAGTGTGGCCAGACTTACATCTCAGGGTATGAGGGTCATTACTTTTGTCACTTCTTCCTGAGGCTCTGGACTGGTTCTCAGCCATTAGTAAAATGACTTGCCGCACACCTGCCGGAGTCCCAAGGGGCCACATAGATCACAAGTGAGTGCTTTTTCCTTGTTCAACTCCTGAGTCTTTTCATGAAGAGGTAAGTTATGAGAACATAACTCCTTGAAAATCACCCTCTCCTTCTAATTTCAATGTTTTTCTCTCCATTGAAATTGAAGTTGTAGTTCCTGATGCCTCCCCCACTCATTGTCCTTTTGCAAAAATTGGACAGCACTGACCAGTGAAGAGAAAAGATTTATTAATTTTAACCTTCTAATTTGAGGGTTAATAGCTGCAGTCTTGCTGGACCTGCATTCCTCCATGAAGCCTGATTTTCAATTAACCAGAAAGTCTTTTCATTAGAACAGTGATATTCCCTGAATGGCCACAGGCTACCATGATAGTTGATTATGTTGGCACTGGAAGTGACACAGTCTTCTTCTGGGCTGCCTTTTCTTTCAACTGAGTATGTAGTACTCCTACGTCATGAAGTTATTCTGGAGTCACGTAGGGGTTGACTTCGGGGTAAGATTGGGTCCAAGGTTTTGGTTCTCTTAGGTTCCACAGGAAGTTAGGCCAGCGCTTGGATGGGCTCCCTGGGAGGTCTGGCTATGATTCAGCTCTCTATAAAAGGACACAGAAAGTAGAAGGTTGGCTGGCCACAACTCATGAATTTATCCAAAACTGGAGATGACAGAATGTGAATGGAGGTGAGAGGAGGTGAGTTCAAAAGGAAAAAGAAAAAAAAAGAAAGGAAGAACCAAGGAGAAAAACAATATTTATTAAAGCTGTAATAAATATGGCACAAATATTTATTAACATTTATGAATATTCAAGGATTAATATGTATAAAATGTTGAGAAAATGAGCTTACAAAGACTCAAGAAATCACTAAGTCTAAAATCTCTTTTAATTCCAAATCTTCTATTGTAAACCTTGAACCTCTTGCTTTCTTTTCTGCTGAAGGCCCCACCCAGAGTAGACCCTAGAAAGAGGTTTTGTGCTCCTCCAAACATCTTTTCCCTCATTCTTCAACCCAGCCCAGCATGCAGCCTTTATAGCTCATGGAGCCATATTTATTTGCTTAATTTGGATGATCTCCTGTAATTTGCCAAGAGTTTCATGAACATCTATGAACCCTGCAGGTCTTGCTATGTCTTGTTGACCCAGGATCTGGCACAGGCTCATCTTAGGGACCCAAAAAAGAAACCTGCTGATTATGGACCAGGTGAACAATGACAAGAAGGGCTATTACCTGCGGAAGTTTCAGAAGTCTAAGAAAGGTTTCCAGGCTTCAGCCATCCTATCAGTTCTGTGTAAGAAACTGAATTGACAACACATGTTTTTATCTTTCAAAAAATTTTATTTTGTTTTCTGTTTGTATTAGTCCATTTTTTACTCTGCTATAAAGAACTTCCCAAGACTGGGTAGTTTATAAAGGAAAGACATTTAATTGACTCACCATTGCACATGGCTGGGAAGGCCCCAGGAAACGTACAATCATGGGGGAAGGTGAGAGAGAAGCAAAGGCATTTCTTATATGGCGGCAGGTGAGAGAGCGCATACAAGCAAAGAGGGAAGAGCCCCTCATAAAGCCATCAGATCTTGTGAAAACTCACTCACTATCATGAGAACAGCTGGGGGAAACTGCTCCCATGATCCAATAACCTCCCACCAGGTCCTACCCTCAACACATGGGGATTACAAAAATTAGTAGCATTTCTATACACCAATAACATTCAAGTTGAGAGCCAAAACAAGAACACAATCCCATTTACAACAGCCACAATTCAGGATTACAATTCAATATGAGATTCGGATAGGGATACAGAGTCAAACCATATCAGTATTTTAAAGAAAGCATAATACTACACAATTAAAAAGAATGAAAAATTTCAAAAATAATATAAACTTTTTAATAAAAGTGCATTCTAACTGTAGTTACATTGGGTTTAATTTTAAATGTTGCTAAATAGAAAGGAAATTGTTTAAAGCCATAAATTATCTTTCCAGTAAGCCCCATGTGATTTATTTTTGGGGTGTGCATGTATCTTACTTGGTGCAGAATGTTGTAGATTACTTGCTCTGTTTCAAACGATAATTTCTGAAGACATTCGTATCATGAGCCTAAACAGATCATTTTGTGTAATAATATACGGTTTCCTGTAGAAAGTTAGTTTTTGTTACTGTTGTTGTTTTGGTTTTTTTTTTTTGAGACGAGTCTTGCTCTGTCGCCAGGATGGAGTGCAGTAGCGCGATCTCGGCTCACTGCAACCTCCACCTCCTGGGTTCAAGTGCTTCTCCTGCCTCAGCCTCCCCAGTAGCTGGGAACAACAGGCATGCACCACCATGCCCAGCTAACTTTTGTGTTTTTTAGTAGAGACGGGGTTTCGCCACGTTGGCCAGGATGGTCTCGATTTTCTGACTTTGTGATCTACCCACCTTGGCCTCCCAACGTGCTGGGATTACAGGCGTGAGCCACCATACCCAGTGAGAACGTTTTTAAAATACTTATGCTGTTATTATAAGTATTTCTTTTTTATGATATACTTCTTTTACATAATTGTTATGAAGAAGAACATTGCATTCAACAAAATAAAAATATGGCTGAATGTAGAAAAAGTGTTATGATAAAAAATACTTATAAATTTATGTAAGCCAATATGTTTGTTCAGTTTAGAATTGTGAATTAATTTTTGTGGGGTATTTCCCAAAGAATACTATGTATAGTAGAATGATAATCCCACTTTATATCTTATTTCATAATATAATATTTGTGATATTAATTTAAGAATTGCAGGGATTTTCACATTGATCTTTCTATATTCACTTTCTTCATAGGGTGAATAAATTATTATCCTTTAACCTCAATCTCAGTATCAGGTAAAGTACCATATTAATTTAATTTCCTGTTTCTTATTATTTTAATGTGGCAATAAGTTATTTTGATTGTTGGTTAATGAAAGCAAACAAATTTTGAAAGTTTGCATTTTGTTTCCTACATAAAGAAGCAACTCAAAGACTCAGTCAAAACTATTATATTTGTTATCTTCTACAGCCATTTATACTCTAACAAAAATTTAAGATAATGTATAAGAAATTAATTTTTAATTTTATAAAAATACCTCAATGATCCCCTGATAAGCTTTCCTGAAATGTCTATGTTCATGTAAAATATGCTTAAGGATGAACTGCAATGAATTATTTTAGTTATCTTCTACAGTAATTGTAGCTACAATTTATATGCACATTTCAAACTTTCACTTATTTACAAAAATTTTTCTGTATTTCTAAATCTGAGACTATTACAAGTGAGCTAGTTTAATTCAATATAATGTACACTATTTCCCTTCACTGAAAATATGATTCTATACCTGGAAAACCCTAAAGACTCTGCCAAAAGGCTCCTCCTGGAACTGGTAAACAACTTCAGTAAAGTTTCAGAATATAAAATCGGTGTACAAAAATCAGTAGCATTTCTATACACCAATAATATTCAAGTTGAGAGCCAAAACAAGAACATAATCCCATTTACAACAGCCACAAAGAAAATAAAATACCTAGGACTATAGCTAACCAAGGAGGTGAAAGATCTCTACAAGGAGAACTACAAACCACTGCTCAAAGAAATCAGAGATGACACAAATGGAAAAACATTGATACTCATGAATAGGAAGAACAATATTGTTAAAATGGCCATACTGCCCAAAGCAATCTACAGATTCAACACTATTCCTACCAAACCACCACCATCATTTTTTACAGATTTAGATAAAAAAAATTATAAAATTCATATGGAACTGAAAAAGAGCCTGAACAGAGAAAGCAATTGAAAGCATCAATAACAAAGCTGGAGGCCTCATGTTACTTTACTTCAAACTATAAGTAACCAAAACAGTATGATACTGGTACAAAAATAAACACATAGACCAATGGAACAGGATAGAAAACCCAGAAATGAGCCATCTGATCTTTGACAAAGTTGACAGAAATAAGCAATGAAGAAAGGGCTCCCTATTCAATGAATGGTGCTAGGATAACTCCCTAGCCATATGCAAGAGCATGAAACCGACTGACTGTTATATCTTGACCCATGCATTTCCTTACATCACTTTGCAAAATGTGAGTACCATGAGGAGAGGTATCTTTGCTGTTTTTTTCTACAGGATACTGGCTTGTCCTAGGTTCCTAGAAGAGTGCTTGGAACATGCTTGGGCCTCAATAGCCATTTGTTGAATGAATGAGTGACAGTATGGGAGAAGCATCTAGGCTGTATGGCATCTGTGCACTTGCTTCCTTCTCTCCATTTCCCATCCTGAATCCTAGCCACAATCCTTACAATTTTAAATTGACTTCTCTCACCTTTGCACAACACAGCAAACTAATATCAAGCTCTTGTTTTCATTTATAATGACATATCACTTAGAATCCCCCAAAGAGAAAGATTATTCCCCAAATCAAAATTTCATTCTTTTCATCAGTGAACCTACAAAATAATTTGCTCAATTATTCTTGTATTATTTTATATTGTATCAATAAATGCTTGTGAAATTTTTTCTCTTGTTAGTACTTATAGAATTTTTAAAATTTTGACTCTTGGCCTAAAAAACCTATAATATTTAATGTCTGGTTCTTGACAGAAAAATTTGCCACCCCCAGTATAGACAAACATACAAATTTGTGAAATGCAGTTAAACAAATCTTAGAGGAGTGCTATCACTTTAAATGCTTATATTAGAAAGGAAAGCTTTCAGAATAATAAATCAAGTTTAACCTTAAAAAGCTAGAAAAAGGAAAGGTTTCAGAATAATAAATCAAGTTTTAACCTTAAAAAGCTAGAAAAAGAAGAGCAAACTAAGGCCAATAATAGTATAGAGATGAAAATAACAGAATTTAGGTTTGAACACAGTATTCAAAATGGGTGGTGAATTTAAAAAAGTATTTATACCTACACAATTTACAAAATTGTGGATAATGTAGCCACAGTGTAAACTCCAGTTGATAAGAAACAATTCCCAAGAATGCAGAAGTGTACTGTGAAAATAATTTATAATTAAAATTCTAGGTGATTTTAAATTTGACACATAATTTTACATATTTTTGGTGTCCATGTGATATTTCAATATATTATATGCATACAATGCACAGTGATCAAATCAGGGTAATTGAGATATTCATTACCTCATACATTTATCATTTCTTTGTGTTGGAAACATTCAAAATCCTCTCTTCTAGATATTTTGAAATATGTGATAAATTATTGTTAACCAGTCACCCTACTACTGTGCAATAGAATACCAGAGCTTATTTCTCCTATGTAACTGTAACTTTATACACATTGACCAATCTCTCCCTACCTACCCCCTGCCCCGGCCCCCAGCCTCTAGAAACTATTTTTCTACTCTCTACTTCTATGAGATTATATTTTTTAGTTTCCATAAATAGAGAGATCATGCAGTATTTGTCTTTCTGTGCCTGGCTTATTTCACTTAACATACTCTCCTCCAGGTTCATCCATGTTGCTGTAAATGACAGGATCTCATTCTTATTTTAGGGCTAAATAATATTTTGCTGTGTATATATACCACATTTTCTTTATCCATTCATCCATTCATAGACATTTATTACTAGAAGAAATCATAGGCAAATGCTCTAAGTGATTGTTTAAAACATATGAGAAATAAGAAATTAACAAACATGAACATGTGATGGATTTGTCTTGTTCAAGTTAGAGAGGCTGCACACAAAGTTTAATTATTGATGTTAATTAAAAAGTGTGTTTAAATGGTTTTTCCCTAAATGTGAGTCAAATGGAAGACTAGAAAAGGCTAAATGTTATTTTTTACAATGAATTTGAATGGGATAGATTTGTTGCCAGTTTTGGACAAAATAAAAACGCAGCTAAAAGCCACTTACAAGGACATATACCAAAAATACAATGACACAATATATGCTGAGTATGTTAGAAGCAGTCGACTAATCTTTTTATATAGATCACCTCATTTAATCCTCAAAATGACATTATGAACTAAGCACAATTACTGACCCATGAGTTTGACTCCAGAGACTATACTTTCAATAACTCTCCTTTGTAAAAAGTAAACGCATGGTAAAAAAAATCTATCAGGAATAGGTTAATACAAAGATAGCCTGGCAGTTGTAAAATCAAAACTCCAGCTGAAAAATATTAAATGGGACAAATGGAGGTGAAAATTACAGTCCACGAAGAACACAGATAATTCATTCTATCACTACCAATAGAGTTCCTAAATACTTCAAACAAAAAGTATGTGGCATGGCATACTAGGAGAAATTGATAATCCAATTTGAATGTATAACACTCAACTTTTAGAATTCAAAGATATAATGTGAGAAAACCCACAAAGATATAACTACAAGAATGGGTTTGGTATAATGGATACAGGGAAAGATGAAGGTCCATAATGAATGATTAACCCCTTATATTCAACAAAGTAGATACATGACCACATAGAAAAGTGTGCAAAGTAAAAATAAGCACATCAACAAAATGTTAATATATTTATAAAACAATGCCTTATCTCACAGTAATCAGGGATGCAAATTATAAAATCAATAATATATGTAGTATTTATATATTATATATGCATATATATATAGATATCAATCACCTTGGCAAAAAATAAACTGATAATATGAAGACAAAGCAGTGAAGAAATGGGAACTTACATTTGTGAATAGCATTTCATGGACCATTTAAAGAACAATGCAGTAATGCCTATCAAATATCGAGTGTGCATATCATGTGAACAGCACTTTTACTTTTGTTATCCATCACGCCATGTGCCCTAAAGGCATATGTACAAAACGTCCTTTGCAACCTTCTTTGTATTAATGATAAATTGAAAACAACCTGCATATTGGTCAATAAGAGGATGGTTAAGAATTTAAGTATATCCACATTATGTTGTACCACACAGACATTAAAGGGAATGAGATATAGCTGAATGCAGTCTTATGCATTACTATGACTGTAAAGTGATTTTATTGTTATAAAATAAGATATATGACATTTATTTTTTTGTATATATATATATAGACTATCTATTCGTATGAATATATGCCTGCTGTTAAGAGTGGTTGCTCTGGGGGAAGAGAAGGCAAAACACTAGCTGTGTGAGGTGGAGAGAGTGAAGGAGCAATTTCTGTTTTTACTTCAGTTCTGGATGGTTCTATTGTTTTACAAAGAGCAAGACTTCAAAAAATCCTTTGAAAGTAAAATAAAGCATGGGTGTATTCCAAAGCCCAGAAAATATCGTTTGAGCAAGCAAATATTGTTTAATGTTAACCTTTGATTTTGTATTTTTTGAGAACTTATATCTTCGATATTTGTAAAGGCTTTAACAATATTAGGAATTTAAAAATCTATTCACCACTAAATTAACTTTTTAAGTTACATTTTTAATGCTTTTGGATACTGGATTATTATTTACTTTGTACTTTTGAGGATTTATTTTCAATTTTACTAAGTAAAGTCCCTGTCCTATTTTTTTAGTCATGTGTTTGGCAACAAAATTATGAAGTAAGTTGTCATGGTAATAAGATAAATACTCCGAAGAGGATGAGCCAAGTTAGACTTGTTCCTGTATTGCTGTGGATATTCTGTATTGTTGTTTTGCTGTGCATATTCTGCATTGCTGTGGATATTCTGCGTTGTCGTGTTGCTGTGGGTATTCTGTATTGCTGTGGGTATTCTGTATTGCTGTGGATATTCTGTATTGTTGTTTTGCTGTGGATATTCTGTATTGCTGTGGGTATTCTGTATTGCTGTGGATATTCTGTATTGTTGTGGATATTCTGTATTGTTGTTTTGCTGTGCATATTCTGCATTGCTGTGGATATTCTGCATTGTCGTATTGCTGTGGGTATTCTGTATTGCTGTGGATATTCTGTATTGCTGTGGGTATTCTGTATTGCTGTGGATATTCTGTATTGCTGTGGATATTCTGTATTGCTGTGGATATTCTGTATTGTTGTTTTGCTGTGGATATTCTGTATTGCTGTGGATATTCTGTATTGCTGTGGATATTCTGTATTGTTGTGGATATTCTGTATTGCTGTGGGTATTCTGTATTGTTGTTTTGCTGTGGATATTCTGTATTGCTGTGGGTATTCTATATTGCTGTGGATATTCTGTATTGTTGTGGATATTCTGTATTGTTGTTTTGCTGTGGATATTCTGTATTGCTGTGGGTATTCTGTATTGTTGTTTTGCTGTGGATATTCTGTATTGCTGTGGATATTCTGTATTGCTGTGGATATTCTGTATTGTTGTTTTGCTGTGGATATTCTGTTTTGCTGTGGATATTCTGTATTGCTGTGGATATTCTGTATTGTTGTATTTCTGTGCTTATTCTATATTACTGTGGATATTCTGTATTGTGGTATTGTTGTGGATATTCTGTGTTGCTGTATTGCTGTGGATATTGAGTGCAGAGTTTACCTTAGCACATACAGCAGCCCTTCCACAAGTGACTCGCCCTGGGGCACATTCACCCAAGCAGGCTGTAGAGAATGGTTGGTTACATCCTCCCCTGGATTGAAAGACACCCTCCGAGTGGTGCTTACCACACCTCATGGTGTAGATATTCGTCCCTTAGTTAAACTCTTCCAGACTTTCTTTCAGTTTGCCTGAGGTCACCAAGCTGGCACCTGGGCAGAGAGGTTTAACATTATCAGCTTCAAACACCGGCCCTGCCAGCATCCTCGTCCAGGCACCTCTGTCTAGCATTGCAGGCACCACCTCACCCGAGGGTGTGATGAGCATCATTCATCATTCTTCCTTTTGCTCATGTATTTGCTCATTCACCACACCTCTAGCGATACCCACCATGTACTTGACATGGCCCTGAGTTCGGGGAATTGGCATGCAGTCCCAGGCCCCACTGGAAGCTCCGGTCCTCAGGAGTCAGACACAAGAGTGGGTTTACACCTGCATCTTGTGCATCTCAACACTCTGGGGACCTTATAGTTTTGGATCAAGAGCCTTGGAAGGAGAAAGCATCTGCAGCCCCACATCCCACCCTGAGTGCAGAGACCAGAGACACATACAGACCCCAGGGTTCTGGGGATTCAGCCTGCATTGTCCCCACTGTCATGGAACCGAAAACCTAAGTCTCCAACTTTGCTTTTTGTCTCCAAATTGTGTGCTCTGCTGGGTCAATCGGTTCCTCCTTGTGCCCTGGGTCTGTCAGGCTTCCAGGCACCATGGGCTCTGCACCCTGCGGGCTCCTGCAGAAAACTTTCTCCTTCAGCTCCACAGGGGGGTAGTAGGGGACCTAATTTGCTTCACTGGGGGTGCCTGTCTTGTTTTTCTACCGTTATTCCAGCACTGACAGAGAGTCACTGTGTTTTCCATAATTAGTCCCACAGAGGCATCTCTTCCCATTCTGTTCTCTCAATTTGTTTATTTCATGGCTTATTATTATACAGAGATATTATGCAGGAGCACAGGAAAGAGCATGCATCCCAGGCTGGGTCCGTGGCCCCACTTTGCTGGAGAGGGTTGCCCCGAGATAGAAAGTGGAGAAGTGGGAGGAAGGAATTCCAGGCCAAGGGAGCAGAGTGCACAGAGTGTGCAGGGGAGGGCATGGGGCTGGCAGGTGGGGCCAGAGGAGTTAGGCAGGCTCAGATGACCAGGGTACTGGTGTTCTTCTAAACAGCCGTCACACTGCAGGTGTATGCAAAGCAGCTCTCTAATTTCCAACACACACACAAAAAAACAGTGGATGGTCAGACACGACACTGAGATAATAGCTTCAGCTAAGATTGATTATTCTGTGCCACTTAAAGAGGGGATAATGACTTGGGGCAAGGAAGGCAGAGGGATTACAGGTAGCGAGGGCAGGGGAGTGGAGCACAGGGGGCCCCCTGGGGCAGCTGGGAGTTCAATCCATGGCAGGCAGCCTGGCTTCAGGCAGCACGGTGGGGCCTCCACACAGAGAGACCGGTGGAGGGGCTGGGACCCAGGGCAGCAGATTAAGTGGCACCTGAGCTTGTGGTTCCACCAAAAGCGCAGTGCCTGTTTCTAGTGGCCTCCTGGAGGGATGTAGTGCCCTAATCTTTCTGCTTTCTTCCGTGATTGAGCTGGCAGAGAGGTAGATGATTCAGAGGACTGTGACTTACAAGGTGTGTTTGCAGGGACAGTTGCTCCTTTGATGGAAGATGTAAGGAGGTGGGCCTGTGTTGAAGCCCTCCTGAGTATGGCTACTGTTCCTATCGGCCTATGACTAGAGAAGCCCAGGAACTAACACTTCTTTTGGATGTATGCTTGGCTTCAGCTTTATTTTTTAAGTTTTGCCTTTCATAAATTGTGACGTTTTGTTTTTTTTCTGCACTTGCTCAAATGTTTAAAGACAATGATTTGAAAAGTCATTTATCCACATATTGTTTTTAATGAATCAAAATAAAAATGGCATCACTTTCTTCATTTTTCAGAAATTAAATCCTTTTTGTTAAGAATTTTTCTCTTCTTCAACCCCAAGCACGAACCTACCCTTATTTTCCGCTCATCTAGAAACAATGATGATAATGACTAAAACTTCTCAGGAAAGCCTGGCTAGCTGGAATCCTTTATTGTCATGATTCAAAAACACTCTGGCTGTACTCTTTGAATATAAAATAACTCGTCTCTACAATATTGAGAGAGAAGTAGCTTTCGCAGGCCTCCACTGGTGCTCACAGTTTTCCACTCTGAAATCTGGCTGTTTTCCTGGTCCATGTCATGTCTCACCTTCAGCTCAGGGCACCCTCACCCCAAGTTTCAGCCCAGGCCTCTCCCCTGGGCTTTGCCTATTACATCTGTTAATTTAAAAAACCACAAGACAATTGGCCGGGTACAATGCCTCACGCCTGTAATCCCAGCACTTTGGGAGGCCGTGGCGGGCGGATCACGAGGTCAGGAGATCGAGATCATCCTGACTAACATGGTGAAACCCCACTTCTACTAAAAATATGAAAAACTAGCCAGGCGTGGTGGTGAGCGCCTGTAGTCCCAGCTACTCGGGAGGCTGAGGCAGGAGGATGGCATGAACCCGAGAGGCGGAGCTTGCAGTGAGCCGAGATCTCGCCACTGCACTCCACTCCAGCCTGGGCCACAGAGCGAGACTCCATCTCAAAAAAAAAAAAAAAGAAAGAAAGAAAAGGAAAAAAAAAAAAAGAAACAAGACAATCTATAAATTTGTTTTAGAGTTGCAGCCTGCAAGGTGGCCGTCCTGCAGGCTGGGAAGCACAGCCTCTAGTTGAAGCACAGAGATAGGTAGTTTAAAGGAGGAGGAATTAGGGTAGGAGATTTGTTTTGCTCAATGAGTTGGCTAAACCTACATCTAGGGCAGGTTACAGGAGGAGCTATGAATATTTGTGAAGGTCGTCATGAAGGATGTGTATTAAACCAACGTGCATGGAACATATAACCCATGTTCACTTTGGGATGGAGGCTTAACATTTAAATGTATTGCAATTAGGCCTATTTGTCAAAAGGTCTTCTCAGAACACAAAGGCACAAAAGTGCACAATCTGTAAAGCAGGCAGAACCAGTCCATGCTCTGTGGTCTTCTATTCAGGAGAAAGTTACTGAAATCATTCTCTTGTTCAATCAAAGCTGTAGTTACCTCTGCTGGAGCAGCGGGTGAGTTAGTCAGCATCTGGTGGGTCCTCAGAGTTTTTTCATATTGCCCATCTCGAGGCCAGTGCTTGTTTAACTTCTAGAGAAAAAGAGAAACCTCTTGGCGATTAGAACATATTTCATTCTTTAAAGGAAGGGTGCATGACTTCACCCTTTCCTGGTATGGCCTCAGGTTCTGTTTATAATTTGGTGTCTTATTGTCACAAAGAATCTGTTCTGTCAGTTTTAGGATCTTTCTTGTAACATAAATGCTGTTCAGTTGTGTCTCAACTCCAAAAGGGAGGGGGCATAATGAGGCCTGTCTGACCTCCCATCCCGTCATGGCCGGGAACTCAGCTTCAAGGTTTTTCTGGGGTCCTCTTGGCCACAAAGGTTCTATTCAGTCAGTGGAGGGCTTAGAATTTAATTATTAATTTACACATCCAACACTCTTGGTCCTTCAAGATATGTGGTGGGTGCCAGAAACTCTCCCTTTCTAGAAACTCCACGAGTCTGTTTCTCTTGACTGAGTCACCATCTCTCCATCCAGATGCATAGTCTGCCAAGATCAGACACTGGCAACCTCCCGCCTAATCCCCTCCTCCTCTATCCCCACATCCAGTTAGTCCCAAACTATGATTAGGCTGCCTCCTAAGTCATTTTTCAGGTCCTTTGTCCTTCCCTGTCACCATGGACACTGCATTTGCTCTTCTTGGCACACTTGATTACCTGGTCTCCATCCCACCCCATATTGCTGCTAGAGACCCATAGGATGGGCGCCATCTGTCTTCCCATCATGTGTCTCCCATGCATTAATCCCATCTGCGCCTGTTCCTTGGCTACGTCCAGACTTCTTTTCTTTTTTTTTTAAATTTATTTATTTATTATTATTATACTTTAAGTTTTAGGGTACATGTGCACAATGTGCAGGTTAGTTACATATGTATACATGTGCCATGCTGGTGCGCTGCACCCACTAACTCGTCATCTAGCATTAGGTATATCTCCTAAAGCTATCCCTCCACCCTCCCCCCACCCCACAACAGTCCCCAGAGTGTGATATTCCCCTTCCTGTGTCCATGTGTTCTCATTGTTCAATTCCCACCTATGAGTGAGAATATGCAGTGTCTGGTTTTTTGTTCTTGCGATAGTTTACTGAGAATGATGATTTCCAATTTCATCCATGTCCCTACAAAGGACATGAACTCATCATTTTTTATGGCTGCATAGTATTCCATGGTGTATATGTGCCACATTTTCTTAATCCAGTCTATCATTGTTGGACATTGGGTTGGTTCCAAGTCTTTGCTATCGTGAATAATGCCGCAATAAACATACGTGTGCATGTGTCTTTATAGCAGCATGATTTATAGTCCTTTGGGTATATACCCAGTAATGGGATGGTTGGGTCAAATGGTATTTCTAGTTCTAGATCCCTGAGGAATCGCCACACTGACTTCCACAATGGTTGAACTAGTTTACAGTCCCACCAACAGTGTAAAAGTGTTCCTATTTCTCCGCATCCTCTCCAGCACCTGTTGTTTCCTGACTTTTTAATGATTGCCATTCTAACTGGTGTGAGATGGTATCTCATTGTGGTTTTGATTTGCATTTCTCTGATGGCCAGTGATGGTGAGCATTTTTTCATGTGTTTTTTGGCTGCATAAATGTCTTCTTTTGAGAAGTGTCTGTTCATGTCCTTTGCCCACTTTTTGATGGGGTTGTTTGCTTTTTTCTTGTAAATTTGTTTGAGTTCTTTGTAGATTCTAGATATTAGCCCTTTGTCAGACAAGTAGGTTGCAAAAATTTTCTCCCATTTTGTAGGTTGCCTGTTCACTCTGATGGTAGTTTCTTTTGCTGTGCAGAAGTTCTTTAGTTTAATTAGATCCCATTTGTCAATTTTGGCTTTTGTTGCCATTGCTTTTGGTGTTTTAGACATGAAGTCCTTGCCCATGCGTATGTCCTGAATGGTAATGCCTAGGTTTTCTTCTAGGGTTTTTATGGTTTTAGGTCTAACATGTAAGTCTTTAATCCATCTTGAATTGATTTTTGTATAAGGTGTAAGGAAGGGATCCAGTTTCAGCTTTCTACATATGGCTAGCCAGTTTTCCCAGCACCATTTATTAAATAGGTAATCCTTTCCCCATTGCTTGTTTTTCTCAGGTTTGTCAAAGATCAGATAGTTGTAGATATGCGGCGTTATTTCTGAGGGCTCTGTTCTGTTCCATTGATCTATATCTCTGTTTTGGTACCAGTACCATGCTGTTTTTGTTACTGTAGCCTTGTAGTATAGTTTGAAGTCAGGTAGTGTGATGCCTCCAGCTTTGTTCTTTTGGCTTAGGATTGACTTGGCGATGTGGGCTCTTTTTTGGTTCCATATGAACTTTAAAGTAGTTTTTTCCAATTCTGTGAAGAAAGTCATTGGTAGCTTGATAGGGATGGCATTGAATCTGTAAATTACCTTGGGCAGTATGGCCATTTTCACGATATCGATTCTTCCTACCCATGAGCATGGAATGTTCTTCCATTTGTTTGTATCCTCTTTTATTTCATTGAGCAGTGGTTTGTAGTTCTCCTTGAAGAGGTCCTTCACATCCCTTGTAAGTTGGATTCCTAGGTATTTTATTCTCTTTGAAGCAATTGTGAATGGGGGTTCACTCATGATTTGGCTCTCTGTTTGTCTGTTGTTGTATAAGAATGCTTGTGATTTTTGTACATTGATTTTGTATCCTGAGACTTTGCTGAAGTTGCTTATCAGCTTAAGGAGATTTTGGGCTGAGACAATGGGGTTTTCTAGATATACAATCATGTCGTCTGCAAACAGGGACAATTTGACTTCCTCTTTTCCTAATTGAATACCCTTTATTTCCTTCTCCTGCCTAATTGCCCTGGCCAGAACTTCCAACACTATGTTGAATAGGAGTGGTGAGAGAGGGCATCCCTGTCTTGTGCCAGTTTTCAAAGGGAATGCTTCCAGTTTTTGCCCCTTCAGTATGATATTGGCTGTGGGTTTGTCATAGATAGCTCTTATTATTTTGAAATACGTCCCATCAATACCTAATTTATTCAGAGTTTTTAGCATGAAGGGTTGTTGAATTTTGTCAAAGGCCTTTTCTGCATCTATTGAGATAATCATGTGGTTTTTGTCTTTGTCTCTGTTTATATGCTGGATTACATTTATTGATTTGCGTATATTGAACCAGCCTTGCATCCCCGGGATGAAGCCCACTTGATCATGGTGGATAAGCTTTTTGATGTGCTGCTGGATTTGGTTTGCCAGTATTTTATTGAGGATTTTTGCATCAATGTTCATCAAGGATATTGGTCTAAAATTCTCTTTTTTGGTTGTGTCTCTGCCCCGCTTTGGTATCAGGATGATGCTGGCCTCATAAAATGAGTTAGGGAGGATTCCCTCTTTTTCTGTTGATTGGAATAGTTTTAGAAGGAATGGCACCAGTTCCTCCTTGTACCTCTGGTAGAATTCGGCTGTGAATCCATCTGGTCCTGGACTCTTTTTGGTTGGTAAGCTATTGATTACTGCCACAATTTCAGATCCTGTTATTGGTCTATTCAGAGATTCAACTTCTTCCTGGTTTAGTCTTGGGAGAGTGTGTATGTCCAGAAATTTATCCATTTCTTCTAGATTTTCTAGTTGATTTGCATAGAGTTGTTTGTAGTATTCTCTGATGGTAGTTTGTATTTCTGTGGGATCGGTGGTGATATCCCCTTTATCATTTTTTATTGCGTCTATTTGATTCTTCTCTCTTTTTTTCTTTATTAGTCTTGCTACTGGTCTATCAATTTTGTTGATCCTTTCAAAAAACCAGCTCCTGGATTCATTAATTTTCTGAAGGGTTTTTTGTGTCTCTTATTTCCTTCAGTTCTGCTCTGATTTTAGTTATTTCTTGCCTTCTGCTAGCTTTTGAATGTGTTTGCTCTTGCTTTTCTAGTTCCTTTAATTGTGATGTTAGGGTGTCAATTTTGGATCTTTCCTGCTTTCTCTTGTGGGCATTTAGTGCTATAAATTTCCCTCTACACACTGCTTTGAATGCGTCCCAGAGATTCTGGTATGTTGTATCTTTGTTCTCATTGGTTTCAAAGAACATCTTTATTTCTGCCTTCATTTCATTATGTACCCAGTAGTCATTCAGGAGCAGGTTGTTCAGTTTCCATGTAGTTGAGCGGTATTGCGTGAGTTTCTTAATCCTGAGTTCTAGTTTGATTGCACTGTGGTCTGAGAGATAGTTTGTTATAATTTCTGTTCTTTTACATTTGCTGAGGAGAGCTTTACTTCCAAGTATGTGGTCAATTTTGGAATAGGTGTGGTGTGGTGCTGAAAAAAATGTATATTCTGTTGATTTGGGGTGGAGAGTTCTATAGATGTCTATTAGGTCCGCTTGGTGCAGAGCTGAGTTCAATTCCAGGGTATCCTTGTTGACTTTCTGTCTCGTTGATCTGTCTAATGTTGACAGTGGGGTGTTAAAGTCTCCCATTATTAATGTGTGGGAGTCTAAGTCTCTTTGTAGGTCACTCAGGACTTGCATTATGAATCTGAGTGCTCCTGTATTGGGTGCATATATATTTAGGATAGTTAGCTCTTCTTGTTGAATTGATCCCTTTACCATTATGTAATGGCCTTTGTCTCTTTTGATGTTTGTTGGTTTAAAGTCTGTTTTATCAGAGACTAGGATTGCAACCCCTGCCTTTTTTTGTTTTCCATTTGCTTGGTAGATCTTCCTCCATCCTTTTATTTTGAGCCTGTGTGTGTCTCTGCACGTGAGATGGGTTTCCTGAATACAGCACACTGATGGGTCTTGACTCTTTATCCAATTTGCCAGTCTATGTCTTTTAATTGGAGCATTTAGTCCATATACATTTAAAGTTAATATTGTTATGTGTGAATTTGATCCTGTCATTATGATGTTAGCTGGTTATTTTGTTCATTATTTGATGCAGTTTCTTCCTAGTCTCGATGGTCTTTACATTTTGGCATGATTTTGCAGCGGCTGGTACCAGTTGTTCCTTTCCATGTTTAGTGCTTCCTTCAGGAGCTCTTTTAGGGCAGGCCTGGTGGTGACAAAATCTCTCAGCATTTGCTTGTCTGTAAAGTATTTTATTTCTCCTTCACTTATGAAGCTTAGTTTGGCTGGATATGAAATTCTGGGTTGAAAATTCTTTTCTTTAAGAATGTTGAATATTGGCCCCCACTCTCTTCTGCCTTGTAGGGTTTCTGCCGAGAGATCCGCTGTTAGTCTGATGGGCTTCCCTTTGAGGGTAACCCGACCTTTCTCTCTGGCTGCCCTTAACATTTTTTCCTTCATTTCAACTTTGGTGAATCTCACAATTATGTGTCTTGGAGTTGCTCTTCTCGAGGAGTATCTTTGTGGTGTTCTCTGTATTTCCTGAATCTGAACGTTGGCCTGCCTTGCTAGATTGGGGAAATTCTTCTGGATAATATCCTGCGGAGTGTTTTCCAACTTGGTTCCATTCTTCCCATCACTTTCAGGTACACTAATCAGACGTAAATTTGGTCTTTTCATATAGTCCCATATTTCTTGGAGGCTTTGCTCGTTTCTTTTTATTCTTTTTCTCTAAACTTTCCTTCTCGCTTCATTTCATTCATTTCGTCTTCCATCGCTGATACCCTTTCTTCCAGTTGATCGCATCGGCTCCTGAGGCTTCTGCATTCTTCACGTAGTTCTCGAGCCTTGGTTTTCAGCTCCATCAGCTCCTTTAAGCACTTCTCTGTATTGGTTATTCTAGTTATACATTCTTCTAAATTTTTTTCAAAGTTTTCAACTTCTTTGCCTTTGGTTTGAATGTCCTCCCGTAGCTCAGAGTAATTTGATCGTCTGAAGCCTTCTTCTCTCAGCTCGTCAAAGTCATTCTCCATCCAGCTTTGTTCCATTGCTGGTGAGGAGCTGCGTTCCTTTGGAGGAGGAGAGGCACTCTGATTTTTAGAGTTTCCAGTTTTTCTGTTCTGTTTTTTCCCCATCTTTGTGGTTTTATCTACTTGTGGTCTTTGATGATGGTGATGTACAGATGGGTTTTTGGTGTGGATGTCCTTTCTGTTTGTTAGTTTTCCTTCTAACAGAGAGGACCCTCAGCTGCAGGTCTGTTGGAGTACCCTGCAGTGTGAGGTGTCTGTGTGCCCCTGCTGGAGGGTGCCTCCCAGTTAGGCTGCTCGGGGTTCAGGGGTCAGGGACCCACTTGAGGAGGCAGTCTGCCCGTTCTCAGATCTCCAGCTGCGTACTGGGAGAACCACTGCTCTCTTCAAAGCTGTCAGACAGGGACATTTAAGTCTGCAGAGGTTACTGCTGTCTTTTTGTCTTGTAGGCTCCCCAGAGGTAGAGCCTACAGAGGCAGGCAGGCCTCCTTGAGCTGTTGTGGGCTCCACCCAGTTCCAGCTTCCCGGCTGCTTTGTTAACCTAAGCAAGCCTGGGCAATGGCGGGTGAGCCTCCCCCAGCCTCGCTGCCGCCTTGCAGTTTGATCTCAGACTGCTGTGCTAGCAATCAGCGAGATTCCGTGGGCGTAGGACCCTCCGAGCCAGGTGCGGGATATAATCTCGTGGTGCGCCGTTTTTTAAGCCCCTGGGAAACGCACAGTATTCGGGTGGGAGTGACCCGATTTTCCAGGTGCCGTCCCGATTTTCCAGGTGCCGTCCGTCACCCCTTTGTTTGATTAGGAAAGGGAACTGCCTGACCCCTTGCGCTTCCCGAGTGAGGCAATGCCTCACCCTGCTTCGGCTCGCACACAGTGCACGCACCCACTGACCTGCACCCACTGTCTGGCACTCCCTAGTGAGATGAACCCAGTACCTCAGATGGAAATGCAGAAATCACCCGTCTTCTGCGTCGCTCAGGCTGGGAGCTGTTGACCGGAGCTGTTCCTATTCGGCCATCTTCAAGAGTTTCTAATAATGCATTTGCATTCAAGATTTGTTCATTACATTTTAAGGTAGGGATATATTTACCTCTTGGAACTTGTAGTCAGCAAGTATACAATTTTATATTTGGTCATTTATAGATTCTGGGCATAATTTATAAAGGAAAGTGAGAAAAATAAATGATACGAAATTATAAACTACTCCCCTGGGATGGAAAAGCATAATAGAACCAAACCAAACAAAACAATAAAACCATAGGACAATATACCATATGTTTCTCCACAATGTTAGGTCTTTGGACTATTAAATATTCTATAGTAAAAATATGCTAAAACTCACCAAGTTAGTAAATGACAAGTCTTTTTTCTTGTTAATCTCTTTCCTCCTTCCCCTACATAGAAATGAAATCTCAAGGACATCAATGAAAAGCAATTCTAAGTAAAAAAAAAAAAAGGAACCACTTTATCTTCCTCAGAAAAGCTATCACATAATTCTCTGCTTGAGCAAAAACTTTATTTTTAGTGTAGAATTGAGTTCAGAAGTTGTTAAATATAACTTTTGTAAAATTTGAGGCTTTTCATTTTTTATTTACTCTTTAGAAACTCATTCTTTTTAGAATCAAGATGAGAAGAAGCAATTTAAATATTTAACTTGGGTCTCAGAAATCATAGTATTCCACAAGATAAAGAGTTTTAAATTTTTGTGCTTTTTTCAGGCACACATGTTTGAGAGTCTAGGAACTGATAGAACATATTTAATCTACAGCAGCAATTTTCTAGGTACCTACCATGTGCCAAGTATTATGTTGGATTGGGGGAACATTCTAGTAAACAAGAGTTCCCTATTTCCGGGGAGACAATGAAACCAGGAGTCACCTTAAAGCCCAATTGTGTTACAATGGGGGAAGCCCAGAGCACAAAGGAATGCAATCAGGGCAGGCCTGCATGGTCAAGGGGTCAGAGAAGGAGTCCCTAATAAATGGATATTTAAGTTGAGACCTGACCATGGGTGAAGGACACGGGCAGGGGAAGGTTGTACTGGGTAGAGGACGTGGCAAAGGCCTGCAGGTGAGAGACAGCATTGGTGCCCTTGAGTCAAATGAAGGCCATCAGCAAGTGCAGGCCCTGGAGGAAGAGTGTTGAAAATGAGGAAGGAGGGGCCAGATCTCGAGGTCTTGAGAACCAGGAGGTTTGTTCATCTACAAGGTGATGGTGGGGTATTCAAGAGTTAAAAAAACATAATCCTGTTTCTAAATGCCACTCTGACTACAAACACTGGAGGGGTAACACAGGAGGCAGGAGACAAGCCAGAGAGCTGGATCCACAGTCCAAGAAAAAGATAATCAAGGCTCTACTAGAAGTTGAATAGAAGAAAAATTGAATATATACAAGAGATATTCTAGAAGCAAAGCTAAATATATTTGGTGACTGTTCAAATGTTGGTGATGAAGGAGGAGACCAGTGCACCCCACATAGCTGTGCTGGTTGCACACCGAGCACCCCAGGAGTGCCACCGTCATCATATCTACATGGAAGTCTCGTGAAGAAGTTGTACAGTGTGGCAGAACCCAAGAGCCCAGTGATGAAAGGCTGTGTCTAGGCCTCTATGTTGGGCAAATGGAAAGATGTTGGTGAAAGTTCAGAAGAGAATTAAGATTCTTAGTGGGGGTGGGGATGGAGGTAGCAGTGACAAAGGGAAATGATGAAGTGAGTGCTAAACACTTTGAGTTTAAAGACGCATAAGAGAGGAGGAACAGTATGTTTGGCGCTAAGGATTTTGGTCTACATGGGAATTGGATATTAGAGAAATCTTTGCACTCATGAGCTCACCAATTGATCTTGAAGAGTTGCCTAAGATTAGACAAGGAGAACATGTAGGTTCAGAAGGAGAAAGACCACTACCAAAACATCAAAAAACACCATGTTCATTGAGGAAGAGATTCAAAGGGGACTGATGACAAGATGGAGAAGGCAGATGGGAAACCAGAAAAGTGTGGTGCCACGGGATCCAGGAAGGAGGTGAGGTTGCCAAAGGGAAAAGGTCCACTGGGTTTAATGACACATGGTCACAGGTGGCCTCGATTAGAAGGATTCTGGGAGAAGGTGCAGAAGCCAGACTGTAATGAATTGAAAATGGAGGAGAAACTGCAGAAATGGAAGCAGATGGTGCAGACAGTTCTTTTGTGCAGTTTGGTTGTGATTATCAGGATAAACCATTAGAAAATGAATCAGGATAATGGGAGGTATTAAGGATACAAAAGGAATAGTGTATGTTTTTCAGAGTATGAACAATAGCCTCTAGAATATAGTGGAGGTAGTTGCTTTCCTATAGGATGAGGCACACATTTTTCATTACAATAGGAGGGTGGGGCATCCCACATATTTTCAATATATTTTTCACTTGAGTTAGCTCAGAACTCAAAAAGATGTAAACTTATATATCCTGATACTCAGAGAACAAATTTCTCAAGAACCATCTTGAAAATTCATATGTTCTCCAATACAATTACTATTTCATCACTTTTTGGAGAAATTCTCTTTCTCTTTTCAATTTACCTGTTCAGTGGCTTATACAATTTTAATGCTAATGGTATAGAAATTCAAATAGTTTCATGGATGTGGAAGAAAATGAACATCAATCTTTGCCCAAATAAGCTATGAGAATCTGTGAAGCACAAGTTGGAAGTAATAGCTGGATTCTTAAAAGAGGAGCCCTCTGTTAAATATCTGCATTCTGGCTCCCTACAGTCCAGTTGAAAATGTTCACAGGTACATAGGAAATCCTGGTTTGCTTCCAACTTTACATCTGGCACCTTGTATTAGTCCATTCTTGCATTGCTATAAAGAAATACCTGAGACTGTGTAGTTTATAAGAAAAAAGGTTTAATTGACTCACAATTCCTCAGGCTGTACAGGAACTATGGCAGCATCTGCTACTGGGGAGGCCTCAGGGAGAATTTACTCATTATGGAAGGCAAAGTGGGAGCAGGCATCTTACATGGCTGAAGCAGATGGGAGAGACAGAGGGAATAGGGGTGCTACACACTTTTAAACAACCAAATCTTGTGAGAACTCTTATCTCTATACAGTCCCAAAGGAGATTGCTAAACCATTCATGAGAACTCCACCTCCATAATCCCATCACCTCCCACTAGGCCCCAGCTCCAACACTGGAGATTACAATTCAATTCAACATAAGATTTGGGTGAGGACATAGATCCAAACCATATTATTCCAGCGCTGGCCCCTTCAAATCTCATGTTCTTCTCATAACGTAAAATACAGTCATCCTTTCCCAACAGTGCTCAAAGTCTTAACTCATTCCAGTACTAACTCAAAATCCAAAGTCTCTTTTGATACAAGGCTAGTCTCTTTCACCTTTGAGCTTACAAAATAAGAAACAAGTTAGTTACTTCCAAGAAACAATGAAGGTATAGGCATTGGGTAAATACTCCTGTTCCCAAAGGGATAAATTGGCCAAAAGAAAGGGGCTAGAGACCCCATGCAAGTCTTCAACCCAACAGGGCAGTCAATAGATCTTAAAGCTCCAAAATAATCTCCTTTGACTCCATGTCTCACATCCAGCGCACACTGGTGAGAAGGTTGGGCCCCCAAGGTCTTGGGCATCTCCACTTTTGTGGCTTTGCATGGTTCAGTGGCTGCTCTTGTGAACTGGCATTGAGTGCCTGAGACATTTCCAGCTGCAGGGTGCAAGCTGCTGGGGACTCCCTCTATGGCCTGTCATTAGCATTTGGCGTGCAGAGAATTACAAGAAAAACAGTTATTCCCTTCACAGAGCTTCAAGCCCAAGAGGGAAAAGTTGATGTTAAATAATTGAACAAATCTACCATTCTGGGGTCTGGAGGATGGTGGCCCTCTTCTCACAGCTCCACTAGGCATTGCCCCAATGGGGACTTTCTGTGGGGGCCCTAACCCCATGTTTTCCCTCTGTACTGCTCTAGTGGAGGTTCTCTATGAGGCACCTCTACCATGCAGCCTGTTGTGTAGTATGCCATCTTCCTTCTCAGGGAGCTCACCAGTATCTTGGGTCATTACCCAATCTCAGGATAGAATCTGAGCAAAGTTTCGGGTTCTACTCTTGAAGGTCCATGCACTGGGATCATACTGGGCTCTGTTGAGAAGAAACTCTCCAGACACCATGAAAATATGTCTAGTGTATCCCCTGGGCTCAGCAGTGGGCACTTACTCCTAAGGCTGGGAGGAAACAAGGTCTGCCTTTGCTGAGCATGATGTCTTCTCTGAGTTGTCATTTCCTGACTAAATGACTGGTCCTAGGTCCCCAGGGACCATTCTCTTATCATATCTTCTATTTCACTCCTCCCTGTCCCCAGCCAGCCTGAGTTCCAGTTTAACATGCTGTTTTCTCCCGTATTTTGAATCTGTCCCGGGATCCTTTCCATGTCCCTCAGAGGATAAGATATTAAATACCAGAATTCCAGAAAAGATTCTTTTTTCACTTCATTTTTTGTGGCCCACTTCTCATGTATACGATGAGCTTGGAACAAGGGCAAAAAGAAAGGGAAAATTGAGAGGGAATAATGAAGAATAAAACAAAATGTCCCACCCCAATAGCAAGATCTCTGATTCCTTAGACCAGCAGGGAGAGTATGAGCTTGGCAACCACCCCACCCTTTGTCCGGGAGCCTGCCCAGTCATGAAGCCCCTGTAAAGCACAGAGTTGCCCAGAGAGGAAGGAGGAGGATCTGCTCCCAGCACTGGTTGTGTTGAAAGTGCACAATCTGGGGCTGGGGAATGGCCAATGGGACAAGGTCTCTGCAACCCTGGCCTCTGCTCTTCCTGAGGGTGGTTGATACCTGTGGCTTTCCAGAGAGCAAAAGAAGGGGTGATCTTCATGAGGCCACAGATTCTGCTTCAGACTCTTGTTTTTTTTTTTTTTTTTTTTGAGATGGAGTCTCGCTCTGTCGCCCAGGCCGGACTGCGGACTGCAGTGGCGCAATCTCGGCTCACTGCAAGCTCCGCTTCCCGGGTTCACGCCATTCTCCTGCCTCAGCCTCCCGAGTAGCTGGGACTACAGGCGCCCGCCACCACGCCCGGCTAATTTTTTGTATTTTTAGTAGAGAAGGGGTTTCACCTTGTTAGCCAGGATGGTCTCCATCTCCTGACCTCATGATCCACCCGCCTCGGCCTCCCAAAGTTCAGCTTTTGATTCTTGAATGAATATCTTGGCTTAAAAAAAAAGCAAAATAACTGCTAATGTCTTCCTTTGGCATCACAAATATGCCCCGTTAGGTGGCGGCCTTCATTTCTCCACTAAACTGTAGATACCACTTTTTTTTTTTTTTTTTTTTTTGAGACGGAGTTTTGCTCTTGTTGCCCAGGCTGGAGTACAATGGCGCGATCTCGGCTCACTGCAACCTCCGCCTCCAGGGTTCAAGCGATTCTCCTGCCTCAGCCTCCCGAGTAGTTGGGATTACAGGCATGCATCACCATGCCTGGCTAATTTTGTATTTTTAGTAGAGACGGGGTGTCTCTGTGTTGCCCAAGCTGGTCTAGAACTCCCGACCTCAGGTGATCCCCCCGCCTTAGCCTCCCAAAGTGCTGGGACCACAGGCGTGAACCACCACATCCGGCCCTAAATTTTTGATTCCATAAAAACTTTTGGATTTTGTATTTAGCTCTAAAAGCACATCCCAGCTGACAACAATTAATTGAAGTTCATCTCACCTTCTCTATTTACTTGCGCCATAATCTTTAAATACCATGAGCTTTGAATGAAAAATCCTCATCACATTACTCCAACCTAAGACTATTCATTAAACTATTTTAAAGGTTCTTTATAGCTCAATGAACCCTTCAAACAAGTGTAATTTTTAGTGTAAATATGATTTTGTGGGAAATAAACTGAAAAGCATTATGCTACTATTAATAACCACTGCTGACTCTTCCTAAGGTAATTTACTATATCTCATGTTAAATCTGTGTACAATCCTTATAATATTAATGTACTGAGACTGATACAATTTATTCTTGTATACACTAAACATACTATTTTGGATCTTCACCCAGAAAAAAATACTGTTCTCTTTTTTTATTTGAATGGGTTTTCAACTTAAGTAGGATGCCATCTTAATTTGATTAAGCAAGTGTGTAAATATACCTTTGCAGACTCCTCTCACATCTATACATTTAATTTTCCTAAGTCTGAATTTAAAATTGAGTTAAAGGGGAACTGGAGACAAAGCAGTGCATCCTGGAGAACTTCTTCCTTGCTTACTTACGTTTAAAATGATCAGTTAGAATCTGTTTCTTTATGGAAATAAGAAAATACCTATCAATGAGGTCAAGAGTATATTACATGTGGTTTTCCTGAACAGTACAAGGTAAACTCTGGTGTATAAGGGTGCTTGTTGTTCTTTGAACTGACAGAATTTTGTTGAAAATGAAAAGTATTTGTAACACTTAAAAGAAAAGCTTCACAGCATGGCAGTTCCATCAAAACTTTACAACTGGGATCTACTGATGTCAATGTTATAATTTTTTTTCTATAGGATATTAGAAAGAAGGGTAAACATGAGTGATACTTAAAAGTCAAACAATTTTTCTGTTGGAAATAAAAAGTTTAATGTGTAAGAGTGTTGTAAAAATAATACTGGGAGTTTTGTGTGTTTATCTCCTTGATAAATAATTCAGGGAAAGAGAGTTTGCAGGGAAAGGTGGTTTAAGAAAGCTCTACTAGATGTTTTATGGAGACAGTGTTTGCAAAACTTTTGAAAATAGTTATTTGAAATAGCCAGTTATTGCTTAGTTGAAGTAACAATAAACTTTTATATTAGAACACAGGACTCACTATCCAACTTGTTTTATCTGCCACAGTTTCTAAGGCAGGATTCCATATAGTTAAATCCTGCTATGATATAGACTTTCTTTTTCAAGCCATTTCTTTCCTTTTGAGGGTTTTGCAAGAGTTCTCTTTCTCTCTCTCTCATACTGATACCTTCTTTATTTACAACTAAGTCGCTATACGAAAGCAACCCAGGGAATATGGGGTCCTCTGTGTGGTTCATTTTCAATGTCTCTGTGTTGGGGCATTGCCTGATGGCCATGAGCTGTGCCCATCTACACTTGGCATCTTAGTCACCTACATCTCCATCTGTCACACTGACCTGCTGGCATCCTTCTGCTCTGCAATCAAGTTGCAAAGGCCTATGCTTCTCTAGTATAGGTTCAAACATTTCTCTTGAGATGCAAAATTTATTGGGCCAGTGTTATACCTTCATCAGCGTTTTAAGAAGTGCTGAGAATCTGGCCTGGGAGAGTCAGGAAGTAAGGTCATGAAAGATAGTGAGAGAGTATAAAGGTCACTTTGGGGGAGATGTCATTATGGTCAGAGAATTCCGAACGTGAGAGAAGAAAAATAAATGGCCTCAGATGAAAGTAGGTGGCATCAGAGAGTGGGGTGGCTTGATGTCAGTGTTTCAAGGACAGCTTCATTAATGATCCTGACATTGTGAGTGGAGGCCTGCTGGGAGGGCTGGCGGGGAGCAATATTGTACCTACGAGGTTAAAACACCAGCAGTTCGGGGTCCACCCACTTTTCACATAGAAGCTGTGGCCACCAAGAGTGGCAACCATGTCATGTGGAGTGGACGTGACCAGGCAAATGACAGAAGCACCCAGATGTGGGTGCCAAAGGCTGGAGAAGGTTAAGGAGGCCCCAGAGGACTCAGGCATCCCCACAGCTGGGGAAACAATGTCAGCCATGGTAGGGTGGGAGGGGAGGAGAGCTTTGTTTTGTTTTTTGGCTGACCTATTGTTAGAAAGTGAAATGACAAAAATAACTACTCTAAATAGTGAAAAGAATGTACAGGAAAAAAATGAGGGAAACAAAACGCAGGACAATAAATTGCAGTCTTGGAAATAAACTAGTTACAGTAGCTAGTTACTCTGGGGAAGACTTATCCCCACTTCAGAGTGAGAGACCATTTTCTTATCAAAGACATTTACATCATTTCCGCTTCTAGAAGAGGTCCCACATTTCTTCCTTATGTCTTCAATTCTTGGCTTTTCTTTATCTTTTTTCATCACTTCTAGATGATCTCATGGTCAGGGATGCTGATAAGACAGACTATTAATTCTCCCAGGATGAAATTTAAAGTGACTTCATGAGAAAACCCAGAGAACTTCTCTCCAACTCTCATCTGTGATTAATGACTCTGAATTTGGTGATTAGGATGAAGATCCTGATATGAGCCATTTTGCTTGTTCAGGGCTATTGACATGAAATATGAAAAACTAAGCTTTAATCTCATTTCCACAAGCCTCATGGGCTTGTTATTCCTTCAATTTTTATCTGTTTCTACATTTTAAGCAGGAAACTGTGGGGGAGTTGTGTAATCTCAGCTTTGGGAGGGAAAAGCTATCTTTGTTGAAAATTGCCATATTATTTATCCTAAGATATTGTTCTTCTTACTACAATATTAAATATTATTTATATATCTAAAAGTAGAATTAAAAATGGCCTAGCATCAACATGGCACATGTATACATATGTAACAAACCTGCACGTTGTGCACATGTACCATAAAACTTAAAGTATAATAATAATAAAATTAAAAAGAAAATGGCCTAGCATTCCCAAAAATACCTCTAGTGGCAGCTAATTGAGTTGTTAGCACTTTCTATTATAGGATTACAATATAACTGCAGTACTGACGTAGTATTACACAGAATATTATGTAGTATTACACACTATTACACAGAATTTAAAACTATGTTTTTTTTTTTTTTGAGGGAGAGTCTTGTTCTTTGTTGCTCAGGCTGGAGTGCAGTGGCATGATCTCAGCTCACCGCAACCTCTGCCTCCTGGGTTCAAGTGATTCTCCTGCCTCAGCTTCCTGGGTAGCTGGGATTACAGGTGCCCGCCACCATGCCCAGCTAATTTTTTGTGCTTGTAATAGAGATGGAGTTTCACCATTTTGGCCAGGCTGGTCTTGAGCTCCTGACCTTGTGATTCGCCCACCTAGGCCTCCCAAAGTGCTGGGATTACAGGCGTGAGCCACTGCACCAGGCCTAAAAATATGCATTTTATAAATCTTGATACTGGACAGTAAAATAGATTAAAATATGCATAAAGAAACAGGCAGCAGAATCCTAAACACTTAGAGTAGTAATGCACATGTGAATTGCATTCTTTCTCTGGATCACCCTTATCCAGTTATAATTGGGTGCATCCAGCTCTTTTATCCAGAAAAGATGCAGAGAGGACAATAGGATTAAATGGGTCAAAACCAACCACATCTCTACCCCTCTACAAGAGGAAAGTGGAAACTGTTTATTGGCTGGTTTGTTTTTAAATATTTACTGATGACAAATATCTTTGATGAGAGACACGACTTGGAATAAATTACACCATTTATAACAAACTGCTTCTATCCTAACCAAAATCACTTTTAAAATGTGATTTTTGTTCTTAACCAAATGCATATTGAAAATACAAATATTCTCAGGAAGGGAACTCTTGTATCCAGAGTGCCAGCTTTTCCTATATGTAGGAAAATCACTTTTAAAATGTAAAATAAAGTCTTTGTTTCTCTAAGATTTGACAACATATGGAGACCAAATTAATTTAAAGAGGCTCATGTGCTTTGTTATCTATTCACTGGCATGTATGAAAAAATGATGTATTGCTTATTGCTGACAGCTATAGTTAGCAGTGGATGCATTTAAGTTACATAAATAACTTTTAAAGTGCTTGCTTATTGAAGAGAAAATATATTGAGTATTTTGTGGGTCTGTTTTAATTAGGAATACTTTCAAAATTAAGTAGAGTGCTCAAAGAATAAACCTATATTGTGTAATTCAATTAACTGAGTTCTTTAACAATATTAGTATTCCGAGAGTTGTTGAAAATATTTTAGAATAATGTATATATTGCCTATATGTAGACAATGGTTTTATTTTGCCAACATTGCAATTGTGATTTATATAATTAAATTTATCTAAAATTGTTGGCTTTCTTTAGAGCCTTAAAGCATGTCTCATTAACCTAAGTTTTAGTAACACTTGTACAGGGTAAACATATTGAGTAATTGATAGACAAATAAAATTAAGAACTTTATCTCTTCTATAGGAAATTCTAGTTACAATAGAAGCTATTACACTTATTATTCTAAATGGGAAACAGATGAAAAATATGAGTACTACTGGCTATTTAAATTATTGAATTTTAGCTATATTTTCCTCACATATAGATTCTAGCTTTCCCTGATGGCTTTTCGTTACATCTGTGTGCAATTCCCTGTGACTTAATATAAACCATAGCACTGGTAATGAATTTCAGTATCTCAATATTCTCTCAGATAAAATTAACATTTCCCCAGATGCAGGCATTTGTCAAAATTCAGCAAATATACACTTAAGATTTGCACATTTCATTGAATGTAAACTTTACACAAAGCTGTAAATAAATACCAGTCATCCCTCGGTATCTGCGGAAATTGGTTTTAGGATCCTTGCTTACACCAAAATTCACACATACTTAAAGGGACCCTGTGGGACCTGCATATAGGAAAAGCTGGCACTCTGTATACAAGAGTTCCCTTCCTGAGAATATTTGTATTTTCAATACGCATTTGGTTAAAAACAAAAAAAAAAACTCACCCGTAAGTGGACCCACTCAGTTCAAACCCATGTAGTTCAAGGGTTAAGTGCATTGAAAACTAGCTAATGACATGCATGCAGAAATATTTAGGAAGATGCATATTGATGTCTGTAATTTACTTTGAAATGCATAAAACACTGTTTGATAGATGGATCAAGGGATAGACACATGTATAGAAGTGCAGTTCAAAGTTAATGGCAGAAACTTAGGCTGAAAGGGGATTCAATGAAAAATGATCTCAGCTTTGCTGAATATTTGAAAATTTTTAAAATAAAATGTAAAGCACAAGGGAAAGTAATGTCTCTAATGCCTGTGCCATGTCAGTACCCTGGTTGTACCTGACATCCCCACATACATAAAATAACACTGGTTGTTGTATTAATCACTATTCTAAAGAGTATAACATATCCAGGGCTCATTAAAGCTTCATATAAATTATCATCATTACTGCTCCTGGGACAATGCAAGCCTCTTAGAAGGTTTTACCTTCACTTACGCCCACTTGCCTTTCTGCTATTGCTGTCATGTCTTTCAGTTCGTGTTTACTTTCAACCCCTCAAGATGTTCTGATTCGTGTTTAATGCAATCACATTCATTCAATTCTGTTAATGTTCTCCATTCTTTACTTTTCATTAAAATTTTTGTGTTGTTCTTAAGCAACCCAATTAATATTTGTTTTTTTAAATTATACTTTAAGTTTTAGGGTACATGTGCACAACGTGCAGGTTAGTTACATATGTATATATGTACCATGTTGGTGTGCTGCACCCAGTAACTCATCATTAATGTAGAATAACTGATGTTGAATTCTTATAGTTTTTGTTTGTCTGAAAATATCGCTTTTTCACCTTCATATTTGAAAGATATTTTCACCAGATGCAGAATTTCACTCCGGAGTCATCTTTTTTCTTTAACTTTCATTTTAGGTTCAGGGGTACATATGCAGGTTTGCTATATAGGTAAATTGTGTGCCATGGGGGTTTGGTGTTCAGATTATTTTATCACTCAGGTAATAAGTGTAGTACCTAATAGGTAGGCTTTTCAATACTCACCAGCCGCCGTCAAGTAGGCGCTGGCGTCTGTTTCTCCCTTTTTTGTGTCCATATGTATTCAATGTTCAGTTTCCCATTATAACTGAGAACATGCAGTATTTGGTTTTCTATTTCTGCATTAGTTTCCTTAGGATAATGGCCTCCAGCTCCATCCATGTTGCAGCAAAGACATGACCTCATTCTTTTTTATGGCTGGGTGGTATTCCATAGTGTATATGTACCATGTTTTCTTTATCCAGTGTACTGTTGATGGGCATTTAGGTTGATTCCATGTGTTTTGTATTGTGAATAGTGCTGTGATGAACATACACACGTACGTGTCTTTATGGTGGAATGATTTATATTCCTTTGGGTATATATCCAATAATGGGATTGCTGGGTCGAATGGTAGTTCTGCTTTGAGTTCTTTGAGAAATCGCCAAGCAGAAGTCATTATCTTTTAATAGTTTAGAGATACTTTTATTGTTTCTAGCTTCCAATGTTTCTGATGTGGTATTAACTGTCTTTCTTTTTGTTCTTGCGAATGTGTCACTGTTTCCTTTAGCTTCTTTTAAGACTTTTTTTTTTCTATTTATGCTGATTATCTACAGTTTTACTATACTAGACCTAGAGGTGTTTTTCTTGTATTTATTCTGCCTGGATTTTGTAGAATTTCTTGAATATATATGTCTTGAAGTTTTTTCTCAGTTTGGGAAAATCTTTGTCCTTTAATATTTTAAATTTGCTCCTGTCTTCTATTTTGGAACTTCAAGTATGCATTTGCAGAATGTTTTCACCATGTCTTATATGTGTCTTATACTTTATTTTATTTTTCAGCTTTTGCTTTCTGATTTCAGTCTGTATTTTTTAAATTGAACTATCTTCTTATTACCTTTTTTTTCCAGTAGCTAGGTCTAATGTGCTGTTAAACCTTTATGTTTAAGTGAATTCTTTGAGCTACAGTATTCTTCAGCTGTAGAATTTTTACTTGATTCTTTTTTTTAAAGGTTTCAGTTCCCTTGTGAAAACTGTATTCTGTCTCCATTTCTTGAGCATTTTAATCACAGCTCTTTTAATTCAATGCCACTTTCTCATCTCTTATTTAGTTTGATTTTCACTCATTTGTTCATGTCTTGTGTATCTCGTAATGATTAAATGACTAAAATTACATACAAAAATTATAGAGATCATCTGGTTTCTTAGTGGTGTCATTTTACTTACAGAGAAGATGCTCTTTTGCCTTTAATAGGCATTAAGGTCATTTACATGCAACTTTCATATTATACTTTCAGTCCTTTTTAACATCAGTAAATTTTATTTTGCCTGTCTCCTAGGCTATTACCATTCAAGGAATCCAACTCAAGGTCTGGATTCCTGAACTATAGTTTTTATGTTGAAGTGATTACTGCTTACTTCTCAGTCTCATCAGTCAGTGCTTAGAGTAGGAAGTAACTTCTATGATACAATCAGGGATTGGGCTGACTTAAAGAAAAGGTTTGGTATTTCTGAGGGTGAACTGATCTCTAATTTGCTCTCGTGCCTTGGATGTACCTTCTTATGAAACCCAGGTAAAAGCTTGGAGGTATTGACGAGGACCCCTCCACTTTGGCAGATCTTGATTGTTAGTTTTTCTCTCCCTTGTCCTGTGAGACCCTGAAAGATCTTACCAGCTTCCCAGTTCTCAATCTCCACTTGCAAATCAGCAAATGTTCTAAAAAAGAAAAGTGGCATTGACACTGTGTTCAGCCTCTGTACTGTCACCGCTCCAGGATTTTCTAGCTGTTTTGGTGAGAGGTTTGTTTAGTCTTCTATAGGTTGGTGATCTACCATCATTGGGAGTGAATAAAAACTCCTTTATTTTCTTTTGTTTCTTTTATGTTTGTGTAACACATTTACAATGTACTTGTCTAGTGGATGAGAAGAGTGATTTTCAATTGATAGCTAATAATCTGAATCTTATTTATTGAAGTGTATATATAATTTAGTTACTGATTTATGTATAGTGATACACAAAATACTATATACATATCCAAAAATTTCTATTTTGTTTTTTTTTTTTTTTTTGGAGACAGAGTCTTCCTCTATCACCCAGGCTGGATTACAGTGGTGCGATATTGGCTCGCTGCAACCTCCGCCTCCCGGGTTCAAGCAATTCTCCTGCTTCAGCCTCCTGAGTAGCTAGGATTACAGGCATATGCCACCACACCTGGCTAATTTTTGTATTTTTAGTAGAGATGGGGTTTCACCATGTTGGCCAGGCTGGTCTCGAACTCCTGACTTCGTGATCCATCCGCCTCAGCTTCCAAAGTGCTGGGATTACAGGCATGAACCACCGTGCCTGACCTCTATTGTTTACGAAACATGAGTTCACTTCTTTAAGCTGCATTTTCTGATATTACCATTTTTGTCTACTTCTGTTACAAAGCTAAATATTTTCTATTTTTTATTTTCATTTATTTATATTTTTAGAGCCAGCATCTCATTCTGTCACTCAGGGCTAGAGTGCAGTGGCACATTCATAGCTCACTAAAACCTTGAACTCCTAAGCACAAGTGATCCTCCCACCTCCCCCTCCCAAGTAGTTAGGACTACAGTCATGCACCACCATGCCCAGCTAATTTTTTTATTTTATTTTGTGTAGAGACAGGTCTCACTATGTTGCCCCAGCTGACCTCAAACTCCTGGTCTCAAGAGAGTCTCCTGCCTTGGTCTCCCAAATGCTGGTATTACAATTGTGAGCCATGGCACTGGGCTCTTTTCAAATGTTTAAACTTTGGTAGGCTCATCTTGCCATTTTATTCCAGTTCTCCTTGTGTATTGCTTCTTCCATACAGTATACAGTATTTTAGAATCAGCCTTCTAATAACCTTTTTAAAATTTTGATCGCAATAGTATTGATAGATCTCTTTGGGGAGAATTATCTTTATTATATCTTTTTTTATTATACTTTAAGTTTTAGGGTACATGTGCACAACGTGCAGGTTTGTTACATATGTATACATGTGCCATGTTGGTGTGCTGCACCCCATCCTATAATCAAATTCATGTGCATATCTCTCTTCTTTTATTCAAATTTTATTTTTCAGCTTCAGGAAAATTTTATACTTTTTAAAATTATTTTTTTCATTACGATCTTAACAATTTCTTGTTAGATTTATTATCAGAAATTGTATTGTCTTAATTGCTTAATATAAATGGGATTTTCCTACAATACTTGCTAATTTATTGTTACTGCTATATGCAAACGTTAATTTATATTTTATGTTATTCTTAATTCTAGCCATCACTGTGAACTTTCTAATTGCCTTCAATAGATCTTCTGTGTAACTAATTATATCTTTGAAAATACAATGCTATCTTCTGGCATTCATAATCCTTTTCACTTACATATTTATTATTTATTGTAGCTTCCAAAGAACCAGTTTTTGTTTTGAAAATTTTTATATAATTTATTTCTGCTCATGTCCTTATTATTTCTTCCCTTTTATATTATTTTGTTTCATCGAATGTTATGTTCCTGCTTTTTATCCTGTTGTCTTAGTTTTTCTCATTCTTTTTTGTTTTATAATAAACATATTTATAATTGCAAACATTCCATTACATTCTGCTTTTATAACCTGCATGTTTTAAAAATGCTGTTCTAATTTTTATTTATATGCAATTTTAAATTTCTCCTTTGAATATCTCTTTCAACAAAAACATGTTTAAAATGTGCATTTATTAGTTATAGAACATTATTTTTCTTACTTTTCTATTGTAGTCAAACTTTATTGCCTATGACTCCATGATAGCAGCCTGTGAAATTTCTACCTTTTGGAATTAAAAAATATGTGATCATTGTTTAAAAAAGATCCATGTGTGTGTGTGAAGAGATCTTGTTCTTAAATTTATTGAATATAAGATGTTATGTGTGAGATATTTACAAAAAGACCTTGTTTTAAAATTTATTAAAAACAAAATGATATATATGTGATATTTGCTTACCCATGTAGACGTGATTTTTGAATTCTCAATATTCTAACATATTTGCTTAATTTATTTCCTGAGTTTCTAAGTTAGATATGATTGTGCTTTTGTTAAATTCTCTTTGTATTTCTCTCAAATTTTGTCTTAAATATTTTAATTATGTTATTAACTGAAGAAAAGTAATTACCAATAGACTTTCTTAGAATATTGTTATTTTGATTAATATATAGTATTATGGTTTTTTTGGTCTTAAATTGGAGTCTGTCTATATTAATATTGTTTTATTTGTTTACTTTTGCTTATTTGTTTTTATTGATGTTTTATTTGTATTATTTTTCATATAAAAGATACAGAATTTTGTCATCCCACAATCTTTATTATTAATTAAAAAGTAAATATAAGTTAATAATTGCCAACAAAAACTGAAAATTATAAAAAATAAAGCTGTAGAATAAAATAGAAGCTGTATTAGTCTATTCTTACATTGCTATGAAGAACTACCTGAGACTGGGTTATATGGTTTGGCTCTGTATCCCCACCGAAATCTCATCTTGTAGCTCCCATAATTCCCAAATGTTGTGGGAGGGACCCAGTGGGAGATGATTGAATCATGTGGGCAGGTCTTTCCCATGCTGTTCTGATGATAGTGAATGGGTCTCATGAGACGTGATGGTTTTCAAAACAGGAGCTTCTCTGCAAAGTTTCTCTCTTTGCCTGCAGAACATCCATGTAAGATGTGACTTGCTCCTCCTTGCCTTCCATCATTCCACCATGAGTGTGAGGCTTCCCCAGCCATGTGGAACTGTGAGTTCTCCATTAAACCTCTTTCCTTTGTAAATTGCCAAGTCTTAGGTATGTCTTTATCAGCAGTGTGAAAACAGACTAATACACTGGGTAATTTATAAATAAAAGAGGTTTAATTGGCTCACAGTTTCACAAACTGTACAGGAAGCATGGCTGAGGAGGCCTCAGGAAACTTACAATTGTGGCAGAAGGTGGAGAGGAAGGAGACACATCTTACATGGCTGGAGCAGGCAAGGAAGAGGGCTACACACTTTCAAACAACCAGATTTCCTGAGAATTCACTCACTATCCTGAGAACAACAAGGGGGAGAACACCCCCATGATCTAATCACCTCTCACCAGGCCCCTCCTCCAACACTGGAGATGATTACAATTTGACATGAGATTTTGATGGGGATAAATCCAAGCCATATTGGAAGCAATACTGTCAAGATTTTGTTTTCAGTCATTTATATCCTAGCCAATTCTGTGAAGCTATTTACAATAGTCAGATATATAAATAACAAAGGAAAATAATTCATGGTTTTCTAGATAAAACTGTTCATAATTATATTTTCAACTTATCTTTCATTGTTTACAGCAAGCTGCCAAAATATGTAATAATATAGCTCCATTGTTGAGTTCAAATGATCTTACAATATATTTATATTAATAGTAATAAAAAATCAGGGTGTGACTCTTTTGGGCATTTTCAGTTGTGTGGAATTGATCTCATGCAAGCTTCAAAAGGTAAAATAATATTTTTGGTTGAGAAAGACAGAAATAACCATTTTCGAAAAAAAATACTGCAGAAATGCTAAAGAGGCTATTTTTACCAATTTAGAAGTGAGAAATGAGGGTAATTAATGAATGAATTACAAATATTCTGAATTTGGTTAAACAAACATCAGGTTGAAAGTTTTATGTTGTCTTAGAAGTATAGCAACTTTCTGGGACAACAATAAATGGGTGATTGAGTGGTGAAAGTTAAATTTAATGCATTTTCAGATGGTATATGAATAATCTCCTTTTGCGTTGAATGTAAGTAAATGCAGGAAAGTGCTGAGATATTGTGAAATCATTGAGTTTATAAAGTAGGAAAATAGGAAAATCTGACAACTGTCTGAGGTTCTAGAAATCATATGGTAACCGTGAATATACAAAAAGAGTACTATTCCAAAGGCCTACCTAGCTTCTTTATTATTGTATGGGCACAACTGCACACAAAGTCTTTCTTTCATAATTTTTGGGATTTTTTTTTCTTTAAATTTACACAAGTCCTGGCAAAACAACCTGCGTTCCAGGTGTCTCTGCAATAGCAGTGGACCATGGCTAGCCAACACGTTTATCCTGGTACATTGTAAATCTGATCATTTGGCACTTATTCTATGTTTAGTAAGATTGTAGTGTTCAATTCCATGGGGAATTGTGTTGTTATCAATTAGAAGTTAGGACCTGGGAGGGAATGGAAGGTGCTAAGAGCCCTGTATTTGCCATCTTTGGTCTAGCTTATACATGCTCCAAGTCCTCATTCTGCCTTGTATCTCCAGTGTCTAGCACAGCATATGAAACTATGGCTTTGAACAGCAAATGCTGGTGAAATGATAACAAAATCAAAATTAATTTATGGTAAGAGATACTTTTCTAACAATATGAAAGACTATATGTGTATTATTCTGCTCGGGCTGCCATAACAAAATATCATACAAACTGGGTGGCTTAAATAACAGAAGTTAATTTTCTCACAGTTCTAGAGACTAGAAGTCTAAGATTAAGGCACCAACAGGATTGGCTCTGGTGAGGCCTCTCTTTGTAGCTTTCAGGCAGCCACCTTCTCACTGTCTTGACATGGCCTTTGTTCTGTGCACGCCTAGAGAAACAGAGAGTGAGATAGATGTCCAGTATCTCTTCTACTTTTCATAAAGACACATGTCTTATGGAATTAGGGCCCTTATGACCTCATTTAACCTTAATTAACTTTTTAAATAACCATTGAAGAAGCTGGAGATCCCTGGACAGTGAATCACAACCAGATCATAATTCCCCCCATAAAGTTTTTACCAGGTCTACTTGAAAAATTTTATCCCAATTTCTGAAACTTTCATATATCTCAGTAAGCATGAAAAAATAGGTATCACCACATCACAGAACAAGAAAGTTGGTTGTAAACGAGGTTTAACTTTATTATTCAACTGAGAAATATTTTAACTTACTAGGGTAACGTAGTATTGAAAGGAAATTAAAGTAAAATCATTATATAAGGATAAAAGTTATTTTGTAATATGCAGAATCACTCCATTTTATAAAAAGTGAGATACGTATCTACAGATTTAAAAGGTCAATTCTGTATTTCAAGGAAATCTCAGTGACTCAGACTAGGTCTTTTTCTGGTATGTAAAACTTCAATATTTGACATTTTCCAAATAATTCAATGCTGAAGATCCACACATGAACATCTAGTCATCCTTATTCAAAAAGATATATTGAGCATCTAATATGGGTTTTAGCAGGCTATACCAAGACCTGGTGGGACAGAGGTATATGAGATGTGGGTCATATTACCAAAAGAGATCTGGTGGCAAAATAGACATGACATGTTTTCATTTCGTTTAGATCTAATTCATGTTCTTCAAGAGATTTTAGAATTTGAAGTTTACTGTTGCCTACCATCTTACATTTTTATGTATTACATTAATTTTGTATATCAGTCTATTATATTTTCTACTTGCTATATATGTATTCTTAGTGATTATTATAAACTGATTATTGATTATGTGACCTACTATTTTACTAAATTCTCATATTACAGTAATTTTCCATTGATTCTTGTGAATTTTTAAATATAACATTATAATACCTGCAATAAATACAGTTTTGATTCTTTTATTCTCATTCCTGTTTTTAATTACTTTCTTTTATCTAATTCTACATATGTGTGTACATATGCCCACATGCATATGTATATGTACATATATATGTCAACATTTATACCAATTCCTATTTATTCTATAAATAAAATTTTTCAGAGTTGAAAAATGTCAAATACATTTTCTGCAGCTATGAAGATTATCACAGGATTTTTCCCTTTAGCCTTGTTTATATAATGGATTCTACTAATGGATTTCTTCCTATTGACCCACTCTCACATTCCTGGGATTTATCACAGTTAATTGTGACATATTTTTTTCTCCAGTGTACTATTTAATATAACTTGGCTCATGCAATATATTGAAGGAGAAAGGTATTCCCCCTTTCTAATGACTATATAGAGGTGGCCTGCTACTATTCAACTTGCCATGCATAGCAATATTGGAACAAATGCATCAGGTTTTCTTGTCTACACTTTATTATTTATTACCTAAAATGAAAAGAAGAAACTGTTAACTAGATAGTGTTTCTTTACCAGTGGTGAGAATGTTGTGTCTCAAAGCAAAAAAGTTTTCTCTCTTGCTGCCTGTTTTAGAGATTGAAAAAGGCTGTGCACATATTTCCCATATTTCCCTTCCTGGGTACCTTTCAACACAACAGGGCACAGCCACATGAGAACTCTGTAAGGAGAAAATACCAGGGAGAAATTTGCTATTACATTAAGTTTCTCTTTCTCTATTTTATACTCTGCTTTTTCCACTAAGTCTCAAAAGTAGACTGGCCCCAGCTTTGATCTCAGTTTTCTCAAAGAAGGTCAAAGACATCAGGTAGAATACTGCTTTAATATTGTTGTTACAGGTAATTCTCAGACTTAATTAAGGATGAATGTGTTTTGATATTTTATTTTTTTCTTTGCAATGACACTTCATATGAACCTTTTGTAATTGAGTTTTAAAAGCTTAGAGAGAAGGGTCATTCTGCAGTAAGATAATACTGCAAACTCTTCTTTGACATAGACATGATAAAAACAGAGAAGATAAAAACAGAGAAGATAGACTACATATCAAACGTGATTTTCAAAACTTAATTGGAAAATCCTCAAAATAGCTCTGGAGGAGCTTTCTTATGGTATATATTATGGATGGACTTTTAGTATTAGAAATAGAGAATCGATGTGTCTCTGTGCAAAGAGATCACATTAGCAGGCTACCAATGCGCTCTTTTATGTACTAAAACCATGCAACTGTGGGGCTCAACTTAATATTCATTAGCATTGATGAAGAAAACTCATAATTTTATGAGCTGGAGAGTGAGTAGTCACAGAAAAGAAGATGTTTAGGGCCATGCATTAATTTTGTTGCAACATTTCATATTTTGGTTGGAATCAGCCTCAAACTGTGGAAGGATTAGTAGGTTAAGGCAGATTACTTAAGCCTTGTTCTGATAGTGAAAAACCATTGCAATAGGCTTTGCATATACATAGGCTCTTTCTTCAGTTGTCAAAGACATTCTGTGTTGGTCCTAGAATTATTTGCTTCATTTTCTGATACCTTTAGCACTCTCCTAGTTCTTTCAACTGGCAATTTAAATATTCCAGCAATGTTAGCTTTTCTTTTATAAGCCAACTTTTGTAATATATGTATGTCATACCTTAGAAGAGAAAATCTGGATTCAATTGATCTCTATAGTGAATATAACTTTTAAGATCCACTGTTAGTTAAAATAGAATCCTAAATTTATTCATAATTTGCAGCTCAATAGTGAAGGATCTCTTATAGTCTGCCTCTGAAGAATTTTATGCAAATTACAAGACTTTAAATTGATTTATATTTTAATGTAATAAGGAAATTCACTACATGAAAAAGCTAAAGTCCAAAACTTTTCTTAAGGTGAAGAAGTAGCCATCTTTTGACTACCTTTGACATTTGTTGTCCTATAAGGACCAAGATCAAACTAATCAAACTTTCCTAGAGTTTAATACAACTGTGACTTAATTTTAGAATGTACAAAAAAGCACTTAAATTCAGCTTCAGTCATTAGGAGAATATAATTAATACATCCTTGATTGTCTTGTGCAAATGAAGTTGTGCCCATGTTTAAACTCATTCATGTGCCTCTTGGTAATAATTTATAAAAGAAGGAAAGAGAATTATCTGATTTCTTGATCAAGAAGTCCTGAAAACCTGTCCATTAAGAAGCTATTAATTCTGGACTTCATTGCACTCATGTCATTTCACACCTTAAACATCAAAATTCTCATTAAGCAATTGGCCCCCTCCCTCTACCTGGAGGATGCTTTCTGCATCTATCCTTTCCTCTCCATTGTCCCTACCTACAACCTAATCTCAGTCTTCAAATCACACCCCCCATCAGTAAATGGTTATAAGAAACCCCTCACAATACATCTACATGAATTCACCCATATATGATACACAAGTGTTACCATATTAGGTATATTATGAAACAGGTGCAAAGGATACGTTTTGAAAGGATGATTTGAAGATAAATGTACATACAGGTTGCAAAACGTCCCCAACCTTGACTGGCCCATACAGCTCAATTTGGAGACTACAGCCTGGACTGACCATGGCAATACCTCCCCATGCTTTCCTCTGGTCCACTTTGTCTCCTGCTTCAACACACACCACCCACCCTGCCTAGTCTTTCTGGGGTGCAGCTTTGATGATATCACTTTCCTTCTTCCACAGGTCAGCAGGTTAATCTCAAATTCCTAAGCCTGGAATTCAACTTCTAGAAACAGGTCTGACTCAATCCCAACTCATTTCACACTCTCTCCTGGGTTGCAGATGGCACAGACTGCCTGGCATGAAACAATTCAAAAAAAAAAGAAAAGAAAATAGATAAACAAAAAGCAAGTGAAGGGTAGACATATGCTTTTCTTTGTTAATTCATGCCCAAACTTGTAATTGTTTCCATATTTCTGACTAAAAAAGTTTTATAAGCTAAAGAAGTTGTTTTAAGTGTGAAATTGAGTTTCAATAATATGTTGTACACATATTAGGATCACACAGAATCTCCTTCTCTATTGCATTTATGAAAAGACAAAGAAGACATCTAAAAGAACAAGTAAATGCCCAAAAACATACACAATATATCTTATCTAAGGTAAGTTATTTAAAATATACATATTATATTGCTAGACATTTTATATGAATTTCATAGGCTCAAGAGGCCTATGTTTAGAAAAATAATATTTTATTGAGACAGCCATATATGAGAGTTCTTTATTATTTCTTTCCACATATTTCTTTAAACTTCTCTAGCGTAATATAACAAGTAATAAAGCAACAGTTGGACAGTCTTCTATGACAGATTTTCCAAATGCATGACATTTGGTTGCTGCATTAAAAGGCTTGAGTGAACTTGGGAGTCAAAACAAGGAACTGAAGAGAACACCTGTTGATTTTGTATTGGCATAAAAGTTTCTAGGTTAAATGGTGAATTCAGCATTGGATAATACAATCATAGCAAATAACACTTAGCATTAAATGAATTTTTCAAAAAGTCTACTTTTCCTGGTTTTCCGCAAGTAGTGATTAAATATCTTCAGTTTCAAGTGTATTCAGATTAGGATGCTATTTCGACTTGCATGCCTCCCCACGAACATCCATTATAAATTTACCCATTCCTTAGTGTATTTGACAATTTTTGTCTGAGAAAGAATGAAGAGCAGCCCCCGTGTGTGAGGTCTGAACGAGACTGGTCTGTACATAAATGTCCAAGTGGGATTGCTAAATGTGCTCTCCAGAGGGTGGTGCAGAATCTCTTTTCCAGGTTTTCTGCAAACCCATACCTGCTCCACCTGGTTACCAATGCTCTATATTTGAGAGGATTCTTGTTGGCCCATTTGGTGCTGAGGCTCATGTCTGACACACCATGAGGCAACACAGAGACAGCAAAAATGCAAGAACAGAGCCCTAAACCATAAGGTCGAGATAATGGAGGTTCCTGGGAGTCAGAAAACTATAGAGGCTCTGGACCTCTCTAAGCCATCAAAGTTATTTGTCTATCTCCTAGAAGTATGTCAAAATATCAGTATCCAAAGTCATCTACTGCTTCAGTACATCCTTACACAGGATAGGCAACATTAACCTTACCTTTCTCAGAAATATCACAGTACAAAGAAATCCTAAATTAAAAACCATGACAAAACTATTGTCTCCTACTACAGAGATTATCAGTGATGACCTAGACATTTGATAACTTTTGTATATTTTCTAACTGTGGTCAGGTATTTTTGTTATCGTTCTAAGAGCTATAATATAAAACTTGTGTTCACTGAAATTAGAAATCCATTCTTGTTTTTATAGTAAGGAAAGGCATTGCTTGAATAAAAACTGAGCTGAGTAAACTTTGGGGTATCTAAAATGGCAAGGTTTGTGTGCTTTTACATCTCTTCATATGCCCAGTGATATGGTTTGCCTCTGTGTCCCCACTTAAATCTCATGTGGAATTGTAATCCTCAGTGTTGCAGGAGGGACCTGGTGGGAGGTGGCTGGAACATGGGGGCAGATTTCTCCCTTGCTGTTCTCATGACAGTGAGCGAGTTCTCAGGAGATCTGGCTGTTTAAAAGTGTGTAGCACTTCCCCTTCCACTGTCTCTCCTTCCAATATATGAAAATGTGCCATTTTCCCCATCACCCTTCCGCCATGATTGTAAGTTTCTGCGGCCTCCCTAGCCATGCCTCCTGTACAGCCTGTGGCACTGTGAGTCAATTAAACCTCTTTTCTTTACAAATTACCCAGTCTCGTGTAGTTCTTTATGGCAGTATGAGGATGAACTAACACACCCAAATTTTGATAATCTGTCACACACACAGAATGTCTATTTGCAATAACCCAAATTTTCTGAAACAAAGAACAAAAACAGCTACCCCAAAATGTTGAGAGACAGCTAATCAAAGTGAAAATGAACAACAGAGGGGATATTAGGTATGAATTAAAATATGCTGGCTGCTCCGAATTTGATTTCTGAAGAACTGATGAGCCACCTGACTAGGAAATTTCAGTGGATTGGCCTTGAGCCACTGGGTCATCTGTAACATTCAGCAGAATATGGGGCTTTGAAGCTGTGAGAAAATGAGAATGAGAATTTTGTGAAGAATGGAATGCCTCCATAAGGAAAGAAATATGTTCTCGATATATATATTTTTTTAAAGAGCCAGAGGTGTGTTTGAATGCATGCTTTCTTACCAGGTTACATGTGCCCCAGGCATAATTTAATAGGCCCCAGTCATATATGTTTAATCATAAAGTTAACTTTATTGTTGTAACTGTACCTCTGACAAGGCCCCATTTCCACCTCACAATGGGAGCATAAAATTTTATTGTGCAGTTAACTGAGACCAATCCACTAATTTTTCCAGGCACTCTGATTTAAACACTCTCATGTGGTGATAAATATTCACTCAAACCTAAAATTTGCTTCACTCAGATCTGGATAGACATTTGCACTCTGAGGTCCCCAGTCCCCAGCCAGCCGGCCCCACATCTGCATGGGGAGGCTGTCCTTGACCTGGCATGATTCGTCCTTAGCCATTTCTGTGTCAGGGAGGAGCCAGCCCAGAAGACCTCCCAGGGGCTCCATCTTGTGGGCTACAGGTGTTCCCTGAGTTACAGCCTGGCCTGGGCACTAGATACTAATGTATTTGCTGCATTACACCTAGGCAATTATAAAACAACCATGTATTATAGTTAAGTAGCATAAATCCATGGAAACTGTATTTTTTTATTAATTTTATGGCCTTAACCAATATGCCCCATTTTAGTAGTTGAAATAAGTCTAAATTTAAATTCTTAAGGAACTTGACATTATAAACTTTCATTCATAGGGAAACTAGAAAAGGATAGCAAATATATACATAAATATACAAATGTAGGTACTCGTAATATGAATATGAAGACCACATATTGCCATTTCCAAATATCAGCATTTTTACTTTATAATTTCATTTCAAAAGAATGCCAAAGATACAAAAAGAAATATCTTGATTTTTTAGTGACACTCTGTTAATTCTCAAAAAATGTTTAATTGAAATTTTAAATAATTAAATGTCATAGAAAACAGAAAAGGTAATGTAAAATAATTAAAGTAGATTAAAAAGACAACAAATAGGAAACGAAGAAAAGAACAAGACACTAATACAATGAATTATGTACTTAAACACAGAACTTAGGGTTGAATGTCCTGGAAAATATTTAGAACATTTAATTCTCATAGCCTGCTAAAGTCCAGTGCATGTAGTGGGACACAACCCTAGACCAATGAAAAGGACAGACAAGCCCCAGATTCTACTTATCCCAAACAAGTCACATTCCTGGGTGAATGTGGGTTGTTTTCCAACTGTATGGAAAGTGACATGGAACCAATAATGGTACCAGGATGACAAGACTGGATTTTGACCAGTGGCTTATCAGCTAAAAGTTATTTGTGCAATACCATAATTGATATAGTGATTCCTTTCGTAGTTTTTGTAAGGATTAAATGAGATACAGTAATCAAATATCAATGTAAAGGGGCAGCATAAGTAAAATCTAAAGCTCTAGGTTGACGTGGAAAGGTGGTGTTTTCTGAAATAGAAATCATAGAGAAGAATCACTAAGTGGGATCTTATAACCAATTAACTTTAACTGTCTGGTACTCTCCAAAAAGATCATAACTTTCCCCAGCACATAACAGATCCAGAGTGATTTGTGTTTGCACATCCCAGCATTTCTCACACATGGGCTTACACACCACATATGCGGCCATGTCTTGGCTTACGGATTGAAGGAGCACTTGTTAGAATGAGGAGTTCTATTTATAGAGGAGCTGCTGTGAGCAAGACATCCTACTAGGCACTCAAGTGGATGTTACTTTATGCAATTTAATCATCATTGCAAAATCGTGAATAAAGTGTTGTCCCATTTTAGAGGAGAAAAAGGGCAAGAGATCAAATTAGTTGCTAAAAGTCAACTGCTCATGAGCTGATCATCAGTAAAAAAAAAAATACACTCATGTTAGTATCATCCAAACTATTATGTGTGTATACATATATTTATATATTCTGTGTGTGTATATCTTTGTATATCTGTGTGTATATGTGTGTGCCTATCTGTGTGTATTTGTATATCATCTCTTGACAACCTTCTCTAGCCACTATCCCATTTATCTGTCTTTTTTTATTAAAAAATGCTTCAAAAGGGTTGTCTATATTAGGGGTCTCCACTTTTTCTTCTGTCATTACCACTTGAAAACCATTCCAAATTTGGTCATTATTTTTGATTCTCTTTCTATATTTTTTCCAGAATGTTTACAGTTAAATTTACTGCATTTAGGTCTATGATCCGTTTCCATTTACTTTTTGCATGTAGTGTTAGTTGAATGGAGAGGTTCATTTTCTTTTTTGCATATATCCAGTTGTTCCGGCAATATCGTTGAAAAAACTATTCTTTCCCTATTGAACTACTTATGCATCATTGTTGAAAATCAATCAACAGTATAACCAAGTCTGTTTGTGAAGTTTGTTTATTGATTTAATTTTTTAAAACAATTTTTATTGTGTATACTTAAGGCATACCATATGATGCTATAAGATATATAGTATATATAAATATATATAGTGCATATATAAATAGAGTATATATAAACATATATAGAGTATATATAAACTATATAAATATGTGTGTATAGATTTAAATATATTTAAATATAAATATATAGAGTATATATAGCTATACGTAAATATATGTATATATTTAGAAATATATATACTATATATAAATAGAATATATAAATATATACATAAATATATAATATGAATTTATATATAAATATATAGTATGTTTATAAATATATAGTATACATATAATTATATAATACATATAATACATAGTATATATAATACATATAAATATATAGTATATATAAATATATAGTATATATAGCTATACACAAATGTATGTATATATTTAGAAATATAGACTATATAAATAGAATATATAAATATATATAGTAAAATTACCATAATGAAACAAATTAACATATTCATATCTTAAATGATTACCTATCTCCCTTATTCCCTTCTGTGGCAAAATAAGCTATAATTTATTTAGCAAAAATTCTGAATAAAATACACTATGATAAACCACAGCTCTCATATTCGATGTTAGATCTTTGGCCTTGTTCATCCTACGTATTTGATACTTTGTATCCTTTGAAGACAGCTAACATGTTGATTGGAATTGCATTGAATCTGTGTAGAAATTTGCCATTTTAACAATATTGATTATTCTAATCTATAACATATATATTTCTCCACTTATTTCTTTTTGCTTTCTTTTAGCAGTATTTTTTACAGTTTTCAGGGCATAAGTTTGGTATAACTTTCATTAAATTTATTCTTACCTATTCTATTTGAAATGAAACTTCCTTCATCAGGAGCTAAGTTGGGAAGTTGGCTTGAGCCCAAGAGTTCAGGGTTACAGTGAGCTATGATACCACCACTGCGCTCCAACCTGGGCAAAAAAGAGAGGCCCCATCTCTAAAAAGAAAAAAAGGGGAAATAAAAAAGAAACTTCTTTCAGATAGTAGTTTGATATAAATAATAACCATATATTATTTTTCTCTCTGCTGTTGTTTCCCCAAAACAAGTTCACTGATATGTAATCTGTAGTTATTAAAGAGCTAATGAAGAGTAACCACAGTTTCATCATTTTCCCTGTAGGAATTGACAGCAAATACCAAGTGTTTATTAAGCCTATGCTATCTTTAATTCTCACAAGAATCCTAAGAGTGAGGTAGGTATTATTCTCATTTACCGACACACAGAAAAATCAGTCTCCAATAAATCACATAATTTGACTCATAGGCATCCTGGTGATACTTAACGTGTGTGTGTGTTTGTGCATTTGGCTTATGCCTGTTTCTTCCACTATCTGATAAACACTAAAATGAGTAGGCTTAGAGAATGATGAAAAAAATTAGTACTGCAGATCACTTCTTCTTATGCCTTTTTCTTGTAATTAACAATCCTGAAAGGGTAAAGATCCGTCTATAATATTCTTTTTTTAAGACATTAGAATAGCTCCTGCCAAAATAAATGCTTAGAAATGCTTTTTAATGATAGTAATACACAGGATAGTCAAGATAAAACATTAACTTTATAAAAAATTTTTCATGTCTCGGATATTATATTTAAAAATATGAAAAAGCTAAAACGTTCTAAATTATCAGAGCTACAGACAATATGACTCAAACTTTTCATTTTCATAAGCCTGTCTTCTTTTACCGTTTGTCTTCATTCTCTCTTGAAAAGTTATCATCTTATTAAAATCTGAAAATTATTGGTTTTCTTTGACAAAGCGTAGTTCAAATATGTGTATAAACATAGTAGAGACCTCTATGGTAGCACCTATTCTGGGTCAGTTTAATCCTCCACCTTAAGAAAAAACAAATTTGGAAGACTCAGTAACTCACTCACTACTACCCTCATGTTCTGTAGCAAGAGGACACAGTTGTCTGTTGCTGCCCCCTGCTCTGCCTCCAATTAATCCACTACTTCTTGGAGTTCATAACTGCACTCTTGTGGGTGCTATTCAAGAAACTGATACCATCCACCAGATAATGGAAAGCGATGCAGTTACCTATAGGGGTTGGGAATGTCACCTTCTTTCTTGTTCAACTCTTTCTGCTCTTCTTTGACTATATTGGCTCAAATTCTCAAGCTATTTCTCCTCTTTCATGGAGTGACTTACAATCAGTCCCAAGCAGTCTTGTCTGTCTTGTCTGGTTTAGAAGTGTCTGCCTCATCAAATGATGAAGGGCTCATCAAAGTCTCAGCTTCCCTGAAATTATTCTTTACAAAGTCTCCATTTTCATCTTGGAGTACAAATCAGCAATTGCCAGCACAGACACACCTCTCCAAAGGCTTAAGCTTGCTTTCTGATGTGCATGGAGGAAAAAAAGATATTGGCACCCTAAAGCAAAATATAAAAAAGAGAATTTAAAATAACTTTAAATAATAAAATTTTGAATCACATTAAGAGGAGGGAATAATTCCAATCTCATTTTATGAGGCTAGCTAGCATCACCCTGATATCCAAGTTAGACAAAGATACCACAAAAAAGCAAACTCTAGGTCAATATCCCTAATGAATATAGATGCAAAACTCTCCAGCAAGATACTAGCACACTGAATTCAACATCACAATTAAAAGAACGTTCACCATGATCAACTAGGATTCATCTCATGTATTCAAGGATGCTTCAACATACTTAAGTTAATAAATATAATACATCACATTAACAGAATAAAGAACAAAACCATAATCATTTTAATAAATGCGGAAAACACATTTCAAAAAAATGCAACATCCTTTCATGATTAAAAAAAACACTCAACAAATTAGGTATAGTTGAAATGTATTCAACACAGCAACTCTGCTGGGGCCAGTATTGGTTGCCAATATTCTTGTTTTTCCCCTCTTCAACATTCTGAATATTTTACTCCACTCTCTCCTGGCTTATAGGATTTCTACTGTCTGCTGTGACTCATATTGAAACTGCTTTATGTATTATTGGCTCCTTTTCTCTTGCCGCTTCCAGGATTCTTTATTTGTCTTTGATTTTTGACACTTGATTATAATATATCCTGGGGTAATCTTATTTGTACTGAAGACCTTTAGGCTTCCTATACCTGGATATTTACATTTTTCTCCAGGTTTGGAAAGGTTTTCAGCCATTATTTCTTTAAATACACTTCATATCTGTTTATCTTTCTCTTCTCCTTTAACTCCTATGACTTAAAAGTTTTCTTTTTTGATACTGCCTCATAAATCCTGTAAGCTATCTTCATCTATTTTCTTTCATTTTTCTTTTTCTCTGACATTACATTTTTTAATAGTCTGCATTCAAGTTTACAAATTTTTTCTCTGCTTGATCAGTTCTGTTGTTGATTTTCTCCATTGCATGTTTCATTTAGTTTACTGAATTTTTCAGCCCTATGATTTCTATTATTATTATTAATATTATTATTATTGTTTCCATCTCTATATTACATTTTTATCTTGGTTATTTATTGCTTTCCTCATTTCATTGAATTACTTGTATTCTGTTGAAGTTTGCTGAGCTTTTTAATAATAATTATTTAAAATTCCTTGCAAAGAGTTAATACATCTCGATTTCCTTGGGTCAATCACTGGCACCTTACTTTTTTTATTTAATGATGTCATTTTTCCCTGATTATTCTTTGTCTTTTTGGTTATGCATCAGTGTCTGTGCATTTGAAGAAATAGGTTCTTATTCTAGTCTTTGCAGACTGGCTTTGCCTGGAAAAACTCTGCAGCAGATGCGGCAGTAGGGCATATCAGAATCCTGAGGCAGCTGCAGGTGGTATAGCACTGCCAGACGTCTAGGGTTCACTACAGCAAGTGCTGTGCTGTGACAGGCCAGAAGCTTTGGGCTGGTGTAGACAGTGCTGTTATGGGGCATCCCTAAAACTCAGGCAGCAGTGGCTTCTATGGTCCTGCCAGAAGCCTGGGGCAGATATGGCCACCCCAGGACTGGGGCACATCCGGATCCAGAGACCACTAAGGCCTGCCTGCTGCTGAGGGCTATCTGGAGGCTGGGGGCACTGATGTCAGCCTGGTTGTGATTTGGGCTAAAGATAGGGTTTGCCATGTAAGTCTCAACTGTGTGGTCCTGCCCTATGCCAGGACAGGTCTAGAGACTTAGTCCACATGTAGCAGCTTGGAAGACGGAGCCATGAGGGTCTTCCTAGTGCTGAGTTTTACTATGGCGGGCCCAGTGTTGGATTCCAGGGCAAAGTCCTGTGCCTACTTCCCTCACTTTTCCCCAGTTGGACAGTTTCTCTACACTGTGCTGCCTGAGGTTCAAGGAAAAGTTACACGAGTAATGTAAAACTTTCCTTCCAACCATCTTCAAGGAATCTTTGCTATTATTGTGCTGAAACCATGTACTATCATCCCTCAGCTAGTCTGATTATCTCTTGTAAAGGTATTTTTGTGCATGAATAGTTTTTCAGATTGATGTTCCTGTTGGGGGGTGTTCACTGGCGAGTCCTGGTTCAACATCTTCCTCTGCCTCTTTCCTCTAAACGCCTTAATCTCAATGATCCCTCACTAATGCCACACAAGGGAAAGTTCAAATTTCCTGGTACACATTTTTTTCTGTAATTTCTATTTCATCCTGAATTTGCCTTTACATCCTTTTTAAAAACTAAGTTCTGTTCTATGTATAAATAGTTTTCTCCATCAAGAATAATGAGTAAAATAGTTGTGGATCAATTCAGGGACAGGATCAAATCTGTGGGCTCACTGATGTTTAGATTAATCATTTTGATTGTACTCTCCAAGCATCAGTGTGGAAATCAACTTCACCCATAAAGTGTTAAGGACTCAACGAAATGTTTATAAATCACAAGGCATAGTGCTTGGAGTAGAATAGGCACCCAATAAATGCCAAATCATTATTATATCATCAACAAGATAATCAAAATACTATTCTCAATCCACTCCTGTGAATTCTGTGTGTAATCTTTTGTTTTAAGCATTATTTTGAAAATTTGAATGGATGTAGTAAGTTAAAAGATTTGGCAATGATTTATTTAGCTGAGTTTAATTATTGAGCAACATATACCCATTAGTATTTGCATACTTTCAGTCTTATAAACTTTCAGAAACATCCAAAGAACTAGACTCCACTGAGAACAATGATCAGACCGGTGTCAAAAGGGCTAGAATGAATCTTCAAATGTTATGATCCTGTCTTCACCTAAGCCTCAGAATTATCCACTGAACCAATGGCACTCATTTCAATTAATGTGCATATTGGGTTTCTGAAGGATTTCTTCAAGTAAGCTATTAGAGGAAAATGATATTATTTTAAATATTTCTTTATGTAGAATGAATTATTTTTACTATTCCTGATACATATGTGAGAATGTAAACACTTAGAAAATATCACACTCTTTTTGGGGACAGTGTTCTTTAATAAAAACTGGTGAGAACAAGGTTTTTGGGAGGTGAAGAAAAGAATTCACATAGTTTTCTCTTCTATTTGGACCAGGATTTCTATTAAATTAGAATTTTAGGCCAGGGGTGGTGGCTCACGCCTGTAATCCCAGCACTTTGGGAAGCAGAGGAGAGTGGATCACCTGAGGTCGGGAGTTTGAGACCAGCCTGGCCAACATGGGGAAACTCCGTCTCTACTAAAAATACAAAAATAAGCTGGGCATGGTAGTGGGTACCTGTAATCCCAGCTACTCAGGAGGCTGAAGCAGGAGAATCACTGGAACCCAAGAGACGGAGTTTGCAGTGAGCCGAAATCATGCCACTGCACTCGAGCATAGGTGACAGAGCGAAACTGTCTCAAAAAAAAAATTATATATATATATAGAATTTCATAGGAATCCCTCACAGGTATTAGAATATGAATTGAATATTATTACATCATTATACTTAGGAATATATCATTTTCTGATACTTTCTTTGGCTTAACCCAGTATATTCTTTTTGTTTTTACTGAAAAATCATGATGCATGCAATTAAAATTATTTACTGAGGACGATATTTCACTAACAATTTTCTATATGGAATTAGAACTGAGTGAAAGAGTACCATATAGAATATTGAAATAATTCCCAGTTCAAAGAAGACTTTAATGGACTTGGCTGCTTCTTATTTCTTGCGTGGGATTCCCAAAATTTAATATTCAATGAGATAAAGAATTTTCAAATTATTATAATAACTAAACCTGTAAAAAATGTGTTTGTTACATGAGGACTTGTAATTAGCAAAATATTCAATCCCTGATGGGAAACTCATAAATGTAGTGACCTATACTGAGAGGCCGATGCGGTTCTCTGATGTTACTGAAGTGTGAGGTTGACCAATGTTTATTATCTCCCTTGACATTGCTATTGGAAAATTTCATTCAACTTTCCAATTAATTTTTTCCATCGTGTTCAACTTTATGTAATATTTTTCTTTATGTCCTTGGTTATCTTTTGTAGTATGTTTCACAAGATTTTAATGCACTGCTGTTGAAAGCAACTTAATATAGTTATTGGTTATTACCCACTCAGCTAAAATGAAGAATGCTAAATAATTGACAGATAGAGATAAGAGTACTAACCCCAGTGGTAGAGGACATTATATGCCCAGTTGGTGTTGTAGAGAGAGCAATGGCATAGTGCAGCAGGCTGTTTCAAGGGTTAATTGCTGCACTTAAAGTCATTTATTGCAGAACAGATGTCAGCAACATGTTCACAATTTAAAGAAAAATATCACATTCACCAGCTCTCATGCAAATGAAACGTCCATGAAAAGTAAAAAAAAAAAAGCCGTTTGTGTAACTGCTAGGGCCTCAGGAAAACACAGGGTTTCCGAAATAAGGTGATAGGAAGGTGGTAGGAAGTGGGGCAGATGATGGTAGGAAAGAAAGAAGAAAAGGAAAGGAGGGAGGAAATATTGAATTTGGTGTATGATTAAGATGGCCTTGATGGAGCAAAAAAATGTAAAACGGTTTTTATAGTGTTGTATTTTAGGTATAATTCTCTAATTATATATTGTTAACCTATTAATTTTTGAAAGGAAAAGATAAACAGAAGAATCTCATAACAAATTTTAAAAGTCAACAGTAATAAAATAATAACTGGCATTTTTTGATACACACTTGAGGATTTAGAGTGTGTTGGAACTCCATATCCTCCAATTTATCTGACTCATACAATGAGTTTTAGGGAAGAGGTGAAACTCAAAGAACTTCAGTAACTTGAAGTCACAGAATAAGCAAATGCCATTTGAACAAAATACCAAGTCCGGGCTGTGTTCTGATATACCCTAGCATTACTTCCTAAGTTCATTTTTGGTTCGACATACACTGAAAATGTTGAAGTCCTTATTAATTCTAATAATATAAGATGTATTTTTTAGTAGCATGGCAGTGAAGTAACAGATGATGTCTCCTTGCTTAGTCTTCACCACAGTTTACAAAGCCACACTGCTCAGACAATGAGACAGGTTTTATGAATAATGACCATAGCCATTATTTCCCTGAAATGCTACGATAGTAATACTGAAAAAGTAACAATGTACTCTATGATCCAGCAATCCCACTGCTGAGTCTATACCTAAAAGAACGGAAATCAGTAGATCAAAGAGGTCTCTGCGCACCCATGTTTGTTGCAGCACTGTTCACAATAGCCAAGATTTGGAAACAACCTTAGTGTCTACCAACAGATGAATGGAAAAAGAAAATGTGGTACATATACACAATGGAAAACTAGCCATTAAAAAGAATGAGATTCTGGCCAGGAACCATGGCTCATGCCTGTAATCCCAGCAATTTGGGAGGCCGAGGTAGGGGGGATCACCTGAGGTCAGGAGTTTGAGACCAGCTTGGGCCAATATGGTGAAACCCTGACTCTACTAAGCAAATACAAAATAGCCAGGAGTGGTGGCGCATGCCTGTAATCTCAGCTACTCAGGAGGCTGAGGCACAAGAATCATTTGAACCCAGGAGGCTGAGGTTGCAGTGAGCCGAGATTGTGCCACTACACTTCAGCCTGGGCGACAAGAGCAAAATTCTGTCTCAAAAAAAAAAAAAAAAAAAAAAAGAGAGAGAGATTCTGTCATTTGCAACCACATGGATGGAACTAGAGATCATTATGTTAAATTAAATAAGGCAGGCACAGAAAGATGAACATCACATGTTCTCACTTACTTGTGGGATCTAAAAATCAAAATAATTAAATTCATGGACATAAAGTGTAGAAGGATGGTTACTAGAGGCTGAGAAGGTAATGAGGTGGTGAGGGGAAGGTGGGGATGGTCAATGGGTACAAAAAATAGCTAGAAAGAATCAATAAGACCTAGTATTTGATAGGACAGGAGGATGACTTTAGTTCAGTAATAACGTAATTGCACATATTAAAATAATGAAGAGTATAATTGGATTGTTTGTAACACAAAGGGTAAATGTTTGAGGGGATGGATACCCCATTCTCCATTATGTGATTACAGTATATTGCATGCTTGTGTCAAGACATCTCATGTACCTCATAAATATATTTATCTACTATATATCCACCAGAATTAAAAATAAAACAATTTAAAATGTAATAATGAGCTTATAATGCATACAAAAAATAGAAAAATGAATAAGACTTACTATTTGGTAGCACAATAGGGTTACTATAGTCAGTAATAATTGTAGACTTTAAAATAAAGAGTGCAATTGGATTGTTTGTAACTCAAAGGATAAAGGTTTGAGGGGATGGATACCCCCATAATATGCTTATTTCATAGTGTTTGCCTGTATCAAAACATCGCATGTACTCTATAAATATGTACACCTACCATGTACCCCCCAAAATAAAAATAAATGAAAATAAAAAGTAATGAGCTTATAGCACTTCATTTTAAATATTTTTACATACCCACCTTGAAAATCAGCCATGCTAAGTCCCAGAATTTTTTAAAAGTGTTGTATTACCGAATTTTCACTGCCATATATGTTCTTAAAAGCAGATGTAAGTTGAAAATGTGAAATTAATTTGTATCTCAACTTTATGTCCCATTTCCCAGGTGTAGAACACTTCACCACGGCTTGTTTTATATATATAAATATATATAAAAAATATATATATAAATACATATAAAATATATATATATAAATATATATATATATATATAAATAAAAAACACACATGTGCACTTGTCTTTTTCATATAGTGACGTCTTTTCCTCTGGATAGATACCCAGTAGTGAGATTGCTGGATCAAATGGTAGATCTACTTTTAGTTATTTAAAGAATCTCTATACTGTTTTCCATAGTGCTTGTAGTAGTTTACATTCCCACAAGCAGTGTAAAAGTGTTCTCTTTTTACCATCCATGCCAACATGTATTATTGATTTTTTAATTATAGTCATTCTTGCAGGAGTAAGGTGGTATCACATTGTGGTTTTGATTTGCATTTCCCTGATCATTAGTGATGTTGAGCATTTTTTCATATGTTTTTTTGGCCATTTGTATATCTTCTTTTGAGAATTGTCTATTCATGTCCTTAGCCCACTTTTTGATGGGATTATTTGTTTTTTTCTTGCTGATTTGTTTGAATTCCTTATAGGTTCTTTATATTAGTCCTTTGTTGGATGCATAGTTGGTGAATATTTTTTTCCCATTTTGTAGGTTGCTTACTCTGCTGATTATTTCATTTATCTTTGTTTTCACTGCATTTGCTTCTGGGTTCTTGGTCTTTGCCTAAGCCAATGTCTAGAAGAGTTTTTCCAATGTTATCATCTAGAATTGTTACAGTTTTGGGTACTAGATTTAAGTCTTTTATTCCATCTTGAGTTGATTTTTGTATAAGGTGAGAAATGAGGATCCAGTTTCATTCTTCTATGTGTGACTTGCCAATTATCCCAGCACCATTTGTTGAATGGGGTGTGCTTTCTGTACCTTATGTTTTTGTTTATTGTCAAAGATCGGTTGGCTGTAAGTATTTGGCTTTTTTTTTTCTGGGTTCTTTATTCTGTTCCATTGGTCTATATGCCTATGTTTATACCAGTACCAGGCTGTTATGGTGACTATATCCTTGTAGCAAAGTTTGAAGTCGATTACTGTGATGCCTCCAGATTTGATCTTTTTGCTTAGTCTTGCTTTGGCTGGGTGGGCTCTTCTTGGGTTCTGTATGAATTTTAGGATTCTTTTCCTAGTTCTGTGAAGAATGATGATGGTATTTTGATGAGAATTGCGTTGAATTTATACAGTACTTTTTTGCAGTATGGGCTTTTTCACAATATTGATTCTACCCATCCTTGAGCAATGGTGTATGTTTCCATTCGTTTGTGTCATCATCATCTATGATTTCTTTCAGCAGTGTTTTGTAGTTTTCCTTTTAGAGGTCATTCACCTCCTTGGTTAGGTTTATTCCTACGGATTTTATTTTATTTTATTCTTAAGGCCATTGTAAAAGGGGTTGAGTTGATTTGATTCTCAGTTTGGTCACTGTTGGTTTATAGCAGTGCTACTGATTTGTTTACATTAATTTTGTATCCTGAAACCTTACCGAATTCATTTATCAAATATAGGGGTTTTTTGAATGAGTCTTCAGGGTTTTCTAGGTATCTGATCATATCATCAGTAAGCAGCAATGCTTTGACTTCCTCTTTACTAATTTAGATACCCTTTATTTCATACTCTTGTTTAATTGCTCTGACTAGAATGTCCAGTACTATGTTGAACAGAAGTGGTGAAGTTGGGCATCCTTGCCTTGGTCCAGTTCTCAGGGGGAGTGTTTTCAACTTTTCACTGTTCAGTATAATGTTGGCTGTGGGTTTGTTGCAGATGGCTTTTATTAGCTTAAATTATATCCCTTCTATGCCAATTTTGCTAAGGACTATAATTATATAAGGATGCTGAATTTTGTCAAATGCTTTTTCTGCATCTATTGAGATTTTCATGTGATTTTTGCTTTTAATTATTGTTATGTGGTGTATCACATTTATTGACTTGTGTACGTTAAACCATCCCTGGTATGAAACCCACTTGATCATGATGTAATATCGTTCCAATACACTGTTGGATTAAGTTAACTAGGATTTTGTTGAGGATTTTTGCATCTATGTTCATCAGGGATATTGGTCTGTTGTTCTTTTTGTTCTTTTGTTGTTGTCATTTCCTGGTTTTGGAATTAGGGTAATACTAACTTTACAGAATGATTTAGGAGGATTCCCTCTTTATCTTTTGGAATAGTTTCAGTAGGACTGGTACCAATTATTTGAATGTATAATAGCTGTGAATCTGTCTGGTCCTGAATTTTTTTTTTTGGTTAACAATTTTTTTTCCTTTTGTTTTTCACCATTTTGGTCTCGCTGTTGTTATTGGCCTGTTCAGAGTTTCTATTTCTTCCTGGTTTAATCCAGGAGAGTTGTATATTTTTAGGAATTTATCCATCTCCTCTAGGTTTTCTAGCTTGTGCGTGTAAAAGTTCTCAGAGTAGCCTTGAATGTTCTTTTGTATTTCTGTGGTATTGGTCGTAATATCACCCATTACATTTCTAGTTAAACTTATTTGAATTTTCTCTCTTCTTTTCTTGGTTAATCTCACTAACAGTCTATCAATTTTGTTTATCTTTTCAAATAACCAGCTTTTTGTTTCATTTATCTTTTGTATTTTTTTGTTTTAATTTCATTTAGTTCTGCTCTGATCGTTGTTATTTCTTTTCTTCTGCTAGGTTTGGGTTTGGTTTGTTCTTGTTTCTCTAGTTCCTTGTGATGTGACCTTAGATTGCCAGTTTGTGCTCTTTTAGAATTTTTGATGTAGGCATTTAATATTTATGAATTAATAGATGTAAATTTTAAAGTATTCAAGTGATACAAAGAATATGATAAAGCAGAAGTGGAGAGTCCTTCATCACATGCTCTTTTCTCTGAGAAAACAAATCATGACAGTTTAGATTTTATTCTTATACATCAGGGTTTTTTCATATATACAGTAGTTATATATGATAAATTACATTTGTAACTATTTTATACACTGATATCAATGGTATTTTTACAAAAAGTAGATGACATAGTCTGCATCTTACATTATTATCTCAATGTACTATCTGCAATCTGATTTGATTCCAAAGCTTTTATTGAGACACTATGTCTAATGGGGATGTCACTGGGCATTAAAAGTGAATATTCAGGACTCACACACATTTTTGTATCTAGGGGACTAGGTGGAATCAGAGACACCTGTGAACTCTGACAAAACTCCAACTCCCCTTCCCAATTCTTTCTGGCCATCCAGAGAGTGGTATATTTCCAAAGGTTAGATGTGAGGAGAAATGAAAAAAAATGCCCTGGTTCATTATTGAGCTTAAGCCATGAATCCTGCCCTGTATTCACCACAGTTCTGCATTGGATTATTTACTATGCAGATATTAAGTAAATGATACTGCTTTTTTCTATTGTCCTTTGTATGCATGTTCCATGGCAGTGCAGGTGGACAGCAGGATAAGGCAGGATCGGGCACAATAAGAGCATTGAGTGCTGGCGATCTTTGCCCTCTCGTGATTTTATCATGAAGAGCAGCCAAGATGGGTAATGGCCAATTGACCTTTAAGTGGTCATTCATTCTTTTACAAAATCCATTTCTAAAGAAAAATGTTATATTTAGATACCTCAATTCCTTCAGTTAGCAACAGTAAAGCCTGGCTTACTATTATTTTTCAGTAAGATAATTTTTTTTAATAAATTCTTGTTTTCATCCATTTTACAAATCTTTCTTTTTACCCTTTCATAATTTAACTTGTAGATAATTTTTTTTATCTTGCTAATTTGGGAAAAACACTCACTGTAGTTCTCATACATACACAGAATACTCATAGAGTTTTGTTAAGCTTTTCTGACAGTATTTTTAGTTGTGAACAAAAATAAACTAGATTTTTAAAATAAAATTATATAATGAAAAATAAAGCAATAAAGAAGAATGTGTGCAGACATCCATCTGCATGTTGAACCAAATAGATTGAATTCTTTTTAATTTTAATGAGAAAAAATATTTTTAAAACTATTACCATGGCTCATTGCTAATTAGAATTCTTGCTCATTTCAAAACAAAGTACAAGACATATGGTTTTTATATTCGATACTCTCAGGTACAGCAAAAGCTGATACAGAGAAATAGAAAAGACATGGGAGAAAGAAACACTGAGCGGCGGTTGAAACATGTGGTGTTATCTTTTGATAGCCTACTTACATTTCATGTTTTTATTTGTAAACATATGGACAGTAGGTTCATGGCAAGAGCAGATGATTCATTCGGAATCAACCCAGAGATTTAAGATGATGTCCACATGAGATGTTTCACAATTGGCACATTTGTCTAAAACCTGAATTTCTTCTTTGGCTTTTCACATATAAATGAATAGTGTTTTCTCTGATATGTATATGACCATCAGAGGGGAACCAATTGCTGGGCCATTTATCAAAATTATGCCTCAGCCAGAATGGCTCGAGCTAAAATTGTAGGAATAAGTACATGATCACCAAATGGAATTTTACTCAAGTCAATTGGAAATTTAGATTTGTGTTAGATATTTCAGACTTCTGAACTCAGAAAATGTTCACTCCATTTGGTGACCAGGATATAGTTCTCTAGGGCCAGGAAATAACGAAACAGATAAAAGTGGCATAGCGTCTTCCAAGTGATGACTGTTCACCTGTAGCTTTTCTAAGTCTCTGTCTCCAGTCTTCCTAATGAAGTCTCAGGCCATGAGGATCGAGAGAGAATGCAGTTCTGATGGCCAGGGTTACACAGATAAATGTGTTGCCTCATGCAGAGAAGCCTTCCCACTGACCCAAGACAGATCCCAGAAGGAAGTGAGGCAATGTGCATTTTCCCTGCCCCTGGCACACCTAATGTGTCTCTGCATCACCTTGATCAGAATCTGGCTCGACCACATGCTTTCTTAATTCTCTCTCCCACTAGAGTGTTAAATACCAAAGGGGAGCATTTATGAAAGCAGGATTTGTGTCTAATTCTGCTCTCCTCCCTCTGGGTCAGTACCATGGGTAACTAAATATAAGGGTCTTATTTAATGTAAGTAATAAATAAATGAATCAGTTAATGATAAATGAAGGAGTCAATGAGTTAGTGGTTAAATTGCAACCTTGATTCACAAATACTCTTTCTGAATGGCAAGCCTTGAAAACTCAAATTAGTGAATGTCTCCTGGTGGAAGAGAGGGAGTTCAGCCTATGTAGTGCCCTACTTCCCTGACCTATCACAAGCAAATTACTAACAGGTCTAATTATCCTTAAGTTTTCTTATTTCTAGGGACACTGCCACTTTTCATCCTTCAGGTCAGATACATAAGCCTGGTTGCTGCTGCCACTGTTATGCATCCACATTAATGCTTGCAATCATCATTATTATGATGTGAGTGCTAAATGCTAAAGCATGTTTACCTCTTAAAGTAACAACACTTGTTTTGATTCAGCCATTTTTTTAGAGTTTCACAATCTACCTGGATTCGTGCTTTATATATTTATGAATGTTAAGATTTTAAAGATAATTTTGAAATAAATACTCTTTCCACCCCTTCCTAAAGAACACACACACACAGACACAGACATGCTTTGTGGACTTCCCACATCTATCTGTAGCCACAGGAAACCATGTGTGATTAGGGTGATGGTTGGTTTCATGGGCAAACATGGCTGGCCAATTATTCTTATGTAACCAAACATGAGTCTAGGTGTTGCTGTCAACAACACAACAACAGACGTAGAAAGTTAACAACTACCATCCGTTGACCGTAAATAAAGGAGATCATCCTCAATAATGTGGATGAGTTTTATCCAATCAGTTGATGGCAACAGAAGCAAAAGTGAAGTTTCTCTGAAGAAGAAAAAATTATGCCTCAAGACTGAAAGCACTAGCTCTTGCCCTAGAGTTTTCAACCTGCTAGCAAGCTAACTCATCAGATTTTAGACTTGGCAGCCCCTGCAGTTGCACAAGCCAATTTTTTCAGGGAGAGAGATGGAGATAGAGATAAACATATAGAGCGATAGAGATAGAGAGAGATAGAGATAGATGATAGATAGATAGATGATAGATAGATAGATAGATAGATAGATAGATAGATAGATACAAGCCAATTTATTCATAGAGATAGACACAGAACAATAAATTAGATAGGTAGATGGATGGATTGATAGATGATAGATATTTAGTTATTAATAGATAGATACCCTAGTGATCCTGATACAAAACAACACATATTTATTCTCTCACACTGTAGATTAGGAATCACCACCTAGTTGAGTCCTCTGCTTCAGGGTTTCACAGGCTATAGTCAGGATGCCTGCTAGTATTGTGATCTCTGAAAGCTCATCTGTGGAGAAGGATTTAATTCTTTGCTTATATGGTTGCTGGTGGCATTCAGTCCCCTGGGAGGCCACCTCAGTTTCTTTTCCTGTGGCACTCCCCATAGGCGGCTCACAATATGGTAGCTTGCTTCTTCAAAGCCTGCAAGGAAGATCCTCTCAGTAAAACAGGTGTCATAGCTTTATGTAACATAATCACATACACATAATCATGTATATATTAGCATCTTTTCCATATTCTACTCATTTCAAACTAGTCCTACTCAACTCCAGGAGAAAAGACTGCATAGGGAGTAACACCATGCAGTAAGAAAGAAAAGGGGCCACCTTCACAGTATGTCAGCCACAATAAGTATGGTATCTCTTTTGTTCTGAAATTGATACATAGGCCCTTGTTTAATTCATATAAGAACTCGTTTTTCTAAAATTATTATTCAAAAAGTCGTTGACCTTGGAATCTTTTAAAACAATAAAGGATCTATGTAATCTGTATTTACTCAGTATTTTTGTCACAACTCACTCTTTCTCTTGTAATAGTGTTAATTACATCATATTACTACAGATTGTCTTGCAATCAACCAGATCTAGTCTACAAAACCAGCAAGATACAACTCATCACAATGTGTTTAAACATCAGTTAGTTAGGAAATATTTGTGCATACATATGTTTACATGTTTACTCTTTAAAGTTTTGATGGTGAATCAATACTTACTGAACTTTAAATACAGGCATACCTTACATTTTATAACTTGTCTCACAACAGTTAAGTGTTGTAAAGTAAGTTCTACTAAAATTCTTTCTCTTGCAATTATGTGATGATATAAAATCATTTGTAGATTTATTAGTACTTTTTAAATTAAAATTATATTTAGAAGCATTAGATTATCATTGATTTACATTTGGTTAGTTAGATATTATATTTTACATATTAAATATATTTATGAATATACAATATTATATATGATTTACTTAAAATTACAAACATACTATATTATAATAAATATAATATAAACTTTATTAATATATGTTATATATTTTATAATTCATTATTTATTTTAAGTAAAATTAAAATTAGTAATATATGCATTGCAAACAAAGATTTTTCTTCTTTAGGGACAATTTACCCAAAGAGGCATTTCCAGTGTGGATGCTGCTGCTATGAATACTGCCATGTCAATTCAGTGAATACCAGTGTCATTCTACTGATTTAACTAAAAAGGGTCAAAGCAAATCAGCCTTACAAAAATAATAATGTGGACCTAATTTCACTCCATTTCTCTTGCTGGGATTTTTCTACTGAGCTTGATATATCAAGAGCAGGAAATTATTTTCACATTTACATTATTCACATAATTAATTAAATCTGAATTCAATGCATGTTAGAAAGTACCCTAGAGATATGAAAAATGTCAAGATCTAACACCATTTCTCATGGCTTGCTATAGTAGAGCTGTTGTAATAAATAGATAGAAAAGAAATACAAGCAAAGCAATTTCTGATCTAGTGAATTACAGATGATGAATAGGATGCTGGTCACTCCAGGTAAGGTTTGAAACAAGTCTATTTCATTGTAACCTATCTTAAGAATACTTAGCATTTTGGGTGTCAGCTATTTAATTCAACCCTCCCATTTCTAAATTTATTCTGTAATATATTTAGTGAACTGCTGAAAAGATCAGAAAAATTTGATTATCACGGAGACATAAAAAAGGCTGAGAGAGCAATGTATTTTTGATATCATGTCAGATTTTACTTTTACTTCTATTCTATGAAAAAGAATAAATCCAAAAGCTATTTAAACAAAATTAATGGAACATGGTTTCAGCCTAAAGTCTCTGGAAGATCCTAAAAAACGTTACTGGCTTTCTATCTGTTCATTGTCCCCTTTTGAATTTTACCAAGATGAAGTAGAGGCTTGAAATTGCACAGAAAAAAAATAGAAGTAAAGTAAATGCACAAAACTGATCTCTTAGGTACCTTGAAAATTAATGAGCAGGAAGATTTAATTTGTTCAAAGTGGATTATGGACACTATGAAGGCACAACTACTAAGAATATCTTTAGGGATTTGTTTTAACCTTGTGGTTATACTGCAGGATTTTTAGCCTCCCTTACCCTAAAAGAGTTCCTTGAGGGAGGGGCACCTGAGTTCATCTTTGCTCTTGTTCACCTCCTGTAGTGAGTGGATGTCCTGTGTATAGGAAGCAAAAGTGCAGGATGCTGATGGTGGTCAGGGAGATCTTCTATTCCTGAATCTGTTTGTCTTCTTTTCATGGCAGTTTGGAGAAAATCCAGGGACTTGCAGACCTACAGTGGACAGGTCTGGCAAGGGGACAAATACTGTTCTGTTAAGCCAATGCACCAAGTCCCAGTGCCAGCCCCTGAAAAACTGGAACAGATGATGCAGATAACATATGTGCTTGGGACGGAGGCAGGCCCGGGGAAGGCTGAGCTCTTCCCGTCACACTTGTCCCTTGTAGGCTGGCCCGTGAGTCTGAGATCACTCTGAAATAGAGAGTTAGTTCCTGTAGCCATATATGCAACAATTTGATAAACAGAATCGCATTGGCTTATAACCCAAACTAAAAAAAATCCATATGTCTTTACTGATAAAAATAATTCAATAAATAGATAAATGGGGGAGAAGGGACAAATCTCTTTTTAGTCTTTTTTTGTGCAAAAGAATTTCAAATCTTTTGTGTAGATACTCTGCTCTCAAAGAAGCGGTACGTCAATCCCATCCCTTAAGTGTGGGCTGCACCTAGTTACTTCCTTCATAGGAGTTCAGTATGGAAAGTGGAAATAGAGTAAACTTTACAGTAGGGAAACTAGATTAACACTATAGTAGCCAGATGATCAAGGTCAATATCAATCAATGGTAGTAAGTCAAGTTGACAGGATGTACCTTCGATATGATGTGGTGAGAATGCACTTTAATTCTGTCTAATCATGAGCAAAACATGAGAATAATCCCGATGGAGGAACATTTTACAAAATACCTAATCAGTACTCCTCAAACCTTTCAATGGTATCAAAAACAAAAGCCTGATTAATTGTCACTTCCAAGGGGACTCTAAGAGACATGGCTACTAAATGTAATGTGTGCCCTGGGTAGAATTCAGGAGAAAAAAATAATATTATGAAAAAAAACAAGGAAGACAGAATAAAGAATGAACTTGATTTAGTAACAACGTATTGATATTATTCCATTAAGTGTAACAAATATACCCTACTAGTGTAAAGTGTTAATAAGGGAAACTTAGAGTAGGGTATATGGAAACTCCCTGTGCTAGCCTCACAATTTTTCTATAAATAAAAATGGCACTAAAAAAATAAAGGTTGATTACTTTCTTAAAAAGTCAATCCTGGGAAAGTAGCCCAGTCATCCGGAAAAGAACAGCCAAAAAAAGACTTTATGAGCGGCAGCATTGTATTTTATCTTTCTGTGACTCAGCAAAGTCATTTTCCATTGGGCATAATCTTGAAAAGCAAATAAATAAATGTAGAGCGCACTAAAAAACAAGAGGGATAATGGAGCTCTAAATGCTGCCTTTTTTCCTTGTAAGGCCAAATTCCAGTCAATATCACAGCAGACAGGTGCACCTTATTGAGGGAAATCAAATTAGGCGACTTACCTTTAGTACAATAATCTTGACCTAGGGACTATCTATTTATAATCAACTGACAGCATCAAGCCCTAATCAAATTCAAGATAAGGCCAAATGTGTAAAATCTTCTTTGCACTTTTGACTTTGCTACAAGAATGATGCTTAAAGTGCCCTATTAATTTGTAGTTCTATCCCAAGATGGAGTCATCTGGGGTAAATACTATGCAATTTGAATAAAAGTCAGAATTGTTTCTCATTGGGGGCTCTCACTGCTGGGAATGGAATTTTATAATACTAAATTGAGTTCATGTAGAATATTTATCTCGTATACTCAGCTCATCTTGATAATATTAATTCTCTTGAATGTGCTGAGAGGGAGGGAGTGGACAAGGATGAATTAACCCCATTTAACGCATCGCTGGCACACAATTGTTGTCCCAGCTCCTGCATCCTGCTCCTTCCTTCTGTCACTGTGTCTTCTGAACACTCTCCAGAACCACTGTTGTGTGTGCCACTGACTCTCACCTTGTGTGTGAAAGGAATAGGTAATATATAGGATGGTATGAAAAATGGGCAGCTCCTTAAATTATGATGGGATTTTCATAGTTATCAGACAGATTTTGGTCATTCCTCTTTCAATCTTCTATCGTCTGGCCTCATCGAGTTGATGTGAAGCCTCTATTTCAGCCACGCCAGGCTTCTCCGGCCATGCCCTCCCATCATCCTCATTATCACCACTCCCATAACTTTTTGCAACCTTAAAAGCTGTGAAGGGTATTGGTATGATCATGGGCTCCTTTTTCTTAAAGATGCAGGGTCTGGACCAGTCACCAGCTGTGTTGCTTGGGATAAGACAATTAACCAAACTCAGTTGCCAACAATGCTGCTTGACAGTTGCTAAATTGAGCCAACATTAGCTTAGTTTTTAATTTTGTTTGTATTCTCCAGCAGTATGTCCAAATGTAAGCAGTTTCTAAAAGTCAAATAATTGTGACTGTCCAAAGATTCATCAATATTTTCTCTGCCACTCCACAGAAGGCTTCACATGTCTTGATAAACATTCACAACACCCTAAGAATTAGCAATGCTTGGCCGGGCGCGGTGGCTCACTCCTGTAATCCAAGCACTTTGGGAGGCCGAGGCAGGCAGATCACGAGGTCAGGACATCAAGACCATCCTGGCTAACACGTGAAACCCCGTCTCTACTAAAAATACAAAAAATTAGCCGGGCGTGGTGGTGGGCACCTGTAGTCCCAGCTACTTGGGAGGCTGAGGCAGGAGAATGGCGTGAACCCAGGAGGCGGACTTGCAGTGAGCCGAGATCGCACCACAGCACTCCAGCCTGGGCGACAGAGCGAGACTCCATCTCAAAAACAAAAACAAAAAACAAACAAAAAAGAATTAGCAGTGCTTGCACCATCCCCACAGGAGGAGGAACAAGGGGTGGCAGGGCAGTGCCCATGCTGAGGTGAATGTCTGGTGCCATTGACGATCCGTGGTATTTCTCAGTGGAGTGGTCCACTTCTGTGGACTCTTGACAGATCGTTGGAGAACTTTTAGGAAGCTGCTAAATCATTTTCAGATCTCTGAAAGCTTATCATTTAGGTCATTGCTTGTTGTTCTATATACATTAAAATCAGCCTTTTCTATTTTCCAAAAGTAAAAATAATACAGTTCTGTAAATAACATATCATATTTTGGAAAATAGAAAATTCCAATTTTCATATGTATATTTCATTAAGATACCATAAAAGTAATGATTAAAGGGGATAAAAAATGTATACCTCAAATTTTAACCTCTGTATACAGTGTATTTCATTTTTGCACGTGTCCCTACATGTGTATACATGTGCATATAATTCATGTAATTTTAATAAAGTGAAGGATAAATGTTGCCTTCATTTTTTCAATAATTAAGATACAGACTTTTTCTTCTTCTTACAAAATCTTCTCAATTATTATGTTTACACTATGTAACAGTTGCTGGGACTTAACCATTTCCTGATGTTTAGAGAAAAATTGCAGTTCAAGATTTAGAAATTTTCCCTGGAATGCTTCCAGTCAGAACTGGCACCACATTTTCCTATTTCCATATATGCTTTAGGGCCATCTTTATTGCCACTTTAATCAACATATCAAAATATGTTAGTTTATCTCTAAAATGCAGCTGGCACTATTTCTTGTATTGCTTGGAGCTGGTGGGTTTTGCTAACTGTTTCCATCATTTCCCCTGCAGCGTCTCTGAATTTTTGTCATGAAGAAAGTAGAAGTGCAGGAAAGGTTAGAACCATGTGATGTTAAAGCAATTGCTATTCAGGCAACATCCCTGCCTCATTAGGAAGCTACGGCTTCCCTATAGCTCTGTGCAGATGGAGTGCTCTGTCCTGTAATGCTTCTCTCATGTTAATATGCAGGATATTATTAATTCAGCATATCAGCATTAAAGTATAGTAAGAGTAGTTATTATAGTCTAATGAAGGATGGTATACTGCTACTGTAATAGCTATGTTTCACATTATAGAGGTAAAATCCTGGTGGGGTAATACTTTAATAACCAGTAACCATTATTATGAAATTATGCTATTATCCCTTGGAATTCAGCGTCTGAAATTGCTGGGCTTCTTGCAACATCCAAACTCTTAGTCTCTGCCATTGCGTTGGTAGCTTGTGTGGATTGGTTAGACTAGAAATGCCTCCAGCTGAAAATGAAGATGTGGCTTTATTTGTGGACATGAGATCAGCTTGAGGTGTTTTGCTTTGCTTTTTTCTCAGATAGCAAACTGTTGGTTTTTCATGCTCAGTCATGTTTTGGAAATACATAGTTTAATTGCATTTATGAAAGAAACTTAATCTGACTTTACCATACTTAGCAGAACAATTTAATAGTTGTGTTAGTCCATTTTCACAGCAGTATACACTACCTGAGACTGGGTAACTTATAAAAAAGTTAAAAAGAGGCTTAATTGACTCACAGTTCCGTATGGCGGGGGAGGCCTCAGGAAACTTACAAGCATGAGGAAGGGGAAGCAGGCACCTTTTTTCACAAGGCAGTAGGGGAGAGAGCAAGGGAGCAAAGGGGAAGTGCCACACTTTAAAACCATCAGATCTGGTGAGAATTCACTGTCATGAGAACAGCACGGAGAACAGCACGGAGGAAACTGCCCCCATGATCCAATCACCTCCCACCAGGTCCCTCCCCCAACATATGGGGATTACAATTTGGATTACAATTCGAGATGAGATTTGGGTGGGGTCACAGCCAGACCATATCAATAGTTTAAAGTGCTTCTGTAGATATTATCAAGGGCAGACAAAGATCCTTAGAAGTGATTGGAAGAGTGAAAGAAACCTCCAGCTTTACTTGTTAGATACAAGGTTACAGATAGTAAGACCTCAGAGGGAAATCAGACACTAAAATGAAACAGTAGCAACCTGGGAACTGGGAGGCATCCTCTTGAAGCAATGTAGCTGGAGGTCTTAGTGAGCCATGTTGACAAAGGTTTGGGGATGGCAGAGGGGACACTTGCACCAGGCCACGTTCTCAGAAGTGCTCTGTAGCCTGGAATTAATTCCATGCAAGGACTCATGCCCAGGACATGCTGGCCAGTGGGAAGAGTCTCCAGTTGTCCTTCCACTGTTTGTATAGATTTACTCTAAATTAAACAGACTCCAACTCTCCTAGGCCCTACCTTCTGGGGAGAGTTCTTCACTTGTAAAAATTCTTCACTTGTAAACATTGATTATTACTGGGAATCCTCAGCTCTCTTCTGCCACAGTCACACTTGCCTTGGGTACCTGCCATTTCCTTTTAATCTTAATTGTATCAAGCAAGTCTTAAACTCACATTTGTGGTCCTGTTCGATGCTGACTCTCCAAAGCTGAGATCTTAACACACACATTCTCTGCCCTGGATTCCTCGTTCCTATAAGGGTAGAATGAATAATTGGCATTATTCTCTCTTTGTCTGTCATTCAGGCATATTTCTCCAATTCCTTGTTTTTTACATTTTTTTGTTTTTGACATTTTTTTCTGTTATTACATTTTTATTTGTTGTTTAGATGTTTTTTATTTAGATAAACCCACATGTCTTCTCTCATAAAGCTTTTTATTAATAATTAGAAAAGCCTTTCCTATTTCAAGGTTATTTTTAACTACATCATGTTTTTCTAATATGTTTATGGTTTTAATTTTTAAGTGACTTTTGTATATCTGGAATTTATTTTAGTATAAGTGGTGAGGTGTGGATTCAATTTTTGTTTTCGAATAGCTAGGGAGTTGTCTTGATCACATTTATTTACTAACCCACATTTGCCTGCTGATTTAAAAGTAAAACTCTATTAAACTCTATTTTGTTTATGAAATTCCTATATTTTTTAGCTTATTTCTAGATCCTGAATTATGTTCTATTGATTGTTTAGTCTCTTCATGACTTGGTATCACTCTTTGTTTTCTTTTCCTTCCTTTCTTTCTTTCTTTCTTTCTTTCTTTCTTTCTTTCTTTCTTTCTTTCTTTCTATCTTTCTTTCTTTCTTCTTTTTTTTTGACAGGGTCTGGCTCTGTTGCCCAGGCTAGAATGCAGTGGCACAATCTCAGCTCACTGCAACCTCTGCCTCCTAGACTTAAGCAATCCTCCTGCCTCAGCCTCCCAAGTAGCTGGGACCAGGTGAACTTCACTATGCTTGGCTAATTTTTCTGTTTTTTTAAGAGATGGTGTTTCGCCATGTTAAACAGGCAGGTCTTGAACTCCTGAGCTCAAGAGATCTGCTCACCTCAGCTTCCTAATGTGCTGGGATTACAGGTGTGAGCCACTGTGCCCAGCCCACTCTATTTTAATTAGTGTTGCTTTCTATTAGGTTTTCAATACCAAGTAGAATTAGTTCAACTTTATTACTCTTCATTTTTGGCACTGCCCTACATATTCTTTCACACTTATTTACCCAAAGAACTTCAGGATCAACTTATGTATGTGAGAAAACAATGTTGCTTTTACGTTCATTGGATGAGCACTGAAAGTTCATTGAATATAGGTGTAGGCTAATTTATATAAACTGGCTTCTTGGCGCCTTGTTCATCAGGGTTTTAATTTTCAATCCAGGTTTAGGATATTCATTTTCACTTAACTTCTGCTGTGTCCTTCAGTACAATTTTAAAGTTTTATTTCTCTGCATTGTATACATGCTTTGTAAAGTTTATGTTATTTTATCTATGCCTATTTTTCTTATAAATACAATATTTTGTGTCATTAAATTTTCTAGCTGTTGCCTGTGTTTAGTTAAGCTACTGATTTTATGGAAATTTTGTAATTAGCAAATTACAGAATTCTGTAATTGATTTTAAAAGTGTTTTTACTTGATTCTTTTATATTGACTCTCCATACAGTCCTGCCTCTCATAGCTACTTAAACTTGAAACCTATTACTTATCTGTGGGTTTTCCAATATATACGCAACATAGGTTTCTTTGTTTTCTAGCAACCATTATTTTTTTTATAGATGCATTAGTTTGTGAGACTACTGCTTATTTTCTGCTACATAAATTAGAAAATTGAAATTTGAGGGAAACTCATTAACAAATGATTATCCTCCTCCCTAGTTCTTGCCTACCACAAAGGAGTGTTGTGAGAATTAAACAGATGATTTCTTCAAAGTAGTTTTGACTGATATAGAGAATGATTCCACACAAGTACTAAGAATTAGGGTAAAGACTTATCTCATTAGTATTCAAAAACAGAGAGAGATTATAAACTAAGAATGATAAGTGGACCTGTGTGTTTAAAGAACTGACGTTGTATCTACGAAATGGAGATTTAGGCTCTCTGTAAATGATATAGATTAGTACAGCAAGTGCAAGGAGATGGCTTAGAGGAAAAGGCTGTGTTTTTCAAAAAAAAGAGGACACAGCCAAAAAACTCATGTTGAGTTTTGTGAGGATGATCATTTAGCAGTAGGACATATAGAAATTTATTCATAGTTTGCAGGCTTCAGTAACACTAGCAGATGCCACTCTAAGCATTTCAGGTGTAAAGGGTTTCATAAAGGATTTAGGTCTTATGTAATAGCTGAATATTACGAAATCTACCACAAAAGTCAGGGAACCTGCCCCTAGACCTCTCAGCCTAAGTCTTTGAAGCGAGTGGTTCTCAAAATCCCATGGAGATGCTTCCTTGGTGCTCAGGATTCCCCGGGGACCTACTGCCTCCCTCAGATTAGCAAAGCAGGTGGCTCCAAATCTCCCCTCTGCCCCTGCTACCTTCCCCACTGGCCCCAGGAAACTGTAGTGACCCTGGTGTCTGCCCAGCAGTCCAGTTGTATCTGAAATTCTTTGTCAAATTCTAACCTGGAGCCATTCAAGAAAAGAGATTCTATTTCCTGGCCTTGCTGGCAACATAGGGAAGTTCTTAGAAAAGGCAGTGGTGCATTTGAGCTGACCAAAGAGAGGGCCATAAATGCACCTAATAACATGATGTGAGAGGCTCTGGTTGGTGTGTGGCTTTACTGCACATGGTGACTCGGGGACCATGGTTAGTTCATCTTATGCCTTTGTTAGGTGTGGCGAATACCCAAGTTACCAGAGGTGAATCTGTATGGGCCTGCAGCAACTTCAGTTCTTGCCTCCTCAGAATAAAGAATTCGACTGAGAGGCATAAGGCAGAAAAAGAGACCAAGGCAAGTTTCCTAGCAGGAATGGAAGTTTATTAAAAAGCTTTAGAGGCCGGGCATGCTGGCTTATGCTTGTAATCCCAGCTCTTTGGGAGGCCAAGATGGGCGGATCACCAGGTGAAGAGATTGAGACCATCCTGGCCAACATGGTGAAACCCCGTCTCTACTAAAAATACAAAAATGAGCTGGGCGTGGTGGCGTGCACCTGTAGTCCCAGCTACTTGGGAGACTGAGGCAGGAGAATTGCTTGAACCTGGGAGGTGGAGATTACAGTGAGCCGAGATCACACCACTGCACTCCAGCCTGGTGATAGAGTGAGACTCCATCTCAAAAAAACAAACAAACAAAAAGCTTTAGAGCAGGAAAGAAAGGAAAGTACACTTGGAAGATACCCAAGCAGGGAACTTGGAGGTCAAGTGTGGCATTTGACATTTTGACTTGCAGTTTTATATGCTGGCCTACTTCTGGGGTGTTGCATCTCTTTTTCCTTCATTCTTTCCTTAGGGTGAGCCACCCTCATGCGCGGTGCCCTCCTTGCACCTGGGAGGTGAGCATGCACAGTGTGTTTAGGAAGTTGTGTGCATGCCCACCTGAGGCTTTCTTCCCTTTTCTGGTGGAATGTCCCTGGAAGGTCATAGTCATAATCTGCCATTTTGTCTCTTAATGAGCATGCTCAAGCTCACTTGCCCAATTCCTGAGATTTTATTGGAAGCTACTAATTACCAATTTCAAGTGTTTTTATCTATTGGGAAATTGCCTCTCTCTGGCACTGGCTGCAACCAATTATCATTTTAGAGAACCAGTGTGACAACTGCTGGACCATCAGGAAACTGCCTCTCCCTGGTGTCAGCTGTGACCAATTATCATTTTAGAGAGCCAGAGATAACTGCCGAACCATCACCTGATGGTGGCCTGACATTCCTCATTGGCTGGGTTTTGGGGAGCCCTTTACTGCACCACTCATGCCTAACTACCTGCTGTATCACCTTCCCCAACCCCTTGGGCCTGAGTCCTCCACATCATTCAGCAGATGGTGGGTGGTTGGAGAGTTGAGTGATGTACCTGCTTTTCAGCTGCCTTGGGCTAGAAGTGACCGTATCACTTCCACTCACATCCAACAGGCAGAAACAGGTTCTCATCCCCATCTGGCTACAAAGGGGGCTTGAAGTCCCTGATGTGAAGCTACTACCCAGTGACCATTCCATATGATAGAAAAAGGGGACAGTGATACTGATGCATAGAGCCGAAGAAATAAAGAATCAAAACACAAACATTAAAGTCCACTTTGATATTACGCTTTTAAAAATTAATCTTGGGAGTAGTATGCAACATGAACTAATACTTCCTCAACATAGTTATATGCTTGATATCTTAGATTGTTCCTAACCTTTAAAATATCATATTCTATACTTGTGAATATGCTTGAGTTTTGCACAGGACGAAAATATTGGCTAAAAGAAACCCACTTTCATGCCTGTATTAAACTAAGGTATTATCCATCTTTTGCTTTCTGTTGTTGTAATTCACATTGACCACGAGCCCACAAGGAATGACCTTAGTGTTCTGAGTCTTTTGGAGAATCATACCTCATAAAAAGTGATGAAAAGTATTGAAGTCCCAATGAAATATACTTATCATTCATTATATCACACATAGTAATATTTACTCAAATTCCTACAGGTATGTGTACCTCATGTCCCTGTCTTTGGCTATTAAAGTAAAATACTTTTGGCTCGCCCTGTTTGGAACAGTCTGTAGTCACCCAATACATTATGCTAGGAGTCTTTTGTCATTAAGGAGAAAATAAACAAGTGCTCTTCTGAACCGACTTCTATTTAAGTCACTTAGCCAAGAGATTTTCAGGAGTTGACTTAAGCCAGGAAAGTGAGATAAATTTTATCTGTAAAAACAGTTTGACTGAATATTAAATGAATTAATGTTTATTTGTCTGCCTTTGGCCTAGGATTTCTGAAGCCAGATGTTTTCATCTCTTGCACTTAATGATGGCTGGTGTATTTATTTCAGTGAATGAGTGGAAGGCAGAAAGACACAGTGAGAATGTTGACCCACACACCTGATCAAAGGGATCTTAAATAGACATTCATCACCATAATGCAGCTGCCTTCTTTGTCCTTTACAATCCATGAAATTCAAACCGGATTCACACCACTGTCATCATCGAGTCACCTACAAAATGAGTTTTGAGTTAAGTTTGAAAATCGCGTGGATTTTTACAGCAGAAAAAAAAATTGTTACAGAGATTCATGTGTTTCCCCAAAGTGCCATTACTGCTTAAAGGTTAATTAGTTTTATTACATACCTCTGTTTCCATTGACCTGTTGACTTTTTAGACTCAACTCTGGGTACCTGCTTGAACCATCTCTGCCCTAGTGACTGTCTTCTATGTGTTTGAGGTTTGAGTATCTTTTACCAGAATTTCAGCACCATTTGAGGCAGTAGTTATACCTGTGACAAGAATATTTTATAGATCATATATTTTCATACAGTTTTTTTATTCTAAAATAAGCTTGGCACAAAAGGGCTCACAACATAGGCAGCATTACCATAAAATTTTAAACAGAGTGTACTTAAAACTTCATAAAACCAGATGATGATAAGAATAGCACATTTTCACATAATTAGAGATTTACTGCGGTATTATAATTTCATTTCCACAAAGCAACCTTTCATGCAAGGGGTTTTCAAGCATGTAATTATGAAATGCAGTTCAAAATGCCAAATGGAAGTGGCATGTATAGAATTTCTGAATAGTCATGTCAGAGACAGTTCGAGCTTATGGGAAACTGGGAAGTGTTACAGAACTTGGCACTTTTTGGGTCTAAAAAGGAAACCTGGAATGACAAAAGAAGTAATAGAATGTAAGTGAATTCCTCCAAGTGGTAACCTAAAGTGAACCTGAGTTTCCTCTGTGAATGCACAGACCTGTAATAAGAGTGTGTTGCTGGGGCATCGGCCCCTCTGCAAGAGTGTGCTGCCATGTAAAGTCAATTCCTCAGTTACTGCCAATTGTGCTTGACAGTCACAAAGTCTGTTTCTCAACATGTACTGTATCATTAACAGCTGTTATGGGTTGCATTGTGTTGAATCCCCTCAACATTTATATTGAAGTCATAATACCTGTTACCTCTTTTTTTATTTTATTTATCTTTATTTTTATTTTATTTATTTAATTTTTTGAGATGGAATTTCGCTTTTGTCGCCCTGGCTGGAGTGCAATGGTGCAATCTCAGCTCACACAACCTGTGCCTCCCGGGTTCAAGGGATTCTCCTGCCTCAGCCTCCCGAGTAGCTGGGATTACAGGCATGTGCCACCATGCCTGGTTAATTTTGTAATTTTTTAGTAGAGACAGGGTTTCTCCATCCTTGTCAGGTTGGTCTCGAACTCCTGACCTCAGGTGATCCGCCTGCCTCGGCCTCCCAAAGTGCTGGGAATACAGGCGTAAGCCACCGCACCCGGCCACCTGGTACCACTTAATGCGACCTTATTTGCAAATAGAGTCATTGCAGATGTAATTAGTTAAGATGAGGTCATACTGGAGTACGGTGGCCCCTAACCTGATATAACTGGTGTCTGTACAAAAAGAAGTTTGGACACAGATAACACACAGGGAGACATCACATGAACATGGAGAAGAGATTGGGGTGATGTTTCTAAAAGCCAGTGAGCACAAAAGATCACCAGCAAACTACCACAAATTCAGAGAGTGCATGAAGCATAGTCTCTCTCTCAGCTCTCAGAAGCAACCAACTCTGCTGACAGCTCCATCTCACACTTGTATCCTCCAGCGCTGTGAGATAATAATTTTCTGTTGTTTAAGTCACTCAGCTTGTGGTATTTTGTTATAGCAGGCTAGAAAACTAATACAATAGCATGACTGCAGCTGGAGCTATTCACGTTTAAATAAAACACTTTTAAATGAGCATGACTTAATAATTCAACAAAAAGGTACTTGAGTAGCATTAGGTTTTGTGTGTTGCAATCTAAAATCTATCGGACAAGCCATTCGGTCATTGCTCAGCATATTTTAATTGGTCCATTAAGCCTTCGTGGATATTGAGTGGGTGAAATTCCATGAATATTTAATGTACCTCTGCATTTTCTTGCTGAACTATGGACAAATATATATAATTACTGAAGATGAGCAATAATATCTAAGTTTTGCCCTCTTAGTTCCAAGATAGTAAAGCTCTTAGAAGACTAAGCTGTGTGATATGAAAACCAAGACAAATATGATTTTAAAGAAAATTATATAAGATTATTATACCTGTGAATTAACAATAAATACTCATATTTTATTCACTAAAGAATGTCTCTTACCTGTTGATTATCCTATTAGAAATGAAATAAATATAAATAAATTATGAAAGAACAATGTACATAATATGTGTGGTTTCCTTGAACCTGTCTGAAAAATTGTTTTATTTTTGTTGATTTATGACCAGAATTTGGAAGCCTTTGCCTGCATAACTAAAGACACTAAGCTGTTGTTGTAATTACAGTCTCTTTAATACTGCTATTGATAGACATTTTAACTGAAAAATATTTTAAAAATGCAGAATCACATATAATAATCATTTGGAAGACACGAATATTGTCCTAAAGTTATAACTAAAAGTTATAATTTTATATTTTACAGAGTAATTTTACAATCTGGTAATGTTGCTTCTCTCAAACCAATTAATTTAAATAGACCAAAGTCCACAAACAGATATACAGACAGTGCAACTCAACATATCAGAATCCAGTATAATGCCTGTTCTGCGTTGAGATAATTTGTATAGTGACAGAAAGTGGTTTAGTGGTTGCCTAGGGCTGAGGATGAGAATAGGGTGGGTGGTAACTTTCATCGGGTACAAGGCCCATTTGTAGGGTGATGAGGTGGGCTGATAAATGACCCCTTCCTTAAAGTATACCCACTTCTAAATCTCCAGAGTCTGTTAATTTTACCTTATATGGCAAAAGATGTAATGGAATTAAGAATCTTGAAATGAGGAGATTGCCCCGGGATTTTCTGGTGGATTCTAGATGCAGTCATGTGCATCCTTATAAGAGGTAGAATGAGGGAGAATTGACACACACACAATGGAGATGGTGATGTGAAGATGGAACAGAAAGACGTTTGTAGATTCTAGCCTTGAAGATTCGAAGACGGAAGCGATGCCACCACAAGCCAAGGAATGCCCATAGCCACCAAAAGCCAGACAGGCAAGCAGCAGATGATCCCCCAGAACCTCCAGACAGAGCATGCATGGCCTTGCCACACCTTGACTTGGGCCCCATGAGCCTGATTTGGACTTCCAGCCTCCAGAACTGTGAGGAAGCAAACTTCTGTTGTTTTAAGCCGTCAAGTTTATGGTGATTTGTTACAGCAGGCCCAGGAAACAAATAGAACTAATGAAAATGTTCTAAATTTTACGTTGGGATGATGGTTGTACAACTCTGTAAATATACCAAAATTTATTTAGTTGTTCACTCAAGATGGGTAAGTTTTATGCTGTGTAAATTACATCTCAGTGAACCTGATTTTTAAGAGGATTTAACAAGCATATCAAAATTTTAAAATTTTAAAATGTTAGGTAAACTTCTTAGCTATTGGATGTTACTGCAACATAGTTGCAAATTTTTCTCATAATTTAGTTTTTCTTCCACTCCAGTTATATTTATTTAGGAACACTTTCATTCCAGAATTAAATCCAAGGTGAGAGTGCTTAATTTTATTTTAAAGCAATGTTGAACAGCGTAAATGTCATTCAGCATAGAAGCTCAACAATCAGAAAATGGAAGTCATATTAAACTTTTAATGCATCTGTATAAAGAACAGGTCAAAAACTCTCAAAAGTTAATATTAAGACAACAACAAATATTTTTAATGAACAAGATTGGGAGACTGAGATGGGCGGATCCTGAGGTCAGGAGTTTGAGACCAGCCTGACCAACATGGTGAAACCCTGTCTCTACTAAAAAATACAAAAATTAGCCAGGCGTGGTGGCAGGCGCCTGTAATCCCAACTACTCTGGAGGCTGAGGTGGGAGAATCGCTTGAACCCAGGAGGCGGAGGTGGCAGTGAGCGGAGATCGCGCCACTGCACTCCAGCCTGGGAAACAACGAGACTGTGTCTCAAAAAAAAAAAAAAAAAAACAACAAAAAAAAAAAACAAGAAGAAAAAAACATGTGGGTGATAATTAAGCACAGGAAAAATGCCCAACACCATTAGTTATATAGAAATGTTCTGTTTCTATTTTGGTGGTATTTCCATGACCACATATTTGACCAAACTCATAAAGCCATATGCCTTAAAAGCATGACTTTTACTGTGTATAAGTTATGCTTTCAGAAACCCGATGTTCAGGAGAAACTACGAAGCATAAACAATCTTTAGAGGATGACAGAAACTGGTTTATTATCTTAAACACTAAGTAAAATAAAGAGAAATAAGCATTTATCTTGCCTTTCATATGTGAATGACACCACTAAGCAACTAAATGGGAGATAAGGAGAGGTATTTAAAGAGTATTCCAACTAACAAATACAATATAAATAATAGAATTGGCGTGTCATCCTTTTGTAAGCCCAGTGGATTAATGATGGAGACGTTAAGCAGCAATGGTGCTGGCATCAGTAAAAGAGAGACAATCAGATATAAACTTCTTCCTAATGAAAGAACATAACTCCAACAACAGTCTCACCAAAGGAATGGTACTAGAGATGGCCCAGATGCTAATTTTTTTAGAAATAAGGAAGACAGAGGAGCAGGTTGATGGACAGCCACAGTGTACAGGCAGCAGTCCTGAGCTGAGGGGAAACTGAAGTAAATGACCAGGATGTTCAACAGGGAGGTTGTAAAGAAGAGGGAAGGATGAAATGGACAAGAGTAAGCTGCAGTGACTTCAATGATAAACAATAAAGCACGGTACCTAAAAAAATGACTGCTACAAAAGTCACCATGAGAGTTACCTCTGGGGGATGTGTATCGAAAAGTGGTTTGAGTGAGAAAGACAGTTGAATTAATTCTTGGATTTTGAAATAAATAAATGTATACAAAACGTAATATTTCAAATAATATCCAGACAATAATAATAAAAGATATTATTTTCATATAATCTGTTAGCCCTTTGTAACATATACATGGTAGAATAAGATTTTTTTATTTTATTTTATTTTATTTTGTGAAACAGAGTCTCACTCTTTTGCCAGGCTGGAGTACAGTGGCACGATCTCGGCTCACTGCAGCCACCGTCTCCCGGGTTTAAGCAATTCTCCTGGCTCAGCCTCCCGAGTAGCTGTGATTACAGGCACGTGCCAACATACCGATCGAATTTTTGTATTTTTAGTAGAGATTGGGTTTCACCAGGATGGTCTCTATCTCTTGAACTCGTGATCCACCTGCTTTGGCCTCCCAAAATGCTGGGATTACAGATGTGAGCCACCGCTCCCAGCCAAATAAGATTCTTATTTTCACTTTGAACAGCCTGTTGTTGACCATTTCAAAGCCCTTCAGTTTTTTCTTTGACCTGGTGATATCTTCTAAAATTGCTGGTTTATGTGGATTCACCGTAAATCAGATTCACCGTAGGCAATTTTCAAAGTTTGTGAGAAAACTAAGATTTCCAAATGAAGTTTTTTGAAGTTTTTGTTTCATTTTGTTTTTAGTTTTAGGCGATGTTAATTGAATATCCACTGAATGCTTGGCATGTGACATCACATTCGATCTTCACCTGTGGGGATTCAACAGGCTGATGATGCAGCTGGTGGGATTTTTTATTCCATGCACAGGAAAATAAACTCAATAGGAATCATTTTTGCATTGATAACTGCATTTGAAATCACACCCTTTAGAGAGAAAATGGCCTAATTGGAGCATATTTTTGGAGCATATTTTTGGCGGAACTATTTACATTTAGTAAATGTAAATATTTATTTATTTATTGCAGCACTATTCACAACAGCCAAGACATGACAACACAAGTGTCCCTCAAGGAATAAATGGGTAAAGGAAACGGGGCCTATACACACAAAGGAATACTATTCAGCCACAAAAAGAATGAAATTCTGTCACTTGCATCAACAAGGATGAACTGGAGGACATTTTGTTAAGTGACATAAGCCAGGCACAGAAAGACAAACACTGCACAGTCTCTCTTATTTGTGGCATCTGGAGAAGTGATCTCTCATTGAAGTAGAGACTGGAATAGTGATTACAAGGCTGAGGAGGATAGGGGGTAGGGCAATTAGGGAGAGATTAGCCAACTGGGACAAAGCTACCATTAGATAGGAGGAATAAGTTCTAGTATTTTATTGCACAATAATGTGCCTATGGTTAACAATATTGTATATCAAAATTGCTAGAAGAGAGGATTTTGGATGTTCTCACCACAAAGAAATGATAAATGTATGAAGTGATGCCCATGTGAATCACCCTGATTTGTCTAGTCCACAATGTGCACTCGTATTGAAACATCTCATTGTATCCCATAAATATGTTCAATTATCATGTGTCAATTACAAACAAAATTAAAAGAAGAAAAGAGGTGCTTGATGAAAAGGTGCCTCATTCTGTTCTAAAATCTGCTGCAGTGAAACTCCACCACTGGCTCTATCATAACACGTGAGACTGTCCTCATTCTCCCTCTGGCCTCCCCTGCTGTCACAGCTTTGTCACTCTGGCATGTGACAGCACAGCTTGCAAATAACTGAAGGCCATTCACCCCATTTTCCCTTTGGCTAAGTGCCCCCAAGTTCATTCAGCGCTTCTTATGAGAAGCAGTCTATTGAAAGGAATGACCTCTAAAATTTCCTCTAATTTTAATGTTTTGTATTTAAAGGAAGATCTTTACATCCTGTGAATTATCTCTAACTCTGTTACAGAAAAGACCATGGCTGGTTGGGAGCTTTTAATTTTTCTATGAATCCTCTATGTGGTAGTTCTGTATGATAATGGGAAATAAAAGTATTGAATGGGATTTAGTCTGTGTTCCTATTAAATCACTTTCATGCTCTTCCTTTAGGGAAGTTCCGGAAGTCCTTTTTCTGAGTTTTTGATAGATACTGTATTTTCCTATAAAATTATTGTCTGTGTTGCTAGTGCTTAAGACACATTAAATATGAGTAAAAGCTTCCCTACTTCCCATCGCCAACTTCTCGCTGTGTTGTAATCATCTGCTTTGGGAAGCAACAGAAAGGAGATGTGCTCACTTGAGAACAGAGAACAGTAAAATTGCCCCGATCCTCGCAGCAGGTTAGTGTCAGGCTGTGGGTGGAAGGGAAGGAAAGCCTGTGCCAGCGGTTCTGTGCTTTCCTTCTTCTGCAGAGCTATGTTCTCAGGTCTGTAGACCTTGTTCAAAGCTGCCTGGAGAACAGATGCCGCTCCAGAGAGAGTGCTGCATTTGCTTGCCTGTGGGAATTTCTCCTTTCGTTTAATTTGGAAATGGGGCATGCTGCAGTGGTTCCGTATGGAACATTAAAATCCGCGAGCTGTGAAGCATGAGATCCTCTGCCTAATTCATCACTGGTCTTCACCACCATCATTCTGACAAAAAACATCTGTTCAGGAGTTGGGGGGGGGGGGTCCCACATCGCCACCTCCCAGGCCAGTGGGAGAGCCACAGGCCTGGCTCTGAACAGGTCCAAATGAGACCCTGAGCAGTTTCCTTTCTGTAGCAAGTGTTTCTGAGCTGCCATTAGTGTGATGACTTAGAAATAGAAAAAAAGGCAAAGAGAAAAAGTGACAAACCATAACTGCTTGCTGAGTCTCCTAACACTCAAAACTCAGTCATTATTGTGACTGATACTAAAATCTATGATTTCTGTGGGACTGATGTGTTATTTAAGCTAAGATTGCAGAGGGTTTCATGTCAAAGGTGTCACACCCTCTTGAAAAATAATTCACACATGATGATAAATATTAAAGCTTCCAAATAATCACTCTGCAAACTGCAACTCCTCATCACTGGAAGTTGTCAAAAGACCACAACCAAAAAAAAGGAGGTGGGGGTGGTGGGAAAAAATACCTGAAGAGCTCCAGCTAAAATTCTAATTTATTCTTATTTTAAAATTGTACTATATTCTTATTTAAATGGGGCCAGGGGATGGAGGCAACTATCACATCCTAATTGGAATTCAGATTCTTAGAACTCAGACTGGATACAGAAAACATGAAGGACAAGCTGCAACTAATGGAATGAGGCTGCTGGAGCCATGAGGCCCGTCCTGTTCACTGAGGAAGCGAGGATGCACCTGCTGTACTCCCCTCTGCTGGGACTTGTTCCAGAGGAACAGACCAGGCACGGGCCGAATCCTCTCACAGAGGCCATGATAGGAAGGCAATACCCACATCTCTTCCAAAGGCAGAGAATCACACAGGCTGCAGAGGCCCTAGTAACCCAGCATAGTGTTCCTTGCTCAGAAGATAACAGAAGCATCCATGCACTCTTTGTAGATGAATGTGCACAATGACTTTTTAAAAACCAAACACCGCATGTTCTCACTCATAGGTGGGAATTGAACAATGAGAACACATGGACACAGGAAGGGGAACATCACACACCCGGGACTGTTGTGGGGTCGGGGGAGGGGGGAGGGAAAGCATTAGGAGATATGCCTAATGTTAAATGACGAGTTAATGGGTACAGCACACCAACATGGCACATGTATACATACGTAACTAACCTACACGTTGTGCGCATGTACCCTAAAACTTAAAATATAATAAAAAATAAAATAAAAAAATAAATAAATAAATAAAAAATAAATAAAAAGTCAATGGCATAACAGCCAGGTGTAGCCCTCGAGGTTCACATGACAACATATAAGCCTCCACCACAGTATCTTCCAAGGATCACGGAAGGGCCAGGATGCAACATCGGATCTGACAGTGCCATGATATTTGCACCCACCTCAAAGATCCTGATGAAAGTCAGGGGCCTACCTTCTACAGAGAGGAACCCCGGCCTTTTGTGCTGCAGTTATTTTTTGTACCGGAGAGGTGAGGAGATGTGGCAAGCCTCGGGCAGTTCATGACGTGGAGTAACCAGGAGATGGGTTTTCCCCACAAAAAGACCGTTAAATTAATTCCACCATGTTCAGAAGCAAAAGACACTCTGAGTGTGATTCCTCATTTGACCCTCACTGCAATCTTAAAAGTGAACTTATTATCTGCCCATGACCACAGAGAGAACTGAGATTTTGAGAGACTAAAAAGCTTGCCCCATATCACTCAGCTAAGAGCCAGCAGAGGGAAGGATCCAATTCAAGAGGTGTCTGGCCCCAGAGTTTAACTTCTGCCAGCAACTTGTATCTCCCTCTGGAAAAACTTGGTGAAGGTCGTGTCTCCCTGGGGTCTTTTCCCCAGTGGTCCAGAAGGCAACTTTCTTCACCCATAGAACAGCAATCACTCAACTCATGTTGAACACACAAGATAGTCAAGTTGTCAGAAAACAGGAAAGAAAGAACAGCAAAGTGTACAGAGGGACAAAAGCTACCACATTAAAGCACTCGGTTAATCAGTCCCAGGTTGAGGAAAAACAGGAAGCCATATTTTGCAAGTTAGGTGCAAGGCCTTTACTTCAGCTGCTGTGAGCTACTGGCATTCTCAAGTATCTTTTCTTGGACGTGACAGTTAAATTTTATGTCAACCGGGCAAGGCTACAGTGCCCAGTTGTTTAGTCCAATATCAGCCTAGATATTGCTGTGGAGGTATTTTTCAGGTGTGATTAACAGTTTATATCAGTAGACTTTGAGTAAAGTAGATTGCCTTCCATAATATTGGTTGGCTTCATCCAATTAGTAGAGAAGGCCTTGTGAGCAGAGACTGAGATTTCCCGGGAAAGGAGACATCTCCTCAAGACTGTAACATAGAAATCCCTCCTGAGCTTCCAACCTGTCCTTCTGGGCAGTCATACAGCATGTCCCCTTGAACCTCCCTCAGATTCCAGTGATATGATTTGGCTGTGTCCCCACCCAAATATCATCTTGAATTGTAGTTTCTATAATCCCCATGTGTCATGGGAGGGACCCGGTGGGAGGTTATTGAATCATGGAGGCCATTACCTCCATGCTGTTCTCGTGATAGTGAGTTCTCACAAGATCTGAGGGTTTTATAAGGAGATTTTGCTTATGAGGATGTCTCTACAATGCACTTCTTTCCACACTTTTTTCTTGGAACTGGAACTGGACAACACAAAAAGTGAACTCTAATGTAAATTCTGAACTTAGTAATAATATATCAATATTCATTTATCAATTGTGACCAAAGTACCATGGTGATGTAAAATGTTGATAACGGAAGACAATCAGAGGAAGGGGGTTGAGAAGGAAATAGATGGGAACTCTCTGTACTCTCTGTATGCCCAACACTGCTCTAAAAACAAAGAGAATAGTTCTCTACCACATAGTCACAAAGTTTAATAAGTATAAAATATGAAAACTAGGTGGTGAAATAAATCCTACCAGAACAGTATTTGTAGGGAAAAATTTATTCAAAATTTATTGTGGGTGAAACAACTCCTGCACTGGATTTTTTTAAGGATCCAGAAATATTTTTCTATCAAGAGAAACACCTGCCTTGGGCTCTGAATTTACAGCTAAGGGTGGCAAACTGTGGCCTATGGGCCCAATATGGCCTACTACCTGTTTTTATACAATCTTCAAGCTAAGATTTTTTTTAATTTTAATGGATTTTAAAAATCTAAAGAATAAAAATATTTTGTGACACATAAAATTTTATGAATTTCAAAGTTCAGTGTCCATAAATTACTTTTATTGAAACACAATAAAGTACCTTCATAAAATGTTTAATTTTGCCTCTCAGTCCACAAAATCTAAAATACTTCCAATTTGCCCTTTGCAGGAAAAGTTTGCTGGCCCTAATTTAGAGGGTCCACTGTATTGTAAAAAAAGAATTTATGAAAGAACACATGTACATCTCTCTCACTCAAGGTCTCACATTTATGGCAGATCCAGCAAGAGCAAAACTGTAAGCATCTGCTTATATTACTAACATCAGTGAGGCCCAGAGAAACATTTCTGTGCAACTGTTATTTATATCGTCGAAACAAAAGCACTTATGTGTGAATTCCACGGAGTTTTGAAGTTTGTGCTCCCAGAAGGGCTTAAAACAGACAGCACTTTGGAGTATGGTGTGGATTTGAAGAGTAACAATGCCTAGGAAAAAGAAAAGACAACTGAATAATCTCGCTAAATTTTTCCTCTTACATACATAGCATAAACACAAGAGACATGTACACACAAGGTATCATCCCAAGTAATGTGGATAATATACTTTCTTTTAGTTGGATTCAAGTGTGTAGTTGATTTTGGAAGTACCCTTAAATTGGCAAAGAGTTGCCATTTGCATGTGGTGCCTGAATAATATTTTGCAATAATAAAAAATTCAAATACTCTTAAAATTACATAGCCTAAAATATTCTTAAATTTGTATAGTCTACAATATTGTTAAATGTATTTAGTCTAAGTAACGTGTTTGAAGTATGACATTGATTTTTTTTACCTTGGCAACCATAACTGGAAAAATTTTTAGCAGGACAGCAGGTAGGAATACATATTGAATCAGTATTAAAAATGTTTAATACTGATTCAATATTAAAATCCATGTTTCTTAATAGAAATTGCACAAAGACCCACAGGCAATTATTTAATTGCTATACATCACAGCAAAACTTGGAAACATCTCGAATGGCCTTACATAAGAGACTGACTTAAAAAAGTTTTGCACATCTATATAATGAAACCTAGTTCTAGTAGCTGGTAGATCTATATGTGATAAGGTTAAGTGCAAAGGCACATCATTCTAGAGCATGGAGATGGGGCAGGAAGTGAATATTGCTGGAATGATGCTTGCTAGAGATGTACCTTAACCTGAGTTATTTAGAATGTTTTTTAATCAGGGATATATTTTCTAAGTATATTTTAATTCTGGAAAAATACACTTTTGTGAGCTTAGGTTGATCAGTCAATAAATCTGAAATACTGGGTTAGAATTAGAAAGCCATCTTGTACTAAAAATGGCCCATTTCTCCCCTGGCTGTTCTCTAGTCTAATCTTCTGCCCGTGTTTTACTTCTGAATTGCATGAGAGATTTGTGGAATACCATTAGCAATGGCTGAGGAATTACTTTCACGCTAAACTCTTGTTCTTAGCCACTTCTAACTTCTTGAAAATATTAGCCAAAAATTTCTCTAGCTGTTTTTGAGCCAAAGATAACTTTTACTGGAAAAGCTTAGGAAGAAAAATAATTCCCCTTTGCTCCTGTTAGCTATTTATGCCTAAATCAAAGATTTTTTATGCATTGAAAGAAAAAGAATAGCGTTCACATATATTTTTATTTATGGATAACCTGAAAGGGTTTTTGCTAAATACCCCCTTAACTTGGCATGGTTTCAGGTAAGCAGAATAGAACAGGAGTAACTGAAACTTTCCTGTGCTTATGGCTTCTCTGTATATGTGGAACCACACTGCGAGTCTTTTCATATGCAAGTATCATTCTCTAGTGTGTGTTTGTTTATTTTTAATGAAAGCAGCAAGCCATGTGATTTTTCTCACATTTTTGTATTATTTCTCTCTTTCTCTCATTTTGGATTTTATTTAGTTTTAAATAGGTAATACACATAAGGTATAAGACTTCAACGAACAGAAGGGCAATAGTGAAAATTAACTTTTTCCACCACCCATTCCTCAGGCCCACCTCCTGAGTCAGATGACGGGCTGGACAAGCTGTGGTACATCCTTCCAGGTGTCTTCTCTACATGTGCAAGCACGTATGCACATACAGCAGACTTCTGCTGACTCAAGTGGATTTGTGTCTATTCTGCATTGCAATCCCTGGGGCTCAGAGGGCTTTTGCCAAGATGTCAGTTCAAAGAGAGGAACCGTGCATGTGTGACCATCTGTGTGCTCCAGATCAGTTTCTTTATTATCTCATCAATCAGCTTCAACCAGACACCATCACCACGAGGCTTCTCAATAATAGGAATGGCTCCGTTGGCTTTCACTGTGCCTGCCTGTTCACTCTGGAGGGAAAAGCAGCAGTGGATACCAAGACCTGCGTGAACCTTTCCCTCATATTTCCATACTTGGTAAAATCTGGAGGTGCTGTCTTCTGCCCTTTGTGCCCAGCAGTCATTCTGAGTCCTCCAATTACCCTATCCCAGGCATCTACCTTTTGGACTCCAAAATAACTTACCCATGCATCCTACAAGAGAGCCAGAATGGCTCATGCCTGTAATCCCAGCACTTTGGGAGGCCGAGGCAGGTGGATCATGAGGTCAGAAGATAGAGACCACCCTGGCTAACATGGTGAAACCCCGTCTCTACTAAAAATACAAAAAAACATCAGCCGGGCGTGGTGGCGGGCGCCTGTAATCCCATCTACTCTGGAGGCTGAGGCAGGAGAATGGCGTGAACACGGGAGGCGGAGCTTGCAGTGAGCCAAGATCGCGCCACTGCACTCCAGCCTGGGCGCCAGAGCGAGACTCGGTCTCAAAAAAAAAAAAAAAAAAAAAAAAGAGACAGAGCCAGAATGTGCATCCCAAGACACAGACAGAGGAATTGAATGGCCAGTAGAGGTTATCATCAGTGGCAGCAGAGACTGGCAGGATTGCACCATGTCAGCAAAATAAGGATGTACTTGACATTTCCCATCCATTACTTCCCGGAAACCTCAACCGGAGAAGTGAGGCTCTGCAAATGGAAGGGAAGGGAGGTCCCAGAACAACTCCATAGTCCCTTTCTCCACTCACCAGTGCTGGAGCGGGAAGGAGAGGAGTGAAAGAACAGACAGACCCCTCCCAAGTGCAGGTTCCTGGAGCCACCAGCGTGGCTATGCAAGGGGGAGAGAGAAACTTTGAGCTGAAGTAAGATTGGGATTTAAAACTGAATGGATTTCTAAAAGCTAGTGGATATGGTCAAGATGGAATTAAACAAAATGCTACAAAATGGTGAAGGAAGGTTTGACATAGAACGTTATTGGCAGTGGCTACAGAAAAAAAGCCACACCACAGTCACCCCCTATTAGATTCAGACTGTTCACTATGTGTTTCCATAATCCACGACTTATGAGGTAGGGACAGGTAGATAGGTAGACAATTGATCTATTGTTCTTGTCAATTGATTTAGCCCATTTCTCAATTTATGTATTAAAATGCTTTGATTAGAGAGTGTAGACACAGGTGCATGTTCAGATATGTTATTATAGTCTTTGAAAACTTATTGCCTAGAAATACAGGCCTTCTTCATTTTCCCTTTCTGTGTGCTACACTCGCATGCACACACATGCGTAAGAAATACAGCTGCACACATCAGTATGAACCACCCTGTTAAGAAGCAGGTTAAGAAGTCTGGCGGGGAGGAGCCAAGATGGCTGAATAGGAACAGCTCTGGTCTACAGCTCCCAGCGTGAGCGAAACAGAAGACGGGTGATTTCTGCATTTCCATCTGAGCTTTGAAGAGAGCAGTGGTTCTCCCAGCACGCAGCTGGAGATCTGAGAACGGGCAGACTGCCTCCTCAAGTGGGTCCCTGACCCCTGACCCCCGAGCAGCCTAACTGGGAGGCACCCCCCAGCAGGGGCAGACTGACACCTCACACGGCAGGGTACTCCAACAGACCTGCAGCTGAGGGTCCTGTCTGTTAGAAGGAAAACTAACAAACAGAAAGGACATCCACACCAAAAACCCATCTGTACATCACCATCATCAAAACCAAAAGTATATAAAACCACAAAGATGGGGAAAAAACAGAGCAGAAAACTGGAAACTCTAAAAAGCAGAGCGACTCTCCTCCTCCAAAGGACCGCAGTTCCTCACCAGCAACGGAACAAAGCTGGATGGAGAATGACTTTGACGAGCTGAGAGAAGAAGGCTTCAGACAATCAAATTACTCCGAGCTCCGGGAGGACATTCAAACCAAAGGCAAAGAAGTTGAAAACTTTGAAAAAAATTTAGATGAATGTATAACTAGAATAACCAATACAGAGAAGTGCTTAAAGGAGCTGATTGAGCTGAAAACCAAGGCTCGAGAACTACGTGAAGAATGCAGAAGCCTCAGGAGCCGATGCGATCAACTGGCAGAAAGGGTATCAGCGATGGAAGATGAAATGAATGAAATGAAGCGAGAAGGGAAGTTTAGAGAAAAAAGAATAAAAAGAAATGAGCAAAGCCTCCAAGAAATATGGGACTATGTGAAAAGACCAAATCTACGTCTGATTGGTGTACCTGAAAGTGACGGGGAGAATGGAACCAAGTTGGAAAATACTCTGCAGGATATTATCCAGGAGAACCTCCCCAGTCTAGCAAGGCAGGCCAACATTCAGATTCAGGAAATACAGAGAACACCACAAAGATACTCCTCGAGAAGAGCAACTCCAAGACACATAATTGTCAGATTCACCAAAGTTGAAATGAAGGAAAAAATGTTAAGGGCAGCCAGAGAGAAAAGTTGGGTTACCCTCAAAGGGAAGCCCATCAGACTAACAGCAGATCTATCAGCAGAAACTCTACAAGCCAGAAGAGAGTGGGGGCCAATATTCAACATTCTTAAAGAAAAGAATTTTCAACCCAGAATTTCATATCCAGCCAAACTAAGCTTCATAAGTGAAGGAGAAATAAAATACTTTTCAGACAAGCAAATCCTGAGAGATTTTGTCACCACCAGGCCTGCCCTAAAAGAGCTCCTGAAGGAAGCGCTAAACATGGAAAGGAACAACCGGTACCAGCCACTGCAAAATCATGCCAAAATGTAAAGACCATCGAGACTAGGAAGAAACTGCATCAACTAACGAGCAAAATAACCAGCTAACATCATAATGACAGGATCAAATTCACACATAACAATATTAACTTTAAATGTAAAGGGACTAAATGCTCCAATTAAAAGACACAGACTGGCAAATTGGATAAAGAGTCAAGACCCATCAGTGTGCTGTATTCAGGAAACCCATCTCATGTGCAGAGACACACACAGGCTCAAAATAAAAGGATGGAGGAAGATCTACCAAGCAAATGGAAAACAAAAAAAGGCAGGGGTTGCAATCCTAGTCTCTGATAAAACAGACTTTAAGCCAACAAAGATCAAAAGAGACAAAGAAGGCCATTACATAATGGTAAAGGGATCAATTCAACAAGAAGAGCTAACTATCCTAAATATATATGCACCCAATACAGGAGCACCCAGATTCATAAAGCAAGTCCTGAGTGACCTACAAAGAGACTTAGAGTCCCACACATTAATAATGGGAGACTTTAACACCCTACTGTCAACATTGGACAGATCAACGAGACAGAAAGTCAACAAGGATATCCAGGAATTGAAATCAGCTCTGCAACAAGCGGACCTAATAGACATCTACAGAGCTCTCCACCCCAAATCAACAGAATATACATTTTTTTCAGCACCACACCACACCTATTCCAAAAGTGACCACATACTTGGAAGTAAAGCTCTCCTCAGCAAATGTAAAAGAACAGAAATTATAACAAACTATCTCTCAGACCACAGTGCAATCAAACTAGAACTCAGGATTAAGAAACTCACGCAATACCGCTCAACTACATGGAAACTGAACAACCTGCTCCTGAATGACTACTGGGTACATAACGAAATGAAGGCAGAAATAAAGATCTTCTTTGAAACCAAGGAGGACAAAGACACAACATACCAGAATCTCTGGGACACATTCAAAGCAGTGTGTAGAGGGAAATCTATAGCACTAAATGCCCACAAGAGAAAGCAGGAAAGATCCAAAATTGACACCCTAACATCACAATTAAAGGAACTAGAAAAGCAAGAGCAAACACATTCAAAAGCTAGCAGAAGTCAAGAAATAACTAAAATCAGAGCAGAACTGAAGGAAATAGAGACACAAAAAACCCTTCAAAAAATTAATGAATCCAGGAGCTGGTTTTTTGAAAGGATCAACGAAATTGATAGACCGCTAGCAAGACTAATAAAGAAAAAAAGAGAGAAGAATCAAATAGACGCAATAAAAAATGACAAAGGGGATATCACCACCGATCCCACAGAAATACAAACTACCATCAGAGAATACTACAAACACCTCTACGCAAATAAACTAGAAAATCTAGAAGATATGGATAAATTCCTTGACACATACACTCTCCCAAGACTAAACCAGGAAGAAGTTGAATCTCTGAATAGACCAATAACAGGATTTGAAATTGTGGCAATAATCAATAGCTTACCAACCAAAAAGAGTCCAGGACCAGATGGATTCACAGCCGAATTCTACCAGAGGTACAGGGAGGAACTGGTACCATTCCTTCTGAAACTATTCCAGTCAATAGAAAAAGAGGGAATCCTCCCTAACTCATTTTATGAGGCCAACATCATTCTGATACCAAAGCCAGGCAGAGACACAACCAAAAAAGAGAATTTTAGACCAATATCCTTGATGAACATTGATGCAAAAATCCTCAATAAAATACTGGCAAACCGAATCCAGAAGCACATCAAAAAGCTTATCCACCATGATCAAGTGGGCTTCATCCCAGGGATGCAAGGCTGGTTCAATATACGCAAATCAATAAATGTAATCCAGCATATAAACAGAGACAAAGACAAAAACCACATGATTATCTCAATAGATGCAGAAAAGGCCTTTGACAAAATTCAACAACCCTTCATGCTAAAAACTCTCAATAAATTAGGTATTGATGGGACATATTTCAAAATGATAAGAGCTATCTATGACAAACCCACAGCCAATATCATACTGAATGGGCAAAAACTGGAAGCATTCCCTTTGAAAACTGGCACAAGATAGGGATGACCTCTCTCACCACTCCTATTCAACATAGTGTTGGAAGTTCTGGCCAGGGCAATTAGGCAGGAGAAGGAAATAAAGGGTATTCAAATAGGAAAAGAGGAAGTCAAATTGTCCCTGTTTGCAGATCACATGATTGTATATCTAGAAAACCCCATTGTCTCAGCCCAAAATCTCCTTAAGCTGATAAGCAACTTCAGCAAAGTCGCAGGATACAAAATCAATGTGCAAAAATCACAAGCATTCCTATACACCAACAACAGACAAACAGAGAGCCAAATCATGAGTGAACTCCCATTCACAATTGCTTCAAAGAGAATAAAATACCTAGGAATCCAACTTACAAGGGATGTGAATGACCTCTTCAAGGAGAACTACAAACCACTGCTCAAGGAAATAAAAGAGGATACAAACAAATGGAAGAACATTCCATGCTCATGGGTAGGAAGAATCAATATCGTGAAAATGGCCATACTGCCCAAGGTAATTTACAGATTCAATGCCATCCCCATCAAGCTACCAATGCCTTTCTACACAGAATTGGAAAAAACTACTTTAAAGTTCATATGGAACCAAAAAAGAGCCCACATCACCAAGTCAATCCTAAGCCAAAAGAACAAAGCTGGAGGCATCATGCTACCTGACTTCAAACTATACTACAAGGCTACAGTAACTAAAACAGCATGGTACTGGTACCAAAACAGAGATATAGATCAATGGAACAGAACAGAGCCCTCAGAAACAATGCCGCATATCTCCAACTATCTGATCTTTGACAAACCTGAGAAAAACAAGCAATGGGGAAAGGATTCCCTATTTAATAAATGGTGCTGGGAAAACTGGCTAGCCATATGTAGAAAGCTGAAACTGGATCCCTTCCTTACACCTTATACAAAAATCAATTAAAGATGGATTAAAGGCTTACATGTTAGACCTAAAACCATAAAAACCCTAGAAGAAAACCTAGGCATTACCATTCAGGACATAGGCATGGGCAAGGACTTCATGTCTAAAACACCAAAAGCAACGGCAACAAAAGCCAAAATTGACAAATGGGATCTAATTAAACTAAAGAGCTTCTGCACAGCAAAAGAAACTACCATCAGAGTGAACAGGCAACCTACAAAGTGGGAGAAAATTTTCGCAACCTACTCATCTGACAAAGGGCTAATATCCAGAATCTACAATGAACTCAAACAAATTTACAGGAAAAAAACAAACAACCCCATCAAAAAGTGGGCAAAGGACATGAACAGACATTTCTCAAAAGAAGACATTTATGCAGCCAAAAAACACATGAAAAAATGCTCACCACCACTGGCCATCAGAGAAATGCAAATCAAAACCACAATGAGATACCATCTCACACCAGTTAGAATGGCAATCATTAAAAAGTCAGGAAACAACAGGTGCTGGAGAGGATGTGGAGAAATAGGAACACTTTTACACTGTTGGTGGGACTGTAAACTAGTTCAACCATTGTGGAAGTCAGTGTGGCGATTCCTCAGGGATCTAGAACTAGAAATACCATTTGACCCAGCCATCCCATTACTGGGTATATACCCAAAGGACTATAAATCATGCTGCTATAAAGACACATGCACACGTATATTTATTGCGGCACTATTCACAATAGCAAAGACTTGGAACCAACCCAAATGTCCAACAATGATAGACTGGATTAAGAAAATGTGGCACATATACACCATGGAATACTATGCAGCCATAAAAAAATGATGAGTTCATGTCCTTTGTAGGGACATGGATGAAATTGGAAACCATCATTCTCAGTAAACTATTGCAAGAACAAAAAACCAAACACCACATATTCTCACTCATAGGTGGGAATTGAACAATGAGATCACATGGACACAGGAAGGGGAACATCACACTCTGGGGACTGTTGTGGGGTGGTGGGAGGGGGGAGGGATAACATTGGGAGATATACCTAATGCTAGATGATGAATTAGTGGGTGCAGCACACCAGCATGGCACATGTATACGTATGTAACTAACCTGCACAATGGGCACATGTACCCTGAAACTTAAAGTATAATAATAAATAAATAAATAAATAAATAAAAAATTAAAAAGAAACTCTTGGATATTTATTTGACATGTAAATGTTTGAATTGGAAACTACAAATTAATACTGATATGTGTGTTTGATTATGTCATCATGTCATTAGCTGGTTACTATGCAGAGTTGATTGTGCAGTTGTTTTATAATATCAATGCTTTATGTACTTCAGTGTTTTTGTGGTAACTGGTAATGGTCTTTCCTTTCTATATTTAGCACTCCCTTAAGGACTTCTTGTAAGACAGGTCTAGTGATAATTAACTCTCTTAGCATTTGCTTTTCTGAAAAGGATCTTATTTCTCCTTCACCTGTGAAGATTACTTTGACTGGATATGAAATTCTTGGTTGGAATTTCTTTTCTTCAAGAATGCTGGATATAGGCCGTTAATCTCTTCTGGTTAGTAGAGTTTCTGCTGAAAGATCCATCATTAACCTGATGAGGTTCCCTTTGTAGGTGACCTTTTCTCTGTAGCTGCCTTTAACATTTTTTCTTTCATTTCAACCTTGGAAGATCTGAAGACTATGTGTTTTGGAGATGGTCATCATGTATAGTATTATGCAAGAATTTTCTGCATTTCCTGAATTTGAATGTTGGCCTCTCACAGGCTTGGGACAATTTTCATGGATGAAATCCTGAAATATGTTTTTTGCTTACTTTCTCCCCATCTCTTTCAAAGAGTTGTAGATTTGGTCTCTTTACATGATCCCATGTTTCTTGGAGGTTTTATTCATTATTTTTTATTTGTTTTCCTTTTTTCTCCATCTGATTGAGTTATTTCAAAGACCATGTCTTCAAACTCTGAGATTCTTTCCTCAGTTTGGTCAATTCTGCTGTCATTACCTGTGATTATACTATAAAATTCTTGAAGTGAATTTTTCAGCTCAGTCAGATCACTTTGATTCTTTCTTAAAATGGCCATTTCATCTTTTACCTCCTGTGTCATTTTACTGTATTCTTTAGATTGGGTTTCAACCTTCTCTTGAACGTTGATGATCTTTGTTTCTATCCATATTCTGAATTCTACTTCTGACATTTCAGCCATTTCAACCTGTTTAAGAACCATGGCTGGGGAGCTAGTGTGGTGATTTGGAGGCAAGAAGACACAGTGACTTTCTGAGTTGCCAGAGTTTCTGCACTAGTTCTTTCTCATCTGTGTGGGTGACTGTTCCTTTCATCTTTGGAGTTACTGTCCTTTGGAGGGATTTTTTTGCTTTTAGTTTATTTGATGCCCTTGAGGATTTTATTGTGGTATAAAGCGGGTTCAGTCAACTGCTTTGTTTCTCAAAGATTTTAGGGGCCAAGGTTCAACTCAGCACTCCTGGACTGTATGTTGTAACACTAGGGAGCTGGTACTGGGCCCCTGGCTTTGTTCTCCAGCCCAGTTGAGAGTAGCAACCTGCTGCCCTGGAGGGTCTGAGGTGTTCCTGGTCCACTGGCCATAAGACTCTGATAGGTGGTGTTGGACAAAGCATTTATTTGGGGCAGTGACAGTGGAACCATTGCTTGTTCATGTGTGCTGGCAGCTGTGGCAGTGCAGTGGGTTGGATGCATGTCAGCTGGGGTTCTGTACTGGTGGGAGTCGGGCTCTGGTGTCCATGAATGCGCTCATGTCCGTGCTGGTGGCAGCAGCATGGTGTGTTCCAGGTGCTGGCAAAGGCCAAGCCAAGCTGCTGGCCTCTGTGCCTGTGTTCACCTCAGCAGTAGAGATGTCATGGGGTTGGGGGCAGGGCTGCAGGAGTCTGTGTATGCGCTTGTGCTGGGAATGGCAGCATGGCCAGGTGCTCATGCATCACCAGGGTGTTGGGGCAAAAGAGTGTGCCCATGCTGGCAGCAGTAATTTAGTAGTGTGCATGTACACACACATGCTGTCAGGTGAGATGAAGTGAGGTTTGCCCACACGTGGGCCAGCAAAGTTGTGGGGGTTAGTTATGGGCAAGTGTGCCAACAAAGTGGCATGGGGAGCCTGAGGTAAAGGTAAAGTGCAGATAGGCTGATTTGCAATGGTGGGGGCCACTCTGCTGGAGGTCTCTGACATTCTGTAGTCTGCTGGAGAAGAATCTGTGATAAGGGACATGGGTTCCCGATGTCCCTGTCTCTCAGTGGCAGATATTCCTCCTGGCTTTGTCTAGTCAGTCATCTTGGTTCCAATCTGAATATCTTTTTATATGCTAATTTGCCATCTGTATATATTTACTGAAGTGTCTGTTCAGATCTTTGCCCATCTTTAAATTATGTTGTGATACTATTGTTCTAAGTGTTCTTTCTATGTTTTGGATATCACTCATTTATCAGAAATATGTTTTGCAATATTTTATCCCAGTCTGTGGCTTCTCTTTTCACTCTCTTACCAGTGTCCTTTGCAGGACAAAAGTTTTTAATTTTAATAAAATCCAACATATTTTTTGTTTTATGAACTTTGCTTTAGTGTTGTTGTATTTAGCTACTCAAGAAATTTAAGGTCATATTAATTTTCTCTTATGTTTCCTTTTAGAAAGTATAGTTATGCATCTTACTTTAGAACTATGTTCTATTTTGAGAAAATATTTTTGTGAAAGTCGCAAGGTCTTTGTCCAGATTTATTTTTTCTTAAATATAAACATCTGGCTTTTTGCATTTGAGCACCATTTTTCCTCAATTTCTTTGTGTTTGTACTTCAAAAAATTCAGGTGACCATATGTGTGTGGATCTATTTCTCATCTCTCTTGTGTTCTATTGATGTGTCTAGTATTTCTTTTTTCTTTTTCTTTTTTTGTTTTTTTGAGATGGAGTCTCTCTCAGTCACCCAGGCTGGGGTGCAATGACATGATTTCAGCTCACTGCAACCTCCATCTCCTGGGTTCAAGTGATTCTCCAGCCTCAACCTTCTGAGTCGCTGGGATTACAGGCCTGCGACACCATGTTTGGCTAATTTTTGTATTTTTTAAGTAGATATGGGGTTTCACCATGTTGGACAGCCTGGTCTCGAACTTCTGATCTCAAGTGATCCACCTGCCTTGGCCTCCCAAAGTCCTGTGATTACAAATGTGAGCCACCACGTCCAGCCATAGTATTTCCTATATAGTAGCCTTTCTTAATTATAGTAGCTTTAGAGTAATTCTTGAATGCAATTTATCCCATGTTGTTCTAGCAATGATGTTTTAAAATAGGAAGTTTAAGACAAGTTTGTTTTAAATGAGGAAGAAGTACAAGACAACTCTCAGATTCCTTAAGTCCATAGTTTCATAATTATTTACCAGAATGAATTAGAGAAAAAAAAAGCAAAGCAAATCAATCAGTTTTAGAGCTGAAAGCAAATTAATGAGGTATAATTTGTTTGTTTGCATTTTTGCAGAAGTTTGAAATATAAATAGCTCCAACAAAATTTAAACTAATTTGTAGAATGTACATATACTAACATTTATTGAGGAAAGCAACAGTATTTGGTTTCGGATTGATGCCAGGAAGACACTCAGGATTTGTATCCACTTGTTATTTCCAATATAATTTTCTACCAAGATTCCTTTTTTTCTTTTGGAAGCAAGGTTTTGTTCTGGCACCCAGGCTGGAGTGAAGTGGCATAATCATAGCTCATTGCAACCCGTGAAATCCTGGGCCCAAGTGATCCCCCTGTCTCAGATTCTTGAGCAACTGGGACTACAGGTGTGAGCCACTATGCCTGGCTAACTTAAAAAATTATTTATATTATTTTTTGTAAAGATGGGATCTCACTATGTTGTCCAGTCTAGTCTTGAACTCCTGACTTCAAGTGATCCTTCTGCCTTGGTCTTCCAAAATGTTGAGAGATTATAGATGTGAGCCATTTCACCCAGACTCTATGAATATCTTTTTTAGATACGAGATTTTGTTTTTGCAATTACAGCAATAATCTACAAGAGACAGTCTTCTACAACTCTCCACATACTTCTGTGAGACTTATTTTGGATAGAGTAACTGTACATCTCATTTGAACTGGGCAATTTTGATTTACATATATTGTAGATTCATTAAAGTCATTTTTTATAGCATCTTTTTACATGCAACAATAGATTTTAGAGCATAACCCTGGAGTAGAAATATTGGATTTCAGTGATACATGTATTCTATTTCAATAAATACTTTAAAATATTTTTCAAAATTCAACACCACTTTATGCAAAATACTCTCAATAAACTAGGTATTGATGGAATGTATCTCAAAATAATAAGAGCTATTTATGACAATGCACAGTCAATAACATACTGAATGAGCAAAAGCTGGAAGCACTCCCTTTGAAAACTGGCACAAGACAAAGATGTCCTCTCTTTCAACATAGTATTGAAAGTTCTGGCCAGGGCAATTGGCAAGAGAAAGAAATAAAGTGTATTCAAATATGAAGAGAGGAAGTCAAATTGTCTCTGTTTGTAGATGACACGATTGTATATTTAGAAAACCCCATCATCTCAGCACAAAATGTCCTTTAGCTGATAAGCAACTTCAGCAAAGTCTCAGGATACAAAATCTATGTGCAAAAATCACAAGCATTCCTATACACCAATAATATACAAAATGAGAGCCAAATCATGTGTGAACCCCCATTCATAATTGCTACTAAGAGAGTAAAATACCTAGGAATACAACTTACAGGGGATGTGAAGGACCTTTTCAAAAACAAACAAACAAACAAACAAAAAACTACCAAACACTGCTCAAGGAAATAAGAGAGGACACAAACAAATGCAAAAACATTCCATGCTCATGGATAGGAAGAATCAATATTGTGAAAAAGGCCATGCAGCCCAAATTAATTTATAGATTCAATGCTATCCCTGTCAAGCCACCATTGACTTTCTTCACAGAATTAGAAAAATCTATTTTAAATTTCATATGGAACCAAAAAAGAGCCCATATAGCCAAGACAATCCTAAGCAAAAAGAACAAAGCTGGAGGCATCAAGCTACCTGACTTCAAACTATACTACAAGGCTACAGTAACCAAAACAGCATGGTACTGATAACAAAACAGATATATAGACCAATGGAATAGAACAGAGGCCTCAGAAATAATGCTACACATCTACAACCGTCTGATCTTTGACAAACCTGACAAAAACATGCAATGGGGAAAGGATTCCATATTTAATAAATGGTGTTGGGAAAACTGGCTAGCCATATGCAGAAAACTGAAACTGGACCCCTTCCTTACACCTTATACAAAAATTAACTCAAGATGGATTAATGAATTAAAGACTTAAACATAAGAACTAAAACCATTAAAACCCTAGAAGAAAATCTAGGCAATGCCATTCAGATCATAGGCATGGGCAAAGACTTCATGACTAAAACACCAAAAGCAATGGCAAGAGAAGCCAAAATTGACAAATGAAATCTAATTAAACTAAAGAGCTTCTGCACAGCAAAAGAAACTGTCATTAGAGTGAACAAGCAACATACAGAATGGGAGGAAATTTTTACAAGCTATCCATCTGACAAAGGGCTGATATGCAGAATCTATAAAGAACTTAAACAAATTTACAAGAAAAAAAAACAAAGAACGCCATCAAAAAGTGGGTGAAGGATATGAATAGACACTTTTCATAAGAAGACATTTATGAGGCCCACAAACATATGAAAAAAATCTCATCAGCTGGGCACGGTGGCTCACGCCTGTAATCCCAGCATTTTGGGAGGCTGAGGTGAGCGGATCATAAGGTCAGGAGATTGAGACCAATCTGGCCAACATGGTGAAACGCTGTCTCTACTAAAAAATAAACTAATTAATTAATTTAAAAAAAGTTCATCATTACTGGTCATTAGAGAAACGCAAATCAAAACCATAATGAGATACCATCTCACATTGGTTAGAATGTCGGTCATTACACACCAGTGCACTCCAGCCTGGCAAAAGAGTGAGACTCCTTCTCACTCATCTCAAAACAAACAAACAAACAAACAAACAAACAAACACAAAAACAGAATGGCAATCATTAAAAATCAGGAAACAACAGATGCTGGAGAGGATGTGGAGAAATAGGAACATTTTACACTGTTGGTGGGAGTGTAAATTAGTTCAACCACTGTGGAAGACAGTGTGGTGACTCCTCAAGGATCTAGAACCAGAAATATCATTTGACCCAGCAATCCCATTTCTGGGTACATACTGAAAGGTTTATAAATCATTCTATTATAAAGACACATGGACACGTATGTTTATTGCAGCACTGTTCACAATAGCAAAGACTTGGAACCAACCCAAATGCTCATCAATGACGACTAGATAAAGAAAATATGGCATATATACACTGTGGAATACTATGCGGCCATAAGAAAGGATGAGTTCATGTCCTTTGCGGGGACATGGATGAAGCTGGAAACCATCATTCTCAGCAAACTAAGACAAGAACAGAAAACCAAACACGACATGTTCTCACTCACAAGTGAAAGTTGAACAATGAGAACACATGGACACAGGAAGGGGAACGTCTCACACTGGGGCCTGTTGTGGGGTGGGGGACTAGGGGACGGATAGCATTAGGAGAAATACCTAATGTAGATGATGGGTTGATGGGTGCACACAAACCACCATGGCACATATATATCTATGTGACAAACCTGCACATTCTGCACATGTATCCCAGAACTTAAAGTATAATAAAAAAAATTTTTTTAATAAAAAATAAAAAAATAAAAAGGCAAAAAAATTATTCAAAAGTACACTGTCAGTTTTCACTCCCACTAAAATTTTGTTTACATAACTGCCATGCCACTGTCTGGTGTCTGACTTTATAAACTTTTAGCATTGAGATGGTATGAAGTAATATCTCTATATCAAATAAAGTCTTTTCTTAGAATTAATAAAGTTGTGCAATTCACCTGTGGTATCAAGAATTCAGGATTCCTTACCCCCAAAATTCCCTTGGATACATCATCCAAGATGATGTATCTACTTGGTTATGACTGCTTTTTATGTTGATTTTTGGTGGTCATTAACATGTTCTAGATCAGGATTCAACAGTCTACAACTTGTGAGCCAAACCTGTTTTTGTAAACAAAGTTTGATTGGAACGATATCAGTTCAGTTCCATCTTGTCTACAGCTGCTTTCAAGCTACAATGGTAAAGCTGATTAGTTACAACATGGACAGTATGATCACAAGCCTAGATTATTTACCGTGTTGCCCTTTCAAAAGTTTGCGGACCCCTGTTCCTAAACAAACCACCATTTTGGTTTATGTAGGATAAAAATATACTTTCCTGTTTGGTCGCCTGTCTCTTCTTTCTTGTATCTTCTTTAACTTAATGTAGCTAACTCTATTAGGTTTTACATGTTAGAGAAATTTTCTTTATGACATTGCAACAAGAAACATTAATAAGCAGTATAAGAATTAGGAAGAAGAGATAGTTTTCATCGTGTGCTGGTACTATATTAATATATAAAATACTTTTAATAACAAAAACTCAAAATAATCATTGACAAGCTTATGGTCTAAAAGTGAGTATAAAATGGCTACGTAAAAGTCAAAACATAAATCCATAACTTTCCACAAAAAGTAATAGGAAATACCAGAGGAAACTAAGATACTATTTGCTTTAGCATTAGTCTATAACCCACGTGGGATTAATTTAGAGATAGAATTATTTATGAATAAATTGTAAAAGTCACAAAAGAATGACTAACTGGAGGAACATAACATTATAAATATGTCTATATTCCCCAAATTAATAAGATATTTAATATGTCCATTAATAACCCAGTGATATTTGATGAGTATTGGACAAAATATTTTAAAAATATATGTAAATATAAGAAAGTCTCCAACTCGCTAAGATAATTCTGTAAAGGAAGACAAGAGATATCCCTCCAATCTTCTAGAAAGTAACTTTCAAGCCACAGTAATAAAGGCTGAAAAGTACCCTGAAAGCAGTGGTTCTCAGCCAGAAGCAATTTTATCCTTCATGGGACATTTGGAAGTTTGGAGACATTTTTCACGTCACAAGACTGGGGAGGGTGTGCGTGTGGTTGATGGAGGCTGGGGTGCTCTTTAATACTGTAAAACACAGGATATCTGTAACAACCAAGAATTATCTAGTCCAATTGTCAGTTATACTGAGGTTGAAAAACCTTGCTGTAAAGGAATAGAGAAATGGACTCATACTGTGGACAGACTGTGATAATGGAAAATGTGAGTTACCCTATAGGGAAAAGAAAACTAGATCATTAATCAGACTAAATCTGAAAAACAATGCTTCCAGATGGATTAAAGATACAAACATAAATGGCTGAAGTATGGCACTATTGTAGAACAACACGGTGAATATCTTTCAAGTAGTCTTCCCTAATCTGAAGTCAAAGTAAGTCCCGCAGTAATTATTTGACTGCAGAAATATTAGTATTTACCTGATTGCTTCTTTGATTAAAACCTATCATAGGAATCTCAATGCCTACCAGATGAAGTTTAAAATTTTAGCCTCTTTCCACTTGATGAAATAATGGTAACACTTTCTAACATCTTAGTTTTCTCTGCCTTTCTTGGCTTCTGATGGAGTCGGATGCTCTGATCCAGGTGTTTTTTTTATATATATCTATATAATATATACACTGAGCTATCACTGCACTTACAATCCTTTGTTAACTTTTTTTAAAAGTCTTTCTTTGCTATTAGATGAAGAAGTTCCCCTGGGGTGATGCTGGTGACCCTCACATTTCCCGCCTTGCACTGAGCACAATGTCGAAGGTGAAGCAGCCAGACCCATGTTTTCAATTTAATGAATTGATTAACCTTTATTATTGCCATGTAACCTCTTTTCTCACCCTCTCACAGGCTGACAAAGATGAACGACTACAATCAATTCTATAACTGCAAACTCAGACCTATTAAATAAAAGTTCATTTCTGCTTCTCAATCTTGGAGGCTATTGTGGGCCTCACTAAAAATCGACAAGTGAAAAATTCTGAAATAAATGAGACTTAATAACACAACTTAGAAACCAGTGCTCTTATAATCAAATGGATAACTTAATTTATTATATACCATTAAAATATTTCAAAATAGAATCAAATCATGACACAAACCCAAAGTGAAAAAAGCATTTTATTTTCATACAAATTTTATCACACAGTTTTATTTGTCTTGGACATTGCACATCAAGTCCTCTTATTCATTTTTATTTTAATCAGACAAGATTTTTCAGAACCTTGCCTACTTTTGAAACAACGTCATTCAAAGTAGATGTTAGTGGTCCAGTTTACACTTTAGATCATGTACAGACAAAATAAGAATGAACGTTGAACACAGGATGTGGAAGGGGCGCAAGTTAGTGTCTACATTTAGAACCTCCAGTAGTTCTTACAAACATAAGCTTAATTTTACAGTACAGGAGGGCTCAAAGATCTGTACCATTGCCACATGGTGGGGCCTGTATGCCCCTGTGATGGCTGAAAGTTGATCTTGTGCCTCAATTACACAATGATTGGTTCCACCATGTAATGAGAAAATCTCAACGGGCTACTAGTTAACTACCAAGCCTTGTTATTTTCGGAGTATCTTGCATCTTTCCAGCAGTAGCTTATTTAGGGGAGGCAGGTAGGAAATGTCCTCCCACTTAGGAAGCTTCAGAACATGTTACAGTAGGTAATTAGGCAAACATGAGCAGGGCAGAAGAGGGCCCCACACCAGTATTGTCAGGAGACCATCCAGTGATGGTCAGGTGGTTGTTAAACTGTCTCTTTAAAATAATAATTGGTTGTAGTTGGCACCAGGGAGAGGCAGTCTCCTAACAGATAGAAAAGCCTGAAACTGGTGATCAGCAGCTTCCTAATAATATCTCAGGAGTTGGATGAGTGGGCTCAAGCATACACACTGAGAGGCAAAAATGGTGGCATCTGACTGCTATACGATCTTCCTCTAGGAACATTCAGCTGGCAAGGGAAAATGCCTCAAGTGAGTATGTTCACAACTCCAGTAATCACACTGCGCATGCGGCCCCTCCCAAGTGCTGGCAGGTCACTGCACATACTGACAGCCTACTGCAATGAAAGAATCAGGGGAGAATGGACACAAGACCCCGGAAGGATGCCAATGTATGAAACCCCAAGTCAAAGCAACCTATGTACTTGGATCTCTCAAGTTGCCCACTTGGCCCTCTTCCAAGTGTACCTTACTTCCTTTTGTTCCTGCTCTAAAACCTTTTAATAAACTTTCACTCCTGCTTTAAAACTTGCTTCAGTCTCTCCCTCTACCTCATGTTCCTTGGTCAAATTCTTTCTTCTGAGGAGGCGAGAATTGAGGTTGCTGTAGACGCGTGTAGATTCACCAGTGCTAACAAACACAGTTTACTGAACTGTTGCAGGTTCCACCCTCACTTCCGTGAAAGCAACGTGAGCCAATTGTGACCCATCATGTCAGTAGTTTCAGTGGTGGGATTGCATGAAAAACACAATGGTGAAACTCATTCCTTTTAAATGACAGTTCTGTACAAGTGTTCCTTCCTACTGAGATTCCCATGACGTTCGTCTCCAGGGTTGCGTTAGCATTTCTCCAAGGAAGCTTGTCCCAGCCCTTTGAGTAGGAGCTGCACTGCAGGGCTGGAATGATGGGTTGGAAGGTCGCTCTCACTAATATGAGCTATGGTGACTTCGTGCAAGTGAATTGTGAACAGTAATTCAGCTGAACTAAATGGGAGCACTCAGGAAAACTTAAGGCAAAGGGGAAAAAGGAGTTAGAGTAGACATGAGACTCACAAAGCTTACGTGGGATTTCTTGAGAAAGAGCCTCCTCAGGTACTCAGTTGATGGCCCATGGCAAGACTGAAATTATTGCCAAGTTCGCTAGTGAGTGGGATTTAAGATAATAAAAACTCCACATTGCTAAAAGCCAAAAAGCCAAACTTTGTGCCATGTTTTATGTCAGAAAATGTGCTTATAGAATGCCACATAGGCCAAAGTTCACACTTATTTTTTTTTCTCAATTTGAAAAGGAAGTGGGGGTTACAACAATGTCTCACATATCCCACTGTGTATTTACAGTGGAGTTAGTTTTTCCAAGCCAGAAAAACAAGACCCCTCAGCTGTCAGATATCAAACTGGATCAACATTACCGATGCATTAGTAGATAATTCTCCGTATTAGTTCTCATGTTTCTATTACGTATAACTTACTTTTTAACCACAGCTTTGCTTTAAACTATAATTAAAAAGTCAACTGAATCTCTGTGAAAACAAATGGCTCCTGAGATTTTGAAACTACCAGAAACTACCAGAAATTTAAACAGCCTCAGGAGACAGCACCTACAGGAATAATGACAAGCCTGTAGATTGCATACCGAAAATTACTTAGTTGTTAACTAATTTATGACTTGGAATTTTGATAATAACTTTCAGCCAGTAGGGTCATTGTGAAGACTTTAAAACTGCTGTGCAAGTCAGAATGTGACTCAGCCACAGAGAACTGAGACTTTTTCAATCTGAGGGCATGGTGGGAGGTGGGTCCTTCCTAACTACCTTGTGGGGGTACAGGAAGAAAGAGAAAGATCCCCACAGAGGCTGACTGTGTTGGCCTAAGTGTGGGGATTTCCACCAAGCACCCTAGTGATGCCCATGCTGCTGGCCTAAGGACCTTGCTGTGGGCACCACAGGACTTGGGACTTCACCCCTCAGAGTGGGAAGCTTCTCTTCCTCATCTGGCCTGTGCTGGAACCCACGGTGAACGGCTTCTTGGAGCAGAATGTGCAACTCTGACAGAGAGTAAATTCTTCCTCATGTTAAACTGAGGATTGCGCAACCCCTGATATGGCAGTCTTGCTGATACAACTTGCTGCAAAGAGACACCCACACTTTTCCCAGGGCTGAGAAGACAAGCAGTTGATGATCTATATTGTGGCTGTACTTGTGAACCTGGGAGCTGACAGGCAGGATCACTGAACCCCTCCCTCAAATCTGAGGAAGTCTAAGGGCTATGATCCCTGTGGTCAGCTGGCCGAGGCATTCTCCCTAGAAACAGGCCTCTGCATGGATTCAAGTTCACTGATTTGCTGAAGAGTTGTTAGGATTCTGTCCAGGAGGGACAGACATTCCACCCTCACTCTCATCAACCCCCAAAACGTGTAGGTTTGGATAAATCCCAGGGATCATCCTCAATTGGCTCATTTAAAGATAGAGAAGTCTGGGCACAGTGGTTCACGCCTGTAATCCTAGCACTTTGGGAGGCCGAGGCAGGTGGATCACAAGGTCAGGAGTTCGAGACCAGCCTGACTAACATGGTGAAACCCCGTGTCTACTAAAAATACAAAAATTAGCTGGGCATGGTGGCACGCACCTGTAACCCCATCTACTCAGGAGGCTGAGGCAGGAGAATCACTTGAACCTAGGAGATGGAGGTTGCAGCAAGACGAGATTGCGCCACTGCACTCCAGCCTGGGTGACACAGCGAGACTCTGTCTCAGAAAAAAAAAAAAAAAAAGATGGGGAAGCAGAGGCTTTTGGAGAGGAAGAAACTCCCTTGGGATTCACATGTTGCGATTGAGGTTGCACCAAGACCAGTGTCAAGCGTGTGGCACCTTTTCCTTCACAATACACGACCTGAGACACTAAAGTTGACAGTATATTCTGGATTCAGTTAGATGCCTTTAGCTCATCACAGAAACCTTAAAACAGTGCTTTTAAAAATAAATTACCATGCAAGGAAAAACTGGATTCTTGTAAAACAGTAAGTACTATCTATGTATACAGGCTTAAGAATAAAAACAGATGTGTCAAGAAACGAAGTAAATCACCCACAGTCTGATCATAGTAAGACAATCCTGTCTTGTTGCAGACTAAAAGTTTGTGTCCCCCAAAACTCATATGTTGAAATCGAGTCCCCCATGTGATCATACTTGGAGGTGGGGCCTTTGGGAGGTAATTAGGTCATGAGAGTGGAGCCTCATAAGTGGATGAGTGCCCTTACGAAAAGAGGACCTGGAGCCAGCTCACTTTCTCACTGCCATGTGGGGCACAAGAGGGGCTTCACCAGAAGCTGACCACGCTGGCACTCTGATCTCAGACTTCCAGTCTCCGGAACTGCGAGAAATAAATGTTTGCTGTTTACCAGTCGGTGATAATTTTCCCAGCAGCTAGGGTTGACTGAGACATGGCTGGAAAAGAGGCCAAGCATCATCATGGCCAAACTTCTTCTCTTCTTAGAGCCAACACTTCCTCAGGGGGCACTTAACACCCCTGTCCCATCACACTCCACTTACTGAAGCAAATTCTCCCACCTGATCACATACAGACGGGCCAGCTCTGAGGAGACATGCAATCTCCTTGTGAAACTCATCACTCTTGAAGCGTGATATGAAGCAATGTCCTTATAGTGCTCACCTAAATGGATAAATGGCACCAGTCTTCTGATGGGAAAATCCACAGGAAAAGTTCAAGTCTTGACCCTAATTACAGAAGAAATGAGCTCACTGCAGTCATGAAACTCTGAGTCTAGAAGTGTCATTTCCACACCGAGCCAGGCAGTTTCTTTATTCCCTGAACCATATGTTTATTTCTTAGCTGAACTATTCTGTGAGTGGTTGTCAAGAACTAAGATTTGTTAAATTTGTTTATTTTTGCTTTTCTCTCAGCTCAAAATTAGAAACATATGTTCATCACCTCCACATATGAGTAGTTCAGCATGAACTGTTTTTCTCATTTTATTCCGAGCAGATTAGTCAAAATAGTTCTCATTTCAATGTTGACCTGAAAAAAGTAAGACATGCTTGACTTATTTTATTAATTGTGTTTCCTTTATAAACTAGCAAATGAACTTAATTAACTGAAATATGGCCGTGCATCTCAGTGACATAATGAGCGATACTTTCAGGTGAGAGATGCTAAAGGCATCATTAAGCCTGTGGAAGCAACATGAAGAGACACATCAGAGGCATCAAGTCCCATAGTTCATGTCTGAAGTAGAGACTGCTAATGGAATCTGGGACTTTTCATCTCCAGTGTTCTGTCTTTAATGGGGCCATGGCTTCAGCTGAGAATAATTACCATCTGAAGACAGCTCCCAGGATGATCCATGGTGGGCTGGAGGAGCTGACACAAAATTTGCTTCTGGGTCAGCCCAGTGGGCATTGGACATTGAGTGTGCTGCCAGACGCTTCCCTGCAGGGGTGAAAGATCAGGAGCAATGAAGGCTATTGAGGAGCTCAGCTGTCATTTAGGGGCATTTAGGAAGGCAGATGGCCACGTCTTGGTCCAAAATTGATGCCATAGGTTGAGAGTTTTCTATAAAGGAATCTTGGACTTACATGACAAAAAAAATAAAAAAGGATAAACAGTAGTTATCACTGCATTGTATTTCAGAAACAGAGTATTTCAGGAGTTGAGAAGAAAAGGAAGGCAAAATGATCTATTTGGTACCAAGCTCACCTGTGTGCCCTCCAATCTCTCTGGCTCTCTCTTCTCTGTCTCTTTGTCCTTGTCTCTGTCTGTCTGTTTCTCTCTCTGTATATATATTCGTACTCACACCGACATACACATGCATATATATGCAAGATTTATTATTTAGTTATCACAGAAACCCTATGAGTTAAGCATTTAAGTAACTTAATTTTATCTAGAAATGGAGGCTTAAATTGTTATTATAACTCATGCAAGTTTCTATAGATATTAAGTGGCACAGTAAGAATTAAAGCTATCTATCTACTTATGTCTATTTATCTATCCATCATCTATTGATTATATATCAGTCATTGTCTCTCTCTCTATATATATACGTATATATTTTATATATATATATATGTATATATCAATTTTTATCATTGGTCTTATTTTTACAATCTAGCCCACTGCCTGGCACAGATCAACAGATCAAGCACTCCATGAGTTGTATTCACCAAGTCCTGCTCTGACCCCCACCACCATGCCCATGCTCTTCCCCCATGTTCTTTTCACCACATCCCTGTGTCTCAACATTTCTGAAGATCCTGGAGGTCTTCTCTCACCATTTCTTCTCCAGGAGCTTCATTCTCTTGTATGATTTTCCATCTAAGGCTAAGAGATGATGGAGAGGTCAAGGACCTGCATAAGTAAATTACTGTCTATGACTAGCACTATTCTTAGCCTTGGAGAGGCAGAGATCAGTTAGGAAAAGGAGGTACAGAAGAAATAATTATTATAGTGCCTGCTTCCAAAAAATGTACTGTCACTCATTCATTCACTCCACACCCTTTCACTGAGCACGTACCTCATGGTTAACATCATTCTGGGTGGTGGCAACAAGCATAAAAAGCATCTTTGCCACCTTTGAGAAGCTTCTATTCCGGTGGCCCCTGTGTCTGGCCCCTTCAGCACAGCCAGCTCTCCTCTGCACCATACCTGTGAGCCCATCAAAGTCAAATGTTGCTGGAATTTTGCAGGACCTGCCCCAGCTGCTTCACTCTCGTGTTAGTATCAGTAGTTAAATCTGTAGTGGCTGTCCATGCTGGGGCACACGTAATCTCACAGAAACTCTATTAAATGTGTACTGTCACTGTCTCCATTTCACAGGTGAAGAAACAGAGGCTCAGCCATTTCTAAAGCACAGTGATAAAGCATGTGAACTGTGGGATTTGCCTACCTGGGTTCAGGTGCAGCCCTGACACTGACAGCTATGGGGGTTTGGAAAGATTACTTATTCCTTCCTCACCTCAGATTCCTGGTTTGTAAAGTGGTCATAATACTGACACATACTTTAATGTGGAATTGGTATAGGAATTAAGTGCATTCATACATGTTTAGAACACTGTCTCGAATTGTATAATGGTTTTGAGTTGAATGATGGTACCCCCAAAAAAGATATGTCCAAGTTCTAACCCTGAGAAGACGACTTTGGAAAAAAGGTTCTTTGCAGATGCAGTTTTAAGGATCTCAAGATATGATTGTCCAGGATTAGGACAGGCCTAAATCTGGAGAAGAAGGCCATGGGAAGACGGAGGCAGAATTTGGAGTGATGCTTCTGTAAGCCAAAGAGTGCCACGGGTTGCAAGGAGGCACGGAGTAGATTCTCCTTCATAGTCCCTAGAAGAAACAGACCTGCCCATACCTTAACTGCAGACTTCTGGTCTCCATACCTGTGAGAGTATATATATTTACGTTGAATTCAGTAACCACATTTGTGGTGATTAATATAGCAGTCACAGGACACTAATGAGGTAATTAACACCCACACCCACATAGACTTTTTAAAGCCAAATATCAGGTGTGACACCCCAAGGGCTCAACCTGCATCACATTTCGTCACCCAGGTCTTGATCTCATGACCTCCAGGTGCTGGTTCTGCACATAAGCCTCCATCCCTGCCCTTGACCCTTCTGTTGGCGATCAGGCTTCTTTCTGTACCTTACTGAGCTCGGCTTCCCACCTGGTGCTCCATTCTCTGTTTACTCCTGCTTTGAACTTTCCCCGGGAACTTCAGGTGAAAGATACACCTTTGCCAGATGCCTGCTTCTTGCTGAAACTCCCACTGGGTTAGCTCCTTATCTTCCCTTCCTCCTCCTCACCAGGTGGGTGCTGGGGCACGACGGGGGAACACAGCCATTGATAGCCTATTGAGTTGCAAAGTGTACACTTTATGCACAATTAGTGAGTAGTTCAAGTAGCAAATAAATAGAAGCTAAGCTGAATAGAATGCAAAACAGAGGCAGCATAGGCACTATTTGCTGCAGTGGTTGGAGAGAGCACAAGGAGGAAGAGAAATATTAAGATGTGCAGTGAGGAGCAAGGGGCCCAGCCAGTCCAGGAAGCACCTCGGAGCTCAAGGCAGGGGAAGAGACAGAGAAAGAACAAGTTGGCCAAGACAGAGGGACAGATGAAACTTGGGAGGTCTTTCTAGGTGGAGGGTTTTCACAAAATATGGATTCAAATGGAAATAAAGAGTCCAATTTCCTGTACTGTTAAAATTTATAAAATATCTACATCTAGCATCCTTCCTTTGATCTATTTCAAGCCACTACATAAAATATAAGAAATAATTTAAAGAAAAAGTTTCAGGTATTTTTTATTTAGAAATCAGTGTTCATAAAGTTTAAATATTTTAGAAAAGCATTTTCCTGTGATTTGTCAATGTGTAAAACACACCAAGTGTTAAAGCGAATTAGTCCCAAATTCCCACTCATTATAAAGAAGAGAGATACAAGTAGTCCTGACATGACAACTGGACTCTGACTCTCTGGCTTGGTTATTCAATTTACAGAGCAGTTGAGGAAGTGAGCAGGTATGAATAGCCCTTAATAGTTTCTCCAAGTGTGACAGACAGAGCCACTCTGGTCTCCGACTCAGTTGGGTTCAAGAAATGTTAATAAAACTTCTTCTGGCAAAAATAAAATGATATCAGGAGGATGTATCAACCAAATCAATTGAAAGCACTAGAAATGGTAACCACATGTACAAATATGTAAAATTATTTTAAAATGTTATTTATATCTCTCCTTCGAATAATGGATTGTTTAGAAATAAAGCAATAAATTATAGCACAGAGTTTATAAGGTAGGTAAAATTAAAGTGTATAACAAGAATGGAATAAAGGCCAGGAGAAAATAAATAACACTGTTGTGAGGTTTTTGTACTATATGAAGGGGCAATATATAACTTGAAGTGTGTCTGTGATGTATACTACTATATATCCTAAAGCAGATACTAAAATAAGCAAACACAGAAGGTAGTAAAGGAGGAAAAAGACAAACAGTAGATGGGAAAAATGGAAAATAAATATGACAGACAAAGATAACTATATCAATAATTATATTAAATGTAAGCAGTTGAAACACTGAAATTAAAGGAAAAAATAGTCGAATTAAAAAGTAAGACTCAATGATATGCTACTTGCAAAAAAATTAAATCAAATTTTCCATGAAAATCCACAGGGAAAAGTATACCATGATAATGCAAACGAAAATATAGCTGGAGTGGCTGTATTTATTTCAGCCAAAGTAATTTCAGAGATGATAATAGTACTTCTATTCTCTGAATAAAGATAATACAATTCTATCCAGGAATAAAGAAGACTAATTCTTAGTGATTGTGGAATCAATTCATCACATGGACATAATGATTTTCATCATTTGTGGTCATTTTAAGCCTCAAACGTTGATCCCCTGTTGTCAACCTTTGGTCAGAGTTTAGAGTCGCCACCCCCACCCGCCACCCAGCAGGTGCACTTGTGTGGGTGTAAAATTTGGAAAGTAGAGAAAGGGGACTAGTGACCTCAGCATTCAATTAACATATTTTAAAATAATTCCCCTGTTTCTAGAAAGTTGTTCTTCCCTCAAATATCTCTGAGCTTCCAAAGACCCTCTGTTTTGCCTTTTCAAGAGCATGAACCTCCATCATTCTGCTGTGATTGAGAAGGACAGCTTCTCAATGTGCAGATGTGAAGAAGGGGACCCAGGGATCTATTTGCTTTTTAAATATAACTTAATTTGTGTCTCTTATTTGAGTCCTGGTATCAGTTAGTGTTTAACTAGGGGAGCAGTACCACTATGAGTAATGGGATGAGGGATTCATTATAGAAATCAGATTGGCACAATTAGGGGAGAAGCTGGAGAAATGAAGGTCTAAAGGGAAACAAGAACATAGGAGGAGATTCCCATCAGTCAACCTGAGCAGCCAAGCACATCTGCTGCTGAGGCTAGGCTGCTCGGGGGCTGGTGGAGAAGTTCACACCAGAACTCTGCGATTCCCCAGAAAAGCAGAGCAGCGCCTGACACCCAGGCATGCCCTGGCATTATCAGGCAGATCTTGGTGTTTTTATGAGCTGGTGTGGCACTCATGGCTGTGCCTCGGTGCTTTCCTGTTGAACATAAATGATTTCACAGAACATTAATATGAGACAAGATCACTCTGTGACTATGATAGATCAAGACACAACAACAACGAAGATAGCAAACAGACCATTCCAGAATCATGCCTAAATAGAGACAAAACATGCATATCATCCGAGCTGCAAAATACAAAAATCTCTCTTCCTCAGGTAATATGAGTGGCTGCTTTTTTTATTATTATTAATTACTGCTTTAGCATCTAGAATGCCCTCCCATAGGTAAGATTTATTGAGGTACCAATCATAGAATGACCTTCCCTTCTTGACTGCAGCCAACAGAGACCAATTCCCTATTTCACTAAATCCTTTCAAAACCACCAAGCAAAGCTCACATCCTATAATAGGTTCTTTCTGACACCCTTTACTGGGACACCTGGCAATTCTCCATGGTGTGTGTGTACTCCCTCACGGTGACAAATGAGAAACCCAACTTACTTAAGTGCAGGTGAGCTCTTGGAGGCCTTTGGCTGCAGGGCACCGACATCTCACAGCCCAGCATGTGGTGACAGACTTGGGGCCACTGGGTTCAATAGAGTCAACAGTCAGGAAGAAGATTTGGATGAAAACAGAAGACAGTGAGGACTAAAGGCCAGGAGAAAAGAAATGGAAGTATACTGTTGTGAGGATTTTGTACTATATGAAGGGGCAATATATCACTTGAAGGGTGCCTGTGATATATACTACTATATATCCTGAAGCAACTACTAAAATAAGCAAACAAAGAAGGTAGTAAGAAAGGAAAAAGACAAATAGTCAATGGGAGAAATCACCTGGCAGCTCTGCACCTTACCTGCTTCCTCCTCTGAAATCTTTGGTTGCCACCTAGCTTTTGCCTCCTTAGGTCTCAGGAAAGGATCTCTGTTGGTTCCTCTTATGCAGAGCCATTGGGGAAAGTCGAATGGGCATTCCTGCCTTGTTTGAAGAATCCTCTGTATTCTCACTGCAAGGTCAAAAATTCCTGGCTTGTTTGAAGAATCCTCTGTATTCTCACTGCAAGGTCAAGATTTGGTCTTCTCAGGTTTTAAAGCCAGCTATCACATAATCAATTTCTTCTTCTGCTCCCATGTTTTTGTTTGTTGGTTTTTGTCTCTCATTTTCCCTATTCTTGTGTGTCTTATTTTATTAAAATATCTGCACTGGAGGTTTCAGTGGGGTGCTGGGATAGAGTGAAATCTGATGCATTGTTAATTGAAAATCGCTGCTCAGAAGTCAGGCCTTTTGTTTACCATTACACAGGTGCAGAGAAGGCTGGGTGCTTCCCAGGGGCTTGTGCCGTCTGTCCAGAGTGAAGAGCACCCCTAGTGGTCCAGCCAGGGACTGCATCCACCAGCCCTCTCATCCAAGTGTGGCCATTGGATCTTGCCCATATTATGTGGAAAGAAGTGAGTTGTGTTGCTTTTGGGAAGGCATATTTTAAAAAACGACTTTTTTGTTTGTTTGTTCCTTTAATCGACAAATGTTAAGATTGTTGTCTTTGCTTTGGAATCAGCACAAACGTATAAAGTTAATTAGCACACATTCTGAACAGGGAACTGTGTCATATCAAGTAATAAACAGTAAACCTAATCATCAAAGTCAGGAGGAAAGAAACTTTTTTTGTGAAAGATAGAAGTAAATATTTTCAGCCTTTCAGGCCATGTGGATCTCTGTTGCATAGTATTTGTTTTTATAAAGAATGATTTAAAATGTAAAAAATCATTCTTAGCTCACAAACTGTACACTTACAGAACCTTTACAGGATATAACTTGTGGGCCCAGGTTTAGTAGTCTGGGCTCTGAGAGACTGGGAGGATGTAAGAAATGAATCTTATACTAATAAGTAAGACCCTTCAGGAACCATGAATGGACACATCCCACTTTAAGGCTGTGAGATCCTTGAAGGCAAGAATCATATTTTATGCTTTCCTCCTTACAATTATTTTATCTCATATGGGGCTTTTAATTTCATTAAATTTTCACTCTCACATTGGTCTGTACAAGCCTCTACATTAGATGCTCTAGACTTAAGAATAAAATAGATGATCCCCAATACAATTGAGTTAAATGAAATAAAATATATCTAATTCAAATTATACTGCAAACGTTGAAATGATAATTATGGAATAGAATACTAAGCATTTTGTAATATATAAAATTACATAATATATACAATTGAGCCTCTATTGAGGTTCAATAGGGGTTCTATTATGTTGGAACCTCATTGTGATTCAGTGGTAGCCATTGCTACCATTGAAAATCTGTGTCACTCTTAGTTTTTAATATTTAAATGTGGAAGCCTAAATGAAAGGAAAGAATGATGCTTATTTTTCCTTTATCCTGAAACATGTGGAAACATAATAAGAATATTATTAAAATTTTATATAATTAATTTATTTAAATCAAGACAAAAATAATATAAATTTTGTCTGATGAGATATGGTGATCTCCCCTAGGGATTTGATAAAATCAGGTATTTTTATCTTCTCAAGATCATTTTAAGAAATGTCCCTACATCAAATTATTCTGCACTTAAAAATTCCTTCACATGTATCAGAGATTGGGCAAGTCTGGATTCCAAGAGAAAGTTGAGAGCTAAGCAAGATTCAGTAAGAGCCATATTTTTTTTCCCTTGAGCTATGATTAAGTTCTTTGCATCTGTTGTGTGAATATCCTTGTCAGACTGAACAGATTGGAATTCCATCCTATAAGCAAAACCAAAAGCATCTGGCTTTTGCTGAAAAGTGCAACACAGAAAGCCATCTTGAAAATACAACCAGTCGTCATGCCAGCATCCTGCAGTTAGTTTAGCAGCTGGGGACCCAAAGAACTCATGTGGATTTGTGACACCATAATAGATTTTGAGTCTATGGAATTAATGAATGAATTCCTAGTAGATGTGTTGCCAAACTAAGAGATTGACATTATTTTTCTATTTTAATCTATGCACCACATGCCTGGTTTCCTGAGTTTAGGCTCTGGCAGTAGCTATCTTTGAATTGCTACTGCTTCACATAAGGAACTTACCTTTCTATGGCAATACTTCTACTACATTGAATCCAAATTTTCACTGGAATAAATACAATTAGATAGGTCCACAGTGAAGAAAAAATATGATTATAGCAAAGAAACCCAGTATAATGAAGTCCACAGCAGCTTTGTGACTTACCCGTTGCTCGGGGTTCTTAACGGTAACAGAGTAAGTTCAGAGCACACATTGCCCAGCTCTGAGAAGGAAGATCTGCACGTGGATCCAGGCTTTTATGTCTCTACTATGTCCATCATGTTTATCTTTTGCTCTGGACATTTTCTTTGTAACTTCTTTAGTTGACTCTCATAGGACATGATTTTCATGAATGTGCAGTGGTGGAAGAGAATTTTCTTTACTCTGCGGGGGCATCTGAGATTATTATCATATGTGGAAGGAAACAGCCTGCATTCAGAACAGACTTGAACAATCCTGACAGCTTCTATTAGAAACATATTGACTATAGACAAACAAATGATTATTTTTACAAAGAAATTTTGCTTACTTAGGTCTCTGATATCATGGTGAAATCACAAGTCTAATTAGCACTAATCATTAGGATGATTCCACAAATGCAGTTCCACCATCTTGGAGGTCCTCTCTACTAAGAAAACGCATGTTAAAACATTACATTTCAAGTGACAATAGATATCTATTTTTGAAGGATAAAGAAAAGTATTATAAAAATATTGATCATCACTCTTTTAAGCCTGACTGATTAAAATATAATTTAAATATTTTTATTTTAAGTGGAAAATGTGGCTTACAAGTACACAGATATGTTTAAATATATTAAGTGCTGAAGTTCAAATAAATAAATCAAAAGAGAATAGCTAAAATTCATCATCTTCTCTATTAAACCGGACATTCTTTCTGACTTCCTTAGTGTATAAATAATGCACACGTTTCTCAGGGATTCAGCTCCAGATTCTAGCCTCAGTCATCTTTTCGCCCATCTCCATCCTATTGTATGCACTTTTGATAATTCTTGCTTTCCTTCTATTTCTCTTGCTAGATTATTATCGTCTCTCTCTATTACCAAGGTCCCTAGAGCAATCTTTACTCTCCACGTCTATGCAATCTAAGTTCACACAACATGCTGCCATAGAGGAACTTCTCCATGCACCATGCTGATAAGGTCCATATCTTGCTCAGACACCTTCCATTTAACCTTTAAGCATTTTTGGTAATTTGTTTAATTAAAAGGCACCATCCTTCTCAGGCGGAATAGATGGGTCACACAAGTTGCTTTCTATTTTCATTGCCCCCTCCTGGGAAGCCTGGGAGTGCCTAACTTGTCCTTAAACTTTTAAGAAAGTCTTTTCATAGAGATCCCCACACTTACCATTGACTCATCTCTTCCTACAGCCACCACTCAGTCAAAGTCGCTATATCTTGGAAAGAGGCTAAAGATATCAACTGGATACCTCTGCAGGGTGATACTGTCCCAAGGGAATTGAAATTTAAAAAAAATTACTTTTTTACATAAAAAGCACAGATATATATATATATGTATATCTGTTTATATGTATATATGCATATATAGATACATATGTGTGTATATAAGTATATTATATATAATATACACACTCATATAGATACATATACCCCTATATATACATATACACACACAAATGCAGAGTATATATCTGAATTTGTATGTAGATAGGAGTGATCTGAGAAGAAGTGTCTAAAATATCTCATTAGTGGGGTGATAATGACGGAAAGGTTGAGGAGCATTGCCATTGCGCTATCTAAATCCAATGAGGTTAACAAGCTCGGGTTTCCCTAACAAGCTGCAGTGAGCATGTGGCCTCATGGCCAGCAAGACCTTCTTGGAGCAGAGAGGTTTGTTTCCAGCTTTTAGGAGTTGGCCTCTGACAGTAGAAAAATGCTTATACTGTATCACTACACTATATGTCAAAATGACTGAAAGATTGCTTTTTTAATTGGCAAACAGGTAGTAAGATTGAAATTCAATAATCCCATCAAAATAAGCAGTAATGGCCCAGTGTTCTGTCCAAGTTCTTCCTTCCCTTAGAAAGAAATATTATTTAATGAATAATTAATGAAATAATAAAGAAATAGTTAACTAATATTAATGATAGTTACTGTTTGAACATCAATTATGGATCTGTCATGAGGCTGAAATTCCTAATTCTATTTTTTCTTTTTCTTTTAAGCTCTGAAACAGCATTATAAATGTGTATTTTTATCACCATTTTACAGGGGAAGAAACTAAAACTTGAAAAGCTCAAATGATTTATTGACGGTCAAAGAGTTCATTCTGAAAGTTAAGATTCAAACCTGGGTCTCTTTAATCCAAAATCCTATAATCTTACTCACTAATATACCAGAAAGATAACCTATTAAAACTATCTTGGGAGGCGGAGGTGGGCGGACCACCTGAGGTCAGGAGTTTGAGACCAGCCTGGCCAACGTGCGAAATCCCTCTACTAAAAATATAAAAATTTAGCCAGGCACGGTGGCGTGCACCTGTAATCCCAGCTACACAGGAGGCTGAGGTAGGAGAATCACTGGAACCTGGGAGGCAGAGGCTGCAGTGAGTCGAGATCATGCCACTGCACTCCAGCCTGGGCAACAGAGTAAGACTCCGTTTCAAACAAAAACAAAAACAAAACTCCTACCAGTAGAATCCAGGAAGTGATGTTCCATGTTAAGGGCAATTTCATCTCCAGGGAACTGGAATTGGGAACCAGAAGATAAGAGGCACAGAGCAGAAACTTCAAAGCAGGGGTGCGAGGCTGGGGGAGGTGTTCCCTACTGAGTCTCTAGAATTATGGGTAAGAAGCTTCATTTCCACTTGGCCTATAGCTGAATTCTAGTTCTAAGGACAAGCCAGGATTTGTTTTCAGGGACTAGAATGTCTGCAAACTATCCAGCTGTATCTGTTTTTACTGTCAAGCATTTATGTTGACTCAACAATGTTTAACAGATAGACTCACCAAGTAAATGCTGCTTTTCAGCTTCCTGTTAGCTCAGCTGGCACTAAAAACCACAGCACTTCTGAGCCAGTACTGCGCAAGCTCTGCAGTGCTCAGGGTGAGTTCCTCACCCAAACGCATCCGAAGGTGGCCCAGAAGGGCTTGGCTGAGTGGCTGCAGGTGGCTGGGAGCTTAGGGAAACCTATAAACATGGGAGATTACATCAAGAATTACATCCCTCAGAGAAGTGCTGCTGAGAGGGGAACCCTGGCTGTTGATGTGAGTTCTCTGGAACATAGCAGGCAAAGTCCCTACATAGCCTGGAAAGCAGAATCCACAAATAGCAAAAGGGGCAGCATCACAAACGCCAAATATCTGAGGGAGGGACCCAGGCAGCTATGTGCAGCAAGATAACCACACTACAAAACTAGTCAAGTCACAAATGCCAGGCTTTCCAGGATTGAACAAGTTTGGTCAATGCCAATTGTAGAACAACATTCTACAGTGACCAAGGTTCATAGACTAGTGACCCCCCCACACAGTGACCCTGACACTTAGCCCCTCAGGGTCAAGGCACTGCTAGGGTTCCCCAGGCGTGACAGTGGTCCTGGTAAGGAGTCGATGTAAATAGCATCGGAAGTGAGAAACCTGCAGGGGAGAGGTTCTTCTCTCCATGGTTGTCTTAAAGCAGAAGCTCAAATTCCCATCTCTTCAGAAAGGCCAAGAGGACTATTTTGAAGTCTGCAATGTGGGGAACAGTGGTCTCCTATATTTTTGGATCCCCACACAGCAAAACGTTGGGGTAACATCTTGATGACATGTTGAAAAATGCCATATGATATTTAAAAGTGTGCATCATATCTGTTCTAGCATTTGCAGTGGCGGGCAGAGAAAGAGAGAGAGAGAATATTATACGGTCTTCAAAGTTAGGTAACATTTCCAGCTATGAAATATTTAAATATTCTGATTGCAAGTATATTTAATCCATCTTTCTCTTCTGTCGCTGTCTCTGTCTTTCCTTTTTTATACTAAGTAAACTTTCTCAGCCTAGAATTTGAGCCCAGCCAGATCCTCTCTTGGGTTGGAGATGATGAGTGCTTGTCTACTCTTAGCGTCCTGCAGACCAAGACAGGCAGTGAAGCACCTGGCCGGCCTGACACTGATGGTGCATTTGCTGTGGATCCCAGCAGGCCATGACTTTGCATCCATCAGTCCATCATGGACTGGGAGACAGTAAGAGGTGGCTGTGGGAGTGAGCCTCCAAAAAGCTATGAAAACATTTTATTGAAAAGTCAACACATGAGATGATGTTCAGATTTTGTTTCTCAAATGTTTATATATTTTATAATCATGCAGCTAATTGTTGAAATTCTGTAGAGACTTGTGTCAGCAGAGAAAAGATTTTCTAGTCAGCTTTCCTTTTTAAGCAAAATCTTGCACGGATTTCACTATGTAAATTGCACCCACGGAAGGCTGCCTTGGTGGAAGAAAGCAGGACTCCTGGTTTCCTGGGTTCAGGCTCAGTCTCACACTGCCCCCCCAGTGACCGCAGCACCCCAACCCCCAGGGATCAGCATGATCAGGAGCTGGGAACAGGTGGACACATCCTGGGGCCTAGTTACAAGTGCTTGTAGTCACAGTTTGTGACGGCCCCAAAGGATTTTACATTAAAAATTCTATACAGATTAGTAGTCTTCCCAACATAGATTGGGGAATTATTTTAGAAAGGTTGAGGGGCATGCCCAAAGTCACACAGCTGAAAGAGGAGTCAATATGATCACCCAGGTCTGTCACCATTTGGTTCAAGTTGTGTTTACACCACCATTGCTTGCCATTAAACAACTGTACCATGGGCAGAGGGCCAAATTATTGCACGTTGCTCCATTGCTCAATGTGACTGTTGTGCCAGCATAGCCCTAATAAAGACGTCTGCATACAAGAAGGGGCTGTGGGAAAGTGCTCAGGGTCAGGAATCCAGATGAAAAGAGGCCCTAAGAGTCTTTTGGATTTCCTAGGGCTTCTTACACTAGGATGTCATGATAAATGACTTTATCTTTTTATTCTGATACTGTTTTTGGTTGTGACATTTTCAGAACTTTGTTGCTCACAAAAGTTCACAAATACAACTACAAATCTCTACATAATGCTCATATAATAATTAAATTAGCTTTTCTTCTCTTTAGAATCAATGGGACACCATTTATATTTCTCTTAGTTGCTCAGAGCTATATAAAATACACATAGCTTTAAATCTAACTGTTATGCCATGGCTCTAACTGGAAATATAATTACTTTAAGGAGTCACAAAAATGGTTAATTAAAAAATAAACTTGACTGAAAGTTAAATTTGGATTTTCTTGGCAAATCAACAAAAACGAAGCTGCCATTGTTATTGTACAACAATGCTTATTTGCAAGTCTTTCTCTTCTATTTTATTGTAATTTTCTATGAGTAACATAAGCATTTCTTAGTAAATGAATGAAGGAATTTATTAACCATGAGTAAATGATTGTATACCTTTAAATAAATTGGCTTTGAGTTTATACAGCATCCACATTAAAATAAGCTAGGGTAGTGTCCTAAAGGGTTAAGACAAAACTTCTGATAAAATAAGCTTAGTAAAATATACACACAGGAATCTGAACATGTTCTTATTCTTGAGTTCATTTTCCACTCTTTTCAGGTTAGCTTGGGGTGAATTAATTAAGTCTGCATCCTACTGGGCAAAGTCCTTTCCTCATTACTTTGTTTCTGCTCCCCTCTCTTCCTGTTGACGCTGATGGACCACCAGGCCTAAAATAGATACTAATTATTTTCCACCTTTTACCCCTCACTGTTCAAAGTAGTGCATGATGTTTTCACTGTAAGACTCCATTAACACAGAGCTCATTAAAGCCACAGGTAATAAATGAATGTACAAGAGCAAATATTTTGTTGAGTTAAAGATACAAATAATACAAATCACAAACAGAAAGACAAATATCATACAGAAAATTTTACCCACTGTCTTTTTATTATGGAAGAGGAAAAACCTGATGTGTGTCATGCAGAAAGCAGTGCCTGCCCTAGTGGTTATAGGAGTTTCTGTCCATTGCTGACTTTGTATGTGAAACAGCACCATTAGTAATCTTGGGACTGTAGGTCTCATGGCCACTGTTCTACTAAAAATGAAACTAAATTTATTGAAGAAGTTTATGTGAAAAATATGTGCCAGATTCAGCAGGCAACTGTACTGATACAACTTTGTGAAAATTGGATACTTTGGAATTGTCTGCTACCCAAATTGTATCCCAAGAAAATCTCCTGCCTCTACACATTGAGAAGTTTAGAACTATTATGCTGTAGTTCCCAACCACATAAATGCTCCACATCCTACAAAAGGGAGAAAACAAGAAAAATCAAAGCAAGCTAACTACCAGCAATGTGGAAAAGTGGAGATAGTTTGTTAAACACCAGGTGTTCAGTCTAAGCCCTGGTGCTTGCTGCACAGAAAGCCAATGAGTATTGTCAAAGACGAAGGCTTTATTCAGGTGCTGTAGCCGAGGAGATGAGAGATGAGTCTCAAATCCATCTCCCTGATCAACTAAAATTAGGAGTTTATATAGCAGAAATATAACTACGTACAGGAAAACAGGATGGGGGCATGATAAAGAAGAGAAGTTGGTCAACAGGAAGCAGGTGGTTGGTTAGGCAACCATGATGGGTGAGGAGCCTGGTTCCTCATTGTCCAGATGCTGAGTTTCAATTCCTTGGTATTATCTGGGAGGTCTGATGATTGGATTCCTGAGAAGGGAAGTCAGATAAAACAACTATAACTTTCTCAAGTTTTAAGACTGTGAGTGTCAATTTCTACGTTCATTCAAAAGAAACCACAAACATGAGTTCTGTGGGTCCAGTTTCAAGTTGACTGGCTTGTAACAAAGTATACTTCATGATCTGAGAATACAACAAAACTAACTTCTCTACACGGTATTAACATGCAGATTGTAAATTTATTAGTAAATGTCCTATGTAATCAGTAATAATCTATCATTACCATTGTCATAGAATTTACTAAGCAATTTTGGATTTACACTCAATCTCTATATAACATTCCTACAGGGTAAAAAGGAAAACAACTATTTTATTCCTTTTATAGATGAAGAAACCAAGGCTCAGAGACCTTCAATGATTCCATAAAGTCACTGTTCATAAATGATAAAACTCATACCAGAACTCAGGTCTCCTGACTTTTACTCAATGTTTCTCCTCATATGTGGCACTAAAAATGTGTCAATGCATAATGCAGTAAATGAAGTGATTAATTTTATGGGTCAACTTGAATGGGCCACATAGTACCCAGATATTTTGCCAAACATTATTATAGGTGTTGTTGTGAAGGTGTTTTATGGATAAAAATAATGTTTAAATTGGTAGAATAGTGAAGCAGATTGCCCTACATAATGTGGATGAGCCTCATTCAACCAATAGAAGGACTGAATACAAAATTCCACCTCCTGACAACCTTCAAACCGGGACTTGAACTGGGACACTGCAGATTTGGAAATTTCCAGCCACCAAAATTGTGTGAACTAATTCCTTATACTAAATCTCTTTTTATATATTTACCTATGTGTGTGTGTGTATATATATATATATGAATGTGTATATATGTGTATAGGTATATATGTTTACCTATAGGTCACCCCCACAGGAGAGCAGCTCCTCTAGACCAGTGTCGGTAATGTGCACGCTCCCTGAATCAGGAAGCCTGAGACATGTTCCATGAAAGAAGGGTACTGGGGCCCATATCTGTATTATACTGTAAATATGCAGTTCAAAGTTTCTGTTATATCAGTCAGGAAATAAAAAACAGACTTTTAAAATATTGATACCAAGCCAAAAAATATGGTGCTGGAAATAAAACCATAGGCCAACCTTTTGTATGTATAGGAATATAAAAATTCTAAACATAATATTAGTAAACTAATGCCAGCAAGTTAAAAAATTGTAACATATTAGTAAACTAATGCCAGCAAGTTAAAAAAATAAAAAAATATATAACACCAGCATCTAAGTTGATTAAGATGTAGTATCCTATAAAATTCCATATCAATCTTGGTGAAATCTTCACACCCTGTAAACTAAAAGAAAAGTTTCACAGAAAAGTGTATGTATTAGACCATTTTCACACTGCTATGAAGAACTACCTTAGACTGGGTGATTTATGAAGAAAAGAGGTTTAATTGACTCATAGTTCCACAGGCATAACTGGAAGCATGACTGGAAGGCATCAGGAAACATACAGTTATGGCAGAAGGCAAAGGGGAAGCGGGCACATCTTTACTATGGAAGAGCAGGAGAGAGAGAGAGCAAAGGGTGAAGTACCACACACGTTTAAACCATCAGATCTCATGAGAACTCACTCACTATCATGAGAACAGCAAGAGAGAAATCTGCCCCCATGATCCAAACACCTCCCACCAGGCGCCTCCTCCAATTCAACATGAGATTTGGGTGGGGACACAAATCCAAACCATATCAGTATAAAATTCAGGGTGCATATAATCCTTAAAATATATAACCATTACAAAGAAAATTAGGGAAAGTTACTGAACTCATTTTATGAGTTATTTTTATAACGCTGATAGCAAAAATAAAAGAAAAAATGTGGGCTACTTTTATGTATAAACATAAAAAAATTTAAAATCATAAATAAAATAATCATAAATCAAACCCAGGAATGCATGTAAAATAAAATATGATTAATTAGGGCTTTTCCCAAGACCATTAGAATGTTTTAAGTTTAATATTACTATTTACATTAATTAAATGAGAAAAAAGATCATCTAAAATATACAGGAAAATAATATTCAGCAACCATCAGAATTGATAAATTTCTTAACAAACTAGAAATAGTAAAGGACTTTTTAAATTGTAGCAACGTGACTACCAAAAACTAAAATGAATAATATGCATAGCATTAAACCGTTAAGGTCATTCCCATTAAATCTAAAGTCAGAATCACCACTACCATTCAACAATGTGTATAAAGTTCTTATCTTGTGCAATAAGATCAAAAAAATAAATAAATATAAATATATTGGCTAATTACAGAAAATATGATTGGCTACATAGAAAATAAGAGTATATAAGCTATTAAGACAAATAAGAGATTTAAGCAGTGTTTTCTAACTGTGTGATTAAAGAAATATCAACAGCAATTATCAGATCAAAAATAATTTTAAAAATAAACTCATTCAGAATAGTTACCAAATTCTTTATTGGGAAAGGGAGTACAAAGATGTATAAGACCTTATGCATAAGATCTCTTCCTCTTAAACAATCTAACCAATCAAAATTAATTTATTCAAATGAAAAAAAAATGTGAACAAGTTAAAATGGATCTGACCATTATCCTTTGACCTTGCTAATGGAACTGGGGCTGCAGCAGCCTTTCCTTCTTGCTGTCTGATTTCGAGAATGCTTACCTCATTGATATACGGAGTGACTTATAAACATTGTTTTCAGGTAAATAAAGCTCAGCCTCAAATTCTGGGTGCCTGGATTTGAGTTAATCTCATTGCTATAAATATGTTTAGCACTTTTAGTGAGGAGTATTGAAAGGGCCAAGAACAGAAAGCGGGCTTCACTGACAGCTCTAGTATTTCATTTAAAAACAAACTCTCCACTTTAGGCAGTGGTGATTCTTTTGTTTAAAGAACATATTGGTGAGCTTTAAACCAGTAACCCCCAACCTCCCCTATCTTTTAACTGCCTGGAATTCTTTGTCCTAATATGGTCTCAGAAATTACTTTATGATCAATAGCCAGTTAGGAGGTCCCATCAGAATGAAGTTGTCCTCCTTACCATTTCCACTTGATATAATTCCAGCCAAGAGCAGAGGGACTTCCATCTACTTAATGTGTGTGCTTTTGTTGGCTAACACGCAGTTTATGTTAGACTGGAAAAATCTCAGGATGCCCTTTTGCCCTCTGTGAGACTTTTATGGGTGTGGTAATTCTCAAGTAGGAAAAAATGGTGTTAAAACAAATTTTCCATGTGGTAATGTGCTGTTTCTTGCTTGTTTTCAAGAAAGTACAAATGAGTTCTAAGCTAAATGTCATTAATGCAAGATCAACAGTCGTGATTCTTATGATTTATTTCCTTTACACATTTGGGGTTATTTTAAATAAATGTTGACTATGGTTGCAGCGACGACTTTCAGTTTTTCAAATGTATTGTCTTAATACTTTGAAAAAAAAGAAATCTCTTGTTATCTGTGAGAGGATCAGTAGGTAAAAACAAACTTGGGAGAAATTTGGCAATTATTCACTAAAAATGTTGTCATGTGTGTCAAGCATTATCCAAAGATTTCATTTCTCAAAATACATCCCTGAAGTGAAAGGAGGAGTATAGATGAAGAAAATATTACCATTACTATTGGACCAGTTATTAAATGCATGGAGATTAATAATACATTTTCTACGTTGTTGTGTGTGATTAAATTTTTCATAATAAAAGCAATTTTAAAAAATGAGCTAGGCCAGGCATGGTGGCTCACGCCTCTAATCCCAACACTCTGGGGGGCCAAGGCGGGTGGATCGCCTGAGGTCAGGAGTTCAAGACCAGCCTGGCCAACATAGTGAAATCCCATCTCTACTAAAAATACAAAAAAAAAAAAATAGCTGGGCATGGTGGCGGGCACCTGTAATCCCGGCTACTTGGGAGGCTGAGGCAGGAGAATCGCTTGAACCCGGGAGGTGGAGGTTGCAGTGAGCTGAGATTGCACCATTGTAATCCAGCCTGAGCAACAATAGCGAAACTCTGTCTAAAAAAAAAAAGAAAAAAAAAAAGGCTAGAGGCTATGATCCTTACCAAACGAACGCAGGAACAGAAAACCAAATACCGCATGTTCTCACTTATAAGTGAAAGCTAAATGATGAGAACTTATGAACACAAAGAAGAAAACAACAGACAATGGGCCCAGTTGAGGATGGAGAGTGGGAGGAGGGAGAGGAGCAGCAAAAATAACTATTGGGTAGTGGGCTCAATTCCTGGGTAATGAAATAATCTGTACAACAAACTCCATGACATGAGTTTACCTATGTAACAAACCTTCACGTGTACCCCTGAACCTAAAATAAAAGGTAAAAAAACAAAAAAGAAAAAGAAAAATGAAAAGCCTTGCCATTTTATAGTATCCAGGATTTTTTTTTCTTTTTTGGTAAATCTAGATGGAAAAGAACATCGTTTTATAAAACATAACTTAGTAACAATGAGAAACTAAGCTTTTTATTTTTCTTAATCAACCTTTAAGTACTTCCAGAAGATGTTTGAAAGTTGTGTGCTACACACGTCACGAAAACATTTCTTTGGAACAAATTTTTTAAGCAATGATTTTACACTGGAATTTGAAGGCTGCAAAGTATGAGATGGGCCATTCTTTTCCCTAAATAATATAACCGTCCTTACTGAAAATATATTTTCTGAGTTAAGGGCTTGAGCCAAAGTTCAATTTCCAAGCTATTCCCTGTAGTGTCCGTGAGCTGGAGGAAAGGTCTTGGTTCGTTTTGTTTGTTGTTGTATCTCCTGTGTGAAGGTGAGTGCCCTGTGCATTACAGGTGCCAAAGAAAGACTTGTAGCATAAAAAGCTACAAAATGCATTACTCCTCTGGCACTGGGACTGATCCATTTTTCTGTGTATTGCATGTCTTTCCATTAAGAGCTTGCATTACAAGTGAAATACAAAAAAAAAAATCTTTTACTTTCTAACACCATTTAGAATCCTCTTTCCTCTAGCTGCTTAAACTTTCCTTTAAAACTTACTACTACTGGAATCTCCTGAGAAGTGGAGAGGCCTCCCATAATTACCTGCTAGAAAAATGGCAGGCTGGAGCGATTTTCCCCTGGCTGCTGTGGCAGCTGGTGGCAGTTTGTCCCAGGAGTTTTCAGAAGTTCAGGAGGTCTGCTGAACATCTGAGCTGTATTTGCATGTGGGCCAAGCAGGCACCGCACCATCAGGGAAGGACCTGGATCAGAAATGGAGAGGTGTGGGGTGCACTCGCAGTGGAGCCTGTAAGTACAAGGTGAGCCCAAACTTGCATCAAACTGCCTACTTTGGCAATGGTTGAAATCAAAGGTGGGTTACAGGACAGTGATACTGGGTACCAAGGGGACCTGCTGCAAGTCACCTCTTGTACCACCCAGATCTGTTTACCACCAACATTAAGTCTTTAAAGCCGTAACTGGCTGTAAAGTCTACAAAAGGGGAGTTTATGAATATGTGGTATATGCTGCCTCTAATGGAATCCCTCAAGATATAGTTCAAATGGATGCAAGTTGCAATAACTAGCACTTAAAAATTAGAGAAGTCTTCTTAAGCCATTTGACACACATGGCCCTCTAAAACCATAACCCTGTGGCCAACCCCTGTATCTTCTTGACATGTGACTTACTAGGGCATACAAGGCATCCAGGTCCCCTGCCTGACTAACATGGTGTCATCAGTCCAGTGGCTCAACATGACTTTCTGTACAAGATCAAGGCCATCAAGGTCATGCTCTGTATTTCTACAGAGAAGATGGATGAAAGATGGGGTCATTAAACTTGTCTAAGGTAAGTGAGTGATTATGTATGGCTGGAACTGCTCATCTTAAATGAGAATGAATTTTCATCCCCTTTACTCATGGGGATTGAAAAAAATGCAACTGTGTGACGCTTTTTCCTGCACAGGAAGCCAATCCAAAATGTAGTGGCTTAAAAGAACTACTTATTTAGCCTTTGGTTTTGTGGATTCCTAATTTTGGCTAAGTTTATTTGAGGGATTCTTTTTATTTGTTCGGGGCACGCTCATGCTTGGGTGATCAGTTGCTGGGTCAGCTGGGATCTGGACTGTCTAAAGTGGCCTGAGCTGGGTGCCCTTCTTGGTTTTACAATGTGTCTCATCCCATTGTAGGCTGGCTTTTCTAGTGGCGGGAGAAACTCAGGGCAGGAGACAAGAGATACTCTGTAGAAAGGAGATAAGTTGCTGCCAGACCACTAGGTACAGCAATGACCAGAAGGAAAGAGCAGGCCAAGGGATTTGAGGTGGAGCATGAAACGTGACGTGCTCAATGGCTGGAGACGGTAGTTGCTCCTAGAGCTTGAAACAGTGCTTCATCTTCAGCTACCTCAGTAGTCACAATTTCCATTTTAAATTTTGGGAATTTTTTTGGTTCCTATTTGATTTACAGTTTTGAGAACCTCCTCATTTGAAAATAAAATTGATGAATATTAGATGACAAATATAGAAAATATATAATGCTTTTACTTTGAAAAGTCAATAGGAAATACTAAAAATTTGTAAATATCATAAATCCTCCTATAATATGATATTGCAACACAGCATGTTTGTCTTATGAGCAGAGCCTCAATGCTGTGATGAGCAACTCCAAGTTCTCAGGAGTTTAACACAAAAGCAGTCACTTCTCATGTGCAAGTGTTCAGTTGTGATTGCCCTCAATGTGATTTAGGGTCCCACACTGCTCCCTACAGCCTCTAAGTCCTCTGTTGGGTCCTCTGCAACCTGGGAGCAGAGGAGGGAAGTGAGTGAGTAGAAAGGTACAAGGGAATTATTGTGAGTCAAGCTGGAACTGGTTTCTATCATTTCTGTACACAAAACACCAGCCAGATCTCAGACACAAGACGGGCACAAACCACTTACATAAAGTTTTAAGAGGCAAAATTAGTCTATAATCTCTGAAAACAGAACAGGAGTTACCTAAAGGAGAGAGAGAGAAGAAACTACTCAGTGAAGATCATGAGGGGAACAACTGTTGTGCCAGAATTATTCTATTCTTAACCTGGGTGATGGGACATGGGTGTGAACACTTTGCAATAATTCACTAAGCTGCACAATTATGCATTGTGTAATTTTTTTATATGTGTGTTACACCTCACATTTAAAATTTTAAAATAATTTAAGTTGTGTAAGAAATAAAAAGATAAGCCATGGACCAGGAGCAAATATTTGAAGTCACATATCTGACAAAGGACTTGTATCCAGAATATACAAAGAACTCTCAAAACTCAACAATAAGAAAACAACCCAATTAGACAGTGAGCAAAACATGTGAACAGACACTTCACTCAAGATGATATATGGACAGGTGCAGTGGCTCCTGCCTATAATCCCAGCACTTCGGGAGGCTGAGGTGCAGGGATTCTTGAGCCCAGGAGTTCAAGACCAATCTGGATAATATGCGGAGACTCTATTTCTACCAAAAATATTATCTGAGCACGCAGCATACACCTCTGGACCCAGCTACTCTGGAGGCTGAGGTGGGAGGATTGCTTGAGCACAGGAGGAGGCCGAGGCTGCTGTGTCACTGCACTCCAGCCTGGGCGACAGAGCAAGACCTTGTCTCAAAAAAAAAATGATTAAAAGATGACCAATAAACAGGTGAAAAGATGTTCAACATCATTAGTCATGAAGGAAACACAAATTAAACCCATAATGAGATACCACTGCACACCTATAAGAAGAGCTAAACACACACAAGCTGGCCTGACCTATTCTAACTTTTCAACTTTGAATGTGATGCTCAGACTTCCCTCTTTGATATGAAGAAAGAGGCTGTAACAGATATGCAGTGCACCTAATTACTTTTTCCATGCACTGAAATGTATCTTTATTTAAACCCAGCATTGCAGAGCTGTATATTTATTTAACATTACTTTTCATGCTCACAGATTGGCTTCCAGAGAGCTGTATTTTGGCACTCACTGAAGACTGTGTTAAGAAAAACTCATTCCAGTGAAACTCACCATTTTATTTGCCATAGGGATGCTATTGGGAATTTTGTTCACTTCGCTTCTAAGGGAAAACTTCTCACAGACCTAAGTAGCCAGATTGTCAGTGCTTGTCTTGGGCAGCACCAGGAACCTGAAAGTGTCATCTGGGGCAACTGCGGCTGCGTTAGCTTGAGGACAGAGCCAGAGTGGTGGGGCAGGGGGTGGGATTGGGGATGGGAGTCCCTTGAAGAACTGTGGCACGCTGTGTGTCCTAAGCAGCCTTCCTAATGTCCAGAATCCACAATCCACAATCTCTTGAGAAGACAGGTTGTTGATGCCTGGATGTTCACCTCCTTTAACGTGCTGCTAACTTGCTTTATCCCCATCCCGTTTTAGATGTGGAACAACTGATGGATGTCAGACCATTGCCTCTGTTGTCTTAACTTTTCGTATTTTTCCTATGATTCCTTCACAAATAAAATAAAGATGAAATGAAACGAAATAATAAATGCAAAAGGCATTTCCCTCTTCCCCTTACGCACTAAGAGTAGAATACCCCCTCTGACAGATAGAAACCAAACAGAAGAATGAATTTAAGAGAAGGGTAAGACAAGACTGTTTTCTCTCTCCTCCTTCAATGTCTATTTATTTTACATGCACACAAATAAACACATATCCATATTTAAATATTTCATATAAAAATTAAAAAGCCTAAATGAAAAATATATATAAGAGCCAGTTGCTGATTGTACTATAGCAGACTCTGGAAAACATTTGGGTCAACTAATGACTTGTTTATGATGAACATTTAGATACCTCATAAATGTAGCTTATAATTTCAATAAAGGTGGTATAATTATGTTTTCAATCTTCCTGAAAAGCTGGGCACCCACATAATGAGGCCTGTGGAGAGATAGGGATATCAGATATCTCAGTAACTAAACCTCTGCCTTACTTCCCTCTAAAAACTGAAGATATTAAATACCAGGGAGTTCACTAGGTTCTTAAGGCTCGGCAGTCAGCCTCCTTCTTTGCTCTTCATGGGGAGGGACCCAGGCATCTTGGGGCTCTGGTCTTGCCCTGCCCTTCCCACATACATCCTCCTGCTTCAGGGGGAGCTCCGGGAAGGGGGCATCCCTGGACCCAGGTCTCTCCTGGCCTAGCCCAACCCGGGTGTTCTGGGTCCAGCTGCTTGGGGATGATGATACTCAGCCCAAGGGAGCTGCCATGGTGCAGGTTCATGTGAGACACAGGACCCGAGCCCAGCCAGGCCTCCCAGGGCCTCCCTGAGATGTACACCTGGACAGCAGTCCCTGGGCTGTGCTAGGGGTCCAGTCTCCATCCAGCAAAGGAAAATGCTTCCTTTCTTTCAAATCCCATTAGGGGCTTTGGACATATAATGTCCAAAATTTTGAATGTGATGTAAGGCTAAAATGCTTGTGCCCCAGCTGGGGCCTCATACAGGTGGGAAACAGAAGGCCAAGCCCTAAGTTTCCACTGTCCTTCCTCAGCCTCCCAATTTCTTCATCTAGACCTCCAGGGTCAACTTCTTCCTTAAATGGGTTCAACTCACAATTTCTTACCTTGGCTTTAGTTCTCAATCTAAATGGTATTTCTAGCTGACTTTTATTTTTGATCTTTCTGTGGGTTTTGTGGGACCCACACCAGCAACCCAGTCCCACCCACCCTTCTATTACCAGGTGCCTTTCAGCTGGGCCCTCTTGCTGTGGGTGGAGCGCTCTCCTCCATCCTCTGTCTGCATCCTGGGGATATGGGAATGTGGTGATGTTCTCGGTGACTCCCTGATGAGCCTGTTCTCTGCTATAGGTAGCCAAGACAATCCCAAGCCTTTTTCTCCCTACAGACTCTTGGCTGCTTCTTGGGAATCTCTTGAGCATCCTTTGCTCTGACCCTCCCTGGTGATGTGGCTGGCCCAACTCTGCCCTTGGAGTTTTGCCCCAGTTCACTGGCCCCTTTCCTGCAGAGGTACGTCTCAGCCTCTCCACAGGGATTCTTCACAACAGACCTCTCCTGATGGAGGTGAGAGTGGGAGCGTGCCCACTCTTTCCACTTGGAGACAGCTTATCCTTTTAAACTCCCCCTTGGTTACCCACCTCCCACACCAGTCCTTAAAAAATTACTCATGGTTTGGGCTTAAGCATCCTCTGAGCAGTTTTCAGTCAGTTACATTTGAAGTAATTGTCTGGGTTTGGTAACCATCTGTATTAGTTCCTTCTCACACTGCTATAAAGAAATACCCAAGACTGAGCAATATATAAAGGAAAGAGGTTTAATTGACTCACAGTTCCACATGGCTGGGGAGGCCTCAGGAAACTTACAATTATGGTGGAAAGGGAAGCAGGCACTTCTTACGTGGCAGTAGGAGAGAGAGTGTGAGCATGTGAAGGAGGAACTGTCAAACGCTTATAAAACCATCAGATCTTGTGAAAATTCACTATGAGGAGAACAGCATGAGAGAAACTACCCCCATGAGCCAATCACTTCCCACCAAGACGCTCCCTCAACTCTGGGGATTACAACTCAAGATGAGATTTGGGTAGGGACACAAAGCCTAACTATAACACTATCTGGTAGTAGAGTTTGGAACTCCATTCAAAACATTCACTTATACACACTAGGATTCTTCAATCTTATTAAATAGCAAATGATAAAATTTATTTTGTTTTCCTAATTTCCTCACTCTTGTGTCCTTATACTGAGATAAATCATACCATTTTACAGACAAGCCCTTTTATTGGAGCAAGTCTACTTTTAATTCTATACATATCATGGATCAATAATGAAAATAAATTCATGAGAAAGCCAGGGGCATTGGCAAGATGGAGGCCCCTGAATGCTCCAGGGAAGTCCTAATAAAGAGGTTGGTGTCATGTTCTCCTGTATTTAAAGCTCATTTCTCACTGGCTGGAGTGGTAATAGTTACAAAAGAAAGATGATCTTCGGTGGTCTTAAACTCAATAAATAGAAACGGCAATTTTTCCAGGTAGGAAGATGCTATGAACTGAATTGTGTACTGATGTGGTTTGAATATATGTTCCCCTGAGTCTCATGTCAAATTGCAATCTCTAATGCTGGAGATGGGGCCTGGTGGGAGGTAACTGGATCGTGGGGGCAGAGCTTTCTTGCTTTCTTGAATGGTTTAGCGTCATCCCTCTTGGTACTGTCCTCATGAGAGTGAGTGGGTTCCCATGAGATCTGGTTGTTTAAAAGTGTGTGGCACCTCCCCTCCTCTTGCTCTTGTCACTCCTGCCTTGTAAGATGCCTCCTTCCTCCTTCACCTTCTGCTATAATTGGAAGATTCCTGAGGCTTCTCCAGAAGCCAAGCAGATGCCAGCACATGCTTCCTATACAGCCTGTGGAACCATGAGCCAGTTAAACTTTTATTTATAAATTACCCAGTCTCAGGTGTTTCTTTATAGCAATGCAAGAACTGACTAATACTTGTCCTCTCAAGAATTCATATGTTGAAGCCCTAATGTTTAGTGTGATGATATTTGGATATGGGGTCTATCCTAGTCACTTTGGTCTGCTCTAACAAATGTCATAGACTGGATGGTTTAAACAACAACAACATTTATTTCTCACAGTTCTGGAGGCTGACAAGTTCAAGATCGAGTGGCTGGTGTCTGGTGTGGGCCAACTTCCTGGTTTGCAGATGGCTGTCTTCCAAGAAAAGAAAGAAAGGGGCAAGCTCTCCGATGCCTCTTATTCTAAGGGCATTGATCCCATTCATGAGGACTCTACCCTTTTGTCCTAACTACCTTCTAAAGGTCCCATTTCCAAATGCCATTACATTGGGGGTTAGGATTTCAACATACAAAGTTGAGGGCAGGAATTCAGTTCATAGCAGGGTTTTGGGGACGTAATTAGGTTTAGATGAGGTCATGAGGGTGGGGCCCTCATTAGGGGATTAGTGCCCTTATAAGATGAGACACCAGAGAGCCTGCTTCCTGGCTCTGCCATGTGAGGACACAGTGAGAAGGCAGCTATCTGCAAGCCATCAGAACCCTGCCATATGGGAACCCTGACCTCAGACTTCCAGCCTTTAGAGCTGTTGAAAATAAATGTTGGTTGTTTAATCCACTCACTCTGTGGCATTTAGTTATGGCAGCCTGAATTGACTAATACAAAAGATAAAGGACATTCCTTTGTTACCAGGGGCAGCCATGAAAAAGGAGTCTAGGAACTTAATGACAGACAACAGAAGAATTTTCTGCCTTCAATTTCTGCTCCCATCATGGCTGTGAAGTAAAGACTTTTTTATCTGCTAAAGGCAAAGGCAACAATATCCAGTAGGGGAATTTGAAGGGAAATTAAGTGTTTCCAAAAATAATCATTTAACAGTTTGTCATCCACATGGGTAAGTTGAAAATATCCACTTGCATCTGTACTGAATGGCAACAGAAAATGAGAGGCCATCAGGCAAAAAAGCCCACCAGAGCCAATGTTCTATGCACTCCCTGTACAAAATCATCCCAGGCACTGGACAACTCTTGGCCAATTGGAATCTGTGACTAGTCCTTTAGATTTCTCTCAAAATTTGGAGATTTAGTGGTTGGAAGGAAGCGATGATGCTGGGGACACATGCTTGCAGAAGAGGAGAAGCTTGATGGTGCTGGCCCAGGGCCTGGGAGGCTGCATTCTCTCTGTTCTGATTCCTGCTGTTGATTTTCAACTGTGCAGCAGGTCCTCTGCCCCAAGCATAAAAATTGGCCACTGTGGAACAAAATAGATAGCAGAGAACAAAAATTCTGATGAGTCCTTTCCAAAACCACATGCAACTTGGGAATGTCCACTTTCAAATTTTACTAGCAGTTTCTGGTAAAATTTGGAGTCCTCTTCCCTGAAGACACCACACAAGTTGTAGAATTCTCAGGAGATAGGATAGAGTTGTATGTACCTTAAAGAGACTTGTAAATCTAGTTTGTGACTTTTGACTTTTTCTGATTGATTGACAGATGGATTATAAAGGATTTTAACAAGTGTTGATGGCAGGGAACAGCATCATGCTTCCCATGCCCTCTCCAGCCCCTTCCAGCACACGTGCTGTACATCCTACTGCAGAAGCCTGGGGACAGCACAAATCCACCTCACACCCTTTCTCTGAATGCCAGCATCGAATGATTCCATATTGCTTCTATTCTGGGTTCCCAGGAGGAAAAAGAGGCCCTGGCCTTGAATGAACTATAGAATAATTTTCTTTTTCCCCAGAGCTGAAAGAGATAGATCTTATTTGCAATGCTATGCCACTATCCCTCAAGCAGCTGGTTTCAGAATATATAATGTGTTCAATTGTGTTTTTGTTTTCTTAGAAGGAAAATGTGAAATGGGTTTTTAAATAGAGGCATATGCTTTTTAAAAACAGTTTTATTGAGGTATAAGTGATATACAAAAAATTGCACATATTTAATGAATAAAATTTAATGAGTTTGGACATCCACCTGCACCTGTGAAACCATTACCACAATCAAGGTAATAGACATGTCTGTTACTTCCAAAGAATTTCTTGTGTCCTTTTTTCTTTTTATGGTAAGAACATTCAACATGAGAGCTATGTTTTTCATGCATTTTTCAGTGCACAGTACAGTATTGTTAACTACTGATATGGTTCAGAACTGTGTTTGCATCAAATTTCATGTCAAATTGTAATCCCCAGTGTTGAAGGTGGGGCCTAGTGGGAGGCGACTGGGTCATGGGAGTGGAGTTCTCATGAATGGTTGAGCACCATCCTCCTTGGCCACAATAGTGAGTGAGTTTTCACAAGATGTGGTTGTTTTAAGCCTCCAGACATGCTTCCTGTACAGCCTGTGGAACAGTGAGCCTATTAAACCTCTCTTCTTTATAAATTACCCAGTCTCAGCTATTTCTTTATAGCAGTGCGAGAACAGACTAACACAACTGTAGGGACCCGTAAGTAGCAGCTCTCTAGAATTTATTTGTCTTGAATGACTGAACTTTACACCAATTGAACAACAATGTCCCCCTCCCTCAAGCCTCTGGTACTCAGTGATGGATTTGTTTCTATGAGTTTGACTATTGAAGATACCTCGTATAAGCAGAGTCACATAGCATTGATCCTTCTGTGACTAGTTTATTTTACTTAATGTAATGTTTTTCAGATGCATCCATATTGTCATGAATGGCAGTATTTCCTTCTCTTTTAAGGTTGAAAAATATTGAACTATTATTTGTGTATACCACGTTTTGTTTGCTCATTCTTCTGTTGATGGACATTTGGGTTGATTCCACATCTTGGCTATAGTGAATAATGCAATGAGCATGGGAGTACAGGTATCTTTCTGCAACACTGATTTCACTTCCTTTGAATATACACCCAGCATGGAATTGCTGGGTTATATGTAGCTCTCTTCTCAATTTTTTGAGAAACCTCCATACCGTTTTCCATAGCAGCTGTGTTTGATTGTCTTAAAGCCATCTTCCTTATGGTTATCTGGCCCAAGGTGATACTCACACCAGGTGAAGTGTAAAGAAAGACAACTTCTCTTTCCTGTAAGATTCTTTCTAATATTCTTGGCCTTCTGAACAATGGCTAGTGACACATCTGTGGCCTGTGTTTACAGAGTTGCTATCATCTCTGAAAATAATTGAACTTGTGAACCTGCAGCTCAATGGGCTTCTTCAGCTCTCCCTGTCAGGATAGCATCTCCATGATCACTTCTCCAAAGCCTGCATTCTTTTGTCCCTACTTAGTGAAGACTCTGTGAAAATTTCTGAATTCCAGAGGAATGGAGAGTGCCTTGTAATATTTTTATAACACAGAAAGCAGAAGCAGCATTCATATGCACTAAGACATATTTACAATCTCATAGGGGAAAATATGCCATTGTAAAAGACATTTATCCTTTAAGGTCAGCAGAGGAAAAGATACTGAGTCGATGTCATTATTTTCTGTATAATGTATGCCTTGCGTAGAAAAGATAAGATACGTTCGTGATCAAAATTACAGTTTTTACATTTTTCTTCCTTGTAATTTGTAAGAATTCTTGGTAAGTAAAACTCATCCTAAGTAAGTCACTATAGGAATGTGAAATAGTGTAATTCTAAAAAGTCAACTTAGGAGAAATTAAGCTATTTTCAAATTTGGATCTCAGGTTTAAATGGTCTTTAATCACTATTTACTCTTTGCATTCTTCAAAAAACAATCTGTGTGTATATGTGTACGTGGTGTGTGAATGTGTGTGGCATGTGTTCGGTATATGTGTTACGTGTATGTGTTTGTGTGTGTGTGGTGTAAGGGTGTGGTGGCGGTGTGTGAATGTGTAGTGTGTGGTGTGTTTGTAGGGTGTGTATGTGCATGCGGTGTGTGTATGTGTGACTCAGTGTCTCGTAGTGTGTGAAGTATGTTTGTGATGTGTGTGTGTGTGAAGTGTGTGTGTGCTGTGTATGTGGTATCTGTGATGTCTGTATGTGTGTGGTATGTGTGTACGTGGCATGTGTCTGTGTGTGTGCATGTGGTGTCGTGTGTGATGTGTGTGTGTGAAGTGTGTGTGTGCATGTGGTGTGGTGTGTGACGTGTGTGTGTGAAGTGTGTGTGTGCTGTGTATGTGGTATCTGTGATGTCTGTATGTTGTGCTCTGTGTCTATGTGGCATGGTTTTTGTGGTGTGTGATATGTCTGTTTATGATGTGTTCGTGTATGAGCAGGTGTTGTATATGTGTGTCTGTGTCTATGTGGGGTTTATATGGTGTGTGTGTGTATAGGGTGTGTGTCTGTGTGTGGGGTCTGTGTGTGCAGTGTGTGTGCATGTGGTGTGTGATGTGTCTGTGATATGTTAGTGTACGGGCAGGTGTTGTATATGTGTATCTGTGTAGTGTGTATGTGCCTATGTGGTGTGTATATGGTGTGTGTGTCTGTGTGTATGGGGTGTGTGGTGTGTGTCTGTGTGTATGGAGTGTGTGTGGTGTGTATGTGTCTATGTGGGGCGTGTGTGGTGTGTTTCTGTGTGTATAGGATGTGTGTGGCGTGTATTTGTGTGTGTAGGATGTGTGTCTGTGTGTGATGTGTCTGTGTGTTTAGTGTGTGTGCATGTGGTATGTATGTGTATGTGTGTCTATTTGGCGCATGTGTGTGCATGTGCACATTTGCCTTCTACTGTGAATAAGCATGCAGAAGGAGAGTTTTCTACTTGAATTAAAGGAGAGGCTGCAAAGCCCCCTAAGCCAAAGGGTGGCTCACGCACCTTCCTGGGAACTTACAGCATTTTATCTTTTCCTGGGAAGTTCAGAAGACCAGCCTAAGGCATTGAAACATGAAAGTGTGAAATATGTTGCCAGCCCAACTGCATTTTCTCACCGATGTGAGTGTCTCTGGGGCTCTGAAGGACCACTGTGAGCCTCCATGGGGCAACCTTCCCACCTCAAGGAAGGCAGGTAACTTTCCAGTCATTTAACTGCAGTGTAAGTGAGGTGTTTGCTGTGTTTGTTTGATTTTGGTTTATTCCAAGTCTCTTTTTAAACTTCTTTTGAAAACGATGAACTGGTGAAGAAAAGATGCCTGTAAGACAGTGAACACTGGCAGGGGTGAGGAGAGGAGGTGCTTCTGCACTGGGAGACTGTTTCTGAAAGTGAATTTGGTTCCATACAAACCACCTTCTGCGACTGTGCAGCCTCACACGCGTGACTCATGCTGCCTTTTAAAATTGACTGTCCTATTTTTACCGAGTCTTCATTATCAAGTTGGTTAAGAGGCAGGACAGATGATTTTCCACACTGCACAGCCAGTCCATGAGGCAGCAGACCCTGTAACAGGAGCAGAGTTTTGGAGGTAAATAGGTCACCTCTTCCTGATGCATTACCTTATTTTGTTAGCAAATAGCAGGGTTGTGCTTTTTCCAGCAGTGATGCTGATAACGTTCTCATGCCAAAAATGTACCAAGTCAGATCATATCCACTGTCATTTGAAACACTGCTTGTCATACAAGATACCCCAAACGGGGCTATATTTTGAAACTGAATGAGTGACAAAATGTCAGTTGGTTTCTTTGATATTCCCACAGAAAGAAATTGACTCTAATCCACACAGAACTTTCGGCTATTTTTGACATAGTCTTCTTTCGCTGTGTTAGCATGATTTCTGAAAGATGATTACCCAGCTCTAAACATGCAAACGACATGCCTCTCTTTGAATAAGCCCACACATCTGAGAGAAGTTGGTAGTTGGTAGAGCAAGAGATACTAGTTGAGAACAAAAGCTTCCACTGCCAGGAAGGAGGGAAAATCTGAGCAGGCTGCCCAACATAAGGTCTGATGGAGAGAAAGAAAATTGTGTTCACTGTCCTTACAAAAGTCTTTGTCCAAATTAAGGAATCTTTATTTTAGCTCTGTGAAACCCATGCCAGGCTTCCAACCTCCAGAACTGTAATGCAGTAAATTTATTTTATTTATTATTTATTATTATTATTATTTGATACAGACTCTTGCTCTGTCCCCCAGACTGGAGTGCAGTGGTTCAGTCTCAGTTCACTGCAACTTCCATCTCCCAGGTTCAAGCGATTCTCCTGCCTCAGCCTCCTGAGTGGCTGGGATTACAGGCTTCTGCCACCACGCCCGGCTCATTTTTGTATTTTCAGTAGAGACAGGGTTTCACTATGCTAGTCAGGCTGGTCTTGAACTCCTGACTGCAAGTGATTCACCTGCCTCTGCCTCCCAAAGTGCTGGGATTACAGGCATAAGCCACTGTGCCTGGCCAGTAAATTTATATTTTTTAAGCCACTAAGTTGGTGGGAATTTGTGAGAACAGCCATAGAAAACGAATCCACTGTCCTTACTCACCTGAGAGCATGTGCGTCCTTCTTTTCTTTTGTTTCTGTTTTTCGAAAAGAAAGACGTAGCAACCTCCCCTGGGGCACTTTGTCCCCCTGGCCGTCTGTGCCTTGGTCTGCTCTCCTTCCCCAAGCCCCATTCCTGCAGTTTTTATAAATCTTGAGCTAACCACATTCTCATCTGCCCCTCTTGAAATCAGGGTTTGTGGCCGGGTGCGGTGGCTCATGCCTGTAATCCCAGCACTTTGGGAGGCCGAGGCGGGCAGATCACAAGGTCAGGAGATCGAGACCATCCTGGCTAACACGGTGAAACCCCGTCTCTACTAAAAACACAAAAAATTAGCCAGGCGTGGTGGCGGGCGCCTGTAGTCCCAGCTACTCAGGAGGCTGAGGCACCAGAATGGCGTGAACCTGGGAGGCGGAGATTGCAGTGAGTCGAGATCACGCCACTGCACTCCAGCCTGGGTGACGGAGCGAGACCCCGTCTCAAAAAAATAATAATAATAAAAATTAAGAAATCAGGTTTGCAAAATGGAGTGTTGACTCTTTATGCCTAGGATAACAGTTACTTTTTGCAATAGTGGCACATTCTGATCCCGAAAATCACCTCCGCCCTGAGCACCGGTGGGATGGAATGGGTCAGTGTGTCCTGCCCACGCCCTCTCACCTGCTGGACACCTGGCAGAGCAGGAGGGTTTCACCTGCTTTCCCCCATGATGGAAGGGGCACTGCTGATGGCCCACAACGTGTTTTACAAAATATTCCTTTGGTATGTTCACTCATTTGTACATTTAAAAGTAACTGTTGCATCTCTACTAGGTTTCAGGCAGGTGGAGATAAATAATTGAGGAAGATACAGCTTTGGTCTCAAAAGATAATGTCTCCACAGGGTTTACGAGGCAACTTGAGTTCCGTGGGTTAGGACTTTCCAGGAATAAATTAATAGGTGTCTGTGTTTTCAATTATTGAGGGCAGCAATTCCTTTATGACGACCCTGAACTTTGTAAATAGTGAATGATTTTCATTTTTTTTTTTATTATACTCTAAGTTTTAGGGTACATGTGCACATTGTGCAGGTTAGTTACATATGTATACATGTGCCATGCTGGTGATCAAATAAGAGGGTTTCGCTCCGTGGTTCTCAACAGAGATCCTGGTGTTTTGGTCTGGGGCATGGTGTGAGAATGAGTTATTTCTTGCTCTCTCTCTCATTCTGTTCTTCAGGTGACTGAAATGAGTGGCCTGAACTGGGAACAAATTGGGCTGATTTAGTATCTTTAGCCTTAGGTCAAGGAAGAAGTAAATTACACAAAGAGACAATAGGGAAAGGAATGAATCAGTTAAGGAAGGGCTGGACGGATGGCGGAATCTCTGGAAGGGAAGGGAGAAGGTGAAGCTTAAGGACCTATTTGGGTCAGCCAAGCTCTTGCACCTGGAGACAGGGCCTGGCTGGTGTTGGAACAGCTGTGCTCTGAGTTGGGCGATTTCAGCCACCCAGGGTCCATGCTCACTGACTCTGCCTCAGGCCTTACAGCGTGTCGTGATCATCCTTTATGACCTAACTGCCTGGCCTGGGGTTTTGCCTCATCACAGGCCACTGCCTGTCTTCCGCCTTCCCTAATACTTTACAATATATCTATCCCTCTATTCAGTAGCCAACATTTTTTTTCCTGTAATCCCTAGTATCTTTGAGGTCCAAAAATCCATAGCAAGTCATTATCCCTGTAATTCTTGGAGGTGAAGGATCTAAGAACATTTAATGTTATTAACATTAAAAAATGTGTTTATCACGATGCACAGATATAAGTCTTGTTTCACAGGTTGAAAAACTACAAAAGCAATATAATGTTTATTCTGCAATTTGTGTAGTATTTTTTATTAGCACTAGCTGATGTACAAAATTCTTAGTAATTTCAAACATAATTTATAAGTGTGTATATATAGGAAATCTGTAATAGTTAAAAGGAGTACTATGAGATGATATTTTATATTTATATAACAATAAAGTCTCTTTGGATTTATTTTTAAAATGAGACAAAAATAAGACCCTTCTCTGATCTTTTTCCTGACTGTACCAGAATTCTACACTCCACCCGACGTGTCCACTCTGCAGCTGTCCCATGCGCACAAACCGCGGCCACCACCCTGCTACCATGTTGCCTCCACCGCCGCCTCTTCTCTCCCATTCCACTCTTCTGTGAGGAAGCTGCACTGGACTCATGGTGTTCGCTTTCCAGTGATCAGAGAAGGGGCCCATAGACTTACTTTCCTGTGGTCTATCTTTCCCCAACTTTCTATCTGGGCTACTGTCTGAAAACTTTGAACATTAGGGACATTCTCCCTGCCTTCACTTTTGCACTGAGACCCATCTCTGCATTGCCCAGTGCATGTCTCTGTTGCCCCTGAGTCATCTACCACCTGTTCCCAGGAGCTCCCAGGCTGCCCATCTTGTCCCTGGACCAGCCCATGACTTAGTGCTAAGTCACACACATTTGTGACCTGGTCTTCTCTGCCCATGACCCCACTGGAGTGACAAACATCTACAACTTCAACCTGAATAAACTTGACTAAGACCAATGGGCAGCTCTGTGCACGGGTCCTGAGGGGGAAGGTACAGCTGAGAAAGAGATGGGAGACACAAATACTAAGGACAGAAAATCCTCCCACATGTGCTGCTTTCCGTTCTTTGCAAGAACAGCAATTCACCTCTCCAAAAGAAAGTTAGGAAGATAAATACAAAGAACATTGCTGGGACTCATGACAGATGCTTGTAAAAGCCTGGGATGGAATAGAAGAAAGAAATTTTTAAAAAGAAAAAAGACACAATGACAACTGAGGTCGTCCAGAGCCGGCTATGTGAATCCTGTGATCCCAGAGCAGCAGCATAGCCAGAGCTGGTCCTTCTCCATCTCCCAGAAAATATCCCATTGTTCTCTGAGATCACCCAGCCTTTGTTCAAACCAATTCAAGCTAAGGGTATTTAGCTTTGAAAAGGAGCCAGAATCTCTGGTTCTGTATAGTTAGAGGGGGCTAATAAGAGGTACATCTGTTTTTCCAGTAAGCCTAAGAGTTCCACAGGGATGTGATGTATTCGTTTCTTGGTGCTGCCTTAACAAGCCACCCACGACTGGGTGGTGTAAACAACAGATATTCATTGTCTCCCAGTTCAGTTCCGGAGGCCAGAGTCCAAGCTAAAGACGATGCCAGGTTTGGTTCCTCCTGAGGCTGTGAGGGAGACACTGGTCCCTGCCTCTCTCCCAGCTTCTGCTGGTTTCCTGGAGATCTTTGCTGTTCTCTGACTCATAGAAGGATCACCGCATCTCTGCCTTCATGTTCTCATGGTGTTCTCCCTGTGGATTTGTCTGTCTTTATGTACAAATTTCCCCCTTTCTTTCTTTTTAGAAATGGAGTCTCACTCGTCATCCAGGCTGGAGTGCAAGGGCATGATCCTAGTTCATTAGCTCACTGCAGCCTTGAACTCTTGGGCTCAATTGGTCCTCTCACCTCAGCCCCTGAGTAGCTGGGACTACAGGTGCGCACCACCATGCTCAGCTAATTATTATTATTTTTTGAGAGGCAAGGTCATACTGTATTTCTCAGGCTGGTCTTGAACTCCTGGTCTCAAGAAATCCTCCTGTCTCAGTCTCCCAAGTCACTGGGATTATAGGCATGAGCCACTGCGCCCAGCCAAAAATATCTCCTTTTAATAAGGGAACTAGTCATACTGGATTAGAATCCACCTTAATGACCTCATCTTAACTAATGTCATCTTCAATGACTGTATTTCCAAATAAGGTCACACTCTAAGGTCCTGGGGACGGGACTTCAACATATGAATTTTGGAGAGACACAATTCAACCCATAACATCGGCCATCCCACCACACTGATTCCTTGGACATGAGCATTCTTCTAAGGGAAGTAACTGAGGTGCTCCTGTCCCCTCCCAGTGACCAGATATCCACAGTTGTGATGATAATCTTCAGGATATTCCTGTGTCTCTGCTGCACATGTCCCTCAAGTATAGAACATGAAGGGTAACCCTTGGGTATTGCAGATCCCCAGCAGAAGCCCAAGCTCAGCTTTAACAAACATTTCAAACAGGATAACTTTCCACTTAATGAAACAAAACCTCTGCTGTTTTTTATCTGAATATAGACGTCTCCATTAGTGAAGATCTTTAATATTCAGTATTCAACATATGTTTTTAAATGTTTCCCCCTTTTAAATATTAAGGCTTTCTCAGGCTCAGAAAGCACAATTGCTACAATGTTCTCAAAGGAGCCCTTGAAATAAATTTACCAAACCCAGCCAAAGGGATACCCACATACATGTTTTCCTTTAAAAGTTAAGGAACTTATAAGTAATCTAAGTTACTGTATGCCAAGTTCTACATAGCCGATTCTCAACTATAGAAAGATTACTTTTATTACCAAAACTTTTATGAGACAGGACAGAAGCCAGGGTAACTATGTATATGTATAGCAATGTCTCCTGTAGAATAAATACCTGCAAAATTGTTTAGCACCTTTGGATTCTGAATCTGCTTAACAAAGGCTTATGCAGGTGGCAGGCCTCTGAGAAAACTATCCTAGATGGAACAAAAACTTGGCTGAGTAAATGGAAATATTCACAATAGAGACCAATTTAAAAAAGAACATATTCCAAAGTTATCCAAAGCTACTATTTCCCTTGAAGCCAATTATATGGTACTCTATTATGGAGGTTTATATTTATGGAGTTGTTCAAACAGATAATGGCCTCTAAATATTGTGCCTAGGTCCAATTTGTGGCTAAAAAAAAGAATATATATTCTATAAAGTGGCTGAGATTGGAAACTCTCTTTAAACCTGTAATTCAGTACAGGTCAGCTGCATGTGGTTTTGCAAAAAAGAATGTTCAAACTCTTGTAATTGATATCTTAAATGAAATCTAATTGGTATCTTAAAGTGAAAGAGTTTTTCCAACCAGAAGTTCTTTAATATGTGGTTAAATTTTCATTGCAGCCTGCATGCAGGGAGCTGATGTAGCTCGCAAGCATGTTCCATGACCTGGTGTCTTTCTTGGAAGGCTCCTTTCCATAGCTCTGTCTCTGGTCTCCATGCTTCTTACTGAGCCCCACAGCCCTGACCCTTCAAAATTTCTCTTTCCACCTCTGTCACATGGAGGTAATGAAATTCCATACCTAGTGGGTTAGTCATGAGGCGAAGGTGGGATAGCTTGGGAATAGACACTTTGTAAACCCAACAACTTCTCCCTTACCCTTGGACTTTTGGGCAGTGTGATTGTCCTCAGATTCAGTACCCACTCTCTGGACCAATTTCATTGAAATTCATTTCTGCAATAGAAACATTGGCATTTTAAAAAGAACTATGGCCAATTTCTGATCCACATGTCTCCTTCCTCTACTGTAAGGTAAAAATCTGGAAAAAAAATCAGATTTTTTTAGAGAGATAAAATTATAAGATAGTTGATAATCATTGAAAAATGATTTTTCTTCCCAATAGCTTTGAGTTTCAATTTTTCCAAAACTGTGCATAAGAAGAAAAGTACTGTTGAAGATAAGGGAAGAAGTTGACACCCATTCTGATAATAATTTTTTTCATTAATATTTTTTAAGAATCGATGTTGACATCTGCTCTAGGATATATGATCAAAAATTAAAAAGTCAAATAGCTTTACCAGCACCTGTCAACCTCAGAGGTTGCATCATCAACTGATTAAAATTAGTTGGAATGTATTCTTTTTTTCTTCTATTTTAATTCTTATATTTTAGCTGTATTTCTTGAAAGGCTATCCTACTGAATATAATAAAATATGTTTGACTTTAACAGGAATAATTAGTCTAATTATGCTTAATGTGTTAATGTATATTTTTGGGATGCATTTACCAATTTATCATGGGCTTCTCATGATACTTGTATGCTCTTAGTTTTTTTTAATTAACTTCTGTATTATTTCTACCTTTTACCCTTTATACTTTTGATATGGAAGTGCTGGAAAGGGAAGAGTGTGGTCCCTTTAAATGATATGGAAGTGGGGAAGGGAAGTGCTGGGTAGAGGAGGGCATAGTCCCTGGCTAAGTCTCCACCCCCACGGACCTAGGTGAGGACAGGCACTTCTGCCTTCGCGCCCAAATGTTGCATTTTCCAAGACCACCCTGGCCCTCCAAGCCCCCACCCTGGGCCTATAAAAACTCGAGAGCCCAGCAAAGCAGACACACAGGCGGCGAGACGTCAAGAGGAGCAGGCACATCAACGGAAGGAGACACAAGCGACTGGACGGCGAGAGGACATCAAGGGGGCACGTCGAGGGAAGGGCACACCGACAGACGGCCATGGATCCGCAGGACAAGGCAGAGATTGGCCGGGGCGGTCAGAGGAGAGCCGGGCTGCCACTGAGCAGCCCAATCCCAGGGGAAAACCATCTCCCTTCTGGCTCCCCCATCCGCAGATAGCTACTTCCATTCAATAAAGCTTTGCACGAATTCTCCAAGCCCAAGTGTGATCCAATTTTTCCAGCACTCCAAGGCAAGAACCCGGGATACAGAAAGCCCTCTGTCCTCCTGACAAGGTAGAGCGTCTAATTGAGCTGTTTAACACAAGCCGCCTATAGACTGCAAACTCAGAGAGCATCCTGTAACACACGCCCACTGGGGCTTCAGGAGCTGTAAACATTCACCCCTAGAGACTGCTGTGGGGTTGGAGCCCCACAGTCGGCCCATCTATATGCTCCCCTAGAAGTTTGAGCAGTGGGACGCTGAAGAAGAGAGCCACACCCCCATCACACACCCTGTGAGGGGGATAAGGGAACCTTTCCATTTTCACTTTGAAGGATGTATACTAAGTATTTCTTAGTTTTTAACTTGGAAACTATAGGATGTTTTAAAAATCTACCGGAAAAAGAGTTGAAAGCTTCCATATGAACATGAGTGAAATGTGTGCAGGTTACCTATCACCTACTATCAAATGAAAAACAGAACAAAAACAGTGAGACAGTGAGGCTCTGGGGTCTACAGTGTGCATTGTATGTTCATAGTCCATCTGAGCTGCTGACCAGCTGTGGGATCCTGGGCAAGTCACCCAACCTCTCTGCACCATTCATTTCCTCATTGATGAAACAAGGGCAGTGCAGGTGTCTCTGTCATGGGGCCCTTTGCAGGCTGAGTGAGTTAATACACATGAAGCTGTGGGTCAGGGCTGCCCCCAGAAAGCACAGAATACATGGTATCCAGATGAGCCCTGGCGAGTTCATCCCCAACCATCCAATGCTCCTATTTATGTCTCTCTAGTATCCCTGAGCACAAGGGCGTTCATGATGTGTTCACCTTTCTGTCTCTGCTTCTAGTGTCTGAATTTTATGCAAGCAGGAACTATGACTTTCTTCCCTTCCTCCCTGTTGCTCATAACTCAAGAGCTACTCAGCCAACATTGGTCAAAGGATTCAAACTTTCAGCTAGACAGGAGCAGTAAGTTCAAGAGAAACGTAACCCAGCATAGTGGCTGTGGTTAGTAACAAGGCATTGTATTCTTGAAAACTGCTGAGAGACTAGATTTTAAGTATTCTTACCCCCAAAATATGATTAGCATGTGAAGCAATGCATATGTTATTTAGCCTGATTTAGCCATTCCACAATGTAAACATATTTCAAAACAACATGTTTTACATAAAAAGATATATAATTTTATTTGTCAAATAAATAAGTACCTATATGTCAAAAAAAGATAAATGTTCAGCACACGGCTATTTGTGTTTTTTTTTTTTTTTTTTTTTTTTTTTTTTGAGACAGAGTCTTGCTCTGTCACCCAGGCTGGAGGGCAGTGGCATGATCTCAGCTCACTGCAACCTCCATCTTTCGGGTTCAAGTGATTCTCCTGCCTCAGCCTCCCGAGTAGCTGGGACTACAGGCGTGTGCCACCACGCTTGGCTAATTTTTGTATTTTTAGTAGAGATGGGTTTTCACCATGTTGGCCAGGCTGGTCTTGAACTCCTGACCTCAGGTGATCCGCCTGCCTCAGCCTCCTAAAGTGCTGGGATTACAGGTGTGAGCCACTGCACCCGGCCACAAATGGCTATTGACTGAATGAATGAGTGAACAAGTCCTGCCAATAAAAACTTTCGGTGTTTCCATAATTGAGAATAAACTCACATACCTAATGCAGAAAATACTCTACAATCTGTCTGCAGCCCACATTAAAGGCCAGGTTCCTCTAGGGATACCTATTGGTATTTAGTCTTAAAAATCAACTGAACTGTTTGTAGCTCCCAAAACATGCCTCATGTTTTTCTGTTTTTCATTATTCTTTCTTTCCCATTATCATGTACTTTCATCCACATCAGTGAGTTAGGTTCAGTAAAACACATGGAGCTAGCCTAACTCAGAACTGATTAAATATACTTTGGAGAATTTATTTAAAATAATTCTATACATGATTTTAGAAACTGTAAATTAATGCAGGTTCATAATCACAATGAACAAAATATGGTTAAATTGTATACAATTTATAAATAAGTGCTGTAAATATTATTTGCAACTTGTTCAAAATTAGCTGAAAAATGTTAAGCAATAAATTCACAGTTTGGAACACCAAAAAAAAAAAGATTCAAGCATTCAAGTTTCTCATTAATGGTACTTACTGGAAAAATAACTTGTAAACATGATATCCCTGGAATTTTTTCCTTTAAAGGCAAGTGAGAAATGGTAAACATTTATTTTTAAAATTATAGATTGTGATATCATCTCACTCCAGTTAAAATGGCTTTTATCAAAAAGACAAAAAATAGTGGATGTAGAGATAAGGGAACACTTTTACAGGGTAGTGTGAAAGTAAATAAGTACAGCCACCACCAAAAACAGTATGGAGGTTCCTCAGACGACTAAAAATGGAACTACCTTCTGATCCAGCAATTTTACTGCAGGGTAGATACCCAAAGGAAAGGAAATCAGTACCTCAAAGAGATAGTTCCACCCGCATGTTTCCTGCAGCACTGTACCCAGTAGCCAACGTATGGAATCCACAGGTGTTCATCAGTGGAGGAATGGATAAAGAAAATGTGGTCTACACACATGATGAAATATTATTCAACCATAAAAAAGAATAAAATTTTGTCATTTGCAGCAACATGGACAGAACTGGAGGACATTACATTAAGTGACATAAGATTCCCTCAGGTACCTACACCACCAGGGCCCTAGGTTTCAAGCACAGAACTGGGTGGCTATTTGGGCAGACACCGAGCTAGCTTCAGGAGTTTATTTTTCACACCCTAGTGGCACATTGAATGCCAGCAAGGCAGAGCCATTCACTCCCTTGGAAAGGGGGCTGAAGCCAGGGAGCCAAGTGGTCTTCCTCAGTGGATCCCACCCCCATGGAACCAAACAAGCTAAAATCCACTGGCTTGAAATTCGTGCTGCCAGCACAGCAGTCTGAAGTCAACCTGGGACACTCGAGCTTGGTGGGGGAGGGGCATCACCATTACTGAGGCTTGCATAGGTGGTTTTCCCCTCACAATGTAAACAAAGCCACCAGAAAGTTCCGACTGGGCAGAGCCCACCGCAGGACCACAAAGCTGCTGTAGCCAGACTGCCTCTCTAGATTCCTCCTCTCTGGGAAGGGCATCTCTTAAAGAAAGGTAGCAGCCCAAGTCAGGGCTTAAAGATAAAACTCCAATCTCCATGGGACAGAGCATCGGGGGGAAGGGGTGGCTGTGGGTGCAGCTTCAGCAGACTTAAATGTTCCTGCCTGCCAGCTCTGAAGAGAGCAGTAGATCTCCCAGCATAGTGCTCCAGCTCTGCTAAGAGACAGACTGCCTCCTCAAGTGGGTCCCTGACCCCTGTGCCTCCTGATGGGGAGACATCTCCCAGCAGGGGTCAACAGACACCTCAGACAGGAGAGCTCTGGCTGGCATCTGGTGGGTGCCTTTCTGAGATGAAGCTTCCAGAGGAAGGAGCAGGCAGCAATCTTTACTGTTCTGCAACCTCTGCTGGTAATACTCAGGCAAACAGGGTCTGGAGTGGACCCCAGGCAAACTCCAGCAGACCTGCAGAAGTGGGGCCTGACTGTTAGAAGGAAAACTAACAGACAGAAAGCAATAACATCGACATCAACAAAAAGGATGACCGTGCAAAAACTCCATCTGAAGGTCACCAGCAGCAAAGACCAAAGGTAGATAAATCCACGAAGATGAGGAAAAACCAACACAAAAAAGCTGAAAATTCCAAAAACCAGAATGGTTCTTCTCCTCCAAAGGATCACAACTCCTTGCAAGCAAGGGAACAAAACTGAACAGAGAATGAGTTTGATAAATTGACAGAGGTAGGCTTCAGAAGGTGGGTAAGAACAAACTCCTCCAAACTAAAGGAGCATGTTCTAACCCAATGCAAGGAAGCTAAAAACCTTGACAAAAGGTTAGAGGAATTGCAAACTAGAATAACCAGTTTAGAGAAGAACATAAATGACCCAATGGAGCTGAAAAACACAGCATGAGAACTTCGTGAAGCATATATGAGTATCATCAGCCAAGTAGATCAAGCAGAAGAAAGGATATCAGAGATTGAAGATCAACTTAATGAAATAAAGTCTGAAAACAAGATTAGAGAAAAAAGAATGAAAAGGAATGAACAAAGACTCCAAGAAATATGGGACTATGTGAAAAGACCAAACCTACGTTTGATTGGTGTACCTGAAAGTGACAGGGAGAATAGAACCAAGTTGGAAAACACTCTTCAGGATATTATCAAGGAGAACTTCACCAACCTAGCGAGACTGACCAACATTCAAATTCTGGAAATACAGAGAACACCACAAAGATACTCCTCAAGAAGAGCAACCCCAAGACATATAGTTGTAAGATTCACCAAGGTTGAAATGAAGGAAAAAGTGTCAAGGGCAGTCAGAGAGAAAGGTCTTGTTACCCACAAAGGGAATCCCATCAGATTAACATGGCTCTCTCTGCAAAAACCCTACAAGCCAGAAGAGAGTGGAGGCCAATATTCAACATTCTTAAAGTAAAGAATTTTCAACCCAGAATTTCATATCCAGCCAAACTAAGCTTCATAAATGAAAGAGAAAAAAAAAAACAAAACCCTTTACAGACAAGCAAATGCTGAGGGATTTTGTCACCACCAGGCCTGCCTTACAAGAACTCCTGAAGGAAGCACAAAATATGGAAAGGAAAAACCGGTACCAGCCACTGCAAAAACAAACCAAACTGCAAATACCCTCGACACTATGAAAAAAATGCACCAACTAATGGGCAAAATAACCATCTAGCATCATAATGACAGGATCAAAGTCACACATAACAATATTAACCTTAAACATAAACTGGATAAATGCCCCAATTAAAAGGCACAGAGTGGCAAATTGGATAAAGGGTCAAGACCCATTGGTGTGCTGTATTCAGGAGACCCATCTCATGTGCAATGACACATGTAGGCTCAAAATAAAGGGATGGAGGAAGATTTACCATGCAAATGGAAAGCCAAAAAAAAGCAGAGGTTGCAATGCTAGTCTCTGATAAAACAGACTTTAAACCGATAAAGGTCAAAAAAGACAAAGGTGGGCATTGCATAATGGTAAAGGAATCAATGCAACAAGAAGAGCTAACTATTCTAAATATATATGCATCCAATACAGGAGCACCCAGATTCATAGAGCAAGTTCTTAGAGACGTCCAAAGAGACTTAAACTCCCACACAATAAGAGTGACAGACTTTAACACCGCACTGCCAGTATTAGTGCGAGACAGAAAATTAACAAGAATATTCAGGACTTGAACTCAGCTCTGGACCAAGCAGACTTAATAGACATCTATAGAACTCTCCACCCCAAATCAACAGAATATACATTCTTCTCAGCCCCACATAGCACTTATTCTAAAATTGGCAACAGAATTGGAAGTAAAACACTCCTCAGCAAATGCAAAAGAATGGAAATCATAACAAACACTATCTCAGACCACAGTGTAATCAAATTAGAACTCAGGATTAAGAAACTCACTCAAAACCACACTACATGGAAACTGAACAACCTGCCCCTGAATGACTACTGGGTACATGATGAAATGAAGGCAGACATAAAGAAGTTCTTACAAACCAATGAGAACAAAGATACAACGTATATCAGAATCTCTGGGACACAGCTAAAGCAGTGTTTAGAGGGAAATGTATACCCCCAAATGCCCACAGGAGAAAGCAGGAAAGATCTAAAATTGACACCTAACATCACAATGAAAAGAACTAGAAAAGCAAGAGCAAACAAATTCTAAGACTAGCAGAAGACAAGAAATAACTAAGATCAGAGCAGAACTGAAGGAGATAGAGACACGGAAAACCCTTCAAAAAACCAGTGAATCCAGGAGCTGGTTTTTTGAAAAGATTAACAAAGTAGATAGCCAGCTAGCCAAACCAATAAAGAAGAAAAGAGAGATGAATCAAATAGACACAATAAAAAATGATAAACAGGAGATTACCACTGATTGCAACAGAAATACAAATTACCATTATAGAATACACTATAAACACCTCTATGAAAATAAACTAGAAAATCTAGAGGAAATGGATAAATTCCTGGACACATACACACTCCCAAGACTAAACCAGGAAGAAGTCAAATCTCTGAATAGACCAATAAGAAGTTCTGAAATTGAGGCAGTAATTAATAGCCTATCAACCAAAAAAAGCCCAAGACTAGACAAATTCATGGCTGAATTTTACCAGAGGTACAAAGAGGAGCTGGTACCAGTCCTTCTGAAACTATTCCAAACAATAGAAAAATAAGGACTCCTCCTTAACTCATTTTATGAGGCCAGCATAATCCTGAAAGCAAAACCCGGCAGAGACACAACAAAAAAAATAAAATTTCAGGCCAACATCCCTGATGAACATTGATGCGAACATTTTCAATAAAATACTGGCAAACTAAATCCAGCAGTCCATTAAAAAGCATATCCACCATAATCAAGTTGGCTTCATCCCTGGGATGCAAGGCTGGATCAAAATAGGCAAATCAATAAATGTAATCCATCACATTAACAGAACTAATGACGAAAGCCATATGATTATCTCAATAGATGAAGAAAAGATCTTTAATAAAATTCAACATGCCTTCATGCTAAAAACACTCAATAAACTAGGTATTGTTGGAACATATCTCAAAATAATAAGAGCTATTTATGACAGTCCCACAGCTAATATTGTACTGAATGGGCAAAAGCTGGAAGCATTCCCTTTGAAAACCGGCACAAGACAAGGAGGCCCTCCTCCACCACTCCTATTCAACATAGTATTGAAAGTTTTGGCCAGGGCAATCAGGCAAGAGAAAGAAAAAAAGTGTATTCAAATAGGAAGAGAGGAAGTCAAATTGTCGCTGTTTGCAGACAACATGACTGTATATTTCAAAAACCCCATCATCTCAGCCCAAAATCTCCTTAAGCTGATAAGCAACTTCAGCAAAGTTTTGGGGTACAAAATCAATGTGCAAAAATCACAAGCATTCCTATACACAAATATCAGACAACTAGAGAACCAAATCATGAGTGAACTCCCTTTCACAATTGCTACAAAATGAATAACGTACCTAGGAATACAACTTACAAGGGATGTGAAGGACCTCTTCAAGGAGAACTACAAACCACTGTTCAAGGAAATAAGAGAGGACACCAACAAATGGAGAAAGCTTCATGTTCACGTATAGGAAGAATCAATATTGTGAAAATGGCCATACTGCTCAAAGTAATTTATAGATTCAATGTTATTCCCACTAAGCTATCATTGACTTTCTTCAGAGAATTAGAAAAAAAAAAAAACTTTAAATTTCATATGGAACCAAAAAAGAGCCCATATAGCCAAGACAATCCTAAGCAAAAAGAACAAAGCTGGAGGCATCACGGTACCTGACTTCAAACTATACTACAAGGCTACAGTAACCAAAACAGCATGGTACTGGTACCAAAACAGAGATATAGACCAATGAAACAGAACAAAGGCCTCAGAAATAATGCCACACATCTACAACCATCTGATCTTTGACAAACCTGACAAAAACAAGCAATGGGGAAAGGATTCCCTATTTAACAAATAGTGAAGAGAAAACTGGCTAGCCATACACAGAAAACTGAAACTGGAGCCCTTCCTTATACCTTAAACAAGAATTAACTCAAGATGGATTAAAGATTTAAATGTAAGACCTAAAACCATAAAAACCCTAGAAGAAAACCTAGGCAATACCATTCAGGACATAGGCATGGGCAAAGACTTCATGACTAAAACACCAAAGGCAATTGCAACAGAAGCCAAAACTGACAAACGGGATCTCATTAAACTAAAGAGCTTCCACACAGCAAAAGAAACTATCATCAGAAAGAACTGGCAACCTACAGAATGGGAGAAAATTTTCACAATCTGTCCATCTGACAAAGGGCTGATATTCAGAATTTACAAGGAACATAAAGAAATTTACAAGAAAAAAACAAACAACCCCATCAAAAATTGAGCAAGAATATGAACAGACACTTTTCAAAGGAAGACATTTATGTGGCTGACAAACATATGAAAAAAGCTTATCATCACTGGCCATCAGAGAAATAAAAATCAAAACCACAATGCAATACCATCTCATGCCAATTAGAATGGTGATTATTAAAAAGTCAGGAAGCAACAGATGCTGGAGAGGATGTGGAGAAATAGGAACACTTTTACACTGTTGGTGGGAGTGTAAATTAGTTCAACCATGTGGAAGACGGTGTGGTGATTCCTCCAGGATCTAGAACTAGAAATACCATTTGACCAAGCAATCCCATTACTGGGTATATACCCAAAAGATTATAAATCATTCTGCTATAAAGACACATGCACACATACGTTTACTGCAGCACTATTCATAATACCAAAGACTTGGAACCAACACAAATGCCCATCAATGTTAGAGTGGATAAAAAAAATGTGGCATGTACACACCATAGAATACAATGCAGCCATCAAAAATGATGAGTTTTTGTCCTTTGCAGGGACATGGATGAAGCTGGAAACCATCATTCTCAGCAAATTAACACAGGAACAGAAAACCAAACACTGCATGTTCTCACTCATAAGTAGGAGTTGAACAATGACAACACATGGACACAGGGAGGAGAACATCACACATTGGGGCCTGTAGGGGTGTGGGGGGCAAATGGAGGAAAAGCATTAGGAGAAATACCTAACGTAGACAAAAGGTTATTGGGTACAGCAAACCACCATGGCACATGTGTACCTATGTAACAAACCTGCACGTTCTGCACATGTATCCCAGAACTTAAAGTATAACAAAAAAAGAAGAAAAAGAAAAAGTAAAGAAAAACAAAGGTATTAATTCACTGTGACTAAATACAGCATTTTACTTAAAACTAAGTCTCTTAGAGTCACCGTCCCTTCTCCTCAGCTGAGGTCTGATACTGAAACTCCCTGCTCACAGACAATGTCATCATGTTGCAGCCTTGAAGGCCTCACCTGGTTCTCCTGAGGAAGATAGCAAATGCCTCACTAGGGTCCCTTTTTGTTACAACCATGAGAGAACGTGCTGTTTCCAAGGCTGCTTAGAGGTGTTAGACATGGACTCAGAGGTCCTGAGTTTGCTCAGACAAGCTCGCAACTTCTCTGATCTGTTTCCTTATCTGAAAGTAGAGATGATAATAATTTATATTGAGAGTAAGACCTACTCTACCTATTTTATTGGAGTTGAATGAGACAACGTAAGTGGGAAAAATGGTGAGATGTTACAGTCTAAATTGTGCTTCCTCCAAAATCATATGTTGAAGCCCTATCACCCGGTACCTTGGAATGTGGCTTATTTGTAGAGACTTTTTAAAGAGTGAGGAAGCTAAAATGAATCCATTAACATGGGCCCTAACCCAATTTGACAGGTGTCCTCATAAAAAGAGGACATTCAGACACAAAAAGAGACAGCAGGGATGCACACACACAGAGGACAGATAATGTGAAGAGACAGAAAGATGACAGCCATCATTATCCAGGGAGGGAGGTCGCAGAAGAAACCAACCCTGTCAGCACCTTGATCTTGGACTTCGGGTATTCGGAACTGTGAGAAAACAAGTTTCTGTTGATTAAGCTGTTACCGGTGGAGGGTGTCCACGTTCTTGGTGTTTTGAACAAAGAGTTGGACAAAACGCAGAAACAAAGCAAGGAAAGAATGAAGCAAGCAGACGTTTATTAAAAATGAAAGTACACTGCACAGGGTGGGAGCAGGCCGAGCGCAGGAGCTCAGGGGCCCGGCTACAGAGCTTTCTGGGGTTTAAATACCCTCTAAGGTTTCCATTGGTTACTTGGTATACTCCTATGTAAATGAAGAGGGTAAAGCGAAGTTACAAAGTTATTTACTTGGCGTACACCTTATGTAAATGAAGAGGATGAAGTAACGTTACAAAGTCATTTACTAGGTGTCCGCCCTATGTAAATGGAGAGGATGAAGTAAAGTTACAAAATCATTTACTAGGTGTCCGCCCTATGTAAATTAAGATGATATTTCCTGTCACAGCTGAAGTGTTTCTGTTTGATTCAATTGTAGGAAATCCTTAGGTTTCAGGCCTCCAGGCCCTATTGTCCTGCCTCAAAGCCACCTAGTCTGTGATATTTTGTTATGGCAGCCCTAGCAAATAAGTATAAAATGCAAGACATTAAACAAATATTATTATTGATTTGAAAAATATATACATCTTGCATCTTCTGCTGCATAGTACAATGTTGTAGGAACACCAGTGTAGCCTTCCACCTTACCATCAGCGTCCTTTTCTGGCGAAACACATCAGGCTTTTCTTAAGGCACCCCGACTTCAGATGACTGACATTTGCTTTGAAGAGAAACACCATTTCCCAGCTTCCATTTCCCAGCCTCCCCTCACTTATGCACTAGCAGCATGACCTGGTCCCTAATTTCCGTAGTCCAATTTTATATCATCTAGCCCTGTGATGGCAAAAGAGAAGAAGATTAAGGGGAAATAAATATTTATAAATGAACAGGGCACAGGTTAACTATGCAATATAGTATAATTAAATATCTTTTTCTTTAAAGTAAAATATTTTCCTTTAACATTTTGCAGGTACTTCATACTCCGTGAAAATGATAATGTGTCTTTTTATGCTATGTGATGCTAAAAAAGAACACAAAAATCTTTTCCATTAAACAATAGTAATTTGAAATCAATATCAAAATAAATTTATAATTATATGTACCTAGAAATGTTTTTGCCCTCAGACTCTCTAAAGCACCAAAATGTGATCTGTTTTTCATTTTTCTTGCTGCTTAAAAACCTTTTAAAATTTAATCTCTGCTGTTTTATCAGAAGGTAGATTACTTGGGCAGTGGATTTGGATCAGGAAAATAAGCCCCTTACTTTTTTCATCTATATTTCATTTCCACCTGGATTGTCATTGACACCTGCCCCTTACAATAACCACTGAAAATTAATTACTGAGTCCCCCAAATCAGAGTTGTGTTTAAATTCTGAGCCTAGACCAAAAACTCTCCGAAGACTCCCTTCTACCTAACTCCCACTGTGCCCAAAGGCAAGTGATTTATTTTTACCCTCTTTCCACATCAACCCCCAAGAGATGGCCTCAGAAATTAATCTAAACTCCAGGTCAGAGCCCATTGCCAAAATTCCAAATATCTCCGGTGTCCAAAGCTCCCTAGTTAATAGTTTGGGAATTAAAATAAATCAATACAAAACAAAAATCTAGATTGCTGCAAAGAGCTAATAGTTACTATATTTCTCTAGTTGGGATTTTTTTTTTTTTTGCTTATTTCAGGTCCTCATAGCACAATATTTGTATCTCTGCCTGCCTTGAGTCAGAGTCACTTATGAAGATTATCTCCCTGCCTGAAGATGCTGAGATTCCGGACATTAGGAACCGTCATCACGCTTATCCATTGAGCTTACCTCGGCTACCCCACCACTACCCCAGAGGAATCTGAAATGGCATTTCCCATAGAGAGGAGATCATCGGGTATCTATTGGACTCAAGAGTTAGAAGCAAGTGCAGTGTCTCAGAAAGACAGGTAATCATGGCGTTATCGGAACGTTTCCTTATGGCTTTCATTCTCCATCCTCTATTGAACACATCGACGCTAACACAAAGACACTATTACAGATAAGGTAACTGTCCATCGGCCATCTTCCAAGAGACATTTTGTTCCAAGCAACCTAATCATTGGCAGGAAAGCTGGTGTTTGTTTGTTTTTGTGGAAACATTTGGCAATGTTATAGAAATGGACATTTTTAAACAAATAACGGAAAGATTGCATCGGCTCCAAATGTAATGCCATATTTAAAAAACACAGTTTCATGTCTTACTGTGATTTTTAAAAATGAAACTTAGGCAGAGCCCCAGAAGAAGGCTCTGTGGCAGTAACTTTATAAGTAAATCAGGGCTAATAACACAGGCTGGTGAGCCCCCCAACTCCATCCCACCTGCACCTTAGTCTGCAGTTCTGCTTCTGAGAAAGAATGTCACCCCTCATCTCAGTCCCCAGAGAAGAATTCATTTGACTCAGCCCAACAGCATCACTGCAAAGGGAGCTGTTCCTGAAGGATCAAGGGTATGGGACTTTTGCTCTAGGTTCCACATAAAATCCCCAGGAGACACATTTATTTTCTCACAGATAGGGTTCTCTGGAAACTGATGCTGAGGTGGACTTTGGGTAGTGAGATGCTTTCTGGGGATCAACATTCAGAAAAGGAAGTGATAGGAAGCAAGATGGGAGCGAGGCAAGTCGAAGTATGATGCCAAACGGACAAAGCCTTACCCAACCCCACTGGGAGCCTTGGAGCTACTAGTGTTCTTCAGAGTGTCCTGAGCCAGGCTGGTGTGACTGGGACTCCCTTTGTCTCCAACTGCAGGCTCTGGGCAAGGATGTGCAGTCAGGTGAGGTGACTATCTGCAGCTGGGACAGACCCTGAAGGAGCCCATCTCAGGAGCCTTCTGGTAGCCACATGCCCCAAAGCCATGTGGAATCTTTCGTGGAGGAGACCTGAAAAGCACATGTCTGGGCTATGACATTCTCCTCAAAGCCTCATTAACAGCCCACACCAGACCTTCCATCTACCTTGCCTCTACAGTGTGCACAGCTCCTCTGCTCCTCTGTGGTTCCCATACCCTTGACCCTTCAGGAACAGCTCCCTTTGCAGTGACTCACTGTTGGGCTGAGTCAAATTAATCCTTCTCTGGGGACCGAGATGAGGGGTGGCATTCTTTCTCTGAAGCAGAACCACAGCGTGTCTGTCTCTTCCATTGCACAGGAAAATGCTGCTCTTTCTCAAGTGCTGCAGTCAGCACCTGATGGAGCTGACCTCCTAAGAAGGCAGTGCATGGACTCTACCGAAACTCTGGGTTCTCCCCTCCGCCCAACTGCCTTTTTAAAACATTGCTTCACCTGAATACACAACTTTCAGAAGACGCTATTCTAAGAGTTCTGATAAATACAATGCTCCTCATCTTCTTACAATTATATATAATAAAAATTATATGTAATAAAAATGTCAGTAAGCAAAACAAATAAAGAACTTCGCTTGATGAGTATAAGCCTGAGACAAGCATCTCAGTCACAAACTGTTGCATTATAAAAATTAAGACCTAATACGATGTGTAACTATTTGAAAATAAGAAAAATGATTGTATATAGTGTTATATATTTTTTTCAGAAATATATATATATGTAAATATATATGCTTATGAGGAAAGCACAAAATCATTATAATTTCAACTACAAATTGGTTTGCTAACAGGCTCTAAATTGTTTTATGTGAAAATAAATTAGGAGACAATTAATAAAATCAATAGAATTGAAATAGATGGAAAAACTCCTGATGGATTAGGAGAGAATGAACCTTATAGAACCCAGTGAGGGCTGTGAAACTGAGTGCAGAAAGAGAAGAAAGGAGGTGCTTCTTGGTGACAGCTGAGTCCACAGTTGGAAGAACATCATTTCTCTTCAGAAGCGCCCGGCAGAGTGGGGTTCAAAAACTCACTGGCAAAATAAGCAGGCTAACGCCTCTGAGCTAAGGTGCTAGTCACTACTCAGACCAATGAAACGCCACAAAAACTAAGAGAAAAAAAAAGAGCAGGAATGAAGTTTAAGAAAACTTTTTGTATACTGAGAGATGCTGAGTATAATAGTTTCCTAAGTATTCTCCTGGGATTCCAAAGCTCTCATTTCCAAGGCAGTTTAGGGAAGGGACTCATGGAATGTTTATCAGACACAGTACAGAATGTTAACAAAATAAATCTTATGCAAGCCTTCTAGAAGGTTCTAGTAGATCTCTTCTGTGCCTTCTAAGAGGCAGAAAGCAAGAAGACAGACATTGTCTAGAATTCTTTTATGTGCCAACACAGAGCCAGCCACTTCCTGAGAACTGTCCCTTTAATGTCCAGCAACCATTCATTTTACAATTCTGGAAACAGAGACCCAGAGAAAAAACAACACTGTTTTGAGGGCTTATTGAAACTAACACTCATAGCCCAGAGCCAAGTCCAGGCTTGTTGGCTTCATAGATTTGTGCTTCATTCTGGGTAGAGGCATCGCTTTGCTCTGGGAGCCCCTGGAGAGCTGGGCTCAGTCTGGAGGGTCCTGTGGTCTCCCACAAAGATCACATTCTGTTCTCTCCATAACATCTCCTCCTGCACTCTGCAGCTACAAGTAATACTAAATTTATATATTTAGAACCCATAGGAGTGGCCCCTTTGTTGGCTGTTCAAAGCTAGCTCTGACAATTCTCTTGTGACCAATGCCCCTGCAGGCATGTATATTTCACTACTTGCCCCCAGTTTTGGAGAACCCATTCCTTGTATCCCAGCCCAGCTTCCCAGCAAATGACAGGCAAGGACGATGATCACAGTTCAGAAGCCCGCTCTCTGGGGTCAAGCTGGCGTGGAGGACTCTCACTTTCAAAGATGGCATTTTACACATGAGTTGATGCAGCAATAGAAATGTGTGTGTTTTGGAGAATTTAAGTATGTCTATTGAATCAAACTATCATCATCTACGCTCAAATTACACTCAAACACATCTCAACCAAGATTAAATAAAAACTTCTATTGTATGCAAACAGGTTCAATTTATCTAGATTTCCAATGTGCTTTAGAGTTTCCCAAGGTATGTTCTTTTTTTTCACCTGGATTGATTGTTCCCATTCTGTTGCATTCCCTCTGATTGGCATTTAGAGTGTGTCACAATTAACTCTGTGCTGGGTCTTTGCAAACTTTCACTGATCAATGTGTGAGGGGAAGAGCTTGCCCAAGCCTCAGAACTAGGCAATGGGAGACTGGGCTGTCTGCCTGTGAAGCTCCACACTACATAGCCTCATTTACTTACCTACCTGTTTCATCTAACCATTCTTCAGTACTTGAAGGTCAGGTTTGACTAATAATTTCTATTTAGTTCCAACTATTAGCATGTTTAATTTCCACCACACAAACAATAATGAACAAGGTATCCATCTTAATCACCCATTTGTGAATATATAAAAAAAAACTTAAAATGAAGTGGGATGCAATTACAGGGAAGGAAAAATCAGAGGAAAGAATAGATGAATAGATGCTTATGAAAGAGCAGTAAGAAAGAAACTGCACATTCAAAGCAACATATCTCCTTTTCCGATGTGCCCTCCCAGCAGAGTGGATTTCCTTCTTATTTTCCCTGACTTATTGACCCAATCTCACCTCTTCTCTTTCTCAGGTTGCTTGTGAACCCCACATTTATCTCTCTGTCATCACCTAGAATTGCTGAACAGTTAACCTCTCCTCATCTTTTCCTCACAATCTTTGTGATCTGAACACACCAAGATCCCAAGCAGAACAATGGGGAATTCCTTTTATTGGGACATTACATTTTTTCCTTGGCAATTGAATAATTTTTGCTATTGTTATACAACTTAAAGTATGGGTGTCTTTAACGTCTGAGCTTGCACCAGATACATTTTTACAGAGAGCCCTTAGCCACGCTTCACGTATTCCGTTACAATCAGAATGTCTGATAAGGATTTTCTGCGGTCCTTCCAATGCAGTGCTGGCCTCTGGGGCTACCTTCTGACATGGCAGGGTGGAGCCTCCAACCTACTCCAGAAGGAAGAGGAGAGGGCAGGATTCCCAGCGCAAATCCCTGCCGGAGAGTTGCTGTACTACTAATAGAAACTTAGCCTCAAAGGGGTCGGCAGATATTCGGAGGAGAAAGAGGCTTTCATGTGCAGTCTTCAGAATCAGTGCTTAGTCAAATAGTTTCACTGATGTTCAACCAAATGGTTGCAATGTACTGGATCCCAAATATATACAAGTGTTTTGGTTACAGTTCCTTGATAAGGAATATCAGCTTCCTCGTAGCATTGTGCAATTATTGGCAGCTTTGCATTTCAAGTTGAAAAAACCAAACTATTCTGCTAGGAAAGCAATTCATCCAGTAAGAATTTTAGTTTTATATAAAATCATATTTCTAGCAAACTCGGCATATTGACTTTTACCTTGTACTTATGGAAAATGCGGGAAGAAGGACTTTGCGCCCCATGAAAACTATTACCCCCTGATGGCAACTGGTCACTCAGAGCATAGGAATTGTGGTTACAATTCCATGTTGCTTCACTGAATTCTTTAAAGAGTTTTCATTTGTTTGAGTTGGACACCCCAAGAAGAAATCTATTTTGGGGGTGCTCATTCCCATCTGTCTTAGGCAATGTTTTTCTTTCATCTCTCTAGATCCAGTAACTCACACATAGGCTGATCTATGACAGGCACCCAATACAGGCATACCTTAGAGATACTGCAGGTTTATATCCAGACCACCATAATAAAGCAAATATTGAAATAAAGTGAGTCACATAAATGTCTTGATTTCCTACTGCACATAAAAATTATGTTTACACTATACTATAGTTTACTAAGTACAATAACATTGTCTAAAAATTATACATAATTTGATTTATAAAATACTTTATTGCTCAAAAATGGTAAGAGTCATCTGAGCCTCCATTGAGTTCTAATTCTTTTGCTGGTAGAAGTTCATGCCTCAGTGTTGATGGCTGTGGATTGGTCAGCATGGAGGTTGCTGAAGGTTTGGCTGGCTATGGCAATTTCTTAAAATAAGACAATGGTGAAGTTTGCCACAATAGACTCTTCCTTTCAGGAAAGACTTTTCTACAGCATGCCATGCTGTTTGACAGCATTTTGCCCACAGCAAAACTTTCAAAATTGGAGTCAATCTTCTCCAAACCTGCCACTGCTTTATCAGCTAAGTTTATGGAATATTCTAAATGCTTTGCCATTGATTTGTGCCAGGACAGAACAGGCTGCTCATTCTAGTGGTCCAATAATGATGTGCAGACAGACTGGGAAAGAAGAGTTTATTTCTGCAACCAGTTGCAGGGAAAAGGTCAAAGTAACTCAACAGACCAATTCAAAGCTAAAAGCTTTTTTTTTTTTTCAGTGCTTAGATATATCCTAAGTTCTATGCCTACATGTGAGTGTGTACCTACAAGAAGGAGTTTCATTTAATCGATAGCTAATCTTTAACTAGGGCCTAAGGTCGAAAAACTTCCTTTAGAGTCTTGGAAAATTTCTTAATTTTAATTGGGCCCTGGTGCAAGGTGTATGTGTTAGAATGCTTTTATTATTCAATCAGACTTTACGGTCTGAGAAAACCCAGATGGGGTCTTAATGGATTTTTTTTTCTTTTTACATTCCAGCCCTTGAACTGAGACACCAGTTATTCCAGTTCTTTAATGCTTAACTTACATATTCATTAAAATTATAGTAAAGGGTTAGTGGAAACTGACTGCTCTGGTTGCTAATGGAAACTGGCCTGCCACAATTTCAACAATGTTCACAGCATCTTCACCAGGAGTAGATTCTTTCTGAAGAAACCACCTTCTTTGCTCATCCATGAGAAGCAATTTCTCATTTGTTCAAGTTTGATCATGATATTACAGCAATTTAGCTCCATCTTCAGGCTCCACTTCTGATCCTAGTTCTCTTGCCATTTTGACTACACTTGCATTTACTTCTTCCACTGAAGGCTCAAAGTCTTGAAGCCCTCAAAATCATTTATGTTGAAGAAGTTTGCATCAACTTCTTCCAAGTACTTGTTAATATGGATATTTTGACCTCCTCCCACAAATCATGAATATTCTTAATGACATCTACAACTGAGAATCCTTCCCAGAAGTTATTTAATGTACTTTGCCCAGATCCATCAAAGGAATCACTATCTACAGCAGCTCTAGCCTTATGAAATGTATTTCTCAAAAATAAGACTTGAAAGTCTACATCACTTCTTGATTCATGGGCTGCAGAATGGATGTATGTTATCAAGCATGAAAACAACATTAATCTCCTTGTACATCTTCATTAGAGTCTTTGGGTGACCAGGTACATTGTCAATGAGCAGTAATATTTTGAAAGGAATCATTTTTATGAGCAGTAGGTCTTAATAGCGGGCTTAACATATTCAGCAAACCATACTATAAGTTGATATGCTGTCATCCAGACGTTGTTCTTCCATTTATAGAGCACAGGCAGAGAGACTTAGCATAATTTTTAGCAGCGCCAGGATTTTCAAAGTGGCAATGAGCTTTGACTTCAACTTAAGTCACCAACTGCATTAGCCCCTAACAAGACAGTCAGCCTGTCCTTCAAAGCTCTGAAGCCAAGCATTTATTTCTCCTGTCTATCTGTGAAACTTCTAGATGGCATCCTCTTCCAAGAGAAAATTATTTCATCTACATTAAAAATATCTGCAAAGCACAAACAAAGAGGTATGCTTTTAAGTGTCTTCCAAGGAAGTCTGTGATTCTACCTCTTGGAATAAGACCCCATGTAGTGAATTAATATATACTGCATGCCTAATAACTGCAGGTAATTTTCAATGAGATAGAATTTATTTCTCTACGTCATGGTCTTATAACTCTATAAACTAAAAATCAAAATGAAACAGAACTGAAACTTCCTTGATAACTTGGCTGTGTCTGCCTAGTGATTTTTTCCTTTTTTTCTTTTTTGTTTTTTGAGACGGAGTCTTGCTCTGTCACCCAGGCTGGAATGCAGTGGAGCGATCTCAGCTCACTGACAGCTCCGCCTCCGGGGTTCATACCATTCTCCTGCCTCAGCCTCCCGAGTAGCTGGGACTACAGGTGCCTGTCACTACGCCCAGCTAATTTTTTGTATTTTTAGTAGAGACGGGATTTCACCATGTTAGCCAGGATGGTCTCGATCTTCTGACCTCGTGATCCTCCCGCCTCGGCCTCCCAAAGTGCTGGGATTACAGGCATGAGCCACTGCGCCCAGCCTGTTTTTTTTTAAATCTAGTTTAATTTTAAGTTCAGAGATACATGGGCAAGATGTGCAGGTTTGTTACATAGGTAAACACGTGCCATGGTGGTTTGCTGCACCTATCAACCCATCACCTAGGCATTAATCCCAGCATGCATTAGCTATTCTTCCTGATGCTCTCCCTCCTCCTTCCCCCAAAACAGGCTCCAGTGTGTGTTGTTCTCCTCCCTGTGTCCATCTGTTCTCATTGTTCACCTCCCACTTATATGTGAGAACATACAGTGTTTGGTTTTCTGTTCCTGTGTTAGTTAGCTGAGGTTATATAATGGCTTCCAGCTCCATCCATGTCTTAGCAAAGGACATGGTCTCTTTCCTTTTTATGGCTGCATAGTATTCCATGGTGTGTATGTACCACATTTTCTTTATCTACTCTATCATTGATGGGCATTTGGGCTGAGTTCATGTTTTTGCTATTGTGAATAGAGCTGCAATGAACATACACGTGCATGTATCTTTATAATAGAATAATTTCCATTCCTTTGAGTACACACCTAGTAATGGCATTGCTGAGTCAATGGTATTTCTGGTTCTAGGTCTCTCAAGATGGATTAAAAGTTTAAATGTAAAACCCAAAACTATAAAAACCTTAGAAGAAAATATATAATATATGCAATATCATTCAGGACATAGGCATGGGCAAAGATTTTGTGATTAAAAACACAAAAAGCAATTGCAACAAAAGCAAAAACTGACAAATGGGATCTAATTAAACTAAAGAGCTTCTGCACAGCAAAGGAAACTATCATCAGCGTGAACAGACAGCCTACAGAATGGGATAAAATTTTTACAATGTATGCATATGATGAAGGTGTGACATCCAGAATCTACAAGGAACTTAAAAATATTTACAAGAAAAAAAAAACCCTGGGAAATTCTCAAAAGAAGACATTTATGTGGCCAAGAAACATATGAAATAAATCTCAGTATCACTTACCATTAAAGAAACTCATATCAAAACCACAATGAGATACCATCTCACGCCAGTCAGAACAGTGTTATTAAAATGTCAAGAAACAACAGATGATGGCAAGCCTGCGGAGAAATAGAAACACTTTTACACTGTTGGGAATGTAAATTAGTGCCTAGTGATTTTTAAAGCAATCAACTTATATGTATTCAGTACAAGTTATGTGTAAGATTCTATGCTTGAAATATACATCTCCTGACTAACATGGAAGTTTGGATAAAAGCAATACCAATCCCTCTAAGCTTGGTTGTTTTGTAATCATAAAATATTCTGTAGAATTATCGGTTCTGGGGATGGCAGGGCACAGTACAACACTTGAGTAGATGAGCTCTTTGTTACTGGAAGCCACATGTGAGAGAAGGCTGCTACACAGGGCCATGCAGAGCCACACTTGCGGCAGGGTAACAGCAGGCTTAATTATGGCAAGCAGACTGGGATTAGCTGGGTTCCAGAGCTCCCCATGGCTTGGCTAACTTGATGACTTATCGGGCTCAGCATAGGGCTGTCCCTATTTATGGGCTTTTAGGATGGGTACCTTGTGGCCTGGAACATGAAGGACACATAAGGAAAGGGGTTAGTGTATGAACTTAACAGCCGATCAAGGAGGGAAAATGCACAGCCTCTACTCAGGGCATCGAAACTGGGTAAAGACAGTGTTAAGAAAAGAAAAGAAAAGAAAAAAAAAAAAAACTAAATAAAATCTTGTATTACAGTGATGCAATATGCATCTTGACCTGAAAGTCAAATCATGGCAATTCCTCTCCCACCAGAACTTGAACAAATCTCTTTAATGCTGCAATGTGTTTGTGTCTTTTTTGAGTCATGTGGAAATGCATGAGTTACAGTACTTTTGTAATTGAGTTGAGAAAGAAAATAATCACAAGTGGGCTTTGAAGACATTTTAAACATTGTTACTGGCATAAAAACTGAAGTTATGTTCAGAGTTGAGATAGGATGATTAAAATACGGTGAGTTCTGCCTATTATCTGAAGGCATCTGTGGACAAATTGCTATTGCACCTGTTTCATAGTTTGAAGAAGTGAACAACTAATGGCTCCTCCAGGGTCATTGCATGAAAGAGCATAGTCAGCAAATGCTTCAGGGTACAAGCCACAATTGAACAAAACCAGCTTGCGTGCTAGGGGCAGATGGTGTTTTGTAATGGAATTATGGGGCTGTATCATCACCCTATTTGCCGAGCGCAACTTGAGGTCTTCCCTAAACCCCATGACCAGTGTGAGAAGGCTGTCTATAAACTCACTAGAACTTCGAATAAAAGCTGACTTGGTTTTTAAGAGAGTAGTAGCAACAGAGATTTGATTCACTTTTTAAAAGTGGGTATTTAATTAGAGATATTAAAAATATTCATTTCTTTTCTCATAGAAATCTTAAAATAAATTTTCTCCTATTTGTACTTAGGAAACAAACATCATTATGCTTTATAATATGAGTTACACCAAATAAAGACAGTCTTATTTAACACCATACACACACATATCTAGATATATATTTATATATCTATATGTAGATATATCTATATATAGATGTAGACATATTTATGTCTATGTATACACATATGGTATGCAAACACATACACTAATTTTGTTATTGGAGGAAAGTCACTTTAACTCCTCTGAATGGACCTGATGATTTTCTTTTCCAATGGAAGGAGTTGAACAAGAGCATCTTTAAGGTCTTATTTATGTTTTACAGCCTTGGTTATGTTAAGAGTAAAAAAGAAAAATAGAAAGAGGGTTTTATATCTTATAGTTACAGAACATCTCTACTTCTTACATTTTAATTTGTTCAGCAAAAGAGACAGTAGCTGATCTCATGTCTTTGCTTTTTTTTCAGAGCTCATAATTTAATATATTTGCATAAAATGAGGTGGGGAAAGCTAGCTAATCTCCTTTACTTGTAAAATACCTTAAGGAAATTTTTTATTAGTCTACAAGACCCAAGGGCAAGTGTTAATAATAAATAATGAGAGCATATGGTAGAATGACTGATTCATTTGTGGTCTACCAGTTGTAACCCCTTGTGGGGAAAAAAAAGAATCCAGGCAATAATGTAAAAACAGTCCCTTACAGTGCCAGAATCTCTTAAGCCTTACACTATTTGATTCATCTTTAAAATCCCTTTCCAATTAAACATGCGGATACTTGGAATTAAATAAAAGCCTTGGAGGGGAGGCGAGACTTTTGCTTTTAACATAATTTAAATTACAGGCATCCTAGATTTACGAGCTGGAACTGAAGATTTCCTAAGATCAATTACATCATGCATTTTCAAGAAAGATGTAATTCCGCAAAGCCGCTGTGCAAAGCTCAGTAACAATTACCATCAAGAAATACAGATTGGAGACCACACAGCAGTAAAGTACATCAAGATTTCTCTTCGGAGTACAGGAGATTTCAAAGTAGCCTATGCTGAAGCAATGATTTAGGATTTCCACCCTTAATCTTCTAGCCTACCAAAATAGTTCCTTAATGAATAGAGGAGCTGAAAATTTTTGTTTGCATATCAGTTTCTTAGTAGCTTTTATTATTATGAATCCACATCTCTATGAAATATTCTTCAGCCCTGAGAAGAGATTTACAATTCAAACTTTATTTTGAAGCATCCCATTCTTGCAAGAAAGTAAGATCATGCCCTCGAGGGGCTCCATCTGCTAGCAATTCGAGCTTTGCCAAAACATTCAAATAGCTTAGCGTGTACACACTTCTCCGGAAAATAAACTGCATTCTATTTTTCTTTGCATCCCCAGGTATAACCTGGTGACTGGCAGAAGCTGGTCATCAGCAAATCTCTGTGCAGTGGCGGTTCTTGAAGATGAGGCATCAGATTGCACACTTTTGTTATATTTCCTTTGCATCCTGTAATGGGTTGAACACCTACTTGTCCCAGAGGCAATGTGATGGGTGATTGCTGGATTTGCATACTCTTCTTAAATTATGATTCTTTGTTCATTGAAGTTCAAAGAAAACAGTGCATGACTTCCACGTTCCAGCTGCTTATCAAAACTCTTTCTTTGCATTCAGGCAGAGAGAAGTCTGGAGCTCCAGCCTCAGTTTTTTACTCAGGGACATATGTGAAGTGTCATCTCATTTCCTCCCCCCATGATAAAAAAAATGGGGCAGTTATGCAACAAATCAACTTTGTGCTATTTCCAGGTACATGAGACTGTCCATGAGATGTGTTTTGAATGCCAAACACCGAATATATAGTTATTTTTTAAAGCTTTGTTGAGATATAACTGACAAACAATAAACTGCACAAAATAAAGTATACAAATTGATGTTTTGACATACGTATACATCTGTGAAATCATCATTATCCTTAAGATAGCAAACATATTTTTCACCGTTCCAAAATATTTTTTGCACTGTATTTATTTGAAATTTCCAGCTTTATTGTGATATACTTATGAAAATTATAAGGGTTCAGTGTATACAATGTAATGATTGGATACACATGTATACTGTGAAATGATTCACCACAATCAAATGAGTTAACATATTTATTACCCAAGGTCATTGCTTCCCTTTTTGTTTTATTCTGTTTTTGGTGAGAACATTCAAGCAAATTTTAAGTATACAATACAGTATCGTTAACTAAAGTCCCCTGAATTTACTTATCTTGCGACTGAAAGTTTGTACCCTTTGGCCAACATCTTTCCTCTTCCTCTGCTCCCCTGTCCTTGGTAACCACCAATTTATTCTCTGTTGCCATAAGTCCAACTTTTTTAGATTCTACATATAAGTGAAGTCAGGCAGTATTTGTCTTTCTAATTTTGCTGATGATGAAAATGGAAGAATAATGTAAATTGGCACATTCCCTGAAAATGTGGGACATACCTGGCTTTAGGATTCAGAATATAATAATTATCATAAAATTTAAAAATCCATTTTGCTATAATTGTGAATCATCAGGATTAGACTAAGCCAAAAGAAAAACAATCCAAACTTAAAGCAAAAAAGAATAAATTATTTTAAGTCTAAAATAGAAAGTTCCAGCATTCTTATTCCCAAACCACCTCCTCAAAGTAGAAAAAGCATAAGCCAACTTTCAAGGGAGACTTTATTTATTTTCTCTCATGATGTCGTGAGTATGATATTTATTGGACAGAAATAAGACTTGGCTTTGGGAAATCTGAGTTTCCAGACACCCACATTGTGACTACTTTGCTGTACACAATCAAATGTAATCTTTCTAATGAAATAGGATGCAGGAGTAAGAAAAGATTCTGAGAAAAGTCAAGTTGATATACTAGTCAGCCCCGGTCACCTATAACTTACTCTTCTAGCACAGAAATTACATTCCATGCAACATATGCATGGAACACTATATTCACAAATCATACCAATGGTCTACCACCAGGAGAGCCAGAACAGTACATAAAATTAACAGAAGTAGAAGTGGACTTTCAATGATCTGTGGAAACTCCCTCCTTCAGACTCCTGGAGACTCGCTGGAGAGTGAATTGCAGGAGGTGGGAAGGACAGGCTATGGCTGCTAAAGAGAGCAAAGTTAACTGATTCTGGAGGAAACTGATCACGTGACCTGGGCCAGTGGGCTACATTCCCCTCAAGGCACAGGGCTGGTTTTGTTATGTTACCAAACTCCAGAGGCTTTTCTGTTCCTGGTATTGAGTAAATGCTCAACTAGAATTTGTGTAACCTGAATTTATTAACCGCCTATTATAGTGAATATGGGACATGTATATACTGTCCACCAAAAGCCATGCTTTGGAAGGAAATTGGTTTTGGAATCAGAGAAAATAGGATGGGAGGATCCAAGGAAAGATTAGAGTGAAAAGAATCACAATGTCTCTGTCATGACAATGAAAATGTATTCCTCTACAAGGCAGAGGTGAGGACAGCACGATGATATTCCTGGGTAGTTATTAATCCCTCTTACAATATAGAAGTCTGGGGCTTCCTAGAAAACCATGGCAAACCAAGTCTACACATACACAACTTCTTCTTTCCCATGGCTTCCCATCACCAGTAGACTATAGGAAATTACATAAATCATGAGTGCTGGCTGTGCCATGGGGATTTATATTGTTTTTCTCCCTGTCCAACTTCCATTCTGCCCTTTTCTGATAATAACAATAACCTCAGGTGATTTTTTGGCTTTGGGTTTTTGTCTTTTTTTTTGAGGAAGAAGCCCTCCTTAGGGGGAGTGACTGTCTCCCTAGGAAGGCTCATGGGATAGAGGGGTTTCCCAGAATACAGGACTTTTAGTGCTAAAGCTAGGTAATTGCCAGGAATTGGGAAGAACCAGTAATTCAGTTTCCTTCAGAAATTGCCCGGTGAGAATATGCATCACCCTGCTCTCCTCCTTATGCCCCACACTGCAGGCCAATCAGAATCTCCCTCTTCTGGAAACTGACAAGAAATATAGCTTGGTTGCCATTCCAAAATAAAACCAAGACAAAACCAAAGATACAAATATTTGAAACTATGCACCCTGAAGGGCTTGTCCATTGGGTCTCACTTCCTAGGGCCTCTATGGTCTCTGGCTCTAAGGACTGATTGTTTAGCCACCCTGACTCAGTTTAACCAACTCTTCCTCTCACCAACCAGAGTGAGCATATGTTACTTGTACCTCCAAACCTCTAACTGGTCCAGAAAATGACACCTGGAATTGAGTGGCACAAGTGAGAAATGCTAACAATGGGACTGGCTGAGGCAAGGTAAGTGGAGGTTGTAAAGGATTTTTTATTCCATGCTTGTCCCATGCATTCCATAATAGAGAAATCTGTTATGTGGTAGCATTTTGTTAAGTAGTTTTCTGTTGTGTCTTGGGACTAATGCCAAGTACCAGTGGTGTCTGAACTTTATAGGATTTGATAGAAAGATGTCAAGGTGTTGCAGTCTCTAAAATCAATGAGGGAGGAAAACACAGATTTGCAGAGAAAGGAGCTTTCTTCCTAGGGCCAGGAATCTAGGATGACCACTGTGAGCATAGTATTCAACTTTGGAAAACCCAAACTTCCCAATTCTAAATTAAAATTGGTGGTAGTTGAAGACTGAGGACAAGAAATATACCTGAAGAAGAGAGAGGACCTGGGCTACGCTTGATTCTTCCAGGCCCCCATTTCCTGTCTGACAAATACAGTATTGCATATGGCCTTCCCTAGGATTACACCCCTAGGCCAAGTGCAGACTCCATAGTTTTGAATTACCTTCAGGTAGAGATCAAGTTCATACTCAACTGAACTTTGTGGATCTGGGCACATATGTAAGGCTTTTTCTAAGAGGCAGGGTATCCCACACTTGGCCTGGATACAAGAAAAATAAATACTTCTGGATTTAGTCTCTCATTAACTGAGTTGACCAAAGGCAAATCAACGGAAAGTCAACTCCAGCTCCACAGGATGTGTTGTCGAAGATACCTGGACTGTGCTGCAGACTAAGGCCTGGGATTGTTTAAACTGCAAGATAATCCTGAGGCCCCCAAACCCAGAGGAAGAAGGTTTCTATGTGGACTTCCCCAGAAGGGCTAGAACCCTGCTACATCTCTCCAAAGGGTCCTTGGGAAACAACAGACAAGGGTGGGGGCTTCCAGTGGGCAGATTCACCACCCAGAGCCCACTCCTCTGCCAGAGCAGTGAGTCCTGCTCTTCTGACCCAGAGGGATGTGGACATTGCTTTTGGCCAGTCACCATCGTCATGGTCTCTTAGCTACATCTCTCTTCCCTTCCCCAGTGGCATCTGCAACTGCACACAAGGCCCGTGATGGCTGCTGCCTCTGAGGAGGAGACCGGGAAAGGCTTCCAAGGACCTTCAATGAAATGTCGACATCTGTTGATTTGTGGTGGATTCACAGTGTTGGTTACATTGTTCTTTGTTTTCCTGTATTTTTAAAATCTTTCTGAAAGTTAGCTCAAAACACTTTTGTTACTCTTAGTGACTAGCTATACATGATACTTTGCTATTATTGGTGATTCATTCTCTCTGCCTGGAGTAATCACTCCTATTAGTAAAAAGGCTTTACCTTTCTTTTTCATAAAACAGTAATTACCATTTATAATTCATAACAAAGATACGCATACAATTATGTGCATATGTATATATGTATTTGTGTGTGTGTGTGTGTCACCATTTACTCTGAAATCTGAAGATTCCCTGGACAAGAATTAGAATAAGGAACACCTATGTCATTCTTTTAGGACTTGCTTCAGCTGCTGTCCCTTCCTCTTTCCAGGGTGACCCAGGAAGGTGATCAGGTTGATAATGTTTTTGCTTCATATCTTTTCTGGATTGAAAATAGTAATTTTTTTCTCACTTTCTTTAAGCTTCAGGAGAGATTTTCGGTGTGGCTTTAGTGACAAAGCTCAGGAAGAAATCAATTAGAGAACAACGCAAATCAGTTATAGACAACACAAGAGAACCCACTGCTAAATTATGCAGAAGACCCCAGCAGCGGGAGAAGTATGCAGGAGACTGATTGCAAGGCCACACAGTTGAGGCAGCCAGGAATCACTGAATCAGTGAGAAGGACCTCAGGAGTTAGAAAATGAACTCGATGCATGGATTGCTCAGACACCTGGATTCAGTGACAGTGGGGAGCATTTACTCATTACATCATAGGAAATCAAGCTTGGGTTCTCTGTTAGTAACTGTGGTTACCCTTGTGGTACAAACATTGCTCTGCCTGTGTGGAGAAAGCTGCACCCAGCATCTGGATAGTTTTGTCATCGCGGGTGGTCAACTGATGAAGATTTACACTTTAAACCTCAGACCTTGTTTTTAAAGAGTATGGAAGAGCACAAAGACCACCCAAATGAGAACAAGCCACACTATTTATTCAGCCCTTGATACAGCATTATTATCCTGCTACTATTGCTTGTGTTTAGTGGAGACTTCAAGACAGACAGGAAAAGCAAATGCTTCATAATGAAAAGCAGGGAAGCTCTGAGTCTACCCTGATCAGAGGCTGCTGGCCTGGGGAAGCTGGAGGTGGCTCCCTAGACAAGGCATCCTATGGGATTCCTTACTGGTGCATACCTTGGCTTCCTCTAGTGGGTCCTGAGTTGGATTTGGAGGAAAAATTAGGGAAGCTCTTAGTCACTGGCAAAGTCTTGACCATTCTGAGCCGATTGCTACAGAGGTTGTGGGTCAGAGTTCTGTTGGCACACTTGGTCTGGCCATTGTCTGAGTATATTCAGCCTCTCAAAAGGAATAACCCACATTTGTTACCATCGTTTTATGAAACATTAATAATGCCTTTAAGGCACGCTAATACATGATGCACATGAAATTTCCTAGAGGGAATTGAGGGCTGACGCCTAGTTAGCATAAAATAGGTTTATTATTTTAAAACAAAAGGCCAAAAGACCTGTAATGAGGTTTGAGAAGCATCATCACGTGGGTGGTAATGGGGACAGCCAGCTACCAGGAGGGGGCTGAGCTCAGGCCCTGTTTCTCAGGGTGAGAAGGACCAGCACCACACCACCCACCCCCACACCCCGCCCATGGTCACTAAATGCTGCAGAGCAGAATCTGACCCTGGGGTGATGTCCCAGCAAGACTCACAGATGGAAAGGTCATGCAACCAAGAGGCTCGGATGCACTTTTGCCCCCTACAACATTCTTAGGAGGGCAACTTTGGATCACAGAAAAGATGTCGTCTTTGGCATACTCATATTTGTCCTGTAGCATACAAATAAGGACTTGATTTCACGCCGCTTCAGAAAACAGAAAGGAAATTCTGTCCCCTAAAGAGCCAGACCTCCCCTAATGTAGCCTAGCACTAAACCCAGAGAGACCCCAGGTAGAACACACAGCCTTTCCCTAGCGTCCCATTAGAACTCAGAACGAGAAATAAGGAGGAAGCTGACTCAAGCTGCTCCATCTCACAGAATTGTTCCATGCGAAGGGCCAAGCACAATTTCCACAGAAGAAAAATACAATATTCCTGGCACATCAATTTCAGGGTTTATTCCTTGAATTTGTATTAAGGAAATGATGATGGACTAGCTTTCCCTAATCTAACCTAGCTGGTCTTAAGAGTCCTCTCTGGAAAGAACTCCCTGGATTTGTGGTGCCTTCTGGGGCATGCATCAGAATTTTCATCACTGAGAAGTAAATTGATCTGTGTGGGATTCAAATTTCAGAGCCTCCTTAGCCCTAGACTCCAACCCACCACGTGCAGATATGCATCAAAATGGACCTAAATTTGCTGAGAAAAGTGCTTGCAGTTTTCTTTCTAGTCCCATTTTGTTATATTATAGTCAGTCCCTGCACAATTTGAGATTGACAAACAAGCTTGTTTAGGAATATTTCGGTATGAGCATAAATAACAGTCAATATGGCCAGGAGCAGTGGCTCATGACTGTAATCCCAGCACTTTGGGAGGCTGAGGTGGGCGGATCACCTGAGGTCAGGAGTTTGAGACCAGCCTGGCCAACATGGGGAAACCCCGTCTCTACTAAAAATACAGCAATTAGCCGGGTGTGGTGGCAGGTGCCTGTAATCCCAGCTACTTGGGAGGCTGAGGCAGGAGTGTTGCTTGAACCCGGGAGGCAGAGGTTGTAGTGAGCCAAGACTGCGCCATTGAACTCCAGCCTGGGCAACAAGAACAAAACTCCGTCTCAAATAAAATAAAATAACAGTGAATACTACAACCCGATTTTCAAGGTGAGCACTGAATCTGGCACTGGAGGGGAGGGAACAATGTGTGAGGGATTATCATTAAATTGGACATACACTAATGGTCCATTTCAAGCAGCAGAAATTAATAAAAATCCTCTGAAATTTTTCTTAGTTAAAATTATACATTATTTTTAAAGAAAACAAAATCTATCCACGGGTTTTTCTCCAAGAGTAGTGCATATTGGAAACCTGAAATTCTGCTTAGCAGTGTTTTGTCTTTAGAGATGTTTTCCATAGGGAGAAGCCTAAATCTAACTTCTGGGATGTCAGATACATCCTTATTTATACAAAGCGTGTGGTTCATGAAGACAGAAGACATCTGTTTCACTTTATCCTAAGGCATTGGTTAGGGAATGCATTGTCTGGAGAATCGAGGGAGAGGCAGAGTCTTTATTTCATGGACACACTCTCATGATCTCATGACGTGAAAAGGTCACAGGCACTCAGCTCTCAGGGCCCTGTGCCACACCCAGAACCCAGATATCCCCTTGGAACTGGAAGATCACGTGGGGTCAGTCTTTCTGCTCCGGTGGAGATGGTGCCTCTGAGTTCCAGGGTACTTTCAATTAGAATAATATTTAAGGCATTTTCAGAGACCCACAGAGTCCTGCGTAGTGCCTGATAGAGAAGAGATTCACATCCTTGGTGGGATTCCAGAGGGTCAGCTTAGGAGAGAAGCTAGGAAATTTTACTCTGGATTTATCTGAAATTATTCAAATGTCAGTACTGCTGAAGATTAGAAAATAAATTGATGACATTACGGGCTGTGTATCAAGATTGATATTCTGGCATTATAATCTCCAATACCAACAGGTGGAGTAGTTGCTACACATTGGTTGATTTTTAAAGCTGATAGAGTAAAAATATTATGCTGCTATCGCTAATGTGGTGAAGAAAATGTGGGCATTGGTGACAATTTCTTGAAATCATCTTGTTTTTACATTCTGTGGCAAGTTCAGTCAATCACTTATCTATATCACTATAGCACCCCAGACCAAAGCAGTTGTCCAGGATGGTGACTGCCTTCCAGGAAGTACCACGACCTGAAGCCAAGTGGAGCTTCACAGGTCTTTGTTTTTAGCTGGATCACAGGTGGCTTTAATAATACTATAGCAAAAATAATCTCAAAACAGCTTTGAGCAATTCAGTGACAAAAATCCCCTTTATTACCAAATTCCATAACAATTCTCTCAAAATATGATTCAGTCCTTTCTCATTCCTATCATATAAGGAAATAAATAAAACAACATAAAAACATGAAGTCTTATTTTGAATCAGCCCTGTAACGCCCTTCCACTTCTTATATAAGATGCTATCTGAGGCCATGAAAATCATTTTTTATTGAGACAAAATGTAATAAGAAGTGTTGCCATGTTTGTCTGAACTCTCCATGTTTCCCTACATAACGACATGTGTTTTAATTCCCCCTCTGTGAAGCTATAAAGTCTCTTAGAATAATTCACTCAATATATCAGTAATTCTACCAATCCTCAAAGCCCACATACACGAGGGGCTAATTTTAGGTTAATTGTACTTCGTGTTGTGTGTAATGGCTTGTAGAAGAGAGTAGGGGCCTCTGTTGAGCACGCCAACTGTGCTGTGACCACATCTCCAGCTTTGCAGCCCTTCCCAGTGAAGAGAGCAGCAGGGACTGTGTCCTGCTCTTACATGAAGAAAATCATGAAATGTGCTCCCATGAGGCAGCTCTCTATAGGGATGAGGTGATGCTGGAGAATGCATCTCAGAAGTGACAGCAAAATGAGATTCTAACATCAGACTCCTGGCTCAGGTAGAAGTTCCACCCTGCCATGGCTGGAGCTTAGGCATCCCCACGGTGGAAAGGAGGTGGAGCGGGGGCAGTGGAGGACAGCAAGTGGTCCCTGCAGACAGCAGATCCTGAGAGATCAGTCTTACATATCAGAATAGTTTCTCCTACTTTCCCATACAGAGGAATGTATGAGCGGGAGGAGAGACACCATAGGATAGCTCCAAAGAGCCATCTTCACATGAAAGGAAACACCAAGGCAGGATAATAAATATTCACTCTCCCTTTCAGTATATTACCTACCCCCACCAATGTTCTCCAGCCTCCCATTCTCTCAACTCACTGGGGTTAAAGTAAAAGCTTGTGGTGACCTGGGATGTGGGCCTCTACCTGCTGTGAAGGGAAGAACAGTCCATCATGACAATCCTACTCTCAACTTCCTAACCTCAATCCCCTGGTGACTACCCTGTTTCCTGGAATATTTCACTTAGGTTTTCCCTGGAAACAGTAGTGGGCAGCATGGATTTGTCCCACACAAGCTCCTGAAATGGGTCTGAAAAATACAATAATTAAAATAACTTCGGACTTATACTGATCCAAAGTTAAAAAAAAATATTATTCTACTTCCCATTCCAAATACCATATTGTCAAAATAGTCCACCAGTGATTCTGTAAAGAGTTCCAATTACAACATTAAGAAACTCAACAATAAAATATATAAAAACATTTCAATGATAAAATTCTGACTTCAAATTTAAATCTTAAACCCCTCCCATTCTTAAAATTTTACAAAGACGTTAAAGTTCAAAGATTAAATCACCTTGAAAGTTAATTTATTTAAGTTAAGATTCATGTGCCTTGCTCCTTCAAGTTAACAGTCTAAAGAAATTAAATTCTAATTTCTTATTCTACTCAGTCTGATATCCAGGGATTTTGCTGCCTTTGTGAAAGTTTAGAAACGTCTTGTGGTAGATGTCTGAATTGTTAGGTCTAATTGGAGGTATTCCTTTTCCATTAAGGATCTTTGTTTCCATTTGCAACTGCCAGTAGCACTCCAGGACTGGCACTGATACTTTAAGCCTGGAACTCCCTAATGTTCTGTGCTCTGTGTTAAACCCACAATTCAGCCACTTTGCATTTTCAAAGGCACAAATACTGTTCTGTCCATCAATTCCTTAAAACCCAGTACACAGAAAAATTATTTCTTTACCCTCATTGCTTTCTTTCCTTGGTCGCACCTGCTCACTAAAGTCTGTATGGCTCACCAGTCTGTTGCTGTCCTGTGTGCAAGAGTATACGGATGAATGATATTGCCCTCATCATTTAAGTCAAGCAATAGCAACTTGCCTCTGGAGCCCTCACCATGTGGCACAGTCACGTCTCTTTTAAAGCCCACACTTACCCAAAGGCCCTAGTGGTGTTTTCTTGAGCTCTCAGCAGCCCTATCTTGGTTTAGTCCAAATAGTCCTCACATCTCTTGTGCTGGTTCAAGTTCTCCAAGAAGTAGACTGCAACACGGGGTGAGATGTGCAAGAGATTTATTGGGAAAATTTTCTACAAGAGTAAAATGGAGCCAGAGTCATATTGATTATTTAGACCCTCAGAAACAGAGTCCGTCATCTAGGAATAGAATTTCAAGGGAGAAGAGGAAGGAATCCAGGATTTAGCTCTTCAACTTCTCCATTTAGAGGTGGAGAAAATGAAGAGGGGCCAGGAGGGTAAGGGGAAAGCCAAAAAAGCAAGAGGGGGTGAAGCCACAGATGCTCAGAGAACATGAGGTTTAGCAGAATCAACTGTGGTGACACAAAAAACAAAAAAAAATGAGTGCTGTATAGCAACATGGAGCATGGTGGTGATTTTGGAAGAGTAGCATTGGATTTTAATGGTGTTGGTCTCATAGAAGCAGTGGTTTTTGAAAACCGGAGATAGAAGATGGGTCTGGAGTCAGCCCAGGGAAGCTAGGAGGACCTCGACCCCTCTTTCTGGCCTAGAGGTGTGTTGGGTATGAGGCAAAAAGAATCCTCTTCTGAGAAATGGGTACTCAATGGGCAATTAGGTTTCAGAGTTACGAATAAAGAAATTTAAAAATGACTTCAAGGAGAGTTTTACCAATCACAGAGGATAAAATGACCAGGGCACAAGGAAGGATCTGCTAAGAAGGAGAGCAGAGGATGGCTCACATCTCAGGATATGTAGAAAGGTATGGAAAGAATAAGGTATGTAGAAAGGTACGGAAAAACTAAAGGCAAACAGAGTGCCCAGGAGCCTGCTTGTACTCAAGGTGGACAGAGATATGAGGCATGAGTGGGTGGTCCTGCCAGATGCTGTCCTAAGGGACATAGGCACTTCTTGTCCTGGTTGCAAGAGCCTCAGTATTCACCCAAGTCAGTCAGTTCCCTCAAAGAATCCGGGTGATGAAGCACAAGAGATGAGCCCCCACTAGTTAGAAGATTTCATTAATTAACACTGTATTATTCCAATTTTCATTTATTATCAATGAGTGCGTTATTTTCTGCCAGTGATTTTTTAGTAAAGATAAGCCTAATTTTTTGTATGTTAATCATTAACTGTTTTCAACAGACATCTTTAAGAAACACACTTTGTTCTTTAATGAGTATAGCTAATTACACATAGAATATTCTCTTCTGATGACTTGAAGCCAACATGTAGAACATAAACACCTCTATGATAGGATAGAAATGGTCCTGGGACTTCATCTGTTGTGTCAATAAGAAAGTGAGAGCTCAAGGACCCCTGAGAACACTCTTCGCCTCCTGGTTTTCAAGTCTACCAGTAACAATATGCTGTGCAGAAACCTTAAATCCAACTCTTTGTAAGGTTCTTGGCAGCTCTAAAACCCTACCTGACTTGTAGTTATTATTGTTTTGTTGTGGTTGACTGAAATGCATGATCCTGCCGTGAATGGTTGACTTTGCTCAAAGTTCAACCTAATTTAAGTAAGACATTATTGAAAATGACTGGTTAACACAGTGCAGAAATTCACTTTCAAATGGAATTCAAATGAAATATTTCAGTATACATATACATTTATGTTGAATATCTCAACATTTCTTTCCAAGTTCCTGTTGTAGACCTACCCAGATGATTTAGTGAGCAGGATGTAGAGTGATTTGTTGCTTTCATAAAACATTTGCTCTGACATTTTTATAGTAAAATTACATCACTACCTGAATCAAATAGCAAACTTCTACATGATAGATCTTACTCTCTAGAATAGCAATGCAAGCTGTACTTTGCCTATCACTAGAAGATTCTTTTAAGTAGGGTAATACACATTGCAATTTACAAAATAGATTAGAATGAGTCTTTTAGTTCCATAGTATATTTTCTTATGCATGCATATTTATGCCATGTATCCAAACTTACTGAAATTCTGTGAGAGTTACATTTATTTTCACTGGAAAAATCTGTAGTTATTTCATTTAAAAATGATAGACCCCACCACAATTCTAAACTCCCAATGCTTTTGTGAAAGTTTTGTGAAGAAATATACGCAACTATGAAATGTACAGAAATATGACTTTCAGTAAACATAAAACTGGATACTCTCTTTACCTAGGTATTCTACCTAATCTATTTGGCTGGCTGTCCTCTGTGTCAATTAAGAGGTCTGACTTGGAGCAGCCTTACTGGTTTTCTTAATAGCCGAGGACTCACTTTCTCTCCCTCTGTCTCTATTATGGACTCATACACACTTATGAACCTCCCACTGTGTACTGACTATCTACACACAGCTCCTGCAGCATGTCCCAAAGCCAATTGATTTAGACAAACCAGTCCTCCTATTCTCCTTCCCAACCATCTAAGGGTTACCATTGAGATTCCCCAAATCCAGTCTTTAAAATTTTTTTATTTATTTAATTTTATCTTTTAATTAATTAATTTAAGTTTTCAAATTTATACATAATAACTGTATGCATTTATGGGCTGCATGGGGATGTTTTGATAATATAATGTACAGTGACCAAATCAGGGTGATTAGCATATCCATCAACTCAAATATTTATCATTTCTTTGTGTTGGAAATATTCATTACCCTCCTAGCTACTTGAAACTATGTAGTATACTATTGTTAACTATAGTCACCTTACAGTGCAATAGAACACTGGAACTTATTCCTCCTATCATATGCAATTTTGTATTCTTTAATGAATTTGAGAAAATGTGGTAGGAGGCTGACAGATGTGACAATACAATTGATGAAGGAGGGGTTTTAAATCTCTTAACCTGTGACTGAGTGAAATCCAGGATCAGAAACTTTCAAAGTAGAGTAACAATGCATTGGGTGACCATAGTACACAGACAAGCGAGATGAAACACAGCCATGCCATAAGCTTTAGGAAGGAGGAATATTGAGCACTCAGCTGTAAGGTACCGGTACTACATGTGAAGTGGTTTAGGGTTATTTGAAAGTGAAATTAAATTACTTAAAAACGTACACTGCCAATTCTGGAGAAACCACGAAAAATTTTAAGTAAACCTACATGTAAAGGAATACCATAAACTATAAAAAGAAATTACTCACTTTTTGTGTACATCTGTGTGTCTTTGAGGGTATGTATGAATATCATATGAACAGATCACAAAAAACTAATATAAACGAATAAATGAGCCAGTGCCCTACAAGAGTAAGAAAAGACAAATACGGAATTATGTGGAAAGAAAAACATTAATATTGTCAAATTTTAAAAATAAAATATATTCATTTCATTTCAAGACAAATGAGGTAGTATGAAAATTCTCCTTTAAACAATATTCCCAGTTAAATCAATCAAACTAAGTATAGTAAATACAATTGCATTTACCATGGTGCCATTCCAATAGTTATTTTCCAGCTTCTTTTCTTACTGTTATGAAGGATGACTCTAGTCCTTTGTTCTCTCCTTTTATGTTAGTTAAAAAATGTAACATCCTTGTCAACTGTTTGTTAGGGTATCCTTAAGCCAACTCTGAGTAAAACAGCAGTATGGTGAGTCAGTAGCTTTAAATTCTTTGTAGGAATTAATAAAATGGTTCAGAAAACAGCACAGAGTTTCAGAGTTTCAGTTCTAGAAATATTAAAATCTCTGGAATAAGTAATTGCATAGAAAACAGAGGGCTTAAATAGAACTTTAGTGATACTGTTGGAGTTTTCAATAACCCTGAGAGAACATCGTAAGAAATAAATATCTCTAATTTCTATAAGGAGGGAGTGAAAAAGGAGAACACATGTAAACTATCAAAATTTAGCCTTATGTATCTTTAGAAGATATGAAAACAAAAACTGAAGCTGCCACTAGCCAATTCCAATAATGTGTTCGTGAGACATAGAGGATTATCTGAGTGATATATCACCCAAGTCTTCATATATGTTTTCTCAGAAGGAATAGCTGTTAAGGTGAGTTGTTCTAAGAAATAAGAACCAATGTTACAAAAATAAACTAGAATGGAGTAAGTTGATAAATTATGCTTGGGAATAAGAAAGGTAATTTGTTGATTAGACGTCATATCACAAGAAACATACCTTAGTGAAGGTAGGCAGAGGGAAGGTGACATGGTTAGAATAGGAAACAAATTATGAAACATCAATCTGGCTTTGATTCTAGCCTTACTGTGCTACATACAGATGAAAGGGAAACAGACCACACGCTGCCCCCATACTCCCTGCACTGCAGAATGCCCCACAGGCTTTATTTTCGGTGCAGTGAATCAAAACATCAAAATTGCAGAGTCTATATCTTGATTAAGCTCATTCTGCAGCCACTATTATCCAGAACAAATTATGTGTGAATCTCATGCTTATGGCATCGTAAAATTTCAGGTATAAAATGACTATTTCTGTGGGTATTAAGGAAGGGAACAAGGATGCTATGTGTACCATGCACAGATGAACCAGCATGAACATACATTCATACACACATAATACAACTCTTGGAATCCAAGGAGTCACTAAGTTTTGATCATTACCAGATGGTAAATGGTCACTTAAGGACTCTGTGGACACTCTCTCCTTTAATTTGTATTGCACATGCAATACAAGTTTTCATTGTTTTCTTGCACAAATTGCTAAAAGTAGAAATATGTGCAAAAGTGAAACAGCATATTTGGAGATTGTTTGAGTAATGAATCAGAATCTGTATGGTTTATACCTTCATTCTATTTGTATAGTAATGGAACATTCCTATTAACCAACAATATATGATTCAAATCATATTTGCTAATTCATTCATTCGTTGATCAAACATCTACTGAGTACTGAATCTGTTCTGGGCATTAAGCCACATTCTGTGGATATAATATTGGTGGCAGTATTTCTTCATTTAAAGACTTCACCACCTAGTTACGGGCATGAACAAATAGTTAAGCAAAATAAGTCAGGCACAGAAAGATAAATATCACATGTTTTCACTCATATGTGAGAGCTGAAAACAATGTTGAGCTCATGAAAGTGGAGAGTATCATACTAAAGGGTGAGGGGGTGAAGAGGAAGGAAGGATAGGGAGAGGTGGGTTAACAAATATGAATTTATGGCTTGATAAGAGGAATATGTTCTAGTCTTCTCTAGCACTGCAGGAGGAATGTGGTTAACCATAATTTATTGTATATTTCCCAAGAGCTAGAAGAGAAGATTCTGAATGTTCACACCACAGAGGAATGATAAATGTTTGAGGTAGTGGATATGCTAATTACTCTGATTTGATTATTACACATTGTATACACATATAGAAATATCACTCTGTATCCCACAGACTTGCATAATTATTGCATCCCAACTAAAGGTTAAAAGGAGCAAAATAACCTAGCAATCACCGTGCACACATAGGCTCTTACTGGCAAGGTTAAGGACAGACATCTTTAAGTTTCCTTAGGGAAGCACGCCTGAGATGTGTTAGAAAAGGAGAATATAGTGATTCAGGTGAAGAGTGGGCAAGGAAAAAACCTTCCAAGCAGAAACATAGGGTGTACAAAGGCTGCAGAAAAGAGAGAGCCTGGACTCTTGGGGAAGCTTCCAGCTTTGATGTAACTAGGAATAAGGGTTTCACGAAAAAGAATGGGGAGACATGAGGGTTGTGTTATGTTAATTTTGTAATTTTTATAAAAGTAGAATCTTATTTTTATTTTCAAAGGTTAATAGAGAAGAATTAGCCAGGTCACAAAAGGAGGTAGTGATATCAGCACAGCACAATAATTCCTATTATAAATGTAAGATATTAACTTAAGTGTCCAGCAATGGATGACTGGATAAAGAAAATGTGGTATGTGTGTGTGTGTGTATATATATGCACTGTATATGTGTGTGTATATATATATATACACACAATACACACACACACCACTATATATTTATATATATATATATAGGAAAGATGGATATTGAACATATATATATTATATATATATATAGTGGTATATATAATATATATAGTGGTATATATAATATATACATATATAGCGGTATATATAATATATATAATCAAATACTACTCAGCCACATAAAAGAATGAAGTCATGTCTTCTGCAGCAACATGGATGAAATTGGAGACCATTATCTTCAGTGAAATCGTTCAGAAACAGAAAGTTAAATATCAGACGAAGGGCAGAAACAGTGCTATGATGGGAGATCTACATTTAGTTCCTCAAGGAGTCTACATACTGTTTTCCCTAGAGGTTGTACTAATTTACATTCCCACCAGCAGTATAAAATGTTGTCTTTTCACCACATCCCTACCAACATCTATTGTTTTCTGACTTTTTAACAATGGTCATTCATGGAGGAGTTAGATGGTATCTCATTGTGGTTTTAATTTGTACTTCTCTGACAATTAGTGATGTTGAGCACTTTTTTTTCGTGTTTGTTGTCCATTTGTATATCTTCTTTTGAGAATAATCTATTCATTTCATTTGCCCACTTTTTGATGGGATTATTTGTTTTTATATTATTTGTTTTATTCTTATTGATTTATTTGAGTTCCTTGTAGATTCTGGTTATTAGTTCTTTGTTGGATGCATAGTTTGTGAAGGCTTTCTCCCATTCTGTTGGTAATTTGTTTACTCTGCTGATTATTTCTTTTGCTGTGCAGACCTTTTTTAGTTTAACTGGGTTCCATTTATTTATTTTGTTGTTGTTGTTGCATTTGTTTTGGGGGTCTTAGTAATGAATTATTTTCCAAGACCAATGTGCAAAAGAGTTTTTCCAATGTTATTTTCTAGAATTTTTGTGGTTTCAGGTCTTAGATTTAAGTCTGTGGCCCAGCTTGGCTTGATTTTTATATGAGTCGAGAGATGGGGATCCAGTTACATTCTTCTACATGTGGCTTGCCAGCGTTCCAGCATCATTCATTGAATAGGGTGTTCTTCCACCATTTATGTTTTTGTTTGTGTTGCCAAAGATCAATTGGCTGTAAGTATTTGGCTTTATTTCTGGGTTCTCTATTTTGTTCCATTTGTCTAAATTTCTTATTTTTATACCAGTACTATGCTGTTTTGGTAACTACAGCCTTGTAGTATAATTTGAAGTCCAGTAATGTGATGCCTCCAGATTTATTCTTTTTGCTAAGTATTACTTTGCTCAGTATTCTTTTTGCTCAGGATTCAGGCTCTTTTCTGGTTCTATATTTTAGGATTTTTTTTCTAGTTCTGTTAAAAATGATGATGGCATTTTGATGAGAATTGTATTGAATCTGTAGGTTGATTTGGGCAGCATGGTCATTTTCTAAATATTGATTCTTCTCATCCATGAGGATGGAATGTGTTTCATTTGTTTGTGTAATCTGATTTCTTTCAGCAGTGTTTGTAGCATATTTCTAGGTTTTTTTTTGCAGCTGTTGTAAAATGGATCAAGTTTTTGATTTGATTCTCAGCTTGGTTGTTGTTGGTGTATAGTTGTGCTACTGATTTGTGTACATTGATTTTGTATCCTGAGATTTCACTAAATTTATCAGATCCAGGAGCCTTTTGGACAAGTCTTTAGGGTTTTCTAGGTATACAATCATATTATCAGTGAATAGTGATAGTTTGACTTCCTCTTTTCCAATTTAGATGCCCTTTATTTGTTTCTTTTGCCTATTTGCTCTGGCTAGGACTTCCAGTATTACGTTAAATAGAAGTAGGGAAAATGGGCATCTTTGTCTTGTTCCAGTTCTCAGGGGGAATGCTTTCGACTTTCCTCCATTTAGTATGATGTTGGCTATGGGTCAATTGTAATATACCACATAAACAGAATTAAAATAAAAAATCATATAATCATTTCAATAGATTCAGAAAAAGCATTTGAAAATATCCAGAATCACTTTATGGTAAAAATCCTCAACAAACTTGTTATAGAAGGGAATTACATCAAAATAAGAAAGAGCAGCTAATTTTAAACTATCACTTCTGCACCCGTCATCCATATAGAATCTCAATTCAGCATCCCCAAATCAGAAACCCATCAGGAGAAGTATGTTTGTCCAATAATAATGAGAGTTGATGAAAACTTTTCTTAGTGATCACTGCCTCCAATGGTTTACCTTTCTTTATTTGTTTGAATCTAGTGGCCAGCCACCTTAAAAATTCCCAGGAAGAGAGTGCAGTGCCATACTAGATGGATGTGGTTTATACAGACAAAGACACACACAGTTTTATTCTGTATGTGATGGAGCATGGAAGAATTTGTCAACACAATTATATTTCTTAATATATAAATGTATTTGTGTCTTCAAAAACCACTGGGTTCGCTTGATTTCTTATGTCATAGCAATGGCTTTTTGACACGGTAGCTTCTGCTAACAATGTTGGACACAAACAGAATCAAGTCACCTGGTTTATTCAGTTTGAACTTTTAGTTCAGTTTGTTAAATAATACTGTCTTTCAGGCAGAAGAGATATGTGCCTGTAGCAACCCAATAAAAGAGAAGATTTATGCTCATCTCAGGTTTTTTTCTTGTAATTTAAAGAAGTCACCTTAATAGACAAAACATTGGTCTCCTTATGTCCTGCACTGGGGGCTGGAACTCTAAGTCAACAGGAGACGTCTAGTGAAGCAATAGAGACACGTTCACTTCCTAATAGGTAGCATATTTATCATTCTCTGCTTGATTTTAGCTGTGAAGCAACCTACTCACACAGCAACACTGGGGAGGACATTCAAACTGTCCAGTAGTGAACAGTCTTAATGATGAATGCAACTGTACCATGAGGACGATGACAATAATATTTAATTGAATTAGAATCTCAGGCAGACAATTTTTGTCAATAATTAATATGTTGTTGGGTCAATAAGATAGCTGGATTGCAATCGATATCACATCCTAATGCAGTAATTGCTGCGCACTTAGATATAATTTTGAAGATCCAAAATGGATTGTAATATGTTCTTTCCCAAAGCAGCTAGGTCAGCATTTTGCTGAAAGATGAAATTGTGTATGCTAATGTTTAGTTATTTTTTAGTGATTTGCTTAGGACACTGAGACAAATCAAGGACAAAACTGAGAATATAGCTTTTGTCTCTTAGAATATAGTTGTTGTGCTTGTTCCACAAGCATTCATTGCCAGCAACTCTATCAGCTTAGGTCAGGCTGTGGAGAAGCAGATAAAATGACCTTGTGGCAAAGATTTCCAAACTGGGATGCCTAGAGTAGCAGCATCAACATCACTAAGAGCTGGTTAAAATGCAAACTCAGAGTTTACTCCCTGGATCTGTTGAATAGAAAACTCTGGAGGTGGAATCCCCAAATCTGCATCTTAACAAGCCTTCCAGGTGTTGGTGATACATCCTAACATTTGAGAACTAATGACATAAAGGAAATATAAGAACACCAGAGAACAAGGAGGTTACATGTAGTCATGTCTGGCTGATTCCCCTATAAGCACTCAAAAAGACTGGGATTTCTACATAGAGATTATAAACCCAGACAAGCATTCACAGTTTAGAAGTGGAGGTTGACAGCCAGTGATGGTGAGCATTTTTTCATGTGTTTTTTGGCTGCATAAATGTCAAAACCACAATGAGATACCATCTCACACCAGTTAGAATGGCAATCATTAAAAAGTCAGGGAACAACAGGTGCTGGAGAGGATTTGGAGAAATAGGAACACTTTTACACTATTGGTGGGACTGTAAACTAGTTCAACCATTGTGGAAGTCAGTGTGGCGATTCCTCAGGGATCTAGAACTAGCAGTACCATTTGACCCAGCCATCCCATTACTAGGCATATACCCAAAGGACTATAAATCATGCTGCTATAAAGACACATGCACACGGATGTTTATTGTGGCATTATTCACAATAGCAAAGACTTGGAACCCACCCAAATGTCCAACAATGATAGACTGGATTAAGAAAATGTGGCACATATACACCATGGAATACTATGCAGCCATAAAAAATGATGAGTTCATGTCCTTTGTAGGGACATGGATGAAATTGGAAATCATCATTCTCAGTAAACTATCACAAGAACAAAAAACCAAACACCGCATATTCTCACTCATAGGTGGGAATTGAACAATGAGAACACATGGAACAGGAAGGGGAACATCACACTCTGGGGACTGTTGTGGGGTGGGGGGCGGGGGGAAGGATAGCTTTAGGAGATATACCTAATGCTAAATGACGAGTTAATGGGTGTAGCACAGCAGCATGGCACATGTATACATATGTAACTAACCTGCACATTGTGCACATGTACCCTAAAACTTAAAGTATAATAATAATAAAATAAAAAAAAAAGAAGTGGAGGTTGACAAACACATAATCACACAGATATCACAAAGGGAAAACAGCAGGTGCTACAGGATTCCATAAGATCGTGGGTGGGTTGAATTGTAGGCAAATAAAAAAAAATTGTATTTAGTTAAGATATGAGGGATGAGTGGGACTCATCTAGGTGGAGCCTGGCAGAGGAATGTCTAGGTAGAGGATGGCTGTGAGGGAAGTAGGTGAGGGGAGGAAATGCTGGGGGTTTTGTAAAATAGAATAAGAAGGGCAAATGGGACTTTATGAGCAATGAGAGATGTAGTTGGAGTGAACAGAGACCAGGATATCCAGGCCCATTAGGCCCTAATCTTTCTCTCACTAAAATTTTGAATATGAGCCAGGCACGGTGGCTCACGCCTGTAATCCCAGCACTTTGGGAGGCTGAGGCAGGTGGATCACGAGGTCAGGAGATCGAGACCATCCTGGCTAACATGGTGAAACCCCATCTCTACTAAAAATACAAAAAATTAGCTGGGCATGGTGGTGGGTGCCTGTAGTCCCAGCTATTTAGGAGGCTGAGGCAGGAGAATGGCGTGAACCCGGGAGACGGAGCTTGCAGTGAGCTGAGATCGTGCCACTGCACTGCAGCCTGGGCAACAGAGCAAGACTCTGTCTCAAAAAAAAAAAGTGAATATTAATAAAGAGAGAGCAATGTAGATTTTTGGTTTGCTTGTTTTTGTTTTTTGCTTCTTTATATTATTTTGGTTACTGCATAGGATATATGCAAAGGAACAAGAATAAATGTGGGGAGAACAGTTAGTGGACAATTACATTAGTCCTGGTGACAGCTGATAGTGGTTTGAACCAACTAATGGTGATTCGAAAGAAGTTAATACATCCAAAATATCCAGAGAGTAAAATCAGAATGTGATTTTTTTATTGGATTTGTGAGATGAAGAAGAAGGAAGTGGAAAGGCTGACTCTGAATTATCTGGCATTAGACACCAGGTGGATTGTAATGCCATTTATATTCATAAAAATATGACTATAGAGGTTTGTTCAGTGATGTACAAACACAGAACAGGCTTCCTTTAAATAATCACTGTCAACTTTTTCTTTTTGAAATCAGATGTTCATCTCCGCTACTGTTTTAGACACCAGAGAGGAATTGCTCATTAATGATGTCCTAGTACCCCCTTATAAATGTCAGCTTTATCCTGGATCTGTCCAGTTATTAAATCTCATCTTTATTTTGGTAAAATATTTTATTCTACTTTAGGAGCATTGCCCTCTCTTACTGTCATCTGTGCTGTGAGACTTGAGATAGAATCTACTTATGTGGCTACCTGTAACCATGTAGGAACAGCAGGTGAGTGGGGGTCATTCGTGTACTGATAATTGTTGCATCTGATTCTGGAGCTGGTGAAATGAGTAAAGCTACTGATGTCCTCATGGTCACCTTGTTTCACATGGGACTGTAAAATATGAATGCCTGGCTTTGCCTCCACCTTGGTTTAAGTGATCCCCTCTCAGTCTCTCCTCTCACCTTCCTAATTTCAAATTTGTGTGTTAAAACCTACTCACCAATGCAATGGTATTAAGAAGGTCTTTGGGGCTGGGCATGGTGGCTCACGCCTCTCATCCCAACACTTAAAGAAGCTGAGACGGGTTGGTCACTTGATGTCAAGAATTTGTCACCAGCTGGCCAACATGATGAAACCTCGTGTCTACTAAAATACAAAAATTAGCTGGGCTTGGTAATGCGCCTCTGATCCCAGCTGCTTGGGAGGCTGAGACAAGAGAATCACTTGAACCCAGGAGGCGGATGTTGCAGTGAGCCCAGATTGCACCACTGCACGCCTACATGCCAGCCTGGGCGACAGAGCAAGACTCTGGCTCAAAAAATAAAAAATAAAATAAGAAGGCCTTGAGAGGTGATTAGATCATGAGGGTGGAGCACTGTTGGATGTGATAAATGCTCTTATAAAAGAGGCTGCAGAGACCTACCTTTCCTTTTTTTTTTTTTTTATCATGTGAAGATGCAATGAGAAAGTGGCATCTATGAACCAGAAAGCAGGTCTTCACCAGACACTAAATCTGTTGGCACCTTGATCATGGAATTCCCAGCCTCTAGAACTGTGAGAAATAAATTTCTATTGTTAATAAGCCACCCAGTTTATGGTATTTTGTTACAGAAGCCCAAATGGACTAAAATAGGAGGATTGATTCAGAGAATCAGGAATTACTTCGTGCCCAATTAGATAACTACATTGAGAAAATTTTACTTTGAACCCATGTATTCGATGAAAAATGCTTCTCATAATTCGAAGTATCTGACTTTGTATTTGAAACCTCTGATGATGCTGGTGTTAAACTGGCTTCTTGGGAATATTTTTCTGCTTACAGAGGCAACAACACATTAATATCAATAGTTTCACTCTTCGTTAATGTAAGCAGAAACTTGGAATAAAAACTGAACAAACTAATTTAGAGAACCAATCATGTAACCTAAACAAAAAAGCATAGTCTAAAGAACAATGTGCAAATCCAACTGTTACAGTGGCACATGGCCTATTCATGTTTTTGGACACACTCTACTTAAAACACCTATGGATGTTGGAGTAGACGATTATTCATCTTAAGCAGATTTGTGTTTTCTGGGTTTCAGGTGATCAGAAGTATCACTATAAACTTCCATGGTAGACGGGAAAACATTTTGTGCAAATGTCATGTTCACTACCAATTGTGTTGAGATATTGAAATTCGATATGAATTTCTAATTGAGCATGCACTTTCCATTTTTAAACTCATTCATAATAGAGGAGTTTCTTTTAAAATTACCAAAGAATAAAAATAAATAACCATTTAATCCATTGAATCAAGAGTGTTCAAATTACTGCCCACCTGTTCTTGAGTATATTAGCGAGGCTGAATTAGTGAAGTTTCTTAGGGTGTAATCTCCTTGGGCAGAGGAAAGAGAGCCCAAGTTATCACAAAACAGAGGGCCATCTTGGATGGCTTTCCTCTACGTAGTTCATCTAAACCACTGGGTGCATCCTCCATTGTTAGAGCCAGGATGGGGATGGAGAAGAGAAATCATGCATTAACATCTCCAGCTGACATTAATGCATATGGTTATAGGCTCTGAGGGACAGAGACTAAGACATATAACTATGATTTGTTTATGTATCTAGTCAGTGTTCTTCATTACTGATGACAGATAGCAAAAAGACATTCCCATCGATGTTCCCCATTCAGAATGGGACAGCACTGTCCTTCCCAATAGCAAGAAGGGGCTCTGTGGCTGGAGCAACAGGAATAGTTGCTGAGAGGGCAGCACTTTCCTCCCTCACTGAAATAGGCATAGTATATTCCCATGACCTTAAAATAACTTTCAATATCACAACACAGTCACATAGCCCAAGAAAATTACTCTGGAGTATATAGAAATTGTAGACAAAAATCTGTCATTGAAAAGTCATTTGTAAAAGGTTTTAAGACAGTGTAATTGTGTAAATTTGTACTGTTCTACCATCAGGTTAGATTTATTCCCAAATACCACTGAAAGTCCAGTTACTCTCTGAATGTAATTCTATTCAAGTGGGACCTTGCAGCCCACTAAATGGATGAGAGAAAGAGCTTCGATTGAAGACCGTCTAAGTGTCAATACTGACATTTTCTCTCCCTGAGCTATAACCAAGATCTAAAGTTTTGATTGGGGTCTTTGTCACTTTCATCCTCAGGGTAGATGTAGAAAGAGATGCTAGAATTCAAAGACATCATTCAATTTGTTCCCGAAAGGGGTTGATAACTGTTTCCAAACTGAAAAGAATCATCTGTGAGGACGAGCATAAAGCAAAGTTTCAGTTTTCATTGGGGACTTAAACCTCATGAAAAAGTCTATTTTTTTTTTCATGTTTTAGCTATGTGTGTGTGTGGTGTATTTATTTGCCAAGAACTTCTAAGGGTGAATAACATTCCATTAGTTAATCTAAAAAAATTTCAAAATCAGCAACAGTTTGTAACTCAAAAGCTTACCAAACGGTTTGAACTCTCTAAAAGTAGATCAGGATAAAAGAAAAGTGACTACGTATTATGACTGGCCTTGGTGAAGTTAATGGAGTTTAGATGAAGACAGTTCTCTAAAAGAGAATTGATATAGTTTGGATATTTGTCCCCACCCAAATCTCTTGTTGAATTGTAATCCCCAGTCCTGGAGATGGGACCTGGTTAGAGGTGTTTGGGTCATGGAGCAAATCCCTCTTGGCTTGGTGCTGTCTCTGTGGCAGCGAGTGCTCACTATCCCCCACCCCCATGCTCTGTCTCTGTCCTGCTTTCGCCAAGTGTTGTGTTTGCTCCTGCTTCTCCTTCTGCCATGATTAAAAGTTCCCTGAGGTGAGTGATGTCAGTGTCATTGTACAGCCTGCAGAGCCATGAGCCAGTTAAATTTTTCTTCATAAATGACCCAGTTTTAGGTATTTCTTTAGAGCAATGCAAGAATGGCCTAATACAAGAATGAATTCAGAATCTTTCCTGTATTCCAAAGGCTGCAGTTACAGGCAACAAACAAAGAACTAACTTTCCCATGCTCAGTGAATATCTACCAATTATGGCATTTTATGTGTTCCAAAATGGTACTGAATTCTTTACATACATTACCTCATTTATTTGAAAAACAATAACATAACTTAGATATTATCTCCTTCTTTCCACAGGTAGAGAAATTGAGCTTTAAGAAAAAAAATCTTGTCTGAGTATATAATACGGGTAGATAACTTAGTACAGAATGCTGTTTTTGGGCCTTAGTTATTATTTTAAAAATCAATATAACTCCAAAATGTGGAAGTATCATAACAACAAAGGAAGAAACAGAATTTCAGAGCCAAAAGTTCTCATCCAGTTTAAAGGGAAAAAAAAGAGCCATCAAACTTTTAGGGATCCAATGTCACTACCAAGGCCATTTTTCATGTAGCTAGATAGATAAATAAATAAATAAATAAATAAATAAATAAATAAATAAATTTGTTCTAGTTTACAGATCCCATTGGTGAAACCGTCCCATCTTTACCTGAGAAACTGAACTGTTCAAGACAATTAAGCTTCCGCATTCTAATTTCAACTCAACAAACACCCTTCTCATTCTCACACAGGCACGTGTACATGAGAGATTTTTTTTTTTTAGATAAATTCTTAACTGTGTAGCCCAGGCTGGAGTGCAACGGCACGATCTCAGCTCACCGCAACACCCGCCTCCTGGGTTCAAGCAATTCTCATGCCTCAGCCTCCTGAGTAGCTAGGATTACAGGTGCTTGCCACCAGCCCAGCTAATTTTTGTATTTTTAGTAAAGACAGGGTTTCACCATGTTGGCCAGGCTGGTCTCAAACTCCCGACATCAGATGGTTCACCCGCCTCAGCCTCCCAAAGTGCTGGGATTACAGGTGTGAACCACAGTGCCCAGCCAAGATTTCTAAAAACTCCAATGAACTTTCAATACTTTGACCTTGGCCAGGCACGGTGGCTCACACCTGTAATCCCAGCACTTTAGGAGCCTGAGGCAGGCAGATCTCCTGAGGTCAAGAGTTTGAGACCAGCCTGACCAATATGGAGAAACCCAGTCTTTACTAAAAATACAAAATTAGCTGGGTGTGGTGGCATGCACCTGTAATCCCAGCTACTTGGGAGGCTGAGGCAGGAGAATCGCTTGAATCTGGGAGGCAGAGGTTGTGGTGAGCTGGGATCGTGCCATTGTACTCTACCCTGGGCAACAAGAGTGAAACTCCATCTCAAAAAAAAAAATATTTTGACCTCATATTCTATCAATAGATGGCTTTTGATTATGACTTTGTTTCCCATGCAGCCTAACCAGAGAGGAAACATCCTGATGGATCTTGACAACACCACAACTTCCAACCTTCACAGGCACTACATGATATTGTAAGACAGGAGCAGGCATTCACTGTCGAGTCAAGGTACATTTAGTGTGCATGAGTCGTCTCTCGCAGTCTCACATCCTCAGGCACCAGCAAAAGAGAGTTCACAAAGCAGACTGCCACTCTAATTGACTTTCCCCTAAATGGCATATTTGAATTCTAGATGAACCTTGGATTACTATCTACAGGATGGACAACAGTGCTACCATTTACAGTATGTAAAACACATACACAGTTATTGAATCTTTCCAATTTGGGAAGTAGATAGAACCTGTACCTCTCCCACCTACAGACAGGGAAGCTAAGTCTCATGGAGATGAAAGTATTAATTTAAGGTCTTATATTTAGGGACAGAATCTGCAAGGGAGACCTGTGCACTTAGGTAGAGCTTTCTGTTGTTGTTGTTGTTGTTGTTACATTGATCTTTTTAGTGTTTCATCTTTCTTGAACATTTTTTTTTATTATACTTTAAGTTCTGGGATACATGTGCAGAACATGCAGGTTCATTACATAGATATACACATGCCATGATGGTTTGCTGCACCCATCAACCCATCATCTACTTTAGGTATTTCTCCTAATGCTATCCCTCCCCTAGCCTCCACCCACTGACAGGCCCCAGTATGTGATGTTCCTCTCCGTGTGTCCATGTGTTCTCATTGTTCTACTCCCACTTATGAGTGAGAACATGTGGTGTTTGGTTTTCTATTCCTGTGTTAGTTTGCTGAGGATGATGGTTTCCAGCTTCATCCATGTCCCTGCAAAGGACGTGAACTCATCCTTTTTTATGGCTGCATATTATTCCATGGTGTATATATGCCACATTTTCTTTATCCAGTCTATCATTCATGGGCATTTGCATTGGTTCCAAGTCTTTGCTATTGTGAATAGTGCCGCAATAAACATTTAGCTGTGTCCCAGAGACTCTGGTACGTTGTGTCTTTGTTCTCATTGGTTTCAAAGAATTTACTTATTTCTAGGTAGAGCTCTTCTAACCATTCTATGTGACCTTTCACATAGTTTTCCTTTAAGGGTCACCTCTGTTTCTCTGTATTCTCATGTTTCCCTCATATGCAGAATAACCACCTGGGTGAAGATTGTTGGTATCATTATTAAGTCAAGGATGGGGCCTGAAAATATGTATACTTTATAACCTTAACTGATGATGAGTTTGGTACCCTGGAGGACAAATACTGAGTCTTATGCCTCTTTTTCTAGGCTCTTAATTGCATGAAGTCTGCTTTGTATATAACAAGCACTTACTCCTTACCTGATGATAATTAACATCATCATGGTTAATATCACAGTGATACTGTTATATTCATTCCCTATTTATTTAAAGGCTTTGAGTAAGTTTAACTACTTTAAGTTTTGATTTTCTCATATTTAAAATGGGGCTCATACTAGCCATCTTGTAGTCTTTCCATGAAAACTACAGATAATTTTTGTGAAACACCTAGAACACTTCATAACCCATGGGAGGTAAAATTAATAAGCAGACATGGCCATAGTCACCTCACCTCTGTGATTATTTTATAATCATCATTATCTCTCATTAATGTTTCTTTTGCTGTCTATGGAAACTCACGCACAGAAATATAATAGATATTTAATAATTGGAGCTTGATAAATGCATGTAGTTGATTAATTGATTGTCAAGGAATGGAGGCTGAAGAAGAAAAATCACTAGAAGAGCTCTGGGAGAAGCCAAAGTTTCTATTCCACTTAATTCATTCTGTTCGTCCCAGGTAGACACTCCTACCTTCTTTGCTCATGCCCAAGGGCTGTCCAAAAGCCAACATAGGATCTTTCACTCCAGAGATTGCTTTAACTATCAAGCTTCAATGACATGAACCAAAACCTTAATGTGATCCCTGCTTAGAAATACATGGCATTTCAATCCTCATGCAAAGCAATGTGAGACTACATTAAAAGTATACTCAGACACAACCTGTTTGGGGGTCTACTGACTCAGTCTTAGAGTTTCATAAGAATGGAACATGGAATGGGAATGGGAATAGGAAGACAGTTGAGGCATATTGTGGAAGCAGGATGGTATTTTCCAGAAAATCTCCTACACATGGGCAACAATTTTGGAGGCAGGTTGAATATTCTAAGGTAGCTAGTCATTGAAACTGGCTCTTTCATTTCTATTTCATGGAATTCCACTTAAATGCAATGTAATGCAGGTTGAGAACTTTCTGAGTTCTTGTTAGGAGGTGATGTAAGGCATTTTACTATGCTAATAAAACAAGAAATCATCTTTTCTGGCTGCCACTCTTGAAAATGTTATCTTCCTACTTTCCCAGTTGAGCTCCAAACAATTGTTTTTACTGAAGTCTATTTTGCATTATTAGAATTAGATATTTGGTCTTACTAAGGTTTTCATTTTACTCAGAGGTATTACAGAAATTATTTTCTTATCCTGTGGCTTTGATAGTTTTCTTCATCTTGCCCTAAGGAAAACAAATTAATCTTCATTTCGTTGTAAGTAGACATAAATGTAAGCATCCACATCTACTAAGAGGAGGGTTATGTGTCAAGGATATTAACTGGAAGAATATTTGATCTTTTAAATTGATATCAAGGCAGCACACACAAAGTCTGAAGCTCAGTGAAGACCTTCATAATATTCCAAAAAGCTTACATATAAAAACTTCCTCAGAAAAAATACTATCAACTGCAAGACTGTTCCTTCTATCTGGAGAATTTTAGTCATGTGTCTGTTCATGGGAAAAGGGGAAGATGGAATTAGTCAGCATGAATATTAAAGAGAAAACTGGGATGGAAAGGGGTGACAGAAAGTCAACCAGTGGCCTAAAGAAAGAACCACAGAGAACAAAAAGTACCATATCCCTCCCCCGGCCAGCTTTCGAGAGCTTGTCCTGCCTTAAGGATGTACCCGAGAGATGAAAAGAATGGAAAAGAATACGAAGTTTCACAGCCTGCAAAGTGGCCATATTGGAGGAGGCTAAGCAAAAGGCAGTTGGAAAACGGCCATCAAAATGATTTGCTCCTGTGATTGCAAAGAGGTTGGAGGTGAGGGGTGGGCCAGAAACCAAAACTTCTGATCAGAAAGGCTGGAGTCAAGGCCTGGGAGGACCACGGTGGCTGAGGCTCTGTGTCTTAGAAGCTGATATGTTGGGGAATCCCAGATAGGGACCCACCCACCATGTGGCACAGCCAACAAGCCTTGAGAGAAAAACTGGGCCACTTCACCAAAGCTGCTATGTCAGGTGGCTCCTGTGGAGGTGAGGGGTGGGGGCTAGTTCTCTCTTGTTCTTAAGGAGGTTGTACCTGCAGGACAGGAAAAGCACTCTGCTTGGTCCTAACTATATTTACGTGTGTGCGTGTGTTTGTGTGTGTGTGTGTGTGTGCTGGTTCTTTTTTCTTCTTCTTTAGGTGGTTACCCCCAGGCAATCTGCTCAGTTGGGACATATCTCCATCACCAAAACCCTGTTGACGTTTGGTGATGTCTGGAGGGAGAACCTCAACCTAGAACATTTTCATAGTATGAAGGGAAACCAGACTGAGAATGTAGTCATTTATGATGGGGTTAAAAGTGGTAGTATTTCTAGTACCATGGATTTTCTGAGAACACTCCCTTCCATTGTATAAGCTCACTCATGAGATCATAATGTCATATGAAAAGTTACTTAGTGAGCAGAACTTGTTAGAATGGAAAAATTGGAAGATTCATGAGATATTTCCACCAGTCCACACATTACAGATGGTTATCTGCCTCTATAACGAGTAGCAATACTCTAGAATCAAAACATTTGATTCCTTCAAATTTCTTCCTAGCAGAGACTGGGTAACTCAAAGTCTTCAGCAATTTCCTTTTCACTCCCTAGAGTCGAAAACTTTCCCCATCCTAACTTTTTGACAACAAAGTAATTATTGCAACATATTATGCCATTAAGAAGGTTATTGGTTGTTTATCTTATGTCACCCTGTGTTTCTCGTGAAAGACACCCTAGCCCCGTCGGCAGGACAACACAAACACCTCTCAGGGAAAGCTCCCTTTGCCATCAGCTGGTGTCCTTCATTGAGTATAGATTTCTACTTGTTTCAGTTTCAGAAGTGAACATTGCCTCACCTAAAGCCCCTGAACTCCAGGAGCACCTTTCCCATCCTGTGAGATTTCTTAGTGAAACTATATTGTTGGGCTTAAAGCAGTGTAATAGGGCATCAGCAAGTGAGTCACCATGATGTCATGATGGCTGGCACTGATCTTAATCGCATCAGAAGGCCGTGCTGTGACCTCTTTCTTAGAGGATCCTTAATGTCATTCTTTTCACTTTCTACCCACTTGTGAAGCTACCCCCTTTTCTTTTGCATTTAGATGAGGCTGGGAATTACTCAAAATACTGGAATAAACAGAATGCAAGGTTTGTAATCAAACAGAGGTGGAGCAGTCCCTTGATGATGGCATATGGGGTCCCCTACACCTGGAACCAGGGATCACCCATCCATTAAGTACATTCTTAGGGTATGTGTGCGAGGAACTCTGAAAGAAGAAATGACCCGGAGGCATCATGACAGAATTGCATATATGTTTCAGAATTGGGTCTTCAGAAAAAACTGCTGTCCTTTGCTTCACTCTAAACATGAATTAGCCTTAAAAGTAGCCCACAGCTTTTTTGGGAATGTTTGTAAATCATATTTCTCAATAATGCTCAGTGGTAGATGTACAAGAAGATTCAATCAATTACCTTAACTAAACCATGTATGTTGGGCTATGCAATACATGCCCAATATATAACACTTTACAAACCCTCAGCCAATTGAAAAAGAAAACAAACCACATAACCTTTATTGCAGACAAAGGTAAATTGGAGATGTCACTTAGGCTGAGAGCCATAGAGACTATTCCCTGAGTTCCAGAATTAAACTGATTTCTCCCTCTAGTACCAACTAGTGTTGGAGTGGGGAGGCTCCAGCGAGGGACCCGCACAGTAAGACTTGCAGAGTAAAGGAGCTCAGGTGACCTCATGCTTTCCCTGGGTAAATCCACTCTCAAGTGAGAAAAGGACAGAGCCCAGCTGAGCATGCCATTACTCTCCCCAGAGTGAGCAGAGGAGTCACTCACCTCTGCCAAGACAAGGCACAGTTAGTTACACCCACTGGGTTCTAGTCACAGGAAGGAAACACCAGGAGATGGAAGCAAGCTGTTGCCACAGCTATGCAGACATGGTTCAATCAATATTCTCTTAAACAGCTGAGGTTCAACCTGTTACTAAACAGGGAGATTCCATACCAGATTAGGATAGGGTGGTGATATTGTGATGTCTCATGTCGTATGTCAAAGCTAAGGCTGAGATCACGAAGAACGTAGAGGTGACATAAGATGTTTTGATAAATTATGCCTTGAGAATAGGCAAAAGAAATCACTTCCTAGTTAAAAGCTAAAATCAGCCATCGAGCACACAGAGCAGAATGTCAGTTCTGTCTTTAGGGAATGAAGGAAAGTGTGAACAGGCTGCCCAGGCATAGTTGAGGGACAGCACCCATTTCAGGGTCACACAGGGGAGGAGCTGGGCAAACATCCCATCAGAGAAACATGCTCCTGGAAACAGGTGAATCCCGAGCCTGCACTGAGGGAGCAGCCTGCCTCTGTAGGCCAGGCAGTCCCTAGCAGGAGGGAGAGCTCCTGGCCCTCAGTCCCAGCTTGCTTTGCTGGAGCAGCCAACTTTTTCTGTACCTGCCAATCTCCTCTCCAAACTAACACAGGGGATCTAGACTTCTTCAGGGACTAACACCACCCTCTACATCTTTCCATCACGATTGATCTCAGGGGAGGTTCTAGAGTTCCTATGTGGGGGAAGCTTGGAGGCAGCTCTCTGGACACAAGGCGGAGGACTAGGGTTATTATTCTTATCTTGAAAGTGCTTCTGATCAAACCCCCTTATATTGTAGATTTAGCTTGGCATGTCTTGAGGCAGGGAGAAGTATCTTCATTTCCTGCAGCTAAAAACCATAAGAAATATGCTTCTCATCAAAGTTAAATGTACTGCTTTATTGCAGCAAGGGAGACAGCATGGCATGGAGAACCATGGCATCTCAGTGACAGGGGCTTTGAAAGGATGTGGGTTTGCATATGAGATTTTGGAAATGACTCAAGGAACCACCGTTGTGCTCTGGACAACGCCATCAGAAAGCAGCGATGATTCTGTGGTTGGCGCTCCCAGGGAATCCTATCCAGGTGTGAGGAAGCAGGAATCACTCATAGTGGCTGTGAGAGAGTGATGTTTGGTCATATGCGGTTTTGTGATTTGGGCAACATTATTACTTTTGTCTGTGTTCAGAGGTGATTGCTGAGGTGTGTGTGTGTGTGGTTGGTTGGTTTTTGTTTTTTTCTCCATAATCATCAGAGTGGCTTTATCTGCTGCTGATGTTTTATGAAACTGTTTCTGTGCAACCGGAGGACCCCCTGGCTGAGCTGATAAAAACACACACAGCGCCAATTGTTTTATAATTGCTTATGGTCTCTGGTGATTATGGAAGGACTTAATTCCCCTCAAGCCACCCATGGTCTTTCAGCCAGCTTGTAAACCACATAACTTAGCATTATTCTTCATCTCTTAAAAGAATAATAGTGCTGATAATGATAATAACAATCAGAATTGGTATTAACACACACACTGCAGGGTTACCTGTGGAGCCCTCTCCACATACACTCAGGGCTCTCCCAGAGCATTCTTCTTGCTGGTCAGGCTATGGCAAAGTCCCTTTAGGTGAAGAGCCAATGGCATCATATTCTAAGGATCACAACCACCTGGAATCTGGTTAGAAACTCCTGCAGGCAGGAGAGGATTAGGGACAAAGTGGTGTTTAAGAAAGCTCTCCCAGCACCATTTATTAAATAGGGAATCCTTTCCCCATTGCTTGTTTTTCTCAGGTTTGTCAAAGATCAGATAGTTGTAGATATGCGGTGTTATTTCTGAGGGCTCTGTTCTGTTCCATTGATCTATATCTCTGTTTTGGTACCAGTACCATGCTGTTTTGGTTACTGTAGCCTTGTAGTATAGTTTGAAGTCAGGTAGTGTGATGCCTCCAGCTTTGTTCTCTTGGCTTAGGGTTGCCTTGGCGATGCGGGCTCTTTTTTGGTTCCATATGAACTTTAAAGTAGTTTTTTCCAATTCTGTGAAGAAAGTCATTGGTAGCTTTATGGGGATGGCATTGAATCTGTAAATTACCTTGGGCAGTATGGCCATTTTCATGATATTGATTCTTCCTACCCATGAGCATGGAATGTTCTTCCATTTGTTTGTATCCTCTTTTATTTCCTTGAGCAGTGGTTTGTAGTTCTCCTTGAAGAGGTCCTTCCCATATGTAGAAAGCTGAAACTGGATCCCTTCCTTACACCTTATACAAAAATCAATTCAAGATAGAGTAAAGACTTAAATGTTAGACCTAAAACCATAAAAACCCTAGAAGAAAACCTAGGCATCACCATTCAGGACATAGGCATGGGCAAGGACTTCATGTCCAAAACACTAAAAGCAATGGCAACAAAAGCCAAAATTGACAAATGGGATCTAATTAAACTAAAGAGCTTCTGCACAGCAAAAGAAACTACCATCAGAGTGAACAGGCAACCTACAAAATGGGAGAAAATTTTCGCAACCTACTCATCTGACAAAGGGCTAATATCCAGAATCTACAATGAACTCAAACACATTTACAAGAAAAAAACAAACAACCCCATCAAAAAGTGGGTGAAGGACATGAACAGACACTTCTCAAAAGAAGACATTTATGCAGCCAAAAAACACATGAAAAAATGCTCACCATCACTGGCCATCAGAGAAATGCAAATAAAAACCACAATGAGATACCATCTCACACCAGTTAGAATGGCAATCATTAAAAAGTCAGGAAACAACAGGTGCTGGAGAGGATGTGGAGAAATAGGAACACTTTTACACTGTTGGTGGGAGTGTAAACTAGTTCAACCATTGTGGAAGTCAGTGTGGCGATTCCTCAGGGATCTAGAACTAGAAATACCATTTGACCCAGCCATCCCATTACTGGGTATATACCCAAAGGACTATAAATCATGCTGCTATAAAGTCACATGCACACGTATGTTTATTGCGGCATTATTCACAATAGCAAAGACTTGGAACCAACCCAAATGTCCAACAATGATAGACTGGATTAAGAAAATGTGGCACATATACACCATGAAATACTATGCAGCCATAAAAAATGATGAGTTCATGTCCTTTGTAGGGACATGGATGAAATTGGAAATCATCATTCTCAGTAAACTATCGCAAGAACAAAAAACCAAACACCGCATATTCTCACTCATAGGTGGGAATTGAACAATGAGATCACATGGACACAGGAAGGGGAATATCACACTCTGGGGACTGTGGTGGGGTGGGGGGAGGGGGGAGGGATAGCATTGGGAGATATACCTAATGCTAGATGACGAGTTAGTGGGTGCAGCACACCAGCAAGGCACATGTATACATATGTAACTAACCTGCACAATGTGCACATGTACCCTAAAACTTAAAGTATAATAAAAAAAATTAAAAAAAAAAAAAGAAAGCTCTCTGTGGCTGGGCGTGGTGGCTCACATGTGTAATCCCAACACTTTGGGAGGCCAAGGCAGGCGGATCACAGGGTCAGAAGTTTGAGACCAGCCTGACCAACATGCTGAAACCCCGTCTTTACTAAAAATACAAAAAAACTTACCCAGGCATGGTGGTACGTGCCTGTAATCCCAGCTACTCAGGAGGCTGAGGCAGGAGGATCGCTTGAACCCAGGAGGCGGAGGTTGCAGTGAGCAGAGATCGAGGCACTGCACTCCAGCCTGGGCAAGAGAGGGAGACTCCTTCTCAAAAAAAAGAGAAAGCTCTCCTCAACATCTTGCCACACAGACTGAGGGGGGATATGGCACTTATCAATTTCACGTGTCCGGGACACAGCTCTAGAGATGGTACCTGGAGAACCATCATCACCTTTCTACAATGCTCACATTTAAATAAAAAATTAGTCTCCATTCAGCCCAGATTCATGAATTGATAGCTTTATTACCTGGGAGGAAAAATATTTGCTGACATAAATGAATACAAAAGACAGCAGCAGTTTCAAGGAGAAACAGTGAAAACACACAGCAGGCTAGAATTTTACAAATCATTAGATTTGTTTACTCTATAAATATGCAATTCATTCAGAGTAATTAATCTGAAAGGGAACATTAGTTAAAATTTATTTGTGTTGTTCAGGTGCCTGAGCAATTTAAAATCATTTTCCAAGGAGAATGATACCTGAGATGATCAAATAAGTATATTCTGTGGATTATGGGCACCTATAACGTTGTGACTCAAAAGCTCAAGCAGACTTCCTGCTTCTTACTCTGTTTTTCTATTTCCCTGTCTCCCCTGCCCTAACTCTCTCCAGACGCTATAGATGAAGAAGAAATTTCTCTGCATGTCTCTGTGCCAGCATCAGGTGCACCTAAGGTGCAAACTGGGGTGTAGCAGTAAGCTGAGGAGTGGAGCAGTAAGCTAAGGAGTCTGACTCCAAGTGTCTGTCATTACTACTGCCACTGTGCTAATCAGAACCTGGAGTGAGGTCATGCCAACTCCATCCTCAGCCCATTATCTCCCAATCTCAACCCAAGCTCAACTCTTGATGACTGGTGTAAACCTTGTTGCTCACACAATTTCTCTATACCAAAGTGGTCAGGGGTGTTGCTTATTCAAGATTGGCAGATATGTGAACCACGATCTCATTTTCCACCTCTCCGCTCCATGTACCCCATGCTCCCAGCACACAATTTTTCATTAGTCCTTAAACAAGCAATGCTCTTGGCAGCTCTTTGCTTTGTACATGCTGTGCAGCTGCCCAGAGCATCCTTACCACATCTCCTTACAACACTCTAACAACTCCTAAAGACCCAGATGGAGTTCCAACCCTTCTGTGAAATTTTTTCCCAAATCCCTCCGTTTCATCATCTTCTATCCCTCATAGCCTCTGTAAAAGTCTCTATGAGACCATGGACCACTTTTACCGTGGTTTGCTTGCACTTCTATCTCTGCCAGATCACCTACCAACTCTACATGGGCTTGGAAAAGAGACGTAAGTGTTCCATATATTACCCAAATATGGTCTCCCCAGGATCACCCACAGCATATAATTTTTAGAATTTTTTTCTTCCACCACATCATATCATAATATATTAAGTGTCTCCCTATTTGACATTATTGTGGCTCCATAATTTTGTCACAGCTCTAGTTTACTTTTTGCCATGTTGTTTTAATGATATTTTTTCATGCCTCCTTAAGATTACAAAGAAGCCTTCATACGTTTTCTCTATGAAAAGTAAAATATTGAGAAAAGAATTGGAGAACAGGAGATTTATAATTTCAAAGTTGAGCCCCCAAAGCAAGTATGAAAAGGTATTCAAAATTTGAAAGAGGAAAGAAGGACTAGATTTATTTTTGTGTGTTAGCTCACGGTATTGATTTTTTTAACCAACGGTGGTTTTGGGTAAGACAGAAGCCACAGCTGAACTGATGAACTAAAGTCCTATTCAACTTTAGATATTTCTCTTCAATAATCTCATCCTTTTTCTCCTTTCTTTTTACTTTCACAAAGCAGGGGGCTATACTGGTTCAATATGAGAGTTCTCCAGAGAAACAGAATTGGTAGGAGGTACATATGTAGATAGATAGAGTTATCATGAGGAATTGGCTCATACGAATATAAAGACTACAAAACCCAGACCCAGGAGAGCCAACAGTATGTTCCGTCTCAATTTGAAGGCCTGAGAATCAGGGGAGCTAATAGTGTAAGTTCCAGTCAGAATTTGAGTCTGAAGGCTGGAAAATATCAATGACCCAGCTTGAAGACAGTCAGACAGAAAATGACTTCTTTTTTTTTCTTACTCAGTCTTTTGTTCTACTGAAGCCTTCAACAGATTAGATGAAGCTCACCTACATTGTGGAAGGAAACCTGTTTTACTCCTTCTATCAATTGAAATGTTAATCTTATCCAGAAACACCGTCACAGACATACTCAGAATATTGTTTGACCAAATATCTGGGCACCAATGACCCAGTCAAGCTGACACACAAAAAAATGACCTTTCCCAGTTTTTGTGAGAGATCAGAGATTGATCCTAAAGGAGGGAAAATAAGAAAATAGAAAAACAGACAAACAAAACGACAAAACTTCTTTCCTTAACTGATATGCTCACCATTTCTGACCCTTTAAAACAGGTTTCTGGACTTTGCCCCTATTGATATTGGGGCTTAACAATTCTCTGTTGCGTGGAAGTCTTCTCTATTGCAGGATGTTTACCAGCATCCACTACATGCCAGTAACACTGCTCCCCAAGTTGTGGCAACCAAATATCCCCTGGGGGGCAAAATCACCCCCGGTTGAGAACTACTGCTCTGCAGCCACAGTTCCCAAACTGTACGCTGAGGTTCCCTGGGGCACTGAAGGAACTCGCAAGGGTACCAAGGCATGTCTTACAATTTCTAGGGAAACACAGTGATATTTGTCTAACCCCCACAGGAACTACTAATCTATAATTTGTAGTTTATAATGTTAACATTAAATGACTATATTACTTTTGGTAATATTCTGTATTTGTGAATCTGAGTTTCAGGAATAGCAAAGTACTGCATCAAAAATCAGTGTGGAGCAGGAAATTAATATGGCAGTATCCAATCTGATTCCAAGGTTGGGAAATTCATTCTGTGCAATAGTGGTAACTTATCATAATTCAAATGTTTACAAAATTGTTTGTACTTAGCTGTATAATTAACTGAATTGTAGGTATTTATTTTGCCCTAGGAGTCCCGTGAAGAAACAATTGAGGTGATACAGCTACCATGAACCAAGAGAGTTTGAAACCTCTGCCCAAGATGTGCCCATTCCTAATATGTAGGGTGAGGAATCACCTTTTGCATATGTACTTTTTTTTCAAAATTTAGTATGTGTACAACACTGAACATAATTTTTGTGGGGGACATATGTGAGGGAGTTTGGATATAAGCAGATACCATAATTCTTTTTACCACTCATTTGAAGATGAGTTGATAAAGCTGCCCATAACATTGGTATTGTTAATAAGCCCAAGGACATTTTGAGGGTGTTTACAAGACTATTGTAATTGACTTTCTCTTTTAGTCTTACTAAATAATGTGCATGATATTACGGAGACCTTGACTATCACCTCCACTGCACACAAAACACACTTAATAATTTTCTTGGGTTCAACAAGATCTTTGTATAGTGTAAGGAAGCAACCCTCCTTTAGAAGGGGAATCATTGAGGCAAGGACCAGGAAAGGAGAAGCATTCTTGACCTCAGGAAAAGCTGATAGAAAGAAGGTATCAAGAAAGATGAGGAAAGAGAGAAGATCCTACAGCTAAGAGAGGAAAAGTAATATTGTAGATGCATGTAAAGAAGACATTTTGGTACCGGGTGCGGTGGCTCATGCCTGTAATTCAAACACTTTGGGAGGCTGAGGCAGGTGGATTGCCTGAGCTCAGAAGTTCGAGACCAGCTTGGGCAATATGGTGAAGCCCCATGTCTACTAAAATACAAAAGAAATTAGCTGGGTGTGGCAGCGTGTGCCTGTAGTCTCAGCTACTTGGGAGGCTGAGGCAGGACAATTGCTTGAACCTGGGAGGCGGAGGTTTCTGTGAGCCGAGATCGTGCCACTGCACTCCAGCCTCACTCCAGCCTGGCAACAGAGCAAGACTCCATCTCTATAAATAAATAAATAAATAAATAAATAAATAAATAAATAAATACATTTTGATGCCTAGTTAAGTGAGAAAAGACAATGGTGGCTAAACAAAACAAGTGGGGGCCTGGAAGAGAAAAGAATCTAGAAGATGTATTTTAGAAAAATATCCACATAGAGGATAATATTGTGAGGAGAAGGAAAGAATATTTGCATTAGAGGAGGAAGAATTAGAACAAAGTTGGATACCCTTGGAGAATAAATTTCTGTATCTAGACCAAGCTGAATTTGATGGAGTGTTGCCCTATCGATAAGAAAAACTGGACAAATAAATGCATTAAATTTAATCAGCTTTGGTAGATCATGTTTACAAAGATGGTAGCAAACATATTACCAACCCTACATGCTCTTTCACAATGTAACTTTGTCATCCCTGATCTAGAGATGGAATCAAATTCCTTTCCTCTTGAATCTGGGCTGGCCCTGTGGTTAATCTGAAGGTAAATCATGTTCTGGGACTTCTGAGCTCAGGCATTAAAGAGACCTGGAAGCTTCTGCTTTTGTGCTCTAAGGGAAATTGGCTATTATCTAAGAATTTGAACTAATCTCAAATGACCATACTGCAAGAAGACAAACATAGCCTTGTAAAGACATCATGTGGGGCAAACCAAGGATCCAACCCTCAGTCCCTGCTGAGCTCCCAGCCAGCCGTCTGGAGTGAGGCATAGGAGTGAGGCCATCTTGGAAACGGAACTTCTAATCCTAGTAGAGTCATCCCAATTGAGGCCATACAGAGCAGAGTTCAGTTGTGTTCAATGAGCCCTTGCCAAATTGTATCATTTTGAGCACATCAATGTTATTTTAAGCCACTGAGTTTTGCAATGTACAATTTGAGGTTCTCTAGCCTCAACAGATTATGTAAATACAGATGTATATAAATAGTGGTTGCCCCAACTTACTGGGCTCTTGACTACACTTGACTTACTTAAGTTAACTCCCATAGGCTTTCTCTGAATGAGTTAGGGCCCAGATAAGAAAACAGGCACCACTCTAGAGAGTTCAAACAGGAGAAATTCAGTACAGGGATCTGTAGCACATGAGAAAGAAGAAAGAGAAAGCAAATGCTAAGCAACCCAGGGTGTTGATAAACACTTGAAAGCTGCTAACATCCCTGGGACTGAGCAATAGGAAGGGGAAAAATAACCAGAATCCAGAATCTAGAATTGTCTTATGGAGACCGCCTGGTGGAAGTGGGGACCACAGAGAGTGAGGTTGACCAGAAGGAAGTGGATCCACAAAGAAGATTCAGTCTTTTTTTTTCTTTTTTCTTTTAGATGGAGTTTCGCTTTTTTCTTGTTGCCCAGGCTGGAGTGCAATGGCACAATCTTGGCTCACTGTAACCTCCGCCTCCCGAGTTTAAGCCTCCACCTCCCTAGTAGCTGGGATTACAGGCGCCCACCACCACGCCCAGCTAATTTTCTTTCTTTCTTTCTTCCTTTTTTTTTTTTTTTTTTTCCTATTTTCAGTAGAGACGGGTATTCACTATATTGGCCAGCCTGGTCTCAAGCTTCTGACCTCAGGCGATCCACCCGCCTCTACCTCCCAAAGTGCTGGGAATTACAGGCATGAGCCACCGTGCCCAGCTGAAGATTCAGTCTTCTTTAGGATTCCTACTTCTGTCTCCAATTCCCCTCATTTTCATTTGATCCAGTGTATGACTGCAGCGACTGATATGTTAAAAAAACAATTTAAGTGGAAAACACTATGTTATATGCAAAATTATCCAACATCTGGGATAAGAAAAGTCTGATACAGTTTTCTAATCATATAGGAAACCTCCTCTTCCCTGAAGCTTCAGTCTGCATTCAAATTCACTTCTGATGAATTAATTGCCAAGTACACTGCCCAGACACATTAGGAATGCAGAAATGTGCTGACCTCACCAAGCCAGAGTGACACTGTTGTCAGGGATAGGGTCACGGGTAGGTGACCTCACAAGTGGGAGCCCTACACTGCGTAATTTCCTTTCTTGTTGAGGAAATTTGAGGAAGTGTGATTCCTAGAGCCAATCATTTGATTCATTATTTTCCCACCTCTTTCTTGTTTACTCATTTCTCTGACATCTTCCCATAAACTTCATATGTCCTCCTGGGCTGTGCCCTGTAAAATGTTCTTTCTCAGGCCACTAAACCCCCGGGTTATGTGTTTTGTTACCTTGGATTCTTAGGGTGTGCAGCCTAAGTCCAGGCCAGGGGAGGAGATGGTGAAGCAACGTTGCAAAGGAACAACACCCTGGGAGGAATTAGCCTCTTCAACACTGGGTGGGAGGGGCAAGGGGATAACCAGAAAGGAATGATTAAAATCTTAGCCAAGAACCCAGAATGAAATGGGAACCTGCTGGGATCAACCTCAGACATCTCTAACTCCCTGATCGCAGTCATTAAAATGTGCCTCCTGGTGGTGTAATATCGATCCTTATATGTCTCATCCTTTATAAGCAGTAATCACTTTACACAAAAATATAGGTCAGTCAATAAGAAGAGCCTTTCCAAACAATTAAATGTGCTGGTCTGATGTCTATTGGGATATCAGAATCTTTAGGAACTCATGAGCAATTTCATTATTGAATCACAGTGGGGAAAGGAAATTAAAAAGTTAAGGATTTAAAAAAATACAAATGTAAGAATATTAAACCAATTGCCTATTAAGACATCCTTAGTTGATTTAAAGCAACTTCTTCATCATCCTAGTTTTATATTTTGGTGAGAAAACAAATTTCTGTATAAAGTGTTGTGCTATTTTAAGAGCAAAGCTTCTTTGTCTACTATATTGTTACAGAAAATTTTTGTAGAAATTTTTTTTTTACATTTTAAAAATGAATCCACCACAATTCACAATTGCAGAAATATGGACCCAACCTAAATGCAACCAACAAGTGGATAAAGAAAATGTGGTATATATACACTATGGAATGTTACTCAGCCATAAAATGGAATGAAATAATGGCCTTTGCAGCAACTTGAATGGAGTTGGAGGCTATTATTCTAAGTGAAGCAACTCAGAAAAGGAAAACCAGGTATCATTTGTTCTCACTTATAAATGAGAGCTAAGCTATGAGGACACAAAAGTAAAAGAATGATAAGATGGACTTTGGACACTCATGGGGAAGGCTGGGAGTGGGTGAGGGATAAAAGACTACATGTTGGGTACAATGTATATATTGCTTGAGTGACAGGTGCACCCACATCTCAGAAATCATCACTCAAGAACTTATCCATGTAACCAAACACCAGCTGTCCCCCAAAAACTATTGAAATAAAATTAAAAAGTAAAATAAAGCCACCACTAACACATTTATTTTAAAATTGAAATTTTCCTTCAATGGGCCTCTGGAAGCACCCATCACTGGCCATCCTACAGAGACAAGGACAACACAGTGACGAGGAGGAAAAGGAGAGGCATGGACCCTCAATCGTGTAGCGGGAAGCTATGAGCACCCTGTTTAAAGCATTTTCTACTACAATAACCATAGTTTCTTCTATTTACCCTCCTTCCTGAGTGTACTAGCATTACATCTCAGTGACCTAGGATGGAATAACCAAAGGAAGGTTTAAACTGTATGCCTCTCTTTGCCTTGTGAAAACCATGAGGACTGTCTCACTGAAGGAATCCTGCAGAGCTCTCCTGGAGCAGAAAATCTAAAAGCACCCCTCGTAACATCACCCTTCCTTCAAGACACACTGCAATATTTTATCCCTATAGCAGCCACCACTGCCCTCACCCCCCATCCCCCAATATCTTTGTACTTTCAGGCACAAGTGACATAATTGCAAGTCAGGAAAGAGTCTGGATAACAAGAAGCTGGGCAGTGGTGGACATGATGCAGGCAGTGCCTGGGCAGTTTTCTCAGCTCCTGTAAAATAATTATTTTATTTCTCCACCACTAATGACAATCATGGTGATGACCCCACAGTTCTGATGGGATTAGCCACACTCCAGTGACTGGCCTTGGCAGTTTTCTTGGTTCAATAGTCAGAAGACTTCTATTTTCAACATGTGTGTTATTTTCCCCTTTTAAAAGTTGAAATCATGTAAATTTCTAAGGATCAAGTAAAAACATGCAGAGGAGAAAAACATGTATTTTTCTAATAGATGGACATTTTCCAGAAACAAAATATTTGCAAAATATTTTAAGCTGGTCATGGAAACAATGGTCTCCACAGTTGCTCCCAGTATTATTGATGACCCAGTCTCCATTTGTCTAGCTGGCAGTTCTCGATGGCTCAGCAACATTGAGTTGGGGGCACCGATCTTAGAAATAAGAGCTGCCATATACTGGAACTTAACCTAGTAAATGATACTGTTAATCCTAGTTAAGCTGAAGTCCAAATAATTGGAAAGCAAAGAATAGTTCATGGATGTTTCTTTATGCTCCTAAACACTGTGAATTATTTCTCAGTGATGTTACCTGAGAATATTTATAAATACCTGAAAAACCAAGGACCAATCATTTTCAGAATTAAATCACATTAGAACTCAGGACTAAGAAACTCACTCAAAAACACACAACTACATGGAAACTGAACAACCTGCTCCTGAATGACTACTGGGTACATAACAAAATGAAGGCAGAAATAAAGATGTTCTTTGAAACCAATGAGAAAAAAGACACAACATACCAGAATCTCTGGGACACATTTAAAGCAGTGTGTAGAGGGAAATTTATAGCACTAAATGCCCACAAGAGAAAGCAGGAAAGATCTAAAATTGACACCCTAACATCACAATTAAAAGAACTAGAGAAGCAAAAGCAAACAAATTCAAAAGCTAGCAGAAAGAAAGAAATAACTAAGATCAAAGCAGAACTGAAGAAGATAAAGACACAAAAAACCCTTCAAAAAATCAATGAATCCAGGAGTTGGTTTTTTGAAAAGATCAACAAAACTGATAGACTGCTAGCAAGACTAATAAAAAAGAAAAGAGAGAAGAATCAAATAGATGCAATAAAAAATGATGAAGGGGATATCACCACCGATCCCACAGAAATACAAACTATCATCAGAGAGTACTATAAACACCTCTATGCAAATAAACTAGAAAATCTAGAAGAAATGGATAAATCCCTGGACACATACACCCTCCCAAGACTAAACCAGGAAGAAGTCGAATCTCTGAATAGACCAATAACAGGCTCTGGAAATGAGGAAATAATTAATAGCCTACCATCCAAAAAAAAGTCCAGAACCAGATGGATTCACAGCCGAATTCTACCAGAGGTACAAAGAGGAGCTGGTACCATTCCTTCTGAAACTATTCCAATCAATAGAAAAAGAGGGAATCCTCCCTAACTCATTTTATGAGGCCAGTATCATCCTGATACCAAAGCCGGGCAGAGACACAACAAAAAAAGAGAATTTTGGACGAATATCCCTGATGAACATCGATGTGAAAATCCTCAGTAAAATACTGGCAAATCGAATCCAGCAGCACATCAAAAAGCTTATCAACCATGGTCAAGTCAGTTTCATCCTTGGGATGCAAGGCTGGTTCAACATACGCAAATCAATAAACATAATCCATGACATAAACAGAACCAACGACAAAAATCACATGATTATCTCAATAGACGCAGAAAAGGCCTTTGACAAAATTCAACAGCTCTTCATGCTAAAAACTCTCAATAAACTAAGTATTGATGGAACATATCTCAAAATAATAAGAGCTATTTATGACAGACTCACAGCCAATATCATACTCAATGGGCAAAAATGGAAGCATTGCCTTTGAAAACTGGCACAAGGCACGGATGCCCTCTCTTACCACTCCTATTCAACATAGTGTTGGATGTTCTGGCCAGGGCAATCAGGCAAGAGAAAGAAATAAAGGTATTCAATTAGGAAAAGAGGAAGTCAAATTGTCTCTGTTTGCAGATGACATGATTTTATATTTAGAAAATCCCATCGTCTCAGCCCCAAATCTCCTTAAGCTGATAAGCAAATTCAGCAAAGTCTCAGGATACAAAATCAATGTGCAAAAATCACAAGCATTCCTATACCCCAATAACAGACAAACAGAGAGCCAAATCATGAGTGAACTCCCATTCACAATTGGTACAAAGAGAATAAAATACCTAGGAATCCAGCTTACAAGGGATGTGAAGGACGTCTTCAAGGAGAACTACAAACCACTACTCAATGAAATAAAAGAGGATACAAACAAATGGAAGAACATTCCATGCTTGTGGATAGGAAGAATCAATATTGTGAAAATAGCCATACTGCCCAAGGTAATTTATAGATTCAATGCCATTCCCATCAAGCTATCAATGACTTTCTTCACAGAATTGGGGGGAAAAAAAACTACTTAAATTTCATATGGAACCAAAAAAGAGCCCGCATTACCAAGACAATCCTAAGCAAAAAGAACAAAGCTGGAGGCATCACACTACCTGACTTCAAACTATACTACAAGGCTATGGTAACCGAAATAGTATGATACTGGTAATAAAACAGAGATATAGACCAATGGAACAGAACAGAGGCCTCAGAAATAACACCACACATCTACAGCCATCTGACCTTTGACAAACCTGACAAAAACAAGAAATGGGGAAAGGATTCCCTATTTAATAAATGGTGCTGGGAAAACTGGTTAGCCATATGTAGAAAGCTGAAACTGGACCCCTTCCTTACACTTTATACAAAAATTAATTCAAGATGGATTAAAGATTTAAATGTTAGACCTAAAACCATAAAAACCCTAGAAGAAAACTTAGGCAATACCATTCAGAACATAGTCATGGGCAAGGACTTCATGACTAAAACACCAAAAGCAATGGTAACAAAAGCCAAAATAGACAAATGGGATCTAATTAAACTAAAGAGCTTCTGTACAGTAAAAGAAACTACCATCAGCGTGAACAGGCAACCTACAGAATGGGAGAAAATTTTGCAATCTACCCATCTGACAAAGGGCTAATATCCAGAATCTACAAAGAACTCAAACAAATTTACAAGAAAAAAAACAAACAACCCCATCAACAAGTGGGCAAAGGATATGAACAGACACTTCTCAAAAGAAGACATTTATGCAGCCAACAGACACATGAAAAAATGCTCATCATCACTGGCCATCAGAGAAATGCAAATCAAATCCACAATGAGATACCATCTCATGCCAGTTAGAATGGCAATCATTAAAAAGTCAGGAAACAACAGGTGCTGGAGAGGATGTGGAGAAATAGGAATGCTTTTACACTGTTGGTGGGAGTGTAAACTAGTTCAACCATTGTGGAAGACAGTATGGAGATTCCTTAATGGTCTAAAACTAGAAATACCATTTGACCCAGCAATCCCATTACTGGGTATATACCCAAAGGATTATAAATCATGCTACTATTAAGACACATGCACATGTATGTTTATTGTGGCACTATTCACAATAGCAAAGACTTGGGACCAACCCAAATGTCCATCAATGATAGACTGGATTAAGAAAATGTGGCACATATATACCATGGAATACTATGCAGCCATAAAAATGGATGAGTTCGTGTCTTTTGCAGGGACATGGATACAGCTGGAAACCATCATTCTGAGCAAACTATTACAAGGACAGAAAACCAAACACCGCATGTTCTCACTCATAGGTGGGAACTGAACAATGAGAACACTTGGACACAGGGCAGGGAACATCACACCCTGGGGCCTGTCGTAAGGTGCGGGGAGGGGGGGAAGGATAGCATTAGGAGAAATACCTAATGTAAATGACAAGTTAACGGGTGCAGCAAACCAACGTGGCACATGTATACCTATGTAACAAACCGGCACGTTGTGCACATGTACCCTAGAACTTAAAGTATAATTTTTAAAAAAAGTATTCTAATAACAGTTCATAATATCTTCCCTTGGGAAACAAACCGCTGGCTCTTTTTTCTTCCTTCCCTTCCTCCCTCTCCTCCCTCTCCTCTCCCTCCCTTCCTTCCTTCCTTCCTTCCTTCCTTCCTTCCTTCCTTCCTTCCTTCCTCCCTCCTTCCCTCCCTCTCTCTCTCCCTCCCTCTCTCCCTCTTATTTTTGTTGCTTTTTGTTATTGTTTGTTTCATTTTCCTTATGGGCTGGGAAAGAATGGGAATGTTAAGAAGAAGATGTTTCCAACACCACTTCGACCGATCTTCTGCAGGTATCCTTGGAGTCCTGGCCTCAGGGACCACCCAAGACAGCGGAAAGTGCAGAGGAGCTAAGAAACCAGCTCTAGCTGACTCCAAATCTAAGCTCAGACAATGTAGAAAATTTGCTTGCACCATTTGTTCTTCAGGGCTCAGATTTTCACTTTTGAAATGCAGATGATGACTCCCGAGCAAGTTTTTTATGGAATGAGTTGAAACTCTCTGCAAAGACCTTAGCTCGGTGTCTGCTCTATTTCTTCAAAAGGAAGAAATATCTGTATTTTACTAAACTATGATTGGCTTTATAAAAAGGTATACATATGCAAGTACGAAAACAAATGTAGGGCCTATTTTTTCAAATAGTGAAGAGTAAAATTCCTGAAAATATCTTGAAATACACCCTTTCTATGTATATGCCCTTGGCTGCCATTTGTCTCTACTGGAACTGTCTGTGTGGATGGGAACTCAGACGATTACCATCACAGTCATGATGTTTCAATGTTACCACCATGGAGTTTACCCTATGTCTTAGACATAACACTAAATATCTTCAGATTTAATCAAATTACTTTTAGAAAAGTCAGGGTTTAACAGCTCTACAAGTTTACATCTAAAACTTACCATTACTTTATCTACAGCTGACTTTTGTTTGTGATAATTTGGGAGCACAGGTTTGTTTTGTTCTGGAAGTCAATAAATATATTAAAAAGAGACAACTTTTATGACTCTTGTGCCACATTGTAACTGGAAGAGGAATAAGAATTCAGGAAACAAAACATCATCCACCTACTGAAAGATTCATAACTTCACCTTCCTGATGATTTGAGAGTTGGAATGTAATCACATCCCCTAATGAGTAATAAACTTCATGCATGGAGTGTGTCTGCCATAAATTTTGATCAGCTCACCTACATGTTATTGCTAGAGGCTTGAAAAAAGATTCTCCACCAGCTCAGTACAATGCAATATTTGTTTCCATTTATAAAACCTTGGTTTATTCTATTTACCTTGTTTTCCATGAATAGAATACATTTAAATAGACTATGATTGGGGCAGTTTTAAGAGCATAATATTCTGAAAATTTTCAAGACTGTTAGAAAAGTGTGCTAGCTTTTTAATATTTCTTTTATTTTATATAGTATTTCTTCCTTATTTTACTAAGAAACATGTTTAAAAAATATGCTCAATCAACAGACATATACATGTATAGTAGTTATGGAAATTGATTTATATTCTTCCAAGAATCTCTTATGGGTTACACATGTCTTTATCTAAATTTTCAGGAACCATATCTTCATTTTTCCTTAGTGTTTACAGTAAGGTCATTGAGGACTTACATAATGTGTAGATTGTAAGGTCTGTCAACTGTGGAAGTCTAGACATTCAGCAAACTCATGGCATGTCAAATCTGGGAAAATTTCCCATAGTGACTTCATCACCAGAAAAGTACCATCTGTAAAAGTGCAATAAAAATCAGCTCACACAAATACTACAAACCCTAGTTTATATAGCTATAAACACATTACTTATCTCACTGAAAATTATGAAAAATGACCCAGATTTCTTTGATAGTAATTTAAGCAGTATTTCTTAAATTATTTTTAAACATGTATATGAAATAAGTTAACAGAAATATATCAACTAATGAGATAAGAAAGTTAAAATAACATGAAAATCAGCACACATCAATCCTATTATCTTGGACCTCTGTGCAGTATATGTCATATAATGTATATGGCTATAGCTCTGAAACAAGTAAGATTTATTTTCCAAAGTCTGACATAGTGATTTCGATATGAATTGAATGGATTTAGATGTAGAAATAATGCTAAACAGCAATGGACCAATTCAGAAATCAGACCTTTCCCTTCTGTTAACACGGCGGTAATTTATTACATAAGAGATGTTAATCCTGGGGAGAAATTCTAAATACTCAGGGAATAAGTAATGGCTGGGCCGTAAATGATGAAAATGTGAATGTGTTACATAGATTCTGAATTATTCCTGGCATTCCCTGGGGAGAGAGAATAGAAGTAAGTTGCAATCAGTTGTGATACCTCTGAAAGGAGAGAGAGAAGGAAGGAGGCTGGGCAGCAGCCACCCCACTGCAGGGCTGCTCTGAGAAAGTTTGAGCTTTGTCAATGGGAGTACATGACGGAGATGACCCAGGAGAGAAACCCTGCGTCAAGCAGCAGCAGCCTGCCCTAGTAGCTTTGCTGTGCTTATGTCTGGGAGCAGCCCATGGGAGCATGGCCTCAGTGTGAGCTCAGTGGTGAGGCTGTTGGCCAATGGTGCTCCCTGTAGCCTGTTTCTTAAAGTAAGATCTGAATGGTGCACCCCATGACCACCATAGAGAATTAGTGTGTGATTGTAACAACACATAATGTGTTATAAATTATATAAATATGCATACATGTCAAATTTTAATATGAACCCCAAGTTAACCCAACAACTAACAGATAAATTGACTACTAAGTACTAATCATCCAAGCTAAAATGAGTTTACTACTAAAAAAAAAAAAACCACACCCCCCACACACATTAACACTACTCAGTTTTCTTTATTTTTTAACACTTAAAAACACTTGTCTTAAAGCAGAATTTGCAGAATTTACAGAACTAGTATAAAGGTTTTGCTTTTTTGTTTCTTTCCTTATGAATCTCTTTTTAAGCATATGATATTCTGGTTTTAAAATGGACATCTTTATTTTTTTTTCTCAAAAATTACTCTTGAACACCTTTGGGAATCAATCATTAAGTCAGTGGCCCCTCATCCAAATGTTTGATATTTCAAACAAAATCTACACATTTTGCTTTAAGCATTTGCAATTCAAATGTTCATTCTTTGTGGTATTTCTTTATGATGACATATTCTCTTGGCAAATGAAATGACCATATGTGGCTGGAGAAAAAGAAGTTTTCAATAAAAAGGATAATCCTTCCTTTCTGTGTAATATCTTCAAGCTAAGATTGAATAATAGCAAGGGACGGCAAAAGATTTTTACAGATGCTTCCTCAAACCCTCTTAAACCTGAAATTTTATGGAAGTGGCTTTAATGGCACTAAATATTCTGCTTGTTTTTCAAATAATGTTCTTTTGAGGAATCATTCCTGACTTCCCCTTGAATTATACCACAGGAATAAAAAAGATATCAGTTTAAATAAAACTGGAAAATTCCTTTATTTAAAAGCTTTGATGAATTACACAAAGGATAAGAAATGATTACCAAAGAGCCAGAGAGCTTGAAATCTGGGAGTCTCATACTTTTCACTTAGCACTGGTCTACACAATTTAAACGTATTCACTTTCATACAGCTCTGCCCTTCTCAGTTGGAGCCAGAAGCCTGGCAAAAGTGAGGTAGATTAGTTGCTCTAAAACAATGTTTTAATAATCCTAATATATTTCATACTGAGTAGCTAAGTTTAAAGTATACGGACTAAAGTATAGAACAATAAAACAATACTTGTGAAAACACTATTTGGATAAATGCAAGATACATGTATATATAGCCATATGCTGCATGACAGCATTTCAGTCAATGATGGACTGCCTAGACAAGGGTGGTCCCCTAAGATTATAATTGAGCTGAACAATTCTCATCACCTAGTACCATTGAAGCCATCATAGATGTGTGTACTCTATAGACTGCTGCTGCTCTGATTTAAAAAGAACTTCTGAAGGGTAATGTTTCCATCAAAGGGTTACTCCAAAATGAGCCAAATATGAGAAAATATCCACATAGTGCTGCAAATACCCAAGAAGCACCCCTAAATACTTTCATCGTGAGCAATGTATTTAAGGCCTCCCAAAACAAAATAATATTAGCATGACGTATATTTGGTTAAGTGTCATAAGTATCTTAAAGCACCATCCCTTTCAAATCTCCTTTACAGAACATCACTAAGCTGACCTCTGTATTACAAGGCTAAGAATAATAAGTTTTAAAGAGTGACAATTTTAGAATTTTTCACAATGGTATTTATGCAGGCACTGGTATTTCTAAATGCTGGACTCCCATATTGGAATTATTACTTTATATTCAAACCTCCTAGACCACTTATCAGTATGTATTTCAGCGACTCTAAGTCATTTGCCTTTTCTGTATTTTAGTCATAGAAAATGATGGTAAAGAAAATCTGCTTTTCATTAAAAAATGGCAATTTTAGACTAATGCATTTTAATATCTGTCTACAACTGACCTTCTGTTAGAAACATTTACCCTAAATCTCCTTCATAGTATGAGATCAACATTAAGGAGAAAATATTCTCAGAAGAAAGCATTTCCTTGGAAGAAGAGAACACAGAAAGATACTCATAAACGCTTGGGTTGGTAGAGCTGTATGAACAAAAACAAAGGTTCATTTCCCAGACTCCCTACTCAACTGATTTCCATCAGGGCAGGTAGCTGCACATGTAAATTGTGCTCCCCACCTCCGAAGAGTGGTTCAGGGGTGTGGTCTGAGAAGTAGGGTTAAGGGTTCTCTCCACTTGACCAGGTAAGGAAGGTGCTAAGACAGCATGTCCATCACTTAGAAGCCATACCTGGGAAAAAAGATTCTCAGAGTTCCCTCGTCCACTTGAATATGACCTCTACATATATAGGGGCTTACAGGCACTTTGGGGACATTTCAGATGATGGATCTCTACTAAACTAAGAACATCTGGATTTCCTCATTTACTGACCACTAAAGAGTGATCAGACAGATGTTCTGAGAAATTGCCAACCTGGACCGAATCAAATTGATGATTTGTAGAGGTAGAATTAATATCTCTTTCTAACCTCCTGGGCCAATGAGAATTCCTTAGCACTATTTCTTTTCTTTTTCTTAAAGCACAAATTCAGCTTAAAATAGACACCTGGCTACTTCACTGAAATCAAAGCAAGGGAAATCCACTTAGACTATACTAGTTTCCCAGACATTTTATAAGCTTCTTGAATTTCCTGTTGAACTTAAGGAAAAGTAGAATGACATTTATGACAAGCAACTTACCACAATTTATCCAGTTTTTAAATATACAGGCAAGTACACACTCACATGATTAAATTCAATAAACCTCAAAGATTTGCAACTTTACACCCAAATGCACCTATATATGTATGTGAATATGCACACGCACACATCACACACATATGCACACCCATAAAGAAATAGATAATTTTTTAAAGTAGTACTAGTTTGAAAAATTGCAAAGTTGTTTCAGGGAATATGTAAACAAATCAAAATGTAAGAATAAACTTGGAAATGTGACACTTCTTAGGTGTGTTCCTCTGTCTAGAATTGTTCCTCCCTCTTCTAAGGCCATTGAGGCTTATATCATCCTTAAGGGCTGAACATCTAGATGCTGGGGCCAACTTCTCTATCTCTCTTCCTGCAGTACTTTGGCCACATTAACGCTCTGTGTTGGGAATCTCCACTAGTCTCATCGACAATATTATTTAGTTAGCCATTAATCACATGCTGTTGTCATCTATTGACACAGTCCTATTCCCTATAAACAAATTTTGCTTAATAATAATTTTGACTTCTGCTCAGTTTTCTAATGACTGATTTACCTACAATTTGCCACCCTTTGGTTATTTTTGAATTTTGTATACCTTCTTATTTGATTAATGCATTCTCTTGCCATCTTAAGAAAATTTTAATAATTAGAGTGCATTCTTCATTTTATTATTTCAGAGTTACAACATTTCAAAAAACAACTATGTATTGTTTTCTTTGCTGTATAACAAATTACTGCAACCTCCAGGGTTTAAAACACAATATACATAATATTTTACAGTTTCTATGGGTCTGGATATAGGCGCAGGTGAGCTGGATCCACTACTCAGAGTCTTGCCAGGGTTCGGTCCAGGCATGGGCTGCATTCTCATCTGGAGGCTTAACTGGGGAAAAACCCATTTTTATCCAAGTTCATTTGGGTTGTTGGTATAAATACTTTCCATGTGGGTTTTTGCTGGCTGTCAGCTAGAGGCAGCTCTCAGGTCCTGAGATCACAGACAGTTCCTAGAGGCATTCTGCAGGTGCTTGTCGTGGGTTCCTTTTCAACACGTCACTTGTCTCATCAAGCTGGCAAAGGAAGTCTTTTGTTTTAAGGGAAGGCCCAGTACCTTTTAAAAGTCCTTTTACCTGATTAAGTCAGGCCCACTGAAATAAGGTCTCCCTGATTTTGATGAACTCAAAATCAACTGATTTGGGACTTTAATTACATCTGCAAAGTCCTGTGATCTTTAACATATTCTCTTGGCTAGAAGCAAATTACAAGGTCCCACTCACACTCAAGGAGTGGACTTTATACAGCCAGACTATAGGAATCATGAAGGCTATCTTATCCTTTGCTTGGAAACAATCTGCCCTCTGGCCCCAATGATTCATGTGCCTTCCAAGGGGAAAACACTTGCACTGACTAGAGACCAGCATCTCATCTTCTGTCTACATTAAGTCAAGGCATGGATGAGGCTACTGGGTGAATTATTCTCCTAGAGAAAAATTCCTCCCCATCTGTGAGCTTGAGAACCTAGAGAGATAGTGGGTGGTGGGGCCCGTGTATGATAATAATCCTAAACTACTATAAACATGACCATTGCAAAAGGGGAGAATGGAAGGTAGAAAGGAATCACTAGGCTAAAGCAGCTCTGAAACCCAGTCAGGAAAATATTGGGAACTTCTTGATTGGATTTCAAGACTGGGAATAAATTCCCTGCGATTCTTGGCTCTGCTTTTTTTTTGTTTTATTGTTTTTTTGTTTTTTGAGATGGAGTCTCGCTCTGTTGCCCAGGCTGGAGTGCAGTGGCACAATCTCCGCTCACCGCAAACTCCGCCTCCCGGGTTCGCACCATTCTCCTGCCTCAGCCTCCCGAGTAGCTGGGACCACAGGCACCCGCCACCACGCCCGGCTAATTTTTGTGTTTTTAGTAGAGACGGGGTTTCACCGTGTCAGCCAGGATGGTCTCCGTCTCCTGACCTCATGATCCGGGCTCTGCTTTTTGTGCTTTTGTTTCTACTTACTGAATCATCGATCCTTTTTATGAAAGGTAGTGTGTGTGTTTCCAGCTGGTAGTTTTATCAGCATGTTCATGGTATAGCCTATATGAATGAAATTCAAAGAGACTCTTTAGAGTCAATTTTCTATCCGACCTTCTCACAATTCCATCTTAAGAAGACGTCTGGTATTAGATATACAGATGGTAAAAGTAGCTAATTCTTTAGCTACAAAAAATGCAATAAAAAGTTTATAAAGATAACATGAAAATAGGAAAAACCCTAACAGTCTCACTTATTAATAGAGATATAAAAATGCTAAATAAAACGCTAGAAAATTAATTTAGATAGTAAACAATAATATACAGTGCTGTGAAAGTTGCCAATATCAGGATGAAATTAATTTTGTCAGACCCAGATAAAATAGGGCCAGGAAGGCAAGGAGGAGAGAAGACTCATGTGTACATGTCTAAGAACAGTTCCCAAGGACTTTCCAAAAACACTACAAGAAACCCCTTCACATCCTTCGTGCATCTCCTGCTTTGATAAGGTTTATCACTAGACATTCTTCAGGACTGCAGTAATTCTGGTAAGATGCTCTCAAAAGAATACTTGCCCAGTAGTAGCATCTCCACTAATAAATTCACAACAGCTCTGGCTTTGAGCCTCTAGAATCCATGAAATCTGTTTCTAAGCAGTTCATGAGAACCTCTCCCTTTTTGTTAATAAAAGCTTCTCTTTATCCTTCCCTCACTGGATGCACTGGTGGTTTGCTTTCTGTACATTCCAGATTATAATCCTTTTTTCTCATTTCTGAGTAAACTGAACATATTTGGGGATAATTTTCTCTAGTATTTTTTTTAGCTTAACAATGTCTTAGTAGTGCTTACCTTTAGACATATGAGAAAAGTGTAACATATTATCAAGTAAAAGGAGCAAATCTAAGATGTCCTCTACAAAGTCCATTAGAAGAAAATTCATCTACATTCCTATTTTTTAAGTAAAATAGGAGTAGAATGATATCTCCTTACTATGGTATTAAATTTCTGTCTCAAACAAACATCACAAGTATGTTATTATGGAAATACTAGCCAACATGATTAGATAAAAATGAATTATGAAGTATTAATTGGGATGGAAAGCAGTGAAATTATCAGTGTGTGCAGATGGTATTTTGATTAACTAAAATAAACAGAAGACTTTAATGGAAAACTATTGCAGAGACATGAATTGATGAGATAGGCAGCTTAAAAACACACATGGCAAAATCAAAAGCTTTGCTCTTTTTCGAGCTAGTAGATGGAGAACATGCATCTTCTGCCTGCTAAACAAAATCCCACTGCAATGACAGGTGTGTGTGTGTGTGTGTAATTCATAAACAGGCTGGGGAAAGTGAATGAAGTCATGATGAGGTCATGAGGGGTGGGGAAGTTTTTGAGTAAATTTTTTTAGTAATGTTGGAAAGCAAATGGGATCAGAAAAATGGGGGAATCAGGTCCAAAACCAGTACAGGTCAAGCCTTCTGCTGCCTATAAAGTAGCTCCTCTTTCTCTCCAAGCTCCAGGGAAGTACCTGCTGCCCATCATCCAAATCACAGGACATGTGTGGGCCAAGTGCAGTAAGGATAGTTAATAAAATGGTGGTAGAGGCTGGGCGTGGTGGCTCACGCCTGTAATCCCATCACTTTAGGAGGCCGAGGGGGCAGATCACCAGGTCAGGAGATCAAGACCATCCTGGCTAACACGGTGAAACCCCGTCTCTACTAAAAATACAAAAAATTAGCTGGGCGTGGTGGCGGGCGCCTGTAGTCCCAACTACTCGGGTGGCTGAGGAGGAGAATGGTGTGAACCCGGGAGGCAGAGCTTGCAGTGAGCCGAGATCACGCCACTGCACTCCAGCCTGGGCAACAGAGCGAGACTCCGTCTCAAAAAATAAATTAATTAATTAAAATAAAATAAATAAAATAAAATAAAATAAAATAAAATGGCGGTACAGTACCCGAACTACTGAATTTGTCACATGGAGGCTGGGATCATTACACATTGACTCTGTTTTTCCAACTCAAGCACAGTGTATAAAACCTAGTAGCCAAGTAATTAATGTGTTTGATTACCTAGTAATTAATGTGTTTAATTGAATCCATTAATGAAACAATCAATAATGTTAGAATGAGTGAGAGACGAATGCCATTCCCTTCTCCTCACCCAGAACATTCCCTGCACCAAGATCTTCACAGGAAAACACAAATACTGCTTTCCCAGTAGGATCCAGCTTCCATGAGATGCTGCCCCTTGCCCCACGAAGTATTCTCTACTCCCTTTTTCCTCCTATGAGCTCCCTTTCTGTCTGTTCCAAAGGCTTATTAAATATTCATTCATCAAATAAACAGTGAGTCGCTGCCACATACACAGCCCTGTGCTTAGGGAATACAGCCATACATTGTAGTTATTTTCCACAAAGATTCACTTACATGAAATTTTATTTTACCGAAAATACTTCTAATTTTTTGAAGAACCTCCCTACTAACTTCCATTCCCACCCAGCTGTGTAAGGATTCCCTTTTCTCCACAACCTCACCTTCTGTTACACTATACTATTTGTTTTCATAATCACCATTCTAACTTGGAAAAGGTGATATCTCATTGTGGTTTTGATTTGCATTCTTCTGATGTTTACTGATGTTGAGCATTTTAAAAATATATCTCTTGGCTGTTTGTATGTCTTCTTTTGAGAAATGTCTATTCAGTTCATTTGTTCATTTAAAAATCAAGTTGTTTCTTTATTACTGAATTGAGTTCCTGGTATATTTTGGGTATTAGCCGCTTGTCAGATGTACAGTTTGCACTTATTTTCTGTAGGTTGTTTCTTCAACCTGTTGATTGTTTCCTTTGCTATGTAGAAACTTGTTAGTTTGATGTAATTTTGTTTGTACAATGTTGCTTTTGTTACCTGTGCTTTTGAGGCCTTATCTAGAAAATCTTTGCCCATAACCAATGTCATGAAGAAATTCCTCTAGGTTTTCTTCTAGAAATGTCATAGTTTTGGGTCTTACATTTAAGTCTTTAATCGATTTTGAATTGATTTTTGTATATGGTAAAATATATTATTACTTTCTTATAATAATACTCTTTCTGATCACTTTCTTCTGCATATGGATATCCAGTTTTGTCAACATCATTTATGGAAAAGACTGTCCTTTCCCTAATGTGTGTTCTTGCCACCTTTTTCAAAAACCAGTTGGTGGTAAATGTGTTGATTTATTTCTGGGCTCTCTATTCTGTTCCGTTGGTCAATGTATGTTTTTAATGCCAGTGCCATGCTGTTAGTGTTACTATACCTTTCTAGTCAGGTAGTCAGGTCTTGAAGTTTTTGAGGTGAGTTAGTGTGATGGCTCCAGCTCTATCCTTTTTATTCAATAATGATTTGGTTACTTGAAGTCTTTTGAGGTTTCCTAGGAATTTTAAGATTGTTTGTATTATCCAGCAATCGCTATACTGGGTATATATCCAAAGGAAATGAAATCAGTATGTTGAAGAGATAGCTACACTCCCATATGCACTATTCACAATAGCCAAGATATAGAATTAACCTAAGTGTCCACCAAGGAATAAAATAATAAAAATGTAGTGAATATACACAATGAAATACTACTCACCCATAAAAAAAGAATAAAATCCTGTCATTTCCCACAACATAGATGAACGTGGAGAACATTATATTAAGGAAAATAAGCTAGTGATACATGAATACTGCAAGGTTTGCTAATATGTGGAATCTAAAACAGTTGATCTTATAGAAGTAGAGAATACAATGGTGCTTAGCAGAAGCGGGGTTGCTTGGAGGTGAGGCAGATGGAGAGATGGTCAAAGCATACGTAATAACAGTTAGATTGGAGGGATAAATTTAAAAAGATCTCTCTTACAATAAAGTGACTATAGTTAATGATGACTTATTATATTCTTGAAAAATATGAAGAGAGTAGTTGTTTTGTGCTGTCACTGCAAAAATAACTGTTAGGTAATGCATTTGTTAATTAGCTGGACTTAAGCATTGCATAATGTATACATATTTTACATAATAAAATCATGTGATGTTATCTGGCAATTTAAAATTTTAAAAACATTAACAATAAAAGTAGTTTTAAAAAATCTCCCTTAGACTTCTTATTGATGAAATTGAAATTATAAATGTGCCACTCCAATTATTGGTTCACTTTCAGATAAAGCAGTAACTCACTGCCCTTGACTGACTCCGTTTGTGACTTTGCCAGAATTATAGAATGTAGCATTGTATAAAAAGAGCAATTAAGAAAATCAAAGACAGATGCCTCTAGAGTAAAATCTATGAAAACCTACACTGAGTTTTTAATTTTAGCAGAGTCCCACAGGGTGACTCAAAGGAGACACTTCAGGCAAACATAGGGCACACTGGCCACACTACACTTAAAATATTGTACAGCTTTCATGAGGATGGTTTTGTAAGTAAACCAAAGAACAAAAGTTTATTTTAAAAATATTTGCCATTAAAAAAATAACTATGACAGAGAATAGTCAATGAGATCACCACATAATCCTTAAAATTTAGTTCAAAGGAGAGGGATGTAAAAGGGCTAAAAGAGAAGTCAGGATTCAAATGGAAAATGTGAGGCAGTAGACACAAAAAAGATCCCTTTAAATTGAGAATATATTCAATGATATATTAATATTATAACAAGCTAAAATTTCTACTCCAATATATTTGTAATAATCATAAAATATTAATATTATCCTTTGTTCATCATTCAAGAAAATTATCAGCTGAAATTGATTGAGCTGGCACTTATTATTGGCTTTAAACATACCTTCAGTAATTTTATTCCAACTGGAATTCCTCTGAGTCACCAAAGTTAGGCTAACAAAAATATATACATAAATAAGTAGACATATTAGTAGATAGTTGCCAATACATAAAGTGTCTACATACCACCTGAAAATATTATATTGTTTTTCAACTGATAACACTAAAAAAAATACCAGCTTTAATGTACAAACTTGGATTTTCCAATCACCGATCTCGTGCTTTAAATGCTGTGATATGGCTTTCCTTAGGCCTAGTGACTTTATAACGTTGACCTTGACATCCCTCCTTCAGCTTACTTCAGCTCACCCAGAATAAGGCATTGATTTTGGCCTACAGATTAAAAATCAGCCAGTTATAGTGAACCCATGGAATAAGATTGACTAGTTACCATAATATGTCCAACAATTTTAATTCTGACTGAAAAGGAAGAATATGTTTTGTATTCAGTTTGCCATCAACTATTTCTACTCCAGCTACTGGGAAAATTGTAATACTTACTTAACTATTTTAGGGTCTACACAAAAATAAAGCAGCCTTATGTTCATTCTATATTAGCACTGTGTTTAGTGATGCTCCTTTTCTTGGAAATAATAATGTGGCTGACAATTATTAAGTACTTATGTAATTTGCACTGTTTTAGAGCTATATGCAAAATTTTAAGTTTAGTTTACATAACAACCAAGCAAATGGAGTGAGTACTATTGGCATCACTATACAAATGAAAAAATGAGGCTTTAGGTGGTGAAGGAAGCTGCAGAGAGCCACATCTGTTCAGTAGCAGAGTCAGGACATCAACTCAAGTATATGTGACCACAAAGTACTAGCTCCTATGTTTCCCAGCTACCTCCCTAAACACCTGTGTCATACTTCTCCCCAAAATGTTTCCATTGTCTCCCATTGTTCTTGGGACAAAGATCCCTAAAGAGGCCCCAGACATTGCCTAATTCCTTCAGCTACCTCATCTTGAGCTTAGGGGAAGTATTTAACGCAAAAATGAACAATAATAGCATTGCATCAGAGAACTTCTGGTCCAAGACTGAACACATCTGTTTGTCTCTTCTTCTTGCTGATATTTCATTAAAGTTATAGTAACAGAGTTTCTGAAAGGCATAAACCCAAAATAATGAAGTCTAGAAGGGAGACTTCAGCAGATAATATAATTGGACAAATGTTAAGAAGATGGAAAGATGCAGAAAGACAGAAGAAGTGGTGCAGGGTATGTCTATCTCAAAAAAGTGACTCATAAACCTGTCAGAACTAATAATTTCTTTTTATAACAAATTCTTGGTAATACTTCTTTTATTACATTAAAAAATGTATAAAATGGTAAGTAACGCATGGACAATTTTAAAAAATCAGTATAATGTCTTAACTGTAACTCAAAAGAGAAAAAAGGAAGTAAGTAATTTATTATTATATTTAGCTCAATTTACAAAGTCTTGGGTACAATTCTACTGGAAGACAGTGAAGTTGTTAGAGGTTTCGTATCTACATATAATAGTGGAATTCATCAACTGCAAATATAACATTCAGACAGGTATTTTTGCCACTTATACAATGCAAAAAGGTTTGCCTTTGATATTGGTATTTTCTAAAATGGTGAAAGTCTAAATAGAACAAAGTCATCTTTCCTGTCTTTCAAAATAGATCTATTTCTTGAAAATGCAATGTATATTACTACTTTGTTAAAAATACGCTGTTGCCATAGTTCCTAAAACAAACCTTGATTACTGAAAGACAACATTAAATCAATTTGTGTTACCCCTCAAAGTTCTGAGGGGCAAGGTTTTTAAGCTTAGAATTTTAAGGGTAGGCAAACCATCACACAAGGTAAGAATGAAAACATTTAAAGATATGTACTAATTCAGAGTAGTGCTTTCTTTCTTACAAAGCCACTTAAAGAAATACTTCAAAAAATGAAGCAATCTCTGCAAGAAAAAGAAAAGGAAATCAAGAAATGATTGATTACATGTATAAGAAAAACACAGAAATTTGCAATATGAAAGGGGAACAGCTGATCTACAAAGCAACAAGCAGATGAGAGTCCATGGCTCACCTCTCAGGAGGCTGTACAGAAGGGAAGGGGGAAGTAGGTACTTGATAGAATGGACAGTGCTGCTGAAAGCTAGGGAGACCTTGAGTTCCAATATGAATTAATTGGTCCCATTTAAATTATGAACCTTGAAAAAAAGTTTAAATGATTACAAATGATAGATTAAAAGCATGACAAATAAAAAGATATAGAAAATTTTCTGAAAATGGCTTTTTCTTTTTTTTTCTCTTTTTCCTGGTAAAGAAATGATGGCTGTCACTTCAGGAAAAACCAAAGCATGTCAAACTCAAAACCCAAAATTATATGAAATGTAGCATCTCTTTTTTTTTTTTTTTTTTTTTTTGAGATGAAGTGTCACTCTTGTTGCCCAGGCTGGAGTGCAATGGCACGATTTTGGCTAACTGCAACCTCCACCTCCCAGATTCAAGCGATTCTCCTGCCTCAGCCTCCCAAGTAGCTGGGATTACTGGTGCTCGCCATCACGCCTGGCTAATTTTTTATATTTTTAGTAGAGACGAGGTTTCACCATGTTGGCCAGGCTAGTCTTGAACTCTTGACCTTCAGGTTATCCACTCACCTCAGCCTCCCAAAGTGCTGGGATTACAGGTGTGAGCCACCACACCCAGCCTGTAGTATCATTTTTAAGCAACTGCTGAAGTACAAGAAAATACTGAGTTAATTGCTTACTCATTCTTCAGATAGAAAAGAGCAAGGATTGCCTCTCTCCATGCAGAAATACTGATGCAAACTTCTCTCGCTCTGTGTGGACGTGCTGGACAGTGTCTTCCAGTGTGGCCTCCAGAAAGACAGGGAAAGTTCCAGAAGTCTGCCTGTGCATGATAGTTAATTTTAATGTGTAAACTTGCCTGGGCTGTGGCACCCAGTTGTTCGGTCCGTTACTAGTCTCTATGTTGTTTTGAAGGTATTTTGTAGACATGACCAATATTTAAAATCAATGTATTTAAATAAAGGAGATTACCTTTACTTGGTGTGTTGGTTTTCATTCACACAATTGGTGGCCTAAAGAGTAAAACACTGAGATTTTCTCTAAAAGATGGATTCTGCCTCAAGACTGTAACATGTAACATAGAATTCCTGCCTGATTTTCCAGTCAGTCAGTCTGATCCACAGATTTTGGACTTTCCATCCCTAAAATTGTGTGAGCCAATTCTTTAAAATCTATCTATCTATCTATCTATCTATCTATCTATCTATCTATCTATCTATCTATCTATCATCTGTCCATCTATCTATCATCTATCTGTCTATCATCTATCTGTCCATCTATCACCTATCGATCTAATGTATCTATCTAACTATGTATATAACTATGTATCTATGTAACTACCTACCATCTATCCATCCATCTTCTCTTGGCTCTAATTCTCTGGGTAAACTGGCTGATAAACTGTGTTTTCAGGAATTCTCCCAGTGATTCACCTCATCTGGGTTCAGAGAAGTGGCTTTTCCTTATGTCCCAAGTTACTTGTGTAGAAGTCAAAGCTGTCAGTGATTAAGTCAGATAAGTCTCTACACAATCTGGATCCAAAGAGGTGGAAGCCTATATTCATAGAAATGCTTCCCAAAAGAACATGCCTGTGCCAGGAGTAGAAAGACAAAAGGAACAACTGGTCTCCCTTCCTTATCCTGCAGACCCAATTCTGTGCTTCAGGTAATTTTCCTTCCCAAGGCAGCCTTGCTTCTCCATGGCCTTCTTGCCTGACAGCTAGTGGTCCTTATTTTAATATTTGCTCTGGCAGCTCCCCTAGCCCACTCTTCACCTGTCCCCTTCTAACTGTCAGTAACAATGAGTACTGACATATACTTCAAGGGTTTGCTTTTTAAAATTTCTTCTGGAAATGTGGTCAACCTGCTTCATAGTCCATTCATTTCCCCTGAAAAAATGTGAATAACTAATATCTGAAAGAAGAGGAAAAATGTTGGGGTTTTCTAAATAGTTTCTCTCTTAGTTCCATCAAGTGTAGGGTATTAGTAATTTTTTTTCTAAATTTTTGAGCATCTATACAAAACAAGAAAAAATATTTGGCTTGATTATTGCATGAGTGGACTGGAATTTGCCCTTTCATATGTCATTGGGAATCAAAAGGCAAATTATAACTCAAGTCTTGTTTTTACTTGGTGCTGCTGAGGTTTTTCTTTTTAGGTTGACTCGCTCCTCCCTGTGGTTCTCTACTCAAAGTCCTGTCAAGATGCCCCTGAAAGCTTGTTCTCCTCACCGAAGCCCCTTCCCAACGACGCTAAGGAAAAGCAACATGTTTTCCAGGAATGAGGGAGAGGAGATCTACCAAAGACACCAAACACCTGACAGACATGGAGTTAAGAGAAACATCATGGCACATTCTGAATAAGAAATAAATGACTGAAACTATATGACATCACCAAGACAAACGTGAGTGCTCATGCTATTCCTCTTGTTATATGCATCCCGAGCCTGCTATCAAGAAGGCTGCAATCCTCTTTGAATTCAAGTCAGTTTAGACTGTGTTTGATTAAAATTATCTTCCTCATATACTACTTCAGGGTAAAAAGGGTAATTCTCACAGAAAAGCCCTGGAAAATCCTCTTGAGTCTCAATAACGGGATTATTTCCAATAGTATGACTCTTCCAGCATTCTACACCTATTCTCTTCATGCTCTGAAAATTCTCTCAGGGCATCATTGCAGAAGAGCAATATTCCATGGTAAGGAAGGTGTCATCTTGACTTTCCACTTTATAGCTCCAGAGAGATTAGAAAAGCAGAAAACTGTTGGCCTGGTGAATTCTAAATCCATGAACTCTAACTGCATGGTATTTTTTTTAACACAGCCCTTAGATAAGCTTAAATGAATATACAGGCATGATTCTCAAATTTAGTGGGCACAGGTCTCCTGGAGGGCTGGTTAAATGTTAGATTGCTGGGATTGTCCCCTGTGTTCCCATTCAGTAAGCCTCAGATGGAGCCTGAGTATTCCAGCAAATGCCCAGGAGATGTTAATGCTGCTGGTCTAGAAACCACACACTGGAACGACTTTAGATAATGACAGCATTAAATTACATGTTATTCCTTTCATGAGACACTAAGGAAGATAATATTCTATTCATGATATAAGAAACACTATTATGCTTCTCTCTTCAAAACTTTTTTTGTAGTTCCAAGAATATTTAAAAGTTTATATACATTACAAAACCAGACCAAAATAGAGCTTGTCATTCCCTTGCTAACCTTGTTTCTCCTTATTCTGGATCTCAGCTGGGAAGGCAATCGTGTTTCAGGCTATCCATTTATTTTTCAGAGTCTTGATTTTAGCTTGCTATAAAATTGTTAAGTTACCATCTGGACATTGTCTTATTCTTATTTCATATATTACAAAAAGAGAAGAAAAATCAGTTATTTACTTACTAATACATTATCTTTATTGTGTTTTATTTATTTGTAATTTATTTTGAAAATAATTTGTGTTCAGAATTCCTCTATCCCGCTTACCAAATCTTTTCCACAAATGGAAAGTATTCTTTATCTGGTTCCCAGAGCACAGCTCACATGTTTAAAGTCAGCCTCCAAAATAAATCCTTGCCAATTTATTTAAGAAGCCTGCTCCTGGTGCTTAAGGAAATAATGGCACCTTGTGAATACAGACGGCATCCACTTCTGCATAAGCTACACATTACTGCCTGCAAATGCTGTCCATCTACATCAAACTAATAATGGTTGGATTTTAAAAGGAAACTCTGGAGAAACTTACAATAGGTTATGAGAGGTTCTGGAAACTCGAAGACAAATGCAGGTGATAATAAGACTGAGGTCTGTACCCTGTCTGAAGTGGCTTATACCAAAAATCTGAGCGAATACCAACACTCCATTTGCACGAATTCTGTCTTCTCTGTTTCTAACTGGTCTTTTCACTCACACTTGCCCACAGTTGCCTCTTCTTCTTTCTCTTGCTTTGGCTCTTTCTTTCCACATTCCCATTCTTTTTTTCTCTGCACTGCTATGAGATCATGATCTCTTGAATTCCTTAGAATATTTTTTGTATGTAAATCGTACAATTTCACACGTTACATACAGCTCCATATAATGTCATGAATAACAAACTTGCTTCTTACATTTGCTGAAATTTTAACTTGAATATATTCTTTAAAATAGGCTACAGTTATTACAATTACTTTAGAGCAGCTTTAAACTACACTGAACACCAGAATCCCCAGAGAAACTGTTTAAAGGATTCAGATAACAGAGTCCTATCCCCAGATAATTTTATTTAAAAGTTCTTAAGTGAGTTTTAGGAAGTTGCTCATATAGTAAGAACCCTGGGTGTCTTTCTGCTCTTTTTTTTTAATAATGACTTTACTGATATATAATTTACATATCAAGAGGTACGGCAAGATAGCTGAATAGAAGGCTCCACCAATCATCTGCCTCCCTCACAAAGACACTAACTTAGGTGTCTCCATAGAAAAAAAAAAAAACACCTTCATAAGAACTAAAAAACAGATAAGTACTCATAGTACTTTTTTACCTCCATATCACTGAAAGAGCCACAGGAGACATAGAGAAAACAGTCCTTAATTTCTGATGCCACTCTTCCCTCACTCCTAGCAGCAGCAACAAGATGCTGAGGGCATGTCTGGGCACCAGGGCAGGCAGAACACAGCAATTTGTGAGGCATTGGACTCTACTGTCCTGTTAGAGCAGAAAGGAAAGCTGGACTAAACTCAGCATTTAAACCAGCCCTAGCCAGACGGGAATCAGTGGTCCCAGGGTCCAAACTTGAATTCCCACAAACCTCATCAGTGGGGGCCAAAGTGCTTTCTGTCTCCAAGTAAATTTGAAAGGCAGTCTAGGCCATCAGGACTGCAACTCTTAGGTAAGCCTTAGGGCTGAACGAGGCCCAGAGGCAGTAGGCTAGGGGAGCATGAGACACACTGAGACACCAGCTGGCATAGTCAAGGAAGTGATGACCTCACACTTCCCCTAACCCCACACTGTACCGCTTAGGGCTCCAAAAGAGACCCCCTCCTTCACCCTGAAGAGAGGAGAGCCGGGCCAATATGGCTGACTAGAAGCAGCAGCCTTCAGAGGCTCCCACTGGAAAAAAACATAATAAGCTTGTGAATCCTTCATCGGCAACCAAAGTATCCAAGTTACCTCATCAAAACTGACTAGAAGGCTCGTGTGACCCATGGAGAGAAGGAAAACAGTGTGGTGTGGCAGCCCACCTGAGAGAGAGAGAGGGGGGGGCAGGGGAATCCCCTACCCCCAGCCAAGGGAGGTGGTGAGTGAGGTGCTACCCAGCCAGAGAAATTGCTTTTCCCACAGAACTGTGCAACCCATGGATCAAAAGATCCCACGCATGAACCCGTGCCGCTGGGGCCTAGCATCCCAACCCTGAAACTTGGAGATTCTTAGAGCCTTTCAGCTGGAATCTGCTTAAGCCTACCAAACGCCCAGTGGGAGGGGCAACCAGCACTGGCTGTGGCTGCCTGCTCTCTAAGCCATTTGAGCTCCTTGTGGGAGAGGCAGCAGCCAGCAATGGGACTCTCCACTGCCTAACACACTAAGCTTCCAGGGCAGGGGCAGGGCAGCACCCATTTCCATAGCTCCAGACTGCACTTTTCCGCTGCTGGAGCCAGGGAGGCTGGACAGCTTGGTCCCAAGACTTGACCTCAAGACTTGTCCCCACAGCCCAACACACAGGCTGTGGCAGCCAGAGTGCCTCTTCAGGCCTAACCTTGACTCATCCTTCCTCATTGGGCAGGGCTTCCCTGCAGGAACTCTAATAACTCCAGCCAGAGGCTCAGGGACAGAATTTGTATCTCCCTGGGCCTAAGCCCCTACAGGGAGGGGTGGCTGCAGTCTCTGTGGACCAGATGACTTAGCATTTCCTCCTGGTAGTTCTGAGGAATCCAGGTAGCTCAGAGTTTCCTCCAGGCAAAGCACACCTCCTCCACTAAGGGACAAAGTGCTTTGTTAAATGAGTCCTGCTCCCCATGCCACCTAACTGGGTGAGACCCTCCAACAGGGGTTGTCAGACACCTTATACAGGAGTGACCCTACTGGCATCAGGTTGGTGCCCCTCAAGGTCAGAGGTCCCAAAAGAAGCATCAGGCACCCTTCTTTGCTGTTCTCCAGCCTCCTTGAGTGACATCTCCAGGCACGGGAGAGAATCAGATGAATAGGGCCTGAAGTGAACCCTCAGCAAACTGCAGCAGCCCTACAGAAGACGGATCTGACTATTGAAGGAAAAGCAAATGAGCAGAAAGCAACAACAACAGGATCATCAACAACAAAAAAGACCCCTACAAAAACCCCATCCAAGGGTCAGCAGCCTATCTCGTTTTTTCATTTGTTTCAGAAGAAATAAAGAAAAGAAGAAAAAAAAAGGGAAGAAAGAAAAGTGGAGAAAGAAGAGTGGGGAGGACTTTGTCTTGTGTCTTGGATACCAGCTCAGCCATAGCAGAATAGTGTTACCAGGCAGGTCTTTGTTCTTAGTGCTCCCAAGATGGTGGCAGGCTGCTCCCAAGATGAGGTGGGCCACTCTCAAGATGGCGGCAAGCCTTTGTTCTCTGACCTGGGGTTCTTGGCCTCACAGATTCCAAGGAATGGAACCTTGGGCCATGCGGTGAGTGTTATAGCTCTATTAGAAGCTGTGGGTCACAGAAGAGAACCGTGGAACCCAGCGACTAGTGTTCAGCTCGATTAGGACAAACCCAGGCACTTAGCCATGCAGGAATGATGGTAAGCCTTTAGCCCTGTGGGGAGTGGCAATGGGCGCCTCCCTGGATCAGGAGTGCAGCAGACACCCTGCCGGATCCTGAGGTGTGGAAGTCAACGGTAGGTCTGGGACAGTGGTGAACAGCAGTGGTGGATGGCGAGCAAAAGCTCAGCTCGAGCTATAACAAACACGGACCAGAAGAATGTGCAGTTGCAAGATTTAATAGAGTGAAAACAGCTCCCATACAACGGGAGGGGACCCAAAGGGGGTTGCCGCTCCCTGCTTAAATGCCTGGGTTTATATCCCGATCATTGTCCCTCCCCCTGTGCTCTCAGGCGATATATGATTTGACTATTTCTTTGCCTCATGCTTTAGCCTAATTTGTATTTTAGTGAGCCCTCTTTACTACATGATTGGTCCGGTGTGAGCTGAGTTACAAACCCTGTGTTTAAAGGTGGGTGTGGTCACCTTTCCCAGCTAGGCTTAGGAATTCTTAATCAGCCTAGAAAATCCAGCTAGTCCTGTCTCTCAATAGGGCACTGAACAGAGTCATGAGGTCCCTGTTCCAGGCTCTAACTAACAGATAACATTTCTAGACACACCCTGGGACTGGCGGTAACCCACTACCTTGAAGGAGAGGACCCAGTCTTGGAAGCATTTATCACCTGCTAAGTGAAGAACCCTTGGGTTCTAAATTGCCACCAGCAATACCCAGGTAAATGTTCAGGAGACTGGGTGAGCCTCTGAGAATTACTGCCTTCAGGTGAGATGCAACACATTACCAGCTGTGGAGGCAACAGGGCAAAACTTCTGCTTGAGAAAAGCAGAGGGAAAAGTAAAGGAGACTTTGTCTTGCACCTTAGGTACCAGCAGGGCTCCAGGGGGTTAGAGTACCAAGTGGGCTCTTGGGGACCCCGATTCCAGGACTTGATTCTTGCACAACGTTTCTGCATCTTCCCTAGGCCGGAGGGGAGCCCACTGCCCTGAAACATGAGTCCCAGGCTAGGCAGCATTTACCACAAGCTGACTGAAGGGCCCTTCTGCCTTAGGGGAACATCAAAGTTAATCTGGCAGTATTTCTCATGGACTGGGGTGGTGGTGGCTATGAGGTGAGGCTCCTCTGACTTTGGAAATGGGAAGGAAGAGTGGAAAGGGCTGAGTCTTGTGGTTTGAGTGCCAGCTCAGCCACAATAGAGCAGAACACCAGGTAGATGTCTAACACTTATTAATTTAGTCCCTGACTCCTGGATAGTACCTCTGGACCTAAACCAAAACCTAGAGAATGTAGTCACCCTGAAGAAAGGGACGTAGGCCTGGCTGGCTTTGCTATAGGCTGATTGTAGAACCCTAGGGCCTAGAGTGAAGAGAGGCAGTAGCCAGGGAGTGATTACAGCAGGCTTTGGGTAAGACCAGTGCTGTGCTGGCTTCATGTGTGGCTCAGCACAGTCATAGTGGTGATGGCCGCAGGGTGCTTGTCTCACTTCATTCCAAGCTTTAGGTGGCTCAGAACAGAGAGAGAGAGAGACTCTGTTTGCTTGGGAGAAAGTTAGGGAAGAGAACAAAAGTCTCTTCCTGGTAATCCAGATAATTCTTCTGGATATTGTCCAAAACCATCAAGGTGGTACTTCTACAAGTCTGCAAGTACCATGGTGTTACTGGGTTTGAGGTGCCCCCTATAGCAGACAGAGCTTAGATCACATTCCCAAGTTCTTTCAAATACCTGGAAAGGCTTCCCAAGAAGAAGGACTATAAATAAGCCCAGGCAGTGATGGCTACAATAATACTTAACTCTTTAATGCCCAGACACTGAAGATCATCTAATAGCATCAACACCATCCAGGAAAACATGACCTTACCAAATGAACTAAAGAAGACACCAGGGACAAATCCTGGAGAAACAGACATGTCACCTTTCAGACAGAGAAGTCACAATAACTGCCTTGAGGAAACTCAAATAAATTCAAGATAACACAGAGAAAAAATTCAGAATTCCATCAGACACATTTAACAAAGAGATTGAAATAAAAAGAATCAAGCAGAAATTCTGAAGTTGAAAAATGCGACTGGCATACTGAAAAATGCATCAGAGTTTTTTAAATAGCGGAATTCATCAAGCAGAAGAAAGAATCAGTGAACTTGAAGACAGGTTATTTAAAAATACAGAGTGCGAGGAGACAAAAGCAAAAATAATAAAAAACAATAAAGCATGCCAACAAAATCTAGAAAACAGCCTCACAAGGCTGAGTTATTGGGTCTTGTTTTTATTTTATTCATTCAGCCACTCTATGTTTTTTGATTGAATATTTTAGTCCATATACATTCATTGTTATATTGATAAATAAAAGCATACACTTACCATTTTGTCATTTGTTTTCTGGTTGTTTTGGGTTGTTCTGGTTGTTCCTTCTTCCTTTCTGTCTTCCTTTCAGTGAAGATGATTTTCTCTGTTGATATGATTTAGTTATTAATATTAAAGAGATGTTAATATTAATACTAAAGAGTTAGTTAAATATTAAGAGTTATTGGCCTTAAAGAGGAGATAGGAAAAGGGCTTGGGTAGAAAGTTTTTTTCAAAGGTATTTGGAAAACAGAGAGTTTTCCAAATCTATAGAGATATTTCAATATTCAGGAAGACGAAGCTTATAGAACACCAAGCAGATTTAACCTAAAGAGGACTACCTGAAGACTTTTAGTTTTAGGATCCTAAAAGCAACAAGAGAAAAGAAACAAATACCATACAATGGAACTCTAATGTGTCTGGCAGCAGACTTTTCATTGGAAACCTTACAGGCCAAGAGAGAGCGGAGTGACATATTTAAAGTGCTGAAGGAAAAAAAAAAAACTTTTATCCTAGAATAGTATATACAGTGAAAATATCCTTCAAACATAAAAGAGAAATTAACACTTTCCCAGACAAACAAAACCTGAGAAATGTCTTGAACACGAGACCAGTTCTACAAGAAATGTTAAAGGGAGTACTTCAATCAGAAAGTAAAGGATGTTATTGAGCAATAAGAAATTATCTGAAGGTACAAAACTGATTGGTAATAGTATACAGAAAAACACAGAATATTATAACACTGTAACTGTGGTGTGTAAACTACTGTGATCCTGAGTGGAAGGAATAAATAATGAACCAATCAAAAATAACCACTACAGCAACTTTTCAAGACATAGATAGTACAATAAGATATAAATAGAAACAGCAAAAGTTAAAAAGCAGGGGTACAAAATTAAGGTATAGAGTTTTTATTAGTTCTGTTTTTGCTTGTTTGTGCAAACAGTGTTAAGTTAATATCAGCTTAAAATAATGGGTTATAAAAGAGTATTTGCAAACCTCATGGTAACCTCAAACAAAAAAAAATACAATGGGTACACAAAAAAATAAAAAGCAAGAAACTAAATCATATCAACAAAGAAAATTATCTTCACTAAAAGGAAGACAGGAAGAAAGAAGAAAAAGAAGACCCCCAAACATCTAGAAAACAAACAAAATGCTAAGAGTATGCTCTTACTTATCAATAATAACAATGAATGTAAATGGACTAAATTATTCAATGAAAAGCCAAAGAGTGGATGAATGGATGTAATAAAAAACAAGTTCTAGTAATCTGTTGCCTACAAGAAACAAACTTCACCTATAAAAACACACATAGACTGAAAATAAAGAAATTTAAAAAGATATCCCTTGCCAATGGAAACCAAAAAATAGCAGGACTAGCTATACTTATGTCAGATTAAATGGATTTCAGGACAAAAACTGTAGGAACATACAAAGAAGGTCGCTACATAATGATTAAGGGGTAAATATAGCTAGAGAATATAACTATCATAAATATGTATGCACTCCAATCTGGAGCACCCAGATATCTAAAACAAATTTTATTCGAGCTGAAGGGAGACATAGACACCCATACCATAACAGCTGGAGACTTTCATACTTTACTTTCAACATTGGACTGGCCTACTAGACAGAAAATCAATAAAGAAACATCAGACATAACCTGTACTATAAATCAAGTGGATCTAACAGATATTTACAGAACATTGCATCTAATGGCTGCAGAATACACATTTTTTTTTCCCTCAGCATAGGGATCATTCTCAAGAATGGACCATATGTTAGGTCACAAAACAAGTCTTAAAACACTTTTAAAAATTGAAATAATATCAAGCATTTTCTCTGACCACAATGAAATAAAACTAGAAGTTAATAACAAGAGAAACTTTGGAAACTATACAAAGACATGGAAAGTAGACTGTATGCTCCTGAATAACGAATGTATCTATGAAAATATTAAAAAGGAAATTGAAAAATTTCTTAAAGCAAATGATAATGAAAACACAACATACCAAAACTGATGGGATACAGCAAAAGCAATAATCAGAGGAAATTTTATAGGTATGAGTTCCTGCATCAAAAAATAGAAAAAAATATTTAAATAAACAACCCAATGATGCATCTTAAAGAAGTAGAAAATCAAGATAAGACCAAACCCAAAATTACTAGAAAAAAAGAAATAATAATAATCAGAGCAGAAATAAATAAAATTGAAATTAAAGAAAATATACAAAAATCGATGAAGCAAAAGTTGCTTTTTTGAAAAGTTACAACTGATACTGCAGAAATTCAAAGAATCATTAGTGGCTACTATGAGCAACTATATGTCAATAAATTGGAAAATCTAAAAAACATGAACAAATTCCTAGCCATATACAACCTACCAAAATTGAATCAGGAATAAATTCAAAACTGATACAGACCAATAATATGTGACAAAATTAAAACTATAATAAAAAGTCTCTCTCTAAAGAAAAACCCAGGACCTGATGGCTTTACTGCTGAATTCTACCAAACATTTAAGAAAAAACTAATACCAATTCTACGCAAACCATTCCAAAAAATACAGGAGGTGGTGAGAAAACCAGACAAAGACATGTCAAAAAAAGAAAACTACAGGCCAATATCTCTGATAAATATTGATACAAAATCCTCAGTGAAATACTAGCAAAATGAAGTCAACAATACATTAGAAACTTCATTTATCATGACCAAGGGGGATTTATTCCAGGAATGAAAGGATGGTTCAATATATGCAAATCCATCAATATGATACATAATATCAACAGAATGAAGTACAAATACCATATGATCATTTTAGTTGATGCAGAAAACCTTTAATAAAATTTAACATCCATCCATAATAAAAAAAGTCAACAAACTAGGTGTAGAAGAAACAATCCTCAACAAAAGTTGTATATGAAAGACCTACAGCTAGTATCGAACAGAATGGGGAAAAACTGAAAGTCTTTTCTCTAATATCTGGAACACAGTAAGGATGTCCACTGTCACCACTGTTATTCAACAAGCATATAATTTTGATTTTTAATGCATGTAGTTAAACATATGTTGGTTGCATAAATATAGATAACACTTAAACAAAGATATACTTTTTTAAAAGTACTCTCCAGCAATAAGTAATCTAGTTGGATCACTTACTAAGCTTTGAGTTTATGTCTTAGAAACTTACAAAATTATTGCACTTCATATTGAGTTAATGATTTTCTTTTCTCTGAACACATGTGGTAACTGAACAATACAAATGTAAAATTTTGCATATTACGAAGAACATACCATTACTTTCTAAGTATTACTTCATTTTGGTTAACAGAGATGAACAAAGTAAAACAGTTGGGAAAATAAACCAAATCTTTTCATGGCAGAAAATAAAACTAATAAAAAAACTGTCCTTGCTGGCAAAAAGTTTGAAAGCCTATAAAGTTGCCCAACTCCATCACCTAATAATTATATGAACTTGGATTTATACATACAGATCAAGTGATTTATAGAATATGCTACAGAAGACAGCTAAGGCCAGAACCCCAGATCGACTGATGTGACAGACTTACATTCTTAACTCTGTATTTCCCAGAAGAAATAAAACCAAATTCCTCTTTAGATGTGTTCAGGGACTAAGGATCTACCCCAGACTGCAGGAGAAGACTAAGACAACATGATGACAAAATGCAATTTGAACCATGGACAGGATCTTGAACCAAAACAATTACCATAATTTTAATAAGATTTGGAGATGAGTTAACAGTATTGTATTAGTTGTCCTTTTTTTAAAATGAACAATTTATTTAAAATGGGTTAAAATATTGCATTCTTTCACATCTAACATTTTCATATAGCCATAGCCAATAACTCAAAACATAGCAATGAGTTTGGCTTAAATTTCTTAATATGAAGATGACTAATTTTTTAAATAAAATTAATGTGACTTTTGGTGTAGTGATATACCCTTCATGAAAAAACTCTTCTCCCTTCCACTAATGTTTTTCTGTGAATTCCATTAAACTAAAAACCATGGTAGCAAAGTCAGTGTTCTGAGATAAAGCACAAAAGTTCCCAATAGACCTGACCTGCCTGGTCTTTATCATGTATAAATTTGCTGAGAAACAATTTATTCTAGCCCAGACTCTCTGTTCATTTTATCCAGGACTGTTTTGAGGACTCATCATCAGTCCTCAGCTTTAATTCCACACTGATGCTAATCCTCCCCAGTTCAGTGATTTGTAAGGCCACAGTGGCTGGAAGGAGACGCCTGAAGGTGACAGACTATTGAAGAAAACACAGTTACCCAGAGCTAGCAGCAAAGGCAGGGATGCAAAACTTTAAAAAGCAAAAGCAAGACCTCAAAATACATAACATTTGGGGCCACATATTTAAACAAGACTTGAAGGTTTTGTTTATGAAGAGTTACGGTGCTAACCTAGAAATATTTCCTATAGAGACTGATTTTGAAAGCAATAAAATGTATAACGTGTTTGGAATAATTTTTATTTTAATGATTTATGCTAAAAAATGATGACACGGGATTAAAGGTGAATTCCAAATTTAACTGGCACTTACGAGGTAGAACAATAATTCATTCTCCACAGATAAAATGAAAGTTTTATTTTATCCTTACTTGGAGCTTTCAGATATATAAGAAGAAATCTTTATACCTTGTGTACCTTTTTTCAATTTATTTTTCTTTTTCAACTCAAAACTCTCAACGAGAAATAAAGACGCTGGTGTGAGCGGCCGGATGGCCATTTAGTGGTTTGTTCTTATGATGCATTGTCTCAGGTCTAGAATATAAACAAGCAATGGAATAAGATCTGTGGGCTTCAGAACATCACACAGGGGACTGTGATTCCAGCAATCAGAGACCAAGGATGCCCTGTTCTTTGTCCTGCACTTTACACAGATGAATGCCAGCCCCATACTCACCTTGCTGGGGATGTGAACTGAGAATACATTAAATTGTTTGTGATAAATCAGTTTGTGGCTGTGGAAAAGTGCCATAATGACAGAAGAGAGAACAGCTATGAAGAACGTGCAAAGAAATTACCATATATTTTTGAATAGAGTGAGGCTAGTTGTGAGTCTAGTTGTGAGTCAGCACTGCAGCCAGCTGGACGGTTACCCAAGGAGGCCTTAAGCAGAGGAAGCAGTTCCATCAGCAAGAATAAATTCAGACAGATCTGAAGCTGCTTCACTTGCCAGTATCCCCTTCAAATTTACCTCATTACTCTTTCTAGGTTCAACATTGTTTGATACGTCCTTTTTCCCTTTCCTTCTCTTCCCTTCCCTTTCTTTTCCCTGCGCTTACTTGATTGAGATATGCTATTCAATTGGATGAAAGAGCAATTTTGTGGTTATACAGATGGATGTAAGAACATATAAACACTTTAATCTTACGTTTTTGTGAAGGTACTTTTACATTCATTTCAGAACACAGATTCAAAAATTCTGAGGAAAAAAAATGAAGCTTTACATCTATCTTCTAGAGACCCTAAGAACTGATAGTTATTATTCCATTATGTTTGAATGGCTTTTTTTTCTCCCAAGCTAAAAAATACAGGGAACATGATCTAATCATATGTGAATAGATACAGAAATAAAATTTATTAAGAACAAAGAACATGTGTGTAAATAATTGCCCAGGCAAAATGGCAATGAAATTGTTTTCCTCTTGCTCTTTTGCACTGTCTCAATGATCTAAGTGGTGCCCGATTTCTCTTCCCTGTCTTCCAATAGTCTTCCCTCCCCGAACCTTTGGATGCTCCCATTGCTGTAAGAATTATGTAAATAATTTTCACCAATAATTAAAACATGCTTGTTTCCTTCATGCTCTCTTCTTCCTCCCCCACCAGAGGCAATGCCCAGTAGGACCTTAGGAAATCCATATTGAAGATGTAGAAGCCTCCATCAGCCTGTGTCCTTCAAGCCCTCCCTGTTCTTGCCCTCTGGTCCCACCCACAATCAGGAACACCCATGTGGCACTGTTACAAGAACCAGAGCATACTTTTGTTGTATTATATTGCTGAAATTTGGAGTTGATCTGTTACAACATCTAACAGTGCCTTATCAAACAGAGATTTGCTCTCACATCCTGACTCTGATTATTAAATAAACTGTTTGAGGTTCTATTACAATGACTTTATGCCTCACCAAGTGGCTATGAGAAGAGTTGGAGGGGACAAAATAGGCATTCAGACAAGAGATTATTCCAGTCTTCTAGAAACCTGCTACTCAATTCATGTGTTCTTCAATCTCATGTTTGATCTTTACCAAGAATTAGTGAGCAACCTACTCCATCAAATCTTCCATTTCTTGTCCTACCATGCTGCATTCCAGCTGGGACTCATAAATTCACTACTAACAAGAAACGTATTGTGGCCAAAATGAAACAGAAACATAGTTTGCATTTCACAAGAGTACATCAGTGTCATAGAAATGCATTCCCATTCCCAATGCACTTAAAGTAGATGGTTTGTGGACTGTAACATAATACAGCTTCTCAAGACACAATACTTTTTAACACTTCTAAAACCCATTTTTCTGAAGTTTTCTCAGGAATGAAAAAGAGTTTACAGATTTTTTAAAATTTCAGTTTCTTATAATGATTCATGTATGCATGAAATTCATTTTCCATAAAGAAATGATGCCAACGAGCTCAGCTGCATTCCTTAAAGAAGCATATGATTGAGATCCTCTTGTTCCCAGTAGGTACCATGGTCAGCTCCCCATGACTGACAGGAAGGACCTTCCCGAGCAGAAACAGAGTTCAGGCTGCCTGGAGGGGAGACTGGCTCGGTTCAGGGGTCTTGGAAGCACCAGGACTTGGTGGGCAGGAGGATGGGGGATTCTGCCTCTTGTTCACTGCACACCCACTGCAGAAGACCCAGGAGCCGTTTTGTTGGAAATAGACAGCAGGAAGGAGGGACTAAAGCAGAGATACCAACAATCCCTTAGATGCTATTGCAATTATCCAGGCAATTGGTGCTGGTGCCTTGAACTAGAGTGGTTGCCATGGAGACGATGAGACGGGGTAAGATTCAGACTACCTGGGGAAGGTAATGCAGACTGGCAGGGAGGACCTTCCATCAGTTGATTTAGTTGGAATATAAAGTTAATGTTAAATGGCTAGCTCTCTTGCCCCACCATACCAAGTTTGCTTCTGTGCTGGTCTCATTCTAGTCTCTGTAATAAGGGCTGCAGAACCTGCTGTTAAACATGACTCCCTACATTAACTTTCAAAGAAGACTGAAAAAAAAAAAGTATTTTGCAAGCTTCCAGCTCTTCTGGATCCTTCAGCTAGATATCCATGTGTCTCCCCATCTCAAAAAGTGACAACTCTACCTTCCAGTTGTTTAAGCCAAAGATCTCGGCGTATCTCTACACATCGTTATTTTCCTTAGACCGTATGACCAGTCTGTTATGCAATTCTGTCTGCAATACCTTCCCATGATAGCCTGAATCTTACTGCCTATTGTTTCCACGGCAACCACTCTGGGCCAAGGCACTAGCACCTATTGCCTGGATTACTGCAATCGTGTTTTAGGGTTGTTGGTATTTCTGCTTTATCCTTTCCTCCCTGCAGTCTATTCCAACAAAACCCAAAATCTGTTAAATTTATGAAAATGTCCCTTGTGTGATCAGTCTTCTTCAATGGTCTCTGTGTCATGCAGGGCACAAAGGAAGTCCATAAAATGGCTTCAAAGGCTTTATCATCTTGATCCCTTACTCTCTCACCCTTCCCAGGGCTCTCTAGACACACCCCAACTTGGGGTTCTGGCCTGGCTGCTCTCTATGCCTGAAATGCTCCTTCTCACATTAGCTTCACACCCTCTCCAATCCCTCCCCCATCAGAGTATTACGCTCCTCACCCACACCGTCTGCTTTGTTTGTCCCTTAACAAGGGCCACCATTTTACATGTCACATATGCAGTTTTTCCTATATGTCTATTTGTAGCACGCAAGGATGTAGAATTTTGTCTGCTTGGTTTACTGCTATATTCTAGTGCCTGAGACAGTGCCTACCAGATGGTCGTTGCTGAGTAAGTTTCTGTTCAACAGACATGTGTTTTCCCCACAAAAGAATTACTATTGTTGATATTTGTTGTTAAATTAGTAGTTGCAATTTCAGAGCAGGCATTTACATTTTGCAAAAAAAAAAGTTTGTGTCCTTTTACTAGGCTGGATTCTGTGCTTGTTTGTTTTTCAGCGAGATAAGGGGAGGGAACAGGAATGAGGTTGCTGTCTCTTAGAGTTTGTAAAAAATGATAACATGTTTCTGCATAGTTGGGTCAAATTATTCTTCTGGAAACTTTTGTGAAGAAGTTTGAAATCTTGGGTATGATACATGTGGACTGTTTTTTCTTATGTTTCTGGTTGTGTTTGCTTGTTCTGGCTTTTTTGGGTTTGTTTTCTTTTGTTGTTATAGTTTTAGGTTAGCCAGTGGATGGATAATACTCATGTAACATTGACGGTGTATCAGGCACTTGCAGGACCCAGATGGAGATAAAGCAATGGGTGTGGCAGGACCACAACTTTTCAAAAGATTAAGTTGCTGCCATACTTCACACACACATGCTGCATTGTCTAAGATCAATAGAATTCTGATTACAGAAAAAGTTTTGGAAGCACAGTCGCCTCGGAAAGTGGTAGTACGCACAGAACAAATGATTATTTTGGGTGACAGAATTATGAACAACCGAATCTCCATTCTCATTAGTAAACTGTTTATGAAAAGTAAGTCATGAGGTGAGGATAGATATGAGATTAAATTCTCTTTCCCCAGCAACACCAAATCGTTAAACACGTAGATTGTAAAAGTGGAGATTTGCTCCAAGGGGGTCTCTCATTTAAAATGTACATTCCATTAGGACATTAGCATGAATTACTTATTCAGATCCTTAAGAAATATACTTTAGATTGGTGAAATTGAAAGACAAGTGATGAAAGAAACACACACACACACACACACACACACATACACACACTCACACAGAACCTGGGCCCAGGGCCCCATGAGTAGAGGCTTCCCCAGTGAAGGAGCACAGCGGGCACCATCCCATCTTGAAATTTCAGAGACGGAAGAACTCCGCCCAATGGGATAGGTTTTATATCCAAGAGCAGTGGCCCTGAAATTTTTCACTCCTATCTCTGAATGAAACTTTTAGAGAACAGAAAGCCTTACACCTCGATTGTCAGAGGCACTGATATTCCAGTTGTCATTCCACTACTGTTCACAAGATATGGAAAAGTTTACTTGTGAGACAGAAAGGAAAACCAAACCAACCCTATCAACTAGTCTTCCATAAAAAAAACAAGGTCATAAACAAAGCCTCTCCACTATTCCCTCCACTGGCGGAATCACACACTGTGGCCCCAGCTCACTCGCGGAGGCTGCTGGGCTGAGGGTGCTGCTGGCTTAGAGTGTGTATCCCACACTGATGCGTGAACCTGAGGCCTGAGCAAGAGGCAGAGGTTGCTGACTAAAGGCTCCATGCCCGTGGCCCTCTACCACGTACAGAAGTCAAAGGAAGATGAAATGGTGTCGGTGTCCTGTGAATTTCTATACAGGCTGAAGGGGGAACAGTTGAGAAGCAGTTTTAGTATGCTCAATCTTGATGAGTATTTACCTTGAAAAATAGAGGATTTTTTTTATTATTGATCTTCAAGAACATATAGATTACTTTTGGAGATAGAAATTAAACACTTCAACTACTAAAATAAAAACAGAGGTTTTAACTTCAAAAAAATTTTCAAATTTAAAGTGTAATACTTGAACACCTTTGACTGTTTTTATTTAAATGTATAATTTGTTGCCTCCCTCTCAGGATTCCAAGAATGAGCTATCATTCTTCCTGGTTCCTTATTTTTGTTTCTTTTTTATAAAGGGAAAAGGGCTTTACTTACTCAAATTTGTTTTCCTGGAAAGAATGTTATTACCGTGGTATTTGAAAAAGTTTTTTGTTCCTCTATCTAGTAGAGGCATACAGCTTTCTGCTACAAATGAAAATGCATATGCAAACATTAAATATTACAAATAAAAGCATATACAGCTATAAATATTTCTTTATCCCTTACCCTTATTCAGAGGTTCCCGGACTGTCTGACCTCATTTCCAGTTGCACCAACACCCCCAGGGGCATAACTCTCTAAAGGAAAACAACAGCTCCCCACACACTCACAGCTCCACATGCCCCTGTGCAGAGACATCCTCTGCAGGGCCTGAGCCACCTGCCTCCTCCTGAAAGGCAAATCTTAGAGTCATTAGCATTGATTTCTCTGTCTGCAAATGGCAGCCACTAATTTTAATCACAGCTTGACAGGTGGCTTTTTGACACTTATATCTGCCTGTCCCTGGCCCCACTGCTTTGAGAATTCCATCATCATTATGCCTCAGCACACCTGTCTTTATATTATTTTACCTTTCATAGTAAGAAGCAGTCCTTCAACATTGGTTTATTTACCTGACTTGCTACTCAAGGTGCTTTTAGCTCAGGTAATTTTCCAACCTCCAAGCACATCATGCATCATCCATAGGAATGAAGATCCAAATCAGTGAGGACTGGGACTGCCCCAGAGCAGAGCAGCCCAAGGCAACATAGGGGACTGAGAATTTCCAGGTTATGGTTGGACATTTAGTAGTTATTTGTGGACAGAATAAAGAAGGATATCCAATCCCTCCAAAGGGGCTCTCAAACACAGAAAAGCTTTACTGGCCACTCTACAACTAGAGTTGACCTCAGGTAGGATGAAGCCCTAGAGACAAGGCCAGCCCTCCCCACCATGACAGTTGACTTGAAGCATGCTGGGAAGTCCACTGCAGCAGAAACAGCTAGTTGCCTATCCAGGATCTTTCTCCAATTCTTCCATGACAACAGGGCCCTGAATTTGTTAATGGCGGTGATACACCCAAGCTAAAAGATTGTAAAGTACCTAGTCTTCCTTGAAACTAATTTCTAGCTAGGGAGTTACACTGGTAAGACATGAAAATATGCTGAAAACAGGAACAGACATCTGTGTAAAGGACTTTATGTACTTCTTTCCTTCCTTTTCATGAGGAACGCAAACGAGATGGCTGGAGCTCCAATAGCCATCTTGGACCTCAAGGCAAATATAAGCATGTCAGCCTCTGACTTAGAAAATCAAAACAGAAAGATGAGAATAGATTGATTCCCTAGTGGTGCAGAAGTTGGAAAACTAGTTCTTGACTTTCAACCTCCATAATTTGTTTATATCAGAGAAAATAAATCATTGTAATTTCTTGTCTATGCCACCAGCAGACAGAATTCCTATTACAACACAGTCTCCTATAAATAATACTCAACCCGTATCTGCACACATGCACACACAAACATGCACAGAGTAGATGCCACTAATTGACCTCTTCTGTGGGTTTCTTTAAAACTCTGTATGTCTGGAGTAGATGACTTATTAAGTTCTTAGTATATGACTAATTTTGTCCACAAAGTGAACTCTTCTAAGCAAATAGAATATAAATGGAAGAATCACATAGAGAACAAAATAAATCTTTAAAAAGGGGAAAGAGAAATCATAGGTAAAGGAAGCAGAGATATATCTGGAAAAAATTACAGTCCTACACTGTGTGTGGTCTGTTATTAAATAATATCCAAATCATCCATATTTATATTAATCAAATATAAAAACATGACACAAAGAATGAAATTAATTTCTTTAGTTGAACTGTGAATTTATGGTTGAATTTTTTTTATTTGTAGTTACCATATTTTAAACATTGAGTTAATACAAATCAGTTATATATGTTAAAAGGAGAATGCCCATGCTAGTTATTATGTTCCTCATCCAAGGCTTCATCAGCTACTGCTAGCATGACAGCATCATCCACATAGTTAACTAATATTTGATTAAAAGATTGACTCCAGAAGTAGCAACTGTAAGCACTTCAGCTCCTTGTCTCTCCAGTGAAAATCAGATATATTTTGTTAATTAGTATTAAAAACACTGGATTTTATTTGGTGAAATTAGTAGTGTTTCAGATATGAGGACTGCTCAATATCATAACGACACGATCCTTATTCCTACCAGAACCAGTTGTAAGAATCCTATGAGTACCTCACGCTATAGCCTTCAGAAGTTGCCCAAAGCCTAACTCTGAAACCATCCTGTATTTACCCATGGACTGTATTTACCATGTAGGTCACCAGCTGCTGGAAGCTGACTAGATGTATACCTAGATTGGTCTCCAGAAAAATGTTCTGTCCGCTCCAAGAGAAGGTTTCATACTAGCTATGGAGGATTACCCAAAAGGACAGAGGACTAGGGATTTACTGAGTTTACTAACCAGGATGCATGACTATTCTGGACCTGCTTGCTAAATTAAACATTTATCAAGTACATGTTTTTACATGTAGCACATCTCATTTTCTGATCTATCTTCACCCAAAGTCAAGGATGTGTGGAAGGAAAACTATAGACCCCACCAATCTTTGACTACTGGTGGTTACACACTTACCAATAAGATCCAACTAGTTATTCATGATGGATCTGCTTAGACCAGTTTACAACCGGCACCAATGACAGATAATACCACACCACAATTTGTTGGGCCTGCCTCCAGCCCCATCCCACACTGCACCTCCCATTACTGAATCTGAGTCAGCCTTCTCCTTTGCAAGGGAGAGAAAGGAGGTTATTCAAAGTGTTTTTCCGTTGGACCCACCCAATAAAAGCTAGGTTTTACTATGAATTGTTCCAAGATAAGACAACCCTGTATACAATGCCAATGTGCTACCTAAATTAAAGCCTATTATCTCACCTCTTGCCTGTCTATAGATCATGATCAAAGAAAGAATTATCTTAATTTACTTAAGTCTATTTGTAATCAATCAATTATTATACTACTCTGTCATTATTGGGCAGGAAATGATTAATCATCCTTCTTGGGAGATTTAGGTGATGTCCAAGAAGGATCCTTGTTGCTGGGTTTTGGCATAAATATGTATCTTCTGTTTGAGCTCCAAGAAGAAGCAACTCTTCCCTAAAAGGTGGCCTAAAACAGCTCTAATCTGAGCTGAATTCAGACACCACCACCCCCCCAGCTGATAGACAAGCAAATGCTGAATGTTGGATATTTTTTCAGTTATTTTCATCATAGTCAACCCCAGCTATTCTAGCTGTCACCAGTCAGTTGACACAATTGGTTTCTGACTTCTTATCCCATTTATTTTATAAAAGCCTCCAGCCCCTTGTGTATAACTAACTCATTTACAGTGTTTTAAATGAACCAATAGAAAGGCTCAAGAATGAATACACTTCTGCTAGGTGGCATCAACAATTCTACCTGCACCATGGTCTCCCTGGCTCCTCAGTCTGTTTATGCTCCAGAGCCCTCTTAGCATTGAGGATGTACTGTGGGCTACCAAAGCAAGAATAGGGTGCCCCTCTCCTCTTTGTGTAAGAGTCCTTGGTGTTCTCCAGGATTGCATTGCTTTTACTCCAATAATTTTGGGAGATTTAGAGCAACAGCCCTTTGAGATTTTCTGACAATATGTGAGGCATTTGAAAGCAAATCCAAATACTACTTATTCCCCAGAGGAAAAAAACTGGCCAGGGCTGTATTTCAACTGGGGAACTGACGTTCATTCCACTCCAGCATCTTGAAGCCTTCCTGCCTTTCCTAAGTGGCAGAAAAACAGTCAACAGAAGTCAGGGCTTCGAGAAAATATATGGAGATCCCTGCAGTCAGGGGAGGAAGTAGAAGGAAGGGGGAGCAGGCTAAATGATGGAAAAATATTGGTGAAGGTCACAGATCTGAGATACAGGGTGACTAAAGCTGACATTTAATCACCTGTGTACAGAACAACCTTTCTCCTGCATGCATTACCACCACACTAACAGGGCTCCAACATAACCATATTTATAGAACATTCCATCTGGTAATGGCAGCAGATACATTCTTTTCATGCTCATATGGAACATTTAGCAAGACAGACCACATTCTGAGCCATAAAACACACAATTACAAAATTAAAAGGATACAAAGCTTATAGTATATTCTCAAACTACAGTAGAATTAAACTAAAACTCAATAATGGAAAAAATAGCTAGATTATTTCCCAAGTGTTAGGAAAATTAACAAATTTCTAACTAACCCAAAGTCAAAGAAGAAGTTTTAAGAGAAACTATAAAGTATTTTGAATTAAGGAAAACAAAATGTATAATTTATTAAAATGTGTGTGATGTAGTGAAATTCGAGGGGAAGCTACAGTGTTGCATGTGTATATTACAAATGAAGAAAGAGCTAAAATCAATAAAGTAAGTTTTCATTTTGGGGAACCAGAAAGTAAGCGCAATTTAAGCCCCAAAACAGCAGAAAAAGAGAAAATGGTATTTAAAAAAATACAGCAGAAATCCATGGGGGGAAAAACAAAACAAAACAAACAAACAAAAAAACAGGACAAAAATAGAGAACAGAAAAGATACCAAAAAGCTGTTTTTGGAGAAGTTCAATTAAATTGATAAGCCTCTCAACAGGAAAATGTCAGAAGAAGGACACAAGTGACAATTTCAGAAATGAAAGGTCATTACTTCTGTAATTCTATGATTTAAAAGAACAATAAAAGAGTACTATGAACGACCATACTAACAAATTTCATATCATAGATGAAATGCACCAATTTCTTGAAAGCTATTAACTGCCAAAACTCAAAAAAGTAGTAAATGACCTAAACAGCCCTATATCTGTTAAATAAATTGAATCAATAATGAATAATCTTTTTTTAAAAAAAAACACTATCAGGTTCAGGTGCTTTTTTAATTTGGGGGGAGTCAGGGTCTCTCTCTCTCACACAGGCTGGAGTGCAGCAGCACAGTCACAGACACTGTAGTCTCAACCTCTTTAGCTCAAGTGAACCTTCCAGCTGAGTCTCTCAAGTAGCAGGTACTACATTCATGCACCGCTGTGCCTGGTTAATGCTTTCTTTTTCAATTTTTAAAAAATTTTTTTGTACAGAAGGGATCTCACTGTGTTGCCTAGACTGAGCTTTAACTCCTGGGCTCAAGTGATCCTCCCCACTTGGCTTCCCAAAATGCTGAGATTACAGTTGTAAGCCACCACACTTGGCTCAGATGTTTTAACTGGTGAATTCCACCAAATATTTAATTTAAAAAATATACCAGTTCTCTACAATTTCTTACAGATTATCCTAATACCAAAACCAATAAAGCCCAGTTTTTATTATAGAAATAAAAACTAAAGTCTAATATCTTTAATGGACACAGATGCAAAAATATTCAACATACTATCAGCACATTGAATCCAACAATTCTATAATGAATTATATACCATGATAAAGCAGGATTTATTTCAGGTATGCAAGACTGGTTCAACATTTAAATATCAGTCCATGTAATCTGCCACATCAGCAGACTAAAGAAGAACAATGAAAGAAGAACAAACATAGTAATTAATGCAGGAAAAGCATTTGAGAAAATGCAACATCCAGTCATGATAAAAATTCCCAGAAAACGAAGAATAGTTGGGAACTTCCTCCACCTGACGAAGAGCACGTATAAAATACTAAGAGCTAACAACATATTTGACAGTGAGACACTAGGTATCTTCTTTCTAATGTGGAGAATAAGACAATGATGTGTCATTCAATCACTTTAACTCAGCATGGTACCGGAAGTTCTAGCTATTTCAAAAATACAAGCAAAAGAAATAAAAGATATGCAAATTGAGAAGAAAAAAATAAAACTGTCTATGATTCATACACAGATGAAATGATTATATATAAATTCCAAACAAACTAGAAAATAAACAACAAAAGGAGAAACAAACAAAAACTTCCTGAAACCAGTAAGCAAGTGTATCAAGGTTGTAAAACAAAAAGTTAATGTACAAAAGTCAATTGTACTTCTAAATACTAGTAAAGAATAATTGTCACTTAAAAAAACATGGAAAACTGAAATACGTAAATTTACAAGACCATATGAACAGTATCTGTATGGAGACACTGTAAAACAATGAAGAAAAAAAGAAAACAATCTAGGCAAGTGGAGAGATATTACCTGTTCAGGGATTGGAACACTCAATATTATTAAGCTTTTTTTTTTTTTTTTTTTTTTTGAGATGGAATCTCGCTCTGTCACCAGACTGGATGGAGTGGCATGATCTCCGCTCACTGCAACCCCCACCTCCTGGGTCCAAGAAATTTTTCTGCCTCAGCCTCCTGAGTAGCTGGGATTACAGGCATGCACCACCACATCTGGCTAATTTTTGTATTTTTAATAGAGATGGGGTTTTGCCACGTTGGCCAGGCTGGTCTTGAACTCCTGACTTCAGGTGATCCACCTGCCTCAGCCTCAAAGTGCTGGGATTACAGGTGTGAGCCACCAGGCCTGGCCCAATTCTTTCTAACTTTATCTATAGATCCAATGCAACTCCAGCAGGCTATTCTGTTGATGTCAACAAGCTGATTCTAAAGTTTATATAGAAAAACAAGACACTCAAAACAGCCAACACAATATTGAAGAAAAACAAAGTTAGATTACCGACTACCAAATTTCAAAGCTTACTATAAATCTACAGTAATCAAGTCAGTGTGGTTTTGGTGACAGAATAGACAAATACATCCGTGGAACACTAGAGATTCCAGAGGTAGATCAACATGAAAAGTCAACTGATTCTTGACAAAGGTGCCGTGGCCGATTGACGGACTTTGTCAGGAGACATGCCCCGTACAGTGCATCCGCTGTAGTAGTCCCCGTTGTTTGGCAGCATCAGTTTCACTTGCCAGTGAATATCTGCATACACAAACATGACATTCGGTGTGGGCAGTGTGAGCTGATTTTAGGGTGGTGCCATATTTAATATGCATAACTGAGGTAAATTATTAACCTTACAGATATTAAATAAGGTTAACTTTCTTCAAGATGTTTGTTCTAGAAGAAGAACCAAGAGTCTCTGCACACAATGGCCTGTGGTTGAAGATAAGGTGTTCCCAAACTTTAGTGTGCATCAAAATATCAAAATCACCTGGAAGGTTGGTCAAACAACATGTTGCTCTCACATTGAGATTTCTGACTTAGCAGGTGGGGCTGGAGAATTTGCATGTCTAACAAGTTCCCAGTGAAGCTGAGTTGCTGGCGCTAGGACCAGGTCCTCAATCCCACTGCTTTGGACTCAAGCAGAGGGGGAATGTAGAACAGAGCACCAGACTAGCACCTGAAAGAGCCACAGTGGGGGAATGCAGGACGCACTGAAAGCAAGACAAGCCCTTTGCTTGATAAACTACATGATTCAGAGCCAGTTTGGTATTAAAAACAAAACAAAGCAACAAACGGCACGAGGGCATCTGGCCACAGGTGACTTTTATGTTACCTAAAATGTCTGAAGTTTAGGATCAATTTGCAATGAGAGATCACAATTTTTCAAAATATGATTTTCATCATTTATGTTCATTATCCTGTGTGCGGGACTTCTACAGAAAGGTAAGCTAATAAATGAGTGTATTTTAAACCAATAAATTTCTGTGAACTTATCAGGCAGCAACAGAAATCCAGCAAAGAGAACAACTAAAGCATACATTACTGAAGCTAAGGCAAACTTTTATCAGGAAGAAGATATTTTTAGATGACTTAAGGTAGTTTGCAAATTCCAAAAGACATGAAGTTTCCTTTGGAGATACAATCTTTCTACTTCGTTTGTAATTGTCAAAATACAGGAAAATCACATTTCAATTTTGAGCATTTCAATAAGAAACTGCTAAAATGCAGATATTCCATTCAAAAGTCTCTTAATAAGCCACTAGCATTATCTGGATTCGAGGCTACTTCCTCTGTTGTTAACATAAATAGGTGGTAAATACCACAGTCTAGGCTGGGAGGTGGGAAGCAGCTCTAGGCATGTGTTAAAATGTAATCGTTTCTTGATCAAAGTGCACGGCCACATCCATCTATTAGAAGAGGGGTATTTGAAACAATGTCCCAAAGGAAGAAGACAGGTGCTGGGAGGTAAGGGCTCTGTGAGATTCCCAAAGTCAGGTTTTGCAAATAGATGGAGATGGAGATGGGGTTTCCTTCCCCTCACACTAAATATGGGAAAGATAACATCATGCGCAAATGGTTCCACAAAAGGGGAACTTGGTGAAAGGAGCTGAAGAAGTGGGGAAGGAAAGAAGGAAACCAGGGAGAGGGAAGGAATAGAACAGAGATTGCTCCTGAGAGGTACGGGAGGGGCAGAAGGCGCAAGTCCACAGCCAGCACTGCCTCCCCGACTTCTGTGCTGCTTTGGGCTCACTGCCTGTGGACTAAACCCAGGGTTTTGTTGTTTCATTTTTCTTCATATGACCTAGTGGCCCATTAAACATATGTTGAATTGGGCATCAGCACTAAGGGGAAAAAGGAAGCGAGAGAAAGAGAGATACCAAGAATGAACGGGTGAGAGAGAGAGAGTCTAATTTAGAGTTAAGAGTTTGCAAGGTGGTGTTGGCAGCCACCATTATGGTTGCTAATTTTTTTCTACTGAAAAAAAAAAAAAAAACCACAAAACACAAACAATCTTCCAATTCACCTGATACCTGAAGTCCAAGAATTTATCATGATGTGGGACTGAGCCACTTGGGGATTTAGCACCCAGCATTTTTTAGTGACCAAGATAATGAAAATGACCAAAGTGATGAAAATTTAATCAGGCCCACAAAAAAAAAAGTTTGCGGAAGCAATGAGTGGCTCAAAGGACATTGTAGCCAGCTGCTGACGCCCAGAAGTCTGGTTACTGAAGGTGTCATCTAAGATTGAAGAAACATAGATTTTTTTCCCCCGATTCCTTGAAATTTCCCTTCCCTTACTCTCTAGCTGCATTAAAACTCCCTACTGCTGCTTTTTGTTGAGGTGGATTAGGAGCTCTTGCCTTCTTACCTCCTCACTTTGGCCAAATAGAATAAGCCTTTCTGTATCTCCAAGCACCTGTGTGTGAGTGTCTGGCCTCAGTTGCATATCAGGTGCACAGGCCTGAGTTTGGGCTTCTACCTCTAACTTACAGCCTAGGATTTCATACAGCAGGAGTGGAGAGGATAACACACTCGTCAACAAGCCCATTCTCTGAGACTATTTTTACCTATTTTTAAGCCTTTTGGTCTCAGGTCTGCCTAAGGAATAAGTTGCCACTTTTAGTGAGGGAATAAGGCAGTTTAGTACCAGCTGAGAAAAGCAGAGGTGAAGGAATAATTAGGACTAAATCTAAGCCTAATTCACAAAGTCTTCTTGGCCCCAACTCTAAGACCTTCCTCCAAATCATCAAATGGAGCAGGGTGATGCTTGTTTTAGGCATCAGGCATCCAGGGATGCGTGAAGATAGCCTCGCACGCATTGCTTTCATGCCCTGTATAAACCACGCCTCCCCAGAGAGCCCTTCCTTTCCTATCCTGATGTGAAGACTGACTGAGATAAACTATAGCAAGGCGAGAGAATTGTTCCTTACAATAAATGTAATCTCAAAGGGTAAAGTACCTCATTCACCTGGCTGCTTAAGCACAAGAAACTATACAGCACTTAAGGAAACACATACATAGTTAAGAAATTAAATAACATGAATTACTAGCACCTGTATCCTAAAGACACCACAAGGGATAAAGTAAACCCTTGAATAGGATACATTTTAGGAGGAATTCTAAGGAAGCCCCACTTTTCAAAGAGCAAATTTAACTGCTTAAGAGCATATTAAAAGAAAATATGTAAAATTAAAGCAATTGAATTAGTTTCCTATGAAAACAGAGTCAAATCTTACCAAATTTGAAATTATTATAATTATGTAATTTAATCATTTAGACTTCTTCCCATGTAACTGCTTAACTTACCTCCAGAGGTCCTGACTGTTGAGATGCCTGGTCTTCTGCAGACAAACCACGTGAAAACGGATTCACTGACTCACCAGTTACAAAACCCTCAGGCAAAATGACGCACAATTAGCAACGGAGTCATTGCTACAGGCAGTTTGGGGGAATGAAATGAAATTTTCATCAATATTTTACACGATTCACTCTCCTTAACCTTGAAGAGTGGCTCCATGTTTTTGAGTAACATTGACAAAGATAATTGAAGGGACATATTTTTTTTTTCTGAAACATCAATGAAATTGTTGTAAGCAAACTCAAGCCTGAATCCTGAATTAACATCTCCTCAATTTCCCACTCTAAGGTTGGCACTGTCGGTGGTAAAGAGTGGATGAAGAGACTGGTTTTCAGAGGATGGTGGCAGTGCTGTTTTCCCAGGAGATCTGTTGGGGAGGACCTAAGAGTGGAGAAGGAATCAAAGGAGAGGTCTCTGCTCTGCCTTATCTGCTGACGGACCCTAACCCTGCAGTGGGGGCCCACCAAGCCCATTTGGGGGTCCCTAGGTTTTTCTAGACACCATCTCCTCTTCCTTGCCATTGTCCACTTTCTTGCTGGCCATCTGAATTTGTCCATAGATAATATACAAGTTGTATCAAACAATTATCCTCTGGACAGGCAGCAGAAAACCAAAGCCTGTCTGAGTCTCCCAGGAGAATTACAGCACAAAGTTAGGACCTTCCTTAAGGTCTTTAGCATCTGTCCCCGGATAAGCAAGCAAGCCAACAGCTCTGGGTGCCCTGTGCAGCTCACTGACCTGAATTAGTGTTTTATTTAAACTGTCCCCAACCTCCTTGTCGGAGGAAATTGTGCCTAAGGAAGCATGGTTTTATGCTCTTTCTTATGAACTCATGAAAGGAACAAATGATGGTATATGGGGCTCAAATCAAAAATTGGTGAGAAAAAGTCCAGGAGTCAGGCTTCACTTCATGGAACCTGTAAAGAGGTGAGAATTGGAACGTTGGAAATAATATTTTCACCCCAGCGATGTGGGCTTTTTGGTTCCTATAACTCCTTCTTAACACATTCACCGTTACCTATGCTAATAAACATTTTAAAAATATTTATTGTATTTGAGTAGATCTTAAGTGATTTTGTGAAACTCAGACTCCTGATGGTTCCTGCAGAGGACTTGTTTGCAAACACAGTGAGCCCCACTGTGGATCCCTAAGTACACTTAGAGGAGACTTTGCGAAGCCCTTAACAAGCAGTTGCATACGTTCTTATGAATTTATCTTTGTTTCAAACTTTTTATCCCATTGTCCATCCTGTGCTTTGTTTTACAAGCATTGATACATTTACTAAAGTTTCTCTGAATATTCCAAAAAGCAAACAAACCAAGTTTTCTTATGACTTATAAATCATCAGACCTCACCTTTCTCAAGACCCACAAAATTACAAAACTAACCTGCAGGCTGAGGTGTGACCAGTGCCTGGGTCAGCCTGACTGAGGCCGTGAGGATGCTGGAGGCCACACTGTCCACTCTGAGTGTGCCCTGAAGTTATCATGCCTGGACATAGGAACCAGCAGAACCCTGGAGACAGCACTGTGTCCCCACAGGGCCACCGAATTGCTTCTTCCCTCTCATCCTGGAGTCATTTTCCAATTCACCCAAATGATCGGCTGAGCTTACACTGTAGTTTCCTGGTGGGCACATGATACACCTGAGGGCACCCCCACCAGGCAGCCACTCACTTATTGTCCTGCTCAGCCCTTGATAGCCCTGCTCCTAGGCTGGAGATCCAGATTTCCAACCTGCTCTAGGGTTGAACCCCAATCAAGAAGGAGCCCTGGAGTCCAGCTCTTCCTGCAGAGGCCTGCAGCTGCACCTCCCTGAGTACCGCCCTGTGGGCACCTGCAGCTGGCCAGTTCCTCCTCAGCCTTTCCTTGCTCAGGAGTGGCCTGGTCCAGCACTGCCTCCCTGGCTTCAGAGCCCCCTCCTCTATGGACTCATGCTCCTTGGATCTGGCATCCTGAGTGGAGCCCAGCCCAGTTAGAACACTGGACTTGGTCCCTGAAAGCCGAGCCAGGGCAGCTGCTCCCTCATCCGGGAGGGCAGCCAAGGTCTTAGAGGGGGAGCAACTTCTCTGTGGCAGGAAGGGCATGGAGAGAAGCCTCACAGGTAGCCTCCTCTCCCCACGCCTGCTCTCTTCTCCCCATGAAGCTTTCCCCTGAATTCTGCTGAAGACCAGGCCTCAAAAGGGGCACTGCCTTTGTATTTCGCCCTTTGTTTCTCTTTAATTCTAGAAAACCCTGAGTCTACCTTGGAGCACACTCTTGAATGTGACCCATCTAATGTCATCTTGACCCCAAGTCCACTTCCTTCAGGCACGCCTCCTTCTTCATTTTGCTGCCGCCAGCGCGTCTGCCTCCAGACCCTCTTCCTCTATGTAGGAGAGGCCACTCTCCTTCTAAAGCAAACCTTGCTTCCTTTTGCTGGAAAACAGCAGCTGCTGACCCACGGAGATCCAGACTCCAAAGGTGGCCCACAACCACCTTTACCCCACGATTTGTTTCCAATCTTCCTCGTAGCCTATCCCCTTACCCCACCACCTGCATGATTAGATTTCTCTGCAAGAGCAGAGATCCACCGTAATGGCAGCTCCAGTAAGAAAGCTGATTTCTGGCTTCTAAGAGAGTCTGCAGTGCAGTAGTCCTGGGTTGAAGGTTAGACTCTGCTGCATTAAGCACCTGGGGATGAGGCTCCTTCATTACTGCTCTGTCTCCCTAGAAGATGCCGTCCTCCTGGGCCTTCAGATGGACGCCAGTGTGGGATTTTATTGGAATGCACAAACTCCTGCACTGGCCAAGAAAAAAGTGGTGCAAAAAGCAATGCACAGGAATGGCTTGAGCAATGCAGGAGATGACGCCAAGCAGCCATGTGCCAGAGGGACCTGGGGAGCCCGCGGCAGGGCTTGGCGGTCAGCGGTGAACACAAGGTGGACAGTTTGTCCTCAGAGCCCAGTCACCAGGTGCATCCGCTTCACAGGGTTGGGGCCCGAATCTCTCTGTGCAAGGAGAGCATGTGGTTGGGCTGGTTTGAGTCTCACCCTTGGCAAGAAAGGACATCCCACTTTGATGGCTTTTTACCAAGACTGCACATGTTTGGAGCTGTGAAATTCTCCAAAGCAAAATTGGGGTGCTGCTGGCTTGTAGAATTCAGGTGTATGCTCCCCAGGAGGAAATGCCCACTGCTCACTAGAGATGGACAGTTCAGAAGAAAACTGGGCAGGACATTATCCCAGCAGCAGGAGTGGGTAAAGAAATGGGCAGGCAGAGTGGGTAGGGAGGGAGTGAGGAGCTGAGGAGCTCACTGGAGTGACAGTGAGATGGCTCATGGGCACAGAGAAATAATTCAAGCCAGAAGCCAAAAAAGTAACCTGAAGGCTGCACCAAGCAGTTTTGATGTCTTGCGTATAGTGGGAGGCAATAGATATTTGTAGGGTAGAATGAAGGGAAGAAAGACTGATTACAGGGAGGCCACTTAGGAGGTGACCGTGATATTCAAAGAAGACTCAAAAAGACAAGCCAAGGTAGAGGCAGTGGGAGTGATAATGCTGAAAATAGATTTATTTTGGAAAGGGGAATTTAAAACTGTGTCTTTTCCAGTGAAACCATTTCTCTGTTGCCCAAACTCAGTGCTGCCGATTGTGGCCGCACAGGCTGTGCAAGGCACATGGAAATGAATGGCTCCCCTGAAGTTGTGGGACGAGGCAGCCCTGCCTGGAGCTTCTGACATATGCAGGCAAATAAACATCCAGTACTTTCTCACAGAGATCTCCGGTGATAGGATAAATCACACATCCCAGCAAAGCAAGGGAAGAAAGCCAAAAATATTGAAGGCAGGCAAGGAGGGACCAGCAAACAAAGGACAAATAAAACCATAAGAAGGATTTTATATTCTAAAGATGATGGATCTTGAGCCACAGACAGAAGAGACGGATAGTTAGAAGCAGAGCAGCTGCAGAAAGAGGAAATCAGCAATGCATGTTTAATTTAACAGTTCAGGAAATCCAGTTACCATTTTTATTCGAGCATACTGGTGTGCTCTGCTATTCTCAAGAAATTATTTCCTTTTAAAAGTCCTGTTATTTGACTGTATCACGATAGAAATGGCTACCCATTGGCCATTCCCATCTCTTTCTCCAGTGCCTGCCTCCAGCTACAGAAGCCAGAGAATCAGGCACCCTCTTCCCCAACATTCTGCAGCTGGGAGGGGCCTTGTGGTCCCATCACATGGAGAGTGAAGGGCAGGGTGCCAGGCTTGTGGGAAAGATGTTTCCTTCTCTGTAGAAGAGAGGAGCTCTCTCCTTGCCCTTGTATCCCAGCTTCCTGCCTTGGCATGTTGAGATGTGAGAAGCCACTTTGCACCCATGAGAGAGAAGCAGGAGAGCTGTAGAGATGCTGACCCATGTCCTGACATCATGGGGCTTTGGAGAGCACTTGGAACCACCTTCTCTCTCTTCAGGTAAACAGTATATGCTCTTATGGTTTAAGCTGCTGCTCCCTGGGCTTTCTGTTGCACACAGATGAAGATACCTGAGTTCATGCAGTCCAAAGTGAAGGGTGTAAACACATTGCTTGTATAACAAGTACTTGCATGGACATGACTCTGTAATGAGGTCTATTATTTAAGATTACCTGTTATCAAAATTAGATAGGTGATTCACTTTATATTTTACAGAAAAAAATTTCTTGAATAAACCCAGTTATATGATTGGCCATCTGATGATAAAATGTACTCAAGCAGTAAAGAAATATTACTAATTGTTTCTTCTGGATGTTACTCCCTGGAAAAAAGGGTAATATTTATAGAATTGATGAATAATTATAGTATTAAATAATTATTTTCAACATCTCAATCAAAATTATTCTCTTAATTTTCAATAGTTATCCAACATTTCAATTTTTATAAAACAAACACAACTTTTTCATGATGTAAGTTTCAATGGTTGGTTATTTATTAATTGAAGATTTTTCCGTTTCTAATATATGACAAGCATTTTGCTTCAGGAATCAGTATCTTTATCTCAGGTTTCTTTTTTCTTTTCTTTATTCCTGAAGTGAAATTACTGGGAGCTGGCATATCAAAGATATTCTGACCTTAAACAATTAGACAAACTAATTACAGTCAGGTTTTTAAAAGAGCAGGCATTTAATTTCCACAAATCTCTATGTTGCCATATTCTTACAAGTTGTTTCATGCCCCACGATTAGCAGGCAGTCTGTGACAAGAGATTTCTTCAAGGCATTGGGATGGATGAGCCTTGTAAGATGTGGTTAACAGATTGAGTACAAATTTACTTCAAATTTCATTGACCCATTGTCTTACAGGTCAATTTCATGAATTGTCTTACAAGACAATTAATGAAATAAATAGGGATTTAAAAGTTTCTTTTAGGTCTTGGCATAAGTAGGCCGGGCACGGTGGCTCACGCCCGTAATCCCAGCACTTTGGGAGGCCGAGGCGGGTGGATCACGAGGTCAGGAGATCGAAACCATCCTGGTTAACACAGTGAAACCCCGTCTGTACTAAAAATACAAAAAATTAGCCAGGCGTGGTGGCGGGCGCCTTGTAGTCCCAGCTATTCGGGAGGCTGAGGCAGGAGAATGGCATGAACCTGGGAGGTGGAGCTTGCAGTGAGCCGAGATCACATCACTGCACTCCAGCCTGGGCGACAGAGCAAGACTCCGTCTCAAAAAAAAAAAGCAGAAGGTCTTGGCATAAGTAGATCATGAATCAAAAAATGAACCTGTCAGTCTTTGGGAAATGTGGTTAAATCTACCGAAGTAATACATTGAAGATCATGAAGTTAAATTTGCTGAATGATCTGTTGGATTTGCTATGGCATGTTTGGCTCCCAGAAAGTTGTTCCTTAAAAGACAAACAAAAAAACCTTTAAATCACAATTCTATTTATTTATTTCTCTCTTTGCATGCCAGACTTTTAAGAACAGCAACACTTTGCATGGCCATCTCCAGCAGGAGGTAGTAGAAGAGTGCTGAAGTTGGTGGTAGAAGCTGAGCTCATTATCTGAACATAATTAATCTCTATGTGATCACAACATCCATGTTGACACAATTAACATTAACTTAAAAATATTGAACATGGATGTGTCAACCTAAATAGCAAACAGAGAGAGGCTCTCTAAAAGTAAAAGATATTTATTGAGGCATGGGCATTGCAAAGGGCACATGTGTGCCTTAGTAAACTATGTACACATTCAGGGAGGTAAAGGAAGGCTATGCTTTTAAAGAAAAAATGAAGAGTATTACATAATTATTTTAAAATGATTATTCTTGGCTATGTTGATCAATAACAAATATGATGCTACTCCAAGGTTGGACAAGCAGTTTTTGGGGTGATGTCCTCGCAGAAGTATTTTTTGGTGTAAGTTCCTGAAAGCGTTTGTGCAAGGATGTGGTTTTTGCAATGTTTTGTGATAGTTTTTGTTGTCAGGCATACAAACATGAGAACTCTTTCTTGATAGCTTTCCTCAGCTCTATTTGTTAGAGTTTTTTTTTTTCTTTATTTTTTTTTAACATAAATGACTCCATTTTGATACTGACAATTTCCAAAGAGACAGTTCAGATTTTTCTAAAAGGCCTAGCTATTTGCAAATGACCAAACATCATAGTCATCAAGAAATTTGGAAAACTCAGAATTCCTTAAATTGCAGGTCTATTATTTAGGATAACCTGATTTCAAAGCTAGATAATTTATTAATTTTCTATTTTACAGAAAAGGATACTCTTGAATAAACCCGATTATATTAGATACTGAAGGTTAATTTTTCCTGAGTTTCAGTGCTGTTCAAATTATACAATGGCTAACCTGGACTGCAGGTGAAAATCGCCAAGGAATACTTAAAAAGCAGCACACCCTGCCCAGTGTGAAAGGGCTTTCTGATGATTGTCGTGTGCAGCCATGGCTGAGAGCATCCCTGGCTGGGCTAGCACTTGTGCCTCAATGCAGTGCTCTCCTTAAGTATTAATCGAGTGAGCTCAGTTGTTGCCAGAAAAACATAAGTTGGACTCAGGAGAGCTTCTCTCTTTCAATTTACCTAAGCCTGCTTTGTTTGATGCGTTAGTCAGCCAGGAGATGTAGACTGGTGCCTATGAAAAAAAGAAAACACTCAGAGAAAATGACAGCTCACTTAGGTCTCTGGCGTGAATTGCTGCTTTAAAGAAGGAGAACAAATCTTTTTTGGAATCCGAAAAGCAAATTGCTCATCTCTGCTTACCTTAAACAAACAAACAACTAATCCTTGTGTCTCTGCAGTATTTGTAATATTCCCTTTTATTTCCAAGGTCCTGTGTGCCTCAATACTGTACTGTAGACAGGTGCTGTCAGGCCATCTTCCAGGCAAACATGGAAAGGAATAGTGATCAACAGTCAGGGGTACTAATCAACATAGGCCAAGAGCCCCAGCGATTTTCATTCTGCGTTCTTCCTGCTTCTATTTTTTGAAAGTTTGAAATGTACACACTTTATGTAGCCTGCACTGTGGAAAGGCCATCAGTGTTAGCTGCTCAGGTGGAAGGACACAGAGAATGCCCTGCTTCCATCTCCTTCTTTTCCTAACTGTGTGATGCTGAAAAGTTCCTGACTTGCTTGCTGAGCCTCTATTTCCTTCTCTGCAAAAATATGGCTACATGTGTCTGTGAGGGCCAACTACCAAAAACGAAGAAACAAAAATCCAAATATACTACCTGGCACATAGTGGAAATAAAAGATATTATATTATTACTCTTTGCTAGTATTATACCTACACTTCATTTTCAATTGTAAAAAGCATCACACTTAAGCTAGTAACCACTATTCCTTAGGGAACTGTAGTAAACTGACCCTTGATCATCTTCAGGATAAAAGACTTAGCATTGCATCTGTATCTCTTTGTGGTCTGCCACCATGTACTTGTAATACCCACTGAAGGATATTCTTAGGTCCAACTAAATTAAGATGTGCAGAATCACCACGAGCCATGCTTGGCACCCACTGTGCTTACACAGGGCAGAAGCCACAGCATGAGTGTGAAGAGACAGCTCTCCAAGGAGTTTCTGCACGTCTTGCACACACACCTTCTGTTGTGACTGTCTTGTCAAGCACGATGTGTGACGCACTGGTTATCCATGGATGGCCACGCGGTTCCAATGCACTCTGCAATGTTGCTCTAGGATAAACAATGGGATTCTTTTCAACCTTTCTCCTTGAAAGCCAGTGTGATTCTGAGGCTTTTAGTAGAAGACACTTGGGACTCTGCAAGAGGAAAAGACTTCCTACAATTCCAGTGTGGAGCGAGGTGAAGATGTAGATGTGAGGACCTCAGGAGGGTCTGCCACAGCCACAGTTAGGATGTGGTCTTTCTGCATCCTGCAGACTTGGCCTGGTAATAACCTTTCCACAACCATCTTGACCAAGAAACCAGAATCCCCCAACATCTGCCTGATTCCAAGGCCTCCTGACTGTGCTGATGCCAGGACTCCCTCTGCAAGTCTCCATGTGGCCACCTGCACCTGAATGTCACCTTCTGTCCCTCCTGCAAACCCCTCCTCCCACCACCACCACCTTGTGAAATCCATGTATTGGAAGGCTCTCTGCCTCCACCAGCACCCAGGATCCCACTGCCTGCCTGTGCAGATTGCTGTTCATTTGCACTCCCTCCTGCATGGCAGAGAGGATTCTGATATTTTCAAAAGCAACTCCAGACCAGCTCCAGCCTGGCAACACTGAAAACTTCTCCACTATCTGCTGGTTAAACTATGCCTTTTTCAGTGAGGCCTAACTCCTTCTGAGTTTGTTCTTCCTTGGGTGCTCTCCCTTAGCCTTAGGGCACCATATAGAGTTTTCTTATGTTGTATAGTTAGCCTTTAATCAAATTTAATAATTCTTTTTATTAAACATCTCCTTTTTAACGGTGGTATGATTTGTATCTCATGACTGGATGCAGACTACTACATCTAGCAAAGAGAATTGATAGACAGAGACAGTATCTAGCTCTGGAGCAGAAGATGGGGTTGTTTTGCCACCAATGTAATAAGATAATGTAAAAGTTGGGCAGATCTGCTTGCTGCCCATTATTTAAAAAATTGATGTTTCCTGAGCTCTGGGTTTATCAGCTGTAAGACAAACTCTCCACCTCTGCATGCACAGCATCTACCCAGACCCACCTGTGATGCCCCTTGGGGGCTGGAGGATTCAAAACCTGTGTGAATATGCAGGTAATGCTTCCTGCTGTGCCTTGATGAAAATGAATCTCTTTGTCTCTAACCTAGAACTCTCATATCCTCTGCCAGCATCTACACAACTGTGAAAGGATAACTTCTTAGTTTGCAAGTAGAGGAAATTTTCGGAGACTTCATAATTCTTGACAGCAAGCAAGATAGAATCAGGGGACCTATGGGAGCTCTTGCATCAGTCTCTGCAACTGTTTCAGCAGTCAGGTGGGCATTCTTTTGGCTGCTTTCTACCCCTGACTCATGTAAGAGCTCAGGTGCAGAGAGATGAGATTCATATATGAGTGGAGGTTCCTCGCTGGCCTAAAAGCCTCATGTTGCACAGTAGCCAAATGTCTTACAATTCCACAGTTACAGCTTCCAAGGTCTCTGTAAGAACATGCCAGCACCAAGAGTCACCACACTCTGGGAAGCCCATAGCTCTAGCATCTTGCCAGGCATTTATTTAGTTCTCTTAGGCTGCAGAAATTTGCCAGTCAAGGGTCTTTTTCCCCATAATCAATATTGTCTTTTGATGTCATTGAAATTCTTCCTTTATCTAATTTCCACGGAAATAGAGTTAGAAAGGTAATTAAAGATGAAGTCCTAAAGCCAAAGGAGAAAAGATCATATTAACTCCATACTCAGATTGCCTGTTCCACATTTTCTTTTTTAAGTTGTGCACATCAAATTCTGTTTTCTCTATTTTGTCAACCTTTTCGTCAACTTAATATACCAAATTATCTCAAACCTTTCTCTCCCTGAAATGCCCTTCATACAGACCCTTTGTTTACCTGTCATAATTAGCATGTATCTTCAAGGATAATCTCTGGAAGATGGCCGACTAGACGCAGCCAGAAAGAGCATCTCCCACCAGGAGAGACTAAACCACCCAGTAGACAGGTACACTCTGAACAAATCCTCAGAAAGAAGGCATTGAGAATGGACAGAGGGAGGATGCAGACCCTGGGGCTGAAAGGGGAGAAAGGTGGGAACTGTGCGCAAGGTTGCTGAGCACTGGGACTCATTCCTGGCTGAGGCTCACCATAGTCCTGTAGGTGGCATTAGCCATTGTTAGAGGCCAGACCTGGAAAGAGCAGGGCTGCCCTTCCCACAGATTGGGGCCAATCTGATCTGAAGATCCCTTGTGTGCCAGCCTCCCCCAAGAGCCCTAGCTGGCCACACCCCTTTTCAGCACAGCCTCAGCTGCTCTGCTGAAACAGTTGACAGAAGCTACTGTGCCATAGTTCATTCACTGGCAGCCCCTGCCTTCCCCTCAGAGCGCTTTGGCAGGCAGATCCCTGCTGGTGTGCACTCATCTACAGCCTTCCCCTGCAGGAGCACTTGCAGCCTTCTTATAATGCTCCACTACCATGCACAGCCCATCCACCACCCTGTTGGTGCACACATGCCTGCTACCCCCATGCTTCTCTGCCAATGTGCACTCACCCACGGCTGCCCTGCCACCCTACTGATGTGCGCTTTCCTATACCCCCCAACCACAGTGCGCTCTCCCATGGGCCCCCTACTACCTTCCCACCGAAGCATTTTTGCTGGCAGCTCCCATTGGAATGTTATGCCAACAGACTGAGAACACATCAGCCCCTCCAGCACAGAAGGTGCTTGACCTTGAAGGGCCAGAGAACAAAGAAACAGGCCTGGTCCCAGCCCCCCATCAGGGTTGGAGCAGGCAGCCTGGGAGCGCTGACCAGAACCTTGCTCCCTTGAAAAGATTCAGAAATGAAACCAATCAACTAAATGCAGCTTATACCACAGCCAAGCCCTAGAGGGCACCAAATAATATTAAAGCAAAGAGCCCCATTTAAAGGATAGCAACTTTAAAGGTTAAAAGAACATCAGCCCATATGGATGAGGGGAAAAACAAAACAAAACAAACAAAAAACACAGTACAAGAATTCTGGCAACTCTAAAAACAACAATGACTTTTTACCTCCAAATAACACTAGCTTCCCAGCAATGGTTCTTAACCAGATTTAAGTGGCTGAAATGACAGACATAGAATCCAGAATCTGGATGTCAAGGAAGCTCAATGAGATACAGGAAAAGGTTGAAACCCAATCCAAGGAAAATAGTAAAATGATGCAAGAGCTGAAAGACAACATAGCCATTTTAAGAAAGAACCAAACTAAACTTCTGAAAATGAAAAACCCACTACAGGAATTTCATAGTGCAAATGGAAGCATTAATAGAATAGACCAATCTGAGGAAAGAATCTCAGAACTTGAAGATCACTTCTTCAAATCAACACAGGCATACAAAAAATTTAAAAAAAGAATTTTTAAAAATGAACAAAACCTCTGAGAAATAGGAGATTATGTAAAGAGAACAAACTTATGAATCATTGGCATTCCTGAAGGAGATAGAGAGAGAGCAAGAAACTTGGAAACATATTTGAAGATACTGGCCACGAAAATTTCTCCAACCTTGCTAGAAATGTTGGCATGCAAACTCAGGAAATTCAGAGAACCCCCAGAGAGACGCTATACATGATGACCACCCCCAAGATACGTAGTCATCAGATTCTCCAAGGTCAATGCAAAAGAAAAAATAATTATAAAGGCACCTAGAGAGAAGGGGCAGGCCACATAAAAAGGGAATGCTATCAGGCTAACAACGTATTTTCAGCAGAACCCTTATTAGCCAGATGAGATTAGAAGCCTATATCCAGCCTCCTTAAAGAAAAGAAATTCCAACCAAGAATTTTATAACAAGACAAACTGAGCTTCATAAGCAAAAGAAAGATTTTTTTTTTTAGATAAACGAATGTTACAGAAGTTTTTACCACCAGAACTGCCTTACAAGAGGTTCCTAAGGGAGTGCTAAACATGGGAATGAAAGACGGATACTGGCCACCACAAAAACACACTTCAGTACATAGTCTGCTGACACTACGAAGCAACTCTACAATCAAGTCTACATAACAGACAGTTAACAACACAGTGACTAGATCAAATCCTTACATTTCAATATTGACCTTGAATGTAAATCAGCTAAATGCACTATTTAAAAGGCCCAGAGTGGCAAGTTGGATAGAAAAGAACAATCCACCTGTGTGCTGTCTTCAAGAGACCCATATGATATGCAGTGACACCAATAAACTCTAAGTAAAAGGATAGAGAAAGATCTATCAAGCAAATGGAGAACCAAAAAGAGCAGGAACTGCTATTCTTATTTCAGGCAAAATAGATTTTAAACCAACAATAATCAAAAAGGACAAAGAAGGGCATTATTTAATGATAAAGGATTTATTTCAACAAGAAGACCTACCTATTCTAAATGTATATGCACTCAACATTGGAGCATCCAGATTCATAGAACAAGTTCTTAGATATCTCTGAAGAGACTTAGATAACTACTAAATAATAGTGGGAGATTTCAATACCCACTGACAATGTTAGACAGATTGTTGAGGCAGAAAACTAACAAAAATATTCAGGACCTAAACTTGACACTTGACCAAACGGACCAAACAGAAATCTATCTAATACTCCACCCAACAACAACAGGGTATACAGTTTTCTCATCAGCACATGACACATACTCTAAGACTGACCACACATACATCCATAAAGCAATTCTCAAAAAATTCAAAGAAGTGCAATCATACCAACTACACTCTCAGACTATGGCACGATAATAATAGAAATTAATACCGAGCAGCTTTCTCAAAACCATATAAGTATATAGGAATTAAACAACCCAATCTTGAATGACTTTGAGGCAAAGAATGAAATTAAAACATAAATTTAAAAAAAACTTTGAATCTGATGAAAACAAAAATGTAATATACCAGAATCACTGGGACACAGCAAAGACAAAGTTAAGAGGAAAGTTTATACTGCTAAATGCCTACATCAAGAAGTTAGAAAGATCCTAAATTAATTATCTAACATTATACCTGGAGGAACTAGAAAAACAAGAGGAAGCCAACCCCAAAATTAACAGAAGAAATAAACAAAATCAGAGCTGAATGTAACAAAATTGAGATGTGAAAATCCATACAGAAGATCAATAAAACCAAAAGTTTATTCTTCATAAGAATAAGCAAGATCAATAGACTACTAGCTAGATTAATAAAAAAATAAGGTCCAAATAAATACAATGAGAAATGACAAAGAGGACATTACCACTGAAGCCACAGGGGGGAAAAAAAACCCTCAGAGACTATTATGAATACCCCTGTTAACAAAAACTAGAACATCTAAAAGAAATGGATAAACTACTGGAAACATACCACCACCCAAGAATTAACCAGAAAAAAATTGAAATTCAGAACAGACTAATAAGTTCTAAAAATGAATCAGATTAAAAAAACCTGTATTAGTTCATTTTTACACTGCTATAAAGCACTACCTGAGATTGGGCAATTTATAAAGAACTGACGTTAAATTGACTCAGTTTTACATGGCTGGGGAGGCCTCAGGAAACTTCTCATCAAGGCAGAAGGTGAAGGGGAAGAAAGCACATCTTGCATGGCAGTAGGAGAGAGAGCAAACGGGGAAGTCCCACACACAAATTAACCATGAGATCTTTTGAGAACTCATTCATTATCATGAGAAAAGCAAGAGGGAAGTCTGCCCCCATGATTAAGTCACCTCCCACCAGGCCCCCACCCACAGCATGTGGTGTGGGGATTACAATCCGAGATGAAATTTGGTTGGGGACACGAAGCCAAACCATATCATTCTACTTCTGGCCCCTCCCAAATCACATGTTCTCACATTTTAAAACCAATCATACCTTTCCAGCAGTCCCCCCAAAGTCTTAACTCATTCCAGCATTAACTCAAAAGTCCAGGTCTAAAGTGTTATCAGAGACAAGGCAAGTCCCTTACACCTATGAGGCTGTAAAATAGAAAAGCAAGTTAGTTTCTTTAAACGTACAAAGGGAGTACAGGCATTGGGTGAATGTTCCCATTCCAAATGGAAGAAATTGGCCTAAACAAAGGGGCCACAGGTCCCACGCAATTCTGAAACCCAGCAGGGCAGTCATTAAATCTTAAAGCTCCAAAATAATCTTTGTTGATTCCATGTCTTATACCCATGTTATGCTGGGATGGGCTCCCAAGGCCTTTGGCAGCTATGCCCTTGGCTCTTCAGGGTGCAGCCCCCATGGCTGATTTTACAGGCTGGCATTGAGTGCCTGTGGCTTTTCCAGGTGTACAGTGCAAGCTGTCAGTGGATCTACTATTCTGGGTACTGGAGGATAGTAGCCCTATCCTCACAGGTCCATGTCATAGTGTCCCAATGAGGACTCTTTGTGGGGACTCCAACCCCACAGTTCCCTTCTGCACTGCCCTAGTAGAGATTCTCCATAAAGTCTCCACCCTTCCAACATATTTCTGCTTGGACATCCCGAGGTTTCCATACATCCTGTGAAATCTAGGTGGAGGTTTACAAACCTCAAGTCTTGCCTTCTGTGCACTGGCAGGCCTGACTCATGGAAGCCACCAAGGGTTGTGGCTTGCACCCTCTGAGGTCATGGCTTGAACTGTACCTTGGCCCCTTTTTGGCATGGCTGGAGCTGGAGTGGCTGGGACCCACGGTGCCATTTCCCAAGGCTTCACAGAGCAACGGGGTCCTAGGCCTGGCCCATGAAACCATTTTTCTTCCAAGGCCTCCAGGCCTGTGATAGGAGGGGCTGCAGTGTAGATCTCCGAAATGCCCCAGAGGCATTTTCCCCTTTGTCTTGGCTATTAATATTCAACTCATCTTTACTTATGCAAATTTCTGCAACCAGAGGCTTGAATTTCTCCCCAGAAAATGGGTTTTTCTTTTCTACCGCATGGTCAGGGCAGAAGTTCCAAACTTTAATGCTCTGCTTCCATTTTATACATAAGTTCCAATCTGTTTATGAATGCATGTGAGCATAGACTTGTATTTAAAAACAACCAGGTCACTTCATGTGAGTGCTTTGCTGCTTAGAAATTTCTTCTGCCAGATTCCCCAAATCATCTCTCTCTAGTTCAAAGTTCCACAGATCTCTACGGCACAGGCAAAATGTCAGAAGTCTCTTAATTAAAGCATACCAAGTGTGACCTTCACTCCAGTTCCCAAAAAGTTCCTTATCTCCATCTGAAACCACCACAGCCAGGACTTCATTGTCCATATCACTATCAGCATTGTGGTCAAAATTATGCAACAAATCTCTAGGATGTTTCAAATTTTTCTACATCTTCCTCTCTTCTTCTGAGCTCTCCAAACTCCTCCAACCTCTGCCTATAACCCAGTACCAAAATTGCTCCCATATTTTCAGGTATCTTTATTGCAGTGCCCCATTCCAAATACCAATTTTTTGCATTAGTCCACTTTCACACTGCTATAAAGAACTATCTGAGACTGGGTAATTACAAAGAAAAGAGGTATAGTTGACTTACAGTTGTGCATGGCTGGAAGGCCACAGGAAACTTACAATCATGGCAGAAAGCAAAGGAAAAGGAAGGCACATCTTATAATGGTGGCAGGAGAGAAAGAAAGAGCAAAGGGGAGAAGTGCCATGCACTTTTAAACTATCAGATCTCACGTGGACTCACTCACTATCATGAGAAACAAAAGGGAGAAGTCCGTCCCCATAATTGAATTACTTCCCACAAGGCCCCTCCCCCAAAACTTAGTGATTACACTTTGAGATGAGATTTGGGTGGGGACACAGAGCCAAACCATATCACCTGCTAAACGGAAAAAGCCCTGGACCCACGTGGATTCACAGTCAAATTCTACCAGACATACAAACAATAGCTGGTACCAATCCTACTGAAATGACTGCAAAAAATTAAGGTAGAGGGACTTCTCCCTAACCCATTCTATGAGTACAGCATCATTATTATATCAAAACCTAATTGTGACATAACAACAAAAGAAAACTTCAGGCTAATATCCTTGATGAACATAGATGCAAAAATCCTCAATAAAATACTAGCAAACTCCATCCTCAATAAAATGCTAGCAAACTGAATCTAGCAGCACATCAAAAAGCTAATCCCCCAGATCAAGTAGGATTAATCCCTGGGATGCAAGTTTGGTTCAACATATGCAAAGCAATAAATGTAATTCACCAGATAAACAGAACTAAAAACAAAAAACACATGATCATCTCAATAGATGCAGAAAAGGCTTTCAATAAAAATCAGCATCCCTTCCTGTTAAAAATCCTCCACAAACTAAGCATTTGAAAAACATACCTTGGCCAGGCGCAGTGGCTCTTGCCTGTAATCCCAGCACTTTGGGAGGCTGAGGCGGGTGGATCATGAGGTCAGCAGATCGAGACCATCCTGGCTAACACAGTGAAACCCCGTCTCTACTAAAAATACCAAAAATCAGCTGAGCATGGTGGCTGGCCCCTGTAGTCCCAGCTACTCAGGAGGCTGAGGCAGGAGAATGGAGTGAACCTGGGAGGTGGAGCTTGCAGTGAGCTGAGATCGCGCCATTGCACTCCAGCCTGGGCAACAGAGCAAGACTCCATCTCAAAAAAAAAAAAAAAAGAGAAACATACCTCAAAATATATACATGCCCTCTATGGAAAACACACAACCAACATCATACTGAATGGGCACAAACTGAAAGCATTCCCCTTGAAAACTGGAAACAAGCAAGGAGAAAACAGGCAAGAGAAAGAGAGAGCAGCCAGAGGCCCTCTCGTGCCACTCCAGCTCGACATAGTACTGGAAGTCCTAGCCAGAGCAATCGGACCAAAGAAGCAAATAAAAAGCATCCAAATAGAAAGAGAGGACATAAAACTGTCCCTGTTTGCAAATAATATGATTCTATACCTAGAAAACCCCATAGTCTCTGGACAGATGCTCCTTGATCTAATAAACAACTTCAGCAGAGTTTCAGGATACAAAATCAATGTTAAAAAAAAATCAGTAGCATTTCTATACAACAACAACATCAATGATGACTACCAAATCAAGACTGCAGTCTCATTCACAATAGCCATGAAAAGAATAAAATACCTAGAAATACAGCTAACCAATGAGGAGAAAGACCTCTACAATGAGAATTACAACACCTGCTCAAAGAAATCAGAGATTACACAAGCAAATGGAAAAACATTTCATATTCATGGACAGGAAGAATTAATATTGTTAAAATGGTCATTCTGCTCAGAGCAATTTATAGACTCCATGCTATTTCCATCAAAGTACCAATGACATTTTTCACAGAATTAGAAAAAAAAATGCTAAAATTTATTTGAAACCAAAAAAGAGCCCAAATAACCAGGGCAATCTGAAGCGAAAAGAAAAAAATCCGGAGGCATCACATTACCTGACTTAAAAGTATACTACCAGGCTACAGTAACCAAAACAGCATGGTACTGGTATAAAAGCAGACACATAGACCTGTGGAACAAAATAGCCCAGAAATAATGCTGCACATGCACAACCATCTGATCTTTGACAAAATTGACAGGAACAAGCAGTGAGAAAAAGATTCCTTATTCAATAAATGGTGCTGTGATAACTGGCTAGCTATATGCAGAAGGCTGAAAGTGGACCCCTTCCTTATACCATATACAAAAATCAACTCAAGATGGATTAAAGACTTAAATGTAAAACCTACAACCATAAGAACCCTGGAAGACAACCTAGGAAATACTGTTCTGGACATAGGACCCAGCAAAGATTTCATGACAAAGACGCCAAAAGCAGTTTCAACAAAAACAAAAACTGGCAAATGGGATCTAATTAAACTAAACAGCTACTGCACAGCAAAGGAAACTCTCGACAGAGTAAACAGGCAGCCTATAAAATGAGAGAAAATATTTGCAACCCATGTATTTGATAAAGATCTAATAACCAGCATCTATAAGGAACTTAAACAAATTAACAAGAAAACCCAAACAACCCTGTAAAAAAAGTGGGCAAAAACATGAATAGACACTTTTCAAAAGAATACCCAAATGCAGCCAACAAGTATGTGAAGAAAACGTTCAACATCACTGATTGTAAGAGAAATGCAAATCAAAACCCTAACTAGATGCAACCTCACTCCAGTCAGAATGGCTATTAATAAAAAGTCAAAACATAACAGATGTTGTCAGGGTTACAGAAAGAAATGAATTTTTATATACTGCTGATAGGAGTGTAAATTAGTTCAGCCACCATGGAAAGCAGTCTGGAGTTCCCTCAAAGAACTTAAAGCAGAGTTACCATTCAACCCATCATCCCATTAATGAGTGTATATCCAAAGGAAAACATATTCCACCAAAAAGACACATGCATGTGTATGTTCATCACAACACTCTTCACAGTAGAAAAGACATAGAATCAACCTTGATGCTCATCAATGGTGGTTTAGACAAAGAGAATGTAGCACATGTCTACCATGATATACTATGCAGCCATTAAAAAAAAAACCTCAAATTATGTCCTTTGCTGCAACATGGATGCAGCTGGAGGGCATTATCCTAAGCAAGTTAACGCAGGAACAGAAAACAAAATGCCACATGTTCTCACTTATAGGTGGGAGCTAAACATTGAGTACACGTGGATACAATGATGGAAGGAATAGACACTGTGGACCACTTGAGGAGGATGGTGGGAGAAGAGTAACGGTTGAAAAAGTACCTATTGGGTACTATGCTCACTATGTGGCTGATGAAATCATTTATACACCAACCCCAGTGACATGCAACTTACCCATGTAACAAACTTGCATATACTCCCTGAGCCTAAAATAAAAGTTGAAAAAAGTATCATCTCTGTTTAGGTAATCAAGATCTGAATGAATAAAAAGATCCTTTTACTGACTGATGCACACCAGGAGACACAGTCTCCAAACAAACTTTGCAGTGATTAAACAGGAGAAGAGTTTTGTAAGGTTTTAGGAAATAAACTATCCTGAAATGTGATCTGCCAGCAAAACAATATACCTGCTGGCATGACCAAGCACAAAAGTACAAAAGGTGACTTAACATTTTCTTGAGAAAATTGCATTTAGTTACGTAAATTAGCTTTTACTGAGGTAAACTGGAATTTTCCAGAAAGGGGAGAATGGGGCACTTAAAAAATGTAGGAAAGATAAAAATACAGAATCACTCCATAAAATATAAATCACTTACTTCTGTTTGGCAGTGTGCAAGATAGATGCCTTGACCTCTCAAACTCTTATCTCTGTGTATTTATCTCAGTTAGATAGCTGGGTTCAGTTTGGGTTCCTCCCTGCTTCTCCATGGGATGGAAGGCACCTTGAAGTACTAAGCAGGTGTAAAAAATAGTAGGGTAAGAAAAAAGAGAACAGAGTGCCAATGAGCTGCAAGATAACATCTAGCAACTCATGAATGCGACTCTTCAACCTCACCCCCTAAAATGTTCTTTCCAGGTTTTCACAGCATCAATGGTAGTGATGTTGCCAAATGTTAATATATCATGATTGGGTCTTAAGAGAGACTCTTGCATTTGTTCAGAATTTTGATTTTAAGTCATGATCTTGACCATTTGTCGTGTGAGCAGCTACATAGAAGGATTTAAGACTCTGGGTGGTATACAGTGTGTGAAAGAAATTTTGAACAGACAAAAGGAGCATTAGTAACCACATGAAATGCCCATGACGCAGGAGCCACCTCCTCCAGGGATCAGCCAGGAGAAGAAATCCCAACTGTGGCTCTCTGTAGAGTTCTTGGTTATAGATATGAAGTTGTTTTACAAATTCATTATTTTTATTAATTTTTCATTATCTGAACCACTTTATTGATCTTAAATGTTCCTGAGAACTACCTGGTGACACAGGTAGAGGATTCTTCTTTGGCACAAGCCTCTTCTATAAGCAACGATGGCATCTAGTCCTGCTGAGATTTGGACCACAGACTTTCAGTTTTTAGTTCCTCTTTAGGCAGCAGATCAATTGTTTCAGTCTTATCTCATTAAAACAGTTAATCTGTTGCCCAAAGAAGAACTAAAAACTGAAAGTCTGTGGTTGATCTCTTGCAGACATTTTAAAAACCATAGAACACAAACCTCTAATGAGGTTTTCTGTTTCCTTTATGGCTGTAAGAGATACAGCCCTTAGAGCAGCATAGCATTTTCCAATGTTTTTCAGTGATGATTGGATTGTCTAGTTTTTCACCAAATGCTCTACCATTTCCTTTAGAAATTTAATAGTTTCTATTAAATATATATTTACCTAACTTGCCACAATCTTGTTTTCCATATCAAAAAGAAAACATTTGGAGATATTATAGGCCGAATGTCTGTGTGTCTCCCAGGATGCATACGTTGAAATCCTAACCCTTAATGTGATGGTATTGGAGGTGGCTTTGGAAGGTAGTTATGGTTATAAGAATGGGACCCTCATGAATGCAATTAGTGCCCTTACTAAAGGGAATGGAGAAACCTTGCTTGTACCTTCCACCATGTGAGGATGCAATGAGAAGATGCCATCTATGAACCAGAGAGCAGATCCTCACCAGACACTGAATCTGCTGCTTCTTTGATTTAAGACTTCCCAGCTTCCAGAACTGTAAGAAATAAATATCTGTTGTCTAAGCCACTCAGTCTGTGGAATTTTATTCTGGCAATCCTAGCAAACTAATATGTCTTCCTACCTTAAGCAACTACAATACTGGATAAGACACATGAAATAACGATTTTCAACATTGTACAATAAACAGCACAGGACTATGATACATGAGAAGTGGAACACAATCCGGGTGAGCGCTACATTTGCACCTGATTAGTACTTCAAGGCGTCTTCCAGCCCACAGAGAAGCAGGGAGGAACCCAAACTGAACCCAGCTATCTAACTGAGATAAATACACAGAGATAAGAGTTTGAGAGGTCAAGGCATCTATCTTGCACACTGCCAAACAGAAGGAAGTTTCAAAATGAGAAAGCCTCAGAGAGCTCCAGAGAAGTCTCTTCAAATTTTTAGCTGACTGCTTGTTACGCATGCAAGATAGGAACATAACCAAGGGTGGGGAAGAAACAACTGGAAAGGAATAGCCAGAACAACTCCAGGAATTCACACAGGGGTGGAATAATTTGTGTTCCCACCAGCTAGAGTGGAAAGACCTTATGAAATTTACGGCATTAAATGCAATACTTAGAATACTAGATGGGTATTGCCTTAGAGGTAAGAATAAATTAGCCTGCTATAAAGGCTGCTCTCAGGCTGTCTTTAAAAAACTTAAAACCAAGCTTCAAAAAGATGAAACTGACTCTAAGTTTACAGTGTGTAATAGAATTTGTTTTTTAAACAGGTGTATGAGTAACCTCATGAAATGCCGGTAGCCCAGGAGCCAGTTGCTCCATGGATCAGCCAGGAGAAGAAGCCCCAGCAAATGATTTTGCCACTCAAACATGGGACAAATAATTTTGTTCCAGAACAAGCTCAATAATATTTAGTAGAACACAAAAACATCTAGCACGCAACAAGGGTAAAGCTCAAATGGCATGCATCTGATATCATTTTCCTTGTATGCAAAGAAGAATATAATGTGACCAATAACCAGAAAAATACCAATTAATAGGGAAAACAAACAGAATCTATGGATAAGATAGAACCTACTGTCAGAGCTGTCAAGTGTTCTTTCCATATTTAAGAAAACAGAGGCTGGGCTCCATGACTCATGCTTGTAATCCTAGCACTGTGGGAGGCTGAGGTGGGCAGATCATTCGGGCTCAGGAGTTTGAGACCAGCCTGGGCAACATGGGAAAACCCCGTCTCTACAAAAAATACAAAAAAAGTAGTTGGGCATGGTGGCATGCACCTGTTGTCCCAGCTACTTGGGAGGCTGATGTGGGAGGATTGCTTGAACCCAGAAGTCTGAGGCTGCAGTGGGCCGAGATCATGCCATTGTCCTCCAGCCTGGGTGACAAATAGGACAATAAACAGAAAACTGGAAAATATACAAAAGTGTCACAAGGAACTTTAGAGATAAAAAATACAATATCTGAAATTTTAAAAAGTGCTGGATAGACTTAACACAAGATTAGATATTACAGAAAAACCGAACTGTGAATTTAAAGACATTGCTATGGAGACATTCACAAGGATGATTGTAGAAAAAAAAGTAGGTTAAGAAAAAAGAGAACAGAGTGCCAATGAGCTGCAAGATAACATCTAGCAATCCAAGCTAGAGAGAAGAGGGGAGGCTAAAAATAAATTTGAAGAAATTAATAGCTAAAACTTTTATAAATTTGATGAAAATCATTAGTTTAAACATCCAAGAAGCTCAACAAATGCAGAAGGAAAAGAAAATGATGGAAAACCACACCAAAGCACACCATTACAAAACTGCTGAAAACCAAATATTTTTTTAAAAAATCTTAGAAGCAGCCAAAGAAAACACACACATTCATATAAAAATAAGAATACAGAAGACATTCTTGTCATACAATATGCAAACTAGAAAACAGCAATCATTCATGCATAAAGAGCTGAAAGAAATACTGTCAATTTAGAATTATTTACAAATAATTTCAAAATTGAAGGAAAAAACTGACTTTTAGACAAATACATCAAGATAATTTATCACTAGAATAATTTCACTACAAGAAATATTAAATAAAGCTTTGTAATAAGAAGAAAATGGCATAAGATAGAAATTTGGATCTATGCAAAGGAACATAAAACATTGGAAATGGTAAATACAGGCATAAGTGTGAAGGACTTTTTTTTTCTCATTTTTAAATAGCACTTTAATCTCTTCAGTATAATTTAAGTATAATTGACTGTGGAAAGCAAAAATATTAACAATTTTTAGTAAAATTTAGAGCATATGTATAAATAAAATATATGGCAAAATGGCACAAAGAATGTCAGGGGAGTTATTTAAATATTCTGCTGTAAGAATCCCTAAACTATATAGTATAGTGTTCTTTGAAGGTAGATTGTAATAAGTTAAAAATACATTATTATAAAGTCTGACACAATCATTAACAAATAAAAAGAGTTAGCTCAAATACCAATAATACTGATAAAGTGAAACTATATAATAATGTGAGCATTGCAAAAGAATCCAGTGCCGGGACAATAGGAAAAAATAATCAAATTAGAACACAAATATCAGCAAGGTAGATTTAAACCTAATTATCAAGAATTACAGTAAATGTTAATGGTTGAACACTTTAAATAAAAGGCAGAGATTTTCATATTAAATGAAAACTTAGGCATGACTATAAACTTTCTACGAGAGGCTCACTTTAAGTGTAAAAACACAAATAGGTTATAAATAAATAGATGACAAATATATACCATGAAAACACTAATCAAAAAGAGATGACTATATTAATATCAGATTAGCTATATCAAAGTCAATGTACTTTTTAGAACAAGAATTCCATTATTAAGAATGAAAAGAAACATTATTTAAGCTAGAGGTGTCAATTCAATATGAGGATATAGCAATTATGTGTATGCACCTCATAACAGAGCTTTGAAGTACAGGAAGCAAAAACAAATAGGACTGAAAAGATAAGTAAACAAATCTATAATTATAGTTGTAGAGTTCAACATTCTTTGTCAATAATTGATAGAACAAGTAGACAGAAAATGAGTATGAATATGAAGAACATGAACAATATTATCAACAAACTTGATCTTAATGATATATACAGAATATTCTACCCCACAGCAGTATAACATGAATTCTTTCACATGCTGTGGAACAAATTCTGAGCAATAAAACAGGTATAAATAATTTTAAGAGAATAAAAATTATACCAAGTTGTATCTCTGATCCAATTAATTACAAATAAATTATATTAATTAAAATTTTGTTTTTCTTTAATTAAACTATTAAATAATAATCAGTGACAAAAGGAAATCTGAAAAAAAAACAAAGTGTTTGAAAATTAAATAGTATGCTAATCAAAAAAATCACAACATATTAAAATTTGTGTAATATAGTTAAAGCAATGTTTTTAGTGTGGTATAGTTTGAATGTATATGTCCCTCAAAAATTCTTATGTTGCAATCTATTACCAAGGTGATGGTATTAGAAGGTGGGGCCTCTGAGAGGTGACTAGGCTATAAAAACTCCACCCCGATGAATGAGATAAATGCCCTTAGAAGAGAGCTAGAGGATGCTAGGTAGGTGCTTAGGCCCTTTCATCTCTTCTGTCAGGTAAGGACACACCAACAAGGCGCCATCTTGAAAGCAAACAGCAGCCCTCACCAGATACCCAACTTTCTGGTGCCTTGATCTTGGACTTTCCAGCTTCCAGAATTGTGAGAAATGCATTTCTATGTATTTATAAATTATCCGGGCTCAGGTATTTTGCTACAGCAGCACAAACAGATTGAGATAATGTGCTTATATTAGAAAAAAAGAAAGGTCTCAAGTGAAGCCCTTTCTTCACTTTTCTTTCCCTTAAGTCTTCCTACTTAAAAAAGATAGAAAGGGAAAATTAAATGAAAACAAAAGTAAGCTGAGAAAAGGAATATTGGAAAAATAAATCAATGAATATATTTTTGAAGTATAAACTAGCAACACCTCTCCAGGAGAACTTGCTCTTTGAATCACAGTGACAAGTATCTGATTCAATCATAAGTGAACATTTTGAACTTCAAAACTTGTCCAAAAATAAGTGCTCAAGTTGGAGGGGACATTAAATGAATAAAATGACTCATCAATTATTCCCCAAGTGATCCAAAATTAACCCAGAACTGTCAGAAGGGCCACAGGGAAGTACTGAAGTTCACTTTAGGTGCATTTGGTAGGTACATTTGGAAAAGAGGATTCTCTGAGTTGCTTAACTTAAATCAAGGTTTTAATTTTCGATGGTGAATTTAATTACTCATTATATAATGGTTAACAATCTGGCATCTTTAAAAACAGGGACTGTTTGTTAGGTGTGTTGCTTGATTTCACATGAACCTATAAAACAAAATTTAAAGCTCATAGCCATTTAGCTGAAACACGTATGACTGAGAGGACTATTTGTGTTGTTTCCTTAAGTAAAATTTGGGAATTTTGGTTGTTCTCATCAGGGACTGTTTTATCCTAAAATTTATTAAATACACACATACTTCACTTTTACAAAAGGAAGCCTCTGTTATATTTGAAAGTAACTTAATTTTGCAATTCATATATTTGAACTATTATAGGCACATATAAAAATAGAAAATATATTTTAAGTCAATGAAAGTTATCCCATAGACCCTATCAATAAATAAATATTTTTGAAAATTCTCCAGCTCTCAACTTGCAATTGTAATTCCTAGATACTGCATGTGATCATTTATATTTCCTAGAGGCAGACTTATGATGGATTAATTCCCATAATTCATCATTTTTCTCTTCTCCCCATCTGTGTCATGCATCATTTCTACACTTGATTGCAGAACTTCTGATGCTGAATTTCAGAAAATGTATAGTTTTGTGGCTATTTGCTGTACCAGATGATTATGTGTATTGATATTTTCTTTCTCAAGACTCTCAGGGTTCTTTTTACAAAATTTGGCATTTTCACTCAACCACTTTTCTTCATATTTGGAAACTTCACACTGAGATACTTCAAAATACTGAAAGCATATTTTGAATTTCCATTTTTATAAAGATGTAATTTCTTGTTTCACCTAGGATAATCATGGATAGTTTTCTTGCAGAGAAATAGTTGGAAATATAAGTAAATGCATTTTAAAACAACTATACAATTAAAGAGTTTGTACTGTGACCTGTTGGATGAAAATCTACATGATTTGTTGCATTAGTGGAAACCTATCACGTAAACATCTTTAGATCATCTCCACCAGCTATCATGTATAAGCTTTCATTAAGGAAGAACATTTCTTTCAAACTTAGATATTAATTGACTGAATTTCCTCAAAATATTAACTTTATAATAGGGGGAAGAAGGGAGAAAGCTGGGGTGGTCCCCTACCCTCTCCTCTAGGCTGAGCATCTGGAACAGAAGTGATGCTAAAGAGGAGGGTGACAAGTGGGAGGGAGTAGGCATAGCAACTAGGATGATTTTGGCTCAAAGTAGCATAAATTGTAGTGAACTTTTGATCTAGCATATCAGCCAGTCCTAAGGAAAAGAGGCTCCTGGCAGAAGGACCCAGCTTTGCCTCTCTGCTCAGCTTCTGTTCCCATTCTTCTGGAGCCAGCATCCCTGCCTTGGCTGGCAGTAAGTAGGCAGCAGCTCCAATGTTACACTGCAACACATCCCAGAGGAAGAAAGAAACCTTCTCTTAGAAACAAGAACACTTTTCACAGGAGCCCCTCGTGGTTCACTGGCCAGAACTGATTTGCAGGTTGGACAGTAGCTGTACCAAATAAAAATGCTTGACAGAAAGCTTGGCACATTCCAGTCACCTGGAATTTCAGCTGCCACTCTGGAAGACAATCGTTGTAGGCTTACACTCAGGCTGCAGCGTTCATCTCAAGCATATGCCTTTTTTTGTTTTCTTCTGCAGACTTCTCTGAAGCCTCACTCCCTTCCCCAGGAAAAATGTCAGCCAACAGGGATTCTGTAGAAAATGGACACTTGCAGGAGGCACTGGCATCTGTCTCAGCAGTCCTGGGGGAATCAAACTCTGCTACCCACATAATGAACCTTGCTGTGGGCTTTGCCATCTTCTCTGCCTCACTCTCTTCATTCCTCCCACCTGTGCAGCACAGTCATTTCCCTAATAAACTATGTGATCAAAGCCCTTGTCTCAGGCTCTCCTTAAGGGGGACTCAAGCTAAGAGGTAGGGTTACCACTCACAATTCCCACTCCCATGATGCAGGACACAGTTCAAAATGGAAGGTGGGACCCTATATGTCTTTGAGGTTTTGAAGAACTCATTAAGTTTGAATGCAGTTGAGTCAGGGCTGGAGTGGTGCCCAGGGTACACTGCCCGTCTTCAGGGGTGCTACTCACATCTATAGGACATTTTAACACCCCTTGGAATTATTCAATTTACAATCTGCATGACTGTACACAGTGGCTTTGGAAGGACAAGGATTGGAGTGAGTCTTCTCTCCCAGGTACATTTGAATATTTGGGGCTACCCCCAGAATCCCGTCATTTCATTAGATGCTCAGTTACACATTCACTGTGAAGCCACTGAGGGTCAACTGTCTTTCTCAATAAATGACTGACTTTTTTCAGCTTTTGGTTTGGATGACTCACTTTATCACATTAGCTGCGGATCATATCGAGTTAGAGTAAAACAGATTTCTAGAAGCACGTTAGGGTTTATGTTAACAGTAGGAAAACTACCATCTTGTATCCTCAGTGACATTATTTGACACTAAACAATACATAGTTCATTGTATCACTTTGGAATCTTCACAGAGTCCCTTTGCCAGCAGGTGTTGGTTTTAAAGTCTTTCAGTTTGATCATTAGGAGTCATATGTGGTTATTCGTTCTGATCAAGAAGATTCATATTTATTCTATGTTCCATGTTGATATCTTTGAACATAGCTTTTGACAAACTATTTTGCCTTTTATGTGAGATTGCAATAGAGGATTTCGTTTTTGAGATACCAACACTGTTTATGTGTTTAGAATGCTTTGATATATCTGACCCAGCATTCACCTCTATGGTTTAATATGTCTGCTAAACTTTTGAAAGAGACTCAGCTTAACAGCATATAGAGAAAAAATTCAATTACCCAGCATAAATGTCCAAAATTTTTCTTCCTTTCATGTATTGTATTTTCAATAATTTGCAATATTTTTGCAATAATATAACAATTTATGTTCTATATGAGTTTATCTTCAATTTGTTTCCTAGTTGTTGACAATTTTAGTGTTCCTGTCATTGTTAGTTGAGCAGACCTGATCGTTTTATATGAGAACCTAAGGGTTTAAGTGAGTTAAGTGTTTTAATAAAAACTGAAGTAATGAGAAAAGGAAGGGAAACTCACACCAAACTGCTCTGAATGTGAGACCTTCTGCCAGAACCTCACACACGTCACTGACTTTGAAACTCACAGTGCCTTTGGGAGGGAGGGACCATCACCCCTTTTGCAGATGAGGAGACTATGATGCAGAAACAGCACCTGATTTGTTGTACAACTTGATATTGGCAAACAAAATATCAAATACATGACTCCAAAGTAATAAATGATCTAGACTTTTGGCTAGTTTCTAGATAAAAGGTCCCCTTCAAAGCAAACATGCTTTGTGGCTGAAGATTTGTAAAGTGCCACTAGAATACACATATCTATCATGTTACCAAATGTATATGACTTTTCTTTTTAAATAATAATCTTAGGCATTTAATTGAGATGATACATTTTTTCTAAGCAATCCAAAGAAATTCAGCGCATTATTCAACCTGTTTACATTCTCAATGGACCCAAGTCCACAAGACAGAAGCTGGAATAAGTAAGAAAAGCTATGTGAGAAAGTACACTTCTCTTCTTGTTTCTGCTATAAGTAAATAGATTGACTCTGCAGCAACAACACTGCTGTAAAGTAAACTTCCACAAAGGGAGTTGGGGAAAAATACCCTAAAACCTGAACTAGAGCATTCTTATTGGAGAAAATGTAAAGTTCTCCTGGATGAGAAAACTGTTCTTGCATTTATTTCATAAGCTTTAAGTCAATTAATACAAACATCAATTAAACAACAAATATGTTACCATTTTGAAGAAGAGCTTAAGCAGTTTCATTTCTAATCAAAATAAAACATATGCATGTCTGCATTTGAGATATGCTATACTCTTAATATAATTTTCTTTATATTAAAATTTTATGGATGCAATTATTAATGCCAATAAGCAATGAAAATATATGATGCAGCATGCTTTCACCTTTCTTGGTACTGAAAAGCTCATAGAAACTAAAGGGCAAGAAGATCAATTCTGTTCATATCATTCCTGTGGTTTCCCAGCAGATGAGATAATTGTTCATGGGGCTGGAGACTCCATTTGTCAGACACCAAGCCGCGGTATAGAAAGTGACATGCTTTAGCAAAGAATAAAGTTACCACATTTGATTATTTTTTGCACCAGAACATGCAGATGTTCATGGTAATTACCATAAATTATCTTCATATTTATTTTTTAAAAAGTTTTAAACTTGAGCATGTGAAAAGTCAATAAATATATTACACATATATGTGTATATGCATTTATGTACATGTATATATATGTTTATATATGTATGTATAGACTAAGATAATTCTTGGTCTAAGGTTAGTTTAGGCAGACAAGGAAAGAATTATCTCCATAGTCAGTAATAGATTATATGAAGCTACCACAATATCTTCGCCAGAGTGAAGAGAAAGAAATCTAATTGCAATTCCTAATAACAGACATATCCTTGGGCCTGGGGTAGTGTCGGACAAAGCACCTTGTAACTCTCTTTCTCTGAATTTCCCAAGGCTATCTGGGGTATGTGGTTCTTGGATCTCACAAAAACAGGCTCTGCAGCAGCACAAAACCATTGCTTAGCCTCGCAAACCAAAGGATGGAAGTGCTGCAAAAGTCAACTGGAAAGATCAGTAGGAAGAGACTGAGCCAGACCTTCTCATGCTGATCTTCTCCACCAAACACTTGCCAATGTCTATCTGCATCCATTCTGTGGAGCCAGCACCAGGGGAAGGCCAGTGAAGGAAACACTTGGCAGACATCAATGCTCAGTCATTCTTACAGAAGAAGTAGGAAGAGCAACAGCGGGCCTTTTGAAAAGAGCTTGCACAAGTGGAACTTTTTGTGACAGTTTAAGGTGTTAAAAGAAATATGATCTGCAAAGGCAAGAGCAAAACAAAGCCATAATTTGGGATTTACTCCATCTGAATTGGTACCAACTCTCTCTGACTTCCTAGAATTACCTGGTCCACACAGCGTGTCAGGATCACTCTATGTTCCGTACCTTTGTGTGGACTCAGTGTGGAGAGCTCCTTCCAATTTTCCTAAACCAAAAGCAGTGACAAGAATTAAGCAACCTAGTTTTTTTTTTTTTCAGATTAGATGTTAGAACTGAGGAATTTCTGTGCTAGGTCATCCATAAGCTAACATTTAATTCATTTCTCTAACCTTCCAGGATTTCCTCCAGAAATTCTCATTAAAAAGAAGAATTCACATGATTCATAGCATCTAGTTTATTCATCTATTGTATTCAGGGCATCTAGTGTTTGCAGAGCATTGTGTATGCAGAGCATTCATGTTTGTAGAGAATTTAGTGTTTGCAGTTTACTTTCTCTACGCAGAGCATCTAGTATGTGCATTTGTATTTGCAAAGCGTTTGGTGTTTGCAGAATCTTTAAGATATTGTGTTAAGTGTTCTTATAAAAAATAACAATAAGAAATAAAAAGGGCAGAGGAAAACTTTTGGAGTGATGTTTTTGGTATTGATTCTGGTGATGGTTTCATAGGTGTACACTCATATCAAAACACTTAAAGTTTTACATATTAGGTATGTACAGCTTTTTATATGTCAATTATATGTTAATAATTTCTTTTTTAAAAAAAGAACATTTAATATTTATAAAAGAACTTTCAATCTTAATGTGTCCTGACTCCAGACTCCTAGCTCTGGAATGTGGGCTGAGAGTAAGGAGCAGGCTCCTCACCATGTCTATCTTTCCACTCTCCAACCCTGCACTGGGTGTTAAACACGTGGGCATGCTCTGCGTGGAAGGGCTTTTTGTTTTTGGAGTGATCACACCATACAGGAGGCAGATGTGGTGCTCCATTCTGTATGTGCACAGATAATGGGATGCATGACAATGAAGAAAATGCTATACTCACAATGCAGGATGGATCTTCCTGTGCAGGAGAAACTAGATAAAACTCTTCACATAGGCACACAAACACTGGGAACATATAGAAGAAAAACATTTATATGGACTAGGTGTGGTGGCTAACGCCTGTAATTCCAACAATTTGGGAGACTGACGTGGGCAGATCACCTGAGGTCAGGAGTTCGAGATCAGCCTGGTCAACATGGCAAAACCCTGTCTCTATAAAAAATACAAAAATTAGCAGTGCGTGTTGGTGCACACCTGTAATTCCAGCTACTCAGGAGACTGAGGCACAAGAATTGCTTGAACCTGGAAAGCAGAAGTTGCAGTGAGTCAAGATCATGCCATTGCACTCCAGCCTGGGCGATAGAATGAGACTCTGTCTCAAAAAACAAAAACAGTTATATGAAGCATGGATCTTCTATACATACAAAATAAAAAACAAAGTGGGGCCAGGTGCAGTGGCTCACGCCTGTAATCCCAGCACTTTGGGAGGCCGAGGCAGGCAGATTGCTTGAGGTCAGGAGTTTGAGAACAGCCTGGCCAACATGGCAATACCCTCTCTCTCCAGAAAATACAAAAATTAGCCAGGTGTGGTGTTGCACACCTGTAATTCCAGCTACTCGGGAGGCTGAGTCACTAGAATTGCTTGAAGCTGGAAGGCAGAGGTTGCAGCGAGCCGGGTTCATGCCACTGCACTCCAGCCTAGATGACAGAGTGAGGCCCTGTCTCAACAACAACAAAAAAAAAAAAAAAAAAGAAAAAAAAAAGAAAAAAAAAAGTGGCATTAGAACTATTGAGTCAACAAATAAAGTATTCTCTCTCTCTCTTGCCCCTGACCCAGGTAGATAGATAGATACATACATACATATATAACATATTTCTATTGTTTAAAGAAAAAGTAAACCATGAGATTTTTGAAAAAAGACCCATCCTATGTATTACAGATTATCTCTTATCTGGAACTCTTGGGACCAAAAATATTTGCATGTATATAATAATGAAAAATCTTGGGAATAGAACTCAACTCTAAACAGGAAATTTATTTATGTTTCATATATACCTTATACACATAGTCTGAAGATAATTTTATGCAATATTTTAAAATAATTTTGTGCATGAAACAAAAGTTTGTGAACATGAGATCAGATGTGGAATTTTACACTTCTTGACATGATGTTGGTGCTCAAAAAGTTTTCTATTTTGAATAATTTCAGATTTTGTATTTTTAGGTTAGGGATGCTAAACGTGTATTTAGGTTGTTATATATTTTCAAATGTATTTATAAACTCCTCAGAATGCTATCAGACAACCTCTGAAAAAATTCCAACAATTATTCAATAAGAAATTAAATTTCTATCTTCGAGTAATCATCATATTATCAATTTTCAAACACACTTCTAAGTGTACTCCTATATTTCTGCCTTTAGCTACATATCCAAAATCTTGTTTATTTCTATAGTTAGTCTAACTTCTCTGCATTCCTTAGTATTTCAAATGGAAAATGCATTTTTACTAAAATTCTAATGTGAAAAGTGAAATGCAATAAGAAAAAGAGATTCTCCAGTTTACTGCCTTTAGTATGTAATAGATTTGTCTGAATACAGCAAAATTTTGTGAAGTATATTTAACAATCTAAAGAGTGACTTAAATTTTATAATTTAGGTACTAAGTACAGATTAGGAAACAGTAGAATACCTTTTTCTTCCTTTTCCTTCCCAGAGCATCCTCCTTTAGAAATAAGAGGCAAACGTTCCTATCTTTTGGGCTAAGTCAGTTACTTTTAGTGCCATCATTGTCAATAAAGTCTTAACCCTGCAGGGCACTATGCAGAAGGAATTGCAAATATCTTCTCCTGATTGTTTGTGTTCACAACCTATGGTGTACATAAGGTTATGCACACAAGCCCAGGGTGTGCAGGCCAAAAAACACTATATTAATCTATGGTTCACTGTGACTTTTACATACCAAAGGACATATATTTCCTTGAATTCCTGGAATTCCTTAATTTCTGGAATTACATATATGTCACCAAAATAAGGACAAATCATGTCTAGTAGCTATGAAAAGTAATTTGGGGAATGTAGCTTCCTGACAGCAAATTCTGGGAAGTAAAAATTCTTTTTACCTCACTTCAGAAAAAAACTCCCTGATAAAAGGTAGAATACAATGTTACATTGAAGGTATCAGTAGGGTGAGGCATCTTGAGCAATTTGTAATGCTTTAGAGAAGGCTGAAAGGTAGAAATATTAATAGTAACCATGGAGCAAAACCATTGCTTACGAGAAGGAAAGGAAATGATAAAGAAACTGGAATAATTGTTTTAATGCTATACTAAGGATGAATTCCAACACTGTTTTTAAGAAATCAAGAAGGTCACAAAGCTCTGGGAATAAAATAGCATTGTCAGAGTTAAGCAGTGAGGACTTGTCTCCAGAGATTGGTATATCATCTTCTGATGGCCAAGAAGCCTGTGAATTTTCAGGGGCCGGTTATGATTCAGTGTGGAGTCTGAGCTAACAGACAGGTGAGTCATCAGGTGAAAGAGCTCATGAAGCAAACATAAGCCAAATTGAATGTGGAGCTTTCATACATAATCAGAGGAATGGTTTTAAATGCCAAATTCCAAATAGTAAGATTGCAATTTAACTGGCTGTTGGCATAACTAAATGTCAGGAATGCGCTGAAGCTGGAACCAGGGAGGACCACTGAATGCAGACCAAGGAAACGATACTCAAAAATGTAGGTTTTCCTCTTCAACATTAAGAATGAGTGGCTCTGGTGATGAAATATTCCTGACCAGGTTTATATGTATAAGTTGAGAAGACATTGTTACTATCAAAGGGAGAGCTACCAAATGACTTGATGAATGTGGTGGTGTTTGTAAGAGAGAGAGGAAGGCTACATATATACATATATATAAAATCTCTCTATATTATATATTATATATATGTGGTTTGTAAGAGAGAGAGAAAGGCCATATATATATAAAACCATATATATATGGTTTTATATGTATGGTTTTTATAAAGACAAATATAAGGTCTGTCACTTGTGTGAATATGTTGAGTAAAACAAATCAATAAATAAAGTAGTGTCAAACTTAAAGTTTCATTTTGAAGGGGGGGATGCATTCTTAGTTTCAGAGAAAGATTCCTTGATAGATCATGGTTAAGGATCTTGAGAATGAGAAAATCAATTAATCAGGCAGATTGTCGTATAATGAGAGTACATTTATCTGAGTTTTCAGTATCAGAATAACCTAGGTATATACTCTGTGGCTATTCTTTCTTTTCTCTTTGCTTTAAAATTTTTTAAATAAAAGAAAAATGTTAGACTTTCCTCTAAAAACCATATTCTTTCATTGTCCCAACACACAAAGCTGAGCTGAAGACCTTTGGACAATCTTATTAGGTTAGTGCAAACGTTGTTGCAGTTTTTGCCATTACTTTAAATGGCAAAAACCATAATTACATTTGCAGGGACCTGGAAAAGCCGGTATATCATAGGTATACAAAAAAGTAACACTTTCTTGTATATCTTTGTTTGCTAAGGGAAAAGGAGATACTCTTCTAATTAGGAGAGAGTAAATTCTGGATAAAAGTTTTAAATTCCAGTTGTAAAGAGTCAAAACAAAATTGAAGATACAATTTATTAAAAGAATTTCACTGGCAGGGCTCAGGGGCTGGCGCCTGTAATCCCAACACTTTGGGAGGCCGAGACGGACAGATCACCTGAGGTCGGGAGTTTGAGACCATCCTGACCGACATGGAGAAACCCCGCCTCTACTAAAAATACAAAAATTAGCCGGGCTTGGTGGTGCATTCCTGTAATCCCAGCTACTCAGGAGCCTGAAGCAGAATTGCTTGAACCCGGAGGCGGAGCTTGCCGTGTGCACTCCAGTCTGGGCAAGAAGAGGGAAACTGTCTCAAAAAAAAAAAAAAAAAAAATTGACAACATGAAACAAGACAAAAACTACAGGATAAACTTGAAGGTGCATGTAGTAAGGGGTTTTCAAACAGTCTTAAGCGTCTACTGGCTGCATTTCACGGTTGCTAACAAGTTGCCTTATTTTGTTTTTCTCTTAGAAGTTTCTTTTTCCTTTAAGCTGTCCTTCTACAGTAGTCCTGTGAGACAAATCACACCAGGATCTTCTAGAGTGTCACCCTTTGAAATTGCAGCACCTCTGACGAGAAGTCTTAGGAAAATATAAATGACTGCACTGGTTTTGTCCCTTTGCATCTGGTTTTCACTCAAGATTCTACCCTGGTCAGGGCGCGGTGGCTCACGCCTGTAATCCCAGCACTTTGGGAGGCCGAGGTGGGCGGATCACGAGGTCAGGAGATCAAGACCATCCTGGCTAACACGGCGAAACCCCATCTCTACTAAAAATACTAAAAATTAGCCAGGCGGCAGGCGCCTGTAGTCCCAGCTACTCAGGAGGCTGAGGCAGGAGAATGGCCTGAACCCGGGAGGCGGAGCTTGCAGTGAGCCGAGATCGCGCCACTGCACTCCAGCCTGGGCAACAGAGCGAGGCTCCGTCTCAATAATAATAATAATAATAATAATAATAATAATAATAATAATAATGATAATAATAATAATAATAATAATAATAAAAAGAATCTACCCTGGAAGAGACTGCTCAAAGGAAAGCCCTTGCCAACCCCTAAGTCTGAATCCTCTGCAATTGTGAGAAAGCATCTCCGTCTGATCCCCCTCCTCCTACCCAAACTAAATGTGTTGCTGAGAGTCCCTTCATGTCAGGCTTGGTCACAAGCAACAGTGGGCATGGCAAGTGAGTTACTTTGGTGACTCTGGTTTTCCTTTTTTTTGTTTGTTTGTTTGTTTTACAAATATTTATATACTGGAATACTGAATAAATTCTTGGGATTTCAGTCTTGCTGTACTCAACACTCTACTGACTTTTACCAAATAATTGCCAGAATATTTTTTTCATGAAATTTTACTGGAGCTCTTGGGCCTCTAGCATTTTAGAGCACTGAAAGTCACCAATGAGTTTAGGATGCAATAAAATTTAAAATCTTAATTTTGATGTACAATAGCTTATTCTCATTTTGCATTTGAAAATAATCATTGTTTCACCATGAATTATCCATTTTTCTATTACGCTAGTCTCTGCTAAAATAAATCCCTTTCATAATCTGTTATGAACTAGATCATCCATACTACATCACATTGGATTTTACAGTTTTTATGCTATAAATGTGTATTCACCTCATTTGTTAGATTTTCATTTTTTTCTATTAGTCAAATGAATACTACTTCTGTAAATGTTTTAAATATATTAACTTCCATCCCGATTTTCCCTGAAGACAGCTTTATGCAAATTTGTGCTTGGATGCACAACTTACACTTATAACCAGAGCAAAGGAGCTGGGTCCTCACTTTCATCCCTGAGCATTCAGCTTGGGAGGAGTCATAGCAGGTGGTAGTTGATAGCAGAGTGTCCTTATTTTTGAAGCAGCGCAACCGAATGGAAGAACTCTTTGCCCAAATCGTCTGACATTTTAGAGGGTTTAAAAGCTTCCAACCAATCTTAACATGTGCAAGTTTCTGAAATAGCAGGGATTGAAAGCAATTCAATCCATGAATGGCTTTCCACCTATCAAGTCGGGTTAAACAGTGATGGATCTGGCATAAGCCTCCCTCACAGGATTGTTTCACAAATAACAAAGCCCGCTTTATCAACATCATTGTTCAGTTGTACTCTCCAGGGCAAAGGAAGTGACATATTCATGGGTAACCAGAACACAGTGAAGAAAGAAAGGGCGGATTCTCTTTGGTTTAACTTTAGGTTGTAATACTACCCAGTAAAACTTAATAAATCTGTTGATTTTATATGTTGAAATGTTAATCTCTTACCAATATCTGGCTTCAGGATTTTTATAAAAAGCTCCCCCAGTAAACTGCCTGTTGAAGTGATATCACCTGTTACAGCCTTAATAAAATTTAATTAAAAGATCATTGTAAGCTATTTATGTTTCCATTAATTAAAACAAGAAAAAATATGTGTCAGTGCGGCAGAATAAGAATCTTAAAAGCAATATGAAATTTCCAATTTTGATTCTTACCCAGTAATCATTAACAAGAACATATTGTAAATGTGCAGAAAAAATGTAAAGATTAAAACTATTTTGTGAGGCTAAAAGCAAATGTCTAATTCTACATAAAGCAACCAACAGTGAAACCCTAGACTGAAATCCCAGCGTGATGAGCTGAGAAACACAGAAAACATCTCCTGATTGTGTTTATTCGGCAGCTTTATTGAGGGTATTTTCAGTGAGAATGGTAGGTAGTAACAAAATACAATAAAACCTTGAAAATGTTCCCAAATGTGACATAGCATCTTATTTCATGTTAGTGAGAAACCATTACCTCATCTGACAATATCACAAACCTGGGACCTTATTAGCTCCCCCTCAGCCTTGTAAGTTTTGAGACCTGTCCAGCTGAACTCTAAGGAGCAAGCCTGTTCTCCAGCAGACTCCCTTTCAGAATGTCAAGGGAAAACTGAAAGGATACCACAGAGAAGCTAAGCTAGATCCCAGGCTAAAACTGCAGGGAAACCGACCACACTGGAATGTGCAGATGGGGATACTGGGAGCAGACTGGGTTTTGTCCAGGTTTTGTCGCCCACACCTGGTGCACCTGAAGCAAATCCCATCAGTGGTACTGCAGGGAAACCAACTGCTTTGATAACAAGTTCTGGCTTATACAATTTAATTTTATGGTGGATTTTTTACTTGAAGTGAATCAAGTAAATGTGCAGCTCTAAGGTATTAGAGAATAAATGTATTTTAAGAATATGATGAGAAAAAAAACCGCTTAGCCAAAGAATACGCTATTGGCAAATGTGTATTGAATTAAAATGTTTCAAACTTCCCAGCTTGTTTAAAATAACACAATTTCAATCAAGCAAACAGACTAAGTAGAGTCACAAGTTGAATATAGAGTTAATTAGTCTTGGTAAAGTGCTCAACTGCACTTTCTAGAAACTGAAAAACTAAATAACCATATGCCCCGTGCAAAAAATAAAAAAAACAACAACAAATGCCTTTGCAAATTAGGTGGTTTCCAATTATTTGTTTCCAAAAACACTGAAGGAAAACATAAGCCATGAGCTGATATAGATTAGTAAAATGAAGTTTTGATGGTAAACCACCACATAATTTTTGATACATAACGTGGAAGAAATCCACAGAATTGGGTGGCAATTATGCAAAAAAAGACTCATTTCCATTACAATATTTGTTCAATTAATTTGTTTATATTATTTATTTAATTTATTGCATTATTGATTTTTATGATAGTATAAAGTTATATACATTTCTTAAAACTTAACAACTCTAAACATGAAAAATAGGAGTATAATTGATGCAAAACTTGTCTGTGTAAGCAGCATACATCCACTGAAAGCTGCACTGTTAAGGATAAAATTAAAGAGCCTGGGCTGCCACAAAAGGAGAAAAAAGACAAAGAATGAGGCCTGAGATTTTTCCCAAAATAATGAAATACCTCAAACCACAAGTTAAAGAAGCTCAGCAGAAACAAATACCAAACAAACAAACATAAAACCGCACACCTAGATACACCATATTCAAACTGCTGAACTGCCAGAGGAGAAAAGGTGATTGTATAGAGAAGAACGAAGACACAATTTATAGCAGACTTCCATCAGAAATCACACAAGTCAGATGGCAAGAAGTGACATTGTTAAGTTGGCAAAAGGAAAACAAACCAACCAACCACAACAAAATAAAGCTGTAAAGTGAGAAGCTTATGCCCAGGAAAAATATCTATCAAAAATGAGAAAAAAAATTAAGACTTTTTCAGATATGCTATAACTGAGACAACTTATTTCAGCAGAATTGTGCTATCAGAAATACTTTTTAAAATTCTTCTGACAGAAGAAACACAATACCAGAGAGGAACTTAGACACAAAAAATTAAGGCATCTGGAAGTGGTTAAAAATGACAATAAACATAAAATACATTTTTACATTGTTAATATCTCTAAAGGATAATTGACTAAATAAAAAATTGTAGCAACATATAATGTAGAATATGTTTATAGAACCGTAACAATGTTTACAGAATATGTAAACAAAATATACTAAAACAGCACAAAATATAAAGTATATTACTACAATGTTTTTACACTATCAATAAATCAGATGTTATTATTTGAAAATAGACTCTAATTACCTAAAGATTTATATAGTAAATCTTATGATAACCAATAGAAAAAATTTTTATTTATTTATTTGAGAGGGAGTTTCGCTTTTGTCGCCCAGGCTGGAGTGCAATGGCACAATCTCAGCTCACCGCAACCTCCGCCTCCTGAGTTCAAGCGATTCTCCTGCCTCAGCCTCTCGAGTAGCTGGGATTACAGGCATGCACCACCATGCCTGGCTAATTTTGTATTTTTAGTAGAGATGAGGTTTCTCCACGTTCGTCAGGCTGGTCTCAAACCCCCGACCTCAGGTGATCTGCCTGCCTTGGCCTCCCAAAGTGCTGGGATTACAGGTGTGAGCCACCGCGCCCAGCAGAAAAAATGTTTAAAAAATTAAAACAGATATAAATAAGAAGCCAATAGTGGAAAAATATAATTTTGTAAAAATCTGATTATTTTAAAAGCAGACAAAAAGGAAGAAAAAAGAACAATAAACAAATTAAACAAATACAAAGCAACACACAATAAGGATAACTTTAACCAAATGATATAAATAACTATATTAAATATAAATAATTAACATATACCAATTGACAGACAGAGATTGTTATATTGGGTAAAAGCAATATCTAGGAGTATGGATCTATGAGAGACCCACTTTCAACATAAGATATAGATTAAATAATTTTTTTAAAAAATCCTATTATACAAACCCAAATCAAAGGGAAGCAAGAGTGACCATATTAATATCTTACAAACTAGACTTTAGACCAAGGAATATTTCCAGCATGACTAGGGTTCTACAAGTGGTAAAGGTAAATTCATCAAGAAGATATAAAAATCTTTAATGTACGCACACTTAAAAAACAACTAACCAAACAAAAAGCTTCAAAATGCAAGGAGCAAAATATGATATCACTGAAAAGAAGAATAGATAAATCTGCAATTGTGGTTGGAAGCAACAACCCTCTTCTTCCATTAACTGATACAGCAAGTAGCAGAAGAAGGAAGAGGAAGATGAAGAGGAGGAAGGAGGAAGCGGAGGAGGAGGAGGAAAAGGAGGAGACTCGGACTACAGTATTAACTATCTTGGCTTAATTGATATTTACAGAACACTACATCCCAGGATAGCAGAATACACATGCTTTTCAAATGCACGTGGTACATTCACTAAGACAGGCCACATTCTGGGCCATAATAATAAAATTTCAGCACAATTAAAATAGTTGAAATGATACAAAAGTATGTTGTTTAGCCATAACTGAATTAAACTAGTAATAAATAACAGAAAGATATCTGAAAAATCCCCAAATATATTAAATTTAAAGAACAGACTCTTAAATAATCCCTGTGTCAAAGATGAAGTCTTAGGAGATGGAAGCCAGGGCGAAGGGAGGCCCATTGCTGTCCATATCCTCACTAGTTCCAATAAGAATGGTTGCAAACTGTTCATCTGACAAGGGATTGATACCTAGAGTATACAAGAAATTCAACTCAAAAGCAAAAAAAAAAAAAAAAATCAAAACGAAACAAATAATCCTATTAAAAAAATAAGTAAATTAGCTGAATAGACAGCTCTCAAGAAATGACATACACATGGCCAACAGGTATTTGAAAAAATGCTCCACATCACTCATCATCAGGAAAATGCAAATCTAAACCACAATAAAATATCATCTCACTCTAGTTAGAATGGTGATTATAACATTATAGTAAAGTTAAAAGACATAATTCAACATAGATACAAATAGTGCACACTCAGAAATCACCTCAGGTAATATAATTATACAGAGTTCAAAACTTAATATAACACAGCTGTCTTAACTGTAGATGTGGATCATTATAGGAATTAATGTAGATAAGGTATTTCAATACAAAACTACACCATTTTTTTTATGTATTAATGCTCAGAATAAAACATTGACTTGGCCATGAAGGTACTTTTTTAGGAAAGTAAGATAATTTTAGGCAATATGTAAAATAGGACTAAATTTCAATAAAATGACAAAGAGATAAAATATTTAAAACTGATTTTTTACTTAAATACATACTATCTATATACCTCAGTGTGTTTATTTTAAGAAAAATAAAATTAATTTCATCACTATTTATAAATTGCCTTATTCTTATCAACAGTCTAACGTTTAGGTAAAAAGAAGAAATAAATTCAAAATCATTTTTATGAGTGTCTTAGTAGAAATTTGGAAAGTTAAGAAAACTGAAAAAGAGGGCCAGATGAAAGTGAAAGACAAAAGACAGAACATTATGAGCATGGAAAGGCCAACTCTCATGGCATCAGGAGGTCATTAATTATGTGCCATGCTGTGATCTACACAAAAGGCTAAAATGGTGGTGGGTGTTTATTTTGCTTTGCTCTTTAAAGAACAAATGTGAACCTTCTGGCTTGATAATTCATCACAGTTGAGGATTTAATAGTCATCAAGAGGTGTTATTTGAAAAACATGAAACTCTTTGTGACTGATGATAATCTTGTCCCTAAACTATGAAGACTTAACTAAGAATCTAATGTAGAGGGTACCAATCCCAGGCATCCCTACTTGCTATTAAAGCAATGACTGAACCATCTCGGCCCCTTGGTTGGCTCAGAGCCTGGGTGGATACTTCCCATTTGACACAGGTTTGGCTCTGTGTCCCCACCCAAATCTCAGGTCAAATTGTAATTCCCAATATTGTGGGAGAGGCCTGGTGGGAGCTGATTGGATCACGGGGGTTGACTTCCTCTTTGCTGTTCTCATGATCATGAGTGAGAGCTCATGAGATCTGGTTGTTTAAGAGAGTGTGGCACTTCTCCCTTCTCTCTCTCTCTCCTGCTCTGCCATGGTAAGATGGGCTTGCTTCCTCTTAACCTTCTGCCGTGATTGTCAGTTTCCTGAATCCTCCCAGCCGTGCTTTCTGTACAGCCTGTGGAATGGTGAGTCAATTAAACCTCTTTAAGGTAGTTCTTTATAGCAGTGTGAGAAGGGACTAAGACACCATCCAATAAGCTTTCTCTGTTCTCTCCATGTCCACTCCCAAGCTGATGACTCTTCCAACTAAGAAAAAGCAAGAGGTGCTTCAGCATTGTCAATTCCTCAGGAAGGAGCTGGGATGAGAAGCCAGAATCCAACAATGTATTTGACATCTAAGGAAAAGCCTCACTACTGTTTTCCTTGGATACAATGAGAGAGACACGTCTAAGGATGGCAATGTATTGGCCCATTTTCACACTGCTGATAAAGATAGACCCTAGACTGGGCAATTTACCAAAGAAAGGGATTTTATCGACTTACAGTTCCACGTGGCTGAAGAGACCTCAAGATCATGGCAGAAGGCGAAAAGCATATCTCACATGGCAGCAGACAAGAGAAGAGAGTTTGTGCAGGAAAATTCCCACTTATAATCACCATCAGATCTTGGGATACTTACTCAGTATCATGAGAACAGCACAGGAAGGACCTGCCTCCATCATTCAGTTACCTCCCACCGAGTCCCTCCCACAACATGTGGGAATTCAAGATGAGTTTTGGGTGGGGACACAGCTAAACCATATCAGGCAATATGAGAAAACCACACTTAAAAATCCTAGCAACTTTGTAATGAGTCTCCAGAATACAAACAAGTCCAATAAAAAGTTGGTGGGGCCAGTGATCTTCTAGTTTGAAACATCATCCACATACATCAATATTTCTATGTTAAAATGTTTTCTGGAGAAGAGATGGCTTCATAATGCAGATAACATTATTAAATCTGGCATCTCTGCCACCCTCCTTTCTCCACTGGATGCTCCTCAGGGAGGGATTGTTATATGGTTGTTAGATGAGTCAAGAGAATAAGCATGCCTCTTCTGTGCATCTGAGTTGGAGCTGCACTGCAGGTGTACACACTGGCACAGAGATGACTGATGGAGGCGCCTCCTCCCAGGGTTCCATCAACCTCCCCAGGGGTTGTGTGCAGGAGGCTGCAGTGGACATCTGTGCCCACCTCTGATGTTAGAGAGCAGTGTACCTCTTGGGACAGATGGCCCACAATGATGGGAACTCATGAATGAATACCTGGGAAAATGATTAACCACTTTACTAATCAGAGAAAGCAGATTAAAATCACTCATGCATCAGCTAGTTTGATACATTGTGGGACATACCCTAACTCCCAATGCTAGGATGCAGTGAAATTGGTCTTCTCATGCACTTGAATTAGCACAGCTCTTTCAGGTGGTGATTTAGAAGAGAATATCAAGAATTAAGCAAAAGTGAATACCTGCTGACTTACTATACGGTTTTTATACTGAAGAATGAATGTGAATTTCGAACAAATAAAAAATTTTAAATACAAATACATTATTCTCAGTATTTTTATAACAATAAAAATTAAAACCAACCATTCTCCAAAGACAGGAAAGTGATCAAGTAATTTATGGTATTTCCATAATATGCAGTTGAAATGAATAGTGCTTTTACATTATAGTTATAAGACCATATGGTGAATTTGAAAAAGAAAAAACGGTGAGTTATAGTATGTTCCCAACCATGTAAGCATGCATTTTGAAAAGTAGAAAACTACTGCTTAACAATAAAATGAACTAAAATTGTCAACTTAGTCAATGTAATTATGTTTGACGTTAAGAAAGAGGAACAGCCACCCACATATAAAAATGTCAATGTGGGCCGGGCGCGGTGGCTCACGCCTGTAATCCCAGCACCTGATCAGGCCGAGGCAGGCGGATCACGAGGTCAGGAGATGGAGACCAACCTGGCTAACACCGTGAAACCCGTCTCTACTAAAAACGCAAAAAATTAGCTGGGCATGGTGGCGGGCACCTGCAGTCCCAGCTACTCGGGAGGCTGAGGCAGGAGAATGGCGTGAACCCAGGAGGCAGAGCTTGCAGTGAGCCGAGATCGCCCCACAGCACTCCAGCCTGGGCGACAGAGTGAGACTCCAACTAAAAAAAAAAAAAAAAAAAAAAGGTCAACGTGTACAATTACTGAGAGAACACACACTTTGAGTTGTTTTTGGTAGTGACATATACCATGACCAATTTTACTCTCTCTTCCCTCTCCTGTGCATTAAATTTCAATTTTGTTAATTTTTCTTAGTTTAGTTTTACTAAAAATCAGTTTAAACCAGAATTTTGCAATACATTTTAATTTAACAGAATATTAAAACACATAAACCCATAACTCAAATAGCACCATTTTCATGTTTCGTATTTTCCACAAGTTTATTCAGTCTATTCTGCTGTCACATGTATTTACATAACACTAATTAACTCACACATGATTGATAAACAGGGGATGATGATGACAGGAAAAGTTGTGCTGTCTCATGCACTATTACTTAGGGCCTGGAATAGGGAAAGTGGGATCATAGCCTTTAGTAGGACAACTTGGCTGTTTCTCAGGTAGAAGGCATTTCAGTTTTATACGAAGAAAATTAAAAATGAACGACTGTGTCCAAGGTTCTTTCCCCAGGGAGGCTGCGTCCAGCCTGAAATATTTAGACCAGAGCAGTTCACACTCCACCAGTGCCCACTATACTGGCCGTCCTGCTGGCTCACATCTCTGCTGTCAGCTGTGCTGTCTCAGAGCCTGCAGGTCAGCACTCCCATTCCACTGTTTCCGTGTATTTTAAATATGGCCAAAGTAAACCTCCAGCTGCCCTGAACTGCCATATCATCTCCCCAGGTACTAATTATTGTTTATATTAGTAGCCTATTTTCAGGGTAGCAGAGGTTTTTAGTGGTCTACTAATACACATCTTCATACAAATAATCATTTGATTCTATGGAGTATTTTCTTAGGAAAAAAATCCAAAAGCAGGGTTATATGTGAAAGAAATAAACTTTTTATAATTGTATTATCTATGGCCATGTATATTTACAAAAGGTCTGTCCCCCACACCCCACAGGCCTGTGCTATCTCTAATAATCTTATTTAGGTAAGAGACCAATTACTGGACCCACGGAAGAAAGCAAGTTAGCCAGTCCTTACAGAAAAAAACTTGGTCACAGCTATCCTAAAAAACTTTTATCAAACTATTTAAATCAAGTAGTCCAAACACAATAGGAAATTATTTTAAACTTTTGATGTCAAAAAATTAAAAACAAAACACCTATTTCAATGTATTACAACCATGATTACACATTTTGCTATTGTAAACCAATTTAATACATGTGACTATCATTACCATTGAATTGTGCAGTTATCTATGGTAGTTGCATTGGAAAAATGAAATACAAGTATATTTACTGGGAGTTGCAGCCATGGCTGGAGAGCAATACTCGTAAACATTGAAATGCTTCCCATATGCTTCACAAAAGCCACATTTCAAGTACTATTATTTATTTCTATATTGATACTATAATTACAATGGTGGTGGTGTCCATTAATTGTGTGTTTGTGTGTGTGTGTATATATATATATATATATATCAGTAACATACATATCTTAATGTGTATATATGTGTACATATATACATATCTCTCTCTCTACATATATGTGTGTGTGTATATATATATCTATATATATATATCAGTTGCACTTCTAATTCCAAAGATCTGAGCTGTCTTATTTCCAGCTCCATGTAAACATGCATTTTGGACTCTATCCCAGCAGTCAGAAGCTGTGTTATTGAAATCATTTTACTAGAAATAAGACTGAAAATCCCTAAACAATATGCCAACAAGATTTCTGAGTAACACATCTCAAGTTGTTCACAAATTATTAAGTTCTCACATCCAACTGGAGGTTTATTTTCTTCAGTTTCCTTTTCTGTAATAACCAACTCATAAGTGTGTTTTGAGAATTAAATTATTTGTATTCATTGAGAACAATAAAGTTTCTTTAAGATGGGATGCAATGGATTTTCTAATTTATGCCTCAACACAATTACAAATTACTACATATTATAGATTTTCAGAGGTGTTTGAAAACAGTTTATATGGAAATTGTTAAATCCCTAAATGCCTAGTGATCTTTATTTAATAAAGCAACATGAGGTCACAATGTTTACTATTAAGTGGTTCAAAGCAGTCCAGCTATGCATCTGAATCAATCAGTAATAATTTTTTGACTACTTGTATGTTCAAGGCACAGTGAGTGACACATGTTGAAGACTCAAAGAATAATATTAATGGCCAGGCACGGTGGCTCACGCCTGTAATCCCAGCACTTTGGGAGGCCGAGGTGGGCGGATCATGAGGTCAGGAGATCGAGACAATCCTGGCTAACACGGTGAAACCCTGTTTCTACAAAAAGTACAAAAAATTAGCCGGGCGCGGTGGTGGGCCCCTGTAGTCCCAGCTACTCGGGAGGCTGAGGCAGGAGAATGGCGTGGAGACGGAGACGGAGCTTGCAGTGAGCCGAGATCGTGCCACTGCACTCCAGCCTGGGCCACAGAGCGAGACTCCGTCTCAAAAAAAAAAAAAAAAAGAATTAATATAAATGTCTGGCAGTGTGGGGAGGAAGAGCACATTAACAAATGCTAGTAACAACACACCATAGAAAGGGATGCATATAACCAAACAGCACAACATAGTAAGTGATAAATCTTGCTACAGGAGTTCAGAGGAGAGTAGAGAAAGCAATTCCAGGAAAAGAAGAGGTTTCAGCTGGCTTTGAATGAAACCCATTTCAGGTTAGCTGAGTGTAAAGAACATCTCTAGTCCTAGGAAACCACCATGACCGCAGGAACCACAGGTCATATCGGAACAGCATAATGAGGTGGGTGAGAAGAGCAGTTTAGGTGCTCTGTGGATTCCTTGAAGTGTCAAAGAGGCATAATGATGTGAAAAAAATGTTGAGGGCAGCCTTAAGAAGAAAAGAATTTACTGTAGTATACAGATTGTATTGGATATACCACAACTAAATTCAATAAAACCTGTAAGAACAATTCATGATGCCCATAAATATGTATTACAAATGGTTTAACTACAATTATAATTCAATTATTTTAAATAAGAAAATTTAACAAACAAATCTATGTGAACTACAAAGTACCTACTTATGCTCATTATGTATATCTTTCCAAAGATACTCAATGATTCATACTACATGCAAAGATATGTAGATGATGTTCATAATAGTATTTTAATTAGTGACTTGTCTTTACATACTAAAAACTATTTATTATTGACTTATCATTAAATTACACCCATTAAATGCAATAATAATTTTTCACATTTTAATTTGATTTTAATAACAAATTTCATTCATTGATATGGACAGCCATTAACACTAAACAAATTATTTTTAGTTAAAATATTAATAGGTGATGATAACACTGACTTTCCTAAAGAATGTGTTTTAAAATTGAGTCTGAAAAACCACATGATTATCTCAATAGATGCAGAAAAGGCCTTTGACAAAATTCAACAACCCTTCATGCTAAAAACTCTCAATAAATTAGGTATTGATGGGACATATCTCAAAATAATAAGAGCTATCTATGACAAACCCACAGCCAATATCATACTGAATGGGCAAAAACTGGAAGCATTCCCTTTGAAAACTGGCACAAGACAGGGATGCCCTCTCTCACCACTCCTATTCAACATAGTGTCGGAAGTTCTGGCCAGGGCAATTAGGCAGGAGAAGGAAATAAAAGGTATTCAATTAGGAAAAGAGGAAGTCAAATTGTCCCTGTTTGCAGATGACATGATTGTATATCTAGAAAACCCCATTGTCTCAGCCCAAAATCTCCTTAAGCTGATAAGCAACTTCAGCAAAGTCTCAGGATACAAAATCAATGTACAAAAATCACAAGCATTCTTATACACCAACAACAGACAAACAGAGAACCAAATCATGAGTGAACTCCCATTCACAATTGCTTCAAAGAGAATAAAATACCTAGGAATCCAACTTACAAGGAATGTGAAGGACCTCTTCAAGGAGAACTACAAATCACTGTTCAAGGAAATAAAAGAGGATACAAATAAATGGAAGAACATTCCATGCTCATGGGTAGGAAGAATCAATATTGTGAAAATGGCCATACTGCCCAAGGTAATTTACAGATTCGATGCCATTCCCATCAAGCTACCAATGCCTTTCTTCACAGAATTGGAAAAAACTACTTTAAAGTTCATATGGACCCAAAAAAGAGCCTGCATCACCAAGTCAATCCTAAGCCAAAAGAACAAAGCTGGAGGCATCACACTACCTGATTTCAAACTATACTACAAGGCTACAGTAACTAAAACAGCATGGTATTGGTACCCAAACAGAGACATAGATCAATGGAACAGAACAGAGCCCTCAGAAATAACACCACATATCTACAACTATCTGATCTTTGACAAACCTGAGAAAAACAAGCAATGGGGAAAGGATTCCCTATTTAATAAATGGTGCTGGGAAAACTGGCTAGCCATATGTAGAAAGCTGAAACTGGATCCCTTCCTTACACCTTATACAAAAATTAATTCAAGATGGATTAAAGACTTAAACGTTAGACCTAAAACCATAAAAACCCTAGAAAAAAACCTAGGCATTACCATTCAGGACATAGGCATGGGCAAGGACTTCATGTCTAAAATACCAAAAGCAATGGCAACAAAAGCCAAAATTGACAAATGGGATCTAATTAAACTAAGATCTTCTGCACAGCAAAAGAAACTACCATCAGAGCGAACAGGCAACCTACAAAATGGGAGAAAATTTTCGTAACCTACTCATCTGACAAAGGGCTAGTATCCAGAATCTACAATGAACTCAAACACATTTACAAGAAAAAAACAAACAACCCCATCAAAAAGTGGGCAAAGGATATGAACAGACACTTCTCAAAAGAAGACATTTATGCAGCCAAAAAACACATGAAAAAATGCTCACCATCACTGGCCATCAGAGAAATGCAAATAAAAACCACAATGAGATACCATCTCACACCAGTTAGAATGGCAATCATTAAAAAGTCAGGAAACAACAGGTGCTGGAGAGGATGTGGAGAAATAGGAACACTTTTACACTGTTGGTGGGACTGTAAACTAGTTCAACCATTGTGGAAGTCAGTGTGGCGATTCCTCAGGGATCTAGAACTAGAAATACCATTTGACTCAGCCATCCCATTACTGGGTATATACCCAAAGGACTATAAATCATGCTGCTATAAAGACACATGCACACGTATGTTTATTGCGGCATTATTCACGATAGCAAAGACTTGGAACCAACCCAAATGTCCAACAATGATAGACTGGATTAAGAAAATGTGGCACATATACACCATGGAATACTATGCAGCCATAGAAAATGATGAGTTCATGTCCTTTGTAGGGACATGGATGAAATTGGAAATCATCATTCTCAGTAAACTATCGCAAGAACAAAAAACCAAACACCACATATTCTCACTCATAGGTGGGAACTGAACAATGGGAACACATGGACACAGGAAGGGGAACATCACACTCTGGGGTCGTTGTGGGGTGGGGGGAGGGGGGAGGGATAGCATTGGGAGATATACCTAATGCTAGATGACGAGTTGGTGGGTGCAGCGCACCAGCATGGCACGTGTATACATATGTAACTAACCTGCACATTGTGCACATGTACCCTAAAACTTAAAGTATAATAATAATAAATAAATAAAAATAATAATAAATAAATAAATAAATAAAACTGAGTCTGATACAAAGTTTACAGTTATATCTTTGGAAAGAAAACAGTAGTCAGATATAGGCAGCAAAAGACTACAAATCGTTGAAACAACCAATCCAAACAGGCTTCCTGGAACCTAGTCATTGCAGTCAGTTCATACCAGCTTTGGTTTCTGACCTGACATAGACAGTCCACTTTATCTCTCACCATGCTCAGAGCCCTGTGCTATTTATCTTGGCTTTTCTGTGGGCTTCATGAATCTCAGCCATAATCATGGTCATCTCATCCTGAAGTTTTCTCTAGAAGAAATACAAAAGCTTTCTGGAAAGCTCAACTCTGCCTGCAGGAGAAAGCTTTCCAAGGAAGACAGCCTCAGCTATGTCAAGGGACAAAAAACAGGATACAGGGCACACAATGGGCTTATGTGAGCCTTTCACAAGTCAGAGACATGAAAGCACTCACCAGGAGTGGTGAACAGAACAAGCTGTGTCCGTGAGCCAGAGAAGGAAAGAAAAGCATCACTGGTCATTTTATTCAGAGAAGAGCTCACACTTGAGGTATCCTATCTACTCTATAATACAGGGGATTATAGGAACTTCTGTAGATCCGCTTTCCACAGGTTCCTCTCCATAGCAATCAAGGATAAAAATGAAGATACAGTCACTTCTTTGCCCCATTTTCTGTTTCTTTAAGGGAAACCTACCTGTTAAAGAGGATTTTATTGGCAGAATTAGAAAAAATGCAAGAAGGGTCAACAGCTACTCCTGAGAAACCCACAAGGTGAGAGTATCAAGTCATGTATTTTGTAAATTGTTACATAAAGGTGTCTTATGTGCAACCAAACATTGCTATATCAGCAAGATTCGACTGAATTCTGAAAGTCAAAAACAGGGGAAAATGCACAAATACCCCAAATGACGCATCTCTGCGCGTATTCAAATTCCGTAAACGTAATGTTTATTGCTCAGAAAAAAATGGTTTTCTATTTTATTTTTTAAAAAATTTCTGTACTCAATAACAACTGCATCTCACCTGGCAACTAGTAAACCTACATTAACACAGAGAAACAAAATTTTCTTTTTTTTTTTTTGAGACAGGGTCTCACTATTTCCCTCAGGCTGAAGTGCAGTGGTGTGATTTCCAAAGAGATGTTACCTTCCATATGTACAATTTACCATCATATTTTCTATCCTATTTATTCTATTATGTTATATTAAATTTTAAATGTTTCTTCCAACTCATTACATTAACTATTGATTATGAATGTCAACTCTTTTTCTGAAAATTACTGCATTAAAATATCTCTGCAATATAGAAATAATTTAGTTGAACTCTGTCATGTATGGATAAGACTTTATAAGTAACCTACCATTCTGGGTCACTCTTCAGGATCTGAACCTGCATCCACAGAATTTGGAGAGCATTCCCACAGCTCCCGTGGGGTAGCCAAGATGGTTGGACTTCAAGACTGGCTACAAGAGTCTGCTTTCACTTTCTCTTGTTTATTTTGTGTTACTATTTGCTTCAATTACATAATAGCTGGGTAGAATCAAAAAGTGTTTTTATATGTGCTTTTGTGTTTAAATGTGTGGGTGAGTGTGTGCACGGGAGTGATTGACCAAATTTAGGGGGAGAGGTGCTTTTGGAAGTGACAGTACAGGCTTTTTCCATAATATGTTGCAAATACATTTTCTTTATTTTCATGCAGCAAACCTAGCTTAAGTGTCAGGAACTTTATGAATCCTTGTAAATCCCTGGGAGCATACCTAAACAATTTGTATTCATAATTCAGTACATTTTTTCATTAAAAAACTAAATTGTACAATACCAAAGACATGATCCATGAAACGAAATAATCAATGAGCTGGACTTCATTAAAAGTAACATGTCCACTCTGCCAAAACAAAAACAAAAACAAAAACAAACAAAACAAAAACACTGTCTAGGAAATGAGTTACAAGGCACAGACTTATGGAGATAATATTTGCAAAAGACACATTAATAAAGGACTGCTAATGAAAATATACAAAGAACATTTAAAATTCCACAATAAGAGAATAAACAACCTGATTAAAAAATGAACTGAACAGATACCTCACCAAAGAAAATATACAGATAGTAAATTAACATATGAAAAAGTGCTTGACCTTATATGTCACAAAGGAATTGTAAGTTAAAGCAATAAAATACCACTATGCACCTATTAGAGTGGCCAAAATCCAAAGCACTGACAACACCAAAAATGAGAATATGTAGTAACAGAAATGCTCATCCTTTTCTGGTGGAAATGCAAAATGGTGCAGCCATTGGAAGACAGTTTGGTGATTTTAAAAAAATGTGTAAATTTAAGGGGTACAAGTGCAATTTCCTTAGATGTGTCTATTGTGTAGTGGTGAAGTCTTAGATTTTACTATATCAATCTTTCAAATAATGCAGATTTTACTCATTGAGTAATTTCTGATCAGCCTTCCCATTTTGTTCCCCCACACTTCTTAGTCTTTAATGACTGTCTTTCCACAGTCTGTGTCCATGAGTACATATTACTTAGCTCCCACTTATAAGTGAGAACATCTGGTATTTGACTCATCTGGTGTATGTTTCCTCTAGGCTTCAAAACAAAATGCATAGGGTGGGGCTTTTAAACATTCACATTCAGTATATACAAAATTCATTGATTTATTTTTACCTATTCTCTTGCTTTTCTAATACCTTAAAGAAACATTTGTACTTTTTCTTAATTGTGCAGAAGTTATACCTGCATATGAAATAAGTGGCCCCGTTGACAATGGTTACCTATGGCAAGGCATAGAAGTTCACTGTGGATGTTGAGGCTACTAACCCAGAAAGCTAAACTGCTTTATTTCAAATTGTGTAGAGCCTGGAGAGGTATTATTTTTGTTTCTATTTGACTCCTCACTGGTGTATCTGAGATACATTTCTGGTGTTTGTCTCATCAACGCAGAGTCACTGCAGAGTAAAAGGAAAGGTTTCGTATTTGTATCTGTTACAGTTCCAAGATTATCAGGGAGGTAATGATGAAACACCCTCTTCCACGCACTGGGCAACTCATCACCATAGCAACAGATCATTATATAAAGTTCGTCAATTCAGCTGGTCGTTATCCCAAAGCAGCAGACAGCTAATATGTTAAGGAAAGTTCTTTCTCTTAACTTGTAAATGAGCAACTGAATTAAATTGGTCTTGGCACTGGGAGTTCAGCATTACCTTTATATAGCAAAGAGGAATTCAAAGAAGAAAACAGGTCTTTTGGCTAGCATATGCTTGAAAAGGAGATTTTAATTAGCTCAATTATCAGTTTTGACTAAGGCTTGTATTTCCCCAAAAATTATGTTAACCATTTCAAACATTATTTGGCATAAATTACATGCAGCATTCTTTCATCTTAAGGCATTATTTCAAACCACATTCCCCTATGCCACACCTTTGACATGTAAGTTCCAGAAAATCAGGTGCTGGGTAACCTAGAATGCCTTATTCACTGTGACCTTGCTGGCTTCCAGAACAGAGTCAGGCACACAGTAGGTTCTTAAGCAGAGCACCTGGTACAATGTGTGGACCCTGGGACCCAACAGCCCAAGTTAGACTCCTGGCTTCCACACTTACAGGCTGTGTGGCCAAGAGCAGTTCATTGACATCTCTGTGTCTCCTTCTCCCCAGTGCCCAGTTCACAGGGTTGGGGGCCACTAAGTGAGTTTATCTGTGTGTTTGCTTGGGTGGTGCCTAGCACACAGAACACATTGCATAAGAATTTTCTATTATTATTTTACTGCTACTGTTTAGCATGCAGATGGTAAGTCCTATTCAAGTTTTGTCTAAAATCAACAAGCTCCCTGCTTCTATGAATAGTCAACACACATAAACCAGGAGGGGAAATGATATCTCTTTTACAGAGGCTCCTACTGCCTTACTGAAACACAAAGCAAAATACTCCTTTAAGTACTCAAAATCATAAGTTGATAGCATAAAAGACATTTGCCACTACATTTCCTGTGAATGGAAACCCAATTGTATTTAAAACAAGAGTGCAATCAATAGAGTCCTCTGGGTATCCTTTCTAAAAGCTCTTCCAGCCCCATAGCTTAAAATGTAACTTCAGCCAGACTGAAAATCATTCTGTTAAGGAGGCAATTCAAGGTTCTGAAGGGAAATTACTTGCCTTAGATTTATTGTATCTAAATTACAAAGCAACCACCCAGTTGGTAACATTGGCAGCCCTGCTCTGACAGTCACCAGGCAGGCATCCAGAGTCTAAATTACCCTCTCACCCCCAGCAGTGAAATTTATACTGCATCTGGTCCCATTAGCGTGGGTTGGGATGGTTGAGAAAAATCTATGCAAAGCACTTTTACACATCATTAATGTGAAAGAAAAAAGAGAACTGTGTACTCTATGGAATAAGAAAGTTAATTTGTCATTTTCGGAGTTGCTGTATTATACCAATTGTAAACTTGGAATGATGACATTCCAAGCTATTTGGTAGCTAGAGTTTTCTCCCGCTTTCTTCAGACATGATCTTGCCCGTTTCTACGGCTTCAGAGACAACCTGAGGCTCCTATTACTGATCCAAACCTTCTCAGGTTTCATAGAAGGATTTCCAGCTGACTCTTAGACCTACCACATGCAATTGGAACTCAGTGTATCCAAAATGGAGATCAACATCTCCCTTTGGACCAAATCTGTCCATGCATCTAAAATTCTGAATTCATTTGCTAGGATGAAATATTCAATCTGACTATCCTATCTTTCAGTTTCATCTGCTGTCTCTTCACCCACAACTGCAGGTCATTTCAATGTCTCCCCCTTTCCAGAACACCCCAAGACTTTCTAGAGCTGCATGCTTTGCATGTTCTGTGCTCTCTCTGCCAGGCAGCCATCTCCCCATCCCCCAAGAGCCAGCTCCCAGGCCTCTGATTTGGGTGGAGGGGGAACCTTTTCTCACCTCCCAGGCCAGCTCAGTGCTCCCAAAGTCCGTGTGCTCACGGAAGGTATTCTTCCTTCAATTAAGATACTGTATTGGGTCAATCGCAGGCTAAATGTCTGTCTTTTGTGTGATGTAAGCTTTTCTTTGCATGACTTGCTGAGTCGAATCGTCATCCATGACACCTTCATACTCTATGGACACACTAGGCTATTGATCAAGCCTTAATGAATGAACACATAAGGATTTCACAAGTGTAGAGTCATGCCTGGGAAGTCAATCTTTGCGCTCAGGGTTGAAATTTATCTTTCAATTTTCCTGGTTATCACCAAGGAACAGCAGAATAATCATGTTTAAAAATTCTATTGTGTATAGGTGTCCAGAGCAGACAGGTGACCCCTAACTTTCTATGCACCTCTCTTGCTGCCCACTCCACTGAAAGCTGCCCAAGAGGTGAGAAGCTGAAGTGAGGTGGGGTGGGGCAGGGATCTGAAAGGAAGGCGTGACAGGAGGAGAGCCCTAAATACAGCAGAGTGGTTCCCAGGCTTTATGACTAGAGAAGCTACTCAGGGAGAAGGCTGAGATGAACCTTTCAGGTGCAGCCCCAGAGACTGGGATTTGGGAGGTCTGCAGTGGGCCTGGAGACTGTCATCAACAAGAATTCCAGGTAAATCTAACTCAAAGATCTAGAATGATCCTTTGACCAACAATTAGGTGCTATTGATTTTAGTCCACATCACCAAAGATGCCAACAGTGAGGTCCATGATGAAGGAGCTTTGAGTCTTGGTGACTATTCCTTAACTTCCTAAAGCCTTTATGTAAAGTCTGTAAAGTGTTTAGCACAGTGCCTAGGCAAGGGAAGCACTTTTTGTGTCTTCATCATTGTTACCATGCTGGTGAGGAGGATGAGGATGCCGTAGCCAAGAGCCCTTCCTTCATCCTGGAAGCTCTTCTTTCCATGCATGAAAAGGCACCCCTAATAGGTCATAACCTTAAGTAGATGCAGTGGACCTTCTGCCTGGCTGCATCTTAGACTCATCTTGGGGCTGTAAAACATTATAAATGCCTGGATTCTGACTTCATGTGCAGAGACCCAAATTAATTGTTCCTGGTAGATGGTAGGAACAGGTGGTTTTTAAAAGCTCTTGAGATCTATGAAATATAAATATAATAGTTGAAAACTACTCATGTCTAAAGCATGAGAGGAAATTGAGAGAATTATAGGTGAGATTCAATTAATGATTAGATAATTCATTTGATTTTCCCCATTATCTAATTCAGTCCCACATACTAAGCCAGAAAATTTAGGAGACTGAAACTGTTATACCAAACATTTAGGGGGAGATGTGAAGACATATCATATAGGCTCAACTCTGGCCAGCTACAGGGCCTCTGGTTAGCTGACAGCCTCCAGCTGTTAACTCCTTCAGCCTCCTAACTGGGTCATATATTCTTGGGGGTGGCCCTCAGCCTGAGGTGGTGATAGTTGCCAGGGAATGTGCTTCTTATAGATGCCCACAGCCAGTAGCTGGGAAAAATAGTTGGTTTAGCTCCCAGCCATATTTTGTTCAACTCTTCCAGCAGAAACACCTTGCATAAAGTTCCACACTGGCCTGGGAGAACCTTTTGACAGATCTGTGTCACATTCTGATGGCTCCCTCTGCCCAATTCTGCTTCTTCCTTACTTTTCCTTCCACAGGTATTACTCCTCCAAAATTTCTTGTGCTTCTAGCTCCATCCCTGTCTTCCTCCTGGAGAACCCAACCTATAATGGGGACATCTGGATGAGCAGACCCACTGAAACACAGAAGAAATCTAACGCACTTACAAATCAGAAAAAGCCAGTGGGGTAAGGGAGGGAAGATACTAGAACTCAAACTAGTGGGTGACAGGCCGTGGAGATACATCTTCTCTTTTTATTCACGTTGACAGTTCTGCAGAATAGATATTGTGAATTCTACTTGGTAGATACTAAACCTGGGAACTCCAGAGGTCTAGAAATGTACTGTGTCATGTAACTTATAATAGGTGAGTAAGAATATGATCACAGGCATGTCCAGAACTAAAGCTTATATTTTGCCCTCTACACTACATTGTTTCTAGATCCTCCATTTCATAACAGTTTTATCCTTGTCTGAACTCCCACTGCATTAACCATAATCTGAAGAGTTCCCTTTGAACAAATTTGCATCATCCTTAAAGACTTCCTATGGCCAGATATAAACACACCCTGGACTATAATTGTAAATGCTTTAAAGTTAAGGACTACCTTTTATGTTTCTTGTGTAGCCTGAGCTTAACCTAGTAAACAATGTGCCCTCTGTCCATGCTTATTAACCACATGAATAATACATACATAATACGGATGGTCTTGTTCAGAGAATTGGATGATGTCAATGGTGTGTAAACATGCAGAATACACTGGATAGCATCCTATTGTTTAGCATTTATTAATGGATTTTCCCTCCAGAAGCAAAAGTGTGTAATATGCATGTTATGTGAATGACACACCTGGCCAAGTTTGGCTTACTCACCTGACATCACTCTTCTGTTGTTTCTGGTCTTTTCCTGAACAAATAAAACCTTGGTGTTGTCAGAAGTAACCCTACCTCCCCTCCCTTCAACACAGCAGAGCAGCCTTGACGTGGCTTCTGATCAGGACTTATGTCCTCCTTCTTGTTTCCCCAAGCACAAAGACATGGCTGCCTCATGACAAGGTGGGACCCATGAGCTCTTTAGGTCTGCAGGTGGACCACTCAGACGACCCTGTCCTTCTGTTTATTTCTGACTCAGAACTGCCAACCAATTGCCCTTGGACACAAATACTAATTAGTTCATTTATTCATTTAGTGAAAATTGAGAGCATAACTTGGGTCATGTTCCTATTTAACTGCTGTTGCTACGAAAATATCAAACTCAGAAGCTTGTTTAATATTTGGGGCTGGACTCAATGTCCACCAATTTCCTCTGATTTTAAAAAAATGAGTTACCTGGAAGAATTTGTTTTCACCTGCCCATGTCTGTCTGGGATGTGGTTCACAGTAAGTGATGTGTTTCCATTTACAAGTCCAGAATTACAAAGGTTCCATTCTTCTAGCCCAAGCATGAGCAGGATCTGGCCATTCTGAGGGGTTCTAAGTACTTCAGTGTCCTGCCTCCCACCAGGATGTAGCCTAGAAGGAAGAAAGGGAGGGTCACACAAACTACTTAGGAAAGTGGGCTAGAGGCAGAGCTTCCAGGATCTGAAAATGCATAATCTGTCTATGGGGAGATGATGGAGAGAGGAAAGCCTACATTTTTTATTTAACTTTCACTTTAGGTTCAGAGGTATATGTGAAGGTCTGTTACACAGGTAAACTCATGTCACTGGGGTTTGTTTTTTTCATCACCTAGGGATTATGTCCAATACCCAGTAGTTATCTTTTCTGCTCTTCTCCCTCCTCCCACCCTCCAGTCTCAAGTCGCCCCCACCGTCTGTTGTTCCCTTCTTTGTGTTTATAAGTTCTCATCACTTAGCTCCCACTTAGAAGTGAGAACATGTGATACTTGACCTTCTCTTGCTGTGTTAGTTTGCTGAGATTAATAGCCTCTAGCTCCATCCATGTTCTCACAAAAGACATGATCTCATTCTTTTTTATAAGCGTACACTTTTCAACTGTATCTTGAGGAATGAGCAAGTATTTGCCAAACATAGAAGAAAATGAGGGCATGTGAGGAAGGGAGGTTGGCTTGACCAAAGTATTAGAGACCATGGCTTGTGGACATGTAGGGTTCAGTATCATTTAAAAGGGTGGTGCATTGTGTTGGAGTCAGTGATTCATCCTATCTGTCCCAGCCCATCTCTTCCATAGAGGCAGAAATGCTCAAAGCTCCTACATGGTTTGATTCTTCAGCATTTGATAAAAACCATATAAAGTTGTGATGGGTAACTGCGAATGTTATATTTGGAATCCAGAGAAGGGTTCTGCATATACGTGCTTTCACAATATAATTAATTGGTTCAAATGTAATTGAACTACTGAGGTCTGTGAAAAGAGTTTGGACACAAGTTAGAAAGCTGTAGCAGAGTTAGTACTCAGAGCCCTGATGGACCAGTCTTTCCACACCTGGCACTCACCTGCTCAGCCCTTAGGTCCAGGAAGTGTTACAGGTACACCAAGATATTGATGCCTTCCAACTTGGAGAAGGCTTCTACTCCTGCAGCCATCACAAACAGCTTTGTTTCCCAACGAACCATACAAACAATATTATTTCCTGTGGTTGTCATCATTGGGAAGCCCTGACTTAGGAAAATCCCTACACCAGGAGACCTGGACAGAAATAGCCATAGCAGCACTGTTGGTGCTAGCAAAAAACTGGAAACATCACATATGACAATCAATGGAATAACATGAAATTCAGGATTACAAAGGGACATTGTATAGTGGTGAAGACTAAGAAATCTTGGTTATCTGCATGACAAAATAAAAATGAAAAATAGCAAGTCACACAAGAATGTATATCTTTCCATTTGCCTCCAGGTCAAACCACACAATGCTAAGTGACACTGCAACCATGTCTTTATGTGGCAAAATCATAAAAGAAAGGGGGGTAATAATCGTTACCCAAAGCAGAGGACAATGGGTAGGAAGAGCGTTCAGAGTAGACATCAAAACTGCTGATGAGGTTGTGGGTAAATTTGGGTGGGAGGTAACATAACATTTTCATTTCATTACTTTATATTCAGTACATATGTTTAATACCATATTATTTATGTATTTATTATTTATTAATAAAACAGATAACTTGTGTTGAACTCAAAAGACACAAACAAATACAAATAAGAGTAAATTACTGGCCCTTGCTAAACTACATTTTAAGATAGCTGGGCGGGTCACTCGGGCCACGTTGTGCATATGCACAGACACCTGCAGATACACACATACACAGTAACAAGGTAGGCCGCTACGTTTAGATGCTAATATGTTACGATAGGAATGTGTTGGTAACAGGTGAGAGGATGAAGACAACACACTGTGATTCACAGCAGAACTCAGGAAGTGTGCTGACTTTCTTGGGCAATGCCTGGAGCCAAATTTGAAATGGTACCTCTACAACCAGGGTTTGAACATTGGATTGGGGGTCAGACAAGACAGGAGCCTCTGTATAAGACCAGGGAGTAGTTTTGGTGCCTTCCTGGTAAAAGGAACAGAAAGAGTGAAGAAAAGAGTGAGTGGTAGAGAATGGAAGCCAGGGAGATGGCAGAAAACTGCTTACTGCTCTATAAACCCTTCCCTGCCACCATTGAACCTTCAGTAGGAGCTTCGAAACTCATGTGATGCTTGATGTAACTTGTTTGTTTTTGTTTGTTTCTTTGAAAACAGGAACAAGTGAGAGGACTGAGACTGCATTTGTTCAACAGTGAAAGAAGCACATCCCGCCTCGCGTAGACAGGACTTGGTGAGTCTAACCCTAGGGATTGATAAGAGAAATAATGGGGAGGACTGTGGACATCCTAGGCATAAAAGAAATAAGGAGCCCAATATCTGGGAAGCAAGAAAGCCTTAGCTGACATCTGAGGGTCAGGCATGACATATGCTCTTAAACATTCATGCAGAGAAACAATAGGTTTAAGTTCTGACCCACTGCTGAGATGTGAAGCTGAAGGATCCACACTAATGACATGCAGTCCAGGACCCTCATCTCTCTGGCTTCTGTTGACTTTCCTGTGTGACTCTCTAAATCTTTTCATGGGTGCGGATTTGTTTATGATCTATGAGGTATCCCAGCCCAGTTCTTACTGTGCAGAAGGCAAATTATGAGTCTAATATGGTCTGGCTGTGTCCACAGCCAAATCTCATCTTAAATTGTAGCTCCCATAATTCTGATGTGTTGTGGGTGGGACCCAGTTGAATCATGGGGGTGGGTCTTTCCCAAGCTATTCTTATGATAGTGAGTAAGTCTCATGAGATCTGATGGTTTTATAAATGGGAGTCCCCCTGCACAAGTTCTCTTGCCTGCCACCATGTGAGACATGACTTTGCTCCTCATTCACCTTCCAACATGATTGTGAGGCCTCCCCAGCAATGTGGAACTGTGACTCAATTAAACCTCTTTCCTTTATAAATTACCCAGTCTCAGCTATGTCTTCATTAGCAGTGTGAGAACAGACTAATACAGAGCCTTAACCAAATCCACTGCTTTCCCTAACTGGGATGTAGGTGGCTGAGAGGCAGCCCAGTCTCAACCCTGGTTATACATCCTTTAGCCAACCACATAGACTGTGGCCATGGATCCAGGCAGAAAGCAGGAGGCAGAGGACCAGGGGAAACAGAGGTCTGTGCCTGAAGATGAGGCGGGAAGGAGTGGGCACTAACCACAGGGCACAGGAGGGGCTCTGATTCCTTAGATGGGGATGTGTCTTAGGACACAGGACAAAGCTCAGGCACCAGAGCAAAGGACTGATCACAAGAGAAGATGTCAAAGGCCAGGTCACTCAAATTGGGTGAGAGGTGAAGGCCAGGAGGGCCCCAGAATTGGAGGAACTAGAGGTGTGGGTGAAGGGGCCCCAACTCTGAGAGTTAGAAGGTCCCAAAGACAAGCTTCCAGGTGAACCACTGCAGGTCAGCAACACAACAAATCCCAAGACAACTGGCTTGTATCCAAGTCATGCAGAGAGAAATGAATGCTGCCCAGAGATACTGAAAAATGCCAACACTATGTAATTAATACAATTTCTAATTGAGGAAAAAATTATAGTTTAACTCAAAAAGCAGCAGCTCATTATGAAAATTGCCTTTTAAAGACCCAATTTACCAAGGACAAGTGAAGGTCTCTACGGTTGAAACTATTTTTCACTTTGAACCAGTGTTCTTTTGCAGAGGACAAAGTCAGATTTTAGAAATTAATTAAATGTTCATATTGAATCTTTAAATGAAACTCTAAATTCCACTAATTAAGCTTAGAGAACACTTACAATATGAAGGGTCAGATGTTTCCCCTAAAATTCCAGAAAGATATTTAGGCATTCAAATAATTAACCACTGGAGGTTTTATTCCTGGCAAAAATACATGAAAAATGCTGTCGATAAAAGCCTTTACATTAATTTGTGACAATTAAAATCAACTTCTACTGGGCTCAAACCTTTATAACTTTACGTGCCACCTGCTAATTGTAGACAACGCTCAATGTTTTATCACTCCTGGTTCCTTCACAAGTGAACCCTGCAGCTCACCCACTCATTCACCCAACTTCCTTCATTTAGCAGGAGGTCCTATTACCCTCTGCAGCTGCCAGTGTCAGAGCTGGGTTCCTGTAAAGAAGTCCAGGCTAAAGCCACAGAGACTGTTGTGGAAGTGAGTCTGGCTGTAGTTGGAGAACAGCGTGATTGGACCCTTCCTATTTGTCTGTCCTGGGCCAGTTGGTGGGTGATCTCTGCCGCATCCAACATGGGAGCAAAGAGAAACTGGCAGGCAGAGGTGGAACATGGTGAGAAGTGGAGCTCACTTTTCCCATTCCTCCTAACACAGTTCTACTATGCTAGAAGTGACAGCCAGTGGCCACAGCTAGAAAATAATCTGCAGTGTGACTTAACCTGTGTATGACATTCCAGCAGACCACTGAACCAGACAGCTGAAGCCAAAATCATTGCTCTACTGTGTATTTACTGCTGTGTGAAGCTGATTCCACTTCGGGTCTCTGCTTAAATTCCTGTCATTAAATGGAAATGTGTTTGGTTTTAAACTTAAAAAAAAAAAAAGACAGTGTAGGAATGTTCACACATACTTTCTAGTTCAGGAAAGACATCCTCTTTCTTATCCAAATTTTCCTTTCGACTTTCTCGACTTCATTTTAAGTATGAAAGGGTTGCACATTTAGTTACTTTTATTATATTTTTCTGGGGCTGAGTATTTGAATTAAAAGCAGGAAATTGGGTCTACAATGACAACACTGGTTTAACCTCAAAATTGTTCTCAAATGTTAAACATATTTTAGGGTTTTGCTGGATTCAGAAATCCAGAACGTGCACAGGACATACTTGAACATCAAGATTTTTGATACGTGGGTTTAGCTAACATAATGCTAATGAGGATGATAATGATGGATGGTAAATAGATGAACAAGCATCTGCTTTCCATTCATTCCAACTGTTTAATGATTTAGCACTTACTAACGTCAGCCAAGATGGAAAAATGAAAAAAAAATACTTTTTTGTTGTTCATATTGACTTTTATTTGGTCTCCAAGGATCAGTTTCTTCATAATTACAATTTCAGATATTCTTGTCTCAGGAAGTTAGTAAAGACTGCATTGATTCTTCATAAATGTCTCATTAGCAAAGCATCATGCCCTCAGCATCTCTGAAAAGGCATTTTCTTATCTGAAGGCTAAGGCAGAGAGAATCATAAGAACATTGCTTCTCATCATACAGCTGCTCTAAGAGACATTAGCTCTACCCATCCTAAGCATTATTTCAACTTATTATTGATGTTCATGACAGCTATGGTGTTACCTAACAACATCCTTAGGAATATCCTTTAGTAAGAATAACTCCATTTAAAAACCATAAAAGAAATTGCAAGAAGTATATTTTGGCTAATTACATGTTTCAAAAAGGGAATGAAAATATTATAAACCAAGATAAAAATAATCTGATTAGTCTCTAATTGTGGGATTATGCAGCTGCTGCTTTTGAAAAGAAGGAAGGAGGGAAGGAGAAGGGGGGGAAGTAGGAAGCAAGAAAGGGAGGGAGGGAGGAAAGAAGGGAGGGAGGGAGGAAAGAAAAAGAAGGAAGGAAGGAAAGAAGGGAGGGAGGGAGGTAGGGAGAGAAGGAAAATATAAAAAAGAGAAAAAGAAAGACGTTAAGAAAACATACGACTTTCTATGCTGAAACACAGTCAAGAGATAAACATTGCTTTCCATATGCCCAGGAAATGTTTATCTTTAGATTTGGCTGGTGTTAATCACTGCAGCCTTATAAAGCTGTTTTTCCAATTTCCATCCTGGTGGAAAGGAGAATGGAAGTGTCCTAAGTAATGCATGATGATTTGGAAATAGCCCATTTCCTCTAATGGATTCAAAGTGGGAGCTACAATATTAACAGTTAACACATCACTCTTTTATTTCTATGCCTGTCAAATCTCTTTGTTTTATTATTTAAGGGAACCCTTAACTCTCATCTTCCCTGTGAAAGTTTATTTTAAAAGCAGTTTAAGCTGATATCAAAACCAGACAAAGACATCCAAAGAAAACTACAGACAAATATCTCTTTTGAATACAGACACAAAAATCTTTACCAAAATACTAGTGAACCCAAAACAGCGACATATAAAAGCAATCATATACCATGATCAAGTAGGATTCATCCTAGGAATACAGGGGAGGTTAATATCAAAATTCATTAATGCAATACACTTTACCAATAGAAATAAAGACAAGAGAAACATGATCATATTAACTGATACATAAAAATTATTTGACAAAATCTGAGATCCCTTCATGATAAAAGCACTCAGCAAACAAGGAATAGAGGGAAACTTCCTCAATTTCAGAGCATCTATTTTTTTAAAATGTTAATATCAGACTTGAAGGTGAAAGATTAGAGGCTTTCTCCCTAAGATCAGCAACTAAACAAGGCTGTCCATACTTATTACTTCTATTCAGCATTGTACTGGAGGTTTTAGCAGTGCAGTTAGTCAAGAGGACAAAATTAAAAGTATCCAAATTATAAAGAAAGAAGTAAAGCTATCTCTATTTGCAAATATCAGGATTTTGTATATAAAAAAACCTTAAGGTATTCAGCAAAAATCTATTAGAACTAACAAAAGAGGTTAGCATGGTTACTGGATGCAAGCTTAACATATAAAAGTCAATTGTACTTCTGGACATTTGTAATGAACAATCTAAAAATGAAATTAAGAAGTAAATTCCATTTATAATAACATCAAAAAGAATAAAATTATCAGAAACAAATTCAAAAAGAAGTGTAAAACTTATATTCTTATACTAGAAAATATTTTTGAAAGAAAACAAAGAGTATCTAACTAAATGTAAAAACACCCGATGTTTATGGATCAGAAGACTTAATAATGTTAAGATGAAAATACTCTCCAAATTGGCCTACATATTAAATGCAAGCCCTGTCAAAATTCCAGCTGGCATTTTTGAATTGACAAAGTGATCTTGAAATTCATATAGAAATGCAAAGGACTTTGAATAAGCAAACAATCCTGAAAAAAAAAACAAAGTTGAAGGACTCATATTTCCCAATATAAAAGTATAAAACAATAGAAATCTAGACAGCATGGTATCGACATAAGAACAGACACATAGAGTAATGGATAAAATTGAGAGTCCAGAAATAAACCCTCTCACATTTATAATCAATTGATTTGTGACAAAGTTTCCAAGACAATTCAATGGGGAAAGAAAATTCTTTTTAACAAATAATGCTGGGACTACTGATTATCCACGTGCAACAGAATGAAGTTGGATCATTGCCTCACATCATATTCAATAATTAACTCAAAATGGATCATCCACCTAAATGTAAGAGAAAAAATTATAAAACTCCCCCTAGTAGTCCTAAATAACTGAGTGTCAGAGATGCAATGTCTTCTATGGGAGAGATGCATTCACTTCGCCACCTGTAGGTGACTTTAGAAAGATTCCTTCCGAAGGATTCACCTAACAGGGAATTTGTTAAATCCATAAGGGCTTCAAAGAGACATGGCAATGACTCTTATGTTTTACTTATTTATTTATTTTTTAAGACAGAGTCTCACTCTGTCGGCCAGGCTGGAGTGCAGTGGTGCCATTTTGGCTCACCGCAGCCTTTTCCTCCCAGGTTAAAGCAATTCTCCCACCTCAGCCTCCTGAATAGCTGGAATTACAGTGTGCACCACTATGCCTGGCTAATTTCTATGTTTTTAGTAGAGTTGAGGGTTTCACCATGTTGGCCAGGCTAGTCTCAAACTGCTGACCTCAAGTGATCTGTCTGCCTCGGCCTCCCAACGTACTGGGATTACAGGCATAAGCCACTGCACCTGGCCTATGGCCCTTAGATTTTTAATGTTGTCAAGTTGGGACATTGTTTGTTTATTCATTTTTGGTTCATGGAGAGAATTACCTATTGAATGCCATAAAATATGTAGCATTTTTCCTTTGCTCCCCTCTACTACATTACTTTTTTTTTTCAGTGTAGACATTTACTTATGGAGCACTGGAGCAAATGGAAAATAAATTCAGGCAGGTCTGAATAACCAGACATAAAGCAAATAATCAATGCAATTACTTGTGCAGCTCAACCAGAGAAAAATATCCCCCTCCCCATTAAAATGTAAACAGTCATAATGATTGCAGCAGTAGGAGATATATTTTATTTTTAAACCATTAACATTAAAACTTATCTTCAGAGTTTTGCAGGAGTGGGTGTAAGTGTCAGGTTGAGGTGGGGGAGGGGCCTCCAATAGACCTTCAGGTGTTTCCATTTAAAACCTTGCTAAACTGAATGCCAGGCCCATGGCCCTCTTCTGAGGTTATCTTCCCTGCTCCTGTTGAAGAACCACGTCCCTGATTTTGTCCTGTGTAACTTTGCTCCTATTCTCCCAGTCAGTCGTTGACCCTTACCCAAGAATGGCCACAAGCTGACCAGCAGCTTTCCACGTGACCTCCACTGGAAAGCTCTGCAGAACCAGAATGACAGCGATGAGGTGGGCCAATGAGATTCTCTTTTAGAAGAGGAAACTAAGAAGCAGAGACAAGTGAACATCAACTGTGGGAGCAGAAACATGTTTCTTTGCATTATGCCTAGTACTTTATGCAACCAAAGTACGTATCACTTCCTCACAATCAAAAGAATATGATCAAAACTAAACAGATGATCAGGTAAAGGCTCTTGAAAGGATCTTGCTTAATTATTGAATGGGAAATGACTTCACTGACTGTTTCAGTGACAGTGAAATAAGTCACATAGCAGGAGTGATGTTTTGAAGTTGAGTCATTAGACTACAATATTAAAATCATATAAACAGATATTCAGAAATTATGAGGAGCTATAATTCTAAGAGACAGTTACAAAACTGCCAAACTTCCTTTGGATTATAGTTATTACATCCAAATTGAATGAGAAATACAGGTTACAAAGGACAAAGTCAAAGAGCAAGAAAAGCAAGATGACTTAACCAGTGACTTTAAAATCTTCTAATTTGTATCAGTAAGTTGAAACTGTGGGAAAATGTGGTAGATGACTTCCCAAATTGCTCTAGGTTGTCATGTGGGTTGAATTTTATTTCTGATATTCCTCGCCTGAACATTTGGAAGAGTCTTTTCTGAGAGACATGTCCTTGTGTTTTCACTCAGTTTGTACTTTCTGAAATAGGTTCCTTGACTTGACCTTCATTGATGACTAAGGGCTGTGCAGTTGTTGCACTTCGGTATGGTAACCACAATGAATTCCAACAGCATTCCCAAGTGTAGAGGGTCCTGTCCAGCACATGCTCATCTCCTGTTTCTTCATGTGGTTCATGGCACCCACCCTGCCTGTCCTCAGTCATTGACTCTTTAAGACAGGTAGCCCTGGGCCTACCTTTCTCCCTGGTTACTAAGGGTCATAAAAATTCTAATTTTTAACACTAACACAAGCACTATACACAGGTCACAACCAATCTTCCAGCAGATGGAATTTATTTGGTTACTGAATACATTCAATTATAATAATTACAATTTTATTTCTAGCTTTAATATTTATACAGATGCCAGAAACTACGTTAAATTTGAGTTTATATGAAGGCAAAAGAGATAAGACTGAAAATCTCATACTGAAGTGGCCAAAGTTTGTTTCTAATTTTACTTTATGAGTAAATGCATGACCATTACATAAAAAAATTGAGACATAGGCTCACCACCTAAATCCAAGCACTAGTGGTTACCAGAGGCTAGGAATGGTAGAGGGAAGCGGGAGATCAAGAGAGACTGATTAGTGGGTACCAAAATACAGTCAGAAGAAACTAGACCTAGTGGTTAATAAATCAATGGTAGCATTTTCTCTCCTGAGTTTTATTTTAAAAATTATCATCCAACCTCATAATATGTATTAGGAGATACAATTACATTCAACTTTACAGTAGAATCTTACCATACCACCTCTTTCAGTGACAAAAATAGAATTGGATAAAACTCTTTTGAAGACATATCCAGCATTTTCTATGGAAAGAAATAATGGACAAACATTAATTGTAAAGTGTGTCTCATCACAGTAAATGAAATGCAAGGGGATGGAGAACAATTTTTTTAATTAGAAATCTTTATTACCAATGGATTGACTGAAAATATCCTTTTATAATAACACTGGCAGATTCATCTTCCAATTAGAAGATAAGTAGATCTTTTCATAAGTGAATGATCTTAGAAAAAAATAACTGCTAGGGATTCTTAAGTCTGCTTCAAAATTGTTAATTTCAACAAACATGTACCTACATTAGACTTGCCTTATAAATGTTCTGTGAGGAGCAAGATCCCACGGTTCTCCCATAAAAGTGAAAACTTTGATTTAGACTTGAGCTTTAGAAATATATTTGGGTAAACATCATTAAAATTTCTTTGGAAAACAACATCATTATCTAGAACAGAGACAATAATATATGGTTTTTTTGTATAAGCAAAAAGTTGGTAGGTTTGATGAGAGTTGTGCTTAAACTCCAGCAGCTTCCATTAAACCTAAAGGATTTATATGAGACGAGCAGGATTTATATACAAGACGAGCCAGTTTTCTTTCTTTTTTCTTTCTTTCTTTCTTTCTTTTTTTTGTCCACAGACCACACTGCTTTAGCACCTGGGCAACTTTCGATCAATATTGATCATGAGAAACACTAGAGAGAAAGGTTGACAGTCTATAGATCTCAGATAAAGACAGGCAAAGAGGTAGAAAGCCAACCCAAAAAGAAAACAGTATGGTTGGTTACTCCATAATGACAGAAGCTGATTACATCCCCTTTAGAATGAATTAGGCTAATGACACACTTATAGAGTATAGCCTCATAGGTATTGTGGATTTGGAACTAGGCTTATACAGCTACTAAAATTATCAAGAAATCATATTTAAATGCAAAGCATAATATAATTCAAGAGTTAATTGTTCTTATTTAATCAAACAACATAGTTATTTAACACAATTGAAGTAGTATGACATACATAAGTTGTTTTTTAATAGCATGTTTTTTAATTTTTTGCCTGAAAAAAATAGAAAACTAATTTTTTTCTTTAAATTCAGGTTAATTAGGAGTTCAGAGGAGGCAGAAGAAAGCCAGATTTTATTTTAAATTTGTCAATGAGATGGTTTAAAGGCAGAAAAGTTGTAACAAATAATTAAGAGTTGGCTCCATTGTTAGTACTCACTGGAATTATTAACTGAAAATGTATTACATTATTAAACTCAAAATCAACTAAATTTTATATAATTTATGAAGTTCATCCTACCTTTTCCCTTTTCTTTTATACGTAACCCCTTACATATATGAAAACATTTAGAACAAGTTTTAAATTAAGTTTAGATTTATAAATTCCCATGACAGTAAATCATTTCAATACTAGAAAACATTTTAATGTGAGAATTTTCACAATTCATTGTTTGTTGATGACACTGAGGTAGTTGCAAATTGCATATAAATGTTGAGAAAGAGAATTTTTGGTAGTGAGATAAATCCATTACTTAATTTTCAGTGTCTGAAAGGATCTCATTGGGGTCTGCAAAATCCTATTATCCTCTCAAGTCTCATTCATCTTAGTCAAGGAAAATGCTACAGCCTGCTATGAGAAAAACTTAGGACTGCGACATCCCCCCAAACTGGGAAGGAGCTGAGAGACCAAAGAATGACATGGACCAGCACAGCTTGGTGAGTAGCTGAGTTTATTAGGACTTACTTACAGGGCACTCCTGGAGGGCGGCAGGACAGCTCTAGAAATCTGTGCCACCTTCTGTCTGTGAACTGCTTTTAAGTGAATTTTCTGGCTCTTTGCCTACTGTGTTTGAACAATGAGACTGTGTTTCTTGGTAGGTTTTCAAATATACTCCAGAATATTTGGTTTCTCAGAGACACCTGCTCCTCAGCTGGGCACCATGGCCTTGGCTCACCGCCTGGCCTTCCAGGTTCAGGCAGCAGACACACACGCTTAAGTAACCTGGTGGGGTACCCGTCACACTACACAGCCTGCCCCTCACTTAGCAGTCTAGCCTCTTTGAGAACTCGAGTTAAATGGCTTGAATCAGGAGCTGTAAGAAACTACACAGAGAGATAAAGTGAGGAATGGGATTTCAGCATTTGTTGAGTTAGTTGTTGAGCCAGTTGTCAGTCTAATACCAACATTTCTAGAGTACATAGAACACTTTTATTACAAAATCACTGTGGGAGTCATACTGACTTCTGAATTAATAATGATTGGTAGCAAGTAACTGTAAAAAGGCCATGTTCTATATTTAAAATATTTTTGGAAGGGAAGACAGGGAACATGGGGAAGGTCCCTGGCATGTTTCCTTCCTGGTGTTCATGAAAAGACTAAGTGAAGATGATAGGTGTGGGTTCTGGGTCCCTGTCCACATCAGGGCTTCTCCTTTCTCTTCCTTGAGGTTAGGCCAACCTTACCTGCTGTGTCCCTCAGAGCCTCCCCTACTTGGGGACACCTCTCTCTAGCTCCCTCATTCTTTCTTCACAGTGAAATGATGCCCATCTGTAGTTGTAAACTTTAAAAAAGTCAGATTCAGAGGTCATGGACTCTAATCTGTACTGAAAATAGTAACACTCTAAAAAGTCAAAGTTCTTAAGAAGTCAAAGTTCTTTTTTTTTTTTGAGACAGAGTCTTGCTCTGTCACCCAGGCTGGAGTGCAGTGGCACAGTCTTGGCTCACTGCCACCTCAGCCTCCTGGGTTCAAGCGATTCTCCTGCTTCAGCCTCCTGAGTAGCTGGGACTACAGGTGCGTGCCACTACTCCTGGCTAAATCTTTTTTTTTTTTTCTGTATTTTTAGTAGAGACGGGGTTTCACCGTGTTAAGCAGAAAGGTCTCGATCTTCTGACCTCATAATCTGCCTGCCTCGGCCTTCCAAAGTGCTGGGATTACAGGTGTGAGCCACTGCACCCAGACAAAGTCAAAATTCTTAAAAATAGAATTTCATCTTTACCTCACACCTCTTGAAAACCACTGAACACAATGGATCTCAGTCATGGCCCTTGAAAATGCTTCTGTCTGTCATTGCTTCTCTCGCCTCTCTGGTGGTTGTTTTTTCTCAAATGACAGTCCCCTTGCACCCTATCAACAATGTGATGCTGTCACCCCCTTCTTCGCTAGCTTGCACCTTCTCTCCATTTCCTTTGGTACTTTATTCGGGGGACCAACTCAGCCCCTCAGCCAAGTCCTCCCCTTTCCCTCAGCCTCTTGGCCCAGGCTCTAGGTCTGAATCTCAGAGGATCAGGGATGGGCTAGATAGAAACAGGGGCTCCTCCAAGGCCCAGGGAGGAGTATGATCTTGAGCAGGTGAAGATGGATGGTGAGGAGGGTTGAGGGAGGCTAGAAATTTCACAGGTGCATTTCCCTGTGGCAAGTGCAAAAAAAAAAATACAAGCTAAAGTCCACAGTAAAAGATCCTTGCCCACCTAGCATCCTCATCTGTTCTGCTGTGTCTCTCCCCCATTCTCGCCCCCACAGAGTCCATCATCTGGAAGCGGTTCCCCAGACAGGTTAACATTTCCTGAGCTCAGTCCCTCCTCAACTCACTCCAGTCTGTCTCCACCCCAGATCTTCCATGAAAAATACCTTCCCTGGGTATTTTCCCCACAACTTTCAAATTTACTGGACCCTTACTCTCTTCATCTTGCATGAGTTTCTAACACTGAAGTCCTTGCCCTCCATTCTTTATTTCTGCTTTACTTTTCCACATCTAATGTTTCAATTAACTTTATTTTGAGTTATTTGTCTCTGTTTAAAATAAGCTCCATGAGGGCAGAGATTTTGTTTATTTTGTTCATTTCTGAATCCCAAGCACATCATAGGTGCTCAGTCAATTTCTTGTGAAAGTGCGTGTTGAGTGAATCTTTTCAGAAATGCTGCTCTCTGTTTTCCTTGCCAACACATTGTTTTAAATTCCCCTTGACCTCACTCATTGTTTAACTAGATTTCCTTTGCTGACTTGTCATTCTCAGTAAAGTCGTAAATGTTGGTGTTGCTATGGGTTCAGTCCTTGGTTGCCTTCTTTCTCCACTTTCCTTCCCTGGTTTCATGACTTTGAGCACTATTTAAAGCCATTGACTATCTAAATTATATATCCTCCCCAAGGCAAAGATGCTAATAAGAGGCAGGGAAAGGAAATGTAGCCCTTGCAATTTTTAGAATACTAATGCTAAGAACGGAGTATTTGGTGTATTAAGGTTGTAACCTTTTATACATGTGCTCAATCTAGAGCTAATGGTAATAATAATGCGACATTTTCTCCCAGACTCACTGTTATACCTCTGTTTGAAGTTACCAACCACTGTTCATTCTCTATTCCTTTCAACATCTAAGGGATGATCTATAAAAACAGGCTTTCTCTGATTCAAAGCACTTAGTCTTTTATTTTTTAATTCAATATCTGGCAACACTTGCTGCTTGGATACCAGCTACAGGCTGTGACGACAGTAATGGTCAGTGCCTACATAGGCCATTTCATGGGCAAATCGCCACAGTATACAAGCTGAGTGATTATGAGAAGGAACACTTATGTACCTATGGACTCCAGTTTTAGAAGCAGCAAGAGGTGTTTTGTTTGTTTGTTTTTGTTTTGTTTTTGTTTTTTGAGACAGAGTCTCACTCTGTTGCCCAGGCTGGAGTGCAGTGACGTGATCTTGGCTCTCTACAAGCTCCGCCTCCAGGGTTCACACCATTCTTTTGCCTCAGCCTCCCGAGTAAGCTGGTACTACAGGTGCCCCTCCACCACGCCCGGCTAATTTTTTGTATTTTTAGTAGAGATGGGGGTTTCACCGTGTTAGCCAGGATGGTCTCGATCTCCTGACCTCGTGATCCACCTGACTCGGCCTCCCAAAGTGCTGGGATTACAGGCACGAGCCACCGTTCCCGGCCAAGAGGTTTTTTAAAATACATGAATCATTAGGTTTTTTTCCTTCATTTTCTTGTTTTAACTGGAGAGCAGCTGACTTGCAGCACTAAGTGTGTGCATTGATATGTTAGCTGCCATTTGGCCAAATGCCTAGACACAGATTAAACAGATCAGAGGGCTTCTAGGTGCTGCTACACTATCAAAACCCTATGGGACCCTACAGTGTTTGTTGCAGAAACTCTGGGAGAAGCCAAATGGTTTCTAGGAAAGAAATCATTGATGAGATCCTGCCATGGTTGACTGGCAAAGCTCTGAGACTCAGATTAGCATGTATGTTATTTCTAAAACTGTGGTGATACTGTTTCCCTTCTCCGAAAATGTTCTTCAGGGTCCCCAACATGCAGAGTCAATAAATTAGCCTTTAAAGTACTCACAACATCTGAAAACAAATTAAATGTGGAGAGAAATATTGCCTAACAAGAAAACATGCAAGAGCCAGGTAAATTTACTCATCTCATTTGAAAGTTGTCCACATCATTCATGAGTAATTTTTCCATCCTCAGAACCACTTTTGTGGTGTTCTCTAAATCATCAAAACAACGTTAAGATGGCTCTTTCCAAAATCAAATAGATGGCACTCGGAGAAAATGAAATTTCAGAGTAGTTTGATAAAAGGGAAATTAATTTTCTTTTTTATGTCACAGTTGTGTTATTAGGACAATAACAGAGAAGATGATTAGGACAATTCAGGAGCTGATTGAAGAAAATGATAAGGAATGATTCTTTCCCCCACCAAACTACCCCTCATCAGCTACTTCTGAGCTTGAGAGAGAAGAGGGCAAGGGAAAGGAAAAGGTGTCAGAAGCTTGGCATTTTACACATTTATCTAATTAGTCTCTGCCTCCCTCTCCAAACTAAAGTTCAAGTAACCTCACCCTGCTTCTTTCTCCTGATTGCAGATACGCAGCATAAACACTCAAGATAGGAGAGGCAGCCCTCGGCCACTGAGCAGTGGGAAGAGCGTCCCTTCTGTCTTCTGATGACAGGCATTGATAATGCAAGCTTGTCTTCCTCAGCAGCATCTCCGCTGGCTGCCATGGCTGGCTCCCATTGCAGAGCAATTGTCACAGGATGAGCATAAGAGGAGCTGTGCCGTCCACTGGCCATGAGACTTGTCTCTGCCACTGACCGGCTGAGTGACATTTGCAGGTCACTTACTCTCTTCTGACCTCAGTGTCCACATTGGTAAACTGGAGATTATAGTAGTGTCTAACCTGGAAGGTTGCTGAAAAACTACATGAGATACTGCATATGTAGCTTCTGGTATAGTTAAAATGTCAGCTATCGTTTAATTGTCCTGTTTGTCATATCCATCAACTAACTCTGCAACCTGGAGAAGTTTTAACATACAAACTACAATCACAATTAGAAGAATATTTTCCAAAATACAAACTATACTGACCACACTGGCCAATGAGTTTCTTCCTTAATGAGTAAGGACCTCATAGTCCATTTTAGTTCAGTGTCCAAGTCTGTGTTCAGAGATAGGTTAGTGCTTTTCCAGATGTCTTAAATAATATATTTGACTAATCTTTTAATACAATTATATATGAGAATTTACAAAATAATTGATCAGATATATGTAAGTTAATATTTTTAATTTAAGAAGGAAAAGCACAACAATGTTCTTCTATTCCTGTGTCTGTGTCTGGGGTTCCCTAGATAACCCCTAGGTTAAGTGATCTGCTAAGAGAACTCACAGGACTGAGCATACGCTTGTGTCCTAAGACTTATTATAGTAAAGGGTACACTTATGTCTTTAATCCACTTTGAGCTGATGTTTGTACATGGTGTAAGATGAGAGTGCATTCTTATTCTTCTCCATGCGGTGATCCAGTTTTCCCAACACAATTTATTAGAGACTATTCTTGCCCGATTGTGTCTTCTTGGTACCCTTGTCAAAACTTAGTTGACTCTATATGCTTGTGGGTATTGCTGGGCTCTTTATTCTGTTCTACTGGTCTATGTGTCCATACTATACTGTTTTGTTTACTATAGGTTTATAATATAATTTGAAATCAGGAAATATGATGCCTCCAACTTTGTTCTTCTATCTGAAGATTGCTCTGGCTATTTTGGGTCCTTTGTAGTTCCATAAATTTTATAATTGTCTTTTATTCTATTTCTGTAAAAATGCCATTCAATTTTTGATAAATATTACATTGAGTCTGTAGATTGCTTCAGATGGTATGTATATTTTAATAATATTGATTCTTTCCAGTAATAAATATGGGATATCTTTTCATTTATTTGCATGTTCTTCAAATTCCATCATCAATGTTTTACAGTTTTCAGTATAGAGCTCTTTCATCTCCTTGGTTAAATTTATTGTGAAATATTTTTTATTCTTGATGCTATTTTAAATTGAATTATTGTTTTTTATTCCTTTTTCAGAGAGATTGCTATGCCTTAAAAAATACAAATGATTTTTGTGTGTTGATTTTTATATCCTGGAACTTACTGAATTCATTTATTAGTTCTAATATTTTTTATTGGGTCTTTAGGGTTTTCTACATGTAGAATCATGTCATCTGCAAACAAAATTACTGCTTCTCTTCAAATGTGGTTGCTTTTTATTTATTTTTCTTGTCTTATAGCTTAGATAATATTTCCAGTACTATGTTGAATAAAAGTGGTTAGAGGGGGCACCCTTGCCTTGCAGTGGATCTTCGAGAAAAAGCTTTCAGCTTTTCACCATTAATTATGTTAGCTCTAGGTTTTTCATAAATGGCCTCTATCATATTGAAAAAATTTCCTTCTGTACCTATTTTGTTGAGGGTTTTTTTAATGAAATAATGTTAAACTTCATCAAATGCTTTTTCTGCATCTATTGAAGTGACCATGTGGTTTTTATCTTTTATTCTACTAATGCAATGTATCACATTGGCGGATTTGCAAATGTTTAGTTAACCTTGTATCCCAGGGATAAATCTCACTTTGTCTTAGTGTATAATCTTTTTGATATGTTGTTGAATTTGATTTGCTAGTATTTTATTAAGAATTTTTGTGTCTATATCAGAGACATTGGCTTATAGCTTTCTTTTTGGGGTGCCTTTTTCTGGTTTTGGTATCAGGGTGATGCTAACCTTATAGCATAAGTTTGAAAGTATTCCCTATACTTCAGTTTTTTTGGAAGACTCCAAGAAGAATTGGTATTAATTCTTCCTTGAATATTTTGTATATTCAGCCAGAAAGCCATCTGGTTCTGGGCTTCTCTTTGTTGGGAGGCTTGTAATTAGTACTTCAATCTCTTCTATTCTTTTATTATCTCAACTGTGAAAAACCATTACTTTTGTATTTAATATCACAGAATCCCAATAAGTGTTTATCTTTCAAGTTTTATTCTATTCAAATTGTGTCAGCTATTTGCATACATTTATAAACAGAAGGGGCTCTCTATATTTTTAAGGTCTGTGAAAAAAACAATATGGATGTATAGTTATTAATATATCCAACTTTATTTGACACTTTTTAACATTCCAGATTTAGTAATAAGCCATCCAAAATCATGGTGGGAAGGTTGGTGGGGGAAGTAAATCATGGAGCACGCTACAGTGAAAAAACACTAATTTCATCTTTATCGAACAGTGAAGATATGCATTTCCTTAAGTTCTTTCCACAGATTTCTCCAATTCCTTAGATTTGAGTACTCCTAAAACCTATTTAATCTTAGCACCACAAAGTTCTAAATAGAAGAGAGATTAATAAAATGACAAGGAAGAACTGTGTTCTTATTTCCAAGAATTTCTAGGAGTCAGGTTTTGATGCTCATGGTCAACATGCAATTCCACTGAGGCACTTTATTTAAGCCATGAATGGATGCCACTCCCGCCCCCACTTCATGGTCTTGTTTTTTATTGCTTTGTCTTATTTCCATATGGCGTAATCAGCCCTCTGCATCAAATCATTGTTGATTAACACAGTAGTGACTTCCTCTTAACAGTTAACACAAAACCTTTAAGGGTGGAGAACAGCCAGAGCTTACAAGTGCAGCACAACTTTATTTTAAATATTTATTGAATTTATATATTATCCTATAACGACACAGAAATCTGTATTCAGAGTCGCTGCATAACTGTGACCCTTTTTTTCTTTATTAATTAAGCTCTCTGTCTGGAGTTCAAGAAAACTACATCTTAGGCTAAACTTTACTGCAGACTAGGTAATATTAGAGCAATGAGCCCTCAACCACAGTGTGCGACGATACAATTAAGGAGCCTTACTCTGTTTTATTTTAAGATGAAGAACTTAACACATCAAAGTAAAATACAACAGTTTTGTTATTACCACTTTTTCACAAAGCAAAATCTACCGTAATTCATATCCTTTTTGATGGGATGCAATTAAGATTTTAAAAAAGAAAAAGACAAAAAAGCCTGTCCCTGTACTGGAAGCCATCTATCACAGAACGATCACCTAATCACATTCATATGGTTAGTATGGACGAGATGGCAACACGCAGTGAACGAGGATCAATGGCACTCACTGTCACATACTGACCTCTGGTCGACCAACAAAGCTGAGGTGGCTTTTTTGGTTTCCAGGCATTACCCTTCTACACTGACCTGACAAGCTCCCCTTAACTCTCCATGGGGAGAGTCCAGAGAAACAGCAACATGTGAGGGGAAGGCAGATGAAGTGGAGTCAGGAAAAGAATAATCACAGAGCCAGGAGAAGGGGCAGAAGATTCAGGGTTCTATAAGGCAAGTAAGGAAAAGATTTTCAGAATACACAAATGGCACATATAACTTTAATGTTATCTTTATAGAGAGGAACAGAGCCACCATTTGCATAGAAGACCCAGAACTTATAGAACTCCAGTCATTGACATTCTAAAGGAGTTACCATTTGCCATTGTGCCTTCTTCTCTATGAAGACCTTCCAAGAAGTTGCCAAAATATCTGCACAATCAGGGCCCAGATGATTTACTTGGCCCTGGTTGGATTTCCAACAAGAGAGACACATGGATGCAGCAAGAAAGCTGACCCAGAACGTGTCTGGGGAGGCTGTTGTCCAGCTGGCGGGTGGCAGGGGGGAAACGTCACAGGAGCAGCAAGATGCACATTAGCTGCACCAGCAACAGGGGTCTAATTCACTTTACTGTTTTTATAACAGTGAAAAGTAATATAAACCAACTTTTTCCATGGCCATTGGCAAATTTTCTCCAATTTATTTTTGTTCAAGTCAAATCAAAGTGTGAGAAAATACACTTATTTCTAAACCTGGATTCCTTTTCTAAATTCCAAGCCTGAGATTCCAAACTGATTCTTGCAAAAGATGACATCCACCTCAAAATTCATTAAGATGGCTATAATAGCTAAAATGGAAAAATCTAAAAATTAGTGAAAACATGAAACTTGTTTATAGAGGTGATGAAGTTAGAATTGTCAAACTGGTCTAAACAAACTTAAATGCTATCTCAGAATCCAGCTTCCCACAAAACTTTTTGGGGGTCTGCCCTGAGTTACCACATAGGATTTGGGGCAGGGCTTCCTATAGGATTGTGCATCTCCGTGGTTGTTTCCTGCAGGAAGGTAACTCTTCCCACTGCAAACTCCCCCTCCCTTTGAGTTAGCAAACAAACTGACTAGTGAGAAATGGAAACTGTAGTAGCATTCTATGTAGAGCATCTTCATCCATAATCCCGGACTGATTTGAATCCCAGCCTATGATTTGAATTAGTAACATCTTGACATTGTGTGCTACATAATTTCAATTTGTAAATAGCCAAGGATTTAAAATTAACACACAAACAAGCCTATGGATGAGTCCACTGCAACCCTGGGTATGATCAGACAGCCTGGAATGCTTCCTGCTGCTAAGGGCCGGGAGCTTCTCACTGTAGTGGTCAGGAGGACAGCAGTCCAGTCATGAGACCATCCAAAACAAACTCTGTAACCAAACTTCTAGATGGTTGCATTATATAAAAAGCAACTGATATTGACTCTACTTTTATGTAGGAGTGTATAATTTATGTAAGATCTTCTGTTTGACTAGATTTACATTCTGTTCACACACACTGTTTGGAATAAAAATCTTCCCATATAGTACCACCTGTACAGGAATATTTTCAATAGTGTGAGAAAGTGTGAGAAAATACGTGTATTGAAACAAGTGTTCTGTTCTTAGTAATAAGTGTTCCATTCTTCATGAATAGAATGAGTCGACTCTTCTAAAATTAATGAATTCCAATTTCGTAAGAAATTATCAGAAACCTCCAAAACCAACTCATTATAAACATAATGGACACGCACTTCACCTTCTCGTGGCCACTGTTATGGAAAGGGTCAGAAGCCTATGGATGTAAGAAATCTTGCTAAGTTGAAGTTCTGCAGTGACTCACTCAGACCTGCTCAGGGGCAGCCCCGTCGCCCCAACACCATCTCTCCTCACTCCCCAGCCTATTTAGGTATTGATGAAAACCTCCACTGCCTCCTAGAATTACAAGGATATGGCTCTAATCTCTGTAGCATTAGCCTAAACATTTGTGATGAAAAACTAGGAACACTTATGGAAAGTTCTAGTTTATTCACTCTGCAAACCTGCTCCATGCCAGGCATTCTGGGGGACCTTAAGGATAAAAATGGCAGAAAAGAGATAGAATTCCTGCCTGCAGGAGTGAGCAATATAGACAAGGAAATGGTAATTCCTTTTCTCCTCTTAAAACAAACAAAAAGCAAACAAAAATTTCTTGCTTGACCTCCCATGCCCTCCAGATGTGGCATCCATCCTCCACATCCCTTACCTCAATCACTTCTGGAGGAGCTGCTCCTAGCAGCTGTGTCCGCCTGACTTTGGCCCATGCCCCTCCTCCTCCTCCCACAGGCTGGCCCTGAGAGGCAGCTGTGGCCTCCATCTGCCCCAACCGGTGTTCACCTCTGTCCTCTTCTTACTTGACTGCTCAGTGGCATGGCCTTCAGCTGGCTAGTCCCACATTCCCATGAGGGAAGTGTTTTGGCCACTTCCCTCATGGATGCAGGGCTGACTCCTCCTGCTCAGTCTGCACTCAGCTTAATCATCACCTCCTGGCAGAGACTGATGCTGATCAGAGAGTACAGGAGCCTGCCTGGCACCTGCAGCCATGTCTGCTTCCACTGTGTCTGTTCGCCATCATTTTCTGGCATCTCACTGGCTGGTCTGTTTATTTTCTGCTGTCCCCACTAGAATGTAAGCCCCAAGAGGCCAGGAGATGCCTGCGTGCTCACCAGTTTACTCCCCGGTGCCTCCAATGAACTACACAAATAGTAAAGTTTCAGTAGATAGCAGCAACTTTATGAATAGAACAAAGCAAGTAATAAATGTACAACTACAAAGTGAGTTTTTTCAAAGAAACATATTATTAGGATAAAAATGATTTTTTTTTTGTTTTCTGAGAAAGTGTCCGTTAAACTGAAATGGAAGAGTGAATGGGTTGTTTGCTGCAGAAAGAACTGGTGGGAATAGGGAGGGTGTGGACGCAATCCCAGGCCAAGGGAGGCCGATGTGAGAGGACTGAACACAGGAAAAGGCTGGACAAGTGTGCAAAATTGAAAGGGCATCCCTGAAGCCAGTCTTCAGTATCCTCAGCATATGAGCAATTAACAAAGAAGAGGTGGAACTCCCCTGCCACACTCTAAGTTACTCTGGAAATTGAACAGGTCTAAATGTCATAACTTGATGAGCCCTGTCCCCTAGATTTTCCATAAGACATTCTGTTATTTGTCCTTAAGGGATAAGTTGATTCCATGGACCATGATACAAAAAAGTATTGTCTTTGAACCAATCAGAAATTACCATATGATTACAGGATTTTTTTTTAAAGCACAATATCAAAGTGCTGTATTATCTTAAATTACTTAAACTAAATGGTTTTGCTGGGAAATGGCTATTTTGAAAAGTTAAGAAGCAATGGTGAGGGCACAAAGTATTGTCTTTCCAATTAAAATATGACCAAAGTATGAGAAAAGATAAAAATTCAAACTGTAAACAAGATGCATAGAAGATGACAAAGATGAGTGAGTATTGTGGGTTTTGCTGGTTGCAAGGAGAGGTGGCAGATGAAAAGCTTGAAACTGAAATTGCTCATTTAGAATCAAAAGCCCCAAATCAAAAGATGGTAGAAGACTCCTCGGATGAGGGCAGAACTCCCACTTGTGGCCAAACGGACGGTGTGGACAAGCATGTCTCTGCTCTGCACAATATCAATGGCCAGATGGGAAATGTGACTATTGTCTTTCATGAAGGAGGGCACTGTATTCACTGGCTGCACCACCTCACGCATCAGAATGAACTTCTGAACATCCTGCAAGTCCCTCTTCATCAGATTAATGTCCAGGCTCTGGTCCACAGTGCTGCACTGCAAGGGCAGACAGGCCATGTTACTGGAACCAGGTACCTGGACACCCAGAGCTGACTGTGGCCACCCCACCTAGAGGAGGGTGACTTGGAAACTGAATAAGTCACAATGTGTAACTGAAGTGTGCAAACATGTGTGCTTCTCCATTTTTCTTGAAGTTCCCATCCATTTCTCCCATTTTAGAGTTGACCTTATCTTTACAGACTTTCTCAGCTCCATCATAAAGATAGATGATCAAAAGTGAAAAAAAAAACATAGAGTGGATGTTCTTGCTGACTTTGATTTAAACAGCATATGCATAGAGGCTCCTCAACATATTTTAAGTCACTTGGGAGCTATTTGTCTAAGTGCATATTATTATATATTTTTGATAAATCGGGTACCCAAATTGAAAAATGCAGCTAGAACATAATACAAATTTATGACTTTCCTTGTTGAAGGAATGGGCCTATAAGGCCATGAAAATAAAATTATGCTCATTTCATCTAGAGTGCATATAATACTGTAATATCATTCACATGGGCTATAAAAAGTCTATACTGGCTTCTTAGTCCATTTGTACTGTTTTAACAGAATACCTTAGACTGAGTAATTTATAAAGAACAGAAATTTATTTCTCATAGTCCTGGAGGCTGAGAAGTCCAAGATCAAGTTGCCAGCCCATTCAGTGCCTGGTGAAGGCTACTCTCTTCTTCCAAGATGGTGCCCTGTTGCTGCATCCTCCAGAGGGGACAAATGCAATGTCCTCACATGACATAGGCAGGAAGGCAAGCCAGCCAATGGCTGTCTGAAGCCTCTTTTATGAGGGCCTTTGTCCCAATCGTGATGGAGGAGCCCCCATGGACTAACTGCCTCTTAAATGCCCCACCTGTTAATGTCATCACATTAGCAACACCTGAATTTTGGAGAGGGCACATTCAGACCATAACACTTGATGTATTGCCTTCATTTATTACTGTATGTTAGAATATACAATACACCTAATTGGAGAATAAACATGCTAGAAATCAGAGAAATATCATGTCAAATTTTGCATGGTAAGAATGAGGGAAAGAGAGATGAGAAGAAAAAGAAGGAGAAAAAAGAGAAATAAAGAGAGAAAGATATTTAAGTAGAGCAAAAGCATGAATAAGAAAGTGGCATCTATAAAGAAAAGAAAACCTGACCACTGCTGAGAATCTAATTCAGAGCTACATTGCAGAGGTTGGCAGTGTATCAATGTATTCTGTCAAGGAAGAACCGAAAACGCATAGGGGGAAAACAAAGGTTAAGCTTTCCTGGAGCAGAGAACTGAATCAGGAAACCATAATCCTTTTAAAATTTATTTTCATTAACTTAAAATCCTGGTACAAGTAATGGCTGATTCTCATCAGAGTTTCTTATAAATTGGTTTGTTAGAAATGAATTTTCTAGTTCATAACAATATGAAACTACAATTTATAACATGGCATTCTAATACTTGGTTGTATTATTTTGAAAAAACACCACATTGAGCTATGATTGGCATTGAAAAAAGCTGTACGAATTTAACACGTACAAATTGATGAGTCTGGAGGTAAGTACACTTCCACAAAACTGTGAAAGCAAAATGTCTTGGACCCCCAAAATCACTAAGGAAAACTCAACCTGGAAACTGCTTAGGGCAAAGCTGCCTCCCATTCTATTCTAAGTCATCCCTCTGCTCACTGAGATAGATGCACAACTAATTGCCTCCTTTGGAAAGGCTAATCAGAAACTCAAAAGAATGCAACCATTTATCTGTCATCCATCTGTGACCTGGAAGCTTCCTCTCCATTTAGTCTTCCTGTCTTTGCTTCAAGTTGTCTTGCCTTTCCAGACTGAACCAATGTACTTCTTACATATATTTATTGATGTCTTATGTCTCACTAAAGTGTATAAAACCATGCTGTGACCTCGGGCACATGTCTCCAGGACTCCCTGAGGCTGTGTCAGGGGTGCATCCTCAACCTTAGCAAAATAAACTTTCTAAATTAACTGAGACCTGTCTCAGATTTTCTGTGTTCACAAAGCCATCACCATGATCCATGTCTTGAATCTCTCCACTGCCACCAAAAGTTGTCTCTCACCTTCATATTCATTATTATCATTACTTTTTTTTGTGATAAGAGCACTTAACATAAGATCCATCCTCTTAGTGATCAGCCAGAACTGGGTACAGGATGGTACCTCATGAAGCCTCCTTACCTAACCTGTGAGATGCCACGGAAAGGTTGCAACATCAAGTCAGGTATTGAACCAGGTATGTAAACTCCATTCAACTCCAACATTCTCTAATTCTTCAGATTTTTAAATGTCATTTTATAGCATGTGGGACGTTTTCATCTCATGCTACACAAACACCATTTACTTTAAAAGAATGTCAAGAAGGAAATATAATTTATTTTGTCAATCCTCATAAATTTGTAATTGAGACAGACCCCTATAACAAAAGACAGATTAAAAAGACAGAAACAAGCTAATTAATGTATGCTGGGCATGCCGTGCATGAGAAACTTCAACTAAAGGTAACAGAAAGCAATGGCTTAGGACTCAGGCTTATATAGCACCTTCAGCAAACAACAGTGAATTTGTAGAGAAATAACAGGACAAAGGAAAGCAATTTTAGGCCTCTAAGCATGGGAAACTGTGCAAAGAGAATATAGGAATAAACTAAAAGGTGAGCTTTATTTGCAGATACCTCTGGTGTCTTCTCTGAGCTGATAAGTCTCTGGTGGTTAATGTTTGTTCTCTCTGGTAGAGATGGGGCAGAATAGCTTTTGTCTTTGCAAATTTATGTTCTACTTTTAGGCAAACAGAGGAAGGGAAAAGAGCTTTGCTATATCTTTCTTCTTAATTGTCTTCAGCTCAACAAACCCTCATATTTTGAGGAGATATATTCTGGTCTCCCACAATATGTACCTCTAACCTGTTATAAAATCAAACAGTTTTAAGCATAGTATAGTTAAAAATACTTGGTTTTTATAATAGGTTTTACGAAATAATTTAAATCATAGTATATTAAAAATACTTGGCCTTATATCAAATTTCATAATAACATTTTAAATCATGGTATCAGGCCTCTGAGCCCAAGCCTGCACGTATACATCCAGATGGCCTGAGGCAACCATAAAGTATGAAAGAATTGAAAGAGCCAGCTCCTGTCTTAACTGATTGACCAACCTTACGACATTCCATTATGACTCGTTCCTGCCCTGCCCCAACTGATCCATCAATCGACTTTGTGATATTCTTCTTCTGGACAATGAGTCTTATGATCTCCTCACCATGCACCTTGTGACTCCCTCCTCTGCTGACGATAGATAACTACCTTTAACTGTAACTTTTCACTGCTTACCCCAGTCCTTTAAAACGGCCCCACCCCTACCTGCCTTTGCTGACTCTCTTTTCGGACTCAGCCCACTTGCACCCAGGTGAACTAAACAGCCTTGTTGCTCACACAAAGCCTGTTGACGGTCTCTTCACACGGACTCGCTTGACATTTGGTGCCAGGACTCGGATCAGGGGACCTCCCTTGGGAGATCAATCCGCCGTCCTCCTGCTCTTTGCTCCATGAGATAATCCACCTATGACCTTGGGTCTTCAGACCGGCCTAAGAAACACCTCACCAATTTTAAATTAGGAAAGCGGCCTCTTTTTACTCTCTTCTCCAACCTCTCTCACTATCCCTCAACCTCTTTCTCCTTTCAATTTCAATGCTACCCTTCAGTCTCTCCCTTCCCTTAATTTCAGTTCCTTTCCTTTTCTGGTAGAGACAGAGGAGAAGCGTTTTATCCCTGAACCCAAAACTCCGGTGCTGGTCATAGACTGGAGAAGGCAGTCTTCCCTTGGTGTTTAATCACTGCAGGGACGCCTGCCTTGATCCTCCACCTTGGTGGCAAGTACTATCTCTTTTGGGTGGCAAGTGTCACACCCCCCCACCACGTCTCTACCCCTCTTTTCTCTAAACTTACCTTTTTACTATGGGCAACCTTCTGCCTTCCATTCCTCCTTCTTCCCCCTTAGCCTGTGTTCTTAAAAACTTGAAATCTCTTCAACTCTCACCTGATCTAAAACCTAAGCATCTTATTTTCTTCTGCAACACTGCTTGGCCCCAATACCAACTTGATAATGGTTCTAAATGGCCAGAAATGGCACTTTCAATTTCTCCATCCTACAAGATCTAGATAATTTTTGTCAAAAAATGGGCAAATCATCTGAGGTGCCTGACATCTAGGCATTCTTTTACACATTGATCTCTCCTTAGTCTCTGCTCCCAAGGCGAGTCGTCCCAAATCTTCCTTCTTTCCATCCCGCCTGTCTCGTCAGTCCCAACCCCAAGTGATGCTGAGTCCTCTGAATCCTCCTCTTCTGCAGACCCCTCTGACCTCTCTCCCCCTCCCCAGGCCACTCCTCGGCAGGCTGAATCAAGTCCCAATTCTTCCTCAGCCTCTGCTCTCCTACCCTATAACTCTTCTGTCACCTCCCCTCCCCACACCAGTCCGGCTTACAATTTTGTTCTGCAGCAAATACTCCCCAACCTGCCCAAAAATTTCCTCTTCAAGAGGTGGCTGGAGCTGAGAGCATTGTCAGAGTTCATGTACCATTTTCTCTATCAGACCTTTCCCAAATTAATCAACACTTAGGCCCCTTCTCATCAGACCCCACTAAATATATACAGGATTTCCAGTATTTAACCCAGTCCTACAATTTAACTTAGAGTGACTTAAATATCATCCTAACTTCTAACCTTTCCCCAGATGAGCGGGATAGAGTTTATAGCCTAGCCCAATCTCACACTCACACCTGCTGGCATCATGAGCCAGACCTTCAGGAAGGCATCAGGGAACTTCCCGGAGAAGATCCCCGATAGGAATACCAGACAGGCTCCCCAGGTACAGCTAAGAGAGATTATATGATTTCCTGCCTAGTTGAAGGGCTTCAAAAGGCAGCTTACAAAGCTGTTAATTATGACAAACTTAAATAAACTTCCAAGGTAAAGACAAAAACCCAGCCCAGTTCATGGCCCTTTTGGCAGCAACCCTGAGACACTTTACTGCCCTAGACCCAGAAGGGCCAGAAGGCCGTCTTATTCTCAATATGCATTTTATTACCCAGTCCACTGCCAACATTACAAAAAGCTCCAAAAATTAGATTCCGGCCCTCAAACCCCACAACGGGAATTAATTAACCTTGCCTTCGAGGTGTACAATAACAGAGAAATGGTAGCCAAGTGGCAACGTATTTCTGAGTTGCAATTACGTGCCTCCACTTTGAAAGAAACCCAAGCCACATCTCCAGCACACAAGAACTTCAAAACGCCTAAACCACAGTGGCCAGGTGTTCCTCCAGGACCTCCTCCCCCAGGATCTTGCTTCAAGTGCTGGAAATCTGGCCACTGGGCCAAGGAATGCCTGCAGCCCAGGATTCCTCCTAAGCCATGTCCCATCTGTGCAGGACCCCCACCAGAAATTGGACTGTCTACGTAGCCCGGCAGCCACTCTCAGAGCCCCTGAAACTCTGGCCCAAGGCTCTCTGACCGACTTCTTCCCAGATCTTCTAATCAGAAACTCAAAAGAATGCAACCATTTGTCTCTCACCTATCTGTGACCTGGAAGCTTCACCATCAACACCCAAAGCTGAGATTCCAATTAAACTAGTCTCTGTATTCTCTGTGGCACGCACTTTAACTACAATGTAAGTATTGACCATCAGCACTAATACATTAATACTTTTATGTACTTTGTGCATGACTGCTAGTCCCCATGGATAATATATAGTGCTATTACATAAATTTTCTCATCAATATTTAATACAATACCTACCATATACAAAAAGTATGGTAATCTGAAAATCTTGTCTTCTATCCAAGTGTGAAAGCTTAGATGAGCAAGCCTCTTACATGAAACCAGAGCCACGTTTCTGCACGAATTATTCGTTGTACTGTGTGGTCTTACTTCCATTTTATCAACTCTCAGAGGCTGTGCTTTGTGACACTGATTTTACAAGGTGATTTCTTGTGAGCCTAAAAATGTAGACAGAAGGGGAGATTACCCAGTAAGGACTTCCTAGATCTGGTAGGGAATGAAAAAGTTTATTGATTCACTCAGTTTTACTGTGAGGAATTTTACAATAAAAACATCAATAATTTAAAAGTTCACTATAGATGTCGGTTTTCAGCTTGGACATGGGAAAAGCTGATAAGAAGGTTACTTTAACACAGAAAGAAAAAAAAATCTGAACAAATTGCAAATCGATGACTTCCTGCACCTATCAGAAAGTTCAAGGCACAGGGCAAACAAGCACAAGCAATCTGAAATTTAGACAAAGAGAGGAGCCTGCAGAGCCAAATAGAAATGGAGTATTTGCCTGCCTGGACAGACACCATCAAATCCTACATACGCTGTACAGAAAATTCAGCTACAAAGTTCCTAAATTGCTACAGGCTCAGCATGGGCTAGAATGGGACTGTGAAGCTCCTGAAGCTGGCAAGCTTCCTCTCCAGAAACCCCACCATGAGCTCACAGGAGGCTCAGGGGGAGTCCCAAGAGAGCATCCCTCATGGTGCTGGGGAGTGGAGCAGAACAGCAAGAACAGGAGAAACTCTCCCAGAGTTATTTCCCCCATTTATTATATGGTAACAAGCCTTAATCTGTAGATGAAACAACAACAAAAACTGTTTCCTTAAGGCACAGCACAGTACAAACCCACTGCAGCTGGAGGAGGAGAAAAGCAGCCACTATTAAAAGTTCATCCAGACCCACCCCTTCTATCTCCCGTAGGAAACATCAACAACCACAGCCTAATCTCCAGGGGAAAGAGGCACAAAGCTGTGACATGAGATACTGATGGAAACCAGTACAGCTGGGGAACAGAAAGGAAAATTTAAATAATAGTAATTAAAAATACCTTCTACCCCTGGGGCCCAGCACAACAGATGAAAGGGCAGGAGCCCCTCGTGTGAAGGCCATGCTCCAGGCACCAGTTCCACAGTGTTTAATCAGAATGTCAGAGCTAGTCCTTCTCCACTGCAACCCCACAATAACGCTTCAGGAAAAATAACAGAGGAACACAACGATGAGAGTTGCAGAAGACAAATTATCTCTGTCAAGCAGCGTAAAGGGAAAACTCATGAGCCCACGGAAGGGCCAGCAGGAGTCATGAAGAAAACCTCACTGGCAAAGGAACTGACACTTTAAACACAGAAACTAGAGAAAGATCTTGTAGGGTAACTTGAAGCCTAGGCTGCCCTGAGGGTAATAGTCACAACAAAACCCTTCAAATCCAGTTTGTCTCCTGATGACATCAGTACAAATCACCCAATTAATAATTTAACAGAAGGAAAGGGTGCTCAAGTTCAAGCACTAAGGAAGGTATTTCAGTATCCACTATCCTGTACAGCTTATCCAAATTGTGTGTGAATGTGTGTGTCTACCTTACAAAAAAAAGGAACAACAAAAAATACAGTCCACAGAAATAAAGCAATGATCAGAATCAGATTCAGAGATAACATAGATATTGGAACTAACAGGCAGGGAAATTAAAATTCCTATGATTAATATGTTAACATTTGTAATGGTAAAGATAGAGGATATGAAAGATGAGAAAAATAGTTTTAGCAGAGAGATAAAGAACTAAAAGTAGAACTATCATTTGATCTAGCAATCCCACTACTGGGTATCTACACAGAGGAAAAGAAGTCATTATATGAAAAAGATACTTGCATGAGTATGTTTATAGCAGCACAATTTGCAATCATACAAATATTCAACTAGGCTGGGCGCGGTGGCTCATGCCTGTAATCCCAGCACTGTGGGAGGCCGAGGTGTGTGGATCACCTAAGGTCAGGAGTTCAAGACCAGCCTGGCCAACATGGTGAAACCCGGTCTCAACAAAAATACAAAAATTAGCCAAGGATGATAGCAGGTACCTGTAATCCCAGTTACTCAGGAGGCTGAGGGGAGAGAATCGCTTGAACCCAGGAGGCAGAGGTTGCAGTGAGCCGAGATCACACCATTGCACGCCATCTTGAGTGCAAGAGCAAGATTCTAACCCCCCCCCAAAAAAAAAAATGAAACCAGCCCAAATGCCCATCAATCAATGAGTGGATAAAGAAACTGTGGGGGGTGTGTGTGTGTGTGTGTGTGTGTGTGTGTGTGTGTATATGTATTCCTTTTACATAGATAAGTCAGTTAGCAATAAATAGCAACAGGTAAATTTCCTTTCTCCAAAGCACGGGAAAAAACACATGATATAGGTAATAAATTTGGATCTAAACAATAAAGAAAAAGTTTTTAAATGGAATATATAAACATAAAATACAATTTTTTTCTTATTCTTAATTGCTCAAAATGTAACAATATATTTTTCACCATTTATTCTTACCATCTACTGTTATTTAAATTAGTAATCATAATACTATACATATAAAGTAAAAATATTGTTCTTTAAAAGATAAAATTTATGAAATTCAAGCCAGAATGGAGCAAGAGGGGGAGAGCGAATACAAATTATCAGTATCAGGAATGAAAACGGGAAATTATTGTTGAATACAGAGACAATGAAAGGATAAAAAGGATTTCTACAAACAACTCTGGTCTTTTTTCATAAATTCAGCAACTCAAATGAAATGGAGCAAGTTCTTGAAAGAAATAAACTACTGAACCTCATTTGAAAATAAATATTTATTCTCAAGGCACCTTATATATTAAGTAAATTGAAAAGAATGAAAAATCCAGGCACAAATTTTCTTTATTGCTGAATTCTGCCAGATGTTAAAGGAAGAAACAATATCATTATATACAATATCCTTGAAAAACAGAAAAAGAGGAAACTCTTTTAAACTCATTTTATGGAACCAGTTTTACTCAAATACTAAAACCAGAAAAAGGTATTTTTTAAAAAAGAATATACAAATGAATATTCCTCATGAATAAATATGCAAAAATTCTTAACTTATCAAATTGATATCATCAATATAAAATGATGATACATCAACACCAAGTGTGATTCATTCTAGGAAGCCAAGGCTGGCACAACGTGAAGAAATCAATAGTTGTGATCCAACATTTTAACAAACTAAGTAGAAAAATCCATATAATCATCTCAATAATTTTTTAAAAAAACATTCACAAATTACTATCTTTATTAATGATTTTAAAACTAGAAGAAAACTAGAACTAGAAGGAACATCCTTTCCCTAGTAAAAGAAATCTATAAAACCTTACATCTAACATTAGGCTCAATTATGAGAGACTGAATGATTTCTTCTCAAGATCAAGGACAAGACAAATATGTCTTCTGTCACACTCCTATTTAACAGCTAATGTGGTTTGAATGCTTGTCCCTTTCCAAAGCTCATGTTGAAATTTGGTTGCCATTGTGGCAGTGTTGGGAGGTAGGACCTACTGAGAGATATTTAGGTTGTGAAGTCCCTGCCCTCATTAGTGGTTTAATGCCATTTTATGAAGGATTTGGGGGAGTGGGCTACCTTTTAGCTGTTCTGCCTTTCTGCCACATAAGGAAAAGTGTTTCCCCTCTCCCAGGGATCCAAAGTTCAAGACAACATTTTGGAAGTGGAGAACAGGTCTTTACCAGACACCAAACTTGCTGAAGCCTTGATATTAGATTTCCCAGCCTCCCAAACTGTAAGCCAATGAATTTATATTTCTTATAAATTGCCCAGTCTATAATATTCTGTAATAAACTCTAATATTCTGTAATAAACAGTCTTTCTTAGCATGATTGCCTATGTAGAATATCCCAAAAAAATCTATAGGAAAGCACCTAGCACTAATAAGTGAATTTACCAAGTTGGGGGATTCAAAGTTAATGTAAAAATACAAATTGTATTCTTATATACCAGCAATAAATAATTGGTAATAGAAACAACAAAAAAAATAGGCCAGGCACAGTGGCTCACACCTGTAATCCCAACACTTTGGGAGGCTGAGGCAGGCAGATCATGAGATCAGGAGAGTGGGACCATCCTGGCCAATATGGTAAAACCCTGTCTCCACTAAAATACAAAAAATTAGCTGGGAGTGGTGATGCGTGCCTGTAGTCCCAGATACTCAGGAAGCTGAGGCAGGGTAATCACTTGAACCCAGGAGGCAGAGGTTGCAGTGAGCCAAGATCATGCCACTGCCCTCCAGCCTGGTGAAAGAGTGAGCCTCTGTCTCAATAAAAAGAAAAAGAAAAAAGAAAAATATACTTACCATTTATAAATAGCACCAGAAATAAAATACTTATGTATTCATCTAACAAAAGGGTGTACAAATTTTGCATTCTGAAGACAACAAAAGATAGATGATAGAAATGGAAGAAAATCTAAATAGAAATGTATACCATGTTTATGGATTGGAAATATATACCATGTTTATGGATTCAATAAGGTTAATCTATTGATTCAGTATGGTCCTCTTTAAGAAAAAACCTGCAATGCTTTTAGAAAGATAATTGTAAAATTTATATAGAAAGGCAAAACAACTAAAATATCCAAAATAATTCTGATAAAGGAAAAGATACGTAGAGAATGTACAATCCCTGATTTAAAAACTTGTTATAAATCTAAAGTAATTAAGACAGTAGTGTATTATGCAAAAGAGAAACACATAGATCAATAGCATAGAGAATCCAGAAATAGATACATACTAATACAGTCACTTATTGACAAATTGCAATGTTAAATCCATGATGATGTGTCTTTTAAACAAATAGTCCTAGAACCAGCATGTGAAAAAAAAATGGACTTCAACACATATTGCATTTCTTATACATTTCTCATTTTTAATCCAGTTAATGTCTTAAAAATTAACTGAAAATGAATAATAAGCCTAAATGTAATTGTAAAATTATAACACTTTGAAAAGAAAATGTAGGACAAAATCCACATGATCTACAGTTTGGAAATGAGTTTTTAGATATAACATTAAAAGAACAATATACGAAATTAAAAAAAAAGACTTTATCAAACCTAAAAATTTATCTGTGAAAGCCTCTGCTAAGAGAAAAGAGAAGCATGCCAAAAACTTGGACAGAATATTTGCAAATCACGTAATCAGATAAAGGATTGTAGCAAGAATATATAAAGAACTGTTAAACATAACAATTATATAAACATTCAATAAAAGTAGTTGCAAATATCTGATGAAGCACTTCATTCAAGATAATATGTGGGCGACAAATGAGCATATGAAAAAATATTCACAACCATTAGTAATCAGGGAAGTGCACATTTAAAACACAATGAGATACCTTAATTAGAGTGGCTGTATATATATAAATTAATACTAGCAATTGTCAGATATGATGTGGATCAACAGAAACTTGCATTCATTGGTGGTGGAAATCCAATAGTGTGAAACCACTCTGAAACAGTTTGGCATTTTCTTTTACGTATATTGAAAACTCGAATACACACAAAATCTTACTTGTGAATTTTTACAGTAGCTTTATTCATAATTTCCTAAAAATGGAAATAACTCAGATGACCTTATGTGACAGAAATGGCACACTACTCGTAAAAAAAAAGATCAAACCGTTCACGAACAACATGTATGAATCTTAAATGTATGTTGCTAAAGTGAAAGAAGTCAGTCCCAAAGGAAACATATTATAATCCATTTTACGTTATGGTCTGCAAGAATCAAAACTATAGGGAGAGGAAAACAGATTACTGTTCGCCAGGGTTTGAGGAAGAGTAAGGTAAGGGGCTGGGGCACACAAGGAAATTTTCACAGGGATGAGACTGTTCTGTTCTCTAGGGGACTGTCGTGAAGGATACAAGATTGTATTCAATTCTGAGGAGCCATCGAACTTTCTTTCATAAAGTTTGACTTTTATTGTATCAAGAAAAATTTACCAGCGTGTTAGGAGAAATCCAGGATGGAATGCAGACTGTGACAGATGAATGTATCTCATTACAAGTTTATGATATAATCTTAAGGTGGGAAAGGAGTTCACCTGAGTAACTTTGAAAAACATTTTTTATGTGGATACTATAAGGTTAAAGTCAAAAAAGCCTGTACACAGACACTGTGCTGTAGTTGGTAAATGTGTGTCTCTCGGGGTTACACTTTAGCAATTATGAAGATACTTTTGACGAATACTAGGGTTTAACAAATAAATATATTGTACATCATGTGAAAGTTTGATTTCTGGATTTCTCAAAGAAAGAAAGAAATTTTGAGTAATCAGTGAGGAGAAACGGAATGAACTCTATAGTGCTAGATTAAGGTCAAGGGTATCAGAATAAACACAGTTTCACTGTCTCTCTCTCTCTCTTGTTATTCATAAACATAGATATGTATATATATATCTATGATACACACACACACACACACACACACACACACACAAGCTCTGCCTACTTAAAGGGAATTAAACTACCTACACCCCGTAGAATTTAGCACATCTAGCACCCAGATCTTGGTTTCAAAATACCATTCTCCAACACAAAAACAAATGTTTCCTAGAGAAATGGCTTATTCTACAATTAAAACGGGGAAAACAAAAGATTATACTGGATAGTCTTGTAATTACAGAAAGTGTTTAAAGAAAAGAAAAAAAAAGAAGGATGGAGATGGGAGTATATCCAAAAGATGTAAGAACATATCAACAGAGCTCTCAATGTTCAAAGCCGGAACAGTTTGAGCCACAAAATAAATAAAAACGAATTGGATTATAACTCAATGGATAAAATAAATATTCCTGGGTCCATGCTGATATATATGTTAATATACAATGCTCTATGTTATATACTAATTGTGTCATATAAATACATGATCTAATATGCTATATTTATATAATATAGCATATTAATTACAACAATTCATAAAATATATGAATGTTGTATATAATACATATCATATTAATATATTAATGATGTACTTGGGATGAATACTGTGCATGAATAATTTCCGTACTATTATAACATTTTAAATAAATCTGTCTAATGCTGTATTCAGTATAAGGAACCATTTGACTAACAAACCTAGAGTTGCATGTTTCAGGTTGTCTTTTATCAGTAATCAGATTGACAATGTGGCCTTGATTATTTAATTAAACTTTTTGTTTTTAGATCATTGTAGAGTCACATGTTGTTGTAATAAACAATACAGGTAGGTCCCATATACCCTTTGCCCTGTGTAAAATCTGGCAAAACGAGTTTTGTATTACAACCAGAATACTGACATTGATACTGTCCGGATGAAGAGCAGCTCAGTCCCCACGGGGATCTCTCCTGTTGCCTTTGCATAGCCATGCCCATCTCCCGCTCTCTCCCCACCCCAATTCCTGGCAACACAAATTTGTTCTCCATTTCTATAATTTTGTTATTTCAAGAATGTTATATAAAAATCATATATAGTATTCCAAATCTTTGGGATTGGCTTTCCTAACAGTATAATTCCCTGTGGTTGCATCGATGCTGTTGAATGTGTCCACAGTTTGTGCCTTTTTTCGTTTGTTTTTTCTGAGACGGAGTCTCGCTCTGTCGCCCAGGCTGGAGTACAGCGGCGCTATCTCGGCTCACTGCAAGCTCTGCCTTCCGGGTTCACGCCATTCTCCATCCTCAGCCTCCCGAGTAGCTGGGACTACAGGTGCCCGCCACCACGCCCGGCTAATTTTTTGTATTTTTAGTAGAGACGAGGTTTCACCATGTTAGCCAGGACGGTCTCGATCTCCTGACCTCGTGATCCACCCGCCTCAGCCTCCCAAAGTGCTGGGATTACAGGCGTGAGCCACCGCGCCCAGCCCAGTTTGTGCCTTTTTATTGCCGAGTAGTATGCTTGGGATAAATGCCCAAGTGTGCAGTTGCTGAGTTGTATGTCAGTTACATGTTTAGTCTTTTAAGAATCTGCCAAACTGTTTTTGGCTATAGAATTTTACATTCCCATCAGTAATGTATGTGTGATCCAGTTTCTCTGAATCCTTGTAAACATTTGCTGTTGTAAGTATTTTTATTTTAGCCATTCTAACAGGTGTGTAGTGAAATCTCATTATGGCTTTAGTTTGCATTTCTCTACTGGTAAAATATTTCAGACTTCTTTTCATGTGCTTATTTGACATGGGTATATCCTTTTTGGTGAAATAGCTCTTCATGTCTTTAGTCCATTTGCTGGTAAGTTTTTTTTTTTGCTTTTGTGTGTATTGCATGTTGAGATTTCTTTATACATTCTTTATGCTATTTCTTTGTTGGATTCATGGTTGATAAATATTTTCTCCCAGCATATAGCTTTCTTTGGCATTAGCTTAACAGGATATTTTTACATATCAATTTTTAAAAATTCTATGATACATAATCAATTTTCCTTTTATGAATTATGTTTTTAATCTGAAATGTAAGTTTTTTTGCTTAACTCTGAATTCCTAATTTTTGTCCTATGCTTGTTGTTTCTATAATTTCGATTGCTTTCTATCGATGTATAGGATCCATTCCGAGTGAATTTTTGCGTAAGGCATGGCATCTAAGTCAAAACTCACGGCACATTTGTGAAAATCCATTTAGGCAAATCAGGGCTTTTGATATTGAGAAGATGGTTTAGACCCATTTCTCTCTGTTTTCTTCACCAAATAAAACTCTAAACCCTGGGGATAATGTAAGAAGCAACCAAGGGAGACTTCTGAAAGGTGGCAAGAAGGGGATCCGGTTTGGGGCATCAGGATTGGAGAAAAGCACAGCGGCAGGACGTCATCCAACCCTCCACCCCGCAGAAGGCAACCCAGGTCTGGTACTCCCTGATCTCTAACGCAGCAACAGAACGTCCATTCCTCCCCCCATATTAAGTATTCCTCCCTCACTGACAACATCAGGCAAACTCAACATCACTAGCAATGGGGTGATAAGGACCCTCACCGACAGTAAGTAGACAGAGGAATCTCTCTTCTTTCCTGCAAGTGAGAGTCCCCTCCTCTGTTGGGAAATACTGAGGTGCAGGTGGAACCAGAGAGGGAAACCCAACCCAGACAGTGAGCAACCTGGCCCAGGAAGACTATTCGACTCTACTGAACTAAGACTCCACTCCCCCATCCCGAAACACTGGTGCAGCCAAGGGGTAACAGCACCCAGCTCAGGAAGTCCTCTACATCCCCAGTGGCAGGAGGGATCTTGCTGTAGCAAGTACCCATCCAGGGAATCCTCTTGGTGCCTGCAGGCCTAAGACTCCTCTCTCCTGCAGAGAGACAGCCTGCATCTAGTCTGGGGAGACCCTTTTACTCCATCAGGCAGCACTAGCAGGGACTAGGATGGCTCAGGTGGCATTACGTAAACCAAGCAGATAAAGCGACACCTGCTGAAATAAAAAGTAAACTGTCATTGGAATCACAGCCTTCAAAAACATCACAGGTCCTGCATACTACACCTGATCACAGTGGCTGCCTACTAAAATAAGATAGTTACACTAGACGAGTCTTCTAACATGACAGGCAAAATGTCCAGGATACAACACAAATTTACCCATCATACTGAGAACCAATAACATTGCAACTTGAATGGAAAAAAAAAATTAACTGATACCAACACTAAGATGAGTCACATGTTGGAATTACTTGACAGTGATTTTAAAGCAGCCATCATAAAAATGCTTCAGCAACTTACTATACATTCTCTGGAACCAATGAAAAGATAGAAAAATCTCATTAAAGCAAAAGAAGTTATAAAAAAAAGTCAATGGAAATTATAGAACTGAAAAATACAATGACAAATTAAAAAAAAACAAAAAGTAAGCAACTCACTGGATGAGCTCAATAAAGGAGTGGAAGTAACAGAGAATGAACTTGAGGACAGACGAATAGAATTCACCCCATTTGAACAACAGAGAGAAGATAGACTGGGAAAAACAAAAATGAGGGAACGGAGACTCAGGGACCTGTGAGGCAACAACAAAAGACCCAACATATTTGTTGTCATAAAAGATGAGAAATAAAGTGGAACTAAAATGGTATTTAATGAAATAATGCCGAAAAACATCATAAACCTGTTAAAAGACATACCACCACAGATTCAAGAAGTAAAGAAAATCCAAATTATAGCAAACACACAAAAAAATCTACATCAAGACACATCATAATTTGCTTCTGAAAAATAAGTCAAAAAATACTGAAAGCAGCCAGAGGGAAATAACACTTTATCTACAGAGGTACTCTTACTGGAATAGCAGTGGATTTTGTACATGAACCCATGAGATTCAGAAGGAACTGGGGCAACATTTTTCAAGTACTGAAAGAAAAGTTCTCCTTTTCAGTCTGAGGGTGATTCCTGTATTCCTGGGTGTATTCATCCATTTTCACACTGCTGATAAAGACATACCCAAGACTGAGCAGTTTACCAAAGAAAGAGGTTTTTTGGACTTACAGTTCCACATTACTGGGGAGGCCTCACAATCATGGTGGAAGGCAAACAGGAGCAAGTCACATCTTACATGGATGGCAGCAGGCAAACAAACAGAGAACTTGTTCAGAGGAACTCCTCTTTTGTTTTTTTTTCAAGAAGGAGTTTTGCTCTTGTTGCCCAGGCTGGAGTGCAATCATATGGTCTCTGCTCACTGCAACCTCTGCCTCTCAGATTTAAGCGATTCTCCTGCCTCAGCCTCCCAAGTAGCTGGGATTACAGATGCCTGCCACCAGGCCTGGCTAATTTTTGTATTTTTAGTAGAGACAGGGTTTCACCATGTTGGCCAGGCTGGTTTCAAACTCCTGAACTCAGGTAATCCACCCACCTCGGCCTCCCAAAGGGCTGGGATTACTAGCATGAGCTACCATGCCTGGCCGAGAACTCCTCTTTATGAGACTTATTCACTACCATGAGAACAGCATGACAAAGACTTGCCCCCAGGATTCAATCACCTCTCACTGGGTTCCTCTCAGAACACATGGGAATTTGAGATGTGATTTGAGTGTGGACATAGCCAAACCATATCACTGGGGTTCCAAACGAGCTCATTTTCTTCTTCTTTTTTTTCAGAGTCCTCTTTTGCTTGTGTCCTGAATTATTTCCAGGGTTTACAGTTGTACTTTACAGGGAGGAGCAGGGAAAGAGAGAAGAATATGCTACCTGTCCCACTGGAAATCTTATGGTCTTTCTTTTAATGCTCTGTTTATTTCTTGTAAACTTGTGAGGAAGAGAAGTTTTAGGAACTTCCTTGGTTATCCCAGAAGGGAAACTTAAAATTTGTTTTGTGGGCTTTCTTGAAGTTATCAAAAAACAAATTTAAAAAGTATAGATGTTCCCGTAGGAACATCTTTTTACTTCTTCATGAAAGTTGAGAAATAAAATAACCTTACACTTCTCTGTCCCCATAACTTCCACTTGTGGACCTACACCACCATTTTTTAGAAAAAAATGTCTGTGGTGACAGAAAGCGATTAATACTTGCCTTTTCAGTATTGATGATTAGAGGTAGGGGATTGATTACAAAGGTACACTGGAAATATGTTAGCTGAAGGATATGTACTATATCTTGATTGGGTGGTAGTTACACACTTACATACAATTGATGAAACTTTATGAAGTACACAATTAAATTGGGAGAACTCTATTGTACATAATTCATAGCTTAAGAAGGCTGGGAAATATAAAGTAGAGAAAAAAACAGTAAAAATGAAAATCTTTATAATACTCTGTTTTGTCTTAAATGGTAAAAAGTTTTCTAAGACGGTAATCGCTTTTTTTTTTTTTTTTTTTTTTTTTTTTTGAGACGAAGTTTCACTCTTATTGCCCAGCTGGAGTGCAATGGCACAATCTCAGCTCACCACAACCTCTGCCTCCTGAGTTCAAACAATTCTCCTGCCTCAGCCTCCCCAGTAGCTAGGACTACAGGCATGTGCCACAATGCCTGGCTAATTTTGGATTTTTAGTAGAGATGGTGTTTCTCCATGTTGGTCAGGCTGGTCTCGAACTCCTGACCTCAAGTATTCCACCCACCTGGGCCTCCTAAAGTGCTGGGATTACAGGCATGAGCCACTTAGACAACACTTGTTCTTAATATAGTGAATGAGGAAGGGGTCACTGTGAACAGCTTAATGATCACCCTTATATTAGTCTGCTCAAGCAATCATACCAAAATGCCATAGACTGGTGGCTTAAACAAGAGAAATTCATTTTCTCAAAGTTCTGGAGGCTGGAAGTCTGATATCAAAGTTCTAGCAGGGCTTGGCTCCTGGTGAAACTCCTCCTCTATGTGTTCTCACATGCAGAGAGAGTGAGGTCTGGTGTCTTCTTCTTCATATAAAGACATCAGCCCTATTGGATTAAGGCCCCACCCTTATTACCTCTTTTTGTTATGGGATCTTTGGGGTGTCACTTTTCTGGCCAGAAACCTCTGTGACCAGTGGTGCCACTGAGAGAGTTCTTGTCCTGTGTCCAGGAAGAATGAGATATGCAGACAAGTGGAGGGTGAATAAGACGAAGATGAGCTTTATTGAGTGTTACAACAGCTTAGAGGAGACCCACAGTAGGAAGCCCCTCTTTGTAGACAGGTCATCTGGAGTGTCCAGCTATCAGCAGAGAGGAGGCCCTGGAGAGGGTGAGTCCTCTCTGCACTGCCAGCAGGTCGTCCCTTTGTCTCCAGCTATCAGTGGAGACAGTATCTCCTCTCTGGAGCTGATAACCCATAGTTTCTGCATCCTCTGCCCTGCTCTGCTTGAACCCGGGGCTTTTATGGGCCTCAGCGGGTGAAGTACATATTGAATGGTCCATGGGAAGCTGTGGGCAGGCCTAGGAAGAAGCACCATGAGTTTTCCCTCCCTTCTGCAGGACTGGCAGGCCAGACCCAGGCATCAGGACTATGCCGGCTGGAAGATGTGGCTTCACTGGGCACCTGCCCCCTTCTGCCCAGGAACCTGTCTCCCGGGGCCATCCATGGCATCCAGGCTGCTGGCACCATGGGGCACCTGCAGGCCAGCACCCAGCCTCCCTCAGCCCCCACTCAGCTTCCTTTCCTGCACTCTTCCGTTCCCAAAGTCCAGAGGGGGGCAAAGCAGCAGGGCGCTAACATGTCAGGACTGCCCCAAGCGTGCGCACACCCAGCAGGGCTCTGACAGTCCCCCAGGCTTGGCCCCAACTCCGCTTAGAGATGGGAGCTGGTGCCGGTAGTGGGGAGACGCCAGGCAGCAGGAGCAGGCACCTGTGTGCCTGCAAGGGTACAGGGATTCCTGGGTTTTCAGCCCCGGTTTGGGCAGCTGCAGCTGTGCAAATGGGGGTGGGGGAATGGCGGCCAGGCTCCCGCCTGCTCCGTGGAGTGGGAGGCCAGGATCTGCAGCCACGACTTGGGCGGCTGCAGTCCCACCCAGGAGGGCAGGGCTGTGTGCCTACTCCCGGCTCCTGAGAGCACGGGGGTGCCAGGGTTGCAGCCTTGCCTTGAGCAGCCTGCTGTTGCAACTAGGGAGCTTCCATCCAGACAACTTGGAAGGGGCAGGGTTCATGCTTGTCCATGGCTTGCCTGGCTCCATGGAGCACCACACTCGGCTGTGCACCCTCACAGCCTGGGACAGTGTCTCCTTTTCCTTGCTGGGCCTGGGGCAGGGGCAACATTGCCCTGAGCTCCCCCTGTGGCCCCAGCACTCATGGGTGGCCGGAGCTTCTCCCTCGCCCAGTGGCACAACCTGGCCTGGCCCCATCGCAGCGGCCTTGCTGGAGTGGGAGCTGTCTGCCTCCTCCCCGTGCCCTCCCAGCAGTGGCCTGCATGATGGCAACAGTGCACCAGACAGCCCACCGCTGTCATCAGTTTAACTTTAGCTTTTTATTTCAATTTAGTCACATTGTGAATTAAGGCTTCAACATATAGATTCGGTGGGTGGGGATGGGGAAGACACAATTCAGCCAACAGTAACCCTACACAGAATATCGTGGCAGAATCCAGCTTCTGAATTATGGCATATTGGTGTGAATAAAACACATCAGCAGACTGTGTTAATCAGGTTTCACATTAACCGGCTATTGCTAACATCAAAAATGATCAGCACAATTTGCTACACATTTTAGAAAAATACACGTCTTTCCATATTATAACCAGCAGAAATTCTTCATTACTGGTGACATAAGGTCTTTGACAAATGAAAGAGCTTTTCTGTATGAAAACTTAGGGCAAAGGAGGAAAAAAAGATAAAATATTATATATCTTTATTCATGTTTGTTTTACGCAGGATGTGAAAACATTTTGCCTTCAAACAGGTATCTGAATATATTTTTAAATGATTTTAGCACTTTTGAGGATAACTTGGAAAAGGTTTTATTCTAGAAAATTGAAATAAAATGCACTTTAGTGATTTTAGTGACCTAAATTTGCTTTAGCAATTACAGTGATTACAGTGCCTGATGACTCTGTTAGCTTTGAGGACCAACTCTTACTCTCTTCTTTCTAGGTTGCTAGGGAAACCATTTAGGGAAGGAAAGGATGTTGAGAAGAGGCCATTGCTTTGCAACTTTCTTGCCTCATAATTAACTTAAATGCAGGAAGATACAGCTGACAAAATTCTGCAAAGCTGTTAATTGAGCAAACTCAGGAGAAACTTGAGAATTACATAGACTTTCAATTATTTTTTTTAACAAGTAAACAAAGCCAAGACCTCCAGGAACACACCTGTGGTTAGGCAAGTTAGGTGAACACATACCAGGGAGAATCGTGGGTGTCTCAGGAGGAATGTTAAAATGAACCTATTATAGGATTTGGATTTGGGTAAGTAATTCGGGGAGGTTCTAAGAAGTTTGCTCTGGATTAGATGTTGTTAGAAAGCTGGAGGTTGATGAGGTAAAAAAAAAAAATAGCAGTCACTCATTTAGCAGAGAGCAGGGAGTATATGCCATTCTCGGGTGGCACAGTGACCTTGTTTTTGTCTCTGCTTCAACAGAATTATAAGGTGGCTTTGCTTTGTTTCACTCTGTCTTACTATAGTCTCAGAGTAACCTTGTCTGAGGTTCGTATTCTGATAATGTTTATGTCCAACAGGAGAATAGCCTGTTCCAGCTGTGAGTGTTAGGCCAACTTCTAGATGTCAGGAGACACTTTCCCCTCCACCTCAAATGTTACTTGCACAACATTCTGATGGATGATATAATGTATTGAACCTGTCTATGACATTACCTACATAGTGGAACACTTCAATTTACTTATTTTTTATTTATTTATTTATCTTGAGACAGACTCTCGCTCTGTCACCAGGCTAGAGTGCAGTTGCATGATCTTGGCTCACTGCAATCTCCACCTCCTGGGTTCAAGCGATTCTCCTGCCTCAGCCTCCCAAGTAGCTGGGATTACAGGCATGTGCCACCACACCCAGCTAATTTTTGTATTTTTAATAGAGTCGGGGTTTCACCATGTTCACCATGATGGTCTCGATCTCCTGACCCTGTGATCTGCCCGCCTTGGCGTCCCAAAGTGCTGGGATTACAGGCATGAGCCATCGTGCTGGGCCTCAATTTATTTTTTAAAAGTCTAACAACTGGATTTGATTCTATTTTCTGTATTTCTACCTCCCATTTAATAAGCAAGTGTCAGAATTTTACAGGGCAATTAGAATAATTATAGCAACAGGCCGGGCGCGGTGGCTCACGCCTGTAATCCCAGCACTTTGGGAGGCCGAGGCGGGCGGATCACGAGGTCAGGAGATCGAGACCATCCCGGCTAAAACGGTGAAACCCCGTCTCTACTAAAAATACAAAAAATTAGCCGGGCGTAGTGGCGAGCGCCTGTAGTCCCAGCTACTTGGGAGGCTGAGGCAGGAGAATGGCGTGAACCCGGGAGGCGGAGCTTGCAGTGAGCCGAGATCCTGCCACTGCACTCCAGCCTGGGCGACAGAGCGAGACTCCGTCTCAAAAAAAAAAAAAAAAAAAAAAAAAAGAATAATTATAGCAACAATATTCAGTGTTCAAAATGAATGGAAATGTGTAGACAACAACTATACCTGTTCGAACACATTTTCAGGGACAACTAGGCATTTGTTGGGGCAATTGAGTTGGACATGTGCTTTGGTAGGTGAAGCTGAGTTGCACCAATGGACGTATAATTAGTAGAACAATTAAAACGCATTATTTCCCTATAAAAGGAGCCAGTAACATTGAGAATAATACACTCACATACACTCACCTAAAGACAGAAATAATGAACTGGACTTCAGTGTCTAGCACCACAGTCTGAACTTGCACCATCTGACCCAGGGCCTCTGCATCCAAAGTACACAGAAAAGCGAAGTAAGTCAAGAACACATGAATTATCTGAACAATACTCAAGAACAGAATTAGGATTCCTCTCCAGTGGCTTTGGATCCCAAGTTGGCAAGCTCTTAGAGATGGAGTCCCACACTGACATGTGGAATGGTGAGCAAGTATTTATAGGGATTGGCTGAGGAGAGTTTTAGAAGTCACTGAAGGAGAAGAAAAATGTCCAGAGGGAACTTCAACTTGCTGCTCTAAGAGCTCTCAGGAACATCATAGAACAAGCAAGGGAGGAGGAAGGGGCGATCACTAAAGAGCTTATTAAACAAGGTCACTGTTGGAGAGCATGTGATTTGGGTCCAGAGATGGTGTTTGATGTACTGCCCACCGTGACCTCAGTGTGCAATGAGTACCTTAGTGTGTCTATGGCGTGTCTGTTTTCCACTCCATGAAGGCACCCCCCGTTCATATTTCTCATGTAGATTTGTCCCCACATCCTTCCCCTTCCATAGAAAAGCCTTGTCTGCTGTCTCCAAAGCACCCTGAGCTTGCCTTTCTCCCAAATTTATTTTTAGGGTGTTTTAACTAAGTATGATTTTAATAAAAATAGTCAAACAAATGTTATCCTATGAAGTAGGCAAGAAATAACGTGTTTAAGTACATACAGGCTACTGTAGTCAAGAAGCAACTGACATTCAGGAGCACATCGGTCACCTGCAGTGTGGCCTTCCAAGACAATGCCTGGCCTCTGACTGCAGTCCTCAGTTGAATCAGGGAGCTCCATTTGTTAGACAGAAGAGACTTTTGAAACTAAGCCAGTAGCATCCTTATCCTTTTCGAAAGACAGGAAGAAAAGGAAATAATCTTTAAACTCACCACTGAACCATGGAACCTTCAGATAGAAAGTACCTCCATAGGCCTGCATTTTACAGATACAGTGTGTGTGTGATTTGGGGGTAGAAGAGAGGCTTCAATCTCCCCAGAAAGAATAAAAAAGAATCCAAGTTGTTTTCTTTTATTTAAATATTTAAAAATCTGTTTCTTGCTAATGTGCAATTTGCCACAAATCTAATTTGTGTCAATTCTGAGTTAATCAAAGAAGTTATAAAGTAGGTATTGCTTTATCTTATTATTTATTTATTTATTTCTTATTTTTTTGAGATGGAGTCTCATTCTGTCACCAGGCTGGAGGGCAGTGGTGTGATCTCAGCTCACTGCAAGCTCCACCTCCCGGGTTCAAGCGATTCTCCTGCCTCAGCCTCCTGAGTAACTGGGACTAGAGGCACCCGCCACCACACCCAGCTAATTTTTGTATTTTTAGTGGAGACAGGGTTTCACCATGTTAGCCAGGATGGTCTCAATCTCTTGATCTTGTGATCCACCCGCCTCAGCCTCCCACAGTGGCAGGGACCACTTTCTAATTAACAATGAATGTGAGTGAGAGATCTGAGGGTGCGTTTGTACATTATTCTTATGGATACACATGAGCAGAAGATGTGCTAACTAAGCAAGGCTGAAAATAGGCATAAGCATATGTCAGCCTGTGGAATGATTTCATGTGTGTGTGCCTGGACATATGTATGGAGATACAGCTTTCATCACACATGCTTGGATAGCATATTTACTTGTGAATTTCACAGTTTCTTATAAAAATTCATGTACAAAGAGAAATTATACCTAATTTAAGAATTTTGTTTTACAACTTTGTTTCCAAAATGGTAATGTAAAATAGTCACTGAGATTATTCAGAAAAAAATCCAAACTTTACAGAAACATTTGGCATTGAGATGATGAACAACAAAAAGATTGAAAAAGAAATTATTGTTATTCGTTGCCTGCTGGTATATGTAAGTTTCCTTACAACATGCATTTAGGAGTAATTCATAAAATTATTTTATTTAGTATGGCCTATGTTTACTGATTATATTTTTAAATTAAAAATGAATGTTGCTTTTATTTTTTAAAATAAGTTAGCCTGAAAGATCATAAATAGCACTTAAGAGTGTAGAAAATATGCAGTTGTAAAGATATGGAACATATCTAAGTCTCCATCAAACAACACGTGGATAAAGAAAATGTGTATATATACACCATGGATTACTACTCAGTCATAAAAAGGAATGAAATAGTGTCTTTTGCAGCAACTTAGATGGAGCTGGAGGCCATTATTCTAAGTAACTCAGGAACGGAAAACCAAATATCATATATTCTCACACATAAGTGGGAGCTAAGCTACGAGGATGCAAAGGCATATGAATGATATAATGGGCTTTGAGGACTCAGGGAGGAAGGCTGAGAAGAGGGTGAGGGATAGAAAATTACCTATTGGGTACAGTGTAAATGCTCACGTGATGGGTGCACCAAAATCTCAGAAATCACCACTAAAGAACTTATCTATGTGTGTTAGCCTGTTTTCACACTGCTGATAAAGACACATCTGAGACTGGAAAATTTATAAAGAAAAAGAGGTTTAATGGACTCACAGATCCATGTGGCTGGGGAGGCCTCACAATCATGGCAGAATTTGAAAGGCACTCTTACACGGTGGCAGCAAGAGAGAATTTGTGCAGGGAAACTCCCCCTTATAAAACCATCATGTCTTATGAGACTTATTCACTATCATGAGAATGGCATGGTAAAGACCCACCCCCATGTTTCAATTACCTCCCACCAGGTCCCTCCTATGACACATGGGAACTGTGGGAGCTACAGTTCAAAATGAGATTTGGGTGGGGACACAGCCAAACCATATCACCCTGTAAACCAAAACTACCTGTACCCCCAAAACTATTGAAATAAAAATAAAAATTTTAAAAGGAGCATAGAAAATATTTATAAGGGAAAGGTTAAAGAAAACAATTTTGACTGCATTAACTTGAATTCAAGAATTCTGGAAATATTTTACACAAAGCAATATAGTTCAAAGATTTAAATTTGTATTAAAAATAAGATTTAACAGAAGGAATATATTAAACTATAGCATTATTTTGTTTATCAAATGTCCTCTTCAATCTTCAGCTAGAGAATAATCCATTTCATTGCTTAAGTCTTGATGCCTACCTATTTGGGGAAGAAACTGCTTCAGAGAAACTAAAGGATAGACCTGGACCAGGGTAAAGAAAAGGCAGAAGCACCTCGAAATAATTTCTTAAAGTACAGTGTTGAATGATTAATTGTGACATGACATTTACTGGAAAAAAATATTGCAGTCTTTTGGAGCATATTTGCTGAAACACCTAGACCAGAGTATTTCATAAGTAGGGTGACAATATAATTTACAATTCAAACTGGCATGCTTTTGAGTGGGAAACAGCATTCTATATTTATGCCAGGACAGTGAAAAGTGTAAACCAGGACTTACTCCTCTTAGAATTAATCTTCAGACAAGCAACACTTAATGATTTCCCTGATTTGATAGATCAATGATAACACAATTCTATGCAATACATTGAAGTTCTGTATAATGTATAATGAGGCATACCTTATTTGTGCAGCATTCATGTGAATTGCATCTTTTAGGTGACAGATTTTCCTAGGTTTGAGGCTACACAAGTTTGCTTCTTTACCTTCATGATATTTTTGCTGGGGGAAGGGGGACAGCTGACAAACAAGAAGGGCCCACTAATCCATGGTAATTTTAAATATGTAAATTTAACCCAAATATTTTTAATAAGTTACTAATGAAACATGAGGCGCCTACTCTTGGTCTTTGTTTTTATTTTATAGTCCTTCTTTCTCTTTGTGTTAAAGTCTGAGGATCTCTTACACAAATATATCTTATTCCCAATCTCCATTTGTCTTTATTTCACTTGTTCTGTGACTGCCACTTCCATTTATGAATCATCTGCATTAGTAAATGTAATCAGACCAGCGAGCACCTAGGGCAGATGCTTCACATTTCCAGGGAACTCTTGTGTGGACCCTGCCAAACAGGCTCTCACTGTCCTGGGACAGAGCCCAACAAAGTCACCCCAGCCTGGCTGTTATTTGGCTGGTGAGAGTCAGTGCCTGCTCACAGGGAGAGGTGCTGACCTCCACAAAACACTTCAAGTCAAGCAGAAATGATTTCTCCTTCAATTAAGCACAGAGAGAGGATTTTTATTTCTTCCAGGCAAATTATCTTTAATCACCAGAAAGTTAATGACTGTTTTTTTTTTAAACCACAAGAGAGTTTATTTCACATCTTCAAAGCTTTTCAAGCCAGGAGAATTTAAGCCAATGTTTGAGTCTCCTTTATTTAAAAAATAGCTCATAAAATGATTTTATTGCAGTAAGAATACTTTTAGATACATGATAAGTAAGTGGATGTCATGTTAGATTATTTCAGTTGAGATTATGACCCTAAGAAGAGAAAAAACAGTGAAGTTCATTGTGAAAACTGGGGACAGATTAATACTAGTTTACTGACAAACAGAAAATAAATTAGGATCATTTGGGGTAGACAATACTAATGTCCATGTTGAGCTAGTAAAGACTGGTGAAACAATTGTTCAAAGTTCCCATTGATGAAGGGGTATAGTTCCCTCTTTTGAAGGCATACAGCTCAGTCTTCACTCAGGAGCTCAACTTTACATTCTAATTTGGAAATATGATTACTGTTTCCTCAATTTTCATTTTATTGAAGGCAAGTTTTACAGCATCTCTATTTTAGGTATCTCTATTTTAGGCATTAATCATTAAACATTTACTTCTTTATAGTAAACTCTCTTGTATAATCATTTAAAAAAGGGTTATTAACTGATTAACATTTTAAGGTATTAAAGCAGTATAGGTACATCCCTAAGCACATACATTTGTTTTTAAGAGAGATTTTGGCACAGAGAAGGGATCTGACTTTGAAACTTAGATTTATTACTAAACACATTATTTGGGGTTCCTGTTTTCTCCAGTGACACACCTGGACAACCCACTTTCTTCAGTAAATAACTAATTAAAAACAATTGAAAATAGGGTTTACAAAGAATTATGAAAGTCAAATTGTCAGTGTTCTCATCCTCAATTCATTTAAAGCAGATTAATCTGTTGTTTTCTTTTGGATCATCAGTAATATAGTTTTCCCTTCTCTTCATTTAACAAGTTTTTTCATATTTCTGCTGCTTATCAAGACCATTTGTCATATATTCATCCTAAAATTATTGATTGAGTGTGAACTATATTTAGGTTTTTAATAAAGTGCTGGGCACACAAATGAAAAAGGTGTCACTCTACTCATTAAGGAGTTCATAAAGCAGTCATTAATTAATTTATTCAAAAAATAGTATTGCTTAGCACTGTTCTCAGCTTTCAGGATAGATTGATGAATAAAAGCCATAGAAATATAAGTGCTTTGTGGAACCTGCTTCATAGTAATGGGAGACAATTACAATCATCATGAAAATTTGAAAAGTATAGGGTATGTTAGAAATTGATAAGTGTTATGGAAAAAAATATGAGTTCAGGAATGCTAGATGGGGAGTGGCAATACTGAATATGTGCTCATTCAGAAAACGACACGTGAGCAAAAACTTAAAGGAGTTGAAGAATTTGACCAACTGGATACTGAATGGAAAAGCTTTACACATGGAGGGAAAAACAAATACAAATGTCTGGCATTTTACAAAAAGAATCAGAAAGCCAGTATGGCTAAAGCTTAGTGAATAGAATGAAGAGTAAAAGGGGAAAGTATCAAAGAGAAATTGGGAAGCCCAGGGGAAAGGTTTCAGGTTTTACCAAATTTGAAATAGGGAACTGGTTTAATCCATTTTGTATTGTTACAGCAGAATACCTGAGGCTGGGTAATTTATAAACAAAAGAAGTTTATTTGGTGCATGATTCTAGAGGTTGGGAACTCCAGGACTGGGCCGCCTCTCTGGTCTCCTCCTGCTTCAACTCATGTTGGAAAGTGGAAGGGGAACAGGTGCATGCAAAAAGACCACAAGGCGAGAGAAGAAGAAAGAGAGAGAAATTAAGGAAGCTAGACTCTTTTTAACATCCCACTTTCATTGGAACGATCTCATTCCTGTGAGAGGTAAAACTCACTCCTGAGGGAGGGCATTAATATATTTATGAGGCATCCACCCACCATGACCTAAAAACACCTTCCCTAGGGCCAACCTCTCAACACTACCACATTGGGGATCAAATTCCAACATGCGTTTGGTGGGGCAAACCACATCCAAACCCTAGCAGGTACTATAGGTTTTAAGCAGAGGATTGACTAAGAGTTCTAACACTGTAGAGGTAAGTACCATAATTTAGGATGCTGATAAAAGAGTAACAAAGACCTAATGAAGTCTGGGGAAAACTGAAAATTCAATGGAGAATTAAAGGAGCAGCAGGAATTACCCAAGAGGCACAAAAAAACTAAAGTCAGAATTGATGTCATTTGTAAAGGAACAGAGGTAAGAGAGACCATGATACATTTAGGAGACCACACATTGCTCCTTTATGGAGTGGTATACAAGTGAGGCAGTTGCAAGAGCTAAAGATGAAAAAGTAGACTGACTTTAGAGCAAAGGGGCCCATGAAGAGGAAGAAAAAAACAAAACTGAAAAAGCAAGAGTGAGCAGTGGATGTGCCTGACATTGCTCATGCTCTCCTAGTCCTTGAGGATAGCAGACTGGTCTGTAGTGCATAGATAGGTGCAACTATGCATGTGTAATGAAGAGTACGTTGTTATATGACCTATGGCCAACGGAGCAAGGTAGCATGTACGGTGTAGTAAAGCTTTATACCTGAACCTCAAATGTTAGATTTGAGTAACCTGGCTTCCAAGAGGGATGTTTCTGCACCCATTGAAAGATAGTTACTCATGCTGGACTTTCAGGACAATGTGGGTGGATTGTAAGAAGCTTAGTAAACTCTTATCCAAGACTTCCTGCAATTTGACAGGGCAGAATACCATCGCTGCCAACCAAGTGCATTTGTCATGGGGAACAAGGGAGTCTAGAGGACCTGAGATCAGTGAATGTCCCACAGACTAAAGTAACTTGTAAACATCTTCTGAAGACACAGTCTTTGTGCCTACGTTACTCACTAAAACTTCTCTAAGACTGTTGCATCAGAGTATTCTTTATGTAATTCTTCCAATCCCATATTTTTAGGGATTAAATCAGAATACCATTCCCACCAACCAAGTGCATTTTCCTTGAGAAGCAAGAAGAGATTCTATGGAGCAAGAAGAGATTCAAAGACAGCCCTCAAGTTGAAGGAGGGACACCACGTTCTCTAAGGCTATGGGGCAAAAGGAGAGGTGCACGTGAACACAGTAAGGCTATCGGGCAAAAGGAGAGGTGCATGTGAACACAGTAAGCATTTCCAGGCATCGTCTGGCTGACTGCACAAACGCTCCAATTCTTACTCTCTCCCTATATTCATGTCCTTTGACACATCACTGTGCAGAGCTCTACTACTCTGACTTTGACAGTGGAATTTGCTTTGGCCAACAGGATGACAGCAGACTTGACATAAGTCTTGGAAAAGTGCTTGTTTTTACGTGCTCTCTCATGCTGCTGCTCTTACCAGGGGACACGCCCTAACCAGCTGCAGGGGAGAAAGTTGAGTCACCTCAATCATACCAACAAGACCACCATGGATCAGCCAAGTTGGAAGTGTTCACAGATTCATGAGTAAACCTAGCCAGGATCAGCCAACCCACCACGATGAACACCACAAACCCATGAACAAAACAAATCTTTGTTAATGAATGCCTCTGAGGCTTGTGGTTGTTTGTTATGCAGTTGTTTGTATGCTTCTAGGAAAGGGATGCTTTCAGTTAAGAAGAGTGATTTGAATGTGTCTACACTTAAGGTAAACATGCTTTGTTGTTCAAACCAGGACATTTTGGCCAACGAAAGCAGTAGTAGTGTTAATAATCACATATAAATAAGACTCTTTCAGGCAAAGTAGGATATATGGTAATCCTATAACAACTTGAGAGCCTCTATTTCCCTTTAGGAAGAGGAGACAATGTCATATGATGAACATAAGAATGATAAGGCCAAGAAAGTCTGAAAAGTCGCACCTGCAGCTCTGGAAAAATTAAGGTCACAGTCAAGTAGTAAGACAACCACAGTTTAAGATTTTATAGTTATGGCACTAAGAATTGTGAAAGGAATGGTTGCTGAAATGGAACTTGGTGGATGGGTGGGTGGGTGGGTGGATGGATAGATGGATGGATGGATGGATGAATTGATGAATGGCTGGCTGGATGGATGGGTGGTTGGATGAACAGATAAATGACAGAAGGAAGATTGAAGGATTGAGTAGGTAAAGTGCCTAACAAGTTGCTGGTACTGGGAATTTTGGGGTTGGGCTCATAACACTGGACAATGCCCAATACAAGAAATTCTGTTCCTCACAAATTTACAAATATCAGTGATGATGGTGAGTGACAGCCCCCTAGAGGCTTTTAGTCCAACTTAAAGTCTAGACACCCATTCCATAATGCTTTTCCCGTGGAAGAATTTATTAATGATTGGAAATAATACAGGCAGGTTCAGAGGTACACATGTGGCAGTGGAGCGGGGAAGCTGTGGCATGAATAAGAAGCACACACAAAAAAAGCTTCTGAAGTGAGAAGAGTGGGAGGGGAGACCAGGCAGATGTGAATGGAATGTTCAGGAAACCAACATGCTTATAGCTCTGGCAAAAGAAACGAGCCCCAAACTGAGCAAGTGCAGAAATGTAGGACCTGAACCAGTTATGACTGGTGCAGTGGCATTTTCTGAGTGAGAAGATACTTCCAGACGAAAAGCATGGTTGGCGAAGCCAAATCCTTCCAAGAAGCCAGTTAAGATAATGACTTAAAAAATTCCTTGAGTTTTGTAGTTAGACCTTGTTCATATAGGGAGGATAGTTTCAGTTAAGTGATGGGGATCAGAAACTAAATGCAGAGGTATGGGCAGCAACTGGGATATTCAAAAGTTGTTAAAGGCAGTAGTTAAGATTACTCATCATTCTCAAGAAACTTGGATGTGAAGAGGAGACAGGTGATAGGATGGATTGCTTATTTCCTTTCCTGAGGATTTTATAGAAAAGAGACAATATTTCACTAAAAATGAGGAAACAAGAAAGACTTAAAGCTTCTTACTGCTTCTCATGGCACTTCCTGAACCCCTTTCCTTTAAGCAGCTCCATAAGTAACAAAATTTACTTCATCTCCATCTGCTAGACTCTTCTTCCTAGTTTCAGAGTTTGTTGAAAACTAAGAAAGAGAATATGCCTTTTTTAACTTTCTTCACAAGAACAGCAACAACAACAAAACAGGTGAATTGTTTTTAGCTTGTTAGTTGTATTGCTTAAAAATTAAAATATTTGAGCATGATTTTAAATTAATTAATAGGAAGTAGCCATTAGAGAAGTAGCTGCAGCAGCAAGAAGAGATAATCAAAGCAACGCATTCCTTGAGAAGAGAGCACACAGAAAGAAATTGGCCATGGGCTGATAACAACGCTTCTTCCTCTGCACTGAGAGGTGAAAACATGCCGAGTCCATAGATGATGGTGGGTTATTTTGTTGGCTTCTGGGAACCTGGAAGGTGTCAAATGTCTCTAGAAGTACAAGACAAGAAAAGGCAGCTGATAATAAAAGGGACTAGAGAGGGTATAGGATTTCATTTCTTTCCCCATCCCCTTATCTTCACAATGTTCTACACATTCCCATGTAGGTAGCAAGTACTTCCATAGTAGATCCTGGGAGCCATAATAATTAGTTGTCTATACCAAACATATTATTCCATCTTTTCTTGGGGCAAGGTAAATCCTCAATTTTTCAGGTATCTAACTCTCCCTCATATAGCTCTGGGGTAAATTTAGGTTTAATTCAATTAAGAGGATCCTGTCCCTTTTGACGATAACTTGTGTAAGGGTAGGTGTGTAATGCCATGTCCAAGGAGATGTGAAGAATGGTCTGCTGGGGAGTTCTAGAAGTGAATTCACAGAAGAAAGATTTCCTCTTGCTTTGATGAATGTGGTACCTGAAACTGCACTATCACTTTGCATCCATGGGATGCAATCATGGCAAAAGGGAAGCAGGCACCTTCTTCACAAGGTGGCAGGAGAGAGAGAGATGCGTGAAGCCAGGAGAGCCCCTTATAAAACCATCAGATCTCATGAGAACTCACTCACTATCCGGAGAACAGCATGGAAGAAACTGCCCCCATGATCCAATCACCTCCCTCCCTCGACACGTGGGGATTGCAAGTCTCTCCCTTGACACATGGGGATTACAATTGGAGATGAGATTTGAGTAGGGACACAGAGCCAAACCATAACAGAGTTTAAAGAATAGAAAGAAAAATAGATCTTCAATTTATGATAAATTAACATTTAAGCTTAAACATATTATATTTTTTAATGTCTTTATTTCTATGATTCTGGAGATATAGTTTGTATTCTTTATATGAAAGAGCCATGTGGTACCCTGCCAGACATAATTTCTCAGGATTAAATATGTATAATTTTGATTTGGTACCTCGTGTGAGCTCAGGTGATGAGTTAAGAGTTAAAATGCAGATGCACAAAACAGTTTATTCAGCATCCCAAAGGGAAAAAAAGACACTCCCAGTCCCCTTCGGCTGCAATATATATTTTCTGAAAATGCCCATATCTCTCCACTGAAGTATGCCCACCAAAGGTAATTAAATGGCAAGTGTGCAGGACAGAGGCACCATCAGCAGTTCCCCATGATATCCTACATGGAGCCAAGATCTACACACATATCCCTCTGGGTATTTTTACTTATTTTCCGATCTGTGGTATAAAGGTATTGTCAGAAATGTCAAAACGGCCTGCCAATATCCCATGGGTAACAGTGATATGAAAAAGAGGAAGCATTTGTATTTGTCTGTAGCACAGAATGTTAAGCTGTTGAAGAAACTGGGCAGCAGTGTAAATGTGACACATCTTATGGAAGAGTTTGGTGTTAGAATGACCATTATATATGACCCTAAGAAACAGAAAAATAATCGTGGAAGTTCTCTGCTGAAAATAATCAACCGAAGTTAATTTAAAAAAATAGATAAATGCTGCATAAATCTAAAAATGAAGATCTTAATCGTGTATTGAATAGAAAGAGTGGATCTATCAGTATTGCAGTAAACACATGACATTCAATGGTATATTGATCACAAAACAAGTGAGTATTTATCATGATGAACCAAAAATTGAAGAAAATGTAAGCGATCAATAGGCTGGTTACAGAAATTTAAGAAAAGATACAGCATTAAATTTTTAAATATTTGTGGTGATAAAGCATCTGCTAATCACAAAGCAGTGGAGAAATTCATGGATGACTTTGCCAAGGTCATCAGTGATAAAAATCTGATGCCAGAACAAGTCAATAATGCTGACAAAATATCATTGTTCTGGTTTTAATGCCCCTGAAAGACACTGGCTACAGCTGATGAGAGAGCCCCTACAGGAATGATGGATGCCAAGGACAGAACAGCTATTCTGGGATGAGCGTATGCCGCAGGCATGCATACATGTAAACTTGTTGCGATAGGCAAAACTTGTATCCTTGCTGTTTTCAGGAGTGACTTTCTTACCAGCCCATTATTATGCTAATAAAAGGCATGGATCACCAGGGCCATCTTTTCTTACTGGTTTTACAAACATTTTGTACCAGTGGCTCATGCTTACTGCAGGGAACCTGGACTAGATGACAACTGCAATATTTTGTTATTCCTTGACAACTGCACTGCTCTCGTTCCAGCTGAAATTCTCATGAAAAATATTTATGCCATGTACTTTCTCCCAAATGTGACTTCATTAATTCAACCATGTGACCAGGGTATCCTTTGTAAACAAAAGTATCTGAGACAGGTCTCAATGAATTTAGAATGTTTATTTTGCCAAGGTTAAATATGTACACCAAGCAAACATGTCTGTGCCTTTCTCCAAAGATTATTTTGAGGGCTTCAATATTTAAAGGGAAAGGGTGGATATTGGGGAAAAAGGAATACATCTTTTAAAGTTGTGGGTAGATAAGAGACAAATTGTTTCATTCTTTTTTGTGTTTGATCAGCCTTTCACTGAATACACAATTTACATGTTGGCAGGGAGGGGGGGTTGGGGGGGTGGTGGGTAGAGGAATAATAGTCACTCATGCTTTCATGTAGCTCAGTGAATCACACTTTTACATCAGGTGAAGCATTCAGATGTGCATTTGTCTTAAGTGAGCAGAGGGATGACTTTCGGTTTTGTCCTTTGTCCTGCAACTGTTTAGATAAGCTATCAATTTACACTGTCAGGATAAAATTCAACAGAACCATTTTAGGGTAAAGATCTTGAGCCCACAAGGAATTTCCAAGTGGGCAAATTGTGAGGAAGGTATGTAGCTTGCTTGCTTGCCTTTCTTTCTTTCCTTTCTTTCTTTCTTTCTCTTTCTTTTTCTTTCTCTCTCTCTTTATCTTTGTAGCTATCTTCTTTAGGAATAAAATGTGAGGCAAATTGTCTGATGCAATTCCCACCTTGACTTTTTCATTTGGCTTAGTGATTTGGGGGTCCTGAGATTTATTTTCCTTTCACACCATATACAGAAGAAGAGTAAATATAAAAACACTTTCTTGAACAGCAGGCTAGCAGCAGGGAACAGGGGCATGGGTGTGGAAAGTTTTCAAAAGAGTTTGGCGTGAAAGATGCCATATATACTGTTCCAACACTTGGAACACAATAACTAGAGACACAGTTGTGCATGCGTGGTGCAATATCTGGCCTGCAGGTATGCTCAGTGATGATGAAGAACAAGGTAGTGACTTTGAAGGATTCTGTATGTCAAGTTGAAAAAAAAGTCTGACCTCCTGCCATATGTGAAATATACACCTTCCGAGTCTGTCAGTAGGCTGAAAGAAGAGGATATGGAAGAAGTTTTTACTGTCCATGATGACACTTCAGTTGTTCATTCATTGACTGATGTGAATGGTCAAAATGGTTCTGAATCAAGGTGAGCATTGTAAGAGTGATGACGAAGATGATGTTTACACTGGAGAAAAAGCACCTATAGATGACATGGTGAAAGTATGTAATGGGCTTATTGAAGGACTGGAGCATTGTGCATTCGTAACAGACCAAGGAGTCACGTGAGTTCATAAAATCAAAGACAGACTTCTTCCACAAAAATTGTTGTTAATGAGGCAGATGACTCTGGAAGAAACTTTAAAAACCACCCAGCAGAATGTCTGTCATCTCTAGAGTTCCCACTTCCTAGTCCCTGAACTGCTTCTGATGTTTTCACCTAAAAATAAAGTAAAATGCAGTGTACAGTAATATTTTAAACAAAATGCCACATCATAACTGGAAACTGAATGCCTGCTGCTTGTTGCTGTTGTTGTTTAACAGCTGATACAAGTGTTCTGGGGGTGCTACTGTGCTGCTTACTTATCCTGAACACATTAATTTTTCACTGTACTAATGGTATGTCATATTTTTTACTGTTAATTACTTATGTGTGAATAAGTGTAAAGAAATGATTGCTTATTGATAGCATGTAAATTCAAAGTCAGGAATGATGGGGATGACAAACAACCACAGACTGTCCATGTGGATGGCTGAGATTGTTGACACCATTGCTTTCTGATGGTTCAGTGTGCACACATTTTATTTCATGCACAAAATTATTTAAAATATATAAAATTACCTTCAGGCTAGGTATATAACGTACCTATGAAACATAAATAGATTTTATGTGTAGACTTTGGTCCTATCCCTAATATATCTCAGCATGCCTATGAAAATATTCCAATATCCACCCCCAAAAATATCCAGAATCCTAGACACTTCTGGGTCCTAAGCATTTCAAATAAGGGATACTCAATCTAGAATAATTCTGAGATTAGTTGAATAATCAGGAAATTAACAATTACATTTCTTCATTATGTTTATTAAAGAAAAATTGATTCGTACTATTAAGTTACTTTGGTAGGGCTGCTACAACAAAGTACCACAAACTGGGTGGCTTGAATCACAGAAATTTATTGTGTCATAGCTAGGAATCCAAGATTATGGTAGCTTCAGAGTTGAAGTAGAATCTGGCCCAAGATTCTCCCTGGCTCCTGGTGGTTTGTTGGTAATGTTTTGTATTCCTTGGCTTTCTTGAAGAATCTTATCTCTGCTTTCATCTTTACATGGCATTCTCCCTATATTGGGGTTTGTCTCCAAATTTCTCATTTTATAAAGAAATAATCTCCAAATAAAGTTAAATTCTGAGGTACTGGGGTTTAGGACTTGATCATGTGAATTTTTAGGGGACACAATTCAACTCATAACAACCATAAATTTGTACAATTATATTTTTTGCTATGATAACAATACTGCCTTATTTTTCCAATAGGTATATTCCATGTTAAATTTTATTTGTTTGTTTTTAAATTGATTTATGTAGAGATGGGGTCTCATCATGTTGCCCAGGGTGGTCTTGAACTCCATGCCTCAAGCAATTCTCCCACCTCACCTTCCCAAAGCATTGAGATTACAGATGTAAACCAATGCATCTGGTTATTTTGTTTAATCTTAGATTTCTTATACAGTGCTTATCATCAACTTGGAGATGATATTTTCTTCCCTTTCATTTCAATATTTTTGCTATTTCAATAGTTATTTGTAGCCCTATAATAATATAAAATAGGGAAAAAATCTATCCATTTTAGAGTCAATTGATTTGTTGGTAAATGGTTTGAAAACTGTTGGTAAAAATTGAATTTGGAGACCATGTTTAAACTCAATTATGCATGCCAATATTGTTCCCAACACTATAAATAATCCAGTCTTGATTATAAGTTATCAATGATTTATTCAAATTCACAATTCTTTTAAAAAAGTAAACAGCACTTCTTTGTGCACAAAAAATGCTTTTAAACTTGATGTTTTAAAACAATGTTTGGTTTATTTTTGTACTAGTCAGTTATCTCCAGAGAAACAGACATGCATATATAGAGAGAAATTTTATTTTAAAGAATTGGCTTACACAATTTTGGAAGCTGACAAGCATAAAATCTGCAGGTTAAACTGGCAGTCTGAAGACCCAAGAAAGAATTGATGTTACAGCCTCAAGCCTGAAGGCAGTCTGGAGGCAAAATTCTCTCTTCCTTGGGGAACCTGAGTCATTTATCTTAATGCCTTCAACTGGTGGGATGAGGCCTACTCACATTATGGTTGGTAACTGCTATACTCAAGGTCTACTGATTGAAATGTTAATATCATCTAAAAAAAAAAACAGTCTTCGTAGCGACAATTTGACCAGTGTTTGACCCAAAACTGGCAAAACTGGGTACTATGTCCTACCTATGCTGACATATAACACAACACATCACAATCCTGTGTCATTAAATCCTGTTAGGCCTCAAGGTGAAGGCCTGCTCTGTGGTTCATACAGACAGAAGTGAAAGCATTTCACACGTTAATAACTGATCACTTCACACAGACACACACACAAATCCGTATCTAGTTTTAATATTCTTCCTGAAAAACACGAAAAAAAACTAATCAGAAAAAAAGAAAAAGAAAGTTGTTCAAATAATTAAAACACTATTTGACCACTTACATTATGGTTTGGGAAAAAGTAACTTAATTAAACTGTTGCAATGTCTCCTGTGAATTTAATCAATGCAAAATATGGAATCAATGTTCAATTAAAATCTTAATGTGTGTCTCCTATTTTGATGAGTGTAGGTAAATTTTTACCAGCCTAAATTATCTTCATAAAATGCATGCACAATTGCTGGGCTAGAGATTGTTTTTCAAACCGCGCCAGAAAAAGTCAGATCTAGCCTCAGCTCAAGTATCTACTCTGCGTGCAATGCATTGCATATTCCAGTTACGGTAAACTATTCATCATTTGTCAATGTCCTATCTGGAATACTGCCGGAAATGCTCTTCCATCACTCCCATCACCTATTTTCCTTCTAAAATTCAGCCCACAAATCACTCCAGGTGTCATTTTCTGATTTTCTTTAAGTCCTAAATTCTTGTATAATACCATCGAGTTTTGCATGAATTTCAGTGTGAGTGTGCATATCATATTAAACTGTGATCAACCATGCACCTATCTTTTGCTGGATTGTGCTGCATCAACTTGGCTAAAGTTATAAACTATATTTCCCAGTTCCTTGAGAAACTCAAATACTTTTATTTTTTATTTTTTTAGAGATGGGTTCTCACTCTTTTGCACAGGCTGGAAGGCAGTATATATTTGTAGCTCACTGCAGCCTCAAACTCCTGGGTTCAAGCAATCCTCCTGACTCAGCCTCTCAAGCTGGGACCAGAGGCACACGCCATTGCAGTTGGCTAAAAATCAAGTTTACAGTTCACAGAAAGACTCTGAGAAAGATTTGGAAAATGGAGGCTTTTTTTTTTTTTTTTTTGAGACGGAGTCTCGCTTTGTCACCCAGGCTGGAGTGCAGTGGTGCGATCTCAGCTCACTGCAAGCTCCGCCTCCCGGGTTCAGGCCATTCTCCTGCCTCAGCCTCCTGAGTAGCTTGGACTACAGGCGCCCACCACCACGCCTGGCTATTTTTTTGTATTTTTAGTAGAGACGGGATTTCACCCTGTTAGCCAGGATGGTCTCGATCTCCTGACCTCGTGATCCACCCGCCTCAGCCTCCCAAAGTGCTGGGATTACAGGCGTTAGCCACTGTGCCTGGCCAATGGAAGCCTTTTAAATTGTTTATTTGTATAATCAAACAGAGAGGTTTTACGTCTAGTAAACAAATTGATGTATCACTTGAATCACTGCAATAGAGTTTATAGCCCTATTCACAGGCCCAAGAGCCTTTTGAATGAAATGGAAGCCTGATCTCTTTAGGGAAGGAACAATACTACACTGTCAGAAATTAAGAATTTAAATCTTCCTCTTATTCATTTCCAAAGTACCTGAAACTCTTTACCAGGTCAGTGTGCTTTGTGGAAGAGAAATAAATGCTCTTCATAGGCTCTAAAGAGATACTTATTCTTAGGAACCCAAAGTGTTGTTATGGTTCATTAGTCAAAGTAGGAGTTTACAGAATTGATTAATGTAGTTTTAGCACAGTTCTATCTCACATGGGGCCAGAAGGTCCCCAAATCTATTCTGTGGTATTTTTTCTCCAATTCCAAAATGCAAAGTTGGAATCCAAATACTCAGCCCTGGAAATATTTCTATACGGGTTTCTTGATTTGTTGACTGAGGACTATTACAGAAGAAATATGAAGTTGAACTGTCTCTACTACCAAAGTAATAAAAGCAATAACCACACTCATGGAAGAGATGTGGAGATTAGCGCCTCCATCAGGAACTTAAAGGACGCAGGGGCTGTGCAGGAGACTTGAATCTTGGAAAATGGCAATAGAATATAAACTTAATCATATGGCGACTCCAGTGGTAACTGCTGTTCAGTTGTGTGTGTGTGTTCATTTCATTGAAAAAAATGAACACAATCCATTACCAGGTATGTGGCTATAAATCTGGTGAATGCTTTTATGGCTATATTTTTTAATGAAGTGTACTGAAACAGTTTGCTTTCAGCTGGCAGAATCTGCAAAATTGTCTAACTTCCAGACTATATCAACTCTGCAGTCCTATGTAATAATATATCCATGAGAATCTTGGTGACCTCTGCATTCCACGGGACATGATGCTGGCCTTCTACAGTGCTGATCAGACCTAGTAAGCACAAAGTCGCAAATATCCCAGACACCCTGACCACAGACACACATGTATACCAAGGACAGGAATAAATACCTAAAACTGTAAGGCACTGCCACCTTCTTAGATGTCTTGGTGAGAGGTCCACTGTTCAGAGGGCACACTGAGATATAAGGCGAAGGCCTTTTTGGATCTGTAGTGTGCTACCTCTTTAATGGGAAATCTTAGAGGCTATCAGTATTGAATGGTGACCAGAGGAAAATACTGCTCTACATATAGGTCTGGGCTGTCATACAAACTGATCTGCTACTGGGGCCTCATGACCTAGCAGATCCAAAAGTATTCAACATGTTTGTGGCAGATGCAAATGCTGTTTAGAACCTTCGAGAGGTCGCTGTAGAAGCACAATGCAAAACTTCAGGATTTTGGAGCAAAACTTTGTCATCTTTTGCACACACAGTGTTCTCTTTTGATAGCTCCTGGTGTGCTACTGGACCTTAGTAGAGATAGAATGTCTGACTCTGAGCCACTAAGTAACCATTCAACCTCTTCTGCCCTTCAAGAACTGGGAAATGTCTGAAAAAACAAGTAATGAAACGTGTGTATAGCAGCACTCCATTACAAGTTGTAGTTTTATATACGAGATTGGTCTCAAGCAAGACCTAAAGGTAAAAGTAAGAGGCTCAGATTTGCATGGCTCCTCCTCTTGCTGCATTAACTGCTGTCTCTCAACGCAAGCATACTGTAACATATTGATGGAGGAGGAAAATGCTGAGTCTCGTTTACTGATAATTCTATGTAACATGCTGGCATCACCTAAAGTGGAGAACTGCGAGATTACTGCCCCATCCAAGAAAACCCTTCAGCAGCCCCATTCTTCAGGAACCGTGAAGGACTATGGCAAAGGTAAACACTTTCTGTGGGTAGAACTCCAAAAAATGCCCCCAAGTGTTCCTTTTCCTGGAAGGAAATTATCAGGGGTATATATCTATGTACATAAGCTAATAGATTGTGCAGATAATCCAAAATGTCAAAGGACCAGACTGGAAAATGGGTAACAAAGAGGTGTGGGGAAGAGCTGTGTATACTGTGACAATAGTCACGGTATAAAAGTATTTTTGTCCCACCGTAAATGGTATGAAAGAAATGCTGGGGTATAGAATGGGATATGTAGAAGGGATTAAGTCAGTAATTATTAAGATTTAGAAGGGGAGTCACCTATGCTTTTAAAAACAATGTAATGTAGAGCTTGCCTCCAGAAAAATACATGTATATGGTACATACTTTACACTTTCTGAAGGTTCATGAACCTTCCAATCAAAACGATGTCTACAAACCTCTTAGATTAAAGGTCCAAAACATCATTTTCAATAGCACAGATCTGATAAGAATTGGAAATCAACTAACTACCTGATTTTAAAGTGAGCAAAAAATGCTTTAAAGCTAGCCTCCAAGTAGACAGACTAATTAACTGAGTACTTTACCATATTAGAATCTATCCAGTCTCTTTCCCAGTCTGTTCCTCTTTGCCTTCTCCGCTCTCTAAAACAAAAGAACCAGAACATTTTATGAATAATCTTAGAGATCAACTCACCTAACCCCCCTCTCCCTGAGTTTTACTGATGAATAAACAGACCCCAAAGATAAAGTGAGGCACCAGCATAGTGTGACAAAATCAGACATAATCGTTATCATAGTTACAGTATACTTTCTTTGTGCTACTATGTTTATGTTTTACATGTATTCAATAACATGTGCTACCATGTTTGTGTTTTACATGTATTGAGTAACTTAATTCTCACACAATTCTACTAGTATCATCTCCAAGGAAACTGTGACTTGGGAATTAACTTGTCCCAAGTCACATGGTTGGCATGTAATGAAAGTACCTGGTACGTGGCCTGACATGAATGGGCATTAAGTGAGAAAATAATACCATTTCTTTCCTTCTTCTTGTTCCTTCTTGACAGAACTATCTGATGATGAAACGACCCAGACTCAATTTTCCCAACTTCAGAGCCTTTTCTATCCATGATCCCTCATTCCTGCCTTTCTTGCCATTCCTGTCCTGTCTCTCAACCTGACAATGAAGCATTTATATCGGATCAAATGAAACTCGCATACTTTCTGTGACTTAAAATCAGAAGTTTCCCTTGTCAATTTCCCTTGCCACCTCTAAGAAAAGCTTATCTATGTTAAGTTCCTTTTTACTGATTTGTATTTTTATGTTCCCCCAAAATTTCACATTGATATATAAGAATTTTCTGTTGCTAGTTTAAATAATTTTCTGCATGATTCAATGATTATAAATATTTATCTCCAAAATAATATGATCTATTTTTCTTTATTTATCCTCAGTATATATTTCCTTTAACTGAGATCCAGTCATCTGAAGTATCTAGGTAGACTTGATTTGATATAAAATTATAAACTAACCCTCTTAAGAAAATGTCCAAAGTGACATTTAGACATTTGCTCTTTCATGAAAGATTCTAACATATATTATTGTGGTTATTATTATCAATATTATCTCCAAAATTATATTGCAACTCTTTAGTTAGGTAAGTAAAGATCCTGCTCTTCTGGAAACTGCCTGCTTCCCTTTCCATAAAATAGTTAAGTTTCTTTAACTATTTTCTTCTAATTCAAACGCTTTACCACATGACTTTTTTTAGACCATTATGGAAAAGAAAGTCAAAACATTGCTGGGTATAAGGATTCCTGGACTCTGAAACATCAAAATTTCAAACACTAATTATTCTAGTCTAAGTTATAACCAGCTCATCTTGAAACTAATGAAGAAAATAAGAGCTAAATGTGTTTAGCATAAGTCAGATGATTATATCTGATCAGTGAACATGAATTAAGAGTTTAACAATATTATGCATGAAAAGAATAAAAGTGAGGGAATCACGTATTTTCTAGTTTTCCAAACAAAATGCAGGTTTTCATGGCAAGTAATTGACTTTCCCAGGTGATTTTATTAATTGAAAACCTGAGGTACTAAAAGTTTATTCAGTCATACTTGTTTTATTGTACATTTTGTTTTATTGAGTTTCACAGATACTGTATTTTATATACATATATATATATATATAGAAGGGTTGTGGCAGCCTTGCATTGAGCAAGTCTATCAGCGCCATTTTTCCAACAGCATGTGTTCAGTTTGTGTATCTGTGTCACATTTTGGTAATCCTCACACTATTTCAAACTTTTTCTTGTTATTATATCTGTTATGATGATATGTGGCGAGTGATCTTTGATGTTACTATTATAATTGCTTGGGGGCACCAAGAGCCACACCCATAGAAGACTTTAAACTGAACTGGTAAATATGTGTGTTCTGACTGCACCAGCAACCAGCTGTTCCCCATCTCTCTCCCTCCCATTAAGTCTCCCTGTTCCCTGAGACACAATGTTAAAACTAGGCCAATTAATAACCCTACAGTGGCCTCTAGGTGTTCAAGTGAAAGGGAGACTTGCAAGTCTCTCACTTTAAATCAAAAGCTTGAAATGATTAAGCTTCGCAAGGAAGGCATGTCAAAAGCTGGATAGGTTGAAAGCTAGGCCTTTTGTGCCAAATGGGTAGCGAAGTTGTGAATGCAAAGGAAACGTTCTTGAAAAAAAATTAAAAGTGCTACCTCAGGGAATATAGGGATAATAAGAAAGTGAAACAGTCTTTCTGCTCATCTGCGGAAAGTTTTAGTGGTCTGGAGAGATTCAAACCAGACATATCATTTCCTTAAGCCAATGTCTAATCCAGGACAAAGCCCTAATTTTCTTCTTTTCTATGATGACTGAGAGACATAAGGAAGCTGCAGAAAAGTTTAAAGCTGGCAGACATTGGCTGATGAGGTTTAAGGAAAGAAGCTGTCTCCATACATAAAAGTGCAATGTGAAGCACCAAGTGCTAGTGTAGACACTGCCACGAGTTATCCAGAAGATCCAGCTAAGATCATTGATAAAGGTGGCTACACTAAACAACAGCTTCTCAGTGTAGGCAAAATAGCCTTATGTGGAATGAGATGCTGTCTAGGACTTCATCTGACATGCTTTATTGTGATATTCACTTTATTGAGGTGGTCTGGAACTGAACCCCCAATATCTCTGACATATGCCTGTAATTTGCAAGGGGGAAAACAACTTTTTGCTATTACATTCAAAATGGATTTTGAAAGAGTCAGTTTTCTTTTTTCTTTCTTTTTTTTTTTTTTTTTTTTTTTGAGACGGAGTCTTGCTCTATCGCTCAGGCTGGAATATAATGGCACAATCTCTGCTCACTGCAACCTTCGCCTCCCGGGTCCAAGCAATTCTGCTGCCTCAGCCTCCCAAGTAGCTGGGACTACAGGCACATGCCACCATGCCCGGCTAATTTTTGTATTTTTAGTAGAGATGGGTTTCACCACATTGGCCAGGCTAGTCTTGAACTCCTGATGTCGTGATCTGCCCACCTCGGCCTGCCAAAGTGCTGGGATTACAGGCGTGAGACACCACCCCTGGCCCAGGAGTCAGTTTTCTATATCACTTGACTTTCTTTGCTCAGAAAGTCCAGCAACATGTTGCTCTAGGTCTTTGTTTAAAAAAATGTTATTGTGCCCAAAGTATTTAAAAATTTCTAAGACTTAGTATCTATTTCCTTATTAGAACTAAGAAAAAGAGAGCTCACAGGTAGTGTCTGATCAAAAACCACAAGCTTGCTGCACACTTGGCCTATTTAGGATTCAAGTTAGAAACTGTCAACTGAGAGATGTTAATTATCTTCTTTTTAAAAGTTGCTTGTAGATCCACTGTTTTAGCCCAGAATATTTCATAAAATGACACTGATACGTTTTGAATATATGTCCCCACCAAATCTCATGCTGAATTTTAATCCCCAGTGTTGGAGGCGGGGGCTGGTGGGAGGTGTTTGGGTCGTGGAGGCAGATCCCTCAGGCTTGGTGCTGACTTCCTGATACTAAGTTCCTGCAAGATCTGGTTGCTGTAAATTGTGGCACCTCCCCACCACTTTTCTCTCTTCCTCCTGCTGGCCTTCCACCATGAATAAAAGCTCCCTGAGGCTTCCCCTGGAAGTCTAACAGATGCCAGCAGCATGCTTGTACAGCCTGCAGAACTGTGAGCCAATTAAACCTCTTTTCTTTATAAACTACCCAGTCTCAGGTATTTCTTTATAGCAATACAAGAATGGACTAATACAGACACATCATTTTTTTGTGTGTGGTAAATTCTTCCAATTTCTCACCTTGCATTCCCAGTGCTGCCCTAACTGGACCTGGGGAGTTTCATCATACTTTCTTCAATACAAAGATTGTGAATACCTATGAACTCTTTTAAGACAATTTGTATTCTGCCATCAGGCTTCCTAAGCTACCTTGTGGATCCACATGCAACAGAATCAGAACTTTCAAAGCAGTCACCAAACATGTAACTGACAACTTAAAAAAAAAAAATTCAAAATGAAATTAACAAGCACCAAGGGTGTTATTATTCTCTTATATTTCTTTTAGCAGCATTCCATCACTATCTGCTTCTTCCACTTCAGAAACCTGCAAAACTGCTGTAGAATATCAAGCAGTTGTTCTAGTGAAGTCAATTATTTTTTAGCTCACTGCAAAACATCTGTTGACCCACGTTTTAGTCTTCTGTTCACTCTCTTCCAAGTATGTACTTGGGAAAACAACAGGACATCAACCAGGCAAGCTCATTACCATTTTCCACAGATAAATCTTTACAGTCGGTGTGAAAAATCTCACCCTGAACTATGGTGGCTGTAGTGAAAAGAACCATGGACAGACACAAGTATGACTTGTGAACATGATTCATAAAGCACCCAGAGCCCCAGTGTGGCAACACCAGATGAATGAAAAAGGTTCTACCATGTTATCAAAATCATGTCATTCTCACTTTCCCTCAACAGTACCTAAATTTTAAAAAGAATATAAGCATAATGATGAAATACTACAAAAGTATCAATTGAGATCACACTGCACTCAATGAAAATTATCCATGTTTATGAAAATAAAGATCTGTATCCAAAAAAATAGCAAAGTGTCCACAATAAATTATAAACACCAGGACATCAGGGACATTGATCTCTATATCCCAAAGCCTAGAAAAGTGCCCAGCACCTAATAACAATACTAACTTTTGAACATTTCACCACGTGCCAGGCACAGTTCTGATATGCTCCATGTTTCAACTTAAGGCTTACAGGCCAGGCTTACAGGCCACCAGTGAATCTATAAAGTTTCAGTTTATATATGAGAACTGAAGCACGGGATTAGATAATATTCCGAGACAACACAAATTAGTAGCAGATGGGTTAAACTCAGGCCGCGCATGTCTAGAATATGCACACTTACATGCTTGTTGAAAAAACTGTGTTGATTAGTATCAAACTAGCTTTAGAAAATAGAAGTTAAAAAAGGCAATAGACTTTGGCAAATTATTTGAGTAAAACGTCAAATGTCAGATATGTCGAGGCATGGGTAGCCTTCTAAGGGGTCACGTCTATGGAAGGAAAAAGTTTGGCTTAACAAATAGGAAAGTGAGAAAAAGAATGAAACAGTAAAATAACAGGATCTCGTGATGGGGAAAAGGCGGCCTGCCCAGACCTAAACGCCTCGCGGCCTCGCAGGCGACGCGGGGATGACTCAGCAGGACAGAAGGGAGGGAAGCTCCAGACGCCACGGCCCTCTTCGAGATGAAAGTACCTCCCATCCTAAGGGACTGGCGTTCCAGGAACAGCTGCGCTGGCTGAGCCGGCTCAGTGAGGCGGAGCGGCCAAGCCTTCAGTCCACTCCCACTCCCCGATGAAAAACCCAAGACCGGGTAGCGCAGCCCCTCCGCGCACGCGTAACACGAGGAGACACCGCCCACACGCCAGACGCGCTGTGATTGGCCCCAGCTACCCTCGGACCGAGATTCCTATTGGTCCCAGGTGTCGAGCATGCGCACTTTGGTCGTGGGCGCGTGTGTGGAATGGGAGGAGGTCGCGCTGTCCATGGGCGTCCTTGGCCTGCGCCACCCAGGTGAGCGCTCCGGAGGCTGCGATCCCCGGGTCCCGACCGCCCGCCTAGCACTGGCCTGATGGGGAAGCGTCCCGGGACTGGAAGGGCAGCCGGCTTGCGCGCGTGGTTCCCACGCCCCTCGGGCTCGGGGGATCGCTCCGGGTGCTGGCTGCGGGCTCGGCGGGGAGGACCCCGGGAGCGCGTCCCTGGGCCCCACGTCGGCCTCTGCGCGGGCAAGCCCCTGGGCTCTTTGGCTCTAGACGCTTTCCAGGCCTGGGGAAACCGCATGCGTGGACGTGGGAAACGGGGCGCGTGACGGGGAGGGGCGCGCCCCGGGGGCCTGTGGTCGTTCCGAGCTTCCACCTGGCCCGACGCAGGCATGTGCCCTGCCCGCCGCGTCGTCCCTGGGCCTGCGGGGGCTGGGGCCTCAGCTGAGAGTCCTGGGAAGGTGGTGCTGGATTGTGGCTCTGTCGCGGGGATGAGGGGTTGATCTGGGAAGCCCTCAGGATGTGTGTGTGGCTCCTGGAAGGTGACGCACATTGTTAGCTTCAGTAAGGTTTTCAACACCATGTTTCCGCAGAACTTGGTCATAATAACTATATCGCCTTCTAATAGTGCTTTTGGGGAGTTACTCATTTTAACAGCTACTACGTGTTGAATGTCCTCTTGTTTGCCAGGTGCAGTTCTCATCCCTAGGGGTGGAGAGTTGAAGAAGATATATTCAGTTATTTTCTTTTTTAATGCTTGAGCTAACAATGATTTTATCCTTTGCTTTCTTAAAGGTTTAATTTGCTCTTAGGTGGACAGAAAAGCATAAACTGAATTTTAACTACAAGTTGGTCACAGTTGAAAAGCCTCATGTGTGGTTTGAGTTTTAGCTTAGATCTCTCCTTACATGTCTTTCCTGACAGCTCCTCAGATTTAGACAGTGTGAGGATCAAAACTGTATGAAGGTGCTTTACTCTTGATAATCTGTGAACGTCAACTAGGAAAATTTTGAGTGTATTAGAAATGTTTTTCGAACTCTTTGAGAGTCTAGGCAATTTCACTTGGGTTCTGTGATTAATTTGCAAAGTATTAGGATGAAATCAAGAAACCTGCAGTTTTAATTGAATTGACTTTGGTTTTGTTTCTCAAAAAGTGGGACAACAAAAATACCTACTTAAGACTACTGTTTCAGGCACTGTCTAATTGCATTCATCAGATCTTATTATATTCATTCCATGAGGAATCGAAGACCTATTCAGTCAAGCAGCAGCCCAAGGTTACACGTCTAATAAAGGGCACATTCCCAGATCAAGCCCATGTAGGCTGACTCTAGATTCTGATTTTGAACTGCTCTGTTTCTGAATTGGAGTTTAACTCCTCTGTTACCCCTAGATTAATGGTGAGTATTTTCTCTCACCCAAGTTAATTCCATTAACTCTAATCAGAACCCTAATTTAGCATATTTCCAGTACAGTAGTTGCGGATCCATCCTACTCTAGAGTTTTTGTGCTATGTGTTAACTGTCTTTTATAAATGAAGGGACGGCTTCCTCTGTAACATACGGGAGCATTGTATAATCTTTGAACAGGCAAAAGCATTCCAGAGAAAAGATAGATGAATTTCATATATTTTTATTAAAACAATTTTATTAAAACATAGATAAATACTGGATTATTTAAGCAAGTTGCAGTCTATGTAGGTTAACCACTAAGCTATGCTTCCTCTCTTTGCATGCGTGTGTGTGTATACGTGTGTTTTTCCTAAAGATACATCAAGGCTTAGTACTTTCACAATGAGTTAAGTCCTGCGCTGTGCCTTGAAAGATGAAGGGAGGGAGTTAGAGGCAAAGATGAATTAACAGGTTAACAGGATCCGGGTCCAAGTCCTTAGATGCCTATTAAAGAGTTCAGGCTTCACTCTGCGGGAAGTAGGAAGATTTTTGAAAGACTAAGTACTGGAAGGACATGATCAGGTTTGCAACTTAGAACTATCACTGTGGCTGCAGACCTAAGAGTAGACGAGAAGGGTGGGTAGAAAGGTTAGGAAACTACATTTTCCGAAGAAAAACATGGAAAGAACTGAAAGGGTGATCCTGGAGTCAGAGCCAGGTAGAGAGTTTAGGGATTTAAGGAGGATTTGGTAAGAGATTTATTGTGAATCCTACATCCTAAAATTTTAATGTTTTTTTTTCTTTTCTAGAGATGATAAATAGCCAAAGACGTCAATGGCACCCATGGACATAGTAAGCATAGTAGGAGCTGAAAAACTAGAAGCAATGACAATGTCAACTATTTTGAGCAAAAAGAAGCAGTGTCTTCGGAACATTTGATCATAAAACCAGAAATTAAAGGATGAGAAAAACATTTTTCTGAAGCTTATACTTTCACATTTCCTAGAGAGCATATTTGTGTGGATGGGGGTGGGTAAACACTCAACAAAAGTTTCTTTAAAAAGAAGAAACCATCCTGGTTTGATGTAATCAATGGTTGCCCACTGCTCCCTTCCTGTGCCTGTGACCCTTCCCAAACTGCCCTGTTGCTTGCAGGCTCGCCTGAGCTGAAAGGCAGCCCTCACATCCCGTCGGCACCTCCCTGGGGCCTTCTTTACACCCTGGAGAACTTCACAGGGAATCTGTGTCTGTAACACAAAGGCTTCCTGGTCCAGATGTAGATACTAAGGCTGACTGGTTATTTAAGTCCTGCGGACTTACTCTGCCAAAATTATTTAATCATGTAAAAATAATTTATAATTCTTATAAAGTATCCCCTTCATAATATAATGAATGTTGGTGCTATTACATTTAAGTGCACATGTACAGTATACAAGATTATTAATAATAATGTTTTCAAATAGTTATTGTCAAAGCTATTTTTCTTATGTTTATGAAAGTGCTTATAAAATTCATGTTTTATGAGGCTGGAGATGTATATTTTGTAATTTCATTCTGATATTTGTTAATATTCGCTTCCAATGCTGGTTTTGTTTGATGAGACTGACATTGCCTAATTTCAAGCTTTTTGAATGTGTATTCTTTCAGGGCAAGTATGAAATAACTAGTAAAAAATATACAAATATGCTTAACAATAAGTAGACTTTCTCACATTGATTACTTACAACAGCTTTATGTGGGGTGAATCAGATGCCTGTATTACAGAAGCATCTAATGCAAAGCAAAATAAAAACACTTGCATGAGCGCACAGAGGTAGGTGTGGAAGAAAGTGAAACACTATTTTAGGTTTTAGTTACACTCTGCTGTGGTGTGCTGCCTAGTATTTGCAGGTTAATGCAAATACTAGGGGTTATGAATTGTTTCTAAGTTTATTATTAAAAATAGCCTTGCTTCATTTCTTCCTAAAATGGAGACAAATATGTATAGTGTCTGTGTTACCAGTATGTGTAAGAGTAATATCTTAATGCGTGTAAAATGTTTATAGGAACCTGTATTTCAAAGAGCTATTTTTGCAAGTGACACTATCCTTTTAAGAAACTTTTTTATTCAAACTTTTTCCTCCATTTATAACTATTCTATTATTTCTTAATGTTCAGAACCCTTTTCATTATCTATAAGGTTAAATTTTAGGTAAGTAATGAGAAAATAATAATATGTGGAGAAGAAATGAGTGAGGAGTCGAGATGTGTGTCAATCAAGAATGAGTTTGTCAGCCCTTGTATTATGATTTTACTCGGGAGGGGATAATTATTGAAGGATGTAATGTAAGGGCAGTGATACTATATGGTATGTAAGACTGTTAAAATCACTGAGGTAAGCTATTACTTGAACTAAGCATAGAAATAGAGACAGATTTTTAATGCATTTAATTATCAAAATATCTAAATTAAAGATTTGATGTGGTTGTTCACTGGAAACAAATGGCAGACAAACAGAATATTTCTTGGAATCATAAATGACATCATCCTGTCTCCAACTTTCTGTGTAGCTTCTTTCTTTAGTTGGTCTTTGCTTAGATTTCCCTGTGTCAGAGACGACTTCCCTGGATATCAGTGACAGTTATTGATTGCTCATGCTATGAACTCCTCCCATTTCTCAGCCCTCTTGCAGTAGGTGGGGCCATGGTACTAGTTGTGGCTTATTGCTTAAAGACTTTAAGGCTCCATGTGTGACTTTCCAGCTCTGGTCCACTGCTACTGCGGCTCTGGCAGGACTAGGGAGGTGCCCCGTGTCTCAGATGGTGCAGCCTCCATCCAGCTGTGTCCCTGAATGACTAGAGCACAGCCACTGGTGACCTGTGGTGGACGTAGAATGTGGGTAAGAGATAAACTTATGCTACACCGCTGGGGTTCAGGGGCTAATTTGTTACCACAGCATAGTCAACCTTTTCTAGCACCCCATTCTGTCTAAATTTAGTAGTCCTACCCCACTCCATGCCTCCCCAACCCTTCCCCTGGCTTTAGTTTCTTTGTAGCACTGGTCCCCGCATGACCTGTCGTTGCTTTACTTTCTCGCATCACTTCTCCCTGCCTCCAGCACATGCACTAAAATTTAAACTCCATGCCTGGACAAAATCAATGTTTGTTAAATAAAGTCTGCCAGTTCTGTTTGCGATTTTTCAGAAACAAGGAAAGAAATCCTATATAAAGTTGATCTGTGCTTTGGCAATATTCATTTAGGGTAATTGCCCTTTTTTCAAATGGCTGTGCATTTTTTATGATGATGAATATAAAGTATTTAGCAGAAATATTTTTTATTAAAATTGTTGAGCTTATGGAATCAATGTAGCAGCCTATGTGAAAGAAACACTGTGCTAGAGAGTTGTCTTTCTGCCACGTGTAATCATTACATTTAACTCAAGTTCTCCATGGGAGATCCATGCAGAGATATGAAAATAGGACGGACGTCTCTTCCTTCTTAAAAGTTGCTCCAGATTTTGGCTTCAAGTGCTTCCTGTTTTTTGCCCTCCCTTATCCCTGGGAGTTCCCTCTATTTACTTTCACAAGGACTCTTGGTATAAAAGATATTTGTATACCTGGGTGTGTGGGAAGGAATTGAAGGCAAAGGTAGCAGTCATTTCAAGCTGAACATGTTAAGTGGTAATCGAGCACTTGGTTTTTGTAGTACCTCCTGTGGCCATCTCCACAGTGTCATATTTGAAAGAAATCTTGTGTAAGCATTGGTCTAAGGGTCACTGACTGTGAATAATGAATGCGGTGACAGCATGGCCATCTTAGAGACAGGCAGGCCAGATATTGGTTACTTTGATTTTAGTTGACAAAGTTTATTTGCTTTTAAGTTTTAAAGCAATACAGCAGTGTGAACTTCAAGTTGTAAACTTTCATTTAGAAAGTTTAAAATTTAGTTGAAATATAAAATATTCTGAATCTGAATAAAAAGTTTTAAAACTTATTCTTCCTTTTCAGTTGTTTTAAACACAAATGAATCAAGAACATGATTATCACCAATCATTACATGTTTATATTTCTGTTGTATACTGAAGGGAGTGGTGAAATGAATGCTGGAGGAGGATTTTGGTTGAGAAATTGGGAGGAGGAGGAAGTAGCAACTAAGACTGAGACGAATGGCCAGTTAGGAAACTCAAGAATATGAAACACTAGAGAACAATAAAGTGTTTCAAGAAGAACTTATGGGCAACTGAGTCTATTACAGTTGATAGGTCAAGTAGGAGGAGAACTGAGAAGTATCCATAGGATTTGACAGCATTCAGGTCATGGGGAATGAGGAGCTATTTTTGTGGAGTGGTAGGCACAAAAACCTGACATGGTGGTTGTAAGAGGAATCAAGGAGAAGGAGAAGCCATGATTATTAGGGGTATTTGAGTTCAAGACATATTGAGGCTGGGCATGGTGGCTCACACCTGTAATCCCAGCATTTTGGGAGGCCAAGGAGGGCAGATCACTCGAGCCCAGGAGTTGAGTCTAACCTAAGCAACGTGGCGAAATCTGGTCTCTACAGAAAGTACAAAAATTAGCCAGGCGTGTAATGTAGTCCCAGCTACTTGGGAGGCTGAGGTGGGAGGATTGTTTGAGCCCAGGAGGTCGAGCAAGCATGCAGTGAGCCATGATCTTGCCACTGCACTCCAGCCTAGAAGATAAAGTGAGACCCTGTATTAAAAAAAAAAAAAGAGAAAAAGACATTGAAAAGTAAAGTTAAAAATCTGTTTGAAGTTAGAGAGCTAAATAAGAATAATGAAATAAAGCCAGTAGAAGGAAACAAATGAGAAAAAAGCAGGCAATGACAGAATAGAAAAATTTTAAAAAATAATAAACCTAAATCTGTTATTAAAATGACTAATAAAAACTGAGGAAAAAGAGCAGAAATAGACATCATGATGAAAAAGGGGGACATAACTATAGGTACAATAATTTTTAAAGAATCTGAAAGAACATGCACTGCTTTCTATGACCTCTTGGCCCTCAGCATCCATTTCTACATCATCATGATGGGGGGAAAAATCAGGTTCTAGAGTCACAAAATAGGAACCGTGGCTCCTCAGAGGGGCAGTAGAGCATAGTGGTTTAAAAGCATAGACTCTAGCGACAGACCACATGGGTTTGAAAACGCCCTGACACGTACTAATCGTGACTTGGCTAGTGCCTCAGTTTCTCATCTTTAAATGAGGATGATGGGAGTCCTTACCGCATTATTTGAATAAATAAGTCAGTTTGCGAAGAAGCACTTAGAATAGCTCCTAGCGTAAAGTGAACACTGTCTCGTGTGGGTATTATTGAGTACAAAAATTTGTATATATATATTTTTTGAGACAGAGTCTCGCTCTGTCACGCAGGCTGGAGTGCAGTGGCGTGGGCTCGGCTCACTGCAAGCTCTGCCTCCCGGGTTCACACCATTTTCCTGCCTCAGCCTCCCGAGTAGCTGGGACTACAGGCGCCCGCCACCACGCCCAGCTAATGTTTTTGTATTTTTAGTAGAGATGGGGTTTCACCGTGTTAGCCAGGATGGCCTCAATCTCCTGACCTCGTGATCCACCCACCTTGGCCTCCCAAAGTGCTGGGATTACAGGCATGAGCCACCACGCCCAGCCTGTTAAATAATTTTTAACTCTACTGACCATAATTTATTATACTCCCCTCTTTAAAATTCATCCAAGATAAATCAGGATCATTAGTGGCAACTTTATTTTTATTCTGAGGTATTAGTAAATCCTTCATTTTATAATTTTAAGCATTAAGTGAGCATTCGTAAACTTGAAAGGTTTAAGCTAGATCTACTCCTATCCAGAGCTAAATGAGTAGAAAACCAATACCCCAAGTTACCTGCTGACAGCCCAGTAACTCCCATGTGTCCAGGGCCAGGTGTTCCTAAGTGCCTTCTGTTCTGAGTCATCCAGATTAGTCTAGGAAGCCTGTAAGTTGTTCTGTTGGTGCAGTTTTGCTTAAAGTACCTACATATTAAAGTGGCTTATTACCTCAAAACCCTAAAAACCTAATTTAAGTATGTTTAAAATACTTCAGCTGACATGATAAACTTTCCCCATCTGCAGAAGGGCATTAACTCAATTGCTAATAAAAGTCTTCTTATATATGGTGTTTTTAAATGATTTTTCCAAATTTTCATCTCTGTTAAATGCTAACATTTTTCATTTTAAATATTACTGGCTGATACTTAAAGGAAATCCAAATACTGCCTTTGACAACCCTTAAATATTCATGGCTAGAGCTTATGAATCATGGTTTTCTTAAGTTAGGAAACATGTTGCTATTACAACAATTTTTCAGAGTGAGAGAATGCTAACATAGATTAGTTTATTTATGTCTAAACAACCTAACTTAGCATTTATTGTTTTCTGTTTGTGTGTGTGTAATCTATCATTGTTATAAGAGACATAGCCAAAGAGGTGAAGATCCAGCTCAGATGCTATGAGGGGGGTACAGCTACTCATGTGTGCTTGATCTGCAGAGTTTAGCAGAGCTCCTTATTAAGCGAGCTAAAAGTACTCAGGTGCTAAACGCTGTGCCAAATATTTATGTTGAAAGCAAACAAAAACAGCCCCTGACATCCAGAACTGATCTGACATTCACATTTAGACCTCAATACAAGCTAGTCTGATGTTCATGGCCAGACTCTTGTGTTCTGCCATTGGGCATGTACAGTCTCACAGAATATCAAAAAAGTGCAGTCTGGAATCATAACAAAATGAGACAATAACAAGGTCACTCTGCAACACAAAATTCTAAACATTCCTATCACCAAATGAGTGCCTGCTACTGTACCAGTTATAGCTCTATCTTCATGCTAGTCTGTCCTCCCTATGGATAATATTTATTGAGATACTCAGTTATAGATTCACCTAGAAATCTATAATTTCTGACACCCTCCAATCTAGAGCAAGCCCCCACTTCCTTAGATGCTCTGCCAATTCACCCAACCAAAGCCCAGTTTCTCTAAGAGGCTCTTTATAACACCATCTTATTGAGACATCCCTTGGTTCCCTATGCTGTGTCTTCTCACTAATTGCAAGGAGGAATAAACCCAACCTGTTTATAGGGCTGTTCCAGTGGGCTTTGGGTAAAGGGTGTTGATGATGTATATTGTCTATTGAGTCCTCAAGGCAATTCCATGACTTAGTTCTGTCAATTGAGAAAAATGATGAGACAAGTCTCAATCATTTTAGGAGATTTATTTGCCAACGTTAAGCACGTGCCCAGGAGACAGGTCTATGCCCTTCTGCGAAGATAATTTTGAGGGCTCCGAATTTAAAGAGGAAAGGGTAGGAAATTGAGAAGTACACAATTTTCATGTAAGAGGGGGCTAGAGAAAAATAGTTACTCATGCCTTTGGCTCAGTGAGTCTGCATTTTTTACATAAGATGACAGAAACAAATGGGGCAGAGGAAAAATGTAGGGAATTTGCATTTTACGTAAGATAAACAGACAAAATGGGGAAGGGGAATAATCAGATATGCATTTATGTCTGGTGGGCCAGGGTAACTGCCCCTGTAAAGATAAGCTGTCAATTACCATTCTCATGGTGAAATTTTAACAGGCCAGTAGGAATTTCCTTGTGGGCAAAATATGAGGAGGCATGTAGCTTTTCATCTTGTAGCCATCTTATTTAGGAACCAAAAGGGGGAGGTGGGTTTGTGTGACCCAGTTCCCAGCTTGACTTTTCCCTTTGGCTAAATGAGTTTAGGGTCCCCAAATTTAATTTCCTTTCACAGTTTTCATTATTCTCATTCTCTAGGTGAGGAAGCTGAAATTCAGAAAGCTTAAGTATCTTGCCCAAGTTCATGTGGATAATAAATGGCACAGCCAGGCTTCAGAATTAGGTCTGTTGTGCTCCCAATCCTATGCTCTTTAAAATGCAAGTTTTTAAATCACTATAATATTTTATACAGGCAGAACATGAAATTTAACATACATTTAAGTTATGATACATATTAAAATGAACACACATGAATTTGCTACCCAACTTAGCAACAGGCAGGAATTTAAATCTGCCGTTGTATTTTTCTTAAGGCTTTTAAAACTCCTATCCTATCTTTTTTATACCATTCCCCAGAGCAAATCAGTTACCTATGTATTATGGTTATCATTGCCTTCCCTTTTTTTCTTTCTTTTGTAAAATTTTGAAGGCAACTCAAATTTACAGAAAAAAAATGCAGGTATAAAGTAACTTTTTCTTTTTTTTTTCCTTCATCTCTTAAATAACTTTTTCTAGACCATTTTCAAGTAAGTTGCCAACCTGATGCCCTACCACCCCCAAATATTTAGTATTTTCTACTAACAAGAACATTCTTCTGCTTAAGGGCAATGCACAATCAAAATCATGAAATTAATGTTGATGCATAATTACCATACAATCCTTGATCTCCATTCATGTTTTAAAGATTGTTCTCATAATGCCCTTTATATAAAGTAGAAGAGATCAGTTTAGAATCATACATTAGTTGTCAACTAATCAATCAGCTAATCATCATAGAATCAATACTTAGTTGTCATGTCTCTTCCAGTGCCTGTGGTGTACATTTTTGATCACTTAATTAAGGTGGTGTCCTCCAGATTACTCTGCTATAAAGTTGTTTTATTTTCCTTTGTAACAAACAGGCATTCTGTGGAGAAGGTCTTTAAAACTATGCATGTAGTATGTTCCTCATGAAACTTTACATTAGTTGTTCATATCAATAGGACTTACGGTGGTTTATTTCATTCATTGGATTATAACCCACCACTATCATATATTTTGATGCTCAAATTCTTCCAGATTTAGCCCATGGGAGACTATTCATGTGAGCTCCTTTGTCTTTTTGATATTTTGCCATCATTCTTTCAGTCCTTCCTTCCTTGTTTTTTGACTCAAGAAGTACCAGACAGATCTTGTACTTGTACCCTACCCCTGCTAGGCATTTCTCCAAAGAGCCCTTGTTTCTTTTAATGAAGAATGATATTTTAAATCAAAATCTGGGATCTAAGTGTGCTTACAGTTATTGGAGTGTCCTTGCTCTCATCTCAATGCACAGAGCGAGGGAATGTAGAAAAACCCTCTTTTTGATGCTCAGGCTCTGATACACCAACCCCATCCATGCCCACATCCGTCTTAGGTTCTGACATTCCACACCAGCCGATCATGGTCAGGCTTCTGACTTTGCTCAATCTTTGACAGTCATCCTTCCTTTGCATGGACATCTTCCCACCCACCTCAAGCTTTGACCCAAGTACAGCTGCTCCTTCCCATGGACATGCTCCTCACACCTCGTGGGCCCTGTCCTCCTATAGCCAGCTTAGATGATTTTCAGGAACGGACTTCTTACACTGGGCTTACCTATGAGATCATGCTTCTCTCCACAAGAATCCTCCATGCTTGTGCATGTAATAGTTACCTAATTTGTTTTTACTGATGAATATTTTCCAAGGTGTAAGTATGTCCAAATTTAAGTGTCCATTTTTTGAAGATGCATATTCAGCTTGTTTCCAATGCACTCCTTTATGAACAACACTTCTTCATATACACATTTGTATACATGTCTTCAGTATTCATACACATTCCTGTAGTGAGCCTCTAAGGACAGAATTGCTGGGCCATAAGATATACTGATGTTTTGTTTATATTACAAGATAACGTTATGATTTTTAAAAGCACCTCTACTAACTTACTTCAACCAGCATATTGATACCTATCGTCACTAAGATCTTGACATTTTCAGATGTTTTGTTTTCCAAACTAATGGTGGTAAGGTATCTAATTGTGGGTTTAATTAGCATTCTTAGTTACTAAGTTACTTGGTTGTAAGTTTAAGCATTTTTTTCTACATTATGATAGGAAAATCATGTTTATCTTTTCAAAAATATCTTACCCATTATTGGTTCTTCATCCTTCAATGTACAACAAAAAAGTAGCTCATCAAGTTTTTCAAAAAACACTTTTGGGATTTTGATTGGTGTTTTATTGAACCAATGAATCTTTTTTCCTTTTTTTTTTTTTTTTTTTAGAAATGAAAGCTTTATCATTTTTCAGCTTTCCGTCCTTAAGCAAGTTATAGCTCCCCATTTATACAGATTTTTCTAAATATCTTTCAGTACAAATTTACATGTTTTTACATAGGCTGTATACATATTTGTTAATTTATTCCTAGATATAACATCTCTTACTGTTTTAAAATTATATCTTTTGGAAAGTTGCATGTTCTAAATTATATTTACTAATGTATATAAATGTGATTGGCTTTTATGTATTGCTATTGTATATTTATTAAATTTGAGACACTTGCTCATGAATTCTAATACTTTACCTGTAGATTACTTAGATTTGATCTATAGAAAACCATATTGTCTGAAAATATGAGTTGTATTTCTTGATTTCCAATCTTCATGTATACATTGTCTTTATTTTTTAAATTTTACAACATTGTGAAGTACCTCTAGTATAATGTTGACTGTAAGTGCTAACAGTAATTATGTAAATCTTATTTCTGATTTAAAGGATATTTATAATGTTATACTCATTGTATTATATCATTTTCACACTGCTATAAAGAACTGCCAGGGACTGGATAATATATAAAGGAAAGAGGTTTAATTGACTCACAGTTTCGCAGGGCTAGGGAGGCCTCAGGAAACTACACTCATGGTGGAAGGGAAGCAAACAGATCCTTCTTCACATGGTGGCAGGAAGGAGAAGTGCCAAGCAAATGGGGGAAAAATCTCTTATAAGACCATCAGATCTCATGAGAACTCACTATCACAAGAACAGCATGGGGGTAGCCACCCCCAGGATTTAATTACCTCCCACCAAGTCCCTTCCACAACATGTGGGGATTATGGGAACTACAATTCAAGATTAAATGTGGGTGGAGACATAGCTGAACCATACCATTCGACCCCTGACCCCTCCCCAATCTCATGGCCTCACATTTCAAAACAGAATCATGCATTTCCAACAGTCCCACCAAGGTCTTAAATCCTTCCAGCAGTAACCCAAGAGTCCAAGTCCAAAGTCTCATCTGAGACAAGGCAAGTCCCTTCTGCCTATGAGCCTGTAAAGTCGAAAGCAAGTTAGTTACGTCCTAGATACAGTGGGGGTACAGGCATTGGGTAAATACACCCATTTCAAATGAGAGAAATTGGCCAAAATAAAGAAGCTACAGGCCACATGCAAGTCAGAAATCCAATAGGGCAGTCATTAAACCTTAATGTTCCAAAATGATCTCCTGTGACTCCATATCTCACATCCACGTTGTGTTGATACAAAGGGGCTCACATATCCTTGGGCAATCCTGACTCTCTATCTTTGTATGGTACAGCCCCTCTCCCATGTGCTTTCACTGGTTGGCCTTGAGTGTCTGCGGCTTTTTCAGGTGCACGGTGCAAGCTGTCAGTGGATCTACCATCAGGGGGTCTGGAGGATGGTGGCTGTCTTCTCACAGCTCTACTAAGCAGTGCCCCAGTGGGGACTCTGTGGCTCCAACCACACATTTCTCTTTTGCACTGCCCTAGCAGAGGTTCTACATGAGGGCTCCACCACTGCAACAAACTTCTGCCTGGATATCCAAGCATTTTCATATATCATCTAAAATCTAGGCGGAGGTCCCCAAACCTCAGTCCTCGACTTCTGTGCACCTGCAGGCCCCAAACCACCTGAAAGCTGCCAAGGCTTGGGGCTTGCACTCTCTGAAGCAATGGCCTGAGTTGTACATTGGCTGCTTTTAACCATGGCTGGAGCTGAAGCAGGGCACCATGTCTCAGGGCTAGGCCTGGAAAGGGCCCTGGGCCCAGCCAATGAAACCAATTTTTCTTCCTAGGCTACCAGGCCTGTGATGGGAGTGGCTGCCATGAAGGTCTCTCTCTGACATGCCCTGGAGACATTTTACCCATTGTTTTGATGATTAACATTCGGCTCCTCATTACTTATACAAATTTCTGCAGTGGGCTTGAATTTCTTCTCAGAAAATGAGTGTTTCTTTTCTATTGCATTGTCAGGCTGGAATTTTCCAAACTTTTTTGTTCTGCTACCTTTTGAATGCTTTGCCACTTAGTAATTTCTTCTGCCAGATACCCTGAATCATCTCTCTCAAGTTCAAAATTCCACAGATCTCTGGGTCAGGAGCAAAATACTGCCAGTCTCTTTGCTAAAGCATAGCAAGAATCACCTATATGCTAGATCCCAAAAAGTTCCTCATCTCCATCTGAGACCACCTCAGCCTGGACTTTATTATTCATATTCCTATCAGCATTTTGTTCAAAGCCATTCAACAAGTGTCTAGGAAGTTCCAAACTTTCCCACATCTTTCTGTCTTCTGAGCACTCCAAGACTCTAGAAAGTTCCAAACTTTCCCACATTTTCCTGTCTTCTTCAGAGTCCTCCAAACTGTTTCAAACTCTGTTACCCAGTTCCAAAGTCACTTCCACATTTTTGGGTATCTGTATAGCAGCACCCCACTCTCTGAGGTGTCAATTTACTGTATTAATTTGTCCTCACACTCCTATAAAAAAAACTTCCAGAGACTGGGTAATTTACAAAGGAAAGTGATTTAGCTGACTCATAGTTCCACAGGGCTGGTGCAGTCTCAAGAACTTACAATTACCGTGGAAGGGGAAGTAAACATGTCCTTCTTCACATGGCAACAGGAACGAGAATGCTGAGCAAGGGAGGAAATGCCCCTTGTAAAACCATCAGATCTCATGAGAACTCACTCACTACTAGGAGAACAGCATGGGAATAACCGCCCCATGATTCAATTACCTCCCACCACGTCCCTCCCATGACATGTGAGGATTAGGAGAACTACAATTCAAGATGAGATTTAAGTGGGAAATTTCTCAGTTTTGTTATTGTAAGCTTTTAAAAAACACACTGTATTTTTAATGTTCATAATTTTGAGAATAAGATTTACCTGTATATTTTTTCTATAATTTTCTTGCCTAACATTAAGCATATTTATGCCTCATGAGGTGATTTGGGGAGTAAAACCACTTATTTAAATTTTTGGAAGCGTTTGTAAGATATTTTAATGATTTATACTTTGAAATTTTGGTAGAACTCAGTGTAAAACTCAGTGTAGAATTTTCTTTATGGAAATCAGGTAGACAGCACTTGTCTGGTATACAATGCTTCACACGTGCTATCACAACTTATTCCTAGAGGAATCAAATGTGTCATCCTATGTGACTCCACAGGGAGAGAACTCTAGGAAACTTGCTCCTGGTTTCCTCTGGACTTCACTTCATGTGCCTTTTCTCTCTGCTGAATTTGCTTTGTATCCTCTCACTATAATAAACTGTAGGCAGAAGTATGGCTATATGCTCAGTCCTGTGAGTATACTTAGCAAATCATCAAACCTGGGGGTGGTCTTGGTGATCAACAACACAGTGATATTTTCCCAGAAAATTTTTCATTTAATTTCTGTTTTCTAAATTATTGTCATAAGTGTGTTCATACTACTTGTGTTATATTTTATAATTTAAGAACAAAAACTGTTGTTCCTTTTTACATTTAATATTTCATGTTAAATGTTTTTATTTAGATTTTTTCTTATTAGCCTATATTATTTTGTCCATTTCTTTAGTATTTTAAAATAAACTTCTTTTAGATACATTGATTTTCTCTACTGTATCTTTGTTTTCTATTTCATTGTTATTTAATTTTATCTTAATTATCTTTCATTCTCTTTGGTCTCATTTATTTGATTTCTAATCTAACTTAATATGTATATGTAACTCCTTAGTTATCAGCCTTTTCTAACATAAATATTTAAAACTATGTATTTCTTTCTTAGTGTTTATTTTAGTATGTTCCAGCAATTTTGATTTGTGATACATTTTTTACTATTAAGTTCTAATTTTTTGACTGTTAAATTAGTCAACTATCAGAATACATATGGTACATTTCTCACTATGGTTGACACAGGATTCCTTCTGTGCCACTTCACCACATGGAAATCTCGGTGGCAATGGCACCCCTGCCTGGGCCTCTCTTGGCTCCATGCTTGCTGCTGGGCTCACTTCACCTACTCTGCCTGGCAGCCTGTACTCAGCTCATGCTACCAGCCTGGATTTTGTGCTCAGCCTGTGGGTGGGCTGGGCATACTGCAGTCTGCTTCCACCTTGGGTACTGGCATCTGGATGAGGGAATGTGGTGGAGCCTGTAAACTAGGAGATGACAGCAACTGCGGAGCCCCAAGCGGTGTTATGGCTCTTGCCCACAGAGTCCCAAGGTCTGAGCCCCCAAGCACTTTTACTGTTCTCTCTCCTTCCCACCACCCACAGATAAGCAAATGGGGTCTGGGGGAGGGGGGCGGGGGTGTTACAGATTCTTCGTGTTACAGCTCTCATTTGTTCCTCCCAGTTGGTGGGTTTTGGGTTCTTGTCCTGCATCCAAGAAAAATGAGGCTACATGGACACTACAGAGTGAGCAACGTAGAAAAGGGTTTTGTTGAGTGACAAAACATCTCTTGTCATGAGAGGGTACCTGAAGTGGGTGGCCCTCTGTGTGAGAGGGGGCCCAAAAGTGAATAGCCCCACATGTGGCTGAGTCTGGGGTAATTATGGGCTCAGAATGGGGGAATGTGAGGTGATTGGTCCATGGACAGGCCTGGAAAAAGCCCCATTTGATTGGCTAAAAGGCATCGAAGAAGTTCTCACTCTGATCATGGACTCTACCTGGACTGCCAACCCTGTTTTCAGGCTTTAAATTGTCCTTGGTTTGAAGGTTGAGTTTTACTGGGGACCTGTCCCTGTCTGCCTAGGAATTTTTCTCCCTCCTGCTGCTATCAATCTCCGCTCTGAAAAGGTACATCTAACTGACGTTAGGATAAGGACAGTTACTGCTCTTACTGCTTCATGCCGACAGGGGGCATTGTTTTGGGAAAATGCAGTCAGATTTCTCTCAGAGGTTTATCTAAGGGTCTCCAGTGAAAGCCATTACCCAAGGCGCATTTGCATAACCATTTGGAGTTTGATGGTCTCTAGGCGAGAAGAAGCAAATTTTACAAGAAGGTTAAGTATGAATGGGCCAAGTATTAGCATTATAAAAAGAGGAGCTAAAAGGAAATTTCTAGTGCCAAAGATAACAGAAATAAGAAGTAAAAGAGACTAATCATTCTGAAAACAATGTTGTGGCCAGAGCTGTTTCACTCTGGTGAAAAATAATTAAATCTTTATAGGGGGCAATTAAACTTGAGAGATAACTGTTTACGGAAGTAGATAATCCCATGGGAGTTCAGGATTAAGGGGTCCTTGGTAAACATGCCTGATGGTGAGGAACAGAACAAAGGTGATAACAGCAAGCATAGGGGAGGCCATAAAGAGGATATTCATGGAAAGTTAATTATTGACACTTATCTTTGTGATTGTTTGCCTGAGGTCTCCAATTTCTTCATACACACTGGTATTTTGGGTGCTCTTCTGGGTCAACAGAGGTAATTCTGTCAGTTTCCCCCTTTACTTAAGTATAATGAATCCAAGAATATATTTCAGTGACCTTTACTGTCATAGGAGTAGAAAGAAGAACAGTGTAAGGTCCCTCCCACTCTGGGCCTACAGAGAGAGAAAGGAAAGAAGTGCCTTTACCAGTCCTAAGTCCCCTGGGTTGAATAGACATGGCCCTAGTTCACAGGGTTAGGCCTCCAACAATTGTTTCAGTTCCTGTTGGAAATGGGCCAACACAGTTACATGTTTAATCAAATCAGAGGTTTCTTGGTCTAGCAAGAAATTGTTAGCGGGAAAAGGCCATCCATACATCATTTCAAAGAGACTTAAACCCAGTTTCAAAGGGGTGTTTCAAACAGGTAGTAGGGTTGTGGGAAGAAGAGTGATCCAGGGGAGATGAGTCTCTTGAGACAGTTTTCTGAGGTGTCTTTTGATAATATCATTTGTCTTCGTCTCCTGAGGATTGTGGTCTCCAATCACAATAAAGATGATATTGTGTGCATAGTGCATTTGAGACCCCTTGGGTGACAGCCACCTTGCACAAGGGGCCATTATCACTCTAGAGGTACTCAGGGAGTCTAAAGTGAGAAATAATTTCATTAATTCATACTTTTATTACCTCAGAAGCTTTCTCTGTTAGATATAGAAAGGCTTCTCCCTAGGTAGTGAATGTATCTACCCATACCAGTAAGGAAGTACTGGATGTCCTTTGTCTTTGTCATATTGGTGAAATTCACCTACCAGTCTTCCCCTAGGTAGCCTGTCATTCTTTGGTTTCCAGCAGGGATAAGTCAATAATTTTAGAGATTACATTAGAGTAAGGGAGTAAGGTTGTCAAGATCATAAGAGGATTGTAGAGATACTCTGAGTGGTACTGAGTGCTTCCTGGCAGTGAATATGATTATATAATTACAGATATTTTTTGAACTTTCATTGCCTAGACTACTACCATATATTCTAATTATCCACCATTTTTTATGCAGCTGGCTATAGCACACAGCTTTCCTTAAGTGCATTGCCAGTGCATGGGGCTTTGAAAGCTACCGTGACTCTTGGCAGGAAAAGTCTAAGATGTGCTTGGGGCACTCTCCACACCGTTTGATTCAAAATATGAAACTAATGCTGAGGGGGGAAAAAAGCACATTCACACAAATTTTAATTCATGTTCCAGGTCCCCTGCTAAACAATTGTTTAAAAGTAATGTATCATTTATCCCTCGCAATTACCCTATGAAGCAACTGCTACAAAGACCCTTCAGCTGTGGCTATTTCGGCTCATTCTGAGCCAGGGTTCTGATTGTACAGTAGTCATTAAAAGGCTGCCCCTTTTGAAGGACGTTTCTCTTTCACTGCTCACGTCAACTCTCCATGGGTCTTAGCAAAGGCTGGCATATTTGTCACATGGGTATACTGTAGAATGTGAAATTAAAATGAGACTTGCTTGAGAGAGATTTTTGTTCTGAAGGGAGAACGGTGTTTTAGTACTTATTTCCATCACTCCTAGGGTAGATGGACAGAAAATGTCTGCCTAAAAGAATTTGTCGAATGAAGCTGCCAAGGTTACAAGAAACACAGTGGTAGCAGAAAGAAGGCCAGAGAAGCATTGCTTTTTAGGTCTTTATACAGAACATGAGGCTTGGAAAAAGCCATCCTTCCAGCAACTTTTCTTCCTTGTGTTGCTTCTGTGGTCCAGAGGATTCAATTTGGGAAGGATGTTGGCATTCTTTTTTCATATGCAATGCTTTCTGCATAAAGAATGTTTTTTTCCATATTCCTTAAAACCATATCATTTTCTTTAACACTCTTTAATTTCTGCCAGTTACTTTCTCAGCGAGTTTTGCAATATCACACTTGTTTTTTTCTTTTCCCTATCTAACATTTTTTTTTTCTAAAGATTTCTTTCTCATCCATGTTTGCATTTTTGGGTATGTTCTTTTTATCATCATCATTATCATCACCATTATTATTCTAGATTGAACACAAAATTAACATATAAATCTTTGACAGTTAAGAAAAATGTGATTTAATTTAGTTTTGTGTAGTGGAAAGAGTACTTGAAATCTCACGATCTCTATTTGAATCCTGACTCTGCAGTGCCCTCGCCTTCTGCCACATTGGATGAGAGCTTTGTATTCTCTCTAGTCTTCAATTTTCTCATTTGTGAAATGAAAAAGTTAAAGTAAATACTCTCTAACCCCTCTTCCAGCACTGCTAACACAAGGACCAGCTTTCTCCCAAGATGATGCTGCCTCACACAGTGATTTAATTTTTCTGTTTATACCCACCTTCTTCCAAAAATTATTTGAGGGTATCTGTGAAGGATACACAAGAAACCAATAACATGGGTTATTTTGGGGTGAAGGAACATCAAGGCTGAGAGACAGGAGTAGAAGAGAAGATTCAGGCCATCTGGATTTTGACCAGATAAACCTGTTTTCAATTCCAACAAATGAACAAAATGTAAAACTGTAATCAAGAGTAGTTACCTGAGCAGACTTTTTTAAAAATTCATTTTGGTCTATTCTGTGATTATAGTGACTCAAAATAATACTTTACTAAAGCTGTAAGGGTAGGAAAAAATCAGTAGAATTTAGCTTTTTCTTTACCATTTTAATAGTAGAAAGAAATGCTAATGAACAACAAAATAGCCAGAATAAATAAAAAATTTGAGTAACATTTATTGAGACTTTTAGCACTGGAGACTTGCATTTATGCAATATTTATTGGATCTATGTTTTATATTTCTAGACAAATTTAGAGCTAAGACTTGAGTCTAACATTCTCTGCACACACACTTAAGAAAGATGTCCCCGGCCGGATGTGGTGGCTCACGCCTGTAATCCCAGCACTTTGGGAAGCTGAGGTGGGCAGATCACGAGGTCAGGAGTTTGAGACCAGCCTGGCCAACATAGTGAAACCCCGTTTCTACTAAAGATACAAAAAATTAGCCAGGTGTGGTGGCGTGCACCCATAATCCCAGCTACTCGGGAAGCTGAGGCACTAGAGTCTCTAGAACCTGGGTGGTTACTGTGAGCCAAGATCACGTCATTGCACTCCAGCCTGGGTGACAGGAGAGACTCTGTCTCAAAAAAAAAAAAAAAAAAAAAAAAAAAAAGAAAGAAAGAAAGAAAAGAGAAAAGAAAGATGTTCCACAAGACCTTTACTCCCCCAGCTGTTATTATAGGCCTCAAACTTTATTAAGCAATTATACTGCTCTACACATGTTGATAAGGACATTTAAAAACGGTTATTAATTTTTAGAAAAATTTAAGATAGAAAATGAGAGAAGTTATGTCCAATTTGTGAAAATAATCCAATTAAACACAAACTTTTAAAAATTATAAAAATTACTTTGAGTAAATAGACACATTCAAAAACATTTTGTATGTCTTCTAACAAATAATCATTACTTTTTTTCAGGTATGTTGGAGCAAATTAGTGTTTAAACACCTGTTCAGAAGAATTAACAGATTGCAGTATAGCATGAATCCTATCCCTCTGGTCATTACTTATCCTGGCACATAGGCATCGAAGCATTTTGTTTGCTCAAGGCTAATTAATCTGTATTGATTCTTCACTGAGAAGTGAATATTAAAAAATTACTTAAAAATGTACCTTGATTTTTTTTAAAAGAGCATCCTTTGCTATATAATATTTGTTAAATCAAACTAAAATTTGGCCTGATAAAGACTTCATACTTGCATTCTGTATTAGCTCCTTCTCCTGCTGCTATGAAGAAATACCAGAGAATGGGTAATTTATAAATGAAAGAGGTTTAATTGACTCCCAGTTCCCCAGGGCTGGGGAGGCCTCAGGAAACTTACAATCATGGTGAAAGGGGAAGCAAACACATACTTCTTCACATGGTGGCAGGATGGAGAAGAATGAGAGTCGAGTGAAAGGGGAAGTCCCTTGTAAAACCATCAGGTCTCTTGAGAACTTACTCACTATCATGAGACTAGCACGGCAGAAACCTCCTCTATGATTCAATTACCTCTCACTGGGTCCTTCCCACAACATGTGGGGATTATGGGAGCTATAATTCAAGATGAGATTTGGGTGGGGACACAAAGCCTAAGCATATCACATTCTTTAGTTATCCTGTACAAACTGCAATATATGCAAACTGAAAACCTAATTTAGGTGTGTGCTTCTGTAAAATAGCTGAGTTTCAGCCAAACCCAGCAACCAGACTTCATCCACTCACAGGCAACCAACTGTTTATTGTTGAAATAAGGCAAAAGCTGAGTTATAACTAATCCAATTGTTTCTGGAGGTTACTTCCATTTTCTGTATGTCACTTTCCTTTTTCTGTACATAAGTTTTATCCAAACATGCAGCAGCCCCAGAGTCTCTCTGAATGTGTTCTGATGCTGGGAACTGCCTGATTCAAGAATCATTTTTTTTTCTTGCTTAATTAGATTCTGTTAGATCCTATTAAATTTAATTTGTTTAAAGGTTTGTTTTGGTTTGTTTGATTTAACAGATCTGGTGTCAAAAGTGAGGATCCAAAGTAAAACTCCAGTGACTCTCAGGATCACCAGGTGACCAGGAGGCAAGGTACTGTGGAGCCCACTGTGCTCCTTGCTCTCGTTTGTAACTGGAGTTCATGGACAAGTATTATTGTGGATTCTGAGCTCCACCAATTGTGTTCTGAGCAATTTTTTAAAGCAATATTTAGCTGGAATGACTGGAGGATCAGATTGGATTTGATAGTTAACTGGTTCAGATTTAGTTAGAGGCCTGGAACTTCAGATAGTGACATTTGTGATAATGAGTTTGTCTCAATCACAGGAGTTTGGAACTACACCTTCTAGGATTCCAGCTTTTTTTTTTTTTTTTTTTTTTTGAGATGGAGTCTCGCTCTGTCGCCCAGGCTGGAGTGCAGTGGTGTGATCTCTGCTCACTGCAAGCTCTGCCTCCTGGGTTCACGCCATTCTCCTGCCTCAGCCTCCCGAGTAGCTGGGACTATAGGCGCCTGCCACCACACCTGGCTAATTTTTTGTATTTTTAGCAGAGACGGGGTTTCACTGTGTTAACCAGGATAGTCTTGATCTCCTGACCTTGTGATCTGCCCACCTCGGCCTTCCAAAGTGCTGGGGTTACAGGCGTGAGCCACCGCGCCCAGCCGATTCCAGCTAATTTTATGTATAAAATTAGGAACCCAAGAACGTATGTCATTTTTAAAATTTGGGCTAACCTTACTAAATACAATGTAGAATTCAGATGGCCACAATAGGGAAGTTTTTTTTTAATTAATTAATTAATTTATTTTTCTTTTCGAAACAGTCTTGCTCTGTTGCTCAGGCTGGAGTGCAGTGGCGCTATCTTCGCTCACTGCAAACTCCACCTCCTGGGTTCAAGTGATTCTCCTGCCTCAGCCTCCCAAGTATCTGAGATTACAGGAGCCAGCCACCACACCTGACTACTTCTTGTATTTTTAGTAGAGATGGAGTTTCATCATGTTGGCCAGGCTGGTCTCAAACTCCTGACCTCAAGTTATCTGTCCAACTCAGCCTCCCAAAGTGCTGGGATTATAGGCATTAGCCACCACACCTGGCTGGAAGTTTTAATTTGAACAAAATTGTGTATTTAAAGGCATATTATAAAAGGGGTGACCAAAAAGCCTGCAAAAGCAATTTCGTGTATTCTTTAATTGGCATGTGAAGGCATCTAAAAGATTAAATGAATGAAAAATTGCTATTGCAGAAAAAGCAAACAAAAAGTTTAAGCCACAGACTAAGGACATAACAGAAGAGGATTGTACTCTTGATTGAACTAACCCCAACTATTCCTTCTCTTTATCCATCTCTACCTAAATTCTCTGAGTCCACTAATCTTTTTCTAAATGACCTTTTCACCTTGATGATGATGAGAACAGAGAAGTTAGACAGACGCCTTACAAAGTAAGACCTGATCAGCCAGGCCTCTGGGCTGTTATCACCTTTTACTTTGTGGTCTAAAACTGAGCATAGAGTCATTGTAAAGAACTTCCCTGACTCAAGGGAACATCCTCAAGAATGTATTGAGGAATTTAGAATCATCATAGGAGCTTACGATCCAGGGCTTTCTGACCTCTACTGATTTATTCCCATGACATTGGGACCTAGCAAAGCTCAGAAATGGATGACAGCAGCAGATTGGGACAGACCTAAGGAGGATATTAAAGATCCCCCCACACCCCCTTATGAGAAGGGCCAAACTGAGCTATGAAAATTGCTGAAAATCCTTTAGATTCAATTTCTACATATGTTTCACAGAAAAATAATTGGTTCATCATTCAATTTTGCAGACCAAAAAACAAAAACAAAAACAAAAAATTGACCCAGTTTTAGATTACAGAACTCAGAAATACTGTATTTGAAATGTTCTAGGCTCAACATACAGCAAGCAGTCTTTTCTGCAGGTACTGAAATGGGATTAACTAATCTATTTATAAATAGATCCTGTCCTTAACTCAACAGTTTAATTTAAAAACATAAACTTAGATGGGTAGTGACAGATGTGACTCAATGGATAGCCTTAGCTGAACATTTTGAGAGGACATCAGAGTGAGAACAAAACCCCAGAAGGGTAACAAGCTTATGTCTGTCCTGTTACTATGGTTACGGGGTCCGAAACCAAAGGGGCCTTCTTGTTTTTCTTTTAAATCACAACCAAGAGGTAGAGAATAAGAAATTCTGTACTCCAGGATATCTGCTTTTATTGCAAATAACAAAGACACTGGAAAAGAGATTGTCCAGATTTATATCAGTCCACTCATAAGCCTCCCCCATTTAGACCAGACTGTTTCTCCCCTAGAGGCAGCCCAAGAGATCTTAGCCCTTGTGGTGATAATAGACATTGTGGAGGCCCTCAGGGAGTCTCCTGTAAATTGCCCTTGCCCCCTCCCCAACTTAACGTCCATTTTTCTCCACAATATCCTTAAATAAACCTGAAGAAACAGGGTCAAAATAAATGAGCAATCCTGTACAATACTGGTGGATATGAGAGCCACATTATCTACCATAAACTCCACTTAAATCGATCAACAAATCCCTCTGAGTAAAAAGGTCATTTCTGTGGTGGCGCTTTTGAATCAAGTTCAAGAGGCTTCCATATCTGAACAAATCCAATTTACTTTGCAGCCATTTTCAGAAAAATGTACCTTTCTGCTATGTGATACTGCCCCAGTAAATTTGCTAGGGTGAGAATCACTTTCATTGCTAACAGAGCATATGAAATTCTTCTATGAGGGAGAAGTAATCTTAGAGTTTTTGACTCTCCTCAATCAGAACGGTTATGCTCTCTACAGGCAGAAATTGGTAAGATCAAAAATCAGGCCTATAAACCTGCATCTTTTCTAAAATACCTGAAGGTTTATGGGCCTTTTCCTTAACTGATATAGAAATAATTAAAAGTATGGAACTTTTAAAAGTCCAAATAGATCGTTCTAAATCCTTGCCTAAATTACCCCAGTATCCACTAAAACTCAAATTAGTTCAAATGCTCTCACCAGTGGTAGAAGAGTCAATTAAACAAGGACTTATAATTCTGTGTACCAGTCTTTGTAACACTCGAATCCTACCAGTTAACAAACCAGATGGACAAGCTTAGAGATTTATTCAAGATTTACAGACAATTAATAAAATTGTAATACCAAGGTTTCCTGTAGTCCCAGATAGTGATATCTTAATGTCTAATATACCCACTGATTCGAAGTGGTTTGCAGTAGCAAACCTCTGCTCAGCCTTTTTTTTTAGCATTCCAGTTCATAAATAGAGTCAATACTTATTTGCTTTACTTGGAAAAATCAGCAGTTCACCTGGATAGTAATGCCACAAGGATTAATGTAGTTTTCCTAGGCATTGCATCAGGACTTAACCCTATAGAGTGCTGGAAATTCTACTCATACTCAATATGTAAATGACCTGTAGTTATGCACTCTGCCACTAAAGAGTGCTTTGAAATTTCCTCAATTTACCTTTTATAGCAAGTTGCATGTAAAGGTCACAAGACTTTGATGATAAAACTTTAGTTTTCAAGAGAAGAGGTCAACTGTTTTTGACACAATTTGATTGCTGAAGCAATTTCCTTCTCACCTGAAATAATACAAACTACCTAAAGTTTTCCTTGCCCTGCAACCCAACACAAGGACTTTTCTTGCGCTTATAGAATATTACAGATACTGAGTCCTGAATTTTTCCTTTATGGCCTCACCATTCTATGAACTCACTAGAATATAGTACCTAAGGTCTTAACCTTGGAAAGACAGTCATGCACCAACTTTTAACCAAATGAAATTGGCCTCAAAACCACCCCTCACTTTAGAAATTCCAAATTACAGTAAATCTTTTACCTTGTTCCCTTCATGAATGTAATAATTGGGTACTAAGATTTCTTACCCAAGAACATGGGGGAAACAGGGCCATGGCATAATATAGCCTGCAATTAGAACCAATAACTGAAGCATATCCTAATTGTTTAAAAGCAGGAGCAGCAGCAACCTACTTGATAGAAGCAACTGCCTGGTTTTAAGAGATGAACTTAATTTGCAAGTCCCACATGAGGTGGAAAGTCTATTAAATTCCAGCCAGACTCAGCATTTTTTACCAATAGACTAACATCTTAGAAATTCTTCTCTTGTCTCCTAACCTTTCATCAAAAATGCTGAAACCCATCTAAGCCTGCTACTCTATTACCTCTGCCTGACGATGTGAAGACCACAACTGTGTAAATGTAATATCAGAAATAGTGTCCCCTCCTGTAGATTTATGAGCTGCTCCACGATAATCCTAAATTAATACGTTTTGTTGATGGGTTCTATGCCAAAAACTCAGAAGAAAAATATCAGTTGAGGTATGATGTTACCACCAAAAATGAGTTAATAGAGAAGGAAACTCTTACTTAAGTCACCTCAACCTGTGAAGCTTATTGCTCTCACCCAAGCTTGTCATACAGCTAAGGACAAGTCAGTATATGTTTATACAGATAGCAAATATGCTTCTGGGGTCTTACATGATTTTGGCATGTTATGTAAACAATGAGGGTTTCTCACCTCTACTACTACTAGTAGTAGATTTTACAGCTATCCTGTTACAATTACAGATTGACGTTGTTAAGTTTGAAGCTCACACGTGTAGAAATGAATCGGAAAATCAAGGGAATGCCTTAGAAGATTTTTGTGTTAAATGAACTAGTGTTGAAATTGCTGGAGTATGCAATTTGAATGAACTCCGTCAGATTGATCCAAGTCAACTCTCTTGTGATGACTTATTTAATAAATAGTGCAATGGCCCTGATTTAAAAAAAAAAAACAAAATTGGTATCTAACAGGATGTAAATTCAATGTTAGATGTGGACCCATATAGGAACTGGATGGTTGTCTGGCCCTTCTTCAGTCTTTGAAACTTCCATTGTTAAAAGTTCTGCACTCCAAAAATCATCATAGAACAGACAAAAGATTCAAATTATGAAAAAATATTGGTGCGGTGACTTCCAAAATGCTAAAACAGTTTAAAATCAATGTTTGGTTTTTCAAATTTATAATCCCTGGAAAACAATAAAAACCTTAGGTGGTATATTTCTGCCACCTGATTTGAACATTTACAGATGGATTTCATTTAGATATGACCCTCAGTAGAGTATTAGTATGTTTTTGTAATATTTTTCATGTTATCTGGTTGGGTAGAGGCTCTTTCATGAAGAAAAACTGATATTGTGACAGTAGCTAAACAATTATTAGAAAATGTGTTTCTTTCATGGGACATCCCTGGAAAAATCTCCAGCAACAGTGAAACTTATTTTACTGAGCAAGTTACAAAGAAGTTAAGTAAAATGTTAGGGACACAGTGGCATTACCACTGTCCTTATTAATTTCAATTTTTTGGAATGGCTGAAAGAACAAGTAGTTTCTTACAACTGAAATTGGCAAAATTAACCGAGTCAATCGGGTTGCCATGGCCCAAGGTACTACCACTGGCTTTAATGGCAATCAGATCCATTGCCATTGAAAAGCATTAAGTTTACCCTTCATGAAATAGTTACTGGAAGGCCTTGTCCCTAATATTAGAACCTCCTGCATCTCTCACTCTTGTAAACTCTGATATGACTAAATTCTGTAAGGTTTTAATGCATTATGTCAAAGTGTATTTTCACCAGATAAAGGATGCTTTTCCTGATCCACCAACTGAGGAAAATCAAACCTTTTATGGTCTAGAAATTAGAGACTGGGTCTTCTGGAAATGACATTAGAGGAAGACCACCAGTGATCCTCCTTGGAAAGAACCATATATGAACCCCAAAAAATCTGAGACAGGCCTTGGTTAATTTAGAAAGTTTATTTTGCCAAGGCCAAGAAAATGTGTGCCCATGACACAGCTTCAGGAGGTCCTGATGACATATGTCCAAGATGATCAGAGCACAGTTTGGTTTTATACATTCAAGGGAGACATGAGACATCAATCAACATATGCAAGATGAACATCGGTTTGGTCTGGAAAGGCGAGATGACTCAAAGCAAAGGCAGGAAGACCTGTAGTGAGGAGAGGGCTTCTAGGTCATAGGTAGATAAGAGAAAAATGGTTGTATTCTTATGAGTTTCTGATTAGCCTCTCCAATGGAGGCAATCAGATATGTATTTATCTCAGTAAGCAGAGGGTTGACTTTGAATAGAATGGGAGGTAGGTTGGCCCTAACAGTTCCCAGTTTGACTTTTCCCTTTAGCTTAGTAATTTGGTGGCCTCAAGATTTATTTTCCTTTCACACATATCAAGTCCTTCTCACCACCTACACTACAGTAAAGCTTCAGGGCCTCGAAACTTGGGTCCACATTTCACAGTTGAAAAGGGACCCTTCAAACTTTTGGAACTGCACACCTGTTGGAGACTTTAAGGTAAAGCTAAACAGAAAAATTTCTCCCATGGACAGCTTTCAAGACTTTTGTCTTGACCAAAGACTTTAAAAAAAAATTAACCTTTTTAAAAATTAATGTTCATTTTATTCAGAGGGACCTTACTCTTGGCACTAGTGGGGTACCAGTTCCATGGAATTTAATGCTAATTCATAAATTGGGAAAAATCTTAAATAATGTATCCAATTAAACCTCCTAGGGATTTAGATAGGTAGAAACCACTCTCTGAAAGGCAGATGATAACATATGGATTTGACAAAAACAAACAAACCAACATACAAAAGAAACAATGAAACATAGTGCAGCTCTAGATCTCTTTTATGCTCAAGTTGTGGGCTTATGTTCCTTATGTTTAGTTTTGAACAAAACTGAATGTTTTACCTATCTGTCACCTGATTTTATTAGTACAGAAAGCTTAATTTAAAAGTTGAGTGTTAACTACTGCTTTCTTAAACATTGCCACCAAGTACATTAAGGAAATCTCCCCAGAGAAGGAAGCACATCATATGTTTAAGGGGGCAAGTAACAGTTGATTTTCAAGCATCTTAAATAGTGGATGGCAATCTTAGGTTTTCCAAAATTTTCAAATTTTTGTATTTCTTCTATCAGGTCCATAAGGACACTTGAAACTCATTGCACGTGGTACTCTATGGAAGGAAGTGTCAATGATGTGGAAAACAACTCCGATAGAGAGAACATCATGAGAGCTTGGAATGATTACATCATTGGCAATGCCATCATTGTTATAGAAAAGCCATGAAAGCCATCAAGCCTGAAACAACAAATTCCTTCTGGAGAATACTGTGTATAGATGTGCATGGCTTCACAGGATTTATGACTGAGCCAATCAACGAAATCATAAAAGAAGTTGTGCATATGGCAAAAATAAAAAGGTGGGGGTAAAGGGTTTCAAGATATGGGTCTTGGATTAATTCAGGACCTAATAAACACCACACCAGAGAAATTCACAATGGATGATTTGATGGAGATGAGTGCTTTCAAACCAGTGCCAGATGATGAGGAGGAAGGCATAGAAGATGCAGGGCCAGGAAACAAGTTGACTTTAGACACTCTGGGAGGAAGGATCCAGTTATTCAAGAATGCTTTTGACTTCTTTCATATGACATGGACCCTTCTACAATACAGGCAATAAGATTAAAGCAAATGATAAAGAAGAATTAGTACTGTATAAAAACATTTTTAGAGAAATGAGAAGACAGGAATTCAGATAGAAATTATGATGTATTTCTGTAAAGTTACACTGAGTGTGCCTGCTTCTTCTGACTCCTCTTCCATCTCCTCCATATCTTCCACCTCTATCACCCCTGAGACAACAAGACCAACCCCTTGTCTTCCTCCTCCTCAGCTTAGTTGATGCGAAAACAACAAGGATAAAGATCTTTATGATGATCCACTTCCACTTAATGAATAATAAATGTATTTTTTAACTTATTATTTTCGTAGTAAGATTTTCTCTTCTGTAGCTTACTTTATTGTAAGAATACATTATATAATATACATAACATAAAATATGTGTTAATCAACTGTTTATGTTATCAGTAAGGCTTTGGGTCAACAGTAAGCTATTAGTAGATAAGTTACTGGGGAATCCAAAGTTACATGCGGCTTTTTGACTGCAAGAGGGCCCGGTGTCTCTCACCCCAGCATTGCTCAAGGGTCAACTCTGTATTTCATGACAATTTCTTAACTACTTATATTTAGATTTGGTATAAACAGCAACAGCAACCAAAGAGAACCTTATTACAGCAAAAAAGTTTCACTCTGTTGTTTCCACCCAGACCCTCTGCAACCTCAATACTTCCCACTGATTTCTGAAAGCCCTCATCACTCTCCGGAGGAAACAAAATATTGACATTTTGTTCAGGCTCAGGTAAGATAAAGTGAAGAGGATCATTATTTGGCTTTTGAAGAATAGATGTTCATAGGTTTATATTTCAGGTTAAGATTGTTAAGAGATTGACTTAAATATAAGATTTTAGTATAAAAAATGTAATGAATGCTCACCCCTCTTTTTTGACCTTGGCTAATGCTGCTGCTTAGCTGGGGACCCTTATGTGAATGAGACAATATTGTATTCGGAGCAGCAGGCCCTGCTTTGAAGTAGTTCCGTTCTCTTCTGAAAACTCAAAGCTGCTTTCATGCAAGTACTGTTGATTAAAAAATTATTTCTCCACATGAAGCAAAAAAAAAAAAATGTTTCATAAGTATCAGCATTGAGAATGTTCAATTTTAAGGAAGTCTCCCATCCTGGATTTTCTAACTTTGAAGATATTACTAATAACACTAACCATTGTTTTTGCTTTATTTTTAATCACTATCTTATTTTTTCTGACTTCGTAATTTCCATTTCATAAGGATAACAGGTAAAGGGCATTTTTTGGCCTCTAAATAATTAATCATAACTCTAGTGACACATTTCAAAGGGCCAGGAGCAAATCAGTATTCACAGTAAAAGCTGAAGAGTCGGCATTTGCCTTTCTAAATTCTCTGTTGTTTAGAAAATTAAATAAACTGTTGTTTAGAAAATTTTTATGCATTGCCTGAACTTGGAAATTTTGCATAGAATTTGACTTTCTGATTTAGAGTTTTAGTTCCAGATGTTTTTTGTGCCTATTTAACAGAGGTATTGCTTATGAGTGCTTAAGAATGATTTTTGCAGTAGAATATCTCATTGATTAAGTACTACTATTGTTTGATTTCAAGGATGGTCCCCACAAAAATGGCTTGCACTTGTTCAAGTTCTACTCTACACTTGAATTTCCATTATAATTATAATTATTTTTTGACTCCTGTACCAAGTGAACTTTATGCTGTTTATTCTTAAAACCCTTACAGGAGCAAATGATTGATCTTAAATATATTTGCATGGGCCAAGGGAAAGCTTCTCTGCCTTCTGAAGGTTTGCTTGAAAAATCAACTCCCAAAAGGAGATTAATATGACATACAGATTTATTAATGTGCACATAAGGAAGAAAGAATGGGAGCTTGGATCATGGCAAAACAGGTTATCGTGGTAAACAGATTCTGGGAGAGGGAGAAGAGGAAGCGTGGCTGGCCAAGGTGGTCTTGCTATGTAGATGAAACCTCACAGGTAGCAGCTGTTAGACCGAATAGATTGTAAGTGTGTCTTTTAGACCTTTCTAGGTGTCAGACTGTCAGTTAACCTTCCCTAAATCCAGACAAGAAAAGGCCTGGCTGCATCACTGCAGATTCTGCACAGAACCAAATCTCCCCCACCAAAGACAGCTTTGCAAGGCCACTTCTGTTTGCTGGTTCTCTGAACATTCATCTCAAAATATGTCTACAAAGTGTATTTTGCGGTACAGTATTTTGATTTCTTTCATTACATAAAGGGTTAAGTTCCAATTTAACTTTTAAATATCTTTATTGAACTTAATTGAATTCAGTACCCTACATTGTCTTTTGTTGTCCCAACCACTAAAGGTAAGAGCAAATGCAAATTAAACATGAAAGGGTTAATTAATTCACCCTATAAAAAATAAAGGGAGAGACAGCTCCTTCTTCTACTTCTTAGAGGATTCATTTTAGAAAACTCAAGATTATAGCTTCCTTCTCTGTCTCTTTGAGATGCATGTAAATTTTTTACAAGCTAAATACATCTTTTTGCCAGTTTTATATTCCAGTAACATCTCTCTCAAAAAACTGGGAGCCATCCCTTTGAAATATAATTATCAAAGATAACACTCTTATCTCCAATTATCTGTGGGAGGGTAGGAGCCTAACTTCTGTGGACACCTGGCTCCCAGTTGTATAACTACTTCCTGTCATAAATATATGAATAGTTTATTTTTCCTTTGAATAAAGCCAATTAGCTAACACAGATGGTGACCACAATTACCAGGTGAATCTAGGATAAATTATGTGTAACAAATGTTAGTGTCAAGTCCTCTTTCTTGAGGACTAGTTATTGTTTATCTTGAAAACATGTTTGTAATGTAAAATATGTCTGTTTAGCTATATAAAATGGTAAGATTTCTTTGTCTTTGCAATTTCTCAGTAGACTACCTATGATATGCATCACATTCTGGTTTAATGCTCATTCAATAATAAGCCATTTTCTTTCTCTGCTACATTTGTGGGGAGTTTTTTCTGGATGGGAAGAAAATTTTGCTTTTAATTATGTTTTCCCCATATCAGCAATATTATTCCCCTCATTTCCGATGTCCACACACACAATTCACACAATTATTCCTCATGTTCATTTATAAAAGAAAGATAAGGACAATAGCTAAAAATCACATGTAAAATGACGTGTAACTGCCCAATGGGTTCATTTTGCCTGCTGCCTAAATAAAGCCAATTTATCAAGACAGGGGAATTGCAATAGAGAAAAGAGTTTAATACATGTAGAGTCAGCTAAGCAGGAGACTTGAGCTTTATTAATGCTCAAATCATCCTCCCCCAAAATTTGGAGGCTGTAGTTTTTTAAAGATAGTTTGGCGTGCAGCGGGCTTGGTAAGAGGGAATGCTTATTGGTTGGGTTAGGGATACAAATCACAGAGAGTCAAGGCTGTTTTCTTGCACTGAGTCAGTTCCTGGGTAGAAGCCATAAGACCAGATGAGCCAGTTTACTGATCTAAGGGGCACCAACTGATCTATTGGAATGCAGGGCCTGAAAAATATCTCAAACACCAATCTTAGGTTTTATGACAGTAATGTTATCAACAGGAGCAATTGGGGGGGTTAGAGATCTTGTGGCCTGTGACTGCATGACTCCTGAGCCATAATTTTTAATCTTTTGGATAATATGTTACTTTCACAAAGGCAGTCTGGTTCCTAGGCAAAGAGGGGATCGGTTTTGTGGAGGAGATGTTATCATCTTTTGTTAAACTATAAACTAAATTCCTCCTACTGTTAGTTTAGCCTACGTCCAGGAAAAAAATTAGGGGAGCTTGGAGGTTAAAGGCAAAATGGAGTCAGTTAGGTCATATCATTCACTGTCATAATTTTCTTACTGTTATAATTTTTGCAAAGGTAGTTTCATTTACATACAGTGAGAATATACACATATGGTTATCATACAAAGTAGAAGGTAACTTCCAGTTTTCTGAAAATAACTGAATACTTATCAAATATGGTAGTTATAACCTATTGAAATCCTGAAGAGAAATAGAAAGCAATACTTAGTCTACTGTAAAATGACTCAAACCAACATACTCTTTCATGATTTGTGGGTTTTTTTTTTTTTTTTTTTGAGATAGGGTCTCACTTTGTCACCCAGGCTAGAGTAAAGTGACGTGATATTGGCTCACTGCAGTCTCTACCTCCTGGGCTCAAGGGTTCTTCTCACCTCGGCCTCCCAAGTAGCTTGGACTACAGGCGAATGCCACCACATCTGAATTTTTTTTTTTTTTGTATTTTTTATAGAGACAGGGTTTTGCTATGTTGTTCAGGCTGGCTTCCAACTCCTGAGCTCCAGTGATCTACCTGCCTCGGCCTCCCAAAGTGTTAGGATTACAGGTGTGAGCAACTGCGCCCGGTGGATTTGTAGGTTCTTCTTGGTATAAATTACCCCCCACCTTTAAACCACAGGGCTAGTCTCCTCCCCCACAACAAATTATCTTGGCTCCATCTATTATAAGAGTCAATCGAAGATTCATTCTGGCCTCTGGAGACATCATGAGCTAGCAGACACACAAGCTTGTAGCCCATTCTGAAAGCACACCGAGTCCTTTCTTTCTGCCTTTAAGGTCATGGACTACATCTGGCATGAAAGTTTCCATATGTACAGCCTGAAGGTAACATAATTATTATCAGGGGTATTCATGATCACATTCCTCTGCTTCAGAGACAGAGAAGGGGTATTTGAGAAGTTGTAAAAGCTTAGACTTGAAGCCAGGCAGGGAGTCCTCTTGCTCTTTCTTTTCACTAAGTTGTGTTGTGTGCATACAATGACTTGGCAATAACTATCATGACTCACATTACTTGACAATTGGCCTTATGCTATGACCTTCTAAGGAATTATTTTCTGCAATCTCACAATAACTTTCTGAAGGGATCCCAACTGGAGGTGAGGAATCTGTGGTATGGGGAGGTAGAGAGGCTGATCCAGAGCCACAGAGTTGGCAGAATAAGGCTGTGAGGAGGCCTTTGAGCCCAGGGGGCTTGACTGCAAAGCCAGCTTAGTGACCACTGAGCCAAAGGCCTTGGTACAGGGAGCCCATATGTGAATGTTTGGGCAGAGTAGGCGAGGGCTCGTCAGGTTTTATCAGGGCCTTTTCAGGTTGTACCTCATCTGAGTGCCAAGTTTCAGGGTGTCAAACTTGTGGATGGAGCTTTCCTTTCAGGAGTCTTAAGGCCCTGTAGATCCACCCCGACAAGAGCTGGGGTATAAAAAAAACACAGAGCACATTCCTTGCTCCCTAGAAATCCATGGGGAAACACAGCTAGTGTTACAGCAGGTGCGTTCCTGTGTTAGGTCTTGCTGCACAGGTACTTAGGCTTTGCAAGTGGGCCCAGCAGTATCCTGACATTCTTCAAAGTAAATGGGCTTTCTTTAGTGCCCTCTAAGTGCATCTTAGAGAGAAGGAGTTAATTTTTCAAAAGGCAAACTTGGAATAAGGACTTATTGTGGACATTCACTGGAAATTGGTGATGAGATTTATTCTTTTTCTTTTTTTCTGGGACACTAAAAGGAAGCACCACCTCTCACTGCCGCAAGAAATGAATGGAATATATGTGATTTTATATGCCTGTTTTTTCTTAAACTCACTGACCTTTTTCTTCCATATAATATTGTTGACAATAAAAGCCAAGCTCTGTAAAATATTTGAAGGGATTTATTCTGAGCCAAATGTGAGAACCATGACCCACCGCAGAGACTCAAGAGGTCCTGAGAAGATGTGCCCAAGATAGTGGAGTTACAGCTTGATTTTATAGGTTTTAGGGAGACCTAGGATATCAATCAATACATGTGAGGTATACTTTGGTTCAGTATGGAAAGATGGGACAACTTGACAAAAGGGACTTACAGGTCAAATGTGGATTCAAAGATTTTCTGATTGGCTAGTGATTGAGAGATTTAAGTTATTATTTAAAGACCTGGAATCAATAGAAAAGAATATCTGTGTTAACATAAGGGGTTGTGGAGACCAATGTCCTTATTATGTAGATGAGGCCTTATAGATGGCCATCCTCAGAGGCAATAGATGGCAAATGTTTTCAGAGTCTGAAAAGGTGCGAGACTCTCAGTTAATCTCTTCAGGATCAGAAAAAGATCTGGAAATGGAATAGGATTCTCTATACAATGTAAATTTCCCCTGCAAGAGACAGCTTTGCAGGGTCATTTCAACAGATGTCAAAGAAATACATTTTGGGGTAAAACATTTAGATTTTTTTCAGGCCTGCTATCTCTCATGCAATGCTATACAAGAGTCAGGTTGTAATTTGATATCTTACTGTTACAATGAGTCTGTTATGTCAGTCTTAAGATCTCTATTTTAATGTCCATGTTGGTAAGATGTGCCTAAATTCCAAAGGGAAGAGAGTATAATAAGTCACGTCTGACTCCCCTTCCCCTAATGGGCTGAGCTAGCTTTTCAGGTTTCTTTGGAATCCCCAAGGCCAAGAGGAGGGGTTCATTCAATTGATTGGGAGGCTTAAAATTTTATTTTTGGTTTGCAACATAATGTACCCATCACTTTATAATAAAAAAAGAAAAATGAGCCCAACTGCATTTTCTTCCTAACTGTTATTTTGGCAAATGTTTCTCATTTTGGCATATATTTTTGTAAAATTCTAAGAAAAATATTCTGTGTGCACAACAAGGATAAGAGTGATACCTGATCTCCAAGTGGAAACTGCAATGTTTCTTGCCAATAACCTGAGTGTGTTAGGATTTGTGTGGCCAAAGTCTGTCTCACTAAGAATAGAAAAGGGGAAATATTACAACAAGCTGTTAGTATAGGAAGTGTTGGGAAAGCAAGCATAGTCACTGAGCAGAATGAACAACTGTTTTCCTTTACCATGTACCTCATAGGCTTGTTTTCTTTTGTTTCTTTTCATGGGAGTCCATAGCCTTGGTAGTTTCTCTTTTGGATTCAGTTTCAAATTGCATCTGCTGTTGTTAAACATTTTAAGGAAGATGTAATTATTAAGCAGGTACTGACTAGTCTATGAAGTTGTGAAATGGAACCTATTTAATAAATCACCTTACCCCATGATGAGCTCGTCTCCTCCAGAGACGAAAATTTTTCTGGAATAATGCCTGGCACTAGCTGCTAATGTATATTGTTAAAATACTAAATAAAAGTTAGATATTTGTTTTACATTTAAGTTTTGCTTGTCATCAATTTCCATATGAGGGTCATTCTGAAATGTGTGGTCAGGTAGGGACATTTACTTTGAAATACTTTGTTCAGAGAAGCCAATTAGCTGTCATTTGGCTTTTAAAATACCACTGTCACAATAAATTCTAATATATACACTGTTCGAAAAATAAGGATGTTTGGAACTTTTTTAGCTTTACTAAGCCGTCTGGTTCTTACTTCCCAATAGAGTTTCTATAGAAAAAGGAGTAGGAACACTATTAAATCTGAGCAACTCAGCTTACTCAAACTTTGAAGTCATATTATCAAGAGCTTTCGGCCCTTAAAAGGAATAGAAAAATGGTTACATATCATTCCAACTCAAAAATAACATTTCATGAATATTTCATATAAATCACTGTCCTTAATTTAAGCCCTAGCTTAATGTGGTTATTTCACTTTGGAATACATTTATCAGATATTATTTCTGACAAAATGATGAACTTTAAACTTTGTAATTATAAGTTCAAAATTAGATTTATTGCCAGAGTTTTGATTTTGTTCTATTTTAATTAAAAAATGAATAAGTTCTGATACAAATGTCTCTATTTTTTTCCAAATGCCAGAATTATTGTGGTAGAAACAACATTACATATGAAGAGCTGTGCGTCGTTTAATTAATAGCTGCATATTTATTTGTTAATTCCAAATAACTAAAATGACTAAAAGTAATTAACAACAAAGAACTTGTGTTCTGTGTACTGTAACAATCCAGGAACTGGTGATATAGAGATGGCATATTGGTCCTTAACCTTGAGAGTCTAGTGAAGGACAGACAAGCAGAGTGCTATGGGAGCCCAGAGTCAGGGAGGGAAAAACAGTTAAGGTGAATGGTGTAGGGCAGCTAGTCAGGCAAAGAGGAGAAGAGGGGAATCAGGGAGCAAGGAACTACACAGAAAGGGAAGTTGACAGATTCAATAGACAGCAAGGACTCCACAGAGAGAACTAGGGCTGCAGGAGGGCTGAAGGCAGACAATAATGATGGAGGCATAAGCAATGGCCAGATTAAAATAGCTTTTGTGACATGCTAAATATCTATCCCCAGATGATGAAGGTTCATTTTACAGGTGTCTTAGGAATAATCGTTTATTAACTCAAGCAACTTGTTTATAGTTGTTGATACATCATGATAATATAATATTTTAAAATTTTCTACCATTCTAAGGTGCTGTATTTGTGTATGTATTTTACACACAGACACAAAACTTTTAATCTTCACAGCAGAGTCAATGATTTATACATGCTTTTAAGATATGTTGCAAACACTAAGAAGTGCTGCAAATACTGAAAATACGTACGTTTTTTTGTTTTGTTTAAAACAGATGTAAGAAATTTCCTCTTTGTATATACAAGAAAGCTCTTTTTATCTTCTGCCTTTTAAGAAAATATTTACCTAATACTGAATCATAAATGGAAAACATTTTCATATCATCTGAGAGCTTCCAAATCTTCTCAAACTATACTTTATCACAATTACTATTTTTTTTAATAATGCATTAAACCAGGCTTAAGTAAAATGATAATGAGTATTCAGTAAGTCTGACTTGTGCTTCTTCAGCAACACCTGGGCTTATTCAAGGCAATGTTTGATGGCAAACACTATTCATTGCTTCCAGCACTGGCTGCCCGTTTGAGTCAGCTGGAGGGCTTTTAACATAGCATGTAGAGCAAGCAAGAAAATAACATTTTTTTTTGCAGGGGGCGGGGAATGATGTTCTGAGAAGAGAAATGTAATTACAAAGTTGAGAGATCATATTAGCAAACTTAAGCTCTACTATTTACCATTTCTGGCCTGTAGAATCAACTTTACTTTAGAAAACCTAACAGATGAATTGCTTGAATTATGATTTATTTATGCCAAGAACTAAAAGAAACTTTTAAAACCCCAGAAGCTAATAACTCATATATTGATCTGTAGGATACTCAATCAATGGAATTCAAAGAAAATTTACACTTTAGCTGCAAAACCACATTTTACCTAACAAGGTTAATTTATCTCAATGTCCTGTTTAAAATATTTTGTTTTGTTACTAGCTTTTTTCAATGAGATGATATTAAGTGACTTGTAGGTATAAAGATTTATGATGAATTTAAAAAATAAAATCATGCAAAGCAACTGTTTTTTTTCCCAAAAACTTTATTGTTTTTAATTGTTTAAGATCATCTTTCCTATCTTCATAACCCCAGAATCCAGGACCATCTCTATGCACCAGGTGCCAGGCCCACCCCAGTGAACTTTGATTCTAAGTCCACCAGGCCAGTTCCTGTGGACTTACAATCAGGTGCAGTCCATCGAACCTAGCAACCAGACTTGTCACAGTGCCAGGACAGCTCCGATAGACACAGGGTTAAGGCCTACCCCAGAGCTAAAGTTGGCTCCCTGTGAACCCAGGCTTCAGGTCTAGCCCTAAGCATTCAAGTTTCAGGCCTGCCCTTGCAGACCCGAGTATCAACCAGGCTGACTTCTGTGAACCCAGGCACCAAGCCCATCTCTCATCTAATCACTGACCCATGCACCATGAAAGCCCACCCAAACACTCCAGCAGCAAGCCAACCTGACTGACCATTTCAGAGAAGGCCCATTCGTGGATCCTAATATTTAGTCAGAATATTGGACAGGCTGTGTATTATTCTCTTCTCACACTGCTACAAAAATACTACCAAGACTCAGTAACTAATAAACAAAGGGGATTTAATTGACTCATGGTTCCACATGGCTGGGAAGCCTCAGCAAAGTTATAATCATGGAGGAAAAAGGAAGCAGGCACCTTCTTCACAAGGTGACAGGAGAGAGAGTGTGAGTGTGTGAAGAAGGAACTGTCAACGCTTATGAAACCATCAGCTCTCCTGAGAACTCACTCACTATTATGAGAACAGCATGGGGGAAACCACCCCCATGATCCAATCACCTCCCTCACTTGACACATAGGGATTACAATTCAAGATGAGATTTGGGTGGGGACACAGAGTCAAACCATATCAGGCTGATTGGTGAAGGACTTTTCCTACCAAAACCAGTCAGTGAAGACTTCAAGAGGTGTCCATTACCTTGAGTGTGGAGACACCATGACAAAGTCACAGGAGTCAAAACTAATCAGAGAAACATAACACTACCAAAGGAAAACACAGACACACACACACACACACACACACACACACACACACACACACAACAGAAATGGAGATCTACAAACCACCTGACAAAAATTCACAATAATTATCTTAAGGAAGCTCAGTGAACTACAGAAAAACTTTGACAATTAAACTAAATCAGGAAAATAATACACAAACAAAATCAGCAGCTGAATAAAGAGAAACTATAAAAAAGAACCAAGCAGGCATTCTGAAACTGAAGAACAAAATGAATAAATTAAAGGTTTTATAGAGTGTTGTGATCATGAATGAAATTAAGCAGAATAAAGAATCTGTGAACTTGAATACAGGTCATTTTAAGTAACCCAGTCAGAGGAACAAAAATAAGAAAAGAATAAAAAGTGAATTAATGTCTATGAGACTTATGGGAGACTATCAAGTATCAAGTGTATAAGTATGCACATTATAGTATTCTCAGAGAAAAAGAGATGGTCAGAAAGATTAAAGAAATAATGACAGAAAACTTCCCAAATCTGGGAGAGAAATGAACAATCAGATTAATAAAGCCCAAAGAACACCAAACACAAAAAAGTCTTCACCAAGCCACATTATTATCAAACTTTCAGAAGTCAAATACGGAGAGAATTTCGAAAACAGCAAGAAAAAAGTAATTCATCACATACAATGGAACTTCCATAAGAATATCAACAGATTTCTCAGGCAAATCCCTACAGACCAGGGAAAAGTGGGATGCTATTCAAAATGTGGAAATAAAAAAAGAAAAATAAACAAAAACTCTGAAACTAATAACGCTATACTTAGAAAATCTGTCCTTCCAAAATGATGAAAAGATATTACTTTCCCAAACAACAAAAACTGAGTTCATCTCTAGTAGAAGTAAATTACAAAAAAAAAAAAAAAAAAAGCTAAATAGAGCTCTTCACACTGAAATCAAAGAATGCCAAAAGGATATAAAAATATAAAATTTAGTGTATATGTAAGAATATAATTCATAAAATGTTATAAGGTAGTGCATAAGTAATTTTTAACTTTAGTATGAAAGTTAAAATACAAAATAAATATAGCTTTAATAATTTTCTAATGGATACATAATATATAAGAGATGTAAATTGTGACACGGATAACAAAGTCGGGGGGCAGAAATTAAAGTGTAGAGTTTTTGTACATGATTGAAGTTCATTTGTTATTGGATTGAAATAGAATGCCATAACTATAAGATATTTAAGCCTAATGGGAACTATGAATGGAAACCTGAAGTAGATACAAAGAGAGAAGGAAAGTAATCAAAGCATAGCACTACAAAAAATTATCAAAGCATAAGAAAGATAACAAGAAAAAGAAAAGCAGAACAAATCAGTCAGAAAACAATTGACAATATGGCAATAGTTAAGTTTTTAACTGCAAACAATTGCTTTAAATGTAAAAGAATTAAATTCTACAATCAAAAATAATAGAATGGCTCAATGGATAAAAAATAATTCAACAATATGTTTCTTGACTCTTTTTAAAATTAAGGACACACATAGATTGAAAGTAAAGAGACAGAAATAGATATTCCATGCTAAAGAGAGTAAAAGGTATCAAAAATAGAGCAGAAATTTCTATGCTTATATCAGAAGAAAGTAGACTTTAATTGAAAAATTGTCACAAGACACAGTCATTGTATAATAGTAAAACCATCGATTAATCAAAGGAATGTAGCAATTTTAAATATACATGCCCTCAACATTAAACTAACTAAACATATTAAACAAAACTCAACATAACTGTGGTGGGATGTAGAGAGCAATTTCACAAGAGTAGGAACTGTAATATTCCACTTTCAAAAATGGATAGATCATTTAGACAGACGATCAGTTTACAAAGAGTAGATTTGAGATACACTATGGAACAAATGCATCTAACAGACAGACACAATATTCCATCCAACAGCACCAGGATAAATATTGTTTTCAAGCACACATGAAACATTCTCCAGGATAGATCATATGTTAGTCCAGAAAGCAAGTCTTAGAAAATTTATGAACATTGAAATCATATCAATTATCTTTTCTGACTAGATGGTATGAAATTAGAAATAACAGGAAGAAAATTAGAAAATTTACACATATGTGGAAGTTAAAAAATATACTCCTGAACCACCAATGGGTCAAAGAAGAAATCAGAAGAAGAATTAAAAAAAAATCTTGAGACAAACAAAACTAGAAACAACATACCAAAACTTATGCAATGCATCAAAGTCTGTTCTCAGAGGGAAATTCATAGCCATAAATGCCTCCATTAAGGAAAAAAAACTACTCAAGTGAACAACATTTCACCTCAATGAATTAAAGCAAGAAAAACAAACTATGCCCAAATGGTAGTAGAATGGAGAAAATAATAAAGGTCAGGGAAGAAATAAGTAAAATAGAGACAATAGAGAAGATCTATAAAACTACGAGTTGTTTTTTGAAAAGATAAGCAAAATCAACAAACTTTAGTTAGACTAACTTAAAAAAAGACTCAAATTATTACAATCAGAAATAAGAGATTTTACAACAAATACCTTAGAAATATAGGAGTCCCACATAATCTGCAGTTTTGTTTTACACAGTTTTAGCTACCCACGGTACAGTATAAGTTTTTGAGAGACAGAGGGAAGATATACATAGCTTGCATTACAGTATATTTTTATGATTGTTCTATTATAAAATTGTTATTGATTATTGTTGTTAATTTCTTACTATGCCGAATTTATAAATTAAACTTTATTATAGGTATGTATGTATCAGAAGTCAATGTTTGTATTGTGGTCACTGGGAAAAGGCTCACCAGGCATAGGCAGCATAAGAATGAGGAACTGGCAGCTAGGCGTGATGGCTCACGCCTGTAATCCTAGCACTTTGGGAGGCCGAGGCGGGCGGATCACGAGGTCAGGAGATTGAGACCATCCTGGCTAACATAGTGAAACCCTGTCTCTACTAAAAATACAAAAAAGTAGCCAGGCATGGTGGCACGTGCCTGTAGTTCCAGCTACTCAGGAGGCTGAGGCAGGAGAATCACTTGAACCTGGGAGGCAGAGATTGCAGTGAGCCGAGATCAGGCCACTGCACTCCAGCCTGGGTAACAGAGCAAGACTCTGTCTCAAACAAACAAACAAACAAACAAAAAAAAGAACAAGAAGAATAAGAAGAATGAGGAACTGGCATTGTTGGGTTCCTTTTCTCACTATGGGGATTTTATGGGATAAATTGTGCCCTCTACAAATCCACATGTTGAAGTCCTAACGCTCAAAACCTCAGAATATGACTATATTTGGAGATACGACCTTTAAAGAGGTAATTAAGATAAAATAAGGTCACAGAGTGGGCCCAAATCCACTATGACTGGTGTCTTTATAAGGAGAAGAAATTTGGATACACACACACGGAATATGACGGAAAGACACAAGGAGAAGACAGCCACCTGCAAGCCAAGAAGAGACCACAGAAGAAGCCAACTCTGCCAACATCTTGATCTTTGACTCGAGTTTTCAGAATTATGAGACAATACACTTCTTTCGTTTAAACCACTCAGCCTGTGGTACTTTGTCCTGGCAACCCAAGCAAGCTAATACAGACAGAGTGTGCCCAGCAAGGAAACTAGGTTGAGGTCTCGTGCCTCCATTGACTCAATTGGAAAACATCTCAAAGATCCAGAGGGAAAATACAGTCCACTGGCCACATGGGACACAGAGGTCTCACCCTCTGAGACAGTTGAACCTCATATTTCCAGCAACTTAGTCAGGGTTGACTCACAATTATTTTGGGCTTTGCCTACAAGTAAAAATCTCATAGCCTGTGGTTCTGTAAGGGCTAGATGAATAGTAAATCCTAAAATACTTTTTGTGTTGTTTTGGTGTATCTAGAAAATATTTAATAATAATTGACAATGCTTATGATGCAGTATTAAGTAAATATGGCATTGCTCAAAGTTGTATAATCTGTATGAAATGCATTTTAAAATTAGGCATGGATATCTGTCGAAGACTGTATTTTAAGCTCTCTACAATTTCTCTCTTAATTGTTCTTGGGGAGTTCAGGGATGTTAGTTATGCATTTGCCAACACTTGAAGAGTCTGTGGGTTGCAAAAACACTTAGAGTCCAAAGCACTATTTAAATATAAGTTTATTAATGTTTAAAGATGCAGCACAGCTTACTGCATTTTTACTGTCAAGTGTACTGCATGTTAAGAGGGAGATTAGGAATAAAAAGAGCCCACATCGATGAAAAAGAAAATATCTTCTGTTACCTGCTGAATCTTGCCTCTTCACATATTATCAGGCCGAACTCCTGAATTTTTTCTCATTAATTTTTTATTTGTTCACCGTATATCACCCATTGCTCCTTTTATGAGTTCATAAGAAAGAGTATAAAACCATGTTTCCTTGGGCACAATTTCCTTAAACAAGTTTTAATAAAACATTCATTCAGATTTGCGAGTTGCACCTGGTGCTGTCAGCACTTCCAGCAGCAGGTGCTTCTTGCCTGTGTTACTGACGTTACAACAGGAAGCATTAAGAGCAAAGTCTGGACATTGTGTCCTAACCCTGGAAACACCTTCAAAGACATTTTAAGCCTGATTCCCTGAATGTTCACATGTAAAATCATACAGTACAAGTAAATACCCATTTTCTTGATGATATTGACACACAGAAAATAAACAACCTCTCTCTGTTTGTCATCACTTCCAGACTCACAGTCTTCCTAAAATAGCAGTCCATTTTTCTGGACCTTGCTTGTAAGGTGTCTGGATAATAAATGATTTAAATAAATGTTCTCCATCTCAGATCCATTTCTTTTTTGTCATCTCCTGCTCTCTTGTCTGTTGGTGGAAATAGGTCTGGTAAGTCTTCCAGACATGTGCAGACAAAACAATAGTACAACAAACAAACAAACAAAAAACTACTCTGGGTGATAAAGCTGTAACAGATTGAGTGTAAGCCATATGTCAGACAACATTCTAGTCATTTTCCATGTGCTTATTTTCACAACAATAGAGCAAATAAGTATGAGTATCTCCATTTTACAGAAGAGAAAACAGAGACTGAGACAAGTTGAAATAATTGGCAAAGAGACTTTCTGATTTAATCTGCTTTCACCCCTATGGCAGTGAATCTAATCGATCTTAATTTTGGAGACTGAGGATAAGGTAGTGAGAAATAATGTAATTGATGGATATTGAATTTTGTATAAATATGGGTTTAATTGACCATCTTTCTACAGAGTTAGGCTGCACAAACGCAGGGATTGTGAACGACTGTGTTTCCACTGCATCCTCAACATAGGTAGGAGTTCTGGGACTTCACAGAGGCTTGTTCCATACTGAAGAATGAATGAGTGTATTGAGCTTTCAATTCTAGTAACATCTCTACTGAGAAGAGTGTCTTTAATAGGAATGTTTATCCCCGAAGGCGTCGAAGATCTACTTACTCTTCTGTCTTCCTGGTTATTCTTATTTCCCAATTCCGTGTCATAGTTGATCACTCCATCTCTATTTCAAAGAGTTCTGTTCTCCCATCTTGACCTAAAACTTGTTATAACTTTTGGGAAACAGGAGGGTTTATCTCACATTTGTTTTAAGTAAAACCCCTTGTCTGCAGCTTGTTGGGTGTTGGTTTCATGACAAAACTCACCGTTCTTTAAAAGACTATGGGCCACCCGCTTCACCACAATGGGGCCTGTCATAGGCTCCTCAGACCTCAGTCTCTGTCACGCGATGCTACTCACTTGAAAACAGACACTGAGGCCCCCCGACATCCTAGGTGGGCTCGCATGAGGTCCCATCACACTCTTCTTACCCAAGGATGTAGCAGGCATGCCCCATTTTTGGCCGAGGGTTCAGAGGGTACCTAGTGGATAATGCACAAACATTATCTATGGACAAACTCGAATACAGCAAGAGAACTGACCATGGTGAGAAAAAAGGACAACTCCACAGGATTCCTGAGTGGGGTAGGGAGGCCACCCTCACAAGGTGAGGACCCATCCAACTCCACAGGAGTCTTAAGCGGGGCAGGGAGGCCACCCTCACGAGGCGAGGACCCATCTGGAGACAGAACAAAACTTTTGCTTTCTTTATTCCCCCTTCACCTTCAGATTCTACCCATGGGCCTCTGGGGAAAACAGCAATGCCACTGTCCTCTGAAAACAAGCGTCATGTGTCTGTGAAAAACAGCAAGACCAACTTGAATGTAAAATTGAGTGGTGTTCATTCCGGATTCACATATACGCTTGCTTGTACGATTTCATTGATCTTTCAGTGGAGAAATATGCTCAGCCAAGAATCTTTGCCAATGTTACTGGAAAACAGAGAGTGCTATGTAAAGAGAATAAATAATGCCAAACTGCGATCATAATTTTCATTTTATACACAAAATAATGTGGCATTGTATTTGTCCACTCTTGCATTGCTATAAATGCCTAAGACTATGTAATTTATAAAGAAAAGAGGTTTAATTGGCTCACAGTTCCACAGACTGTACTGGAAACATGGCTGGGGAGGCCTCAGGGAGCTTTTACTCATGGGGGAAGGTAGAACTGGAGCAGGCATCTTCTCATGGCAGTAGCAGGAAGAAGAGTGAGAGCAGGGAGTTGTTACACACTTTTAAGCAACCAAATCTTGTGAGAACTCACTCACTATAAAGTGCCAAGGTGAGATGATGCTAAACCACGAGATACTGCCCCCATGATCCAATCACCTCCCATCGGGCCCTACCTTCAACACTGGGGATTGCAACTGAACATGAGATTTGGGTGGGGACACAGATCAAAATCATATCAGACGTTTCCCTGATTACTAATTTTAATCTATTTTCTTAAGTTTTGTTACATAATGAGCAAGGGACTTATTCACCAAATCACTTTGTAAGCCATTTGAGCCCAACAGCAGTGGAGGGAAGAGGTGTCATAGAGTTACATTGGGAGAAGTTGAAATGATTGAATTACATAATTACAATATTTGCAGTGATGACATTTGACTTTTTTGATTTGGAAGTAATTTTTTTGCTTCAGTTTTGCATCTTTTTTTAAAATATTGTCTAGGGGATTACATTTGTTATTTGGGTTGTTCCTCTTGGTTAGAAACTCTCACCTTCTGGGTAGGTGTTGTATTGAAGGACTATGTGTCCTGCTGTATCTCTTGTGGCTTATTAAATCCAGGTGCTATTAAGCATAGTTATTGAATTTCTTAATTTTCCTGCCCCTCTGCTGAAGTGCTCCTGTAGTTTACCATGCTTACACAGTCAGGTTAATGAGGTACTTGCCCTTTGAGATAGCTGTTATCACAAGGAGCAATTATCTCACTGTGGTAGGGTTTAATCTCCCAGGTCATCTTTCACACCGAGGTAGGAAAGGCAATGTTGCTACTGAAGAGCTCCTTAAGGGGGCCTCTCTAGATTCCAGTAGAAAATTAAAGCATTGTGTGAGGCTTTTAGTGAACGTACTTCCTGTGTTACCTCAAACCTGATCCGTCACCATCTATTCTGAGTAAGTATCCCAAGACTCTCCTTAGATGTTTGCAAGGAGGCTCTGGAGTCAGGGCAGGCCATGAACCTGCAACTTGAGCAACTGCACAGGGCCCCATGGCAGAAGGACTCCAGGCTTCATTTAATGCTCTGCTGTTTTTATGCTGAGTCTTAACAATTTTTAAAGAAGGGATTCTGCATTTTCATTTTCCACTAGGGCCTACAAATTCTCTGGTTGGTTCTGTCTAGTTGAGGCCTGGGTAACCTTCTAAAGCAGGCTTAGACTTGGTCCTAATTATTCCTTCCCCTCTGACTTTGCAGGAATCTTCATTTCTCCATAATTCCTTCTCTGGAACTTGTGCCTTGCTTCCTTGGAGCCCTGCCTTCTTTGGGTGGCAGTGAGTTGGGGGGAGTCGGGTGGGGGCAGGGGTTGCAGGGACAGAATCATCTAGGGAATGGGCCCGTGAGCAAATATGCTATGCACTCTGGCTGTATGATGCTTTAGTCTGGAAAGAGCAACGACTAATGATGGCTAATTCTAGAATTTCAGGTGTCGCACATGAATTAGCTGAAGTTTTAGTCTAGAGGAAAAGTTGGGAGCCCACAGTGGTGACTATCAACGACATCTCGCAAGTACCCACGTGCAGTAAATACTATTTCCTCATTGTGTCCTTCCCTCCTCCTTACTTCACTTCCTCCCACTTCCATCCTCAATCCAGTGGGACCTTTTAGTGAGCCCCTGAACTATTTTTTTTAAAACAAATAAATGAGATGCAAGTTGTCCAGGGTCTTCTGTAGAGTGTGGAAAGAGGGTTTTAGACTTCACTGCACAGATCTTGGTGGAGAAATCAGACAAGCAGCTCTGGCTTCTCCAAGGGCTGGTGTTTACTTATCTCCCTTTTCTGTTTCCTGCTGCTCTCAAGTCTTTCAGTTCTTGTAACCACCTGCTTGTGTTCCCCCTTCCTGTCAGCCTCTCTCCACAGGACCCCCTTCTGGGACATCATTTCATTCCTATTTAAAGGGAGGAGGAAGCACCTGCTCTCTAATTTCGTCTATCTGCAAAATGTGGCTTTGGGCACCTCACTGAGATGCTAGGTTAGAATCGTCATCTTCCGTGTGTGTTCCCGTACAAGCACTCATGTATGCCCTTGCCTTGGAACTCCCATCAGGGACTAAAAATTATTTTAAATTTGCCTCCTGAAACATATCCATGTGGCTGTGGCACCTTGGTCAGGACATAGTTCCCTGTTAGCTCAGGCCTACCAGGGAGATAGCGCTTATATCTGAGCCTGGTTTCAGTATTTATTACACTTACATGGACCCAGGAGGAAGCATCCCTTACTCCAGATTATTTTGGTAGTTCATTAAGGGATTTTTGAACAAAACAATGTACATTTTTTAAGGTGATATTATAATATTTAAAGTGGAAAAACAATCTCTACGCTCTTGCCTTTAAACATAGGGTGGCAAGTAAGCACCTCCCAAACAAGCTCCACTTTCTTTCCTTCTGTTTAAAATTCTGTGTAATTATCTGAGATTGGTGACTTTCTGATAAAACAGTCTACTTCAGCTCCAGTAATGAGTCCTTCATTTATCTTGATTAATTTTTAATGCTAAAGATTAATGTAAAATCTTCTTTAAACATTTGCCATGAGGTAAGAAAAATAATTTATTTAAAAGTCCATGGAGAAATTCATTTGAGGGCCAAATTCTCTGGCAGATACTTGGCTTCTTCACTGATGCTGTGATTCTAGTCCTGAACACATGGAATCAATTGTCACAGTGAGGTGTGTTTTAAATGGGGGTGTTACGGTTTGGCTATGTCCCCCCCCAAATCTCATATTGAATTGTATCTCCCATAATCCCCACATGTCATGGGAGGGACCATGTAGAGGTAATTCAGTCACGAAGGCAGGTCTTTGCTGTGCTGTTCTCATGATAGTGAATAAGTGTCATGAGATCTGATGGTTTTATAAAGGGCAGTTCTCCTGCACATGCTCTCTTGCCTGCCAAAATGCAAGATATGACTTTGCTCCTCCTTCACCTTCCACCATGATTGGGAGGCCTCCCGAGCCATGTGGAACTGTGAGTCCATTCAACCTCTTTTTTAAAATAAATTACCCAATCTTGGGTATTTCTTCATAGCAGTAAAAAAATGGACTAGGCCGGGTGCAATGGCTCACGCCTGTAATCCCAGCACTTTGGGAGGCCAAGGCAGGAGGATCACCTGAGGTTGGGAGTTCGAGACCAGCCTGACCAACATGAAGAAACCCTGTCTCTATTAAAAATACAAAAATTAGCCGGGCATGGTGCCCATGCGTGTAACCCCAGCTACTCCTGTAACCCAAGCTACTTGGGAGACTGAGGCAGGAGAATCGCTTGAACCTGGGAGGCAGAGGTTGTGGTGAGCTGGGATCACACCATTGCACTCCAGCCTGGGCAACAAGAGTGAAACTCTGTCTCAATAAAAAAAAAAAAAAAGGACTAATACTAAGTAAAATCTACACCCAAAGACCTATTTTACCAGGTTTTATTAAAGATGATTGCTCTCCTCTCCTAAAACTCCCACAACTACTTGGTTAACTAGGTTTTATCTATGCAATGCATTTTTAAAAAATGACATATAACTATATAGCCAAGATACATGATTATTTTAAAAAGCACAATGCCAAGGTGTGTGGAGTTTTGGATTCATAAAAATTTTAAGAAATATGTATTTCCTTTCTCAAAAAATATGTATTTTCCAAACATATATAATGTGTGTATATATGTATATTTGTGCCTGCATAAAATATTTTTTTGAAACATAATAGTGGTTAATTTTGTGAAGAAAGACTGCCCTTGGAGCTTCTATTTTATCAATTATCACTTTATGAACTGGTTGAATTTGTAATTATTAACACAGGTGACTTTTTTATTTTGACGTCAATATGGGCTACCTCATATATTTGTCCAGGTATAAATTAGGCAGAAGTAGCCCCAACAGCTCAGGGGCTTCATATAATCTACATTTATTTCTCACTCACAGAACATATTCACATGCAGTGGCAGGAGGCCTTATTCCTGACAATAGAGGTGCTGCCTCTGTATGGCACGAACTTCTCATTCCAGGGGCAGAGGTAGAGAGACAGGAGAACCAGTGTGCGCTGCTGCCAACTTCAGCCAGGAAGCAGGAAGGAGGCATGGTACTCCTGCTCAGTTTCTATGACCCAGGACAGTTCCAAGGTCTTGCCCAACTGTAAAGAGGACTGAGAATGATAAACATTTTCATTCCAGTGGGAGAGTGAGAGAGACAGGACTTTAGAAACATTACTATGTTCAACATACAAAAGGGAACACTATTTATAAGAAAGCAGCGGCAACATAAAAATGTGTCTTGGGAGCACCTCTCCTAGCCAGCACTTGACTGTTTTTTTTTTTTTTTTTTTTTTTGCTATGTAACTGTTTCGGGTGCTGTGTCCTATTTGACATATGTCAGTGAGGATGCTTCCATCTCTCAGGGTTGGCTCCTCATGGTTGCAAGGTGATTGCCACCATCCTTGGTATCATATGCTCATGCAACTACATGAAAAGCCAGGAAGAAAAGATATTTTGTTTACTGGTTTCTCTTTATCAATATATTAATAAAGGTTAGGTTCAGATGTATGCATTCACAATCTAAATTTCACAGTGGCTTAAATGTACAAGAAATAGTATTAGCAGGTTGATGGAAGCACAGATGTTCTTACACTATTATGAATCAATTTATTATGGTTTTATGTTTCTTCCATTATTATACTCTTCAATCACTAGGGTTTGGTCTTCATTGCATGATCCATAGTGGTCACTGGAGGCCCAGTAATTATACTTACTTTCATAAAAGCAGGGAGAAGAAAATAAACAAGTAAGAAGAACAAAAGGTCTCTGTCTTTTGAGGAAGATTCTCAGGAGCTGCTGCTGACTCTTTGCTTACTAACCATTGTCCAGAACTTAGTGGTGTCATCTTACCTAGCTGGGAGTTTAATTGGGAAATGTAGTCCATATCATGGGGCTACTGTCCCAGCTAAAAATTCTGTTACTATACAAGGAATGGAGAGTGGGCAAGGGGATGACTCATTATTTTTGTCATGATCATGGAGGAAGATGTTTTCTGAAATCCCTTAGGTATTTTTCCCTCTGTTCTCACAGCCAGAATTGAGTCACATGCCTATAGAAGGATAGCCAGATAAAATGAAAGATGTCCAATTAAATTAAAATTTCAAAGAATATGTATATATTTGCAAGGAGGCTCTGGAGTCAGGGCAGGCCATGAACCTGCAACTTGAGCAATTGCACAGGGCCCCACGGCAGAAGGACTCCAGGCTTCATTTAATGCTCTGCTGTTGTTACGTTGAGTCTTAACAATTTTTAAAGAAGGGACTCTGCATTTTCATTTTGCACTAGGGCCTACAAATTCTCTGGTTGGTTCTGTCTAGTCGAGGCCTGGGTAACCTTCTAAAGCAGGCTTAGACTTGGTTCTAATTATTCCTTCCCCTCTGCCTTTGCAGGTTTGGGGTCATCGCTGCCTGAGGCATATGGATTGAAAATAAGGTGCAGATGTTTTCCAAAAGGAATGTGGGACATACCCAAAAACCTATGTCTCTCCAAATATGTGTTTGGGTAGGAATTGGGAAGAACTTCATAGTATGTTGAACCAGAACAATCATTGATGTTTCTACTCACTTCCTACCTTCTTACCTGAGCATTCACCTTCATAACAACACAGACATCACTCAAACAATGAAATTAGAGAGAGACATGAATAGATGTAAAGCCAACCACGTTAGAAAAAGTTAAAAAGGAATGAAAAATGCTAAATTTCTGCCTTTGACATCAATAGATAATAACACTTTATTTATCAAAGGACTAATTTAAAAACATGTCTATATTATACATAGACCAGTTCTGGAATAAAGACAAGTAATAAGAGGAGAAGAAGGGAAGAGAAAAAAGGAAGATAATGAAAATGATGAGGATCGAGCATGGATGGAAAGAACAGAAAGGACAGCAAAGCAAAACAAAAGAAAACAAAAAAAAGAAGGAACCGTGTAAAAAGAAGCTGAAGAAAGAAAAGGGGCTCAACTATTAAAAAGAGAATATTTTTTCTCTTTAGTCAATTTAGGGTGGAAGTTAGATGAAATGTATAAGAATTATATTTTCTATTTTTGTATATGCAAAAACCAGCCATCATATTTTGACCTGGCTGCATGGCATAGAAGGCAATGGAGATAAATATGTGAGGAGCATGTGTTTCAGTAAGATTTCCTTCATGATTTTGATATTAGATTGGCATGACATTGAGTTTTAAGGTCTCTTGGAAGATTTTTTTTCTCTTTAATGAGGTTTAAAAATGACAACTCAGGGAGGTATTTATGTTTTTAAATATTAAGATAAATGAATAATATAAATTGGTATTGCGTGTGTATTTTCTCTTACCTACTGGAGGAGAGTGAAAAGTAAACGAAAATCATAGATTGATTAAAAATTTGTGAATATCTACATTACAGTTGTGTCCAAAAGTTCGGACATTGCAGTTTAAATAGCATTTTCTTGTGGCCAGATTGCCATTGTGATAGTTGGTGTTATTGTCATTTATTTATTTATTTTAATTTTTAGTTGTTATTTTTATTTTATTTTACTTTAAGTTTTGGGATACATGTATAGAACATGTAGGTTTTTACATAGGTTTACATGCGCCATGGTGGTGTGCTGCACCTATCAACCCATCATCTAGGTTTTAAGCCCCACATGCATTAGCTATTTGTCCTAATGCTCTCTCTCCTGTTGCTCCCTACCCGCCGACAGGCCCAGGTATGTGATGTTCCCCACCCTGTGTCCCTGTGTTCTCATTATTCAACTCCCACTTATGAGTGAGAACATGTGGTGTTTGGTTTTCTGTTCCTGTGTTAGTTTGCTGAGAATGATGGCTTCCAGCTTCATCTAGGTCCCTGCAAATAATATGATCGCTTTCCTTTTTATGGCTGCATAGTATTCCATGGTGTATATGTGCCACATTTTCTTTATCCAGTCTATTAGTGATTGGCGTTTGGGTTGGTTCCACGTCTTTGCTATTGTCAATAGTTCTGCAATAAACATATGTGTGCATGTGTCTTTAGAGTAGAATGATTAATATTCCTTACGGTATATACCCAGTAATGCGATTGCTGGGTCAAATGGTATTTCTGGTTCTAGATCCTTGAGGAATTGCCACACTGTCTTCCACAATGGTTGAACTAATTTGCATTACTACTAACAGTGTAAAAGCATTCCTATTTCTCCATAGCCTTGTCAGCATATCTTGTTTCTTGACTTTTTAACAATGGCCATTCTGACTGGCGTGAGATAGTATCTCATTGTGGTTTTGATTTGCATTTCTCTAATGATCAGTGATGTTGAGCTTTTTTTAACATGTTTGTTGGCCATGTGACGGTCTTCTTTTGACGAGTGTCTGTTCATATCCTTTGCCCACTTTTTGATGGGATTGTTAGATATTTCTTGTAAATTAATTTAATTTCCTTGTAGATTCTGGATATTAGACCTTTGTCAGATGGGTAGATTGCAAAATTTTTCTCCTATTCTGTAGGTTGACTGTTCACTCTGATGAGAGTTTCTTTTGCTGTGCAGTAGCTCTTTAGTTTAACTAGATCCCATTTGTCAATTTTGGCTTTTGTTATAATTGCTTTTGGCATTTTTATCATGAAGTCTTTGCCCATGCCTATGTCCTGAATGATATTGGTTAGGTTTTCTTCTGGGGTTTTTATTGTTTTATGTCTTACATTTAAGTCTTTAATCCATCTTGAGTTAATTTTTGTGTAAGGTGTAAGGAAGGGGTCCAGTTTCAGTTTTCTGCATATGGCCAGCCAGTTTTCCCAGCATCATTTATTAAATAGGGAATCCTTTCCCCATTCCTTGTTTTTGTCTGATTTGCTGAAGATCAGATGGTTGTAGATGTGTGGTGTTATTTCTGAGGTCTCTGTTATGTTGCATTGGTCTGTATATCCCTTTTGGTACCAGCACCATGCTGTTTTGGTTATTGTAGCCCTCTAGTATAATTTGAAGTCAGGTAGCATGATGCCACCAGCTTTATTCTTTTTGCTTAGGATTGTCTTGGCTATACGGGCTCTTTTTTGGTTCCATATGAAATTTAAAGTAGTTTTTTCTAATTCTCTGAAGAATGTCAATGGTAGTTTGATGGGAATAGTATTGAATATATAAATTGCTTTGGGCAGTATGGCCATTTTCATGATATTGATTCTTCCTATCCATGAGGGTGGAATGTTTTTCCATTTATTTGTGTACTCCCTTATTTCCTTGAGCAGTGGTTTGTAGTTCTCCTTGAAGACGTCTTTCATGTCCCTTGTAAGTTGTATTGCTATGTATTTTGTTCCCTTTGTAGCAATTGTGAATGGGAGTTCATTCATGATTTGGCTCTCTGCTTGTCTCTTGTTGGCATATAGGAATGCTTGTGAGTTTTTCACACTGATTTTGTATCCTGAGACTTTGCTGAAGTTGCTTATCAGCTTAAGAAGCTTTTGGCCTGAGATGATGGGTTTTCTAAATATAGAATCATGTCGTCTGCAAACAGAGACAATTTGACTTCCTCGCTTCCTATCTGAATACGCTTTATTTCTTTCTGTTGCCTGATTACCCTGGCCAGAACTTCCAATACTAGTTGAATAGGAGTGGTGAGAGAGGCCATCTTTGTCTTGTGCCGGTTTTCAAAGGGAAAGCTTCCAGCTTTTGCTTATTCAGTATGGTATTGGCTGTGGGTTTGTCATAAACAGCTCTTATTATTTTGAGATATGTTCTGTAACTAACTAGTTTATTGAGAATTTTTTAACATGAAGCGATGTTGAATTTTACTGAAGGCCTTTTCTGCATATTGTCATTTATTTTTACTGCTAATTGGCTTCACACTTGTCATGTAACCTTGGTCCTCTGAACAATTTTCTTTCCAGAATATGAAAGTTATATCAATTTTCTTAAATATGGGAACCAAATGAGGTAACATGAAAAGTGTCTTGAAAATTATTAAGTTAAAAACAAAACATTTATAATATCTGATTATATTTATAAATGAGCATAACACATCAACTTTCTTGTTTTATCCTTTATTTTTCACATCTATCTCAGTGGTAAACTGGCTCCAGACTAGTAATTTTTTTATAGGCTGCATTAGTCAGCTCTCACATTGCTATAAAGAACTACCTGAGATCTGGCACTCTATTAAGAAAAGAGGTTTAATTGACTCATAATTCTGCAGGCTGTACAGGAAGCATGGCTTAGGAGGCCTCAGGAAACTTACAGTCATGGCAAAAGATGAAGAGGAAGGAGGCATGTCTTACATGGCCACAGCAGGAGGAAGAGAGTGAAGGGGGAATTGCCACACAGTTTTAAACAACCAGATCTCATGAGAACTCACTTTCATGAGAACAGCAAGAGGGAACTCCATCCCCATGATCCAATCATCTCCTACCACACCCATCCTCTAACACTGGGGATTACAGTTTGAAATGAGATTTGAGTGGGGACACAAATGCAAACCATATTGTAGGTTATCTCTTCCTCTAGAATACACAGAAAAGAACTGGAGTCTAGAATCATAGGTCCTTAAGAACAGGGACTCTTGTTCATTCTTATATTTCAAGAACTTTAAATAAAGATTAGCTTTATTTAAATAAATTAGTTTCAAGTTAATGAATTTTGTCTGTGTGTATTTAATATGACACCTCCCAAAAATAACATCATAATTCAGCATACGAGAGAAACCAATGCTTTCAAGCAGTTGTCATTAAAATACACAAGGCTTATAAGGCAGGTCTTCTGGAAAACTCTGTATGAAATTAATTTGTGTTAATAAATTAGTTTTATCTAGGATTCTGTTCTTACATTATGTGCATTTTTCTTCCAGAATACAGCACTACTAATTATACCTCCTTTTTATATACTTGAAAAAAACTTTTTATTTTATTTTATTTTAAAGTTCTGGGTTACATATCCAGAGTGTGCAGGTTTGTTGCATAGGTATTATACATGTGTCATGGTGGTTTGCTGCACCTATCAACTGGTCATCTAGTTTTTAAGCCCTACATGCACTAGGTATTTGTCCTAATGCTCTCACTCCCCTTGCCCAACACCCTGACAGGCCCCATTGTGTGATGTTCCCCTCCCTGTGTCCATGTGTTCTCATTGTTCAACTCCCACTTATGAGTGAGAAAATGTGGTGTTTGCTTTTCTGTTCCCATGATAGTTTGCTGAGAATGATGGCTTCCTGTTTCATCCATGTACCTGCAAAGGACATGAACCCATTCTTTTTTATGACTGCATAGTATTCCATTGTGTATATGTGCCACATTTTCTTTATCCAGTCTATCATTGATGGGCATTTGGGTTGGTTCCAAGTCTTTGTTCTTGTAAATAGTTCTGCAATAAACATACGTGTGCCTTTATCTTTATCTTGTAAAACAAAAATAACCCTTGTATGCAACGATCTAGATTTGGTCTTTAGAAATGTGGCCACATTTTTATTTCATCAGACAGAAATAATTGAAATACAATGGAACAAAATAACTTCAACCACATAAAGTTCATAAAATTAAATGGGCTCATCCTGTTCACATTCAGAGGAGAATCACTTGTGGGAATGGAAAAAGCAAAAAAGACAGAATGAAATTCAGTTCAATATCCACTGTAAGCTGGCACGTCCAACTTTAATACTAATAACTAAATGTGTAACCCACTGAAGTATGTTTATACTTTTAGCAAAAATATTGCCATTTCTTTTAAGGAATGGCACATCCAATAGCAAAAGCACTGAAAATTTTCTCCTTATGGCCAGGAGAGTTTATAGACAGGAGAGGCAGTCTTCCTAGTCTGGTGTTCAGGTGAAGGTGCTCACACTGCAGCCTGGAGCTGAGAGATCATTGTGATCAGCTGTGATGATGATGAGCAGTTGTTATTGGTGGTGGTTGTGGTGCAGTGGTGGTGGTTGTTATTGTTGTTGTTGGTAGGGTGATTGTGGGCTGTTACTTTTCATGGTGTTGATGGTGTTAAGGAGTATGATGGTGATGGTGGTGGTAGTTGTGGTGAAGGTGGTGGTGGTGTTAGCTCAGCCTTATTCCTGGCATTTCCTGTCTATGTCTACTAGATTGTTATAGTTGGAAGGAACTGGATATCCCTTGGATTATCTAAGCTAAGGAAAGGGCTAGGAGATATGACGAGTGGCGCTAGTATTGTTGGTAGGTATTCAAAAAATGGGAGGAATCAAGAAACTTTGACTTCATGCCTAGACATCTTGGGAACCCACACAAAGTTGTACAAGCATTTTCTCTGAAACACAGGCCAGTTGTTCAGACAGGCCATGGAAAACTAAAGAATGTGGTTAAGTATGTCAGAATCACCAAAATATCTTCCCAAATTTTACCAGGAACTCCCCATTCCACCTAGAATGAAATACACGTGCCTCTGCATGCTCTCCTCGGTCCCACATGGTCTGTGGTCATTCCATCATCTCTCAGGCTCATCTCAGTCCACTGGCTCTTTTCTCATTCTGCTGTAGCCATGTGGACTTTCTCAGTATCAACCTCACTAAAGCCAAGCAAGGGTCTTGCAGTGGTGGAAGGCTATTCCCCAAGTTGCCACTCTCCAGTCTCATGCTAAGGTCCTTATTTCACAGATCTCCTCCTCAGTGAGTCCTCTAATCACCACTCTTGTTAAAGTCTCCTTCCTCAGGCACTCACCTCTATACATCTTATGTTCAGCACTGTTCTCATCTAAAATTATCAATGAGTTTTCTTTGTAATTAACCAGAGCCAGTACAGTCTGCAAATGCAGGTATTTCACAACCTGAATGAAAAAAAATTGAAAAAAAAAGGCAAGCCCTACTAATGAAAGAATGTGACTGTAGCCAGCTCTTAAACAATTGGCTATAGCATGACTGTGAAAAAAAATGGACATTTAGCTAACAGAGTAAGTAAAACTTGGTATGTGCATAGCAGCTGCTTTTTGTGAAAGTTGTGTGGCTAGACCAAAAAAGTGCAACGTGTAAAGTAAAAGATGTGACTAGATATAATAATTATGCAGTGATTAAGAGAGAAAAACCATAACAACTATTGCATCCAGTGAAATCTAGATTTAATTTAAAAAACTGCAAATGCATAGTAATATATTTTATAGTTATACATTTATAGCTACTAAAAGCATTATCAAGTGATTTCCCACAGAAAACAACTTTGTTTCTATGAGTCTGAAATGCTGTCTGAACTCCCTTTTCCTCCATTAAAAAATGAATCTTATAATTTTACTTTTATAATTTTATTTTGCTATAATTTCACATTTACAGAAAAATTTCAAGATTAGTACAAAGAACTTCTGTATACCCTTTACCCAAGATCAGAAATTGTTTATTTTGCCCCATTTACTTTTTCTTTCTCCCTCTCATATGAATATACACATATGTTTATATGTATTATTTTGGAACCATTTTAAATCAATTTCGAGACATAGTGCCCCATTACCTCTAAATACTTCATTGTGTATTGTCTAACATAACCACAATGATCAAAATCAGAAAATTTTGTTTTGATAAAATATTGTATGATTTATAACTCATTGAAATTTTTCAAGTGTCTTAGTAGTAGCATTTATATATATATTTTTTCCCTAATCTATGATGCAATTCGAATTGGGTTAATTGCTGCTAACATCATTCAATATAGAAATGCCTTGGCCTTTCTTTGACTTTCTTAACCTTGTTATTTTTCAATAGTGCAGGCCAGTTATTTTTTTGAATATTTCTTAAATTCAGTAGGTCTGATTTTTACTTATGATTAGTTTCAGCACTGTTGACATACACCACTATAAAAATCAAGTCTAGCAAATAGAGTACAATATTTATTTACAATATATTTAGGTAAAATTGATATATAATGAAGTGAAGAAATTCTTAGCATGCAATGTGATGAGTTTTGACAAATGCATGCACTGTGCTGCTATCAAGATATACAACATCTCCATCTCCAAAAAAAGATCTCTTGAGCTATTTCCTAGTGAATTCCTCTGCTCCCGATGCAATCTAAGTACTGATCCTTTTTTCTGCCATAGATTAATTTTGCCTGTTCAAAAATTTCCCATGAATGCTACTACGTCGTATGCACACTTTTGTATCGAAACTCTTTTGCTCAGCATGTCTGTGAGATTCATACATGTTGTTTTGTGTATCAATAATGTGTTCCTTCCTATTTGATGAGCAGGTGCCTATATGTGAATGTACAACAATGCATTTCTCCACTATTTTTATGATGGATATTTGGGTTGTGTGCTAGTTTTGTATTGGTTGAAGTTCCTCCAAAGTAACAGAACCAGTAGGAGATGTATGAAGGGATTTGTTACAGAAAAGTGGCTTACAAAATTGTGGGGGCTGGTTCCGTAGCTGTAGAGCTGTTATCTCTTTGCTTTGCGGCGCTGTGGTGAATTCCCCGCAGACCAAACCTCCCATTCTCCTTAGCACTGTCAGCTGAAAACCGCCTATTAAAGCCTCAGTAATGGCGGATGCCTCTCCCCACACCAAGCTCAATCTTTCCAGGTGGACTCCAGACTGCTAGGCTGGCAGTGAGGATTTCAAGCCAGTAGTTCTTAGCTTGCCGGGCTCCCTGGGAGTGGGACTCACTGAGCGAGATCACTTGGCTCCCTGGCTTCAGCCCCCTTTCCAGGGGAATGGATGGTTATCCTCTCTCTCTGGGGTTCTACGTGCCACTGGGGTATGAACAAACTAGCTTGGTGCCTGCCCAAACAGCCGCCCAGTTCCGTGCTTGAAACCCGGGGCCCTGGTGGTGTAGGCTCATGAGGGAATCTCCTGATCTGTGGATTGCAAAAAACCATGGCAAAAGTGTAGTACCGGGGGCGGGTAGCACAGTCCCTCATCACTTCCCTTGGCTGGAGGAGGGAGGTCTTATGGGTCCTTGCACTTCCCAGGTGAAGGGACGCTCCACCCTGCTTCTGCTTGCTCTGCATGGATTGCACCCACTGCCTTACCGGTCCCAGAGATCTGAACTTGGTACCTCAGTTGGAAATGCAGAAATCAGCTGCCTTCTGCGTTGGTCTCACTGAGAGCTGCAGACCAGAGCTGTTTCTGTTAATCCCTCATGGCCCCTCCCCAGTGACTCACACTTTCACATGGCTGGGAGGCCTCAGGAAACTTACAATTATGGCAGGAGGTAAAGGGGAAGCACTCACGTCTTACAGGGTGGCAGAAGAGAGTGAGAGTGAGGAAGTGCCACACTTTACAACCATCAGATCGCGTGATAACTCACTCACTATCACGAGAACAGCATGGGGGAGACTGCCCCCATGATCCAATTGCCTCCCACCAGGTCCCTCCCTCAACAGGTGGGGATTAAAATTTAAGATGAGATTTGGGTCGGGACACACAGGCAAACTATGCCAATTATGTATACATTTTTGTCTTAAGAGGCACTGCTAAACTATATTCCAGGAAGCTTGCATACATGCTCACTTTTACAAGGTCTGCTTGAAAATGAGAATTACCCAATATTCTTCCCTGTTACCCACTGAATATGATCAACCTTTTAATTTTCCACTATAACAGGCAAAAATAGATAGCTTTTTAAGTTGCATTTTAGGATTATTATTGAGGTACATATTCTTTGATTACCTTAAAAAATAGGCTGCTTGATTTTTTTCTGATTGAATTTTGATATGGATTATTTAATTTTCTTATTAGTATATAATTTTTCATAGATAAATATTATACATGACAAATTATAAATATTTTAATATTTTTTACTTTCTGTACCTTAGTCTTGTTTCTTGTTTATATTGTGTGTGTGTGTGTGTGTGTGTGTGTTTAAGCTTTTGAATGCTGCACAATAAATCTGTTGTTTTTCCCCTTCATTCCTTCTGAAATGAAGGGGAAATCTATTCTATTTTGAAAAATACTTCCTAATCCAAAGTGAAAATATTCTTCTCTAATTTACTCTAGAAAATGTACTTTTTCTTCTTCTTCTTTTTTTTTTTGTTTTTTTGTTTTTGTTTTTTGTTTTTTTTTTTGAGATCGAGTCTTTCTCTTTCGCCCAGGCTGGAGTGTGGTGGTGAGATCTCAGCTCACTGCAACCTCCACCTCCCGGGTTCAAGTGATTCTCCTGCCTCAGCCTCCCAAGAAGCTGAGACTACAGGCACACACCACCACGTCCAGCTAATTTTTGTACAGAAAATTTTCTTCTTAGCACTTAAATCTTTATTGCATATGGGGTTTTTTTGGTGTAAACACTTAGTTTCTTTCAAATGAGTAGCTGATTATTCTAGAACCAATTTTTCAATATGTAATAATTTACCCATTGATTCTGAAATGCTGCACTTATTATAGACACTTGAATCATTTTGTACGTGGATTATTTTTCCTGTGCCCAGGAATCTGGAATGCGGAGATCTCCAACTCATATTTGGAATAAAAATCATTGGTTATTTTAATTAACAGATTAATGTAGATCTAATTTAGGCTTAATTTCTTCAGTTTAACACATTAGTCATTTAGGTGATGACATTTTGTGAAAACTTGGGCATTCATAGAGGAAGAGCTGATGTCTGTGTGACACTGTGGGACCCTTGGGGCATTTTTTATGAACTCTGAAATATGATAGTTTTTTTGTATATATCTGTGCCTGTTTTGTTGCAAAATATTTGTTTCTAAGAATTTTATAGTTTTATTGTTATTGTGATTTGGAAATGCTTGTACATACTGTAGATAAAGAAATCTATATCTATTTCTAAATGGTTGTACATACTGTATATAAAGAAGAGTTATTGCTTTATCTGTATTTTTCTTGTATTCAATCACCTTATTAAAGGTGATATTATTATTATATTTTTCTATTTATTTCCCTTATATTTACTTAAATATGATAGTTTTCCCCTTTTAAGCATTCATAGCTTTATAAATACTTTTTTTTTTTTTTTTTTTTTTTTTTTTTTGAGACAGAGTCTCGCTCCGTCGCCCAGGCTGGAGTGCAGTGGCGCCATCTCGGCTCACTGCAAGCTCCGCCTCCCAGGTGCACGCCATTCTCCTGCCTCAGCCTCCCAAGTAGCTGGGACTACAGGCGCCCGCCACCATGCCCGGCTAATTTTTTTTTGTATTTTTAGTAGAGACGGGGTTTCACCGTGTTAGCCAGGATGGTCTCGATCTCCTGACCTCATGATCCGCCCGCCTGGGCCTCCCAAAGTGCTGGGATTACAGGCGTGAGCCACAGCGCCCGGCCTATAAATACTTTTTAAAAGTTTTATTAAATTGACAGAATTCTTAAACAATACCATCCAATCCTCCTGCCATTCCATTCTAATTCTCTTCCTCTGGATCATGCTGCCTTCTGCAAGGGAGTGGAATACTGGCCTCATATTTTTCTTATTACTACAATCCATGTGGATTTGTTGCATGTAGAAATTATTTTATAGATATAATAAATTTTATTGTTTGAGCAATGTTTTTCTGTTTATCTAGAGAAAGAATAGTAACTTTTGTTTACTTCAAATCCAATCAAACTGAGAAAGAGACAAAAAGAGAGGAGAAAGAAAGATTGATTTACTCGAACTCAGCATTAGAAACATCTTGCTCACCTCAGACCTACAGAATCAAATTCTCAGGGCTGGAGGCCCAGCATCTGCAGTTGTAACCAGGTTTCCAGGTAATTCTGGCACACAGTGAAGCCGAAAACTCCTTCTGTAAATCCATGGGCACAACCGCAATTTTTAAAAGTTATATAATGATGTCAGGTTTTCAGTAAATATAAGAAGCAAGTGCGTTACCCATGATACTGTAGGGAGTTGTATGTGAAACTTGTAAAATTGTAAGATTCACTTACAAAAATGGACTCTAACAACTTCAAGAGACTATGATCTGATAGTAGTGTGGAAAGGAAAATAAGATGAGGAAAGCCGAAAAAGAGAGCAAAGGCAAAAGCAGGAGTGAGGAGAGTCAGGGTGAACGAAAAGACTGGTTAGAAAGAGAGAAGACATATGTTTGTAACACAGCTAACCTGTGTAAATGGAATGCTGATCTTCTCTCAGATTACCTCGTGTGAGCCACCTCAGTAGGGGACAGACCGCAGGCTTACTTGCATCTTCTTCTGTTTTCAAGCTCACAAAGCTTCTCTATCATAAGTTTCTCCACATTTTAAAATATTTTATTATAATCCAATAATCATTGGCCTGATATAAACAGGAATGAGCATGTATTCTCCAGCATTAATTTGTAGTTTATGCAGAAGTGCCTAATATATACAGTAGGGTCCCCCTTGTCCACAATTTCACTTTCTGAAGTTTCTGTTACCTGTGGTATGATATGATATTTTGAGAGAGAGATCATATTCAAATAACTTTTATTACAGAATATTGTTGTAATTGTTCTTTTTATTTTGGTTATTGTTGATAATCTCTCACTGTGCCTAATTTATACATTAAACTTTATCACAGGTATGTTTATATAGGAAAAAAATGTAGTATATTTAGGTTTCAGTACTATTCGTGGTGTCAGGCTTTCACTGGGGAACTACTGTACATTAATAGGGTGCTATTATCTCCTTGAGCACAGAGAGCCGGCTCCTTAGACAGCTGAGATCAATTGAAAAGCATTTGCTTCTGCAGCTGACTTCACGTAAGTTCCAAACTATGCCCTGAGACCCTGACAAAGAATCCTTTCTGTCTGTTGAAAGGGCCTGGTGAGCTGGATAGAGTGACTCAGAGCAAATCAAATTGGAAAAATAGCAAAAAAAACAAAACAAAAAAAAAAACAAAAAAACAAAACACCCACACACACACAAACAAACAAAAAACTAGAGACAGACAGAATAATCATCAAGTTGACCAATAAAAAGAAAGCGAAATGCTGTACTGATGAACACTGCAGAAAGAGATTTGAGGGAAGCCAGGCTGTTCCCTTAATAAAACAGCAATAACATATGAGACAGTTGCAAAAAAATTGCTTTTAATTTAATCTACTGATTTTTTTTATTTTTCAGTAATAGTAATAGAATAAGAATCATACAACCTCTAATGGTGATTTAGCAGTTTTATGGAAAGCTAAAGATAAAACAATTCTAAAATAGAAATGAAGAGGGGGCCACTAAATTCAGTCTTCTTCCCAACTGAGATCCAGGGTAAGGAGGAAGTGGATTAGCAAGCAAATGACAACCTCATCATTAGAGCTCTAACTAGAGTTTCATAGTCTCTGCAAGCCTGTAACTAAGCCCTGGAACAGATGAAAAAATTCTGAAGAGAGAAGCATGATACAGTTCATTATTTAATGAAGAGAAGATTCTCTTTCTCCGTGTCTTTAGGAAAAAAATGACATATAATTCAATGTCCTCCATTCCCTAAATCAGAGTTTCTAGTGTGTGGTCCCTAGATCAACATCAGCATCACTTGGTATTTTTGAAATGTAAATCTCAGCTCTTCCCCAGGCCTATTGAATCAGAAACTCAGGGAAGTTTCAGCAATCTGTGCTAATAAGCCTTCCAGGTATTTCTGATGCTCGGGAAAGTTTGAGACCCATTTCCTTAAAGCGTGCGTATTTTCCATTTTAAAGCCTTTATCAAGAATGTGTGCGGTGGAAATTATCGTAGAAGTGGACTGGATGCATTCACGCTTCCATAGGCTTTCTGTTTCTTGGCTTATTTGGAACTATAAAGCTAAGGGTAGACGGACACATTCCTAATACAAGAATGTTGGTATTTGCACAATGAGGTCCCGGGAGACTTTTTAACACATTAAAAAAACTGGTATGAGAAGTAAGAGGGAGTTACAGCATTAACTATTGTCCTGTTTTCCAGGATGAAGAAGATCTTCCAGGACTTTTCTCAGGGGATCATCCTCTACATTGAGAAGTAGCACAAGGAGGAGATAATTTTAATCCGACTAATAGCAAAGTGACATGAACTCAAAGAGGGCTGTAGCCTACTGGTTGACCTCGTGATTGGAAATTAGCTCATGAATTAATTTTTGCCATAGTGACATTGGATATATTCATTTGCGCCTTTCTTACTTATAACTTCTAATTTTTTTCTTAATTTCCTGACTATTAAAAGTTTGGTATTTCTGAGAATTTCCTTCTCTTTCCTCCAGCTCCCCAATGATATCCAATAAATATTCCAGTTCATATAAAAAAAGAGTAATTTTTGCACTTAGTGAGTGCAATTTAACTTAACATCCTTTTTAAACTGAGATAGATTCCATATACCGTCAAATTATTCTCCTAAAGTCTATTGGTCAGTGGATTTTACTACATTTACAAAGCTGTACAACCATCACCACTAATTCTAGACCCAGCAAATGCAGTAGTTTCCCTGCTTCATGCCTGTGAAATGTGTTGCTTTTCCTTAGTGTCCTCATGAGGGAGCCTCAGAGAGTGGAGAAAGTCCAGGTTCATCACGATAGCACCTCGGCTGTGAACTCACATGAACAGGTGAGTAAATTGGAAAAGCACAACATACTGGCTAGATGACAGCTTGAGTTATATTTTCTTCTTAATTCCTGGGGTAGCTGAGCATAGAAATTTCAGTTTAGTTACATAAACTGTAGCATGATTTTTTACTCCTCTTTTAATATCAATTATCAAATATTTAGAAAAATGGAAGAAATAATCTACGCTTCACAGAAACTAGGATAAAAATTAAAAGGCCCTTATTCCCCTCTTTTTCCAGATGTTAGCTATCATAACCCATAAGGAAATATTAAAAGGCTATGACCTAGGCTGACTAAATTTATAGAAGCAATAAAAAGAAGCCCAACATATGCATAAATACCAGCTTTGGTGGGTGGGAGTAAGATAGTGGGGGATAAGAGAGCCCTAGAATAGCAGATACTAAAATAACCATGGACTGTCAAGCAAAAGGGCCACCAAGAAGCAAGGGTGCCTTGGGAAGGGAAGTGTCCTGGGGTACAAGAGTAGGGTCTGCAGGATAAGGAAGGGAGCGCAGCTATCTCTCCCCTCTTCCTGCTGCCTGATTACCCCGCATCCCTCTAGAAATTGGTGCTGTGGATCCAGGCTTCCATCTGTTTGCATTCAGATCTGTGATCTTGCCAAGTCTAATCTGACCAAATTATTGACAGCTTTGCATCGTACACAAGTGACTGGGGACCTCTCCTCTGAATCCAGAGATGAAGTGAGCCACTTGGAAGAATCCTGCAGATAGTAAAACTTCTGAGCATTTATTTCCCCAATCCTCTTGGAGGCTATTCAGCCAGATACTGTGCAATACATCCACCTGGGAGGCTGCAGCAGAGGAGAGATCCACATTGATAAAACACACAGAAAGGGGATTTTGATCTCAATATAAGGGAACTTGGAGAGTTGTAAACCATGGCAGACTGTACTGTTTAGCTTCTGAGGCATAAGAGCCATTACTTCAAGTTGCTTGTTCAATACGCTGAGCTACAGGGTCACGCCAGACTTCAGGAAGAGCCAGAACACTCAGAACCTAGACTTACTCTAAAACTAGGAACTCTAGCTGCTGCTGTGTGAGAGCTGCTTGAGAACTGTGTGTCATGTTCTGGGCTTTTCTCTTGCAGGGATTGCAAGGCCAGGACCCTGAAATTTGCCCAACTCGGAGACCCTGAGGATGCCCCAGGGACCTGGGTCCTTCTTCCTCAAAACAGAAGGGAGTTTCAAATGAGATTGGACCATGACAACAGTGACTATCATTATCTAGATGACAGTAGGTTTAAGGAAAATATTCATTTACTGGTTTTCAAACTTCATGAAAGAGAAAGCATGAATTGCAGACTCAGTGTTTAAAAATCAAATGCATTATTCAGAATCAAATATAAAAGCCAGATGCCACAAATTACTCCCAAATTCACATTTTTTTGAGATATGATTGATTAAAGTTCTATTTGAGGATGCATTTTCCTAAGTGACTTTTGGTTTAGGAGTCTTCTTCAGATAATCTTTTCCTAAGAACTAAATGAAAGAAATTTATTTGTTATCCAAGAATTGTCATTACTGTTTCTTCATTTCAGCACTCATTTATTTATTCACAGGTCGCATGCTGTCTGACCTGTCCTGGTTGGTGGGAGGGATGGAGCCTGGCTTCCTGTGTAGGGTGCCCAAGGACTGGCTGTGGAGGCTGCTGGGCCTAAATGCTTTCCCCCTACTTTTTTCCATGGACTGACTTCTGTATCCCAAATGATTGACATATTTATTATTGACCTTCTCTGACAAAAGACAAAGAATTACGGATCTACATTTTTCTCTCAATCTCAGGAGCCAATATATTCAGTGTAAAAGCTCAATTTTCATTTGAAAGAAAAAACACTTGGCTCAAGAAAATTTTTTTCCATGTAAGTCTAAATTATAAAAATTTGACTTATTAAAAACAAGATGTTGTGTTATTTTATATATATATATATATATATATATATATATTTGTCCTTAGTTCCTAGCTCATAACTCCCCTAGCTCTTGTTAAAATCTTTTGTTATTATATTGGGTGTGCTAGTTCGCAGGAACAGACCTCAGGAAACTGAATCTCTCTACTGCCTTCTTTCTCCTACCCTAAAGCAGGACTTTAATCTTCTCTCACCTTTCTGATTATGGATCTTAAGAAATTTCCCTGAGAGGGCTCCGCCCTGTACCCTATACTTGGGGAAGGAATGCTGATGTCACAAAGCTTCCATAAAAATCCAAAAGGACTGGGTTCAGAGGGCTTTTGGAGAGCTGGACATGTGGAGGCCGACAGGAAGGTGAAGAAGTCATCTGCGTGCTGTGAGGGTGGCGCACCCCAACTCCATGGGGACAGAAGGTCCTGCATTTAGGACCCTTCCAGACCTCACACCTATGTATCTCTTCATCTGGCTGATTACTTATATCCTTTCAAAGACGCTTCTTAGTAAACTGGTAAATGTTAAGTGTTTCTCTGAGTTCTGTGAGCCACTCTAGCAAATTAATCAAACCCAAAGAGGGTGTCTTGGTGACCTCAACTTGAAGCCAGTTGGTCACAAGATTTGGAGGCCCAAACTTACAACTAGGAGGAAGAAAGGAACAATCTTGGGGACTGAACCTTCAACTTGCGGGATGGGACACTCTCTCTAGGTGGACAGTGTTGGAATTGAATTGGGGGACACCCAGCCACTTGGCAGTGGGGGAGAATCTGCACACATTTGGTCACAGAAGTCTCATGGGGTCATTGTTGCGTGGTGAGAGTGGAGGAGAAACACAGTTTGAGAGTTGTTTTTCTGATACGAAATGAAAATATAATTTAAATACATCTGGAAAATAGATATGTCTTTATTAACACCATTCTCAATTTGTCAAATTTCCGATGAAAGAAAGGTCTATTTTGTGAATTTAAGGATTTAAGCACAGGCAATAACAGATTTAAATACAAAAGTATAGAGGTGTCATTATTATACATTTTCTTCCTAAGTGAGTATGATGAACTTTATCGGTTGAAAGATTGCTGCTGAGAGTCAGTGGCACTGAGTCATATTTTAACCTTTTCAATATGACAGAATAAACCATTAGCTGCAATCTTATTCATATTGTTTCTGTGGTTGTCAGAGTCTGCCACAAAGTCCCAGCACTCCCTTCGTCATTCCAAAGCATCACAATTAGTCTTAATTTCTACTCCCACTTCATCTGAGATAGGACTCTTTTGTCTGTGCTAACACTGACAGGTTTTCAAACTGTCTTTTTAAACATTAGACTTTGTATTTGTAAGGCCCCTTTCCACTGCTAGAGCCACTGGAATTGCACTTTGAAGTTTGCATATAATCCTTTATTAGTCTTAATATGTGAGGATCCTAACTATACACTAAGGCATAAAGAATTCCCTCCATTCAGACAATGCCCCCAATCCTATGAAGCAGGGAGTGAACCTGGACATGAAGCAGGGAGAAGGAAGTAGCTGGATGGTCAGATGGAGCCATTCCTCCATGATGTGTTCAAAATGATTTCTTATACCTCCAGTGAATTTATAGGAGTCCTTGCTGATTGAAGTCACAAACTTTGTCAATGATATAAAAAAGAAATTTTGGAAAAACAGGCTGAATGTCAGATATAGACACAATACCACCATTGATTACGATGTTAAATTATATGGGGGTTGTCACACATGTCAAGGGACCACTGGTCTTCGTCCACTGTTAAAAGTCACCCTAATGGATAGTCTTTTTGGCATGCAAAGTGGTTCAGGCTGTTTGTACTGGCTATTTGTCTTAGAACTAAGTAGACTTTCCACAAGGCTGGTCTAAGAGTTAGGGTGTATAGTATGAACAGTGTAGGAAAATTTATTGGATACTATTTTGCACTGTTTTGCTCCATACTGAATTTGTTATGTCAGAGGCTTTCACTCTGATTTTTTTCCTGAGTTTTAAAATCCAAAAAATGTGAGAAAAGAACAAAATCTTTTGGTAGTCTACAACTGCTAACAAATTAATCTCGGAAATCCCTTTGAATACCAACATAAATGTGACCTACATCAATGTATATGGACTCAGGGTCTATTCAGCTCAGGGATATACCTCTGTTGGATACTGAATGGATATTGCATCTCTGTGAAACCTGCTCTGGCATCATGGCGTCTTAACATTAATCACGAAAAAAGTTATTTTGATTTCCTGCTGAGCTTTGGTTAATTTTACTGACAAGAGATGCATTACAAAAGAAAGGAGCTCTTTGAAAAACTGAAAATTTAATAGGAAATTTTATTAAATACATCATTTTGATTTGCAACCTTATTATAAATTTCGAAAAGTTCATATTCTACATTTGAATTGTCCATATGTTTCCTTAATAAGCTGCAATAAAAATAGAATATAAAAAGTATGCAGCTTCTTATCACTTTCATCTTTAATTTAATTAAATTTCTCTGGCTTGGTAAATCATACAAACCCATTAATATTGATCCTAGCATGTGTGGTTTTTTCCTAGCTATTTGTTGAATTCTATTATTTTTAAAATATGCTTTCTTATTCATTATCAAAAACTACTTACATGTCTCTTTTCATTCTAGTTTACTCATATTGTTTTATAACAAGAAAAGAGATAAAATTTGTTGATATTAGAGGGAAGTTTTGTTTAGGTTAAACGGGGGGTAATTTTAATTGAAGATAAAATATATAACCACTCTAGATATGGAGTTCTGAACTCCTCTGATTAGTAGTTGGGACTGAGGTGGAGTTGAGGTAGGGACTGTAATTCCACAGTTCTTTGATAGAACTTGACCTGCAGTGGGTGAGAAAAAGGAAATGCGGTCTTCTTGCAGTTCAGGAAGCCTGACTCCTGTTCATGCACATAACTCCATCTAGAACAGAAGCAGGGTTATTTTTTTATTTTGGATTCAGGTTTCTCAGTGTATTTTCTGAATAAGGAATGCAATTAATTAGTTCTAATTTTCAGAATTTTTCTCTTTGCTTCAAAAAATATTTGTGCATGTGTGTGTATGTGTGTGTATATATATATATATATATATATATATATATAAACACAATTCATTGGGTTTAGGGAATTTATTTTCTTGTATACTTCTATATAATATAAATTGGTCTTACTTTATATTTGGAAACTGCATACATTGAGGTAGTTGCTTGTCACAAAAACTGTTCTTGCTTTCTTTAACCTGAACTGGAAATTCAAAAGCTTATTAAAATACTAAGGCAACTAGTGTTCTCAAAGTAAATTTTCCCTACTCAGATTTTAGTCAAACAACAACATGCCCATAATGAGTTAAATCTGTGCTTTAAGAAAAAGAAAAGCAATCGTGCTGAGGAATCCTAGTTGGCCCAGGAGGTTAGAAAATGGAGGTTGATTCTCCCTCTACAAGTCATCAATTTGATTCGGTCCAGGTTGGCAGTTTTTCAGAACATCTGTCGTCTGATTGCTCTTTAGTGGTCAGTAAACAAGAAAATCCAGATGTTCTTAGTTTAGTAGAGATCCATCATCTAAAATGCCCCAAGGTCCTGTACACTTCTATGTGCCTAAAGGTTACACTGAAAAGGACGAGGGATCTCTGAGAATCCTTTCTCCCAGGCATTACTTCTAAGTGGTGGACATGCTGTCCTAGTGCCTCCCTCACATGGCCAGCGGAGAAGGGCCTTGCCCTACCTCTCAGACTGCAGCCCTGAGCCACTCCTTGGAGGTGAGGAGCACCATTCACCTGAGCAGCTCCCCGCCCTGGTGTCTGAGAAATAAATCTGCCTTCAGTCATACGGTTCTACCAATCTGAGCACACGTAAGTATTTTTCTGTGTTGTCTTCTTAAAAGCAAATGCTTTCTCCTTAGAGTATTTTTTTTAATTTAATGTAATCTCATCCAGAGGAGGAGATTGTTTTGTGATCACCCTGTGTAAGCCATATCAGCCTCTCTCCCCAAAATGTGGTTCAGATATCAAGACTGAAAATGCTACACATGCAATAAGAGAGAATGCAAAGATTTATTACAATATTAGTGCTTTCTGGGGAGAGCATCATTTTGTAAAGGGATGGCTTAGCCATGGTCGCCCATGCCAACATCCACAATACATAGTTACAAACGTGTAAGTGTGATAAATCATGTTCACTTGGGGCTTGGCTTGTAGACATATTGATTTTTATAGGAATATTTATATACAAATTTTTCAAAATTTAAATCTGTAAAAGCCAATTATTCTTATCACTGCAGTGCAGGTGTATGTGGCTGGGTGATATTCTGGAAAAGGGTCTGGGAAAGGATGGTCATGTTGGATGACCGGGACAATTAACCAAGTATAGGAGGGGATAATGAATACTGATATTATTTTGCTATTAGTATTTTGGCTACACATACTATGCATCTATTTATCAGAGTAACAGGGAGCTTATTGGAGGCATTGACGAACACTGTGGGCATTTTTCCATATGCAGTTCATGTTAGAGTTTGGGTGAAGTCCCTGGTTAAAGAAAAGAGGTACCTGGGAAGTTCTGTCTGTAAGTTAAGAGTTGCAGCAGTAAGTGGAAAATAAATGTTCACGTGGGTCACGGCTGTACCCTGTAGCCATGAGGTTGGAGGCGAAAGGTCCAGCTCAGGCCATTGTAGCTAAAGAGGTATGCTCTAAATTTGCCCAAGAACTCAGACTTTCTCACAGACAGAACTGAAAGTACACCATAGAGTTGATAGATCTTTGAGGGTAAGGTGTGTGTCCAAATTGCCAAGCTCGGATAGGAAAGAGACCTCCTGTGTTCTAGAGACAGCCCTAGATCCTCCCCAGCCATGGTGTTCAGATGGGCAGACACAGGCTGCTCAGCGGTGTCCAGAGATGGCTTCAAACTTGCTGTCATTTATCTATGCTCTGATCAAGGGCACGGGTTATAAAATTGTTGTAAAACCAGTCCAGTTGGGAAAGACATAGAATGCACCCTTCTCCCCATCTCAATGTTCCCCTGCCTGCCAGTGCCCACGACTCTCGTAGAGCTGCTTTACCCCTTTTCTTCCTGCGCTTTATACCCTTTATGGCATGCCACCAGGCATATCTATGTGTGTGTGCATGTGTAAGTGTGCACCTGCAGGCTGGATCATTCTCATAATTTATTTTTAATTACTAAAATTTGTGCATACAATCATTACATATATTTTTATTTTTACTTGTATTAATTTAAAATATATTCTAATATCTAAAGTTCATTTTAAATTTTGTTTTATATGTGTTTATTAAAATTCATTTTAAATATTAAAATTTGCTTTTAATATTTAAAATTATTATATTGCCCAACCTTTAAAGAGTTCAGTAATTCACCACAACATATACTTCATTTCTTCTCCCTAAAGGAAAATATATTCAACTTTTTTTGTTGATTATTTTGGGGTTTATTTCCACATCATTAATAATTATGTTTATATTGTTGCTTCTTAATTTTTCAGTTTTAGCTGTAATCTGTTTACTCCCTACAATTAAAGGTGGGAATTTACCTCTCTCGTATGAATCTTTCTTCCCTGACCTCTTCTTTTTTCCAATTCTCCTTTGTTTAATCTTCCAAATATACTTGCATCATAATTCTGTTTAGATCAATATTTAATATTTACATTATTACTATATACATGTTCTTCATATGTGTTTGCATAGTTTATTATAATGAGTTTATCTTTCTTACTGGTATTCCTGTCACTGTTTCAGCGCCAGCCTCTCCTTCCACTATGTAACTTATGTCTCAGGATGCTCCATCACACCCTCACTCTCACCGCCTGGTGTGAATTCCTCCTAGCCTTCTGGCTGCTCTGAGCTGCCTGAAAGGATTTCTCTCTCGGCCCGCTGGCCGCCCCTCAACCTCGGACCCCAGCTTCACTATCGTTTGGGAAATCCTTTTATCTCTTTTTAATGGTGGATGTCAAATTTCCTGAATTTCCTTATCTTTTATTTCTTTCTTTCCTGTATTATTCCTTGGATTTTGTTGGTCATGTTTTTTAGTAGCTTCCTGAGATAGGGTGCACAGGTTGTAAAATTTTTGAGAACATATATGTTTGAAATGCCTTTTTTCTACCCTTGCGTTTTATTTGTAGTTTGACTTGCTTCAGAATTCTAAGGTGGAAATCATTTTTTTCTTTTTTTTTTTTGAGACAGGGTTTCCCTCCGCTGCCAGACTAAAGTTCAGTGCTGTGATCACAGCTCACTGCAGCCTCGAACTGCTGGGCTCAAGTGATGCTCCCACCTCAGGCTCCCAAGTAGCTTGGACTACACATATGAATCACCATGCTCTACAGTTTTTGTAGAGATGGGGCTCTCACTATGTTGCCTCGGCTGGTCTTGAACTCCTGGCCTCAAGTAATCCTTCCACCTTGGCTGTCCACAGTCCTGAGCCACCGCACTTGGCCTCAATCCTTTACATAAAACCTGTTTTCCTCTTAGGAAGCTTGCTGCATTTTCTGTTTGTTATATTCAGTGTTCCGAAAATGTATGATGCCATCCCTCGGTATGGCTCTATGTTTCATCCATTATGCTCAGCAATCAGTGATGCCTTTAAATCTGGAAACCCACGTTTCCCAAGTCCAACCTTATTTTTTTTAAGTGTTTTACTGACAATTTTCTCCTCTTGTTTTCTTTGTTCTTTCAGTCATCTTTAATTGAGAATCTGTAATCTTTGTATTATAATAAAATGTTTAGACTTTTTTTGTTAATACCTTTAGAACTGGTTAATTTATTTTAACTACAGTATGGTATTATAATATATGAACAGATCTTAATTGAATAATACATTAATAGACATTTAGATTGCTTCCCTTTTGCGATTTATAAATAATATTTTAATGAATGTCTTTGTGAGTGTATTTGTGTGCCTGTGTACAGAATTTATGTTCTATAGAGAATGGCTAGAGGAAAATGTACATTTAAACTTTACCAGACATTTTTACATGTTAAGTGGTAGTACCATTTACATTCCTACTTATGATCACTGAAAAACATTTCTCTGCATCCTCATCAATGCTTGATACAATTATACCTTTAAAATGTTGCCAACATGATGGATAAGGAATTGTTACTCAATTGAATTTGCAACTATAAAAGTTGGAGATACTTGCATATATATTAATTCAACATGAAAGTTTCCTCTTCTATGAATAGCTGATTCATATCATTTGTCCATAAATTCTAAACTAAATTGAATTTCTAGGTATGACAAAAAGCATACCTCAAAATATAAAAACAATGCAAAATCTGAATTACATAGAAAATACTTGATTTTTGCTTAATAGGATTCCATAACAAATAGGAAAATATCTAAATTTGAAGGAAACATCTAAATGAAATTTATTCATAATTTTTATATTACTTTGTTATTTCAAATAAGGAGACCATTCCTTTTTAAAAATTAAAATAGCAAATGAGCTATGAACACTGATTTGCTCTTTATATATTAATCTTGTTGGCTGTTTTCATCATTTATGGACCATCGCTAATGTGCCTTATATGTAAGCTGCTTCATTTTTTGAAGTTACCAACAAAAATATATATTAAATGTTTTTCTATGTCCAAAATAGAAGACAAATTAACCATAATCCTGAAAATAGATATAATCAATATTAATATTTTATATATATTTCTCTCCTCTTCTTATGCCTATATAAAAGTTATATATTTTAAATGTGAATATTTTGTGCAATTCACATTTTTTTCAGTCAATATCACATGAGGAACATTTCCTTCTACATTAGCAAACATTATTTTGCAACAGTATTTTAAATGGCTGCATAGCATTCTGTTATATGGATATACAACAATTTATTAAAGCAGTTTCTCACTTTTCTATTGAAAAATTTAGCGTGGTAATGTTAAAAGTTCCTGATGAATGCCTAATGTAGAGTATATTTTTACTCCTACTTTTTCCCATAACATTATCTGAATATCATTTTTATTTCCCATTCTAAAATTATTACAGTAATTCTATGCTTCATTTGTTAAAGACAGCATACACGTGCACACACACACAGGCACTTTCCATGTCTTTTGGCAGAGAGATTGATATCCTGGTAAATGGAATCAAGTTTGGTACCATAAGAAATTAGTGACTTTGCGTGCTTTGTTAGACCAATCTGTGATCCATCAGGAAAGTGTTAACCTAGCTTAGTTCCCTTGCATGGTTATTTTTAAATAAATTGATATTGATATTGATGTCCAGTTGCATGAGGTGGTGTCTTAATAAGTAATTCATTGAACTTATCAGCACATCACAGGAATTTCAGATTAACACTCCTGATTTACATGATTAAAAGTGCCACCATTAGCAGAGCAAGGAAATGAAGCACTTGCTTCCTAAGGAGCTGTTGAGATGATCATTGAAATATCTGAGTACCGTATTTCACTGAGTCACAAATACGTATTTTCATCCAATTTTAACATGAAAAATGTGAACGACCTTACAGTCAACTGTGTCTTAAAATACAGCTGGTGGCAGTTTTACTTTCTTAGTGGTATGCACTTTATAGCACAGCTTGTATTTGGTGGCTTCCATTCTTGGACCCACAATCTACCAATGATGTGATAGATACCTTGGGCATGGCTCCCATCATCCCCACATTCTCGTGGTTAAACACTGAGCAGTCCACTCCCCTTGAGCATGGGCTGGAGCCAGTACGCAGAGCACCGCAAAAGGGATGGGATGCCATTCTGAAATTAGGTTATAAAAGACTGTGAGCCCTGTCTAGCTAGCAACCACTGTATGACCCTTCTTTCCTGCTTGTTCTGATGCGCAGGACCACCTGATAGGGTACTGAGGATGGCTTCTGACCTGGAGGCATCAAGGACCTGAAGGCAGTAACCATTTCAGAGGACAGCCACATCCCTCAAATTACAAACATCTAAAATGTCCATTAACTGTTGAGTGGATATATAAATTCTGATGTTTTATAAAATGGCATACCCTACATCAATGAAGATGAATGAATTACTTCTGCATAAAACAATATACATGCATCTAACCAATATGACACTGAGTGAAAAAAGACATCCATAGAAGAGCACAGCTCACCATTCAGGAGGTGAGTAGGCTGAAAGAATCCATGGTGTTAGAAGCTGAGACATTAACTCAAGGATGAGAAAAGTAATAATAGAAATTGGGAACTGGTGATGAGGGTTTTTTGGTTAGATAAAATTCTGGTAATATTCTATTACTTTTCATCTGAGTGATGGTTATCAAATTGTGTTTATTTTTTGATAATTTAGAAAGTGGCACACTTATGATCTGTGTAAATTGTCTATGCAATTTTTATGTCATGACTTTTTTGTCACTGTGGCCGGGTGAGAGCTGGAGTGTCATACACCAATTTTTTTTTTATTCTCATTTTTCTTTAAGTTCTGGGATACATGTGCTGAACGTGCAGGTTTGTCACATAGGTATACATGTACCATGGTGGTTTGCTGCACCTATCAACCTGTCTTCTAGGTTTTAAGCCCCACATGCATTAGCTATTTGTCCAAATGCTTTCCCTCCCCTTGCTCCCCACCTCCCAACAGGCCCCGGTGTATGATGTTCCCCTCCCTGTGTCCATGTGTTCTCATTGTTCAACTCCCACTTATGAGTGAGAACATGAGGTATTTGGTTTTCTGTTCCTGTGTTAGTTTGCTGAGGATGATGGTTTCCAGATTAATCCATGTCCCTGCAAAGGACATGAACTCATTCTTTTTTATGGCTGCATAGTATACTATGGTGTATATGTCATGAACCAATTCTTAAATATTTTGAAGCCTTCTGGCCAGACAGTGCTAATCTTAAGTCTCTGGCTAACTGCATGAGGGCTAAGGATTGTGGACATGAGTGTGACCAAAATGGAGAACCAGAAATAAGCAAAGTGTGGGAATATCTATTATATTAAGCTATTTCCTAAGGTCACATAGCTGTTAAGTGGAAGACTCAGAACTGTAGCCTGAGAGTTGAATTCCAGAATCTGTTCAGCTAACACACAGTAGACTGTCTAAGAGAAAAAGTGGCTTGTTGAAAACTTATATAGTCATAGGTTATGGTACTCAAATTCAGGTACCCCTATGTTAATTTAGTGTTCCTTTAATTACATTAGATACTTTTCAATTTTTATTAGTCAATTTATACACTAAACATTTTAAAAAACTATTTTATATGAGGTAACGTATACTAATCTTGGAGATTCAAAATGTTTAGGAAAAAATCCCTCCCTCAGTGACTTCATGGTTAAGAAAAGCTTATGGATAGAAAATCAAATTAACTTAAATCGGACACGTATTTACCAGGGCCAGCAACTGGCAAAAGGTGATCTAAACAGTAGACATTCAAAGATGAGTAAGACATAAAGCATGCCCACAACAACCTCACTGTTTAGTGGGAGATGGGAACATTTTAAAAAATAGATGAGGTCAGTGCAATATAACATAAAACATGTCTGAGGCTGAGAGCTGGGTGAGCCCAGCTGGCCACGTAGGGCTTCAGAGAGATGGCGAGATTTTATCTGGGCTTGTAAATAGAAATGAAATCTGTCAGGAAGATATGGAAGTATTCGAAGAAGAAAAAGCTGATTGTGGAAAATGTCTGGTGTCAAGGAATTGCCCGTCATGGCTTGGAAGTGAAGGAGTGGCCAGTGTGAGTGGTCTCAGCTTGCAGGAGACAGGGCTTTGCTAACTGCCCAGCTAGAGAGCACTCAGTAGTCAGAGGATAAATGAAGTTACCATAAACTTGAGCTAGAAGGAAATGGTTCAAGAGAGTTCAGAAACACATTCCATTGCTGGGGTGACAGAGAGGACTCAGGGATGATACAAGGTTCAATGTTGAACAAGTGGGTACTGCTCACAGAGATAAAGAAGAAAATGATTGTAGAAATTGCTACTGCCTTGGATTATGATACGTTGGACACACTCAGTCTAAGTTGCCTGTGAAATATTTCGGGAGAAGAGTCCAATACATTTCAGCTAAGTAATATTTGTATATTCTTATATCCTTACCTTTCTATATTATCAAATGCTCTTTGCTCTTTCACTACTTATACAGAGAAGAAATTCAAATGAAAATGTTATGAAAATATCCAAAGACTAAAAATCCACTGCTATCACTGAATCTAGGATGAATGCTTTTTGGAGCTATCAATTTGTGAAAATTGTAAGATAACTTATTTTATTAAAGATCATTTTTAAATCAAGGGTAAGGCTTTCTGTGGGGCCAATTTCATCAATAAAATTAGAAAAAAGTGATGAGCAAACTGATCTACCAGTTTTCTGTTTGTTTTTACCTTTGAATTTTAACAGTGTATTGAGATATAATTAACACACCATATAATTCACTCATTTAAAATACACAATTTGTTGATTTGTAGTACACAAATTTGTGCAATTCTCACAAAAATCTAATTTCAGAATATTTTCATTATCACAAAGGAAATCCTGTATTCATTAGCAGTCTACAAGGCTCTTGCCATATTTTAGTAAAACTGTACTTAATACTCTAAGCAATTGTACTATTTCAAAAATATGTATTTCAAGATTTATAAAAGGAGATACTCCTTCACTATTTCAAACATAATTCTAATATTATAGCTTCTAGATATACCAACTAAATCTAATTAAAAGTCAATGATGCAAACCAATAATATAATAATAGATCAAATGCTAGCATATCAAGCACACAGATTATCAGAATAAACTTAACAAATTAATACACCAACTATATACTATCTGCAAGGAACTCACTTCCAATATAAAGACACGTGTAAGTAAAAGGGGAAGAATAGAAAAATGTAAGCCATGCAAACATAAATCAAACAAAAGCTGAAGTTATTACATTAATGTCAGATCAACTAGACTTCAGAGAAAAATATTCCAGAAAAAATAACATTAAATAATAATAAAAGTGCTATTCACCAAGAAGACAGAACAATCCTACATGCATATGCACAAAATAACAGAGACACAGAATACATAAAGAAAGAACACTCTGCTTCTAGGAGTTAAAAACTCACGGAATCAGAGAGTAGAATGACGGTTACCAGAGGCTGAGAGGTGAGGAGAAGAATGGAGAGATTTTGATCACAGGATACAAAATTGCAACTAGACAGGAAGAATAAATGATAAGTATTTAAGATGAGGGATATGTTAATTAGCTTGATTCAAGCATTCCACATGGTATACATATATCATTATAGCATCACTATGTATCCATAATTATATATGATTATAATTTGTCAAAAAATAAAATGAAACTAATAAATCTGAAAGGAGAAATAGGTAAATTCACAATCATAATTGGGCACATCAATAACCCTCCTCTCAGTAATTAAAAGAAATTATAGGCAGAAAATCATAAAATATACAGAGGAACTGAACAATAATACCAATAAACAGAATCTGATTAATATTTACAGAACTCTTCAGTCAATCAAAGCAGAATATACTTTCTTTTTAAGTGCCCCAGGGATATTCACCAATATAGACATTATCAGTTCATAAAACAAACTTCAATATGTTTAAAATTTTATAAATAATAAAAGTATACTCTCTGACTATAATGTAAATAAATGAGAACTCAATAACAAAAAACGAGGTTCCAGTTATTCATAATCTTCCCATTTTTTCAAGTATTCCATCAAATACTTGGAAATTAATTAGCATATGTCTAATAACACATGGATCAAAGAGGAAGTCTCAAAGGAAATATACAAATATATTGAACTGAATGACAATGAAAGTGCAACATATCACAGTATGCAGAATGAAAATAAGCTGTGCTGAAAAGGAAAGTCATAGCACTTAGAAATGAAGAACGGTCTGAAGTCAACACTTTAACTTACTAGAAAAGAAGAGCAAGAGCAAAATAAACCAAAATCAGGAAGAAAGAAGAAAATAACAATATACAGCAAAAAATGATAAAAATTAAAATAAGAAAACAGAGAACGATTAATAGACTCAAAGTGGTCTTTCAAAATGATCAATGAAATGGATAAACTTCTTGCAAGCCTGATAAATAAATAAAAAGAGAACATCCATCTTACAGAAATCTGAAATGAAGAGGGGATATCACTACTGGTATCACAGATAGTAAATAATCAGAGCTACAAACAACTCTATGCACTTACATTTGACAACTTAGATAAAATGGACACCACTTGAACAGTACAAACTACCAACACTGGTCCAAGATAGAACAGATAATCTGAATAGTCCTACTATAAAGAAAATTGAACTATTATTTAAAAACCTTCCAAGAAATAAACTTCAGGCTTAGATGGTTTCACTGGTGGAGTCTACCAAACTTTAGAGAATAAATAACAACTCTACATAGTGTCTTTCTGAAATAGAAGACATATTTCTAAAATCATTTTTGAGTTTACTATTTCCCTGATACAAAATCAGGAAAATACATTACTTATAAAAAAAAGAAAGAAAATTATAGACCAATATTCCTCAAGAACATAAACACCAATATCCTGAACAAAATATTAACCAAAATATGTTGTTTAATATTATATATACATACATACACACACACACACACACACACATATCTATATATATATATATTTTCACCAAATGGGGATTTATTCCTAGGGATGAAAATCTCATCTGGTATTCAAAAAAAAATCAATATAATTTTCCATATTAATAGTGTAAAGAAGAAATGCCATACAATCATATCAATTGATGGAGAAAAAGCATTTGACAAAATGCAACACCTTTCATGATAAAAATATCTCAGCAACCTAGGCCTAAAACTTCCTCACCCAGATAGAGATCATCTACATAAAACCTACAGCTATCATCGTATCATATGTATGTCAAGAGGTACAGATGCCATGTAAAAGAGCTCTCAATGGCCGAAGCTGAAACAATTTGAGCTATAACACGCATACATATATAAATTTCTACATAAAGTAACATAACAATTTTGTATAAAGCCAAATATATCTTTCCTATGACCTGAAATTCAACTCCTAATTATTTACTCAAGAGAATTGAAAACAAGTTCACAAAAAGGTTTTTCTAAAATGTTCATAGCAGGTCTATTTACAATAGTTAAAAACTGGACGACATCCCAGGTATCTTCAATAATGAATGAACAAACAAATTGGAATATTCCCACAATGGAACACTACAATAAAAACGTAGCAAATGTTTGGTGAATGCAAGAACATGGATGCATTACAAAAGCATGCTGAACAAAAAGCCTCACACATGTGAGAACATATGGCTCCATTTCGTTTACACAAAATTTTAAACAGGCAAAACTGATCTCTATTGAAAAAACAAATCCGAACAATGGCTGCCAATTTGGGTGTAGTTGGGGGGTAGTACTGGAAGTGGCATAAAGAAACTTTCTGTGCTAAGCATAATATTCTATATTTTGATAGGGGTTTAGGTTATGGTATGTGTACTTGAAAAAAAAACTCCGTAAATCTATATTTACTACTTATGCATTTCATTGTGTATACATTTTAATACAAATCTATAAATATTGAAATCATGCTAATGTATGCATGCTTAAGCATTTGAAAAGTTGTGTACTGATGTCTGCAATATACTTCAAAGCATTTCTAAAAATGGATTAAATGATACATGGATGTATAGATTTGATAAATCAAGTATAATAAAATAATGATAAAATCTAGGTGGTGGATATTTTCGGACTCATTGTAGACTTATTTCAGTTTGCTGTGTTCTTGAAAAATTTCATTAGAAAATCCTGAAAAAATTAATGCTACCCAATTCTTTACAGAGATGCCATTTTCCCACCAGATTAGAAGACAGACTGATGCACAAATGCCTTTAAATCAACTCACTGTGTCTAAATAAGGTCGCTGCATCCATTGTTCGTCATTTTATATTTTTGTTTTTTAGATTCATAACTTTTCTTGTGTCTCTTTACTGCTTTGAGCCAACAATGAAATTATGTGCTCTTAAAGATTCTGATATCCCAACAGACCTCAAACCTGCAAACCTAATTGTTCGAAAGGCTCTTCTTATTGACCGACCTATATTTATGTGCATTGTGATTGCTGCCTGTGGGGTCAGGCATGCAAACATCAATAACCTACCACCAGAAGGCACATTTTAATGACAGAGGTTAGGGAAGCAAAGGTTTACAGGATTTGCTCCCAGCAAGTTCCTTATTCATTTTAGGGTCTTCCCCAAGATTTGTGAACCCCAAATATAGCAGAGAGGCTACTTCCTCATCCAGTATTGTGAACTTGTTCATGTAGTAACGTTATACTGTCTTTTATCCATCTTTATTCATCTGTTATAAATTAACACAGTATCCATAGTCTTGGAATCATATAGTATCCACGCTCTTGGAATCACATTGAAAAAGCACATAGTATCCAAGCCCTTGGATTCAAATTGAAAAGGTTTTGTAAAACTAGACAGAAAAGGTGGTTTTTGTGGAATACTCTTTGGAATTAAGCTGAGGAAGAATGTTCTAAAGAGGACGATCCAGGAGGACACAGGGCAGCAGAAATGAGGCACAGAGATGATTAGAGGATACAAAGATAGACCTTGGAAACTGTTCCGTCTCCAATTTCTTCATTAAGGCATGTGTAACTGCAGCCACTGGCCTCCATCTCTGGGATCACATTCCTCTGCTCCAATGTAGCACTGTGAGATTAGCAGGTTTCATCTGAATTTCAGATGTTCTAGGCACATTCCTATGCTCCAGTACAGCAGGCTTCATCTGAATTTTAGATGTTCTGGGCACTTTGTCATAAGTGAATTTGTCAGCATAGAGAAGTAAAGCTTTGATTATCTCAAGAAAGGGGGATTCTACATATAATAAAACACTTGCTACTCAGATGTGTCTGTGGGTACATAACAATTGCTGCAATCATATCTCAGTCCTGTGGAAAGAAGTGGGTGGTATGGAAACATAAACCAAGCAAAAAAAAAGAAAAAAAAAAAAGAGTCTGTATTAGTCTGCTAGGGCTACCACAACAAAATATCACAGACTGGGTAGTTTAAACTGGGTCTTCACCTGGTTTTCCCGCTATGCATGTCTGTGTCCCAATTTCCCCTTCTTGTAAGATCACAAGTTGCACTGAATTATGGCTTACACTGTTGACCTAATTTGAACCTGATTACCGTTCTAAAGACCCTGTTGCCAAACGCAGTCATGTTCTGGAGTACTGGGGGTTAAAACTTCAAATAGAAATGTTAGGGTGACATAATTTAGTCCATAGCACAATCCTTTCCTTAAAATATTGTGAAATTCTTAAGATAAGAGTATATCACCTTGGGAGGCTGAGGCAGGCGAATCGCTTGAACCTGAGAGGCGGAGGCTGCAGTGAGCCGAGATGGCGCCACTACACTCCAACCTGGGTGACAGAGCAAGACTCCATCTCAAAAAAAAAAAAAACAATAGAGAGAGTACATCACTTCAATAAACTGTAACATGCAGGGAATGGAGTGATAGTTTTGTGCTTTGCCACAGACTTTCATCATCTTTTTTTTTTTTCTGAGACAGAGTCTTGTTCTGTCACCCAGGATGGAGCACAGTGGTGCGATCTTGCCTCACTGCAACCTCCACCTCCCAGGTTCAAGCAATACTGCTCCCTCAGCCTCCCAAGTAGCTGGGATTACAGGTGCATGTCACTGCGCCCAGCTAATTTTTGTATTTTTAGTAGAGACAGGGTTTCACCATGTTGGACAGGCTGGTCTCGAACTCCTGACCTCGTGATCCTCCCGCCTAGGCTTCCCAAAGTGCTTGGATTTTGGTGGCGTGAGCCACCATGCCCGGCCTCGTCATCTTTTTTGTAGTGACAGGAAGCAGGCTTGCTTGTGCACCTGAGTCCACTATGCTTCCATAGGGATGTGCACATCAGTGCTTCTCCTGCTCTGTTGGTTGCATGATTTTATCACAGGGGTCTGATCCCAGCCCACTCATTTCCCATATTACCTGGCTTCCCTTTCAGTCTGACCAATGAAAGGTACAGGCCAGAGACAGAAGGACAGAAGGGAAGGGGCGCCAGGGTATCTCCCCCTCTCTCTCTGCCTTGGTGAGTGTTTCCAGTAGCAGCCACATCTTCCTTGCTGCTCAGGTTCCTAGAAAGCCCTGAGCTCCATGGTTCCAACTTTTACTAGGCAGTCCCCAGTATAAAATGTTAGTCCCATCAAAATGCCTCTTGTATTTGGTTACTTGAAATTCTACTGCTTCCTACTGTTGGGACAGTAGCTCCTTCAGGCAGTTAAATTGCCACGCTAACCTGCCTGCCTTCTCATCTTCCCAACACCTATGTAACAGATCTTTATGTTAAACTCCCTATATGTGGAAAAACTAGAGTAGTGTTTGCTTCACTGTCTGGATCCTAGCTGATATGGGGGTGGTCTGCTGACCAATGTATTTGATTTATATATGCACACACACACACAGACACGTGAATAGACATAAACATACATCTTGCTTTTCCTTTGTTCTTCTCTTTCTAAACTTAAATACTTTTTATTACCTAATTCGAGCTCCAATTTGGGATTTGTAGATGCTCAGATTTCTTCTGAAACACATTTCTTTGCAGAAAATAAAATTGAAGTCTTTATGAAAATCTAAAGATGCTATGCTAGTTTATTGCAGTAAGGAGAATGAAGGAGAAAAATAAGAGCTGTGACAAAATTATAGAAGCAAAATAATGTTGTCAGATTTAATTAGGGGGTGTATTATGGCAAGATGGGGTAGGGGAGAAAAATAATCCATGCTAAAGTTGGTCACTGGCAGATAATATTTTGAGTAAAATATGAAAGGAACATTTGTATTCTTTGTCAAAATCATTACAGATTTATAGATAGTTTGAAAATGGAAGACATGTGAACAAATAATTGTAGGGAGTGTGGCTCATGATCTAACCTAGACCATGGCAAATGCCATGAGAGACTGAGAGTGAAGAGACTAAAGGGCTTGAGACATAAAGGAGATGGGATTCATTCTGGATCTTTAGGAGTTACTAGGGTGTTGTAAGGAGTAGGGGATGGGTCCTCTGGGCAGCTGGAACAGCGTGTGCAAATTATCAAGGTGCCCCGAGCCTCAGTTGGTTAGGGCATGGTGGAAACTGTGTGTGCTAGGAGCATGGGGTACACGGGCTGGAGAGAAAGGGAATGAGATTCCGGCTCACACACCCATCACTCTTGAATAGGCGGGACGCCTGACCACCCTTGGGAAGAAAAATGTGAGAATAACAAGGTTTGAATAACAGTACTGGGGCTGACCACAGACTGCTAGAGTTCCAGTGGGGAATGGAGGGAAATGATCTGATGAACTCAGTTTCCTTTCCTTTAAGGACAGGGCCACAAAGCTGGGGTGACCTTTGCTGTCAGTCTGTAGGCTCCTCACATCTCCACTGAGATAATGAGAACCCAACTTTCACTTTAGGTGCACTTGAGCAGAACGTACTGTTATTGGCCATGTCCAGGTTCATTCTGCCTGCACGCAGTAAATCAATCACCGTGACATGGGCTTTGCAAAAGAGAATAGATGTATTCACAAGGCCACAGAGCAAGGAGTCAGGAGAACAGGTCTCAAATCCTCCTCCCTGAAAATAAGGCTTATGGATATTTATGAGTTAGGAAAGTAGGGTGTTCTAAGGTGAAAAATGAATAACAGGTTCATTCTGCATAAGCGCAGTCAGGCTTCATGGGACTTCACAAGACATATGTACAGAAAACAGTAGTGTCACCGTAATCTAAGGATGGAGCTTTTAGCCCTCCAACATCAAAACGCCACTTGTAGTTTGGGGTAAAATATGGAAGGTCCAAGTGCTGTAGGGCACTTGCACAGGCTCAGTTGAAGGGTTCATGGTCTCAAGCAGTTTGAACTGGAGGGAAGCTGGCCTAAGTTTCTGAAAAACAACTGAAGGAACCGTTACCGTGGTGACCTTTGAATGTTATCTGTAAAGTGTCCACTGAAGGTTAAGTTTGAGCATTCAGTCGCGAAACCTTCTGCTACTGCGGCCTTTGGCTGCGTGGAAAAAGGAAAACAATAATAATGATAACACAAGGTAAGTGACCAAAAGCAATCAAGGCAGGCAGACCTGATCAGATAAACCCCTCAGTTTCAGGACTCAGAGACAGCGCCTTCAAACCCGTAGTGCCTGGAAAGAGGAGAAATGGAATAGAGTGACAATTAGCTGAACAAAGAGATAAGCACAAAAAGGCATGTGCAGTGCCTGTGAGGTGGCATCAGGAGTATTCATGCCAGCAGTGCCAGTGAGGGAGAGAAGAGGGGCCTGGGTGGGGACAAGGCTGGGACCTGCTGTGGGTGACCAGTTGGCCTGTCTGTCTTGGAGCCCCTGCCTGCGGCCTCCCCTCAGATAACATGCTGCACTCTGGGTGCTGTGTGGAAACTTCTGGACCTCTGGGAAGACATTTTTACCAAATTGTTGTACACTATTTTGTAAAAATAAATTATTTTATTCAGTACAGTTATTTCAAAATAAGAGCATACACATGAACACTGTCACTAAAGCCTGTCAGGGAGGTACCAGAGATCTTCAGGGAGTTAGAGTCTCGTATTTGAAAAACTGCCGCAAAACTACAAATTAAATACCCACAGCCTTAGAAGTAGAAATTATATTTAAAGATCGTCGCATGTGATGATAAAAAACATTGTATTCATATGAAGCTTTGGATGAACCCATTATTAATGAGAAAGATAATTTTAAAATTAATTACCTCCTTATCAAAGATAGAGTGATTGCATGAAAAGGCACTTTGAAACGAGGACCACTCGTGAATCCACTCTGGGTTTCTTGTACTGCCTTCACAAGTTACAGGAACTGCCAGATAAATCATTAAAATATGACTGTGTATATTTAAATTTAAGATTAAATTCAGACTCAAAGCTGATGTGTATGAAGAGTTAAGCCTTTTCAGAAAATTGTTCCACAAGAATCATCATCTTTAGATGCACTGAAATTTATTTTTCATAAGGCCTCATTAGGTATTTATCCTATTGTTGTCATAGCCAATTTAATACTCTTCAGGAACAGTTGGATCAGGATTTTGAGTCTACTCAAAATTTAGTATAATAAAAATTATTTGTGATCTTACATTTCCCAAGAGCAAGTGACATTGTTTTAAATTATATCAATAGAAAATAAAGTTGCTAAGTGCATACGTTTTAATGGCTTAGTAGAAGTATTTTCAGAAAAATGTAGCCATTGAAATCTTATGCTCTAGCAAGGTATCACATTAATAAAGTATTATTACTTATATATTATATACAATTATTATTTCAAAATATTATTTTTGCAATTTATGATTGCGGTGTTATGTACAAAATTACTCTGATTGAGTTTTATTAATGAAAAAAATTTTAGTCAGAGTAATTTTATACATTTATGATTGTGGTATTACTTATGTACAAAATTACTCCAATTATTATTAATGAAAAATATTTTTATAAAAAATTTAGCTGAGCTTGCTGATACATTCTTATAGTCCTAGCTACTAGGGAGGCTGAGGCAGGAGAGTCGCTTGAACCTGGGAGGCGGAGGTTGGAGATGGCCAAGATCATGCCACTGCACTCCGGCCTGGGTGACAGAGTGAGACTCCATTTCAAAAAACAAAACCCAAATATTTTTATATAAAAGGGTCTATATTTGAGTATCTGCAACTGAGCTTATTTTTCTTACTTTTGAAGAGGAGGCCTCATGTTTTCATTTAAGAATATTTACTGAAGTTGTATATATTTAATGTATGCAGCACGATGTTTTGAAATCCTTGTACATAGTGAACTCATGGCTGCTGTCAAGATAGCTAACGTGTGCGTCTCTTCACAGAGTTACCATTTCTTTGAGTGTGGTCAGAACACTTAATATCTACCCTTTAACATATTTCATGTATATAATACAGTAGTATTAACTATAGTCTCCATGCTACACATTAGAACTTATTCATTCTACATAATTAAAACTGTAATAAGATATCACCCCCCACCTGTTAGGATGGCTATTATCATAAAGACAAAAGATCACATGTTGGGAATGATGTAGAGAAAAGGAAAACCTTATACACTATTGATGGGAATATAAATTGGCACAGCCACTATGGAAAACAGTCTTGAGATTCCTCAAAGAATTGAAAATAGAACTATCATATGATCCAGCAGTCCCTTTTCTGGGTGTATATCCAAAGAAATGAAATCAGTGTGTTGAAGAGAGGTACCTGCACTCTCATATTTCTTGCAACATTACTGACAATAGACAAGAAATGGAATCAACCTAAGCATCCAACAATGAATACATGAATTAAGCAATAGTGGGATATTAACAATGGAATATTATTCAGCCCTAAAAAAGGAAGAAACTCTTGCTGCTTGGGACAAGGTGGGTGAACCTGAAAAACATTCTAAATCAAATAAGCCAGATACAGAAGGAAAAATATAGCATGGTCTTACTTATATGTGGAATAATAATAATAATAATAATAATAATAATAATAACAACAACAATAAACTGCAGTGCATTAATAGAAACAGAGTAGAATGGTGGCTATCAAGGACTGGGGAGAGGGGCAGTGATGGATAGGGGTTGGTATTAGGGAAACTGAGACTTGTTGGTCAAATGATACATTTTCATTTTTGCGCTGGCTTCACAAATTATGTGACTGGTTCTGCTTATAAGTGTGCTAATTCTATAGAATTTATTTGTTCCTCTCAGGTATATTTTCATTTCCTTTTGTTGGTATTTTTAAGCTACTTAGATACCTCAGCATTACTAATGTGTTCTAGCTAATATTATCTTTCAGATTAATTACTCTGAATGAATTGCATAGCCTTATAGAGTAAACAAGTTTAATGATTTGTAAACTTCCTCCAGACTGCTGTGTGCTTTACTGTTTCTAATTGAATCTGTCACTGTTTTATTTATTTGTTCATGTTTGTAAACATTTCTCCTTCCCAGTGAGTCAAGGAGCTTTCAACCCATCAACGTGAGCTGTGTCACCTAATTCCCAGTTGTAAATATGAGCTTGTAGAAGGGTGATACAATTTGGGTGTGTCTCCACCCAAATCTCATCTTGAATTATAGTTGCCATAACCCCTATGTGTCATGGGAGGGACCCTATGGGAGGTATTTGGATCATGGAAGCCGTTACCCTCATGCTGTTCTCATTACAGTGAGTGAGTTCTCACAAAATCTGGTGGTTTTATAAGAGGATTTAATCACTTTTGCTCATTCTTCTCTTTCCTGCCACCATGTGAAGAAGGACATATTTTCTTCCCCATCTGCCATGATTGTAAGTTTCTTCAGATCTCCACAGCCCTGTGGAAGTGTGAGTCAGTTAAATCTTTTTCCTTTATAAATTACCCAGTCTCAGGTATGTCTTTATTAGCAGTGTGAGAATGAACTAATACAGAGTGACGCTGGTTCTCCAGGTGCCATCCCCATAACTGGTTGTTGAGTATCCCAAATGAGTTTACTTCTGAAGTCTGTGGGCCAGGATACTGAGGAGAACTTCCTTAAATACCACTTTGATACTAATTTTTCTCTGACTGCAGGAAATACCAGTTATGTGCCAACTAATGTCACACCAGGCCTCCATGGTCCTTAGAACCCATCACCATTGTTCCTTCAAATTGAGCAAGGATGTGCTTCAGGCTGGGCCAGCAGCATGGCTCTTCCAGGGGAGCCATGGAGGAAGCACATGGGGAAGGTTTAACAACCAACTTTCCAGTGTGCTAATAAGAATTCTGATTGATTAGTACTGCTATTATTTTAAGAGAAGGGGAGAGATGCTCTGCCATGTGGTGTAGGATTTTCTTGACTGGGAGGCAGTTTCTGAACCTAAGGTATAATGTTGGAGAGGAAATGAGATGGTGCTAAGGATGGCTTGGTGGGATAGTGTCCTCCAATAACCTCATACTCACTTCCAACCCAAGACATGCCTAATGAGCCTACAATATGAGAAAATCGAAAGCAAAGGATGTTTACAGAAAAGCATCCCTGGCCCTTCCTTTTGTCTAGACTAACAAAACCTCCTATAAACCTCCAATTCTAGAGCCTCCCCCAAGGTAGAGGACTGATGGATGGAAGGGGTGGAGGTAGGTGGTGCTATTTCATGGAGAAGTACAGGCCCTGTTGCTCCATGATGTGGAAGGTTTTGGGGCCAGGTACAGAGGAGGCAATTTGTTCACAGCATGGTGACCTGGTGGCTTTTCGGCAGTCCAGCAGAGATGGAGGTGTCAACATGACCACACAGTGTTTGCTCAGCATGAGGTTCATCTATCTCCCAGACATGACTTGGCAGTCTTCTCACTATTTTCTGTATTCTTTCAAGAAAGAACTGCCACTCTGTTCTCTGCATTGCATGATTAACTTCAGATTTTTTAGCTAACAATTGCCAGTGTCTTCCTTCGTTTGACTACATACCATGTACAAAGTATTTTTAGCATATCTCTCATATTATCCCTTATTAACTCTCTTAGCTTTAATTTATGACATACAACATATCATAGTAACTTCTACTCAGTGTTCTAAACTGGTATGGAGTTTCTTCATTTAGCAATATGTTAAAGCTTGTGTGTGTGTGTGTGTGTGTGTGTGTGTTAAGAGAACATTGATTAGATGTGACCTATATGATGGGCCTGTGATCACCTCTATAGCATTTTGCCTCCAGGTAGGGGACTGATTCCTCTAACTAGTCAATTTGGGGAGGATAAGGGCTCATGGTCAGGTGGCCTCTGTCTTCTGTCTCTTCAGCAGGCCTGTCCAAGGAAAATATAAGTGGCCTTGGCTCCTCCACACTGCAAGTCTTACTATGCAGGCTTCCATCTGCAGCACCCCAGTCCAGTGCTGAGACAGGATGGGAGAGTTGATCTAATTCTGGAATTTAGTGAACTTTCACAAGCTACATCCTGTGATTTAGCTCCTATCAATAGCATGGGTTATATTTTGACGACTTCTTTTCTTTTCTTTTTATGTTTTCTTGTCTTTTCCTTTCTTTTCTTTCTTTTTCCCTCCCTCCCTCCCTTCCTTCCTTCCTTTTCTAACTTTTTTAGAGCTATTGGCAAGGGCAAGTAGAAGGGTGCTATTCATTGGGATACACATGGGATAATCCAATGTTTGTTTTGGTTAATATAGTCAGTTGAACTCCACAACTTCTTTATCACTGAACATTAAAATTGTCTCTATTGGATCAGTTAACTTTCAATCACTTAGCTTGCATGTGTGTGTGTGTGTGTGTGCGTGTGTGTGTGTGTGTGTGTGTGCTTCAAGATTATTTAGGTGAGAAGTATAATTTACATGCATCCCCCAAAAAAACCCTGAGGATACTTCTCAGGCTAGGTAATCTTTGAAGATGAAACATGGGATGGTGATCCTTTCTGTACAACTCAATTATTAAAAAGGTATGCATCCCAGTGTCTTGCCTGTGGGTCCTTCCTGCTTGAAAAGACACTGGCAGAAATGTACAATGACGAATCTGCTATTTGTGGACTGGTAATCGCTAGGTTCAAGTGCACGTGGTGACCCCCACATCAACCCTGCAGGGAGTGGCTCTGCTACTTAGGGGTTGTCATTATTACATTTTTTTTCACCCAGTATTTCAGAATCAATCCAAGATTCATCTAAATGCAAAATAGGTGATAATGTTGCAAATGGGCAGAATACTGAAAGGAAATAAAATACAATGACCTTAAGAAAGAATGGGTCGTGAGATAAGCTTTTGATGAATTATAGAGCAGTCTTGGCAGTAATGCCATGATCAATGAATTAATCATTTGTTGCTGCACTGTTACATTGTTTTTAATCTGATAATGGAGGGGATACATTTTCCGTATAATTTATCATATATTTAGCATAGATGGGACCTTCAAAAAGTGCTTCTAGGCGAAGAAAAATCACCACTGAATTTGAAACAAATAGAATCTACACCTCTTGAAGGAGAAACTTCAAGTATAAGAAACTTCTCTGAGAGGTAATTTTCACTTCTGCTGATGAAATTAGGGTGCTTTATAATTCAATCAAGAACACAAGATTTTTTTAAAAATGTCTGCAACATTCTTGTATTAGTTTCCCATTTATGTGCAACCAATTACTACCAACTTATCTTGGCTTATCCAAATATTCTGCTTAGGGTCTCTCCAGGATGTAACCCTGATGTCTGCTGGCTGCATACTCACCTGGAGGCTTGATTAGGGAGGAGTCCCGGTGAGTCTCACTGAGGTTGACAGAACTCATCTCCTTGGACTGTGTGACTGAGAATACTGGCTCTCCCAGATTGATGGCTGGAGACTGCCCTCAGGTCCTAGAAGCCACTCCAGTTCTCTGCCACACATGCAATTATGACACAGCAGTGTGCTTCTTCCAGATTGGGAATTGTTATTTACCCATAAAAGTTCCCAGTTCTCTTTTAAGGGCTTTCATCCAATTTTAAGTAAGATCCAGTCAAGATAATGTCCCTTTTGCTTGACCAAAAAAAAGAAAAAAAATACCTTATCTGCAGTCTTAGTTGCCTGAAAATCTCATCACTTTTGCCTTAAAATGTACTTAATGAAAAAAAGTGAAATATGTGTTCATTTTGCTAAATAATGTAACCCAATCAAAGGAGACTGATCCCATCTCATTTTTCATATCCTGGTGCTTAGAAACAAGTCACAGGTTCTGCCCCACTCCAGAAGCAGAGATGATCCAAGTCCATAAATCCTTGAGGGACACTTCAGAGTGCATCTGCCACAACTTTTATTAGTTTATCATATTTACTGTAATTTTCATGTGACAATTTGAAGAGATTCTGGAAAAGGGGAATTAAAGATGAGAGATTAATTCAGTCCACTGCAGAAAAGTGGGAATTTGATTCTAGGAGCATTGTACTCATTACCTGGACAGCTATATAGTCCTAGAGTAGTGGAAATATCCCTCAAGACAGTAACTTCCCTCCATGCTTTCTCTTTCTGCTCACCAAACACTTTTGTACTTTACATTTTGGTCTCTCAAGTGAAACTGCCACCACAAAAGGGTGTTCTGAAAAAGCATACCACCAGTTTTAACACTATTTAAATGACTAGATTCTCATTCTGTATGAGTAGACATGGGACAGAACAAAAAAAATAAAAAATAAAAATAAATTGTCATTCCTGTTTATCTTCGTCCTAAAATTTTTTTTAACAGACATTTATTCATTGATTTACTGCTTGCCTGGAGTTTGTTTCTGTCCACGTAATGTCGCTCACTGTCTGTGAGGAGACTGAGATCTGTTTTAGTTCCTGTGATTCATCTGCCCTGAGGCCAGGTCAGGGGTATCTTCTCCTAGGATGAATTCCTTCCTCCTCGCTGTCCATAAGCCCACTATATTTCTCTGCAGCCAGGAACCCCTGGGAAGCATCCCTGTTAACTGCCATGCTCACACTGGAGCTCAGCCCTGGGCCTCTTTTGCTGACAACTCCACTCTTCCAAGGAGGCCAGAATCTGGTGGGGTCTGAGGACTCACCCTGAGCTGCTGGGATCACAGGAAAGACCCTGCAGCCTTCACCACAGGATCTGGTCCAGGGACCCTTTGGAGACTTCAAAAAGATATTCACCCTTCTTTGTCAACTGAGGAGAGTTAATTTTCATTCCCTGGAGACATACACAAAATCTGTTCACTGGACAGCTCTGCCCAATGCAACCAGGGGGTTTTCTTCTTCAATGTCTCTCTATCTGCAGTGCCACCCTTGTGCATGAAGATGATCATGGTTTTCCCGACAACACTGCTTCAGAACCCAGATTCTTCTGTTATGGCGATGGCCTCTCAAAAGAGCCTTTTAGTGATGAAAACAACTTCCAACATAGAACTGTTTCTACGCTGTGATTAAATGCAGGCATTTGATATAGAGCCAAACACCTGAGGAAGACGAAGTGACTGGGTCTGGCTTTAGAACTACACGGTGTTAAGACCCATGTCTTTCTATGTCTGGTTCGGCTTCCCTTTTGGGAAGAAGAGTGACAAGATCAGTCTCCCTCCACTCTAGAGAAACCACCATGAGGGTCATGGCAGTCTTGAATTGCGAGCTATGGAGATGTAGTGACTCTTCCATGTTGCTGCTGCGCATCATGGTCCCCCTTGAAATTCACAAGCATTTCGGGTCCTGAAATCCTATGATGCAGAAGGAGACCCTTCTCCTTTTTGAAACACAAATTCCAAGTGACCAGTCCTTAAAGTAGGTTATGCTTGGGTACAGTTTTAATTTAATCTCACAACCCTTAGCATGAGAACTGATACGCCGCATATCTCTAAATAATCATCTGAATTCAGGTTTTGTTTTATGTCTTTGGAGCCTGATACTGAAAGCATTTTCTGGTATAGAAGATTCTGAGATTGTTTTCCTCTGACACAGTCATCCATAATCAACCAAGCGATGTGCCACATTCAAGAAGGCCCAGGTGTCAACCCAGGACAGACAGAAGAATTTATTACATGGAATAAAGAGTGAAGCTTAAGCCAAAAGATCCTCTGGTGATTTTTCTTCTTCATCCTTCATTCTTGACAATTAATTAATCAATGTATGAATATGGATTGAACTGTCATTATTAAATATCTTTTATATTCTTACTTGTGTTGAAGGCTTCATAGGCAACAGAAGATATATTGATGGGATATACATATTGATGACTGCAAAATAGTCTCAGAGATAGTGTAATAATGACCACTTCTGCAAATGATTTTTCTTTAATCTGCTAGAAACTGTTAACTGTTCTAGATGCTTAGCAGAAATTATCTGAAATTCTCACTGGGGAAACTGCAATGTGGGTAAAGCTAGCCTACTTTAAAAATAACAAAAGCAAGGCTCAGAGTAAACTTACCCAAATCTCCACATAAACAATGAATGAACAAGAAAGCATTACTATTATATGATTATTATAATATTAAATACCAACAGTTAATTGACAAGAGTGTCTTATGTGGGTTGGATTATCTCAGAATGAGAAGAGTACTTGGTGAGTTGCAGTCACAATGGAGGCATAGAATTGAATTAAATGGTTCATTTTTTTCTGGCTATGATTGATTATTTTACTCCTCAGAATTGAAAATTAGGCTGGGCAAGGTGGCTCACGCCTGTAATCCCAGCACTCTGGGAGGCCAAAGAGGGTGGATTGCCTGAGGTCAGGAGTTAAACACCAGCCTGGAAAACATGGTGAAACCCTGTTTCTACTAAAAATACAAAAATTAGCCAGGCGTGGTGGTGGGCACATGTAACCCGGGTACTCGGGAGGCTCAGTCAGGAGAATTGGTTGAATCTGGGAGGCGGAGGTTGCAGTGAGCTGAGATCCCGCCACTGCACTCCAGCCTGGGCAACAGAGTAAGATTCTGTCTCAAAAAAGAAAAAAGAAAGAAAAGAAAAAAGATAATTAAATAATCTTTAGCCACACAAAAAATAGTCTTGGTAGTGAAAATCACATACGTAATTATCTACAAGCCAATTATTTTTTCCCTAAACTACATGGGAATGGCTAATTTTTAACTTGTGATCATGCTTTCTACCCTGTCTTTTATGATACTTCCCCTGTTTGAAGTTAATTATATAAGTATTTTCTAAAAAAACTAATATATAGTGAAAAACAGAATCCAATGTAGGTCATTTTCTAAGAGAATAAAGAGTAAACAAGGCAGCTATCCTTTCTAAGCTTCAATCTCCTCATCTGTAGAAAGGAAAAAAATACTCTATTATTATTTGTAAAGTATTATTTATTAATTTTTATTATTTTCTATTATTATTACCATGTAATATAATAACTTCCATGATTTTTGTGAAAATGGATAAAATAATATTTGTAAAATGCCCAGTACTATTGAGCACATAGAGAGATAATTAGTAGATATTACCTTTGGATAGGAAAATTAGCTTTTGGCTAATTGCTATCAGAATCAGCCTGCAAACCAAAAGCCCTTGGATAGTTTCTTAATTCATTTTCCTGGAGAGATGCACCCCTAAAATAATTCCACAAATTTCTAAAAGAACCAGTTATATTATCCAGTGAGTCTTTCATGTAGTCCAAATTTCAGCATATTCAAAGCTCTTTGGGGACTTCCAGGTTTATAAACTATTGCTGGTATTGAAAAGTTTTGCTTTTGGTGATGCTTTGTATAATCAACAAATTTAATGTTATTCACCCTTAGGAGTTCTTGACAAATAATATCCTAAACACACAGTTAAAACATAAGAAAGAACTAAAGCTTTTTATGAGTTCTAAAGACCCAAACAAAACTTAAACTCCCTTCATATTCTGACTCCCACAGCATCTTTTCAGACTGTAAATAATTATCACCTCACTGAGAAAGAAAACAGAATAAAATATTTGCATTCTAGCATCTCTTCCTACTTACACCTTAAGAATGAAATGTTGGATCCTGGTTATGACTCTAGGACAGAATGCTTTGGTACTAACCCAGACTGATATGGTTCTCAATCAAATGCACTCTGTTTCCTGTACTACATCAAATGCATGTTGCCTACCTGTCCACTTCGGGTTTAGAGAGCAAATCGAGAAAGTAAACAGTGTGTGGAATGTTTAAGATGTAAATTACTCTAAAGGATGAATCACAAAGATGCAAAATGGTACAATCAACTTAGAAGACAATTTTCCAGTTTCTTACAAAACTAAATGTTATCATACTATATCATACAGAGATTATGCTTCTACATCTTTATATGACAGATTTGAAAATTTATGTCCACACAAAAATGAACAAATGAATATTAATAGCAGCTTTATTCATAATTGCCCCCAAATTGGTAGTAATCAAGGTATTCTTCATTAGGCGAATAAAATGCGGTAGAACTAAACAATGGAATATTTTCCAGTGGTAAAATAATGAGCTTTCTATCTACGCAATGATGTGGATGTACTTTAAACACATATTGCAAGTGAAAAACTGGCCAATTTGAAAAGGCTACTTACTAAATAATTCCATATATATGACATTCTAGAAAGGCAAAACTATAGGTATGGTAAATAGATTAGTGGTTGCCAGGAGTTTGAGGCTGAGCCAGAGTTGATGAGGTAAAGCCCACGGGATTTTTAATGCAGTGAAACTTTGCATATACAGCTATGAGTTAATAATGCTATGTTTGTATCATACATGGTACTCGATAGCACAAAGACCAACCTTAATCTATGCAAGTTTTTAAAAAACATTTGGGAGTTCAGGGGATCCCAGGATGAAATGCAGATTGTGACAAAAGAATCTGTGTACACATGTATGAAACAACCTCACTGATAGGCATGGTGGGGAAAGTGTTAACCTAAGCAACATTGGGAATTAGTGGAATCTATAAGATTAAAGACAGTGGAAACTGCACATAAGCACTGTACTCTAGTTGATAAAGTTGATATGCACAGGTTAGCAATGGTGAAACCACTGTACATATATACTGGAATGGAACAATTACAAAAATGGGTGGCAGATGGTAGGAACCAGGTTTCTAAATGTTGAAGTGGAAGTTTATAGAAAAGCAAAGAAAGAAGGCATGAATGATCCATGTGGCAATGAATTAGAGTTGGAGACATCAGTATGAGCTCATGTTTAGCTACATGTTTGTGCACATAGATGCATACATAGAAGGATATTTATAGATATATGGAGATGCACAGTTTAGTATACACATATATTTCCTTGTTCTATCAACTGAGAAGGTCTAGAAGCAATGACACCCCAGTAGCAAAAACCACACTTATCACCCAGAGTTTGTTTTCTAATTCTATTATGAGATAAAAAGAAGCAACATACTTGAAAAAATTGCTGGTTCTAGGAATGGTGCAGGGAACAGGCTCGATGATCCTAGAGCTTCATATAGTGCCATAAAGTGAAGAAATGTTTTTAAAAGTCCACAGTCATGAGGGTATGTCAAGGAGACACAGGAGATGACTGAAAGAGCCCCAAATAGCTGAAGCTGGATAATTAAAGCAACAAAACTAATAAGGAAGTATTAAAACCCAAAATATAAGTTAAGTATCCATGATTCCATATTGATATAAATTAATGATTGTATAAGAAAGCAGAATTGGAGAATATAAAATCTTTTTTTGGAGAAGAATTCCACACAATTTATGTAGACATTTCAGTCTCAGGGAGATAGAACATAATTCCACACTTCTTAAGTGTGGGCTGTGCACAGGGCATTCTTTCCAAAGGGTACTGTATAGAAAGGAAGGGAGAGTAATTGTACAGTAGAGGAACCTGACACACACTATCTCAGGCAGATGATCAAGATGAACAACAGTGGTGAGTTGATTTGGTTTGGCTGTGTTCCCACTCAAATCTTATCTTGAATTCCCACGTGTTGTGGGAGAGACCTGCTGGGAGGTAATTGAATCATGGGGGCAGGTCTTTCCCATGCTGTCCTCATGATAGTGAGTAAGTCTTACAAGATCTGATGGTTATTACACGGGGGAGTTTTCCTGTACAAGCTCTCTTTGCCTGCTGCCATCCATGTAAGATGTGACTTGCTTTTCCTTGCCTTCCACCATGATTGTGAGGCTTCCCCATCCACATGGAACTGCAAGTCCAAATAAACCTCTTTCTTTTTTAAATTACCCAGTCTCAGGTATGTCTTTATCAGCAGCATGAAAATGGACTAATAATACGTAAGTCATGGTCAGAGTATGTACCCTTGATTTGATGTGATGGAAATGGCTGAGCCACGGCCATTTTCAGGCACAGCAAAGAGGAGCCTAAAGAGAAATAGTGACTAAAGGCATGTGGTATTCTGAATGGGATCATGGGTCAGAAAAAGAATAGTAGGTAAAAACCAAGGAAATCCAAATAACATACATACTTAGTTAATAAAAATGTATCAATATTAGTTAAGTAATTTTGACAATTGTACTTTACCCATATAAGATATTAATAATAGGAGAGATTGGGTGCATATGGAAACTCTGTGTACTAGCTTCACATATTTTCTGTAAATTCAAATTTTTTTTAAAAAAAGGTCACTAACTTTTTTGCAAACTTGTAAAAGGCATTGCTTTTAAAAAAAACAAAATTATAATTATTCCTTGCTCAAAATCATTTGGATTTTTTATATTAGATTTGTTTTTTGTGACCTTGCTATATTTATTTATTAGTTCCAGGGATTGTTAAATTTTTTTAGCTTCTTTGATATAAATTCTTTGAGATTTCCTCTGTAGATAATCACGTCATCTTTGAATAAAGACAGCCGTATTTCTCCCTTTGCAATCTATAAACCTTTTATTTCTTTTTTGTGTCTTGTTGCACTAGCAAGACTTCTCTTATTGGATAGCAGTAGTGATAGAGCACATTGCTTTGTTTCCAATCTCAGGGAAAATGTCCAGTTTTTTACTATCAAGTATTATGTGACTTGATTTTTTTGTATTTTTATTTTTATTTATTTATTTATTTAAATCAAGTTGTGGAAACTCCCCTGTTACGAAGTCAGCTGACAGTTTTATCACATGTGGGTACTGGATTTGTTATCTGCTTCTCCTGCATCAATTGATGAAGTCATTGTAAAACGTTCGTTAGCCTACTTACAGATGGATTACATTGACTAATTTCTGAATGTTAAATTAGACTTGCATAACTGAAAAAAAAATCTCCCTTGGTTATGATGTATAATACTTTATATATATTGTTGGATAAAATGTGATAATATTTTTTGGCAATCATGTCTACATTCACGAGAGATATTGGTCTGCAGTTTTCCTTTTCATTTTACAAGACATTTTTCTTTTAATGTCTTTATCTTGTTATTAGAGTAATGCTGGACTTTGTGAGTTAGGAAATGTTTCTTCTGTTTTTATTTTTGGGTAGAAATTGTGCAAAATGTGTATTATTTCACCTATTCCAAAGGCAGAAGCAGCCATCTGAGGTACTTGAAACTTTTAATGAGATACATAGTTTTGGTTATAGCAGATTCTTTCATAAGAGACAAGGGTTAGCCTTAGCTTTCATGGTTTTCTGAAAGGTTTTGAGATTGTTAAAATTAGAAAACCAATGTCATTTCCTTACACGTTTTAGAAATATGTTTGTCACAGGGAAAAATTACTCTGGTTAATCTAATCTACATTCTGTAGCTTGGCACAGAAAGAAGAAAGACAGGCTGTCTGCCCAGCGAAGTCACAATAGAGTGAATTTTCATCCTGTTTTGCCCAGTAGAGCCTCATCCTGCCTACTGTCTAATCAGCTTTTCCAGTTTTGCATTTTTCCTACATCTTTTATTTTTTAAGTAGTATGATTAATCATTGCATGAAAACAAGCTGTGATGTTTGAGTCATCCTCACACGCTCCTCTCTAGTTTTTACCTGCCCATGTAAATAGACCTATATTTCTACAGTGATACTAAACATTTTCTAAATAAACAAGTCCTCTAAGTTTTGCTTGTTTTTTCTTTGTTAAAAACCAATTGGAAATATTTAATCAAATATTAAATGAAAGGTAAACAAAAAGATAAGCTTTTAAACCTTTGAATGAGTTCCAGTACTCGCACACAGAAAGCAATTATACCTACAAAACAAGGAAAAAACGAAGATATGCAATAGGCATTCGAGTGTACATAGTTTAGTGTTTAAATTAATAATTGCACTTTGGAATACCTCATCTCATGAGAAGAATGTTTTGGTGGAGTTTACATTTTTAATTTGATATACTCAGTGCCACAACAGAGCAATATTGAGATACCTGTGAATTTTTAGCATCTAAACTCGGCAAAACTTTTAGAAGGATCATAAAGATAAAGAAAAGTACTCTGGATAACTGAATGGTGCCACTACATAAGACATATTTACACATTTTATTTTAAAACTAATACACAAAATGTTTTAGAACTGAGACTCTCCGTTTAGCAGATTTTGCTCTCAGGTTAGCAGGTACTACAGCACTTAGAGAAATAATATTTTCCCTATTAAAAGTATTATGATATATAGAAAAGGGCCAATTAAACATTGTCAATAATTTCAAATACATTGACTATAACCTGCAATTTAGAAAATTAAAACTAATATGACCATATTTGTTTTATCTCTCTCAGTTTCTGTATCTCTGTTTCTCACTTTCTCCCTCATGTATCATAAAGAAGAACAGTTGATGGCAACCAAAAATGTTATTTGTTTGAAAATAAGTTTCTGTTTTGGTAGAGGTATTATCAGACCAGTCCCAGTATCTGGTCCAGGAGAGTGGGTTAGTTACTGCTGTTGGGGCTGGGAAGAGAAACTATGGCTCTCCTCTTGGGTGCACCATCGTTTTGAGTCTGAAAATAGTCAATACAGACTAAGAGAGAAGAAGATTGTTTACCCCAACATGGGGGGTGTGATCAGACATTATATCACCGCATGTGAGGTAAGCAGACCTTGTAGAAACAAATAACTTTATGATTTCATTAGCTACACAATCAGAAACAATATTGGTTAACTGAAGGGAGGTTCACACCCACTTCCTATTTCTACCTATTGTCACACAAATACATTCCTTTACCACCCTCTTCTCATTCTTACTTCCTTGAGAAGACAGAAGATGTGGGTCACACTCGTTTCAGGAACACTACAATTTAGCAAGAGGATAAAACATGGTAACTGAAATTTAGAAACATAGGCCTGGCGCAGTGGCTCACGCCTGTGATCCCAGCACTTTGGGAGGCCAAAGTGGGCAGATCACTTGAATCCAGGAGTTCCAGACCAGCCTGTCCAACATGGTGAAACCCTGTCACAACTAAAAATACAAAAAATTAGCTGGATGTGGTGGTGCACACCTGTAGTCCCAGCTACTCAGCAGGCTGAGGCAGGAGAATCGCTTGAACTCAGGTGGCAGAGGTTGCAGTGAGCCAGGATTGCTCCACTGCACTCCAGCTTGGGTGACAAAGCAAGACTGTCTCAAAAAAAAAAAGAAAGAAAAAAAAGAAACATAAAGAAACATTTACTTAAATAGAGGTGGCATTTAATAATTGTATTATACTACAAACCCCTTGAATATCTTCATTGCCTTCTGTCTACTCTCTAGAGTGAGTGGAGGTTGGGTGATGACAGCAATAGTGATGTTGTTTAAAGTAAGCAAAATTGATAGTAGTTATTAGAATAAAGCCTATTCCATCTCCTTACCTCACTAAGTATTTACCAAAAATGGTAAATAGGGTGAATATCCACCCACATTCTAATGCCAGATAATTCAGAATCACCTTTTACACAGTGTTATTCTTGATCTCTGCTAATTTTATTTTCTGTCTACTTTCTGGATGTGCTAACTTCTCTCCAACACCTCCAGCATCACCCTGGTCCAAGCCACCTTCAGCTCTCACCTAGACTAACACAGTTCTTCCTGTCTCCATGAGCCTCCTCTCCAGTTGCTGTATTGCAAATAACAATCAAAACAGCATTTAAAAGCAAAACAACAACAGCAAACAAATGGTAAGCAAACAATCAACCTAATCATTCCCTCTCTTATTTCCAAGTGGCTTATTCAGAAAATAAAATCCAAATCAGTTGTATGATGTAACTGTCCTGTTAGTGGCATTTATCTACTGCTTCAGGCTTAGCGTCCACCACTCAATCATTTGCTCGGTATCTCCTGGGTTCCCCCTTTCTTCTATTTTCTGAAATTCTAACATCACTTCCTGTCTCTCAGTACCTTCATACCTTCCCTCTATCTGGATTGTTCTCTGACATGCTTCCTCTACCTCCTACTCATCCTTCATGCATTAACTAACTGTCACTTCCCTCGTTTTCCTACTTTTGAGTTTCCCCATAACAATTGATTCTAGTAAAATTTGCTATTTCTCCCTTGCCAAAATTTGCTATTTCTCCTTTGCCAAATGTATTATAATTTTAGTTAGATCCATTTTGTGATCTTGTGTTTCATATCTACCTTGCCTCTAGACCATAATAAGCTGTATGGCAGCAGGAGAGAGATTATACAAGCTTTGGTGACTAAATACTTAAAAATGTCTGAACTAGATGAAATAATCAAGATTGTCGTTTGGGGAAGAAACGCCTGAGTGTTTCAAGTGTTGACAAATCCATGTCCACTCACATCCATGGGAGCCCCTTCTTTCTTATTGGTTTCATCACTTCCTATAATTCATCTCTCTCAGCTTCTCCAGAGCCTGACATAAGCTGACAGAGTCATGAATTTAATAAACTAGAATAATGTGACTCTGCAGACTGAAAAAAAACTTACTATCCAGAAGATGAGGATTGTATTCCCAGTTTTGCTATTAATTTTCTCTCTGAACCTAAGCAAAGCACTAAGCATTTCCATGTACAACTTCATTGCTTCAGCAAAACACTGATTTGGTTCCTTAGAGAAATAAAACATTGTAATTCATCTTGAATTTTTTTAAAAATTAGATTGAAATGCTAAGCAATTACTTTCTTATGATGTAATATTGATCACAATGCAGTTATTGATTCAACAACATATTTATTATTGATGGAAATTGTCTGCCTGGTATTCTAATTCAATTAAATGTTACTGTCATCATCCTCACGGTAATGCTGCATTCATCATCAGAACTGTTCACTGCTAGATAATTTGAATTCCCCCCCTTCCCAGTGTTGTTCTGTGAGTGGATTGCTTCACATCTAAAAACAAGCCAGGGAATGATGGGCTTGATTTTATTAAAGCCACACACTTCAATACTTCACTAGATTTCTCCTAGAATGTGACATACAGAGTAAACTATTAAAGTATCTTCTTCCAAACGTATGAAGAAAAAAGCTTTACAATTTTTTTTTTGCTCCAGATAAACCTTCTACCTCCCCAAGTTTCTAAAGGCACACATCTCTTTGGGATTTAACAGAGCATCATCACTTAGCCAAGCAAACTGCATGCTAAACAGATCCAGCTGAATAAATTGGACCACTTGATTTTTTTTTTTGTTTGGTATTGTCTCATGTATCCAATTCCGTTAATAGAAAATACAGTGCTACAAAATCATTGCTATGTTATAAGAAAGCAAGAAAATCCAATGATTGCATAGGTATATAACTAAATTTATGGTAAAAAAATTCTTTTTTTGGAGTTGAACTCTCTCATGCACCATTACAATAGACTTATTTAATGTACAGAAGAATCAGATTTATTCTTGTGGATTTTGAAAACACTGGGACCTATTTACAAAAATTATAGAAAGTCACATATTGGTTTAATAAAGAGAGGGTTTCTAATGACTGGGATGGTCCAAGAATGAGGTGGTCTGGCTTGTGTCCTAGTAAATTAGTGGTCACTGAGAGTACTGGCCTGATGACCTCTGTCAGATAAAACTCCCAGATTAAGTAGAAGGTTGTACAGAGGACATCTGATAGCATCTCTACCTTCAAGGTTTCCAATGTTGGCCATAGTCATAAGTTCTCCCTTCAGATAACACTCACAGCCAAATTTCATCCTTGACTATTATTATGTTAGTCATCCACTGGAGAGTTCAGGTTCAGGGTCTTTTATGAGGTTATAGTCAGATGGTGCCTGGAGCCTCAGGCATCTGAAGGCTTAAATAAGGTGGGGGTCCACTTAAAAGGGGCTTTCTTGGATGGATGACAAACTGGTGCTGGCTAATGGCTGGGAGACTCAGCTCCTTTCACTGTGTGCTTCTTCACAGGAACACCTGAGTGTCCTTATGGTCCTCATCCCTAAAGTGAATAATTCAAAATACCAAGGCAGAAGCTACAATGTCTTTGTAACAGTCTTAGTCGTGTATTGCCACTTGAATAGAAGTAGAAGGGAACTAAACAATGGCGTGAATATTAGTGGGCAGGCTCACTGGAAGACTTTGGAGACCAGCTATTATAGTCCACCTCCTTCCCTCATTGTCTCATGTCTATTTCATATGCAACGTATACTTGTGCTTTGTTGGGAGACAATTCCTCATGAGTCTCATATTTCTCCATGTCTTGTAAGCAGAGAGTGCCTATTGTTTCACACTCTGTTTTCAAAGATGGTTGTATAATGAACAGCTGTGGAAGATACACTTTCTCCCTCAAGAAGAGAAGACCTGTCTTCTTATAGCTGTAAATAGAATATATCCCTCAGAAGCAAAGCAGAGGCAAGCTTACCATGCAGTGTAATAATGGATAACGTCTTTCTCCAGACTAAGGACAGGCAAGCTTACTGTTACAAAACACTTGGGGTTTCTAAGCTCAGTATTCCTTTCCTGTAATGCAATCCACTCTGTGTACAGGTATCTATCCAGGTCTCACTGCATTGTCCTCACGGCACTTGGGAGCCAGGGGAACTGACACGTGATGTTCATACTTACTGCTATTCTCGGAGTAACAAAAAAAAAATTCACTTTCTTCGACCAGGAGACATCATGTTTTCTACCAGCATTCTTGAAACTATGGCAAGTTAACTAGTTATCAGGTAAGTGTGGTAACATATCAGACCCTTCTCAGCTCTTGACACTGTCTTCCAAGAATACCTCCATCCCCCACCCAAGTCTCATCCCATTATAGCATCAGCTTGAAGCCCAGATCTTAACATTCCAATCAGGTCCATTTCAGAAAGTGGCTCTTCCCATATCAGCTCTTTGAAATCTGAACGCCTGTGAACTAGAAAGGCAAGTTATTCACTTTCCATGTGCCCAACACATAGTGGTGAGACTTATGTAGAATAACTGCTACAACACTTTGGGAGGCCAAGGTGGGCGGATCACGAGGTCAGGAATTTGAGACCAGCCTGGTCAATGTGGTGAAACCCTGTCTAAACTAAAAAAAATACAAAAATTAGCCAGACGTGGTGGCACACGCCTGTAGTCCTAGCTATTCGAGAGGCTGAGGCAGAAGAATTACTTGAACCCGGGAAGCGAAGGTTGCAGTGAGCCGAGACTGCACCACTGCACTCTAGCCTGGGCGACAGAGCAAGATTCTGTCTCAAAAAAAAAAAAAAAAAGAAAAAGAAAAAAAAAAGAGGAACTGCTACAGACCCTTCTATCCTCAAAGGGGGAATAGAAAGCACACTTAAGTCACTTCTCCATAGTAATTCTAAAATCCATTTGGACACATCAGGCCAATTTCTTGATGAGGGCTCAGCACCACTGCCTGAGATCTTGGCTCCAAACTTTGGGCTTTTGGTTCTGACTTCTGTGTCATTCTACCTTTTGGATAAAAAAGTGGCTGGTATTTGCATCTCAGTTTTTTTCAGTTTGCTTTCTGCTTATAACAGTTGAGAAGCCCAAGGCCTCTTTGCATTTTTACTGACTCTTTCCCTTTTTATCCAGTCTGGTGGTGTTTCATCTACTACAACTGTATAAAATGTGTGTAGGTCTTTTGTACATTTTGCAGGGATTCACTCCATTGGAGAATAGACACACACAAATCTCATCAAGATCATCTTTCTTTTACCTTTTGTTGCCCGTAAGGCCCCTGTAGCACAATGCTCTTAAGATTCTTAGGAGTGATTTTTTAATAATAAAATGTGTGGTGTATACCGTTTGCATCCTGGGAAGGACACTGATCTGTTTGAGGCTCCGTCTTGCATGTTTCTGATATATTACAAAAAGGCTTCACAGTCACACCTTTGACCTCACCTGTGAACCATTTTTGACTCACAGTGTTCTGAGCTATCTTCATCTGGAAGCTTTTCCTTTAAGATCTTTTACTATTTAGAGAGACCAGAAATGATAAACAGTTTTTAGTTTTGAACCCAAAAAACCCTGGTTCCTTTATATAGAACAGCTTTTTTTTTTTTTCTGATTGTATTTCCCTATGTCTCTCACATTTTGCAATGGGTACCGAAGAACGCAAGACAGTGCCTTCAACACATTGCCTAGAAACCTCCTTTGATGGACCCTCCAGGTGATAAGGTACATTTTTTTCCCTATAGTCCATCTTACATAGGAAAGAGTTTTGTTCTACTCTATGCCGCTTTATAATTTTATAAAGGGGCCCTCTTTCCTCCATTTTCCTCAAATGAATGCTAAGTACTCACTGCAGCCTACTTGGAGGGCATCAGGCTTCTGCCAACACTCTCTTCAAGCTCTCTAGGATTTCACTAACGCATTTCCCAGGAACTTTTCTAGCTTCTGCTCACTGCAGGGTCCCAATGTCCATCCCATATCTTTTAGAATTTCTGTTATTGCAGCAATCAGAGTTGACCCTGTGTTATCAATTCAATTCTATGGGAGTGAGGCTATATCATAAAATGTATGGCAGCTTCCATCTTGTTTTCTTAAATCACTTTCCCTGCGGTAAATGAGACACTGTTCCTTAAGGATACTCAAACAGCCTCGTGGACAGGCCACATGGAGAGCAATGGAGCTCCACAGGATGGTCCACAGGATGGCTCACAGGATGGCCTTCATTTTTATGTACCAAAATCTGTACTATCTACCTATTTTTGTGTAACTAAACATCCCAAAATTCATGTTTAGAATAATAATACTCATTCCTTATCTCCCATGTTTTCTGTGGGTCAATGATTTAGGAGCAGCATGGTAGGAAAGTTCTGGCTCAAAATCTTTCATGAAGCTGCACTCAGGTGCTGGCTGGGGCCAAAGTCGTGTGCAGGTTTGACTGACTGATGCTGGGGGAGCCTCCTCCAAGGCATGTTCCTGACGTTGCTGTAAAATAGGTATGGCGATTGAGCAGGGACCTGCATTTCTCTCCCTCTGTGTGGGCCTCTCCACGAGGGTGTTTAAATACACTTACAGAACGGTGTCTAGTTTACCACAGAGAAAGCAATTTAAGAAAACAAGATGGAAGCTGCCATGCTTTTAAAGATACAGCCACATGTCCATAGAATTTAATTGATAACACAGAGCCAACTCTGATTAAATGTGAGGATGGATTGCACACAGGCATGCAGACTGCAAATGGAAGTGAGGGCCGCTGGAGAGCTGCTTGCAAGCCCACCACCACTATAGCCAGCTGTGAAAAGTTCTACATAATCCATAAAGAAGCAAGAGGTCAGAAAAATCCATTGATGTGCTGGGTGGTATTACTCAGAGGAATATGGTCAGACTCCAGTGTTTGTGGGAGATTTAAGTGTGAAAACAAGGGATACTTCAAAATCATGTTACCACATTGGGATGTAGGTGTCTATGCGTCTGTGTGTCTATGTGTCTATGCAGCTGTGTGTCTATGCATCTGTGTGTCTATGTGTCTGTGTGTCTGTGTCTGTTTTTAGTTACTCTTTAAAATGTGAATTTTCCTGAAAATTTTTTAAAATAAGCTTTACATTTTGGAACAATTTAAAATTTACAGAACAGTTTTAAGGATAAAACAGAAAGTTCCCATGTACCTTTCATCCAGTTTCTCTAATGTTAACATCTTATATAACTATGGTATATTTTCCGACACTAAAAAACGAGCATTGGCGCATTACTATTAATTAAAGTCCAGACTTTATTTGGATTTTGCCAGTTTTCCATGGATGTTCTTTTCCTGTTCTGGGATCTGATCTGGGAAACCACATTATATTTAGTTAGTATAGTTGTTAACTGTGATATCTCACTCGGGAATCACAGTCTTCCATATTCTCAGCTCTTCTACCCCCTTTCTCCCACCAGAATCACTTCAGAGATCATTGAGATGACTAGTCCATGATCTCTTTCCTTACCCCCATCAGTCTCCTTCAAGTTTTGACTCAATTTTCTCTTCATTTGGACCACACATTTTGCAACATTGATGGTCATTCAAATGTCACTCTATCAACTCTCTGCCTTCCATTGATTTTCACAGCCCCTCATCAAAAAGCCTCATTTCTGTGTAAGTGAAATCTCCAAAGCTTCTCTCTCTATTCTCACATTGGTGATGGATTACAGTTTAGAATCTCTAAAAGTTCATGGTCTCCAACCTCAGTTTTCTCAGGACCACCTGGCTATCCTACCATGTATTCCTCGTTACTCCCTGACCAGTCCCTATTTAAACCTGTTCTAAGATTTAATCGCTGGTTTATACTATGCATACTATTATGCCCACCACATCCCCATTCAGAACACTACCTTCCCTTTCCCCGCTTCACCATAGAAATACAGGAACCACGAAGGACTTGCCAATATTCTTCCACAGCTGCCCTGTCCCAATTAGTGACACAATTTTTGGCACCTGCCCTCGTCATTCTTTATCTGCTCAGTGGAGGAGGCTCCCCTGATCACAGACTGTCATCCACCTTGTCCTTGCACTGCATACCCCTTCCACTCCTTGGGGACCTTACCCCATTAATTACCCAGCCTCTGCAGATGTCTTTAATCCCTCCTCACTTGCTGCTGTTTCAGCTTATACATGGCTATATGTACACTTCCTGCCTTAGAAAAACTTTCCTCCAAACCTACTTCCCCCTTTTGCCTACTGCCCAAAGCCTTTTCTTCAGTTTTTAGGTGCCATGATTCCCTTTGAATCACTCACTCCTCAACCTTGATAATAGAGCATATGCCCCATTACTCCATGGAACTGGCCTTGCCAAGGATGCTAACAACCACTCCCCTGTTCAATGCTACTGAAACTTATTAATTACTGTTCCTCATCTCACTGCAGGATTAGACTTGAATGACCTCATCTTCCCTCCAAAACACTTTTGTTCCTTAACATCCAGATGACAAGTATGCTGCTCTTGTACTTTTTTTTCTTCCCCTCTGAATGTTCTTTCTCAATATTCTTTGTAAGTTTCTTCTTCCCTATTTTTAATATTGGGGTCTCACAAAGTTCCAGCCTGGTTTATTTTCTTTATTCTCTCTTCATGGTTAATGAAATGATCACATCAAACCTTCCTGCAAACTACCACCTTCCTAGCTCTAGACTGAAATGTACCAGGTTTAGGCATTTTTACACCTGATTTATTCGTAGAACATGGGTATTTTAATAATCTCTTATAACTTGTTTATGAAACATGCTGAAGGTCAATAACAAATATTCAAAACTCCTTTCTTACATTTTACTTATCCTTTCTCAGAACTGGTTAATTATAGTTTGATGTTATTTGAATGCTATTTCCTAAAATACAGATGGAGTAGAACTTTCAATACTCATTGCTTCTTTGTTCCATTTTCATTATTTCCTTATGGAAATGTAAGATATGTTTTCCTATTTATGTTCTTCCAAGTGGCATTGCAGACTTTGAAAGTATCATTAAAGTTGTGCCCGAGCCTTAAGTTTTCCATGTATTTTCTATGCCAGAAAATTTAGCATTTGTATAACATAATACTCTAAGCTTCTGACTGATTATATATATATAATATATATAATTATATATTATATATATTATTTATTATATATAGTTATATATTTATATATTATATTATATATATAATTTATATATAATAAAATATATATTTATATAATTTATATATTTATATAATTTATATATAATATAATTATAATATATATAATATAATATAAATATAATTATACATAATATAATATAAATATAAATATAAATATATATAATATAATATAAATATAAATATAATTATATATAACATAATATACATTTATATAATTATATATAACATAATATATATTTATATAATTTATATATAATATATATAATATATTATATATTATAATATATAATATATTATAATATATAATATATAATATATAAGTTATATATATTATAATATATATTTATATAATATATACATATATATTTATATAAAATATAATATATACATATATATTTATATAAAATATAATATATACATATATATTTATATAAAATATAATATATACATATATTTATATAAAATATATATAAATATATAATATATATTAAATATATATAATATATAATATGTATTTATATATTATATATTCATGTATACTATATATTATATATTCATATATATTTATATATTTATATATTCATATATATTTATATATTTATATATTATATATTCATATATATTTGTATATTTATATATATAAATCTCCTTTGGTTTGAAGTTACTCTAAATCAATAGTAAAGGCATATTTTAATTGATGCTGAAGTGGAGGAAAAATACTGAAGTTCTTCATATCAACAGGGGGAGAAGAAAATAGAAAATGAGTGTTAGAATTGGGAAATTGTTTACACAAGTTATTTATTAAGAGTTTAGTCAGAAGTTTTATTAAATGAATAGGCTTTTGACTTACAAGAAGCGGTTCATGGTATTTGTGGTTTTACATATTCATTGGATCTCCTTCCTTTATGCAGCATTGGGGTTAATTCTTTTCCACAAAACAAGATAAGGGAAAGAAACGGGAAAGGCTTCCCCAGGGAATATCACCGCAGAGCCCAGTCGCCCCATGTGGCAGGACCTGTAGCAGGGACAGTGGTGTGATGTGGCTCCTGATAGGGTTTTCTGTTGGTAAAGCAAGGAATGCTTGTGGCTCAAGAGGCTGAAAAGGAGCATCCTACTCAGATTAATAGCTCTGGGACATAATTTCATCCACAGGAAACTGTTCTGGGAGAGAGGAAAGGAGGCCACGGAACAGCAAACCCAATCACTCCCCGGGGCCAGCAGAGGCCCTTCAGGTTCAGGTGGGGGTCACTGCCTGTAACCACTTTCCTTCACCTGTGCTGTGTTTGCTTCTGCTTCCAACAGACTTTGAAACTATAAAGACAAATCAGCTAGTCTTCCATCTTCTGGATTTAGCCACTTCCCATTATAAATGAAGGGATTTTCAGGCGGAATGTAAGCCATGTTCCTCTCCTTATCTAAATTTTTTCTGCTGTGTGCTTGAGCCCCAGCAGGAGATCTATGCAGGACAATGATCTTATAAAGCAGACAATTCAGGGAAGAACAAGGAACATTATCTTCATTCGCATAAATGAGCTATTACCATATACCTAACCAGCAGGGAATACTGAAATGAGAGAAATAAAGGTAGGTTGAGTAAGAGATTCTGCACAGAGGAGAGGAGTTGCACAGGTGCTGAAGGATAAAGGAGAGTTTAGGTTATGGCAGGACCAGAGTTCCGGGAGGGCAGTAGAAGTATCGGGCTGTTCACTGCTCTATTGCTGTGTCTGGCACAAACTCAGTAGGTTGTTTTTAAATAAATGATAGATCCAAAGCACTGAGAATTTCCCAGTAGAAGCTTCAGGTTTAGGGTTCACTGAATTTTGAAAGAGATGAAATAATTCTGTTTCTGAATAAAATTTCAAGAGCAAGTATTAGGTGGTTTGCCAAAAAGTACATTTTATCTTGATAAACTCTAATGATATAAAGGAGGAAAAGAAAAGACTGTCATGATCATTTCCCAAGTAATCAATGTATATATAAGGATGAGTTGTTGAACTGCGAAATTACAAAATTTGGATATTAATGTTAAGAATGATACCCTTTTTTGACTTCAGTTATCATAAAATTGCAAGCAATTAATTTTAAAGAGGAAAAACTCTATGAGGACTTTGACACGGCTCAGGGACACTAAAAAATGACAGTTGTGGCCGGGTGCGGTGGTTCATATCTGTAATCCCAGCACTTTGGGAGGCTGAGGTGGGTGGATCACTTGAGTTCAAGACCAGCCTGACCAACATGGTGAAACCCCAACTCTACTAAAAATACCAAAAAAAAATTAGCTGAGCATGCTGGCGGATGCCTGTAATCCCAGTTACTCCAGAGGCTGAGGTGGGAGAATCATCTGAAGCCAGGAGGTGGAGGTTGCAGTGAACCGAGTTTGTGCCATTGCACTCCAGCCTGGACGACACAGTGAGACTATGTCTCAAAAAAAAAAAAAAATGACTGTTTTAAAAATATGTCAACAGGAAGCCACATCCTTATGAATAACAACCTGCCATTAAAAACATATTTAATATATTAAAAATCAAGCCACATATTAGAGTTTAAATTAAAAATGATTATTCATGCATGCTTTTAACCCTTCCCCTCAACTGAACCCAGTAACACAGTCTGCAAGTAACCATTTAAACAGGTTTCCCATCTCCTCAGATGATGACCACTATAAATCTAAATCATCAAAAAATAAATTAACATTTAATGCTGACATAGTAATATATTCTTACATATCTATACGATGATTGTCTCTTTTGAACACAAATAATTTCTCATACTAAAAGGGAGGGGGAGAAAGTGGATAAAAGGGAGGGGAAGAAAGTGTTCATTATATGTAAGAAACTTCTGGCATTTCAAACATTTATCCAGTGTGCTTGAGTACCGTGCCAAATAACTTACAAATTACGGCTAAAATTAACTCTGATCTTTCTCAAATTGAGACTTTAACAAGGATCTAAACAAACATTATTATTCTGAGAAAGGAAGGGTCTAAGTGGCTCAAAATCTGGAGCTTTCTTGATTGACGAAAAAAAAATTACAAATCAATGTCTAGGAAATTTAAACTCGCAAAGGTACAAATTTAAATACCCCACATTCTCAGAGCCTTTATTTTTTCTTTTCGTTTCTTGGGCAGTAGCAATACATTCTGCAGAAATTCAGGACTGATATTATCCTTTAAAAGTAGCTGTCAAGAATTACACTCCCATTTGTCAGCACCCGTCTTGGGGTGTCAGGCTGAAACCTGTGATCCATTCCCAATGAGATCCCATGGAATCCATGTCTGTCTGCTTTATGTGGTCAGTTGTTTCAGGTGGAGGCTGACATCCCCGATGGAACCTGGGGAACCTGAATCCCCGACGTTTGTGCTTCTGTGTCTGGGCTGACCTGGGCCCAGCAGCCTCCTCCTTGATATGATTCCCAGGTCCTCAGTGGGTCATGTGGCCTCCCCCATTGTTTCCCCTATTTCTGGATGCCCCAAATATCTTACTGTTCCAGCCATATAATCTAGTAATTCACACAAAGTTATTGTTGTGTAGATCATTTGCAAAGGTCAGGGTGGGAACGAGTACTTCTTAGTGAATGTTGCTGTAGTTGGGTATTTCCCATCCTTTCAGGTCTCATTTTTAATAGCACTAGAGCTGGAAATCAACCAAATTCTGGATGCAGAGTTTGTCTCAGAAGGTGAAGGAGGGTGGAGTGATAAAAGATTGGGCCTATGATGTACCAAGACACAATTTTTCCTCTTTGAAACTTTTTCTAAAACCTAGCTCTAGACACTTCTAGAAGTTCATGGGGTAAAACATGAAATTTGCTCGTAAGTTAGTCCAAAAGCCCATTCCCTCATCCTATTGAGAAAGGAGTTGAATTTCCTTCTCTGTAACACATATGTGGAAAAAGCAACTGTGCGTTCGGTCATCCATGTTCACTTTGCAGACACTTCTACTGGTATAAAGTGCGTGAGCCATTCATTCCTGTGATGAGGGCTTTGGCTGATTGAGATCAAATCTGGACATTCTATTTGCTCAGGTGGTGCTGGGCGGCATTTCAGGAGAGGGCTGTAGATCATAAGAAACTGAGGTTTTGTGTCATTAATTTGGATTTAGAAGTGATTGGGAAAACGTCCTTCTCTGTTGGTTGTACTGCCTTCTGATGCTGCTAAAGCCAATAATTAATAACATTTTTCCTGAGCAAATTTGATAAAACAATTACTAATGACTATTGGTTAGGGTTGACATTAAGATAAAGTAAAATAAAAAGAACAGAAAACCAGTAGTAATTATGGTCTTTGTTAAATTCCAGTGATCCAAAAGCAAGCAATAGATTTAGTAAGATCTTAACCTCAGTATGTGCAAAAGGCCTGTCCTAAAATGTAGAATAATAGTGATAGTAATAATAATAATAACCTTTTATAATCCATGGAGACCATGAAATCACAAAGTTTGTCTTCTCGCCCTAAACTATATATTTGAGGATTTTGTGAAAACATATTATATGCCTTTTCTAAATGGAGATCTCACAGTTGTTTTGGTTATGGCTTCCAATTTAATATGAAGAAACATTTGCTTTGTTTTGTTGCTATAGGGTTTAACTTAGAGTGGGCAGTTTCTTAAATCCATCGAGAAGATTAGAGCGGGAAACAAATTTGGTTATGTTCCCCTTTAGGAGAAGAGGGCAGGCTGCAGTGAGAACTGGAGACACTCACTCTTGAGTGGTCTGCATTCTCTACGCTGAAGGGAGAGCAGGTTTGATAACTGTGTCATGTTGCTGTGTAGAACAGGCTGCTCTCACATGAGACCTAGGCCACAGGAGAGAACCTGTCTAAAGAAATCCTACTGAACAGATACTGGTAGCCCTGGAGGGTGAAAATGTTGCATGAAAAGCATGATCCTTGAGTTAGATTTTCTTAGTGCCAGGATCTCCCTGCAAGCCCCATCTCCACATTCAAATAATTCCTCATGTTCTTTTTCCTTTGGTTACTTCTTCCCCTCCACCCCCCATCACCCTGATACTCACTCTCATACCTAGATCATTCCAAGTGTGCCTGAACCAAACCCAACTTGACTTGAATTCCTCCAGCTTCCCTCCCAGCCTCTTCCTTCCCTCTTCCCCACTTATCACCATTATCCAACCTGCTACAGTCAAATCAGAATTCCACTGCCACCACCACCCATCCTCCACATTTCCGAAACATGGAGGTTTTGCACTCCACATTTATAGTGGAGTATATTAATAGTCCTAATAGGGATTAAGGACTATGCATAGTACAGCTCCACCATTTATTTCTATCTTTCTCTCTAACCCTGCACCAAATCTCTGCTTCAGGCTCATTGATTAACCTGTGGCCTTTCACATAGGCCAGGTGATTTTTATTAATCCTATTTTCTATTCCTTGGTGCCTTCTATTATTTTTTAACTTAATCTTATTCACACTTTGCAAGTCTATCCATCTTACAGAGCCCTGTTTTCCTAAGCCTTCTTCATCCTCCTCTTCTGAACTCTACATATTGTCTGTTCCATTAACTAGAATTTTTAATCATGCCCCTGAGTTTCCTTAGCTCCCATAGAACTAAGGATAGTCTTTTTTTTTTTTTTTTTTGTGCAACATTCAGTGGCCTCAGATTTGCCCTGGCCCAACCCGTGGCTTGGGTGATATGGTTCAATCTCTTCATCATCATCAACTTGTGCTGCACCTCATTAGCTCAGCACACATTTATTAGGCTCCTGTTACGGGACGGGAGCTCTACTAGGTGCTGGAGTTATAGAGTAAATAAAGCAGACATCCTGGTCCTGGAACACTCATAGTATAGCAATGACAATAGCGGCATGCATAGAAATAGACAAACATGCTCCAGTGAGGAAGCAACTGAGTGGAGCGTGCAGTGTGCTCAGATAATACATTTGGATGATCTGGTTTTAAATCCCTGCTCTCGCACTTATTATTTCTGTCTCACATACTACCTGTGTCCAGCTCCTCCCCTGTAAGAGGAAATTAACCATAGCTTTAGCATAGGAATATCATGAGAATGAACTTGATAATCTGACGCAGTCCTTGGTCCAGCACCTGGCATTGCAGACAAGCCCAGCAGCTGCTCCAGGTTGTTCTTGTCACTCAGCTGGGTCCCAGAGAAATGGCCTGGGGCTGCCTGGGACTTGGAAAGGAGGAAGGAGGTGTACCTCATGGGGGGGGAGGGAAGCATTAGGGCAAAAAAGTGAGATTTTAAAACTTAGAAAATGCTTTTTTTCTATTATTCTGAGTACTTCTCCAGACTAAAAAAAAAAAAAAAAATCAACTCCATGGAAGAATCTGATACAAAATATAAGAAATGGAAAATCATAAATTAAAATGTAGTTTCAGGGCATGCAATATATTTAGGCAGCTGTATTAGTCTGTTTTGAATTGCTGTAAAGGAATACCTGAGGCTTGCTAATTTATAAAGAAGGTTTATTTGGCTCATGGTTTTTCAGGCTGTTTAAGAAGCAGGCCATGAACATCTGCTTCCAGTAAGGATGTCAGGAAGCTTTTACTCATGGAGAAAGGAGAGGGGACCCCCATTCCGGGAACAAGAGTCGGGGAGTCAGGGAGGAGGGGTGGGGGAGGCACCATGCTATTTTTTTTTTTTTTTGAGATATAATTTCGCTCTTGTCGCCCAGGCTGGAGTGCAGTGGCACGATCTCGGCTCACTGCAACCTCCGCCTCCCGAATTCAAGTGATTCTCCTGCCTCAGCCTCATGAGTAGCTGGGATTACAGGAGCCCACCACCACGTCTGGCTAATTTTTTGTATTTTTAGTAGAGATGGGGTTTCACTATGTGGGCAGGCTGGTCTCAAACTCCTGACCTCAGGTGATCCGCCCTCCTCAGCCTCCCAAAATGCTGGGATTACAGGCATGAGCCACTGCACCCGGCCAGCACCATGCTCTTTTTAACAATCCGCTCTCCTGTGAATGAACAGAGTGAGAACTTATTCATTACTGCAGGGAGGGCACCAAGCCATTCATGAGACATCTGCCTCCATGACCCTAAACATCTCCTACCTGGTTCCATCTCCAACATTGGGGATCATCTTTCAACATGAGTTTGGGAGGGGACACATCCAAACTATCTCAGCAGCAGTGTCACAGCCCGGCTATATCATTTCGGGGACTTTTCCATATTCCTGTGTAATTCATCCTTAGAAATTTTAAGGAACAAACTTGGATCACTCAGTCTATAGAACTTCCCGTAGTAGTTCAAAAAGCTACTCAACTCCTCCCCTCTACTTATCACAGGAAGACCACTATGTGGTGACATGGTGGATATCAAAGAGGAGCCCATCCTCCTGTGGCCAAGGGAATTGTGGGAAGTGAGGGAGAGGAGACATTGGTTCTGCTTCTCCCACCCCTAGCGAAGACCAGGCAAGGGACCCGTTCTCCCAACACTCCAATGAGGTGTGAGCCAAATATCCTCCCTGAAACCAGGACTTCTGCCAAAGACAGAATTTGGGGAGGGTCAGCTCCTGGAGAGACTGAGCAATTTCTGAGTGAGTTCATTAAATCCTTGATAAAATGAAGATTTAAGTTGCTTGGTCTCAAAAATGTTTTCCCATCCCCTAATGGCTAAGGGCTTAAAAAGATAAAGAGTTCTGTTTTGACTGGAATCCAGGGGTCAGGAGCGTGGCAGCCTCCATCACAGGGTCCTGCCAAGCTTGTGAATCCTCAGGCAGTGACAAGGACTTAAATGACCTACTGAGAGTCTGTGATTTGTGCACCCAAATGCTGAGCTGTATTTATTTTTATTTTATAACTTACTGACAACTGGATGGTCTCCCTAAAGTGAAAACAGCCTCCTTTGCCATCTTGTCATGGTTTATTTCTTGTCCAATATTTTGTTTGATAGTTTTGTTTCAGACGTGATCTATTAGGAAGGAGCCAGCATACCACAGCAGTTCAGGGACACAAATTATTGGAAGGAAAAAGAAGATCCACTCCGAAAGAAGATGAAAGGAAGGGAGAAGTTGAGGCAGTTCTGATTGTAGTCGTTTTCTAATGAATAAATCATGGCGGGTTCTGAAATACTGTTGTACCCACTGTTCTCAATGGGAAGGAACTAGGAGGAGAAAGCTTAGGGACAGAAACCAGGGGAGACATTCTGACGCAACAAGCACCCCACACTGGTGCTGCTGCAAGACCAATTGAGAAAAAGTGCTGTGGGCGTATCACTCAAGGATTTCCTACTAACGGCAGTGATGAAAAAAACACCCTTTCATGAAACAGATTAGACTGCGATTGCTCAATGATTCTTAGGCTAAAGTGTGGCTTCCCGGGTACAAGGATGGCAGTCAATCACTGACTAACCACCAGGAAGAAGTGATGTGGGCTGGGCGCCCCCAAGCGCAGGCAAGAGAGGATGGAAGCCTGGACAACTGAAGACTGTCACCGCCACCTCCCTCAATCACCTTCCCCTCCAGCCTCGCTCATTTTTCCCTTGAGGAAAATCTACAACTTAAATTAGCTCATATTTGGATCCAATATTCAGGGCAAAGGCAAGAGGCGCTTCATCGGCATAAATTAAAAATCTTTATCTGTCTTTCCAGAATTTTTCATCGTTTTAGGAACAAGAGGTGAATAAAATAAACAGTGATATTACTTTGGTCCATGTTTCTGAGGCAGTGTGGAGTTTAGATTATACTATGCTAATTTTAACATGGATCTATTATGTGGCAAAAATCAGAATTGTCCTTTTTCATTATTTTCAGTGTTAAGTGATTACTGTCTAAGCATTTAAAGATAAACATGGATTTTAAGAAATAGTAATTCTTTTTCTCTTTCATACCATGTCTGTTTTCTCAGTGATAAGCTGTGGATATAACTCTTTTCTTCAACGATGGTCGTAATGAATCAACAATGTTAATGCATGTGGAAGCATCCAGTGAAATGCTGGGCACCCATCAGCCCTTCCTCCCGGCCTCCATTTTTTTCTTTCCCTCTTTCTCTTCTCTTTCATTACTTTCTCTTAGGAAAAATAGTAAATAATCAAATGGCTCAAATAGTTTATCGCTGACGTTCTTTAAGATGTCCTAAACAAACAAAAACTCCACAGAAAGATGATTTTTTCTTTTTTGGTTAATTTTGTGGGAAGAGTCTCTAAGATCAAAGTACCTCTTTTCCTTGGCAGTCCTGGCTTACATATTCAAGAAATACAAATCTTCTCAGAGGCAGCAAAGTCTCTACGTAGCCTAATTACTGAGAGGAATAAAAACACTGAGCGATGCAATCCATGAGTGATATAAATTAATATACATTTAGTAGGTGGTTTTAGCACTCAAATGTAGGACCTTAAGGTGCTTAAGATCCTTTGCAAGGCTAACATTACAAGGTATGTGTATGTACCTAACCATAAATATGTCGGAAAAGATAAAAACAAAAAACTACATTTTTTTCTTCTGTATCATTCAACTATTCTTGGTTAAATTCGAATCTGTTAAAAAGTGGTTTCGCATGACTCCTGTAGAATTTCACATACCTTCCACTTTAGCACTTTCATTTCTTCCTTATGTGACATATGTGCAGCTGATTTTGCCTCATTTTGGTCACGTTGTCTGAAGAAGGGTCTAAATATACACAGGGAATATTTCATAATTTAAATCCAGCCACTGGTTCCCAAACACACTTGGTCCAGGTATGTTTGCTTATTTATCATGCACAGTGTTTTTGATTTCTTAATCCAGTATTAAATGCAGAGACAATTCTGTCAGAAAATTTGGAGATCAAAACCAAAATATACTTTATAAATATAGACATTTGATTTTCTATTACACAAGTAATACCTATAAAATTGCTTTGAAAAGAAATTGTGTAAAGAACTCTTAGAACTCAGTAAAAAAAAAAAAGGAAAAAAAAAGACCCATGTATAAATAGGCAAATATGTAAATAGGTATTTTCCAGTGAAGATATACAATAACCAATACGCACAGGAAAAGATGTATGACATCACTGGTCGTCAGGGAAATGCAAGTCAAAATAGGAACGAGATGCTAGGTAATTTCCATTAAGATAGTTTCAGAAAACCAGAGAATAACAAGCATTGACAAGGATGTGGAGAAATTGGAGCCTTCATCCACTGCTGGTGGATTTAAACATAGAGAGTTACCATGAGACCCAGAAATTTCACTCCTTAATATATGCCTAGGATAAATTAAATGTATGTCCACACAAAAGCTTGGACCTGCATATTCTCATGAGCATTATTCACAAGAGCTAAAAAGTGGAAAGTATTGAAATAGCCATCAAGTGACGATAAATAAATGATAATAGATAATGAAATGTGGTATATTCATTCCACAGAGTATTATTCTGCAGTAAAAAGATATGAAATCCTGTCCATGATACAACATGGATGATGGGCCCTGGAAACATCAAGCTGAGTGAAAGAAGCCAAAAGGAACAAGACATACTCCCTACACCATGGGTCTCATGCCTGTGGCATAATGGCTATGCGCTGGTCAGGGGTAGATTGGCATTGTTTATTAGTTTTTTACTTAACCATCATAATGAAGTACCACAGTAGAGAAGTTGGGAGAGAGCATTAGAATGCATAAAGACGCAATGGAAATAAGAGGAAATAAGAGAAAGTCATTTTTATTTTAGGTCAATTGATCCTTTCATTAAGAAAGGATCAATTTTCTATTACACTTAATTTTAAGATTTCCTACAGTTATATTTACTTCTTATTTTCCTGGATTTTAAAAATGTTTTTCTTCTAAATTTATCTTTGTACATAAAATCTATAATGCTTGATTTTAATCCAAAAGCAATTAGGTTCATACATTTTCATGAAAATCATAATATAACTGTAAAATGACCAACTTACAGACATTTATGGACAGTCTGTCAGACCAGGTACAAGCTGTCTTTGTTAACTTTGGATACTAACAAAAGGAACTTTCTGCAAGTATAAAGCTTCACATTTACATGGATACATGTGTATACAAGACATTTATATAAATCAAATTGAATGAACAGCCTGAAATGTGTTCTTAATAGCAGAAACAGAGTGAATTTAATTATTTCTTTTGGATTCCCTATAAGAAATTCATACAGGATGTGGTCAAGTCACCTTTATCATGGTTAACAAAAAATTAAAGGGCTGCTCTCTGAAGTGTGGATCAAACTCAGGTGCACCAAATAATGAATTCTGGGCATCTCAGGACACAGCAATTCTGAGGGAAATCTACTGGATTCTCAAAAGCGTGTTGCATATCTCCATTCTACATTCAGCTTTTGCTTCCAAAGTTCTTCCACCTAGGACCTCAGTCTCTCATTCTGAGCATAGATTCCAGCAGGGAATATGGCATAGATTCTAGCAGGGAATATGGCCTCTATTCCCTGGCATAATAAAGTATGCCCTGGCAGTTGTGTGCAGGGCCAGCTTCTACCCACCTGTGAGTTTTCAGGGATTTGTGAGCTGGTTGACATTATTGGTAGCTTGAAACGAGAGGCAGTAGGAGAATATTATACAACACGGAAATTGGCAAGGACAATTTCACATAGAAGTTCCTCAGACAATGTTGAAGAAGCCTTTCCAGCTTGTTTCTGGGCCTCATGTACCTGCTTCTAAGAGAGGGAGACTTCTGAGTCACGACTTTCCATGCTTGCCTTTGGTCCTCTGGACTTGGCCTCTTTATAGATCTGGGGCCTCCGGAGGCTCCTTCCCAGAGTGTCTTTGGCTTATTCAGGGGTAGCCTCTCAGCTGAGGCTGTGGAGTCCTTCCTGTCACTTGTGCATAAATTTCCTTCCTTGTGAAATATAAGAAGGCCAGTGGCGGCCACACATCAGCTAGGATAGCATGAACAACGGCACAGGTGGTGTCCATAGCTCCCACTCCTGGATCCGTCTTCAGTTGGTGCCAAACTGAGAAGGGGAAGAAAGCATCCCCAAAGCCCCCCAAAGTTAACCCTCAAAGTATTTTAAGTCTTTGTATATACCCCATTTTCTCTTCACAGGTTTGTTAATAAAATGTTAAACTTACGTTGTAATTAACGTTCTCCCAAATCTACCAACTCCCCCACTAAACCTGCAAGTCCATAAACTCAAGTTTCCTTCTACTTCTTCTCCATTATAAATATCATTTTAAAAACATTCTTCAAAAACTCAAAGGCCTTGTCTCCAGTTTTCTGAAATCTGTTGTTCACAACGTATAATTATTTTGTGTTACACTTTCAGGCATTTCCTTGGATCTGAATCATCCATCAGCATTGCTCAGAAATCACGTCCTTTCCTTTCATTCTGTCTCATACATTTTCCAGGTTCCACGTTTTGTATGGGAGTCAGAGTGTGATAGTTAATTTTATGCATCAACTTGGCTAGACCAATGTGCCCACATACTTAGTCAAACATTATCTTGGAAAGGTGTTTTTTTTTTTTTTTTTCTGAAGGAGATTAACATTTAAATCAGTGGACTTTGAGTAAAGCACATTACGCTCCATAATGTGGGTGGGCATCGTCCAATCAGTTGAAGGCCTTTCCTGGAACAAAGACTGACCTCCCTGAGCAAGAAGAAATTCAGCCAGCAGAAGCCTTGAAACTCCAGCAACTCTTCCCTGGGTCTCCAGCCTGGCTGCTCCCCAAGATTTTGGACTCGCCAAGCCTCCACAATGACATAAGCCAATTCTTAAAATAAATCAATCCTATGTATCTCTCTCTCCCTCCCTCTCTCTTTCCCTCGCTTTTCATCCTGTTGGTTCTGTGTCTCTGGAGAACCATGAGTAACACACACAGATGCTAGCTTTTCTTCCCCTTGTCTCCTTTCTCTGTCTCCCTCAATATATTTGGGACCCTCACTATACCACTTTCTCTCTGACCCCAGGAAGTAGCATTTCCCAGTGGGGAAGGTTTTAGAGAACCAGCCCCACATTCTCTTTGCCAGCTCAGGAACCGGGTTTCTGCAGCTCTTCCTCACACCTGCCTTCTTCTCACACCTGCCACATCCTCACACTGGCCCCCTCCTAGAACCTGTCCCCGGTACCTGCCCCTCTCCTTCTTCCTGATCCATCCTGGTTCCTTGCCCCCCTCCTCCCACCTGCCTCCCTCTTAACATTCACCCCTCCTCAAACCTGTCCCCTCCTGGCACCTGCCCCATTCCTCCAACCCAGCCCCTCCTAGAACCTGCTCCCTCCTCACCCTGCTCCCCTCCTCATACCTGCCCCATTCCTTGCACCTGCACCTCTGCTCACACCTGCCCCCTCCTCATACCTGCCCTCTCCTCACACCTGTTGCTCAACTCTTAACTCCTCTCCCTCTCCTTTTATTCCCCTTCCTTCCGTCACTTGGAATCCATCCTCCTTATCTATCCCACTCCCCAGTTAATGTCTCTGCCTTTTGGGGGCACATGCAGCTGAGCTGGCTTCATTTGGCTGCTAATGTGGGTCTACTTTCAACCCGCCAGCTGTGTAGTTGCTGGGAGTCCTTGGGATAGAGCAGCTCCCCTCCCTCTTCACAGGTAACTTGCTGGGTCCCTGTACTCCTCCCAGTGACAGGTGATGCTGCTCCTGACTACACATGCCATGTGCACAGTTCCTTATTGTTTCTATAGCTTTCCTTGGCTGTGCACTGTCATGGCTCCAATACACCTCTGTTTCTTCACAGAAAGCACAAGAAAGGTCACCTCCATCTGCCCCTTTGCCCAGGTTATACTTTACACACTTCCCAGGCCACGCCCATTGTGATCGTGGAGCTGTTCGTTCTCCCCTGGTCTCCATCTTTTCTGTAGTCACTGTTTCACATTGAGGGAGTAGGGGACTTGGGCCCTAGAAATGAAATGAGCACTAAGTTTTGGTCTCTAATGATCTTAGATTCCCTGCTTCATATTGACTTGTTGCAGAAGCAAATCTCAATTCAGATAGCTAGCTTCTAGGAATAAATCCTACAGTAATTATGTTCTTAGGGATTAATTAATCAAACAGGTAATCTGGTCTTCCCTGAATATTATTTCTGAGAAGCCACCTCATGTTTTGTGTAAAATCCCTCAGCTTCATCTTCCGCAGAAAGATTTCCCTACTGCATGGCTCTCCCACCCCTCCTGTTTCCCCCAGGCTGTGGGGGCCATGCACCCGGGGAAGGGTTTGCTTTTCTTCTATTTGCTTCCCTCCACTTCATGTTTTACCAGCCTGTCTACTCTCCTACTGAGCATTCTCATCTTCCAATGCTCCAATGAGCATTCTGATTTCTCTGGTCAAAGTAGGAGAAAGGGCTTTGCTGTGCGCATTTTCAGATTCATACACCCTCTACAGTTACCATCTCTGAACAACCTACTCAGTAGCCTCTGCAATGGTCAGTTACTCCATCAGCTGGGAACTCCAAAAGGCTCATGTGCTACCATTCAGTGACCACTGGAGAATGCTCTGAAGAGAAGGCACTGAGATGTGCTAGAAGATTCCAGGCTGGTTTCTGTGTGTGAGGATGGTTGTTGGAGGGGCAGTGATGGGCTGGGACTGGTCAGATGCAGCTCAGCACTGATTGTGAATATTGAAGACTTTTGCAAGGCAGTTGTTAAACCATCGGCAACTTGAAATTACCCAGGGTGGAGGTATTAACATAATAGAAATCACTAAACCTACAAATCTGTTTTTGGTTTTGTGCTATTGTTTTCTAGAAAGCTAGTCTGCCAGCACACGACTAAAGGTGAGTGTTCTACCAGTTTCTGGTTCTTTTTACAATAGTGATGTTTCCTGGGTTCTCCATGTGAAGGAGAGAAAGAGAGAGAGAGAGAGAGAAGTTAGGGGTGGAGGGAGAAGGAGAGAGGGAGGAAAAGAGAGAGAGGCTAGAGATAGAGGAAGAAGGATTGCTAGTTTCTTGGACATGTAATACAGTGCAGTAGTGACTGCATCCTCCTCCTCCCTTCCTAACTAGGGCTACTGATATAGTTAGGTTTTGTGGCCCCACCCAAATCTCATCTTGAATTGTAATCTCCACATATCCAAAAAGGGACCTGGTGGGAGGTGATTGGATAATGGGGGCAGTTTCCCCCATGCTGTTCTTGTGATAGTGAATTCTCACGAGATCTGATGGTTTTATAAGAGGTTCTTCCCTTTTTGGTTGGTGCTTCTCCTTCCTGCCACCTTGGGAAGCAGGTGCCTTGCTTCCCTTTTGCTTTCTGCCATGATTGGAAGCTTTCTCAGGCCTCCCCAGCCATGCTAAACTGTGACCCAATTAAACCTCTTTCTTTTATAAATTACCCAGTCTTGGGCAGTTCTTTATAGCAGTGTGGAAACAGACTAATACAGCTACTCTGCCTGGTCACCCTCCTCCCATCATGTGGACAACCTCTTCTCATCAAGGGTGACAGACCCAGAGCCTGTCTACCCAAGCTTGAAATAGGGTCAGTTAGACCATAACACTGTCTGCACATGCCTGTCATCACATGCCCCAGTGTTGTGAAAACATGTTTACTGGTGTGTTTGCTTTAGTTGATTGTCACCACTTGACCACCTTGGAAGCAGAAACCTAATTTTATTTACTTTGAATACGTACAGCCTCACTCTGTGTCTAAATATCACAGACTCTCATTAAATTTTATTATTCATATGAAGAAACAAGAGAAGAAAAAAGAAGAATCTCTAAAAAGGAGCAAACATCTGGGAAATAATGAGATTGAGGGAATTCTTTAAGCCCAACAGGTCCAGAGCAGTAAGAACAATGACCACCTCAGCAGGAAAGTAGGGGAGGAACATGGGGCAGGTTGGAAGAAGCCAGACTGTCTCTGGAACCAGGAAGGGGCAAAATTCACAGGCTACTTTAAGTTAGAAAATTTCTAGACTCCTTGTGTTAGAAGAAATTGTTGATCTAAGTTAAGTTCATCTCAATTTGTTTAAGGAATTACTTTTACATTGATTAGATATGTTTAATTTAAATGGGCAAGTGATCTTTAAATGCCTTACTATTCTGCAAGCAAAATTGTCATTAAGCAGTCCTGTCTTATAACAGTGTAACAGGTTGTAAATGGATGGAGCCCTGCCAACTGCCTGGACATTACTTTCACGCACAGACAGACACTAACTACACTCTATTGGGTGGACCTGCACAGTTACCTACAGCATGAATGTGTGGAGGTTGGGTGGGAAACAGAGTAGGGTGGTGTCTTAGGTGTGTAACAGTTTCTTTCTCTTTCTCCCAGAGGGTTCTCAGCTTGGCCTGTCCATGGCCCACTGTCTGCTGCTTCTGGATCCTATTTCTACCATAGGCTTTTAACTTGCACAGACAACTCCCCCTCATTACACACACACACACGCACACACACACACACACACACTGACAGTTGATACTCATTTGATCAATGTTAATTCTAGAAAAATTGACATAATAATCCCCATTCAGTGGATGAGAAAACTGGGGTGAAGACTTACCTCAACTTCCATGACTAGTCAGGGTCAGAATTGGAAATACCACATTTGTCCTCTTGCTCCCAGATGCACCTGTCTCTGAGTGCACCAAGGGTGTCTCCATCTGGGCCACTGAACTCCACCCTCCCAGGGTGAAGTCCCTCTCTTGAGGCTGAGTCGGTAATAAGAGAATAATTCCTGCTTCCAAGTCAGTGAATCAAAACCTACTGCCCTGCATGACCCAACACTCACGATTTAAGTGGATTAATTACAATTGCCTGTGTGTTTCTGGCATAAAATGAACAATGACTGTAAACAGATTTATGAGAAAAAATTTAAATTTTAGATATATCAATATTTGTTTCCCAATTTGGAAATGATTTCCAATGTAGCCTCTCTCCAGCTCCTATGGTTGTGTTTTTAATATTAACTGATGGTCTATTTGGAACTAAATTATTGTTGAGGAATTAATTGGACTCATTATAATTTTAAATGAGTACATTTGAACAAAAATTAGTTTGTAATCAACTAAGTGTAGAAGTTTATAAAAGAGTGGCATCCAACTGGGACCCGCCTAAGGTGCCCCAGTGGTGGAGCCCATCTGCTTTTAAAAGTTGTATGTTTTCTGCAAATAAAAAGAAATTTGGAAGTATAGTTTAAAGGTAAAAATGCAAATTTACACTAATGCATAGATTTTAAGATAGAAAAGCAAAGTCATCTGAATACATAGTACATACACACGGTCATACACAAAACCACCTAGTCTTATGTATATAACTCTCTCTTTCTCTCACCCACACCCACACACACACCCACACTCACACCCCCCACACACACATACACAGAGAAACACTCAGTTGGGTACATTCATACATATGCACGTGCACAAACACCAAACACTATTCTCTTACTTTGTGGAGAAATACTAAATAAAATATTATGAAAAACTAAAAACAATTTTAAAAGCCACAAATATAACAATAAAACCATAGCCCAACATTAATTCTGGTGCAACCTCTATGCCCTGATGTTGACACTGGTGGACAGGAACATGAGCTAGGAGGCGCTGTCTTCACCAAGGATGTTGTTACATTGCTGTATCTGTCAGCCCCTTTGAGGATCAAGCACAGATATTTTTTTCTTTTCTTGTCCTTTTTATCTCAATTCTACATTTCACATTAGAAAATAATCCAATCTAATGTCTGCCCCAGGGAAATCTCTCTCCAGATTCATACATTTATTGATAGAGTAAGTCACATGGAAATTTAATCTAATATAGGTTTAAGTGGAAAGAATAAGAACAGGCACATTTATTATTTCTATATATCCCCAAACCAGCAAAGCTGATGTTATTTTGAGATCTCTGCAATGGAATTTTTTTAAAAAAAGAGTATTAAGTAAAACGGAGCCTGCATCATAATTTAATGATTCTGCTAATGTGCTTCTTGATTTTAATCTACTATAAATCCATTGCAATTATGTAGTGGCATTATTTAATGTGATTTTTCCTGTCTGAATCTATTATTTTTCCAAAAGAAGCTGTCTGGAAAATACCAAAATGTATATCACCTGACAGGCAAATAGATTTCCATTCTCAGCAAAGTATAATATGTAATTTAAATTCATTATCTGAGGATGTGAGATCACATTAAATATATAGAAAATAATCTTTCTGCTCGGGGACAGCTGAATTTTTACTATCAAAATATATCAGATTTCTATCATATTAACAGTTTCATTATCTTGAAAAAAGAAGAAAAGTGCTATTTTTATCAGCCCACTTGCATTGGATTCTAGTATGTGTTTCAAATTTGTTCACAGCTCTTTAACATTAAAACCAATGAGGCTGACTACATGATAGAAGGTTCCCTCCTTCTATAGCACGGAACATATTGGCTGCAATGTTCTGAATGTTGGCGTCCTGTCCCCCACATTCATATGTTGGAACCCAATGTGATCATATTAAGAGGTGGGGCCTTTGTTATATGATTAAGTCATGAGTTCTATCCTCACAAATAGTATCCTTCTCACCCATATGAAAGAGGCTCAGTGCCAGCGATCTCCCTTGCCCCCTTTGCTTTGTGAAGACACAGCAAGAAGGTGCCATCTTTGAAGCAGAAAGTAAACTCTCACCAGACAACAAATGTATATTTCTTTTTCTCAATTTTGATGGACTATAAGAATATAAATACTCCTTTGTGAAATATTAGAATTGTAAATAGGATTAGTGGGACATCCTTTTTTTTTTTTTCTTCTCCTTGGGACCCCGGGATGTGCCATCCTCAGGCCACAGACACTAGTCTTAGGTCAGGTCCCAGCCTCCCTGAGGGGTCTTGACACGAGCGGGCAGCCAACCCCAAGCCGTGACTGTGGTTCTCACTTTGGAATTTCATCAAACTGCCAGAGATACAGAAACTTGGGGTCAGGTCCAGCAGTGGCAGCTGCCCCTCCCAGGGACAGCGTGTTGCTCCCACCCACCACCTGCCAGGCCCGCTGTCTCCTCTGCCTCACTGACCACCTGCTGAGACCCCCGGTCCTGAGCTAGCACCCCATGCATCCGGCTCTTTTAAAACAATTATTATTATACTTTAAATTCTGGGATACATGTGCAGAACGTGCAGGTTTGTTACGCAGGTATACACGTGCCATGGTGGTTTGCTGCACCCATCAACCCATCATCTACATTAGGTATTTCTCCTAATGCTTTCCCTCCCCTTGCCCCCCACCCCCCAACAGGCCCCAGTGTGTGATGTTTCCTTCCCTGTGTCCATGTGTTCTTATTGTTCAATTCCCACTTATGAGTGACAACATGTGGTATTTGGTTTTCTGTTCTTGTGTTAGTTTGCTGAAAATGATGGTTTCCAGCTTCATCCATGTACCTGCAAAGGACATGAATTCATCCTTTTTATGGCTGTATAGTATTCCATGGTGTCTAATTAAACTAAAGAACTTCTGCACAGCAAAAGAAACTATCATCAGAGTGAACAGGCAATCTACAGAATGGGAGAAAATTTTTGCAATCTATCCATCTGACAAACAGCTAATATCGAAAATCTACAAAGAACTTAAACAGATTTACAATTTTAAAAAAACCATCAAAAAGTGGGCAAAGGATATGAACAGACACTTCTCAAAAGAAGACACTTACGCAGTCAACAAACATATGAAAAAAGCTCATCATACCTGGTCATTAGAGAAATGCAAATCAAAACCACAATGAGATACCATCTCATGCCAGTTAGAATGGCGATCATTAAAAAGTCAGGAAACAACAGATGCTGGAGAGGATGTGGAGAAACAGGAATGCTTTTACACTGTTAGTGGGAGTGTAAATTAGTTCAACTATTGCGAAAGACAGTGTGGCAATTCCTCAAGGATCTAGAATCAAAAATACCATTTGACCCAGCAATCCCATTACCAGGTATATACCCAAAGGCTTATAAATCATTCTACTATAAAGACACATGCACACGTATGTTTATTGCAGCACTGTTCACAATAGCAAAGACCTGGAAACAACCCACATGCCCATCAATAATAGATTGGATAAAGAAAATGTGGGAGATACATTGAACAATTCTAAAAAGTAACTTTAATTTTAAAAATATTTACAAACATCATCAACCTTATTCTCTACAGCAGGTTTACTGGAGGTGAAGGAGTGGAGGAACAAGACTTGGAGAACTTTGGTTGTGTTTCTCTTGCTCTCCAGAAGTATGAAAACATAAATTTTCATTGTTCAAGCCGCCAAGTTTGCGGCACTTTCTTGTGGCAGCAACAGCTCTCTAATACACAAGCATGGTTTTATTGCAGAAAGAATTTTGTTTTATAAAATATCAGAATTACGTTTGCATGGGTTGTGATTTAAAGAGCTATTATGTGTATTGAAATCTTCACGACATTCACAGAAAACTCATGAGGTTCAATGTAATCGTTCCCTTAAAATATTTAGCAGGTTAGGAGACTTTCAATCTGAACTTAGCACTTTAAAGTTCCTGCATTACACTGTTGCACTAGATAGAGATAGATAGACAGATAGATAGGCAGATTTAATTCATTGTGCATACAACTATCTAGTGGGATATATATAATGTAGTATGCATAATATACATAGTATACTATATATTATAATTTATGCTGTATAATAGATATTATATTGTGACATATTATATGTATATTATATATCATGTTTGTATGTGTGTATTCCATCAAGTATTCGTATTTTTAGACAAAACGAATAGGCTTGCCTAATATTTTATCTTTAAAATATCTTGGTTTTAATGTCACTAATTTGTTTGCATCATTCATTCCAAATTTAGTTTTAAGGAAGAGGGAGAGGACTAGCCAATTCAATAAGGGTGCACCATAGGAAAAATCATATTATGATGTATAATGTTGTTGAATGTGGCCTTGGGAAATAAGAATTGTTAAACTATTTTAATCCTTTAGAGAACTTTGATCCTTTAGAGTCTGTCAGTAAATACTGCATAAAACATAAACAACTTTTTTAGTAAAATAATAAAGACATCTTCTCCAAACTGAATTTTAGTGAGTTTTTGTACACATGGAATGTCCTAAGGAATTACTGGGATAAAAACTATTATATGAATTATATTGATAGATCTCAATATTAAAATATTTCTGCACTACAAATTGTCATGAACACTCAGCAAAGCCAGCATGGACTCACACTTACAATTTGGTTCAGATGTTGAGATTGATGGTTACACACACACACACACACACACACACACAATCCAAGAGGCATGATAAGGTTTATTACTTACATAATTGAGGTTTTTTGAGTATAGAATGGCAGATCCACCCAACAGGTCCAAAATCTCTTGGGAGAATAAGGAAAAGAGAGGTGCCTGGGGTTATTACTATGGTTAGAGGTTGGGGTCAGGGTGAGGGTTACTTAATACAACAGGGGCTTCTATGGATTGAATATACCCATTGCACTGGCTGGCTCCAAAGTACAGAGACCCTTCCTTATCAGCTTTCTTATCAGCTTGCCCAGATGTGTGACACAAAGAGGAGACAGAGGGGTAAGGTTCAAAATCTGTCAGCAGCCAAACATCAAAAAGTGAAATCAGACTCCTTGTAACAGAAACATAATGTTAATTTAGTTACGAGATCTAATCCATTTACTATACTCCTAAATTAGACTTCCTAAATATTTTATTTACTAATTTGAAATCTATATTCACAATTGATAATTATCTGTTACTTTTTATTTTAGGAGTACTATTTCAAGTTTTGGAATTGGATTGTGTAGGCTAGCTTCATAAAATGATATTGTAAACTTCCTTTTATTCTTCTTATAGTATAACAGTTAATTAGTAATTATTTGTTTCTTGAAAGTTTTGTAAAATCCCAATTCCAGAGTTCTTTGATAGCATTTTTATATCTTCCGTTCCTGCTAAGAAATGTATTTAGATTTGACATAGTTGACTCTCTGTGTGTGTGTGTGTATGAAAATATGCACATATATATGGATATAGATATATGCTTGATATATAAAAATACACACATATATTTGTTTTCTAGAAATTTTCAAATTCATCACACAAAGTTCTACACTGAATTATTTTAAAATATTTTCTTGTCATATCGCTTTCACTGGTCTTACTATTATTTGTTCCAACTTTTTTTCACAGTTTTTTGACTCTGAGAAATTTAATTAAACTTTCTAAGCCTCAGTTTTCTTATTTATAAATTGTGACAGATAAAACCTAAGGTGTGAGTTTTCTTTGGTTGTGTGTCAAATTACCACAAACTTGGTGGTTTAAGACAACCTGCTCTTATTATCTCACCATTTCCATTAGTACAGAGTCTGGGCACAGCTTAACTGAATCCACTGTTCAGGGTCTCACCAGGCCACAGCCAAGGTGTTGACCAGGGTTGGCATCTCATCTGAGGTTCAAGATGGTCTTCTAAGCTCATGTCATTGGTAGCAGAGTTCAGTTCCTTGCAGTTGAAGGACTGAGGTGGTTGGCTTCTAGAGACTTCTCTCCTCACCCCAATTTCCAGCCATGTGGCAGTCTCCACAAAATGGAACTTTCCTTTTCCATTTTGGTAAGAAGCTGATTCTTGCCTCTTACCACCACAACTTCATCTGAAAGGCTCAACTGATTAGGACAGGCCTACCCAGAATAATCATCCTTTGATTAACTCAAAGTCAACGGATTAAGAACCATAATCACATGTGCAAAATGTCTTTACCTTTGCTATATAATGGCAGCAATATCTATCACACTCATTCTGCACACAATCAGGGAGCGGGATTACAGGAAGGGTGAATATCAGGTGGTGGGAGTCTTGACAGTCATCTTAGAATTCTGCCTACTGCCCTACCCAGTAGGGTTGATGATACTTGTAAGTGACTTACTGAGATAATATCCATAAAGTATGCAGTGCACCATCTTAGCTAACTGAATGTACCTCTCAGGCTCTGGCCATTCTATGCCCTGAGAGGTCTCTTCATGCAGCACCTTTCCTGTCTGACCACAGAAAGGCTATGTGGGTGCTGGGAGTCTGCAGGGCCTTTGCCAGAAGAACACTGGAGGCTCCCTTGTCTCTCTTGCTCTTCCATGGCACAGGCTTTGGATAGATTAAGTCCTGGTCACTCTTTTATCCTCAAACACCATGATCAGGGTCTGGTTTCAGCTCAGGCCATTTTTCTACTTGCCCAGAAACTACAACCTGGGTGTGTCCTGGTTTCCTCCATTGGACACTAGATGTACCCAGGAAGATCACTCAAGGTCCAGCACCAACCAGGCCTGAAACAACACCCCAGAGAGGGGTGGAGCTGTGCCCTGGAGCTTTGCAGGGCGTCAGCCCAAGGGAAGGATTTCTGAGCTGCTGGGGTTTGAGAATTTCAATCCTTAGAATTAGTGCAGCAGCTTACTGAGGTTATATAGCCTCTAAGTCTCTTTTTTCTATCTAAATCTCTTTTTCTAGACATAAATGGTCTTCTTCAAAGAAATTTTAGCTGAGCCATTTCAGTCAATTTACACTAGCTTTTTGAAAGTAAGAAAAGTTCTTGAACATAGATCAAACTTGCAGAAGTGAAAAGGAACCAAGCACAGGAGTTTCAATGGGGTTAAAACCCGCTCTTAACTATAAACACTTTCAAATTTTATTCCCTCCCCTAGTACAGAGCAGCTCTCCACATAGATCAACAAATTTTATTTTTTCATCACGTAAGTGTTCAATAAACTTTGTGTCCTCCTTAACATGATGCTGTTCTGGTGGACTGAACTATTGAATAGCAATGTGGCACATTAAGTCAGAGCCTCCTGTTCTGCAAAGTCCTCTTTCTTTCTGGTCTCATTTTTCCTCACACACCTGGGAGGAAAAAGAACTAAGTGCAGGTAGACCTCCGCCCAAGCCAGCTCTTTCTAGTTCCAAGGCCTCCTGCAAATCCTTTAATTCTGCTTTCTAAACTTGCATAATAATACAACTACTTGAGGACAACACAACTATCTGATAGTGATGCAACCACATCCAAAACCTATTACAATGTCCAGCATACAGGTGAGGCACTTGAGGCTCTGAGAGAGGGAATGACCTGCCTAAGCCAGCCCTGGGCAGAGCTAGGACTGAATGCAAGTCCTCCTCCTCCAAAGCTGGGAGTTTCACAGGGGATTGTCATGGCCCCTTTCATAGACTAGTCAAATTGGGATCAGCCCAATTTATAGGATCAGCCCATTTATGTCTTATGTCCCCATTTATGTCTTATGGGTAACTTGGTAGTGGTAGTCCCTAGGACATTATTCATATTTTATGAAATGATGGTGACACATTTCATTGATTCTCTTGGAAGAGTGAGGTGTAAGGATAGAAAGATGAATTCTACTCAGACTGGCCGATCCCAAAGAGACAAAGAAACAGACTCTGGGCCAGGATCTTTTTCTATCTTTTCTACACTCAAGCAGAGAAAGTTTTGTACTGAAAGAAAACCATAGCCACTTAGAACACAGGACCCACTAGCCGAGGATTTCCCGTAATATAAATGAATAAATCCTCCTTGTTTTCACGCAGTGCAGGGTGTGTCAGCATCCATGTGTATGAAATACACTTCCAAATGTATTAGATCCTTTATACTAAAGAAATTTATGACTCTGCCTAAATTATGTGGCCTTGCAAGTGTTCCTACACATTCTGGCTCTTGGCTTTTCTAAAATCCTTTGCCTTTGCTGTCATCTACACAATGTAACAGTGGGTTATCTACTATTATTTTATAATTGATTTTCATTGTCCTATAATTGATTTTGGTATGAATCTTACCACTAAAATTATGTTGGAAATCACCCCATCAGCTTAAAGGAAAAAAAGACAATCACCATCTTCAATTAGGTAATGCTTATAAACAAACATTATTGACCTTGCCAACATCCTACTTTGGTTGCCCTGGAAAGGGGAAGAAGAGGTGGCTGGAGAAGGAATAAGACCAGGATGAATGGCCTTGGTTTTCCTTATTCTAATTCTTGTCCAGGGAATTCTTGGATTTAGACAGAGAGAGAGAAAGAGAGAGAGAGAGATTGTATATTGATATTTTATGTATTATATATGTGTATATGTGTGTGTGTATATATATATATATATTTGCTGTCTTTATTGTCATTAGAAAGGGTGCTTGCATTGTTATAAATGGGAAAGACGAGCTAAAGTCTTCCTTTTAATCAGAGTAATCACTTCACACAGAGAGATAAACTACCAATGATTTAGAGAATTAAAAGGTAGCTGATGATCAAGACGGTATTAAAATCTCCTTCCATTTGACTAAAATTTAAATAGGTCTTCCTAACACTAGGTCCCTGACCTCCCCCCCTTTTTAGAGCATTTATTTAAAAAAAAAAACACACTTCTAATTATAAACTCTTACTTTGTTCCTTAGAAATTTAACTTTTTATGTGAAAGTTGCCAGAATCAAAATGGAATCACTAATGTTAAATAAAACTCTGACAAATAGAGCCAGGGAAACCGTGAAGAGAGAGTTTTGTTTGCATGCTTGATAATGAAAATGACTATAAAAAAAGACAGCCTTGCACAAAGGCCATCGCAACCTTGCACAAAAAAATACTTCTGCAAGGACATCTGCCCAGCAACTGCCTGTCCAACCTTGCACTGGAGTCCCCCTTTTATGGATCTTTGTAGCCAAGGATAATTATGCAGTTCTCCTCATTTTTTCTTTAAAAAACCTTTGCCTTTCTTTACCTCCCAGAATAGGATACATATAAATACATTTATATGGCACAAATATTCTCATTGTAATGCTCTATTTCCAAATAAACATCTTTTTCTTTCACGGAGCCTCTCTGTGTTTGTAATTTAGATTGATGCTTAAAAAGCCCCTCGACAGTTTCAAAATCTAGAAATGTCTTTCTCAAGGACCTGGGAGCCCTCCCTCTCACATGTAATCATCCAGGGAGATAAGGCCCCCCTCTATCAGTCTTTGTGGAAGAGTGGGAGCCTAACTTCAATGGGGCCCCTTACTCCAAGTTGTAAAGTTATCTTAGGTCATGAAGATGTAAGAAAGTTTACCTTTCATTTAGGTTTGGCCAACTGGCAAACACAGATGGCCTATGATCTTCTCTGACTCAAGCTGTTAAAAATCCTACTGCCTCTTGTTTCAGCAGAGTTGAGTTCAGGCTATGATCTAGTCCCCTATTCCAACAGCCTTGGATAAAGTCTTAATTACCTGTTTAATTTTGTCCGTGTAGTTTTTGTACTAATAGTAGTAAAAAATGTTTCAAGCTTTCAGAAAATATTCAAAATACAGGAAAGTCAGAGAATATTAGAACCAACACTATGAAACCACCACAAATATTGAACAGATGTTGACATGTTGGTAAAGATCTTTGGAACCCTTTCCCACTCTCCTCCCCAGAAGCAGCAACCATCATGGACCTGGTGTGCAGTTGCTGATGCCACTGGGAAAGGGGAGAGAGAGATTCAACCAACAGACCACGGCAATGGTGAGCAGCCAAGAGCAATGTCTATGTCCCCCTGGGCCAGAAGAGCAGGACTTACTGCCCTGGCAGAGAAGTGAGCTCTGGATGGTGATTCTGCCCACTGGAACCCCTGCTTTTATCCGTCATTCCCCCAAGGACTTTTTGGAAAGAAGGAGTGGGGAGCTGGCCTTTCTGGGGCAGCTCCACTTAGAAACCAACTTCTAGGTTTGGGGACCTCAGAATTATTCTGGGGTTTAAGCAAGACCTAGCGTTAGTTTGCAGCACAGGCCAGGTGTCTTGAGAACATAGTTCCTGTGGAGGTGGAGTCGGCTTTCTGTCGATTTGCATTTGGTCAACTCAGTTAATTAGAGATCAAAGCCAGAAGTAATGTTCCTGGGCTGAAGTCAAGTGTGGGATATTCTGCTTCTTATAAATATGTGCCCACATCCACGAATTTCAGTTTAATATGCATCTTTTTCTCTGCCTGAAGGCAATTCAAAACTATAGAGCCTGCACTTTGCCTAGAGGTAGAATCCTAGGGAAGGGCATGTGCAATTCTGTATTTATCAGACAGGGATGGGGACCTGGGAGAACCAGGCATGGCCCAGGTCCCTTTCTCTTCTTCAGCTATATTTCCTGCCCCTAGGACTCAACTGGCACCAATTTTAGTTGAGGAGTGGGGGAGTCGGGCTTCCCCAACATTGAATACTGTGCTCACAATGACCAACTTAGATTTTTGATCCTAGGGAGAAAGCTTCTCTCTCAGTAAAGCTGTGTTTTTCTCCTTTGCTGATTTATTTTCAATGCATTAACATTTTTCTATCAAGTCCTGTAAAGTTCAGCCACCATAAGCACTTGATGTAAATCCCAAGACACAACAGAAAACAATTTAACAAAATCCTTCCACGTAACAGTTCGTCTGTTTCCGGAATAAGAGTGGAATGTAAATAACTTTAACAACCTCTGCTTATTTGCCTCAGCTGATCCCGTAGTTAGCACCTCTCACTTGTCTTACTGAAATCCAGGTGCCATTTTCTGGACCAGTCAAAGATTTTGAGATACAAGTGACATATGCTCACTGGTTAATTCAAGTGAAGAGGAGATTCGTTGAACTGAGTAAGGATAGCTGAACAATCAGTCCTCAAAAGTAAGAGGCCTAGAGACCCTAGAGGCCCTGGGAAGTGAGACCCAATGAACAAGCCCTTCCAGGTGCAAAGTTTCGAATATTTGTATATTTGCTTCCATCTTATAATCAAGATTTAATTTCCAGAAGATGGAGATTCTGATTGGCCTAGTTTTGATAACCTGCTGCCTCCTGCAGTGAGGAGGGGGTCAGTTTAATGGACACTCTTACTGTGTATGTTCCAGGGAAATGGGGTCACCTATTCTTCAAGACTTACGTAGGAATTACCTGGGTTTAACACTGGAAGTCCCACCTCCTGGGAAAATCCTTAGTCCCATGACTTAGGGACAGTTGTTCACCCTAATAGAGCTTGATCTTCAAAAGAAAATTGAGGTGTTATTACTTGACAAAAGCAAGAGAGAAGTTGGGTTGGCAAAAACAATAACTATTCGTCACAGAAAAATTTAGGTGTTATTGCCTGACAAAGGCTAGAGAGAATGTGAGTTGGCAAAAACAGTAAGTATTCATCACAGAAAAAATTATTTTTTTGAAATGGAAAAATAGAAATAATTATTATTATTACCAGAAAATGGAAGTATGGATGGTGTGAGGGCAAAAATAATAAATATTGAAATTGGCCATCTTTTGATCCAGTTGTGGTATATAATTTTCTACATTCCACTGGTCAGACCACTGGAGTGAGAAACATGAGAGAGAATGAGAGTTTCAATATGTGGACTTAGTTTTCAACCTTTGTCTAGGAGCCCCAGACTCCTTTTAAATGAAGGGGGATTCATTAATTACCCAGAAACAACATATAATTTTTATAACCTCTTTCCTTGGTGATCCATTATGACTTTTTCTGATTACAAAACCAATTCCTTCCACAGCACGAGTTTTAGAGAACAGAAGGTACAAGCACCATCTTAAGTACAATTTTTTGCTAATATGTTCAGGTTATATAAACTCTAATTGAGCATTTATGCAATATCAGGCACAGGAAAGCCTCCAGAGTTGCCAACACATCAAGACCAAGACAGTGCCTCTGAGGGGCATGTAGTTGAGAGGCTCTAGTCGTGGGACCAATTTCCTTTGGAATCAGTTAACTTTGCTAAGTTTTGCAGCCATGGTCTGTCCCTCCATCCCTTGCAAACCACCCACCAGTGAGTACCCCAGGAGTCCGGGGAGAGGAGTTTCTATGAATTGTTGAAAATCTGCTACCAATCCTGTGAATTTTATAGACGGTTCTCATCCTCCAATGGTAGGCCATTGGTACAATCTGTGAATATGAAGTGTTCCATGCAAATTTTTCATAATTAGCTGTAATTTCTGTGTCAGGATTAAAATATATAGGTGACTCATGCTTCATGGTTTATCAACATCACATTTCATCAGAGTCTTAGTTTAATTCTGCATTCTATTTTATTCAAAAACTTATATTTGAATATGCACAGCCAAAATAGCCACATTGGAGACAGCTAAAAACACAGAATTGCTAGTCAAACTTGGTTTTTGCCCAGTGACTGCTAAATATTGTTTTAATGAAACTGCATTTTTAAAAGCCTCCTTTAAATGTTAACGTATGCTTCTTCTACTCAGAAGATTTTAGAATGTAAGAGCTAAAGCTTTCTTAACTGTATTTTTAGACTTAAGGTAATGTATTCATTCTTACTTCAAATTTGGATTTTGTGTGTGTGCATGGATTAGCCTAATCCTGATGCTTCTTAATTGTCACAAAATAGATTTTTATATTTTATGATAATCTTTACATTCCTTAGTCCTAAAGCCAGGCATATTTCAAATTTTTAGCACATTCCCCAATTTACACTATTCTTATTTTTCTACATCAACAAAATTAAGCAGATTCTTCAATGTTCAGCACTCAAATACATCTCATGGATAGTCTCTTACAATGGAATGACACCAAGTTGACTTGTTGTATGACTGTCCCCACTTTTGTTTTTTGAGAATTTGGTAAAACTCTATACGGGTTTCCCTAAGAAACCAAGGCAATAGCTTCATATTTCTCTTTGCTTACACTTGCAAACAAAACAGAAAGAGCGGGTTTGATGAACATTGGGAAGGAGGATGGCATAACCTATATTTTCTCAGCTTTTTAGTAAACACAGATTCAGCTTAAGGATGAGAACTAAAAATAATATTGTAAGGTTTGCAACTAACTGAAAGAATCTCCTCTCAGCCATGGGAACCGAAGAGAAACCCTAAAAACTGAGCTCAGGTCATGACAAGATGGAAAGTCGCATACTCCTCATGATACCCCCACCCTTTGGGGTTTAGACACAACAATCGAGCAGCATTAACTTTAAAAGAGGGATCATAAGACTGATGAAACAGACTGTTTGTGGCAATAAGATACAAAATTATAAGCACGGCTTACCACCAGGCTAGGCAAGGATTAAGTCATGCTTCCCCTACACCTAAAGAATAAACTGCGTTCTAACTGCCACATGGTTTCTTTTTCTCCAGCAGCCAAACAAACACTGGTCTTGAAATAAAGCAATATTAAAACAATTGCAGCTCAACCACCACCAGGTGCTGGCTAACTGACCCCCTGTTTCACCAGCCGTAACTACAGCTTTGACTGGACAAGAGACCAATTTCTGTAACTTTCTCTTGATAAGACACCACTGACCAGGGACTGGTTCTGGCCAGTTTACAGAGGCTGCTCACGAGAGTGCCAGTGTGTTCTGAAAAGACCTTTAGGCTTATAGGGCCTAGCTGTGATACATTTAAATGTTGTCTCCACTGCAAGGTGAACATGAAATGCATGTAGCGTGTATGTTTTCTTATTACACATATGCACAACCTCCCCTTTATGATTATTCATAGCTTTTCCTATGATGTGTTGAATATGTGTACTTAGCTAACCTCTTCAGCATACGTTTCTGTCATACCTTTCCTCCTTCTAAGTGCCTAACTTGCGGGCTGTGCTGGAGGATACATTTCCCAGACTGTTAGAATGGTCACCTTGAAGGCAGTAACCCTTTTTAAGAAATAAAGCTCTCTTTCCAAATTTATAGATCTCATGATTTTTCAGCTGCCAAGGAGAATGTGCACACCCAGCTGTTAACCATCACATTTCCTGTGAGTCGCGTAGCTGTTCAGCATATTAGCATGAAGAAGATAGAATAAAAATGTGGAGGACACAATGCCTTATGTCATGGGTTGAATTATTCCCTCCCCCCAAATAATTTGATGTACCAAATCCCAGTACCCATGAATGTGACTTCATTTGAAAATAGGGTGTTTGTAGACATAATCAAGTTAAGATGAGGTGATGAACATAGGCCCTAATCCAATATGACTAGTGTCCTTATGAAAACAGGGAAATTTGGACACAGACACACAGGGAGATATCATCTGGTGACAGAAGCAGAAATTGAAGTCATCGAACTTCAAGCCATGGAACACCAAGGATTACCAGCAGCCATCAGAATCTAAAAAAAAATTCAAGAAAGGTTCTCCTCTGCAGCTTTCAGAAGGAGCAGGGCCCTGCCAACACTTTAATTTTTGATTTCTAGCCTCCAGCACTATGAAACAAAAAACTTCTGCAGTTTGAAAGCACCTAGCTTGTGGTACTTTGTTCTAACAGTCCCAGAAATATGAATGCACCTTGTCTTCAAGAACTGCTACTACACAGAGATTTGTCGATCACCAGCTCCATGCCAGACACCAGGTTATTTCTGTGCATGCACAGGCAAATAAAATGCAGACGCTTTCCTGAAGAAGTGTGCACACTGTACACCACTGAGATGTTTGGCAGAGCTGGACTTGGTAGCAGATGGAGATCCTAAAGACAGCCTCTTTCCCTGCAGTTGTAGCACATTTTAAAATAACATTTGAATTGTAAACCTCTTCCCAGGGTTCCAAGATATTTTCAGAAGATGTAAATTTAGAGTGATCAAACCTAACAAGAGACAGTTACCCACACTGCAGCTTTCAGGTCTTCTATTTATTAAGGAACTATTTCTGTAGGCTAAAGGATTAAGAGCGGGAACAGTCAATCATTTCTTCTATATTTGCTACTTTGAAATCTCCTATATATCTCTGAAAACAAGAAATCTGTGTAGTCATCAGTCTGTATTTTTGTTGGCAATTATTTATAAGCTTTACACAACAGCTTCATGAAATTACAATGTTTTCTTTCACATGTGTGATGTGTTTGATCTTAGCAAAGGACTAGTGGCAACTGGAACATCCAGGATGTTTGCCTTTAAGATTATATTAAGGGCAAAATCACCTCCTATCCTCTAAGGCTTCTATTTAATTTCAACCATTACCATGTTTAATTGGAAAGAGAATTTGAAGATAAATCACATCATGTAAGGCTTTAGAGAGTCTAGCTATCTTGGCTTTAAATTATTGCATAGATTTTTTTTAACCTCCCAACAGTGTTGACAGGTAGATCACAATGAATCAGGCTTCCTACTGTATGTTCTCATTATTTAATATTAACACCTGCCCCAGGGGCTTGTAAAGTAATCATAAAGTTTTCCTAATGGATACTACACATAAGAGACTTTAGCACGCATTTCTCTCTTCATTTTATCCAAGTGCATTACATCTTTCCTGATATAGTTTGGGTCTATATCCCCACCAAATCTCTTATTGAATTGAAATCCCCACATGTTGAAGGAAGGGCCCAGTGGGAGGCATTTGAATCATGGGAGCAGACTTCCCCCTTGCTGTTTTTGTGATGAAGTTCTCCTGAGATCTAGTTGATTAAAAGTGTGTAGCGCTTCCCCCTTCACCCTCTTTTCTGCTCTGCCATGGTAAGATGTGCTTCCTTCCCCTTTGTCTTCTGCCATGATTGTTAAGTTTCCCAAAGCCTTCCAGCCATGCTTTCTCTACAGCCTGCAGAACTGTGAGTCAATTAAATGTCTTTTCTTTATTACCCAGTCGCAGGTAGTTCTTCATAGCAGTGTGAAAACGGACTAATACACTTTACTTCTTCCCTCCTTTATTCCTTACGCCAAATCTGGAAAACTTCAAATAAAAACTTAGATATTATTTTCTTCCACTCCTTCCATAGAAAAGAGAATTATCAGGACCAAAAAAAAAATTAAAGTGACTTTCTTATAGTATAATGAAATTTAAGAGTGTGATATTTAGTCTCTTATGGACCAATAATAGAAGAAAATTCATCTTGAGAACTCTCTGTAAGAAAAATGTGGATCAAGGAATATTTTCATATCTACAATTAAAGGTACACTTTTTAAAGAAAACAGTGTTTAATATTGACCAGATAATATCAAATTGGTGGTATCATTAGTCTCCTAAACAACAAGTCAACTTTTACAGGAAATCCTAGCAATTTTATGGACAGCTATTTAATACAGAGTCCCTGCACTGGAGTTGGGAAAGCTGTCAAGCCACCACACTTACCAAATGGGGTGATACTACTGCCCTCATAATTCCATTGCAAAGCACAGTCTGACACAAGCACATGAATTTGTGTGGTTAAGTTTTGGCTGGTTTACTGTGATACTGGATGACTGTGACCCACTGTGGTAATGATGTTGGATGGGTCATTTAAATTCTCACTTTTTTGATTCCTGATAAGGGAATTACAGCAATTTGTCACAATTTGCCAACAGAGAAGATGCAGATAGTGGTCTGACTCCCTGCCAAGTCTGACTTCTAGGGAGCAGGCTGCTTCCCTGAGTTGGTTACTGTCAATAATGAGTTGGTGTCCTCTGCAGGTTGCTCCAGAATTTTGGTCTGATTTCTGTTTTTATGTATGGTCTGACTGTTGTCTGTATGTTCAGACTCTCAGGGTGAAGACTATAGAGACTTCACAAGGCACAGAAATGGGATCTGACATGAGTTACAACCACAGGTTCATCACTGTCCCTGGTGTGAACCATGGTTGCTCCAAGCAAAGCCATGGAACTTTCCAAACTAAGAATTTAAGATCTCAGAACTTCTCTTGACAGGTTGGAAAACACTGTTCTATACAAGTATTTCTCACAAAAGATATCACTGTTAATCTTGGTTCTTTATATGTAAAAGGAAAAATAAAAATGCTGCATTTATTGAGAGATTAAAAAGACAGACAAAAGTTTTCCTTTCCCTTTGAAACTGATGAATTTCGCTGTAATCTTCAAAGTCAAAGCAACAGTAAAATCTACATTTGTCAATGAAGATCAGACTTACTTCATTTCTAGCATAAGAAGTAAAGTTGATTTATAGTTCAAATGCACATAAACCTCACCTCCTGAATGTCTTAATCTCATTACACATATAATTAAGTGATTTTTCCCCTGACTGCAGAAATAACAGGACATTGATCAGTTGTCTAGCTGTCATACCAGTGTGATTTGTCATTATAAATACAGTGAGGCTCACAAGTGTGGCGCTTTGACAAGATGTTTGACTCTGAGTCCTTGTTCGCGCTCATTACTGGCTTGCTTTTGCCCAAGTTTCAGTGATTTGGATCCTAAGAGAATACACCATGGGCAGTGGCTGAAGCTTTTCTAGGCTGTGCATGAAATCAGACAGTGCCCCAGAGTTGACCTCCCTGAGCTGATAACCCGCCTTTAGGAATGTGATCAAAGAGAACATCTCTGAGACATATGTTCCAGATTCCTATTAAACACGGGATATAAGTTTGTGCATAATGCTTACAATCCTGACTCACCTCCTTGGTAATTTGAAAACTATGCCACTGTCTTTTCTGTGACAGTGTTTATAACTGTAATATCCATAGGTTGATATGGACACTTCATGTTTTCTGATCCAAACGAATAATCACGGTGCTTTGTGAGGTGGCTAAATGCGGTTTATTGGTATTTTCCTTTGGGCAACTGCCCAAAGTCACCTTTTGCTCTGAGATATAACTTTGGAAATTCATTTATCTGTTATTTGTACACTCAACTGGCAGTCTCTTGACAAGGACTTTCTCTTGTCCAGGGTATTGATCTATGGAATAACTTTAACAATAAAACTGGCCTGAGAAAGGATGTGGAGAGACATGAAACAACAGGATGAGCAACATCATGGAGGAGAAACACGTTTCTTATATGTAGGGGGAGAACCAGTGTATAGACCTAGGGGACCAGGATAAACAAATGAAGTGGTGGCAGAGCTATTCAGCATGAGGAAATATGCTGATAAATATGCTTTATGAACAATAAACCTTCAAAGCAAATTTGCCAACCTCTGTATTCCATTTCTTTGATTCATTCAGAAAATATCTCAAGTAGCAACCGTGTGTCAGGCCCAGGTAGGGACACACAGAATGTGCAAGGCTTCAAAGTGAGAGAGGAGAAACTTGGGTCCAAATACCTTCTCTAAAGGCAAAGTAATAAATTCTGGAGAATGGGTGCAATGCTTGTTTTAGAATTCTCAAGGACAATAATTCAAGAGAATGCCCAGGAGAGATACTTGAGACAGGTCTTGAAGATAAAACAGATTTTAGCAGACAGAAGGAAGGGAACAGTCGGTATTCCAAAGAAAAGGAATGGAATGAGCAAATGCAAAGGCAGGTGCAAACGTGTTGAGTTTGTTAAACTTCAGGTAGTATGTAGGATGTGCATGAAGGTAATTCCCATGTATCAAATATTTTAAGTGGCTTCAATATTAGAACATTTCACACATGGTATTACAGGTTCTGGTGAGCTTTCAGACCTACACTACAGCAGTGCTACTTTTTTTTCTCTCAACCCTCACAACTTGACTCTGATTTTTTTATGTTTCTTTTGTTGAGATAAAAATTTAACACATTGAAATGCACACATCTTTAAATTGAGTGGTTGTTAATCTTATTGAGTAGTTGAAATTCTTTCAATATTCTGGATACAAGTTCTTCATCTGATATGTGCTTTGCAAATATTTTTTGTCTAAACTCTGGCTTGCTTTTTTGTGTTAAAATAATTTTTCAAAGATCAGAAGTGCTAAATTTTGATGAACTTCAATTTATCTGAAATATATATGTATATTTGGTGCTTTTTATAGCCTTTATAAGAAAACTTTGCCTACTTCCATGTTGCAAAGACATTCTTCTATGCGTTCTTTAAAAAGGTGTCAGTTTTTAGTTCTTACACTTAGCTATCTGATCCATCTTGAACTGATTTATATACGTATGGTGTGAGTTAGAAGTTGAGGCAAATATTACCCATATAGATAGCCATGTTTCTTGCACTATTTGTTAAAAAATCTTTTCTTCGTTACATATCTTGGAAATCTCTGTTAAAAGCTAATTGTCAAAGTAAATGTGGGTCTATTTTTGGACATTTTATTCTGTTTCTTTGACTTTTCTATACTTTTCTTGAATATCACTTTAAATGTTTTATTCATCAGAGTTACTCAAGACTATATTCCCTTCAACAATTAATGCCTTAAAATGTATTTTGGGTCACTCTATTTATTTCTGATTGCCCCTCAGGTTCTCGACTTCTCAGAATGGACGTAGATGAGAGACAGATCCAAATCATCCCAAGGTGAAACTGAAGCTTAACCTCTGTATATGATGAAATTTACTATTTTTTATCTATTATTTTGAATGGTATGTGGTCATGATGTTCTTTTCATTTCCTTTCTCTAAGATTAAGGAATTCTTTGAACACATATTTCTTAGAGATTTCTCATAAAATTAATTGAGTTAAGGACATACACCTCAAGAAAAAGTGCCTGGTGGCCCCAGTTCGTATGTGGGAGTCAGAGACAAAATTGTCCTTGGGATGAACGAGAGAAGGAGAGCATCCTTACAGACAATAGAAGGCGCCTATCTGAGATTTGGGCTGATCTGTGGTGAAAAGAACTCCAGATGTTAGGAATGATTTTTGGTCTCAAAAACCTGAAATGATTTTGCCTTATTATAATATTTCAAATATGTGAAATCCTGTAGTCTCCTGATATCCTAAAATTCATGTGACACTCCAAAGTGACTCTAAAAATTTATCACCTCCATGGTCCATCTGGACTTCACGGCTGGCCAAAGATGCAATGCGATCCCTGCCCTTCTACTGGCTGAAGCAGGTGCCCTGAAACTGCAGGCTCTGCCCAGCACGTCCAAGTCATCCTGCCACTGCTGAGTCCTTGTAACAGCTTTTGACTGAGAGGTTTGGCTGGGGCTTATATTCAGAAGTGAAGTTACTTATTTGTTCTGCTTATTTTTTTACAAAAATTACACATAATTATAAGGGAATGGAAAGTATCAAATTTATCAGAGATCTCAGAATAATGACATAGCATTTGGAAACAATGTGTCAATACGCCTCTTGGGGTGTTGGGGTGAGACTCAAAAGAGAATGTTCAGTGTGGCCTCTGTATTGCCTTAGGCAGGTGTGTCCCATCAGTTGTCACCTACTTGGAATTTGAAGAAAAGTGACTTTCTGTGTATTAAAGATGTTGAGACAACACATCTCAACACTCCATGAGGTGAGAGGGTGACAACATAAGATGTGGATGCCTAGCAAAAGGGTTTGGGAAGAATGTGATCAATACAGATATCAACACCAACCTCTGTGATGGTTAATTTTCCATGTCAATTTGGAGGGTGCTTTTAGATGAGAGTGACATTTAAATTGGTAAACTTTGGGTAAAGCAAATTGCCTTTCATAATGTGGGTGGGCCTCATTCAATCAGCTGATATCCTGAATATAACAGAGACTGGCCTTCCTGGATTTTATCTGCACCATTGGCTCTGCTGGGTCTTCAGCCTGCAGACCCACACTGCAGGTTTTGGACTCCCCAGCCTCCATAATCACATAAGCCAATACCTTATAATAAATCTTTTTATCTTTCCCTCTATCTCTATCTCTCTGTCTATACATGTATCTATTGTCTGTCTTTATTTCTGTCCTGTTGGTTTTACTTCTTGGAGAATGCTGACTAATACAACCTCCTAGATCTTCCTTTAAGCAAGCACTTGCTGCTCAGCTACAAGGAGTGTGGATGGCAGAGTGTGGGAGCCAGTTCCTTCAGGCTATGCCTCAGCTGTGGAGATAAGCCTCGCCTCATGTCTACTTTTCTGGGGCAACCCCGGTGATTGAAGAAGGCAGTTACATGGAGGTCCACCATTTAGGCCTGAAAGTACTACTTGTTCCAGAGTTCCTGGCTGGGTTGGCTGAGACTTTGTCAATCTTCTACAGATCAACTTCTCCCCCTGCCCCATCCTGCTACTGCCCCATTCTTTCACAAGTCGGACTCCTAATTCCCATTTGTACCCCAGACTCCAACTCAGCATCTGATTGTGAGAAACCAAATTGCAATAAGAACATAAATTTGCTGGGTAAGGTTTTAAAATGAAACTTTTGATGAAAACCTTTTACTCCATCTATCCTAGAACAACTTTGCTATTAGTTACCTCTCAGTAATGCTTTGGTCAAATGACCCATTCTTTTGGAGAGTTGTTCTCTCTCTTTGAAACAGACAGGTGAACAGTATGTTCAGACATCAGAGCTGGTGGATGAGGGACCGGGTAGCAACTGCGTTACCAGCTTTGACTCATTGTTCAGCACCGTGCCAGACAGTCTCCCTCTGTGGCTCTTCCGTGAACTATTTTAGAGATGTGCACTACACTTAGAGTCTGCAATTCTTTCCTAACTTTATATTAAAATGTATGTTTGCTAAGATTGTAGAAAGTTTCTGAAGACAAATAACAAACAAGACTCCTGTTTTTCTGTCAATGATTCACGCTAGTATGCCAAAATGTCTCTTGGATGGTGGCTGCCGGATGGCGACCTTCTCTATAATGCCTTCGTGTCAGCGTAGAGGTATTCCATAGAGAAGAGAGAGTAAAGGCCATGAGTAATGTCAGCTTCATCTTTCTTATGAGGATTGACTCAAAGTTCCATTCTCCCTGTGAGACAAGTATTCTCTATGTTCTGATAACTCTGTCATTATCTGTCCATCAGACCCACAGCAATTCCAGTACTTGAGTTCAATAGATACTTGATGAGCCCCTCTCTGTGGGAAATGTCTCTTTCTCCACAGGGGTGCAGTTCAGTGATAAGATAAGCCTTGGTTGAAAATGGAATCAGAAATTTAACAAAGGGCTCTCATTAGGGCACAATGAGGATCAGAAGTACATGCTGTGAAGACCTGAAAGAAGGAAATTTCAGGCCAACAGGAGAATTAGATCTAAACAAGAGGATTTTTTTTTTCTTTTTTCATACTTTAAGTTTTAGGGTACATGTGCACAATGTGCAGGTTTGTTACATATGTATACATGTGCCATGTTGGTGTGCTGCACCCATTAACTCTCCATTTTTCCTCTTAGATTTGTTTATATTTTGTGTTGTTTTATTTTTAATTCTCAAACCATTGATTAGAGAACTCTAGAAGACTGCAGAAGACTGCAGTTTTGGCATTTTGGTGATGGGTTCTAAACTTTAATTAGATTAATTTTGGAAGACACCTTTTTAGGGGTGATGTGGAAGGAAGATAAAAAACGAATCCTTTTTTTTTTTTGGCCATTTGAAGGTCATGGGATTCACTAGAGAGTGTCTCTCGAGGCTGACAGTGTAAACTCAAACATGTGACTTTGCAGGTCTCAATAATGAATTTTCAGTGGTTATGGAAAGGACAGGTGTCAGTGTCAATCCAGACAGAAATGAAATATAGATAGATAAAGTGAGGGGCTGGTTTTCCTGGTCTGAATTCACTGCTCAAGTAATCTATCTTCTGAAAAAAAAAACAACAACAGAGATTAAATCTTTAAAGACTTCTAGGTAACAAGGAAAATAAAAAATTAATCCCATTCTGATGGTCTAGAAAGTTTGAGAGGAAAAAGTATTTCTCAGTCTATAAAATTATTTTCCCAATTCTCATATTTCCTTAAATTAATACTGAGTACTGGAAATCATGATTTATGTGTATTTGCACTTACTTTTTAGCATTGTATGGCATAACTGTTGATATCTTTTACATTTTCACATGTAACTGATTATCTGCAAAATATTTAATGTTTTAGAAAAGTATACTTAATTATGCTGCAATGCACAGTTAGTCCAAGCTGTTTTTGTTTATAAATATTAATTCTTCATATTGTTTTTAGGTTTGATACCACAGTCCAGAATATGGAAGGTGGGTTTTTTGGTAATTCAGGAATAGTGAATGTTGCTGGCAGGTGAGTGTGGGACATGCCTTTTCCTTTCACAAGAATCTTGCTCATCTAAAGTGAGGCTGCATTAAGAAATGTGTCTGAAGTTTCACACAGGAGGCTGATGACAAGGTGGAAGGCCATAGTGTAGTCTGTTTTCACAGAAATTTAGCATTTCTCATGTTGGGTTACAATCATTAGTTTCTAATTATTCCATGTACATTCCATGTTCTGGAAACACTACTTTGTATTTCTGGTATGCTTTTGTGAGTGTGACTAGAACTGCAGGCTGTGGCTTCCAGCCTGTATCCTTCATTGAACTAAGAAGGTATAAATAAGTGATATGATGCTATGCTGATAAATAAGGATGAAAATACAAATGGTTGGTGTCACCAATGCTACGAACATTTCAGAAACAAGTTCCATCTTTAAATACTTGCTATTATCCTTATGAAAGTTAGTCAGAACCATGCATAGCCATATCAGAGCAGATTATAGTTCTGTTTGGATTTTTTAAAAATAACTTATCAAAAGATTGAGTTCTATTTTCATCATACTCAAATTAGTGACTTTTTCATATTTCTATATAACCAATGATATATATAAAGGAAATAAAAGTAATAAGAAGAGTATAACAGTGGTTGCCAAGAACAGAGATATGGGGGTGCGGCAGGGGGATGTAGCTCTATGGGTACTAAGCTGCTGTAATGCAGGATAAGTCTTGATTTCTAATGTATACCATGGGGACTATGGTTAACAATCTGTATTGTATACTGGGAATTTGCTAAGGTAGTAGACCTTAGTTACTTTTTCCTTACTAACAGAAATAAGGTAGCTATGGAGGCAATGGTTGTGCTAATTTGACTATTGATCAATTTGCTATGTATTACATTGGTGCAAAAGTAATTGCAGTTTTTGCCATTAAAAGTAATGCAAAACATTAGGTATATCTAATGTTAAATGACGAGTTACTGGGTGCAGCACACCAACATGGCACATGTATACATATGTAACTAACCTGCACGTTGTACATATGTACCCTAAAACTTAAAGTATAATAATAATAAAAAAGAGTAATGCAAAACAACAATTACTTCTGCACCAACCTAATATATCAAAGCATCATGTTGTACATCTTAAATATATACAAAATATAAAAACAATTATAGAAATTATTATATTACCACATATTACGGGCTGAATTATGCTCCCCATTCATATATTGAAGACCTAACCCCCAATACTATAGAATGTGACTGTATTTAGCGATAGCGTCTTTAAGAGGCAAATAGGTAAATGACATTATTAGGATGAGCCCTAATCCAATATGACTGGTGTCCTTATAAGTAAAAGAGATTAGGAGGACACAGACACACAGGGAAGATCATACGAAGGTGCAGGAAACAGCAGGCACCTGTAAGTCAAGCAGAAAGGCTTCAGGAGAAACAAACCTTGCCAACACCTTGATCTCTGACCTAGTCGCCAGAGCTATGAGCAAGTACACTTCTGCTGTTTATATCCCTCAGTCTGTAATACTTTGTGATGACAGCTCTTACAAACTAATGCAATATACCTGTCTCTTGAAAACCAGGACCACAGCTCCCAGAGCTAAGCGAAGAATGGAATATGTAGTCTCAACAACTACCATTTCTTCTTGCCAGTTTGCTAGGAAAATTAATAGCACTGGCAATGATTTCACAACCTGCATATTGAATTGTGTCACACAAGATATTTTAGCATTTTAAATTTATTTGTTCATATTTTAATTAATATATCTTTCAAATACATTTAGAACTAACTAAAATTTAAAAGCATCACTACTATTTTTCTTTAATTCTTGTATTATGTTTTCCTTATCTGATCTCCTCTTTATTATCTAGGTTGCAAGTTTACATTTTTGTCAAACCCTTGGATTTCAGAAATGTTTCAGCAGGGATGAACTGTAGAAACCAGAGTCTCAACTAGTTGTATGTTTGCAAACATATAGCTTATAAAGTAAGCTTACATTCAAGGTAACATAGGTTATGAGAGTTAGCAAGTTTATTTTGTCTTCAACTCTTTTCTAACATTGAGCATTAAAATTGGCCACAGGAAGGAAACTTTTGAATAAGAAAGGAAGAAGTTGGAAAGAGGCAAAAGTAGAATGAGGAAAAGGCACTTTGGTATATGCATATTAAAACAAAGGCAATTTTGAACAATAATTTTCAAAATGACTTCATTCCTTCATTCTTTTTAGAATTCCTATAACATTTTTGTCATGTAGACGTTTTTACATATCTGGAAATATTCTGTAAACATTTGTTCATTGTCTCCATGAAAACTGGTTTTTAACCATGTAGAAGCTTTTGCATAAAAAAAATAGAGGCAAGATGGATTTTTAAACAACATAAGCTACAAACATTAAGTATAAGGCTCACTGATTGTTAACTTGTAATTTGTGGATCATATGTTGATTTTTGCCTGTGGGATTAGGAAAGCAGTAGGTAGCACATGTGCTATTGATTACTTTCTTCAAGTAGTTGTTTTTTTTTTCAATTACTTCTGAGTTGTACACTTTTTTTTCTGACCTTCAGAGTAATTTATAATCAATACCTACTTAGCAGGAAAAAAAATCCCTGGATATTTAGTGTATAATAACTTCAGTGTTCAAAGTCAATTGACCATTATAACATGACCCAGGGCTAAATGAAGTGTTAGAAAAAAGGATGTTAGTCCAGTTTGTTAGGCCTGTTAGCACGAGTAGTTTTTCCATTAAAGTGGTTCTGTGAGCTTCTAAATTATGAAGGCTGCCACATGCTGTTTCTTTTTCTGATAGCTGCCTTTTTCGACAAATAACAATTAATTCTGTAGTTTTATCTTGGTATTATAAAGGGCTACTATTACCACAGATAAACTGTATTGGAAAAACCAGTTAATACTGAAAAAATTATAAATGTATAGGTCATTTCTAAAATGAAATAGATCATATTTACATTTTTCTAGATTTCCATTGAGTAAAATAATATTCTGTGTATATATAATTCTAAAATGTGATTTAGGGTATTATTAAAATTCTACTTTTTTATTTAAAAAAGTCTTCTTGAATTTTGAGTAGTAATTTTACATTTATTTATATTCATTCATTCAATAATTTGTTTTGAATGCCAACTACAGAACAGGTTGTCTTTCAGCTTCTAACATTATTATTAAATTATATCAAATTCCATTAAAAATGATTTAAATTGAACTAAAATAAGTATTTGATCATTCATCTAAACATTAGACTTCCTGGATTATTACAATGGGTCCCTGATGAATCAGCTGATGTACCTCAATTTTACTTCTGTTGCAGACATGTAATAGCTCCAATATTGATCACAGATTAATAAGGTGGATTACAGGAGAAGGACCTGATTTAGTAAGGATATGGCAAAGTGGTTTAATCCATGCAAGCATGTGAAAAGATTTTTTTTTTTCCCAGAAAACCATCAACACTTATGGAACAAAAGAGACTTACTAGTTCCAAATTTACGCAGAGTATTTTAGGATCAGAAAATAGCCACCTGAATAAAATAATTTTAAAAATATATATTATTTACAAAGAGAAAGACACATAATCAGATTATAAAAAACTGGGCAGAGAATATGGGAATGGGAAGAGGTATCATCTCAGTTTTTAGAATAAAGATATTCATATTTTCAGGGTATAATACGGTACTGTTGACTATAGGTACGACATCATACAGCAGAGCGCTAGAACTTACTCATCTTGTTTAACTGAAACTTTATACCCTTTCATTAGTAACTCCCCTTTTCTCCCTACCTCCAGGCAGTGGTGATCTTTATTCCACTTTTTAATTCTAATTTGATTACTTCAGTTACCTCATGTAAGCTAAATCAAGCAGTATTTGTCTTTCTGTGACTGGCATTTTTTACTTAGCATAAAGTACATAAGGTGCATCCATATGATGACATATTACAGAATTTCTCTTTTTTAAGGCTGAATAATATTTCATCGTGTGTGTATCACACACATATGTAGTATATTTTATACTGTATATATACAGTGTATTTATGTATATATAACTATATATTTATAGCTATATAGATATATATATCACATTTTCTTTATTCATCTATTGATAGACATTTACATTGTTCTCAGTGGTCAACTATTGTGAATAATGTTGCAATAAACAGGAGTGCTGATATCGCCTCAAGATCCTGACTTCTATTCTTTTGGATAAATACTCAGAAGTGGGATGACTGCATTATGTGATAATTCTATTTTTAATTTTTTAAAGAATCCCTGTACTTTTTTCTATAGTGGCTGCATCATTTTGCATTTTCACCAACAGTGTAAAAGGCTTCCAATTTCTTCACATACTTGTGAACATTTAGTGTCTCTCTCTTTTTCTATGATAGCCATTTTGACAGGTGTGAGGTAATGTCTTTGTGGTTTTAATTATAAGATCTGAAACTAACAGTCTAGAAGGAAACATAGGTGAACAGATTTCTAAAATTGGTATTGGCAGTGATTTCATGGATGTCACACAAAAAGCTCAGGTAGCAAAAGCAAAAATGGAAAAGGGGACTACATCAAACCAAAAAGTTTCTGCCACAGCAAAGGAAAAAAATCAGCTGAGTGCACAGGCAATCCATGGAAGGGAGAAAATATTTGCAAACCATGCAATTGATAAAAGACTAATATTCAAAATATATAAGAAACTCCTGCAATTCCACAGCAAAAAAGAAACAAGTAATTAAAAATTAGCCTAAAGACTTGAATAGACATTTCTTCAAAGAAAATATACAAATAGCCAACAGGTATATGAAAAAATGTTCAAGGTCACTAATCATCAGAGAAATGCATTTTTAAAATAAAAGTATTTCTACTGAATGTCTCATGTGACTTAGACACAGTGACAGGGGCTGAGCACCCACATATAAGTGACACATGGGCCTGAAATTCAAGGAGTCTCCATGTATGTTTCTCACTTCACATTTTTAGAAAAATAAACAAAGTTGAATTGTAAAGAATACATTTCTCAAATGGTATTTAGTTCATTGCTAGTGTTATTTACCGAGAAAACTTTCTAAGATGACCCCAAGATGCCAGCTGTTCTGTTCTTAGATTCTAGCTCTGATTTCCTGGGGTGCAAAATTATTTTTCATACACAATTGCCATAAAACCTGTTGATTAAAAGGCAAAAATGCAGGTATTAAATGGAATTTTATTGTTTGTGAAAATCAAGTACAAATTGAAGAGAGAATTTGTGTCTAAGTACCTCTCAGATCTACCCACGTGTACAGTGAGTGTTCTGTCCTAGGTACACCTATACCACACATGACCAGATGAAGCCATGGAAAAGACGGGTGTACACTGTGGCTATTTACCAAAACTATCCTATCTTATTTTACTGCAATAATTAAAAATAACAGTCTAGTAAAGAATAGCTCTGGAACACACACTAAGACTGACTGAACATGTGAAAGTAGGCATGAGAAGGACTTTGTGGACAGACTTGGGATCATGGTGTCCCTCAACATCCCTTTGCAGTGATTGATGTTCCTGTTGGGAGTCTTGCCTTGTAGTCTGACCTTGAACTTGTGTGGAGAGGCAGACAGGTGGTTTTGCTTTTGAAAGTTTTGTGTGAGCAAATATTAGCAAATGTGATCTAAAATTGTGCTGTTTACATAGGTATAAGGCAAGAAGACTTTGGTCTCCTGGTTTCTTGAGCTGTGTGGTGACCATCTGTTTGCATAGGGCTTGGCTACTCTTTCCAGGGAGGCAGGGATGTGCACAGTAGGACTTAAGCAAAAGCACACAGGCTGAACGCAGCTGATATGCGTAAAGAGGTGGAGTCGGAGGTTCTCTTCAAAGGCATGGGGGCCATGCAACCCTCAGTTGGTGATTGGAGTGCAAGAGTTGGGAGCAGAAGGCAGAGACAAATGCCAGACACTTAGGCAGGCTCAGCCAAGCAGTCTGTTTTGTTTGTTTCACCTGAGACAATCACAGTGAGTGCAAACAGAAGATAAACACACAAAACAAACAAAAACAGACTTCAATCTACTCAGAGTTTGATTTAGAGGAAAGTATAAGACAGCCTTAATAAAAGAACTATTTTCCACACCGGGGACTGTTGTGGGGTGGGGGGAGGGGGGAGGGATAGCATTAGGAGATATACCCAATGCTAAATGATGGGTTAATGGGTGCAGCACACCAACATGGCACATGTATACATATGTAACAAACCTGCATGTTGTGCACATGTACCCTAAAACTTAAAGTATAATTTAAAAAAAAGAACTATTTTCCACCATGTACTAGAAAATTTTCTCAGAAATACACTAGAAGAAAATTTCACTGATGTCCTGAATGAACTGAATCTACTAACTAAAGAACCCAACACAAAAGAGGGGAGGCCCTCCTGGTTGGTAGGAAGAGATCAGCTGATGACCTCTGAATTCCAAGCACGGTTAAAACAGTATAAGAAAATAATTTCAAACGTTATGCTTATGATAATTCTGTTTCTTTTCATTATGCATTTTTACTAAATTTAAGTAACTGCTTTGGAATAAGATACATGATAATGAAAGGAAAATATAAGCAAAGGAGGAAAAAATGAGGCCTGTTGTGAGAGCTAAGAGCAGTTCAGTTGGTCATGAAACTAGATGTTAGTAAGTCTCATTGGCATAGCCTGGCTTGTAAGGTGGGCTGCAGAGAGATTGTGGAGGACTTTTAACATTAGGTCCACAAGTTTGTTCTTGATTATGGGACTATCGAAAGTTTCTACTGGTACAATCTCACTCATTTAGTCATTTGTTAAATAACCTTTTGCTGAGCTTTTTTTTTTTGCACAACATGGAGTGAGGACAAAGGGAAGAAACTCAAAGTCCCCACTCCCATGAAGCCTTGAGTCTAGTAAAGTATACAAAAAGGTGAACATATGGTGAAAGTTCATGTGTTCAGGATTAATGTGCAGACAAGAATAGGAGCATTGGGTGGGTGGGGACGAGCTCCCCAGAGACTCATCTGAATAACATGTGTCCTGTGCTTTCCAAAAGTAGCCCTGACCCACAGCTTCAGGTATATTGACTCATTCAGCCTGCAAAGCGCCCTGTATTAGACAGAGTTCTCCAGAGAGACAGAACCGATAGAATGAATGGATGATTAGATAGATGATAGATAGACAGATAGATAGATAGCTAGATAGATAGATAGATGGATAGAGTGGTGGTTTATTAGGGTAACTGGCTCATACAATTATAGCTGGGAAGTTCCAAGCTGGAGAACCAGGGACACCAACAGCGTGGCCCAGTCTAAGTCTGAAAGCCTCAGAACCAGGGAAGCCAACGGCATAATGCTCATTCTGAGACTGAAGGCCTGAGGATCCAAGGTGCCACTGGTGTAAATCCCAGAGTCTGCAGGCTGTAAAACCTGGAGTTCTGATGTTCAAGGGAAGATAAGGAGAGTATCTCAGCTTCAGGAGAGAGACAGAGAAAATTCTTCTCTCATTTTCTGTTCTATTTGGGCTCCCCAGCTGATTGTATGGTACCTGCCCATATTGAGAGTGTATCTTCCCTGCTTAATCCACTGACTTACGTGTCAATCTCCTCTGGAAACATGTCACAAACACCACACACACAGACACACACACAGACACACACACATACACACACACATCACACACACAGACACACACATACACACACACACCACACACATACACACAGACACACACACATACACACACCACACAGACACACACACACACATACACACACAGACACACACACCACACACACATACACACACAACACACACATACACACACAAACGCACATACACACACCACACACGCAGACACACACACATACACACACCACACACACATACACACACATACACACACCACACAGACACACACACACACAGACACACATACACACACAGACACACACACCACACACAGACACACACATACACACACAGACACACACACACCACACACACAGACACACACACATACACACACACACATACACATACACAAGTCATGCTTTGCCAGTTCTCTAGGTATTCCTTAATCCAGTCAAGTTCACACCTAAAATGAGCCAGCACGGACCCATGACCCAGCTGAGAAAACGTCACAGAAAGGTTGGGTGACTTGCTCAGGATGATTCAGCCAGTCAGCAGTGCAGATGGACTCTGAACACAGAATGCACACAGTAGACCCGAGAGCACCTTGTGTTCATTCTGTTTCACATCCCGTATCAAATGGCAGGTAACTGAAGAAATTTAATTCATGTTAATATGGAGAACTTTGATTGTAAATATAAGTTTTAGAGGTGCCGGTAAAGATAAATTTGACAATTTTTGATGGTATATATGCTACAGCCAGAGGTCAACACCAACTTTTGAGGAAAATATTAAAGAAAATAAAATTATCATAGTTGAATTTTTCCTTCAATATTTAATATCTCTTTTGTTTCCACTATTGTTTTGAAAGAATTGAAATTCGAAGCTATTTGTAAAGATGTACATTGTTTTTAACCAAATATATTATTATTTATTTCTGCTGGATATATCTAAAGCTTTTAAGGACTACATATAAACATACGTATGAAAGAAGGAGATATGTGAATCTCCTTTATGTATGAAAGAAGGAGATATGTGAATCTGAAATTGGTTACAGTTTTTTGGAAAACACTAACATTTCCACTGCTGAGACCTACAATGAATCCAGACAGTGGGTGCTGAATCAGAGGAAAAGACACATTTCCTGAAAGTTCAGGGGGATAAGTTGTTGGGTTTACAAAGTGCCTGTCCCCAAGTTATCCTATCTGCTTCTCTTGTCAGTCCTACAAGGTACAGCATTGAATTTCATTACCTCCACATGACAGATGTGGAACAGGAAATTATGAAGGATAGAGTTTTTTGGGTTTTTTTTTTCCCCCAGATTGTGTAGCTCAGTAAGGGGCATAGAGACCAGAGACAGGGTTGTGGAGAGGAGCCCCTGAGAATGAAGCCAGTCTATAGAACATGCTGGTGAGCTAAGTCTGGCTCACTGCATGCAGGCTGCATTGAAAATTCTACCGTGTGCTCATATGTTTATTGCAGCACTATTCACAACAGCAAAGACTTGGAACCAACCCAAATGTCCATCAATGATAGACTGGATTAAGAAAATGTGGCACATATACACCATGGAATACTACGCAGCCATAAAAAAGGATGAGTTCAGTCCTTTGTAGTGACATGGATGAAGCTGGAAACCATCATTCTGAGCAAACTATCGCAAGGACAGAAAACCAAACACCGCATGTTCTCACTCATAGGTGGGAACTGAACAATGAGAACACTTGGACACAGGAAGGGGAACATCACACACCAGGGCCTGTCGTGGGGTGGGGGGAGGGGGTAGGGATAGCATTAGGAGAAATACCTAATGTAAACGAGGAGTTAATGGGTGCAGCAAACCAACATGGCACGTGTATACATACGTAACAAACCTGCACTTTGTGCACATGTACCCTAGAACTTCAAGTATAATAAAAAAAATTAAAATAAAATAAAAAGAAAATTCTACCATGTGCTAAAGAACTTCTGGTTGAAAAAAACACATTGTATTGTATTGTATATTTTATTTCTAAACTTTTAGTTTTGAGGGGTACATATACAGGTTGGTTCTATAGATAAACTGCGTGTCGTGGGGGTTTGTTGGACATATTATTTCATCACCCAATTAATAAACATAGTACCCAATAGGTAGTTTTTCAATCCTCACCCTCCTCCTACCCTCCACCCTCAATTAGGTCTGGTATCCATTGTTCCCTTCTTTGTGTCCATATGTACTCAATATTTAGCTCCCATTTACAAGTGAGCACATGCAGTCTTTGGTTTTCTGTTCCTGCATTAGTTTGCTTAGGCTAATGGCCTCCAGCTCATCCAAGTTGCTGCAAAATACATTATCTCATTTGTTTTATGGCTATGCAGTGTTCCTTGGTGTATATGTACCACATTTTCTTTATCTAGTCTGCCATTGATGGGCATTTACCTTGATTCCATGTTCTTTGCTATTGTGAATATTGCTGTTTGGCCACTGTAGAAAGCAGTTTGGTGATTTCTCAAGGAAATTAGAGCTACCATTTGGCCCAGCAGTCTTGTTATTGGGTATATACCAAAGGAATATAAATCATTATATTATTTTAAAATACCAATTAGAATTTGTAATTACAAGATTTTGGTCAGTCTTTTGGAAAAGAAACTTATGGTTTAACACCATTCAAATATTATAATTTATTGTGTCCAAACTCCTGTGTAGCTACGCTATACTCTATTACAGGCTTAAAGAGAGATTTTAATCTCAGCCATAGCAGAGAATGTGTTTTCTTGTTTCAGCTATAAATTGGACCCAAGCACAATGTTTAAGGGCCAATGTATGTTTTTATAACAACTCCACAAATATAAATTCTGCATGCTAGTGTGTCACACTGGCTTCAAGGGAAATAGTAGCATTCAATAACTTTGGGATATGTTCTTTATAAAAATTGCTCTTCATTGTGAACATTTCTATTAATTTGGCCTCATGTTCATTACATCCAGGGTATTTTTCTCAGACGCTGGCTGCCTAGATGAATTTTGTTAGGCAGATACAGAATCAAAACAGGCTAAACAATACTGCAGGAACTTATGCTACAGGAGATGTTTCTGTACATAGTTACCCAGACTTCAGTCATGGCTCATGTGGGCTCTAGTAATAAAAGTAAGAGTTTTACAAGTGAGCATCTGCTACATACCTCCTGGGTGGGAGTAACTCACACTGTCACAAGGAGTCACATTCGTGACCGTCACTGGCTGGATCTCATGGCATCCTTTGATATTATTGTAGTCTACATTGAGGAAATATTTAAGAACATATTTTGTCTGAATATTAAAACCATTTTGAAACTGGAGGTTTTGTATTAAAGAACCATCCAATATTTTGTTTCATTAGATAGAAAATTATCATCAATGAAATATTCACTAAACTGGAGCTCGAATTCCTACTTGAAACCTGGGACAATTATTATCTAATCTATTATCCTAAGTAATTTCAATTGCAACGTAAATACTAAAAAATAATGATCAACCAGCAACTACCACTAATCAGCACCCATAACTGTACAAGGCAGCCACACCCAGAGAATCTTCACGCAATAACCCTGCCCCCTCACCCTCAAAAATCATCCAACTCTCTATGCTATTAAAAGCAATCGTGATCCCCACTCCATCGTGCTCAATTAATCACAGAACCAGCATCAACTCCATTAACAGTCCTAATAAGAAATCTCCTCAGATGTCAATATTTAACCCTTATGTTTCAGAATACTCCTCAGTTTCCATCGTCATAGTATAGCCAAAAACAACCATCATACCACCCAAATAAACCACACAGACTATCAACCCCATGAAAGCCCCACCAAAATTCAACACAATACCACAACCCACAGCACCACTAGTAATAAGCCCTTGACCTCCATAAATAGGAGAAGGTTTCGAAGAGAAACCTACAAACCCTATAGTCAAAAAGACACTTAATAAAAATATAGTATATGCCATTATTCCCACACGGACTATAACCATGACTAATGACATGAAAAGTCATTTCTGTATTTCAACTATAAGAACCCTAATGGCCAATATCTGCAAAACATACCCGCTAATAAAAATTATTAATTACTCATTTATTGATCTTCCCACACCATTTAACATTTCTATATGATGAAACTTCGGCTCACTTCTTGGTGCTTGCCTAACCCTCCAGATCATCACTGGACTGTTTTTGGCCATGCACTACACATCAGACACCTCAACTTCCTTCTCTTCAGTTGCTCATATTAGCCGAGATGTAAACTACGGCTGAATGGTCTGCTATTTTCATGCTAATGGCGCTTCCATATTTTTCATCTGCCTCTTCTTACACATTGGCTGAGGTTTATACTATGGATCATTTACATTTCTAGAAACCTGAAATATCGGCATTATCCTCCTACTCACAACTATGGCAACAGCATTCATAGGCTACGTGCTCCCATAAGGCCAGATATCTTTCTGAGGCACTACAGTAGTTACAAATCTACTATCAGTGATTTCATATATTGGAACTGACCTTGGGCATTGAATCTGAGGTGGATTCTCAGTTGGCAAAGCCACCCTTACATGATTCTTTGCTTTCCATTTCATCTTACCCTTCATCATTACAGCCCTAGCAGCTGTTCACCTTTTACTCCTACATGAAACAGGATCTAATAACCCTTTAGGGGTTTCATCAGACCCAGGCAAAATTACCTTCCACCCCTACCACACAATCAAAGATATTTTAGGTTTAATTTTTCTCCTCCTCCTTCGAATAACTCTAGTACTATTTTCGCCTGACCTCCTGGGTGACCCAGATAACTACGCTTTAGCCAACCCCCTCAGTACCCAACCCCACATTAAACCAGAGTGGTACTTTTTGTTTGCACAGGCAATCTTACCATCCATCCCTCACAAACTAGGAGGCATACTGGCCCTTGTATTCTCCATTCTCATTCTAACAGTTATTCCCATGCTTCACACGTCTAAACAACAAAGCATAATATTCCGACTGTTGAGTAAATGGCTATTCTGAATCTTAGTGGCCAACCTATTTACACTCACATGAATTGGAGGGCAGCCAGTCAAACACCCTTTTATTGTCGTCGGACAGATGGCATCTATTATGTACTTCTCTACCATTCTCACCCCTATACTACTCACCGGCCTAATTGAAAATAAGCTACTTAAATGAAGGTGCCCTTGTAGTATAATTTAATACTCTGGTCTTATAAACCAGAAGTGGAGACTCCCCTCCCCAGGAAATCTCAGGGAAAATGCGTCCCGCTTCACTGTCAACACTCAAAGCTGAAATTCTAATTAAGCTATTCACTGAATTCTTTCTTGCACATACTTTGACTACCACGTCACTACTAATCAATTAGCACTATTACATTAGTGCTTGTATGTACTTCCTGCATTACTGCTAGTCCCCATAAATAATATATAGTACTATAATTGCTTGATTGTACATAGTACATTCATACATAACAATACATTATAAATCTAGCTCACATACATATAAGCACGTATTAGGAATTTCTTAATCAACTGTCATAAATCTAGTATTACCGACTGTACACCTAAATATAATCCACATGGATATTGACCCGTACTATAAATACTTAATATTACATAGTACATACATTCGTTCATCAGACACAGAACATTTTAGTCAAGACGTCCCTCGTCAACATGGATATCCACTGTCAATTTTTGGTCTCTTAATCTACTAAACTCCAAGAAATCATCATCCCACTCGGGAGTACTACTCTCCTCGCTCCGGGCCCATGACACTTGGGGGTGACTATACTGAAACTATACCTGGCATCTGGTTCTTACTTCAGGGCCATAGAACTAAGATCGCCCACACGTTCCCCTTAAATAAGACATGTCGATGGGCTAATGACTACCACACTATTAACCAGTCACAGGAGCACCATCATGCAGTTGGTATTTATAACTTCGGGGGATGCTATCACAGCATCGCGGACGGCCTGGTCCCTGACCAATCCTCTGTGGACGAATTCGGATTTGATTCCTGCCAAATCAATTGTAGAAGCTGAGCTTGTATTGAATATTCCAGGCTGGCATAATAACCATAAGGTGTTAATTAATTCATGCTTGAAAGACATAAGAATTAATCAATAGATGCTCACACATACAGGCATGCTCAATTTCAAGAACTATTTCCAATTAAATCCGCAAATTCCCCTTTCCCCAATCTGTGACTTTACCGTCAACCTAGGTAAACGTACCCTTGCCAAACCCCAAAAACAAGAGACTAAACAGTAATCCAGTCAGAGCTCAAAAATTATATTTTAACCACAAATACCCCAATAGCTACCCCTCGATTTAGGTAATTTTCTAAAAAATTCTAAGACCCTCCTACCAAATAAATCCTCCTTTGTGTAATAAATATAACTAAATATCTGCCCTAATACTAATATAATATCTTGAGCATATTCCTCTGAAAGCACTGCCCCAATATATCATACCCTAAATAAACCATATTCTAATTATAAGAAATCCTCTCAGCCAAACCTCTGCCAATTCGACTTCAAAGACCCTGAATTCCCAGAACTGTTAATAACTATACTTATTTCTTTCTTTCTTATATTTTAATTTTCCACTTAAGAATTCTATGCAGTTCTTTGGGAGACCGAGGCGGGCAGATCACGAGGTCAGGAGAGCGAGACCATCCTGGCTAACATGGTGAAACCCTGTCTCTACTAAAAATACAAAAAATTAGCTGGGCATGGTGACAGGCGCCTGTAGTCCCAGCTACTCGGGAGGCTGAGGCAGGAGAATGGCGTGAACCCAGGAGGCGGAGGTTGCAGTGAGCCGAGATCGCGCCACAGCACTCCAGCCTGGGCGACAGAGCGAGACTCCGATTAAAAAACAAAACAACAACAACAAAAAACAGACAAACAAAAAAAGAATTCTATGCAGTTAATACAGTTATTCATTCAGAGCAAGGCACTGAAAATGTCTAGATGGGTCCACACAACCCTATAAACAAATAGGTTTGGTCGTGGCCTTTTTATTAACTCGTAGGATTACACATGCATGCATCCCCACCCCAGTGAAAATGTCCTCTAGATCACCCGGATCAAAAGGAGCAGGTATCAAGCACGCACAAATGCAACTCAAAACGCTTTGCTCAACCACACCCCCACAGCAAACAGCAGTGATAAATCTTTAGCAATAAAAGAAAGTTTGACTAAGTCATACTAATATTTAGGGTTGGTTAATTTCATGCCAGCCACCGCAGCCATACAGTTAACACGAGCTAATAAAACTCAGTGTAAAGAGTGTTTAAGGTCTACCCTCAATAAAGCTAAGTTCCATCTAAGTTGTAAAAAACTCCAGCTGAAGTAAAATGTACTACGAAAGTGGCTTTAATATCCTGAAGACACAATAGCTAAGACCCAAACTGGGATTAGATACCCCAGGCTGAGATTCTTTGTACAGATGCAACGAATTAAGTGAGATAAGCTCAAGGGTTAACTTTAAATTAAAATGTGAAATTAGCTAAATTTTTCCAAGCTGACTTTTTAGTGTTGAACTATCACTGGCCCTATGATAATCAGAATGAGTTACTCACAAAGAATTGTCATAAATTATGCAGAAGAAAAATAACCATAATTTTGATTAAAAACAGATGTTTAAACCTTTATAAACAAAGCATATATTTTGTGGTACAGAAAGTCATAATATCTATTCAATATCTTGCTAATAGCTGAACTTAAAAAGAATAATGGCTCAGGCTATTTAATTTTTCCCTATGAAATTCTAACAGTGTCTCTGTAGATATAAAGCCTATTTTGGTTTCTTTTACGTTATAAAAATATTATATGGCATTTTCTTTTTTTCCAGAATTCAGATATTTTGCAACAATTTTGACAAAATGCTTTCCCAGCTAAGGAGAAAAGAAAGCAGGCATAGAAAAAAACAATTACCGAGAGTTTTATCCTGCGGGAGAGAACTGAAGAAAAATATTGAGCTGTATGTTTTTCAGATTTTCAAAGTTTTTCAAAGGTGATAGCACCTCTGTAAACACAGGCCACGAACATTTCACCTGCCGTTGTTCAAAAGGTGAATGTAATGTACAATCATACAGAAAATGATCTCTTTTACTCTTCATCTGAGATCCATAAGGGAGATTGTATTAAAATTACTGAATGTATCTCACATTGAAAAAACAGCTAGTAAGAACCAGTTCTGTCATGGCAAAGTAATGACCTTCCAATATCTACTCCTTCACATAAGCAATAAGAAAACTAGCAAAGATGATTGTAATTGATATGTTCAAATTACTAAAATCAGGAATGAAAGAGGAAACATTACTACTGACTTTCAAATCTTTTTAAAGAAGATTTAAGGCAATATTTTGAATAGTTGTAGGCCAAGAAACTTGATAATAGAGATGAAATGAACAAATTCCTAGAAAGACACTATGGTACACAGATAATTACGCCCAAAGATATGTCCACGTTTTAATATCACCTTATATGGTAAAGTTTATGCAGATATAATTAAGAACTTTAAGATGAGGAGATCATCCTTAATTATCCCAATGCGTACTAAATGCCATGGAAAACGTCTTTATGAGAGGCGGAAAGGGGTCACACACACATAGATTACCAAAGTAGGAGATGTGAAGACAGAAGCAGTGACTGGAGTGATGTGGCCATAAGCCAATGGATGCCAACAGCCACCAATAATTTGGCAAACACTCTGGTAATGCCACAAAAAGTTATACATACAGTTACAGTATAACAGATCAATTCCACTCTCAGTTCTATATACGAGATCATTGAAAACAGCCCATACACAATCTTGTACACAAATTTTCATAGCATTATTCACAATAGTCTAAAAATGGAAACAATCCAAATTATAAACTGATAAACAGATAAGCGAAATATGGTACATACATGCAATAAAACGTTATTCACCCACAAAAAGCAATGAAGTACCTATATATGCGACTACAGGGGTATACCTTTAAAACATTCTGCTAAATAAAAGAAGTCAGACACAGTAGGTCACAGTTTGTATGATTCCCGTTATATAGAATGTCTAGAAAAGGCAATTCTATACAGAAAAAAGCAATTAGTGTTAAGGAGTGGGAGGGAGGGGCAAAGGAAGACTGCCAATGGGTAAGCAGTTTCTTTAAGTGGTAATAAAAATATTCTGAAATTAATGGTGATGGGTGCAAAACCTTGTGAATACATAAACCAGTGATACCCCATATAAACCAGTGATACCAGTGTACCCAATAAGTAATTTTTCAACCCTCATCCTCCCCCAATTTTTCCTTTCTTTTTGGACTTCCCAATGTCTATTATTTCTATCTTTACATCCATGTGTATCCACTGTTTAGCTCCCACTTATACATGGGGACATGCCATATTTGATTTTCTGCTTCTCAATTAGTCCACTTAGGATAATGGCCTCCAGTTCCATCCATGTTGCTGAAAAATATATGATTTCATTCTTTTTTATGAATAGTATATATGGCATAGTGTATATATACCATATTTTCTTTATTCGATTGACCATTAATGGACATATAGGTTGGGTCCATGACTTTGCTATTGTGAATAGTGCTGCAATAAACATAAAAATGTATATTCATTTTTATAGAATGATATTTTCCCTTGTATAGATACCCAGTAGTGCAACTGTTGGGTCCAATGGTAGTTCTATTTTTAATTATTTGAGATATCTCCATACTGCTGTCTATAGAGGTTGGACTGATTTACATTCCTACCAAGAGAGTATAAGTGTTTTCTCTGCACTTATGCCAACATCTGTTGTTTTTTGACATTTTAGTAATAGCCATTCCGACTGATCTAAGATGATATTTCAGTGTTGTTTTAATTTGTATTTCTTTGATGATTATTGATACTGAGCATTTTTTTCACATTTATTGACCACTTGCATTTCTTCTTTTGTATTTCTGTTCATGTCCTTTGACCAGTTTTTAATGGTGTTGTTTTTTATCTTGTTGAGTCATTTGAATTACTTGTAGATTCTGGATTTTAGTCCTTTGTCAGGGGCACAACTTGCAAATATTTTCTCCCATTCTGTAGATTGCCTGTTTATTCTGTTTATTATTTATTTTTCTGTGCAGAAGATTTTATGTTTAATCAAATCTCACTTGCCTATTTTTGTTTTCATAGCATTTGCTTTAGAGGTCTTTTATTATAAATTATGTGTTTAGGCTGATGTTCAGAATAATTTTTCCTAGGTTTTCTTCTAGGATTTTTATAGTTTCAGGTCTTATGTCTAGGTTGTTAATTCATCTCGAGTTCATTTTTGTAGATTGTGAAAGATAGGAATTTAGTCCAGAGGCATCACATTGCCTGACTTCAAATTATACTATAAGGCAATGATAACTGAAACAACATGGTACTCCTACAAAGACAGATAGGTTAATGGAACAGAATAGAGAACTCCAAAATAAAGCCACATACCCACAATCAACCGATCTTCTGTAAAGTAAAAAATAAACAATGGGGAAAGGACACCCTGTTCAATAAAATGTGCTGGGGATATCGGCTGGCTATATGCAGAAGGTTGACACTTCTTTAATTGAAGAAAACCTGTATTCTAGCCATGCTTCACAGTATAGAGTGAGCTGCCAGCTGCTACTGAGAAATTGTTGGAGTAAGAATTTCTTTTAACTTTATACATGTTCATAAAGTAGCTCACATTTTATTTTTGGGGTTTAACATTAAGTGTTGCTTTTTAAATGTTTCCTTTGGCATTTGAAATTTAATTTCCAAAGACAGAAATAAGGAAATTCACCTATACACAATGTGTAACTACAGACTAGGTTAGTGCAGTGTCTGAATGGGTAGTATCTGTGGAGATCTTTCTGGCTAAGTCCAGCTCAGGCACTTCCCAGCTGTGTAACCTTGGGAAAAATCATTTAACCTTTTAGGGATGGTTAATTATATGTGTCAATTTGACTAGGCCAGGTGGCACAGTTGTTTGGTCAAATACCATTCTAGATGTTACTGTGAAGTTATTTTCAGATGTGATTCCTAGACTTTGAGAAAGCGGATTACCCTCTGCAATATGGGTGGGCCTCATCCAATCAGCTGAAGGCCTTAAGAACAAAGGTTGCTGGAAGAAGAAGAAATTCTACCTCAAGACTGCAACATAGAAACTCTGCCTAATTTTCCAGACTGCTGCTCTGCAGATATTAGTCTCAAGACTGGAACATCAACCCTTTTCTGAATTTTCAGGCTGGGAGTGTGCCCTACAAATTTCAGACTTGCCAGCCCCCATAAACATATAAGCCAATTACTTTAATTCTCTCTCTCTCTCTCCCTCTGTGTGTGTGTGTGTGTGTGTGTGTGTGCACGCACATATAATTACTTGGAATAATACCTAGGATATAGTTAACACTAAAAATAAATTAGGATGTAAGCATATCTTTTGGGAGGCCACTATTCAACCTACTATACTCTGAAATTCAATTCGTTGTTTTTGTGTGTGTGCATATGAATGAGTTGAGTTCTCAGTAAAAATATTTGGATTTTTGTCATCTGAAGAGCATGTTTCTAACTTTAGCTTTTATCTACATGTATTTTTTGTTGTTATTCACATTGTCTTAATTTCCCAGATTTAAAAACAATCTGTCTTCTTGGGTAAAAATAGATGAATATCTATAGATTTCATACTCATTCGTTAACACAAGGGCAAATTTTTTCTCATTTAGAAACCCATCCCCTTGACTCCTATTCTGTTCTATAATAAATATATTTCTGAGACTGGCAATTCTCCAGTTCTCTTCCAAAGCTATTTAATTTTTTGGCTAAGGCATACAAAAGAGTTACAATAATTTGTTTATAAATTAGGGAATAAATTGGAAAGACAATAGTATGAGTATCAACTGCTGTGTTCAAGGACACCGGGATAGGGGCTCTATTTTTTCTTGTTAATGAGGATAAACTTTGGGGATCCCAAAAGATACCAATGTTAGCAAACCTTCTTCTAAATGAAGTGCAGGAGTGGTTTCTGGAAGTTCTTCTTCAGTGAAGACTGAAAACCTGAGTCAAAAACCCCCATGCTGCAGTGAGCTTGGAGATTCCCAGATATCCTCAAACCTTCCCCTGCTCCAAGAGTTTCATTGCTGAGTGCATCCCTCAGGGCCTCCAAGACCAGGCATAGCTGCCCTGCAATGTGGCATCTGCTTCTCCTCTCTGTGGCCACCTGATTTGAGACGACATTCTGTAATGCTTGACAATAAATCCATATGTGATCTGGGAAGAGGGAATCTCACTCACCCACTTTGCTTGTTTTAGTGTGATAGTCTCAAGTTAAATACAAGCAGCATGCATATACTTTTATAAAAACACTTGTCACAAAAACAATAGCAGAACAAGCTCAAATTGTTTCATTTTAATACATTGATGATGTTTTAGTCCATTGTACACTGCTACAAAGAAATACCTGAGACTGGGAAATTTATAAAGGAAAGATGTTTCATTGATTCACAGTTCCTCATTGCAGGGGAGGCCTCAGGAAACCTACAATCATGGTGACAGGCAAGGGAGAAGCAGGCACCTTTTTCACAGGGTGGTAGGATGGAGTGAGCGCAGAGTGAAGGGGGAAGCCCCTTATAAAACCATCAGATCTTGGGCCGGGAGCTGTGTCTCACACCTGTAATCCCAGGACTGTGGGAGGTCAAGGTGGGTGGATCACTGGAGGTCAGGAGTTCGAGACCAGACTGACCAACATGGTGAAACCCCATCTCTAGTAAAAATACAAAATTAGCTCAGCATGATGGTGCATGCCTGTAATCCCAGCTACTTGGGAGGCTGAGGCAGGAGAATCGCTTGAACCTGGGAGGCAGAGATTGCAGTGAGCCAAGATCGCGCCATTGCACTCCAGCCTGGGTGACAAGAGTGAAACTCCATTTCAAAACAAAAACAAACAAACAGTAAAACACAAAAAAAACCCATCAGATCTTGTAAGAACTCACTATCATAAGAACAGCATGGGAAAAGCTGCCTCCATAATTCAATTATCTCCACCTGTTCTCTCCCTTGACATGTGGAGATTATGGGGATTACAATTCAAGAGACATTTTGGGTGAGGATACAACAAAACCACATCAGACAAATATAATATTTTAGCAAAAATAAAGAATATCTTCTATAGCTGTGAAAATAATAGCAGTTATTATTGCAGAAATGGTGCATCATATGAAAGCTTTGAAAATTAAAGTGTATTCAAACAGTATCTTTCAAAAAGTGTGGACCATGCCATGCAAGCCAAGAACTTTATTAGAGCATGATTTTTTTGGGTAGATTCCTCAAAGATATTAATAATATTAGGCAATATGTTTCAAATGTTTTCTATTAAATTCCATTGGCTGTTTTCAGGTTAAGTGTGAGCACAAATATAATTTTCTCACAGAACCTGTAAGGTACATGGATGTGCTTTGGTCAAAGAATAGACTGAGGCAGGTATCCAGGTCTGCAGGGCTCAGCGAGTTTAGCGCACAGGCGCATGCTTCCACTTGTTATATAACCTGTTTGTGTAAGTTCATACTTGGCTCTGAGCCATTACTGTCTGTAAAAGGTATAATTGCCCTGCTAACACTGTATAGGGCCTCTTGGGGCTCAGCTTGACTCAACGTGGCTGGACATGTCTCTTGTGCAGGTGCTCTTGCATCCAGAGAAAGAGAGAAAGCCAAATTTGTCCGTCTTTGCAGACAGACAGAGGGGAGCCAGGACACAGCTCAGCTTGCTTGTGCCCAGACAGGTAAAGAGTTAAGCTGCTGACCCTGAAGGCAAGGGGAGCCGGCTGTGCAGCTGTGTGTGGAAGCTGGACTAAGCAGCTGAGACAGGGCAGTGCGAGAAAGCTGTTGATGAGAGCTGCTGCTGCTGAATAAAATCACCTTTCACCTGCCCACGGCTCCCTGGCTGTTCTTTCTGCTCATCCACCCACTCCCTTCGGACCTCAGCATGACATTTGGCATAGTCCTGAAACTGACAGAACCAAAACACATTTAAAAAAAAAATCAAATGTAACATTTTATGTTGACGTTTTCAAAGGGTGAATGTCATCAATGAAACAAATTCAAAATCTCTGTTAACGTGTTTAAAATTTGATTTTAAATAGTGATGAAATTGAAACATGAAGTTTCTACTGTAGGTTCAAAACAGTAAAGAATACTGTGGAACTTAGACTGACTGTTTAAAATATTGAGCACTTAAGCACTGAACATCTAATATTTTTAGAAGGATTCTGTTAAATATTCTGTTAAATTATGAAGCATACAAATCTCAAATCTTAGGCATAATTTGCATTCATGTGATCTCTTATGGATAGCTGATATGAATATAATTCGGCATAAATATATTTAAAGGGTATTTGCAATACACTGGCAATTCCCTGGATTTTCTATATAAAAGTTGAAAATTTATACACTCTATGACCCAGCAATTATATTCATGGAAGTGTAGCTCATCTTTCTAGGAGTTGAGAATATTCAAGTGGCTGTTCATAAGAGCAAACTTGGGACAATTCAGATATCGACAGGATAATGGATTCACACTGTAGAATATTAAACAGTCCTGAAAAGAAATTTGCTACAGCTATAAGCAATGGTGTGAATTAAATGTTGTACCAATATTGAGGAAAGAAAACAGAAATATAGAAAGACTACACATAATAGTCTTGTAATAAAATTAATGATACTGAAACTAAATGATATTCTTTGAGGCATACACCAGGTGACCAAACACAGATTTATCTTATTTTACGTTTAGATTGAGGGGTTGGTGTATTGGTGTGTTCTCACACTGCTATACTAATAAAGAAGACAGAAGAATCAAATAGACGCAATAAAAAATGATAAAGGGGATATCAACACCGATCCCACAGAAATACAAACTACCATCAGAGAATACTATAAACACCACTACGCAAATAAACTGGAAAATCCAGAAGAAATGGATAAATACACACTCCCAAGACTAAACCAGGAAGAAGTTGAATCACTGAATAGATCAATAACAGACTCTGATATTGAGGCAATAATTAATAGCCTAAAAAACAAAAAATGTCCAGGATCAGATGGATTCACAATCGAATTCTACCAGGGGTAAAAAGGGAAGCTGGTACCATTCCTTCTGAAACCATTCCAATAAATAGAAAAAGAGGGAATCCTCCCTAACTCATTTTATGAGGCCAGCATCATCCTCTTACCAAAACCTGGCAGAGACACAACAAAAAAAGAGAATTTTACACCAATATCCCTGATGAACATCGATGCGAAAATCCTCAATAAAATACTGGCAAACCAAATCCAGCAGCACATCAAAAAGCTTATCCACGAAGATCAAGTTGGCTTCATCCCTGGGATGCAAGGCTGGTTCAACACAAGCAAATCAATAAGCGTAATCCATCACATAAACAGAACCAAAGACAAAAACCACATGATTATCTCAATAGATGCAGGAAAGGCTTTGACAAAATTCAACAATCCTTCACACTAAAAACTCTCAATAAACTAGGTATTGATGGAACATATCTCAAAATAATATGAGCTATTTATGATAAACCCACAGCCAGTATCATACTGAACAGGCAAAAACTGGAAGCATTCCCGCTGAAAACTGGCACAAGACAGGGATGCCCTCTCTCACCACTCCTATTCAACATAGTGTTGGAAGTTCTGGCCAGGGCAATCATGCAAGAGAAAGAAATAAAGGGTATTCAGTTAGGAAAACAGGAAGTCAAATTGTCCCTGTTTGCAGAGGACATTATTATATATTTAGAAAACCCCATCGTCTCAGCCCAAAATTTCCTTAAGCTGATAGGCAACTTCAGCAAAGTCTCAGGATACAAAATCAATATGCAAAAATCACAAGCATTCCCATACACCAATAACAGACAAACAGGCAAATCATGAGTGAACTCCAATTCACAATTGCTAAAAAGAGAATAAAATACCTAGGAATCCAACTTACAAGGGATGTGAAGGACCTCTTCAAGGAGAACTACAAACCACTGCTCAATGAAATAAAAGAGGACACAAACAAATGGAAGAAAATTTCATGCTCATCAATAGGATGAATCAATACCATGAAAATGGTCATACTGCCCAAGGTAATTTACAGATTCAATGTCATCCCCATCAAGCTACCAATGACTTTCTTCACAGAATTGGAAAAAACTACTTGAAAGTTCACATAGAACCAAAAAACAGCCCACATTGCCAAGACAATCCTAATCAAAAAGAACAAAGCTGGAGGCATCATGCTACCTGACTTCAAACTATACTACAAGGCAACAGTAACCAACACAGCATGGTACTGGTACCAAAATAGAGATATAGACCAATGGAACAGAACAGAGGCCTCAGAAATAACACCACACATCTACAACCATCTGATCTTTGACAAACCTGACAAAAACAAGAAGTGGGGAAAGGATTCCCTATTTAGTAAATGGTGCTGGGAAAACTGGCTAGTCATATGTAGAAAGCTGAAACTGGATCCCTTCCTTACACCTTATACAAACATTAATTCAGGAGGGATTAAAGACTTAAATGTTAGACCTAAAATCATAAAAACTCTAGAGGAAAACCTAGGCAATACCATTCAGGACATAGGCATGGGCAAGGACTTCATGACTAAAACACCAAAAGCAATGGCAACAGAAGCCAAAATTGACAAATGGGATCTAATTAAACTAAAGAGCTTCTCCACAGCAAAAGAAACTACCATCAGAGTGAAGAGGCAACCTACAGAATGGGAGAAAATTTTTTCGATCTACACATCTGACAAAGGGCTAATATCCAAAATCTACAAAGAATTTAAACAAATTTACAAGAAAAAATCAAACAATCCCATCAAAAAGTGGGCAAAGGATATGAACAGACACTTCTCAAAAGAAGACAGTTATGCAGCCAACAGACACATGAAAAAATGCTCATCATCACTGGTCATCAGATAAATGCAAATCAAAACCACAATGAGATATCATCTCACACCAGTTAGAATGGCGATCATTAAAAAGTCAGGAAACAACAGGTGCTAGAGAGGATGTGGAGAAGTAGGAACGCTTTTACACTGTTGGTGGGAGTGTAAACTAGTTCAGCCATTGTGGAAGACAGTGTGGCAATTCCTCAAGGATCTAGAACTAGAAATACCATTTGGCCCAGCAATCCCATTACTGGGTATATACCCAATGATTTATAAATCATGCTACTACAAAGACACATGCACACGTGTGTTTATTGCAGCACTATTCACAATAGCAAAGACTTGGAACCAACCCAAATGTCCATCAATAATAGACTGGATTAAGAAAATGTGGCACATATACACCATAGAATACTCTGCAGCTATAAAAAAGGATGAGCCATAAAAAAGGTCCCTTTGTAGGGACATGGATGAAGCTGGAAATGATCGTTCTCAGCAAACTGTCGCAAGGACAGAAAACCAAACACCACATGTTCTCAGTCATAGGTGGGAATTGAACAATGAGAACACTTGGACACAGGAAGGGGAACATCACACACTGGGGCCTGTCATGCAGTAGGGGAATGCGGGAGGGATAGCATTAGGAGAAATACCTAATGTAAATGACGAGTTAATGGGTGCAGCAAACCAATACGTCACATGTACACATATGTAACAAACCTGCACATTGTGCACATGTACCCTAGAACTTAATGTATTAAAAAAAAAAAAGAAATACCTGAGAATGGGTACCTTAAAAGGAACATAGGTTTAATTGGCTCAGCGTTCTCCAGGCTGTACAGAAGGCATGACAGCATCTGCTCAGCTACTGGAGAGGCCTCAGGTAACTTTCAATCATAGTTGAAGGAAAAGGGGAAGCAGGCACATCTTACATGGTTGGAGGAGGAGGATGAAGGGGGGTGGGGGATGCATGACACAGGCTTTTAAACAACCAGATCTCATGAGAACTCACTCACTAAACAGCACCAAGGGAGGATGGTGCTAACCCATTCATGAGAACTCTGTCCCCATCATCCAATCACCTCCCACCAGGCCCCACTTCCAACACTAGGGATTACAATTCGACTTGTGACTTGGGCAGGGACACACACCCAAATAATAAATTAGGGGCTATGTTTGCAGTTTTATTATAGGCATATATTGCATGATGCTGAGAGTTAGGCTTCTGTTGATCACGTCACCCAGATAGTGAACACAGTACTCACTAAGAAGTTTTTCAGCCCTCCCCCACTTCCTTCCCCTTCTTCCTTCTTTTGAAGTCCCCAGTGTCTACTGTTTCCATCTTTGTGTCCCTGTATACTCAAGGTTTAGCTCCCACTGGAACATGCAATATTTTGTTGGCGGTTTCTGTGTTAATTCACTTAGGATAATGGCCTCCAGATGTATCCATGTTGCTGAAAAGGGTAAGGGCATGATTTCATTCTTTCTAATGGCTGTGCAGTATTTCATGGTGTATATGTGCCACATTGTCTTTATCCAATCTACCATTGATGAGCACCTAGCTTGATTCCTTCTCTTTGCTATTGTGAATAGTGCTGCAATAAACATATCAGTCGTATCAGTCCACTGGTCTTTTCGGTAGAACTGTTTTTTTTCTTTGAGCATATCCCCTGTAATAGGATTGCTGAGTGAAATGGTGCTTCTATTTTTCCTTCTTTGAGAAAGCTCCAAACTGCTTTCCACATTGGCTGAACTGATTTACATTCCCACCAACTGTGTATAAGCATTTCCTTTTCTTCACAGCCTTGCCAACATCTGTTATTTTTTAACTTTTAAACAAAAGCCATTCTGACTGGAGTGAGATGGTATCTCATTGTGGTTTTGATTTGCGTTTCTCTGATGATTAATGATACTGAACATTTTTTCATATGCTCTTTGGGAACTTACAGGTCTTCTCAGAAGTGTCAGTTCCTGTTCTTTGCCCACTCTTTAATAGAGTTATTTGTTTTATTCTTGTTAAGTTGTTTTAGTGCCTTATAGATTCTGGAAATTAGACCTTTGTTAGATGCATAGTTTGCAAATATTATCTCCCATTCTGTAAGTTGTCTGTTTATTCTGATGATAATTTCTTTATATACAGAGCGTTTGTAGTTTACTCCTGGAAGAAGTGAAATGCTTCTAGTGCCAAAATAATAACCTTTTCTTTCCCAGTGCATCTTTGGTTTAAACCACATGTATGAACTCAGACTTTTGTCATTTAAGAGCCAATAATAGTAGACCTTCTATATGCTTTCCAATAGGTTCTCGTGTAGTCATGTCCCAGTGCCCTATAGTAGTGACTTTGATTATCTACCCATTAAGACTCTCAGCTGTGGTGGATTAGCAGCTGTGGAAGAGGAAGTGTCCTTTTGTAAAGGAATAGCCATGTAAACATGGTAAGGAGAAGATAACAGTCCTGCAAACAATAGCTACTGAAAAAGCCTGCAAAATATCTAAAAGAAATGTTAGCAGGAAATGTTGAAAGATTTTCACTGAAAAGATATTAAGCTTTATAAAAGTTGCCTGCACCCTGAATACATGAGAGATATATGGTCTTCCCATTCGGGCAGATACAACAGCAAAAAGAGAACAATCCTTCCATAATTATAATATAAAAACAAAATATTAAATTATAATTACAATACAACTTTTTTGCAAACAACTTAAAAGAAATACTTTTATAGATCTTGCTAACTTAATTATAAACTTATCTAAAGAAAATTCTCAAGAATAATTAAAGACATGTAAAACGCAGTACAAAAAATTGTCTTACCAAGTAGCAAGGCATATTATAAACCCAGAATAATTAGAATACTATAGGATTGATATTCTAAATAGGCAAGTCAGTCATTGAAACACAATACATGTATTAATACAGATACATAATTTCATATATATGCAGTTTATCATAAACATTGTATTTCAAGTCAATGATGAATAAAGGAGTCACAAAAATAAATTATAGAAACATCAAAATGATAAAGATAAAACAAGGCAAATCTTTAAACATATTATAAGAAAATAAAAGAAATTCATTTAGAACACTGAGATAGAAAAGACCCTTGTAAACAAATTACAAATGAAAGTTTTTCCCTTTATGGTAAAAATCATAAAGGAAACAAATGTTAATTTGATAACAAGAAAACATGCTTGAATAAGACAAAGTCACTATAAAATTGAAATACGTATTAAAACTTTAAAAATATTTGATATGTGTATAAAATAAAGGATTAATATTTAAAGTTTACTTTAAAACCTACAAATACGCATAACCACAAAAATCCAATAGACCTAGGGGCCAAGTGTGGAGATAGGGAATTCAGAGGACAGGAAATCCAAACACTTCCAACACAGAGTCTGACCCACTCCCTGAGAATTGGATGTTTGGAAACTACAACACTGGGACATAATTTTTTACCCACATCATTTGCAAAATTGAAAAATATAAAAATGCACCATCAAATTTTGTTCACAATATAGGGAAACAGGCACTGTCATTTCTTGCATGACAGATTGGTTCAACCTTCAAAGGACAACTTGGTAATATTTGCTGACATGATCAATGTGCTTCTCTTTTTGTCCATCATCTCCACTTCTCGGTATCAAATCTTAAGACATATTCACATGGGAAAAAAACAAGGTAGTCACACGACTTTCTGTTGTATCTTTGTACTTAGAATTACAGTATGGCAGAAAAGTACCTTGACATTCATCTTCAAGGGAATGGTTACACTAACCGTATACCCCTGTTGTGAAGTACTATGCTGCATACTCCCCAGTGACCAGCCCCTCTTAAATTCCAGACTGCTCAAAGGTAACCATGCTGCATTGTGGTGTATGTCTTTCCAGAATTTTAAGTACAGCATTTCCAGAGTTTTCGTTGGAAATTATATATACATATGCATATATCTATGTTTACTTATATGAAAATTTGTGTATATAATATGTACATATGTGTATACATATTTATATATGGAAATGTGTATATATAATACATAATTTTGTTTACATGGGCTTTTCTGAACATAAAATTTTACTAGATATATATTTTTTTACTTTGTAGTTTTTCGTTTTTAATAGGTTTTAGAGAGATCTGTATAATAACTCACAGAGCTTTTCCGAATTTTTATTAAGCTTGGTTTAAAAAACATGAATTGATTATAAGGTACAGGAGAATGACCTATGCATGTGTATGCACATGTGTGTGTCTGTGCATGCATGCATGTGTGCATGTGTGTATGTGAATCTGTTTATGTGTATAAGTAAAAATGTGTACATGTGCATGTGTGTGCATGAATGTATGTGTGCTTATGTATATGTTGATTATTTTTAAATTATTAAACCAAACTTGAATTCCTCGGGTAAACTCAAATTGTCCATGTGCATTTTTACTTTTTGTTTGTCTGTTTTAACTTGCTATGTTTGTTAATATTTGGTTTAAAATATTTGTATTCACATTCAAGGAAGAAATACTGGCCTGTGGCTTTCTTTTTAGCACTTTCCTTCCTGGTATTAGCAGTAATATTTCAAAAACTGTTTTTTAAAAATATTTTCTATCTGGTATAACAGAGGCTTTGCTATGTTTACTTACTATCTAATATGCTTATTTGATCATGCTGCTCATTTGAAAAATAACATTGGTATACTTTTTCATTACATTTTATTAATGATAACAATGGTCCTAGAACCTTTATTTTGTGGAGACGTTACTTATTCATCTTTAACCCTAAGCACAAGTTCTTTATTCTTGTGAATTCATTCATTCTGTGTGGCTTTAATAATCTCTGTGTTAATGGGGTCTCATTGTTGAAACCACACATGCACTACTTTGAATGGTGAGGGGTAAAGGTGGAAAATAATTAGTATCTATTTTAGGTCTCCAGGTCTTTCAGTGACAATAGGAAAAATGGGGAGCAAAACCAGAGTAATGAGGAGAGAACTTTGTCCAGAAGGGATGCTGACTTAATTAATTTACCCAAGCTCATCTGAAGAGTGGAAAATGGACTCAAGGGGCTTCTATTCCCACGCATGTATTTTAATTGCTAAGTATTGTATTGGACATTTTGCTTTTTCCCTGTTAAGAACTAATCTCATTATTTTAATAAAGATGCTTTATAAACCTGAAGTAAAAAAAGAAACAGAATCATATAGTCAGCTTAATCCATCCATTCTTTTATTTAACTAAATGATAAACATTGACAATAAAGACATAAAACATGACATAAAATGAGAAGAAAAACTCGTAAATAGACATTGTTCCAACAACTAAAATATCACTGTGTTTTCCAGGCTCATAGTGATTTTTAATTAAGCTCGTTTTTCATTAGTATTTTTGTAACTTTTTAAAGTAACAGTATTTTCAACGTCATCATACAGTATCATAACCAGAATATGGGCACTCATACAGCCAAATCCAGAAGAATTCCATAATCACGAGGGTCTTCCACGTTGCCCTTTTACTGACACACTCACTTCCTTCTTGCGACCAGCTCCTTCTTAACCTTGCCCACCATTAATCGGTTCTCCACTTCAATAATCTGGTTCCTTTAAGAATGTTATAGAACTGGAATCATACACTATGCAGTTTTTTGGAAACGGCTTTTTTTTTTTCACATGGCATAATTCTTTAGGGACTCATCCAGGTAGTGGTCTGTATCAGTAGTAAATTACTTTTTATCACTGAGCAGTATCCTAGCCTACGGTTGTGCTATATTTTGTTTAATATTTACCCATCAAAGGACAGTCGGGGGAGAGGAGTAACTATGCCACTTCTATCTGTAAAGATGTCCAGTTTATTTGCCATGGAAAGGTAAGTGCAGTCCAGGATGGTCTGCCAGAGCTATTTCTGCCTTCTTCTCCCCCTGTCCGTCTTTGAAACTTAATTTTTGCTATTTTGTATCCCTGTAACAATGCATAAATATTTCTCTAATTTATCATCTGTAACTGGTTTCAACCATCATACACAGTGACTCTGAAATCTATGACGATTTTGGACAAGAATATTAGCACTCTTGCTTTCCCCACTGCCTTTCCTCTCAAGCCACATTAAAAATTTGCTCACATCTGCCCTGATCAAGATTTCTAAGACTTAAATGTGGCTTGAAACCATAATCAAGTCTTCGCTTTTATTTCCCATAGATTAATTCTAGCATTTGAAAACAAAATTGCTTCTACACACATACTATTATGATGAAACAAGTAATGTTTACTGAATACCATTCTCTTCAGCTATGATATCAAAAACCTCATTTTGACAGAATTTACATGATTTGGTTTATACTCCTTGATGAAAATTAAGTCGAGTTTTGGTTTGTAAAATCTCTGGATGTTGTTCCTCTTGTACTCTGTGTGTGGTGGGGAAGGGTGTTTTCCTGCCCTTCCAAATGCATTTTTTCTTATGAAAAAGTAACATTTTTCTTCTTTACTGTATTCCTAGCACTGCCCACTCTACTCTACCCATTTTATCAACTGCATGCACTCCATTCCATTTTTTCCCTTGGAGATTTCCTTCATGAACTCACTAATGTCTTGTTCTAATTTGGGTCAGTTGTTTTCTTGTCCAATCCAGAGTTGTCAATTTGAAGTTTTCTTTCTGATTGGGCCTCTAGATTCTTACATTCTTCTAGAAGATTAACAAAATAGCCTATTTTTAAATGTCTTGAGTCAGAAGACAAAGATTCAGATCCCAAGACTGAAAGTTACTTGTCCTGAATGTATTCCATTGAAGACAATGCTTCAAAACTACCTTATGAAGATTAGCTAATTCCATCTTTCAGCCAAGTCTTTGGAGTATGCACCATTGTTATCACTATTTGACAAATGAGGAAATGTGAGGACCTGAGGTTTAAGTCTATGCCCCAGGCCCCATCATCATTAAATTTTAGAGCTGCATTTGAATGAGTTAGGCAGTTTAACTTCAAATATTACTCTCTTATTGACTGTACTATAGCAAGTTGTAAATAGTACAGTCTATTTTTGAGTCTCATTTCATTTGTAGAAACTATGATCATCATAATTATTGATATTAATGTAGGGTAAAAAGCCACAGGTCAAGAGTTACCAGGGAGCAGATCCTGAACACAGCAGAAACAGCTGAAAGGTTTGTGTTAACACAAACCATATGTGGGCCCCAAGAGAGCTGCATTGAAATTGCCAGGCACAAGCACACTGGAATGGAAGCTTCTTGAAGGAAGGCAATGATGATGCTTTTCATGCTTGAGTCACCAGCACCGTGAGCACTTGGCTTGATGCTGTGCACACAGTAGGTGCTCAGTGTGTATTAGTCATAGGAGTGAGTCAACAGCAGAGTCTGTTCCATACACTTCTATAGCCCATCTTCCTTGCTCTATTCTGCTACTCTAAGGACAGCACTAGTCATATAATAGTGGTGTATTTAAGTAGGTATTTGATCTTTGTGGCAGGAAAATGGTAGTTCCATTATAACTTAACAGTAGAAGTTCCTATATTAGAATGTGTAACCTAGAGCAGAAACAGTGAAAATAAACATTCCTAGTAAGGCACATGGATATGGTAGAACAAGTATAGACTTTGTTGTCAAAGAGTTGCTCGGTTAATACAATTAGTCGAGTGCCTTCTATGTGCCAGGCTTTGCTCTAGATTCTAAAAACAAGATAGACAATAGCAAGCAAGGCACATTCAGCCTGGCCTATCTTATCTCTCTGATGATTGTTTGCTTGTTTTTTAAATTTTGGCTCTGTTAATAGTTGGGTATTTCCATATAAGGAATATTATTCTAAGCCTCAATTTTTGTGTAAAATAGAGATATAAAAATACTTATCTCAAAGGGTTTTTGTGAGCACTACAGAACTTATATATAGATCTATGAGAGAGAATGAGAGAGCACCTGATGCGTGATAAATGTGATTTCTCTTCTTTTTTTTTTTCCTTCACAGCTCATGGACAGCTCATGCTGATCTCTTTTGCTATCTGAGCCCTAGCTTTCTTTGAAGACGACTCTCTGTTTAATAACTTGTGCTGGGATAACTGGCTAGCCATATGCAGAATAAAATTGGACCCTTACCTTTAACCATGTACACAAATAAGTTCAAGAAGGATTAATGATATAATGTAGGGCCTCAAACTATAAACATCCTAGAGTAAAACTCTTCTCTAGATTGCCCTGGCAAATAATTTTTGGCTAAATCCCCAAAAGCAATTGAAACAAGAACAAAAAATGGCCAGTGGGACCTAATTAAACTAAAAATCATCTGCACAGGAAAAGAAACTATTATAAACAGACAACTTACAGAATGGGAGAAAATATTTGCAAACTAGGCATCTGACAAAGCTATTCAGAATCTATAAGGAACCGAAATCAACAAGAATAAAACAAATAACCCCATTTAAAAATGGGCAAAGGACATGAGCAAACACTTCATAAAAGAAGACATACTTGGCCTGGTGCAGTAGCTCACGGCTGTAATCCCAGCACTTCGGGAGGCCAAGGCGGGCAGATCACTTGAGGTCAGGAGTTCGAAAAGAAGACATACAAGTGGCCCAAAAATATGAAAAAATGTTCATTACTAATCACAGAGAAATGCAAGTCAAAACCATAATGAAACACCATCTCACACCAGTCAGAATGGATATTACTAAAAAGTCAAAAACCAAAGATGCTTGCGAGGCTGCAGAGAAAAAGGAATACTTATATGCTGTTGGCAGGAATGTAAATTAGTTCAGCCAATGTGGAAAGCAGGTTGGAGATTTCTCAAAGAACTTAAAATAGAGCTACCATTTGACCCAGCAATCCCATTAGTGGGTATACACTCAAAGGAAAATAAACCATTATAACAAATTGACACATGTCCTCATCTGTTCACCGTGGCACTGTTCACAATAGCAAAGACATGGAATCAACCTAGGCGCCCATCAACTTTGGACTGAATAAATAAAATGTGGTACATATACACCACAAAATACTATGCAGCCATAAAACAGAATGAAATCATGTCCTTTGCAGCAACATAAATTGAGCTGGAGGCCAAAATTCTAAAGGAACTAATGCAGAAACAGAAAACCAAATACTGCATGTTCTCACTCCTAAGTGGAGCATACATGGACATAAAAATGGGCATAATAGACATCAGGGACTACTAGAGGAGGGAGGAGGGATACTATGTACGGGGGAGTACTAGGCTCATTACTTAGGGAAGTATATCCACGTAAAAAGGCTGCACTTGTACCCCCATATTTAAAATCCAAGTTGAGATAAAAAAAAATAAAGATCACTCAATGTACAGCATCAAATTTTGGACCACGATGTGGCCATCTGTGTTCCTAAAGGCCTGTAAATGACTTCTAAGCTTTCTGATCATCTTCATTGCTAGTGATCTCCTAGCCCTACAGGAAAGTACCTGGTGTCACGTTCAAGGCTCAATGCCCACTGGGCTGACCCAAGAGTGATTTTTGTGTTAGTTTCTCCCTACTTCCCTGTGCCATTCTGGATAGTTTCTTCAGATGGTAATTATTCTCACCTCCAGCTGTGGCCCCATTAAAAACAGAATGCTAGAGATGAAAACTCCTGGATCACACTGGCAGACTCTACTTCAGACATGAACTCTGGAACTTGATGGCTATGATGGGTCTGTTCATGTTGCTTCCACAGGCTTAATGATGTCTTTAACATCTCCTACCTGAAGGCACCACCCATCATGCCACTGAGATGCACGGCCATATTTCAGTTAATTTAGTTAACTTGCTAGTTTGTAAAGAAACACAGTTCATACAATAAGTTGTGCATCTCTTATTTTTTGGCAGGTCAGTTTTGATTGATGTGCCCTAAATAACAAGAGAAAAACAGTTCATGTTGAACCACCCATATGCTGAGGTGATAAACATATGTTCCAATTCGGAACCAAGAGAAAAACAAAAAAACACAGTTTAAGCAAATCTTAGCTCTTGACAAACACTCACAGGGTATTTCAGTGAAGACATATGCACATAGCTCAGGAAATTAAGAAATTGTGTAGCTCAGTGTGGAAATGACACCTTTATACTCAGAGTTTCATGACCATTGTGATCTCATTCCTTCGGTGATCAGGGTTGAGTCTTGAACTTTTCCTGTGGATTTTCCCATCCGTAGACTGATGCTGCTTATCCACATAGGCAAGCACTACGAGGACAGAATGGGCTTCCTTATTACTTTACATCACACTAGAGCCACCATCTGGAGGTGATCACGTGGGAGAATTTGCTTCAGTAAGTGGAGTGTAATGGGACAGGGCTGTTGATTGCCATCTGTCCCGTTAATAGGAAGTGTGGGCTCAAAAAGTAGAAGAGGAAGTTGGCCCCCATGCTGCTTGACTTATTTTACACCCATCATTCTTTAACTGTGGCCACACTATGGGCAATTTATTATTATTATTTTTTATTCCTAATCCTAGGTACACAATACTTACTGTTTCATGAAGATAAGCTTGGCTTTGCACTGCAATTTATAGAAATTACATTTTTGTAAGGATTATCTAATGACTGAGTCAGTCTCTGTGTTTTTAAGGTCCTCAGGTGATTCCTGTGCTCAGTAGAGTTGAGAATCACTGGAGAATGGGGAGGAGCCACATGATCACCACCCCCAATGTCATCTGTTGCCCAGAAGATGAGACCTCCAGAGGCTGCCACTTTGCAGAAGGGCATGGGGACATCCTCTTTTTGTCATGCTCTGCTTCATCCACAGCTGGCCTCTTGCTCAGTAACCCACCCTATGGTGCTGCCTTGACTTGACCAAATAGCCTCAGGTGTGGCCTTGGCACCTGCTGGCCATTCTGGAGTCACCGTTCCTCCACATGCAGCCACCTTCCTGCCATACTGGCTTTCCTCCCCTCTGAGGCCGCCTCTGTACTCCCCACTGTGTGGGCCAGGCACACTCTGCCTCTCTCTTCTAAGGCCTACACCCTCTGAGACTCCAGGGATTTTATGAAGCCTCCTTGTCTTGTCTGCAGCTGCCAGGGGACCCGTGAAAGAGACTTGCCTTCTTGGACCTCTTGCAGGCTGCGTTCTCTACTCCTAGTCCTGGATTTTAAATAACCACTTCCTGGTCCTGGATCTTAAAGAAGCTTCCAGAACGTCTTCCCTGGGGGCTAAGCCATAGCAGACATAGCCCCCCAAGCAAGCATAGATCTAGCTGGCAAACTCCTTTGTTTCCAACCTGTAATTCTGTTCACAGAATTTTTAATGGCTTCCATTAAATGGCTTCCATTTAAAAATCGCAATGACGGGCCAGGTGCAGTGGCTCACACCTGTAATCCCAGAACTTTGGGAGGCCAAGGCAGGCAGATCACAAGGTCAGGAGATCAAGACCATCCTGGCCAACATGGTGAAACCCTGTTGTCTACTAAAAATACAAAAAATTAGCTGGGTGTGGTGGTACGTGCCTGTAATCCCAGCTACGGGGGAGGCTGAGGCAGGAGAATTGCTTGAACCAGGGAGTCAGAGGTTGCAGTGAGCCAAGATCATGCCTGGCTACAGAGTGAGACTCTGTCAAAAAGAAAAAAGAAAAAAACAGCAAAAAAAAGAAAAGAAAAAAAAAATTCACAGTGAGGGCTGGGTACAGTGGCTCATGCCTGTAATCCCAGCATTTTGGGAGGCTGAGGCAGGAGAATCACTTGAACCTGGGAGGCGGAGCTTTCAGTGAGCTGAGATCGTACCCCTGCACTCTAGCCTGGGTGACAGAGTGAGACTTTGTCTCAAAAAACAAAAAAAAATCACAGTGGGGTATGTCAATCATTATTCTAACTAATAATGTAACTAAACTTTTTAACTATACCAGGCATGTGATTTCACCCCCATAACATTCCATAAACATATTTTCTTGCATAACATTCAGCATAGAATCTGACTCCTCATCTTTGGTGACAGGTGGAAAGTTAATGTTTACTCTGAACCACAAGTAGAACTGGATAAACTGATCCTCTGCAGCGGCCCCAGGCAATGTCCTTGAGGACATTCTCTCTGAAGACCCTCCGCTCCCTGCCCTGCCCCCAGTGTGCTTTGTAAGTCTTTCTTCTGTCTTTACATGGCTGCCTTCACTTGTCTCCTGCCTTTGCTGTAAATCTACTTTGTGCAGTACAGCTAAATTATTTATCACTGTCTTCTGAGTAAAGTTTGCATAAACCAAATTTGCTAGAATGACCTTCCAGTCTACCACCTGGCCCTCCAGATCATCCCAGTTTAAAGGCCTGGACAAGCTTCCCAGAAAATCTAACACAATTCTCCAGGTATGCTCCCTGAAAAAAAATGAGTGAAAAAAAAATATCTCTACGGAAAATTGGTATTTAAAGAGAATATGATGCACAGTTGTGTTTCTCATCGAATCCCCAGAAAAAAAACTGACTCTGGTGATCTGTAACCTTTGTTTCATGGGCAGGAGACCTGTTCCCATAGTGGCAAAGTGCTCAGAGGATCATGAGGGCATAAATGCTTGCTGGTCTCTAAATGAGCTACTGCTGAAAAGAATCTGTGCATTTGAAAATAACAAAAGTTGATGGTTAACCAGCAGCCTTGGAGTGTTTATCATTATCCCAGTAAAACCAATCTTTGTGAAATTGAGCCACGAAGATTGCTTTTAAATCATTAAAAAAGCTGTCACCTCTTAGATTACAGCAAGAGCAAAGCTTGTAGAAAAACACTTTTGTTTGTAAAAATGACTGGAAATTCTGCATGTAAAAAATGAACTTCAACTTCTCATGTTGTATTTCAAATATATTCTACCTTGCTTCATGCTATCTGAAGTGTAAAAGAGACTTTGTATATGTATTTCTGTATTTCTTACATTTAATATAGGTGAGGGTTCTAAAAAGGAAATTCTAATAAAGACAGTTTTGTGGAGTCTTTATATGCCAGTTTAGGATAGACAAATCTATATACCTAAACTGCTTTCCTTTAGGGCTGTGTCTTAATTTCAGCTATTTTGTAGGATGTTTTTAAGGCTGCATAATATATTGATATTTTTATTTGATTGTAGTATTATTGTCTCCAAGTTACATTCATAAATTACCTTGATTTCAGAATGGTTCCCTTGTCATGCATTAAAATGGTAATATTAATGGATAGTCTTAATAGAACAATAGTCTTAATAGAAACTGGTAATTGAGAAGTAGAAATGAACTGCAATGCAATCCATCTGGGATTGAAGTTTGTATAGGTGATTATAATAGCAGGTCCATGGATGAAGCTGGAAACCATCATTCTGAGCAAACTATCACAAGGACAGAAAACCAGCACCGCATGTTCTCACTCACAGGTGGGAATTGAACGGTGAGAACACTTGGACACAGGGTGGCGAACATCACACATACCCCTGTTGTGGGGTGGGGGGAGGGGGGAGGGATAGCATTAGGAGATATACCTAATGCAAATGACGAATTAATGGGTACAGCAAACCAACATGGCACATGTATACATACGTAACAAACCTGCACGTTGTGCACATGTACCCTAGAACTTAAAGTATAATTTAAAAAAAAGAAAGAAAAAAATAATAGTAGGTCCTGTGAAAGAAATAAAAGCATCAGGGAAAAATTATTACATACCATTGGCAGTAATAAATCAATGAAATTAATTCATTTAATAAAATGTATTTGGGTTTCAACTCTGCCTTAGCTCCTGTGCCCACTGCTGGGGGTTAAACTTTGGAGGCCACAATCTGCGTTAACAAGGAACACTTAATACAGTACAGAGTTACTCCAACTCAGCACTATTGGTATTTTGGGCTAGAAAAGTATTTGTTATGATGGAGAGCTGCCTGTGCACTGAGGAGTGATTAGCTGCATCCCTGGCCTCTGCCCACTCTATACTGCTGGAATCTCCTCTGTGGTTGTTACAACCAATCATGTCTCCAGAGTTTTCCAAATGTCCCCTGAAACACAAAATCACAGTTGAGAAGTCCTGACCTAACAGGACAGGGAGATTGTTGGAGTCAATGAGGTAAGGTGAGTGCTGAGATGCTCAGGGCATCTGAGAAAAGCTGTGAACAGAGAAATTCTGTGTCACGGCCAGGAGAGGCAGAGAGGCTGAAATGCCTTGTTTCAACATTAGTTCATTCAGTTGAAATAGGCTAAAAATTTTAACTTAATCTAGTAGAAAATAAGATACCTCTAATGCAACCTTCCCAGTGAATAGATAAATAACATTTTCATTATCAACCAATTATTATGTTTTAGAATTTGCAGCTTGTTTATGATTTTAGGATGGGGAAGATTTCTTTAAAATACTGTCCTATATTTTTCCACTAATGTTTCAAAGTTTTGCCTTTTATGTTCCAGAACTATAATCTATCTAGAAGATTTTCTAACAAGTTTAAACTGAGGTACTGATCTAATTGTATTTTTTCTACCTGGTGAGCAAGTTTTTCCAACCTGGTGGTTTAGATTCATAGTCTAGGCTCTAAACAACTGTGCTTTGCAATCTAGACTCCTTCTATTCTTCCATATTGGTCCATTTATCTGTATCTTTAAGAGTGCCTGCCTGTGACTATGTAATATTATCATCTATATGGTAGAATATCTCCACCTGTTCTTTGTCAGAATTGGTTTATAAATCTAGAGAGTTTTGTACTGTCATATAAATTTTGCAAAATTATCAATTGCCCCAAATCTTTTAGTTTTCTATTGGAATCACATTAAATATTTTGTTTAATTTGGGAGGGATGGTTATATTAACAATATTTAGTTTGTGTGCCATTTATTTACTCTTTTATTTGACTTTATTGGCTTTTAAAATTTACTCTCTAAAGAAGTAACATTCCTAAGGTAATTCCTGAATATGTGATAGTCTAATGTTTATGCAAATGGTATTTTATTGCATTTTCTAATGACATTTTCTGAATTACAATAGATTTGTGTTTATATCTTTACAGCCACTTTGTACTCACATTTTATCACTAGTCTTTCTGTTGATTCTTCTGTTTTATATGAATATCTATATGAATATCCCCTGCAGAAAAAGACAATGTTTGTTTTTTTCTCATAATCCTTATGCTGCTTAATTATTTTTTCTTTTTGGAATGATGTTGAGAAAAATGCCTAAAATGGAAATCTTTGTAGATTTAGCTACATTATAATTGAAAAAAAAAAATACTAGACATGAGAGACAAGTGATCAACCAGGAATTTATACTAGGTTGTATATTTTTACCAGTGACTATTATCTAAAATATCCTAGTAACTCCTAAAATCAACATGGATAAAGCAATATGATCCAGTGATAAATTGCCAATGAATCTGAAAAGGCAGCTCATAGTCAAAAAATCTAAATGCCCAATGTGTTTGAGATCCCTTCATATGCTTATTAATAATGAAAAGATAGTATATTGAAAATTGAAATGCCACTCTGTGTTTTCCTATTGCTGAAGATTAGAAAGTTAGATACAAAATTCATTGTCAAGGGAATTTGGAAACAGAAAATTTTGGTGGGAGCTTGGACCAATGTAGTAATTTTGAAGACAAAGTCAAGTCTTTAATAAATTGGACTATATGTTTAACTTCAAACCCAGTGATTCCATTCCTAAGGAATACGTTCAAAAGGAATCTCCATGAGCAATTAATCATAGATAGTAGAATATGAAAGGGTGCTAAAAGTAATATCTGATTTACAGTAGGCATAAGCCATGACTGCCCCCACTCAGACCTGAATATCTTGTCACCATCACATGGAAATCTTATGCAAGTTCAAAATGACATCTAAAGAATACTCATTTCATTATTGTTTGAAATAATGAAAAATCAAAGAGCCTAGATCTATCAATAAAATAATTAGATATCATGGAACAATCCTAAATAGCATATACTATCTACCTATTAACATAGATTTCCCTCAAAAACAAATTTGGAATAAAAAATAATATTTAATATATGGATTTATATATGCATATGAAATATATAATTCGAAAATTTTTTAAAAAATTGCTCGCTATTTTTTCTTAAATAGATGTAGTGTCTTAGTCTGTTCCAGCTGCCATAACAAAATATCATGGACTGGCTGGCTTAAACAACATAAATTTATTTCTCACAGTTCTGAAACTTGAAAGTTTAAGGTCATTGTGGGCTCTGGAGACAACTTTCTTCTTGGCTTCTGGACACTCATATTCTCACTGAGCCCTTACGTGGCCTTGCCTTGGTATGTATGCATAGAGAGCGGGATCTGTGTATCTTTCTCTTCTTATAAAGCTACCAATCCTATTGAATTAGGACCCTGAGTTTATGACCTTACTTAACCTTAATTGTCTCCTAAAAGCCCTACCTACAAATAAGGACACACTGGGAGTTAGGGCTTTAATATATGAATTGAAGGGGAGCACAGTTCAGTCCATAGCACATAGTAAACTAATAGATTTATGTTTATTTATTATTAGTTTAGTTTAAAAGAGTTTTGTGTAAACATTTATTTATTTAAATAAATACTAGTTGTTTACATATATGCTTTTAGCAGTTGGGAGCCAGGTTAGGATTAATTGCATCCATGTGGAAAATATTATAAAACAAAGATTCAGATAAAAAGGAAAAATATAAGATTGTTCATGCATTGATGAATGAAAAGATATTTCATACTGAAAAATATAACTGATGGTATAAATTCAACTCTATACCAATGTGGACAAGCAGATTATACTATGTAAATTTAAAAATCTCAATATGAAAAATGAATTGTGTATGAATATAGGTAGAGGGAACCTAAATAAGAGCAAGGATAAAATGAAGCTATTATAAATAATTAGCAAGATTGAATTTCACGAGAACTTAAAATTTCGCTCAACAAAAATAAGATCATATTTTAGATGTTAAGCAGTAGAAGTAATATCTCGTGAAGGCTAAGACACACGCAAGATGCTGGCCCATTTAGATGGGGCAAATCCAGTATTTGTGAATTTTGTAGCAATTAATTACTAGATGAAATTTTGGTAGATAAATGAAGAACCCCACTTTAGATGTGGTATATTTGATGCCAGTTATGAATGAAATAACATTTTCACTTACAAGATCACCAGAGGCACATGCTTTTTTCAATCTAGGACAACTCTGGTCATATTTCAAATGTTCTCTATGTTGTCAAATCCAGTGGTTACTTCCCTGTCCTCATCTTATTTATTTTTGACACAGCAGATCTTTATCTTTCTTTCTTTTTTTTTTTTTTTTTCTTGAGAGGGAGTCTCCCTCTATTACCCAGGCTGGAGTGCAGTGGTGTGATCTCCGCCCACTGCAAGTTCCGCCTTCCGGGTTCACGCCATCCTCCTGCTTCGGCCTCCCGAGTAGCTGGGACTACAGGTGCCCACCACCACGCCCGGCTAATTTTTTTGTATTTTTAGTAGAGACGGGGTTTCACCGTGTTAGCCAGGATGGTCTCGATCTCCTGACCTCGTGATCCGCCCGCCTCAGCCTCCCAAAGTGCTGGGATTACAGGCGTGAGCCACAGCGCCTGGTCAATTTTTTGTATTTTCAGTAGAGACGGGGTTTCACCGTGTTAGCCAGGATGGTTGCGATCTCCTGACCTCGTGATCTGCCCGCCTCGGTCTCCCAAAGTGCTGGGATTACAGGTGTGGGACACTGCGCCCAGTCGGATCTTTTTCTTGAAATAAATTTCCTTTCTTGGGATGCGCCACATAACACTCTCCTGTTTTCTTTTTATCTCCTTCACGCTTTCTTCAATTTCACTTACTGGCTTTTTTTTTCCCCCTAAATCTGCCTGGGACATCTCTTATTCGTTGTTGTTGTTGTTGTTGTTGTTGTTGTTTTCCCCTTCTCCATTGGCATACGTTCTCCAGGTGAGGTCTTCAGTGCCCTGGTTTAAATCCATTACATGCCGACGACTCACAAATCGGTATCTGCAGTCCTCACTTTCTCTGGAGCTCTGGCCTTCTACAAATAACTTCATACCTGATTTCTCCCCCTTGGATGTCAGATAAATGTATCACATCCAATATATCCCATATGTAACTTGAAGTCATCTCCCAACGTATTCCTCTGATTTCTTCATTGTAAGAAATAACACTATAATCTACTCACTTGTTCAAACCCCAAACTTGCCACATCTAACCTCTCAGCATGCCCATGGGTTAGGCCTTGAATTACTCATCTCTCTGGCTTCTCACTACTCGCAGTGTATCTGTGGTCTCTTACCCAGACCTCTGCCTGGGAATGGCCCCTGCTTTCATTCTTGTCTCCCCTGTAGTCTCTTCCCCACATGGTAGCCAGAATAACCTTTGGTAAACGTGAATCAGACTACATTGTTCTGCAGTTGACAAGCCTCCATTGGCTTCTGATCTTACTGGAATTAACCACAATCTTACCACGACGATTATGAATCTGTATTAGTTGATCACTGTCTGGTGTTCTCACCTCATCTGCTTTGCTCTCTGCTGACACCATCTGTTTCTGGCACAAGGGCATTCTTCATGCATTTGAATGCACTGCTGTGTGGCACTTACGGCTTTCGTTCCTTCTGCCTGGAATTCTTTTCCCTTGGAGCTATACACAGCTGATTCTTTCCTGCTGATTCAGTGCTCAGGCCAAATGTTGCCTTGAAGAGAGATCTTTCTAAATAATCCGATCTCAGGTAGACCTTCATTGCCCCATTTTCCATATCTAGGTTGCTATCATGTGACCTAGATGTATTTTTTTATATTGTTTTCCTTTTTTTTTTTCAATAATTACCTTGGTTACTTTTTCAAGTTGTAATCTTTTATCCACTAGTTACATTTCATGGAGGCAAGGTCTCTATCTCTTTTGTTTTCTAAATACATTTCTGTTGCCTGGAATGGCTCCTGGTACATAGAGAAATGGAAGAGCTGATATTTTTGAATACTTTATTATGAATCAGAGATGGCTCAAAGACTGCTATGTTAAATCATTTACTGTTCCAAACTAGTCTGCACAGCAGATACGATTGTTTTTCTGTTTTAAAGAGGAAGGATTTGAGAGCAGACAGGTCAACTGGCTTGCCTAGGTTGTATTGCTTACAACAAGCAAAGGTAGGATTTAAATCCAGCACATCTCTGTCCAGAACCCACAATAATAAATAAATAAATAAATAAAAATAAATAAACAAAAACATGCTTACTGTAGTTCAGCACAATTACTTACGTTGAAAGAAAGATCAAACAGAAAACATTGATTTGTGTTGTCATATATTGTGCTGTTTTTTATTCTAAGGCTTAATGAAGATTACCTAGTATTTTCAATATTGGAATTTCAACGTAGGTCAAATGTTAGAAATGTTGGAGATGGAAACAATAAAAATTACACAAACAAAGCAACTCAAACCACAAAACTCACTGATGAAGTACTGTGAACACTAATTTCCTCCTGAATAACTGGAAACCTTGGGAGCAATGCTTTATAACCACTACTTCTGAACTTCTCAGCTATAATATGAGGGGCCTGAGATCGCTTGCTGCATCCTCTTCCTTTAGAAACATTGTCTTGAAAGTAGATTTTCCTTACAGGTAATTATTCTATCTCTTATGGAGATAAATCTTCCATGCTTTTCCTCAGAGTTTCAGTGGGTCACTGTGCCTGGGCTAGGTGGTGAACCCAGCTGTAGCTTATTCTTATTTCCACAGTAGTCCAGTGTCCACAATGTGAAACTTGTTTAGTCTAATCATTGTCCCATGTAACCCACCTGCCATTACTGTTAATAGTCATTAATGAAAAATACCAATAGAAGGATCCACGAATATAAACCTGTATCTTGTAGTTCATGATTTATGCCTTTCATATTAAAATACATATTATGTGGATCACCTGTGCAAATTCTACTTTCTTTCATGATTATGTTTGCATATTTGCATAATGGCAAGAATATCAGACAAAACAGCATCTCTGCTAACTACTAAACTGTGGTAAGCTCCTGTAGAACAGTTTATTAGTAGGCAGTTTATAGTATATTACATCATGGTAAGACACCTTTACAGAACCTAGATGTACCAAGGCATAAGGCTTCACCTTTGGCTACTGAGGTAAAATTTTTCATCACAAAATTTCTGGGAATAGAAAGCTAAATGTAAAAAGTTTTTATATGATTATACAGAAAAGGGATTCTTTTGTTGTTTGTGTTTTTTCTTTTAAAAAATTCAACTTTTATTTTTACAGGGTACATGCGAAGGTTTGTTAAATGAGAATATTGCTGAGGTTTTGGGCATGGAAAAGGGATTCTAATGGGAACAAATCTATCTCTACAGATGCATTTGCTTTTACTGAGTCTTGCCTTATTTCAGAGTATATATCAATCCTTACAACAGAGTCTATGGTTCCTTTGCTATGGTGGACTATTTATGAAGGATGTCTTTAAATCTAGATAAAGCTGATGAGAAAAAAATATCATCTATAACAGCTGAAATAGGGAAGGGACATAACCTGATGTCAATAATATTATATATAAATATATGAGACATATTACACATAAAATATACATAAAACTTACGTTTTATATATAAAGTATATATAAAATATTATATGCATGTTGGGGGGGGGGAGCCAGGGGTGCAGAGAAATTCTAGAGGCAAGAGATAGCTACAATATGGCTTTTGCCTAACCTGAGCCTCATTTATGTCACAGACATGCTCTTTGAGATGATTAAATATCAGTAGTGATCACTAATACATTAGGCTCATAAATAATCAAACGAAGCTTCATACTTAACCTTTTCCTCTTTTGAATGGGGACAAGTGGGTAAAATTAAGGAAAGTGGACAAGAAGACTGCTTCTCTTTGCATGATCTGAGACTCCACTGCTCCATGATTAATTGAAAACTGACCTGAAACATTCGGGTGTTGCCCATTGGAATATCCACACACACATGCACACCACACACTCACTCATAAACATAGTACAGTATATGATAATGACCCTGATTTAGACTATTGAACAAACTTAAAGAAGAGTACAGAGGTCAAGTAACCTAAATAAAGAGGATATGACCTCTGTGGGGCTCCCTAGGGTCCAGCACCCCAGTCATTCCCTCAGGCTATATAAAAGTGCACTGCAGTTCTAGAGTGAAAATCAACTTCTACACAATACGATGGGAAGAGAGTCATGAAATTAGCTTACCTCAAGAGAACTAATAGGTGGACTGCCCATATTTCAGTGTCACGACCAAGACGGAATGCCGAGTACACACATGTAGGACAGGGGAAAAAATAGGCATCGTAGGTGAAAGGAGAGAACAGAACCAACTATACAGAACTATACAATGTCCTCATTGTATAGATTTTACTATTATGTATATATTTATATAGTTTCAAGTGTGTTAATTAAAGGCACTTTTCATAGGCAAGTCAGAAATATCTCAGGAAAGTCTAGAAGCCCTTGGAGGAAAAAAAAAATTACTTAACAAATTCTTCTACTTAGGGATGAAAAATAATAAATATTTTGGAGATTGAGAAAAGAAAATGTTGAGTAATAAATTCATTTAGAAATGGCACTAAAATATTTCATGTAATATCTAAAAGCTAGACAAATAAAATTAGAATTAATACTAAATTTTTATAATATTTTAAAAGCCAGAGAAATTACACCTATGGAATGTTCTATAAATATTGTAGATCATTTCAACAATTGATTAAATTACATAAAGAAAAATTATTTCTAAATATTTGGATTATAAGTAGATTTTTAGACTTTTATTTATTCTTTTAAATTTTTAAGAATAAAAATGTAGAATTAATTTGGTCATGAGTAGGTAATGTTCTCATTATAAAAAACTGGTGTTAAGGAAGAACCTTAGTAGGCCAGTGTAAAAGTTAGGTTAATGAATGTACAGAATCTCTCACTTATAGTAAAAAACAAATAACAGTGGTGGAATGGCTAATGATGATTTCACAGAAATTGAAAATCACAAATATCTAAATTACATGGATAAGTGACCTTAAATATAGTATTTTCTCACTTCATGCAGATGTTAATAATATGGTTCTATACAGAATATGGCGAAGAAGCCAAGTTTTATCAACTTTGTCACTAGCCAGGTAAATTTGCCTGATTGGTCTGGGATGAGCCTTCGGTCTTTATCTTGTTTCATACTTTACTTTGTCACTAGCCAGGCAAATTTGCCTGATTGGTCTGGGATGAGCCTTCGGTCTTTATCTTGTTTCATACTTTCTATTGAGTTCTTATGTCTTATTTTTCAGGGTAGCCCCAGTGCTTTGAAGGTTTTGAAGAATACACAGGGTCCTGGTTTTCCCCAAATGACTTTATCCTGTAGCCAAATACTCCTACTCTCAGGTTCACCTATTGCTTGGGCAATCATGGAAGTGACAATATTTCCAGGAGCCCACAGTAAATACCATCTTTAATGGATCACTTATATATTAGCCTGCATTCATTATTTTATTAATAGGGGTACATTTGTAATCCTGAAATATGAAACTTGTTTTAAAATGTTGGTGCCTCAGAAGATAATTCAAAACCAAATTAAGGGACCCATAATAGAATTGGCCTCCATTAAGAGCCAGCATCTGGCCGCAAAGCCATCAGTGTCTGCCCAGTCCTCCTGTGGGCAAAAGTGGAGGATCATCCCACAATCATCCCCAACACTACTGCTCTCCTCTGTACATTTAGAATTAACTAGTTTCAGTTTTGTTTGAGGTATTTATGTTTCAGTCTTTTGGAAAAAAAAAAAATATATATATATATATATATACACATCATTAAGAAAAAAAGTGCTTTGTTTCCCTTCTGAATTGCACATGAAAAGTGATCATGGAGATGGAGAGTTGAGGACTTGCAGGGTTTTTCTCTACTTTCTACCAATTTGAAAGAGTCTTCACACAGTTGCCTATTTTTAAATATTGTTGGAAGTACTCAATAAAAACACACACAAGTTATTTTGAGTAACCGTATTTCCTGTCCTCCTATCTCATTTCTAGCTCCCTCCAAGGATCATGTACCCAGGCTCCAGGCCGAGGTTGGGACCCCCTTTTGGCCTTTGCTTCAGTTACTACGGCACCCCGTGTACCATAATACGTGAAAATGTACTGGCCACTCTCAGAAATTTCAGTCAAACATTAAAAATGGAAGATTATTCTCCCCCAAAAACCTTTGTTTCTGGTCCAGCCTCAATCATCTCCCTGTTTATAGATTTCTAGAAAATTTATAGTCATCCCAAAGTAACCTACCCTCCGGGTTATATGCTATTTTTTAGGTTCTACTATTTCTAGTGAGCCATCTATGACTTGTGTGTCTGAGTAGCTGAAACGTATCTAGAAGAGGGCAGAGCCAGCGGGTCTGTGCCTCTTGGGTAACTACATCCCTGAACACAGATGTGGAGACCTTCTGTGAACTAGCCTGTCTTCACTGCACAATATCATTGCCAGAGAATTGTGAGCAAGAATTTTCCATCTAGTAGGAAAGCCTAAAAAGGCTCTCATCAGAACTGATGAGATAAAGTAACAACAGAACCTAAATAAAGCCACCAAATAGGTACACTCGTTTTAAGTAACATGTTACTGATTCCAGTCTTGGTTCACAAATCTGTAGCTTAAAATAACTACCCAAGTGTTTCTAATAAAGCATTCTGATTTAATAATTTTTTATTACATTTAAAGGCAGATATATCTTTTCTCTGTTAAAATCCAGTATTCAGCAAGAATGCTTTTTAATATTTGGGCATTTATAGATCCTTGGCATGGTTTATGAAAAACGTAAGAGAGAGGAAGTGTCAGAAAATACAAACAATTCCCCTTGGACAGGAAAGCAAAACAGAAGGAAACCCTGGGGTAACATGGCTTATGTGTCACCATAATGTTAGCTGTCTGCTGTCTACAGTAAAGAGATGCTAAAATTCACAAAGTTTGTAAATGATGGGTCTTTTCTCTTATTAATCTAAGTTTTTTCCCTCAGGGAAATTTAATTTCATAGATTTCAATGGAACACATATTTCAGAATAACAAAGGACACCTTTTATCTATCTCAGAAAAGCTGTACCACAACTTTCTGCAAAGGCAAAAATACTTATGTTAGTGCACATTTAAATTGAGAAGTTGTAAAAGTTAACTTTTTAAAAATATGCTATTTTAAATTTTTTAATGCTATTCTTCTTAATTCATTCTCAAGAAAATACTCTTTAAGCCATGTGAACAGTGAAAATTAGAGCTTTCTAAAACCTTGAAAGTTTTTATTTCTGTGTGTGTGTGTTTTAAATCATACATATTTGAGAGTCTAGGAACTGATAGAACATATGTAATCAACAGCAGCATTTTGCTAGGTACCTACCATGTGCCAAGTAGTGTATTGGATGTGGGGACACGTTAGTGAACAAGACTTTTCCATCTTTCTATGAAATGATGAAACCCTAGTCACCATAAAGCCCAATCATGTTACAATGGGGGAAGCCCAGGGCACGGAGGAATGCAAGCAGAGCAGGCCTGCCTGGTCAAGAGGTCAGAGAAGGGATCCCTAATAAAGGGATATTTAAGCTGAGAACAGACCATGGGTGAAGGATGAGGGCAGGGGAAGACTGTGCTGGGCAGAGGACATGGCACAGGCCTGCAGGTGAGACACATCATTGGTGCCCTTGGGACAAATGACTGCCATCAGCAAGTGTGGACCCTGGAGGAAGAGTGCTGAGAATGAGGAAGTGGGGCCAAATCTGGAGGCCTTGAAAGCCTGAAGGTTTGTTCATCTACGATCAGTGTGGAGGGGCGTATTTAAGAGTTTAAAAAACATAATCGTGTTTATAAACGTCACTCCAACTATAGAGACTGGAGGCATAACACAGGAGGCAGGAGACAAGTCAGAGATCTGAATCCACAGTCCAGGAAAAAGATGATCACAGGCTCTACTAGGAACTGAATGATAAAAATAAATATATGCAAGAGATATTCCAGAAGCAAAGCTAAATATATTTGGTGACTGTTCAAATGTTGGTGGTGAAGGAGGAGAAGACCAGTGCACCTCACATAGCTGTGCAGGTTGTACACTGAGCAACCCAGGAGTGCCATGGCCATCACGTCTACATGGAAGTCTCGTGAAGAAGTTGTACAAAGTGGCAGAACCTGAAAGCCCAATGATGAAAGAATGTGTCCAGACTTCTATGTTGGGCAAATGGCAATAATTGATTTTATTTACTGTAAGTTAGAAGGAAATCAGGGCTTACTATATAGGTGAAGAGTGTGAGCAGCGGTAACGAAAGGAAATGATGAGGTGAGTACCAAACAGTTTGAGTTTGAATGGAGATGAGAAGAGAGAAATTGATATGTATCTGTCTGGATACTGGCCTGACAATGCACATTTGAGAAACCTCAGTGTTCAGGTGATGATTAAAGCAAGACAGTTGCCTGAGATTAGACAATAACAGTGTTTGGGGACTGAAGAAACTTTGAAATTTCAAAACCTTTGGAATGTGCCAATTATCAGTGATGGAGAAGCAAAAGATGGAGATGTGGAGGAGGCACCCGAGAGACCAGGAAGGGAGGCACAGGGTCCAGGAAGAGAGTGAGAAAGGGGCAAAGTAGCTGGTGATGAAAAAGTGACAGTGTCCACAGGGCCTGTGACACATGGGTGGCCATGATTAGAGTGATATCCCATTGGGAGGAGGGGCAGAATCCAGATTATAATCATTTGAGGATGGAATTGAAAAGTAGAAATAGAGGCAGGAGCTGCAGACAGCTTTTTTATTCAGTTTAGCTGTGGACATGAGGGCAAGAACAGTAGCAGAGGGAAAGTTAAAGGGAGTATTGAAAATACAAAGGAGAATATTTTTTAGAAAGTTAAGCAAAGTTGAAGCAATTAGCTCCTGTAGAAGTAGGTACATGCCATTTATTGTAATACAAGAGTGTGCTATCCCAAATACTCATACATTTTTGTTTCACTTGAGCTGGCTCAAATCAAAAAGACATAAACTGATACAGAAAGATGTTCAGAGGAGAAATTTTCAAGAACCATCTTGAAAATGTATATGGTCTCTAATACAATTACTATTTTATCACTTTCTGGAGCAGTTCTCTTTCTCTTTTCAATTTACCTGTTCGGTGGCTCACAAAATTATAATGCTAGTGGTACAGGAAACTCTAATAGTGACAGATATGGAGAAGGAAAAGAACATCAATCTCATACTAAAGAAATTATAGAAATTGTGAAGCTGATTTTAGAAGCAGTAGATGGATTCCTGGAAAAAGGACCCTCTTCTGTCTGCATCCTGGTAACCAGCTGACCAAGAGGGAATTATTAATGTGTATATATCATCCAAGTAAATGAATTGTTTGAAAATCGCTTGAATTACACAGAAAATTTAGGATTAATAAATAGCCCATGACTTTGAGAGTTTTCTTTTGAATAAATTTTCAGGATATTCTTTGAAGGTGAATTAAACCTTTTGTTTGGCTAAATACATAATTATATCAACGTCAGCAAATGCAATGTAGTCTTAAGGTAATTAGGTATTTATCATATTTATACTAGAACTAAAATGCTTGTATTTATTAGGTATTCATTATTTTCAATAATATTTTTAAGGTATTTTAGGATTAAACTTACCAATTTTCTTGAATTTATTGTTATTACTGATTTTAATTTTTTTCTTCTTTAATTACTGAGATAAACTGAATTGGGTCTCCTCAAAATTTATGTGTTGAAGCCCTAACTTCCAATATAATGTTGGATGGAGATGGGGCCTGTGGGCAGTGATTAAGTTTAGATGAGGTCATGAGGATACGACCTTCATGATGGAATTAGTGTCCTTGTAGGAAGAGACACTTGGTCTTTTTCTCTGCCATGTAATTATACAGTGAGAAGACAGCTATATAGAAGCAGGAAAGAGAACTCTTACCAGAAACCAACCATGCTAGCACCCTGATCTAGAGCTTCCAATTTTCAGAACTAGGAGAAAATAAATTTCTGTCATCACCCAGTCTATGGTACTATGTTAAGTCAGCCTGAGCAGAATAATGCAATTACTATCTGGATCATCTGGATCCTAAATGAGGCTAAGAAGACATGCTATGGATAATCATCCTAGGTCAGGGCTTGTCATTTTCAGCACTATTGGCATACTGGTTCAGATAATTCTTTGCTGTGAGGGGCTGACCTCTGCGTTGTAGCGTATCCCACCATTCCTGGCTTGTACCCAGTAGATGCCACTAGCATCTCCTGTCCCTGTTGAAAGTCACTGTTTTAGGTAGTGTTTAAAGCAAAAAATATATATTTAGCATGAGCATTATTATTCTCTTCACACCTCTATTCTCAAGTCCACAAGCTTTTGTTAGAACCAACAGTAAACACATGTTATTTTACCTCAAAATATAATATGTGAGCACTTTCCAGTGGAGGGAGACACTGGAATTTTGATTAAATTCTCAAATGAGTCAAAGATGGACATTAAAAAAAAAAAGCAAAAACAAAAACAAAATCAAAACAAGTGGAAACTGAGCTAAATACAAATTTAAGCTTAGCCACTAAATTTATCTTTAATATCCTATTTGCTTATGCTTTTTCCTGCTACTTATTCTATATGCAAAAGTCATTGGTAGAGGATGTTTTGAATTGCTGTAAGGAATAACTAAAGCACATCAGATGTTCTTATTTTTGAGGAAAAGAGATCTTGGTGTATTTATTTCTCCATCCCATTGGCTAACAATGACTGATTGGCCAGCACGTGCCCAGTGCTGTGCTAAAGACAAGGAAGCAGGTGTTTCAATCAAACATGATGCTGCTTTTCCCAGTTCAGGAATAGCAAATAGAAGGTACGTGTGTGTCCACAGCAACATCACTAATAACACAGTCTTCTGCCAATACCAGAAGGGCTGCTGCTTCATCCCAGTCAGACCCACAGATGCCCTTCATCCTAGGTAGATTCATCAGGAATATGAAACCTATCTGCCTAGTCAGTGACTGCATTTTTCTCAGACCTGATTTCCCTGCGGTCCCTCCACATCTTTTAACACAGAAACTTACTGATAACGTTCTCCACCCCAAACTGTTCCATTCTTCTGAGGATGAGGACCCAAATCTTTAACCTAACCAGAAGGCCCTGGAAAATTCTAGATTTTTTTTCTCTCTCTCTCTGCCTGTCCTATACTCAGCTGTATAGTCAGTGGTCTTCTCTCAGTTCTTGAACCAAACTTTATTTCTTACCACTCAAGTGATTTTCAAGTGCTATTATTTTTTTCTCTGTGGAATAGACTTTGCTTAATTAATTCCACACATCGTTTACAACCAGCACAAATGTCACTTTCTTAGGAGATACTTTCTGACTTTCTCTCTCTCTCTCTTACTTTCTCTCTCTTCCCACTTTCTCTCCACTTTTTGCTCTTACCTTCATGAGGGCAGAGGAAGTGTCTATGTCTTGTTTTCTGTATATGTTACAGTGACTGGCACATAACATATGCTCAGTAAACAATTAATTCTCAGTTTATTTCTATTTTTAAAGGCAAGACTCTGTCTTCTAGCCGAACAGAAAACTCAGTTTAGGGCTAAGCAATTACTAATTTCCCTGAGTCTGGATGATCACCCATATATAATTCTATTCTGTGAAACCAAGCCCTGGTTCCTTCTAGTTGTAAGTTTATGAGGACTTACAGCAGATGTCAACATTTAAAGCAAATAAGAAAGTTGAATCACATAAACACTGCTGGTAACACAAGCAACTTGAATGGATCTTAAATGCGTTATGCTGAGAGTGGGATAGAGGCCAACATCAATGGTTTACATATTGTGAGTTTCTATTTACGCATCATCCTTAAAGTGAGAAAATTATAAAGATGGATAGCAGAACAGAGGTTGCCAGGGGATGAGGCTGAAGGGAGTCTCTTTAATATAAGTCTGTATCTTAATTATGTTGAGGAGTACTCAAACATATACAAATGCCAAAATCTCAGAGAGCTAGACACCTTCCACCAACCCCTACAAAATGAGGACATACAAAAGCTGGTATAATTTTAATAAGGTCTGAACTGAGGTAGATAGTATTATACCAACATTGATTTTATGGCTTTGACATCGTTCTGTGGCTGAGTAAGATTATCACTGCAGAGAGCTGGATGGATGATACCCAGGAACTGTCTGTATCATCTTTGTAAACTGTATGGGTCTTAAACTATTTCAAAATAAAATGTTACTAAAATGTTTCAGAACATTTTTGTAATGTCATTGAAATCTAATAACATGTAGTTATTGATCTCAGTATTATAATAGTGGAGACTTTTTCTTATATGAGAAAAGGGTAAACATGAGTTATAAATAAAATCAAACAATTTCGGTGATTAGAAATTAAGATTTGGGTGCCAACAAGTATGAAAAGGAAGAGATAATAGAAATATTCTATTTATCTTTTCCAGAAATTATCCAGGGAAAGATTGTTTTCAAGGCAATGCAGTTGAGTGGGCTTTACAAATGGCTTCATGAAAAAAAAAATACATGCAATACTTTAGAATATAGTAATTTTAAATAACCAGTGACTGACCCTGTTGAAATAATGTGTAAGAAATATTTATGTTAGAATTGGAGAAACTTTATCTAATTCATTATCCGTCACATGTCCTAAAGCAGTAAATTCAAATAACTAAATACTATTAGATTACATTTTGGTTTTTTAAGCAATATTATTCCTCTTAAAGATTATGCAATATTTTGTTCTTTCTCAAATGCATGCCTTCATATTTTCAACCATGCTGCTGTATTAAATCAGCCCAGGGAATCTGAGTTCTTCTTTGTGGGGCAATTTCAATGTGTGTGTATCGGGGTATCCCACCTGATGGCCGATTAGCTGGGCAGCATCCAGCCTGTCTATGCTTGACAATTTAGTCACCTGGAGCACCACCTGTCCACAATGGCATGCTCCTATATAACAAGAAAACTACAGAGTTCTACACTTTCTTATGTGAGTTTACTGATTCTTCTTGAGAATAAGTTTCTTTAGCTGATGTGAAAGACCCTTACAAAACACCACAGTTTGTGAGTGATGGAAGAATAAAATCTGTGATAGTTAATTTTGGGTGTCAACTTGACTGGATTAAGGCATACTAGAGAACTAGCAAAGCATTACTTTAGGGTGTGTCTGTGAAGGTGTTTCCAGAGGAGATTGCTGTGTGAGTCTGAGTGTCTAAGTGCTAAATCCACCCTCAGTGTGGGTGGGCACCATCGAATCTGCTGGGGTCCCAGACAGAACTAAAACAGAGGAGAGAGAAATTGGTCTCTCTCTTTCTCTTCTGGAGCTGTGAAACATTCTTCTTCTCCTTGGATATCAAAACTCCAGGCTCTCCAGGCTTTGGCTTTTGGACTCCAGGACTTATACCAGCAGCCCCCTGGGTTCTTAGGCCGTCAGACTTGGATTGATCCATGCTACTGGTATCCCGGGTCTCAACCCACAGATGGTCTTTCATGGGACTTCTCAGCCTTTATACATGTATGAACCAATTCCTCTAAAAAAAATCCCCATATATATTTATCCTATTGGTTCTGTTTCTCTGGACAATCTTGACTAATACTTTGGTACTAGTAGTGGTCGTAGAGGAAGAAAATTTTAAGAATGAAGTTTCTTTATTGGTTTTGGGGTTTCAATTCTCTAATCTGATTAGACATAAAAATACCTAAGACTATGTGTCTAATAGTACAGACAACACTGATAATCTGTGGAATGAACTGTTTATAGAGATACACAACCATATTTGATACTCCTAATTTACCACTTACAGGAGGCAGGGAACTTGGTGACTGCGATGGTTAATATTAGGTGTCAACTTGATTGGATTGAGGGATGCATAGATGGCTGATGAAGCATTGTTTCTGGTGTGTCTGTAAGGATGTTGCCAGAGAAGATTGACATTTACGCTAGTGGGCTGGAAGAAGAAGACCCACCCTCAGTGTGGGTGGGCACATTCCATTCGGCTGCCAGCCCAGCTAGAAAGAAGCAGGCAGAAGAAGAGGGTAGGCAGCTTGCTGAAAATCCTTTCTCTCTGTCTTCCCATGCCAGATGTTTGCTTCCTCTTCTCTTGCCCTTGGATATCAGACTCCAGGTTCTTTGGATTTTGAACTCTGACGCTTGCACTCCCAGAGGCTCTTGGGCCTTCAGCCATTGACTAAGGCCCTCACTGTAGGCTTCCCTAGTTTTGAGGCTTTTGAAATTAGTCAAGTTACCAGCTTCTCTCCTTCTCTGGCTCACAGGTGGCCTATTGTGGGAACTCGCCTTATAATCATGTAAGCCAATTCTCCCTAATAAACTCCTTTTTATATATCCACATATCCTATTGCTTATGCTCCTCTGGAAAATCCTAATACAGTGACTCCAAATATGCTATAGTCTGCTTGTTGGTCCCTTCCTAATATCATGTTAATATATGATCTCCAATGTTGGAAGTGAGGCCTAATGGAGGTGTTTGGGTCATGAGGGGAGATCCATTAAGAACAGATCGACGATCTCCCCGGTTGGGGGAACATTCTTGCTCTATTTATTCCCACAAGACTTGGTTATTAAAAAGAGACTGGTAACTCCCCTCTCTCTTGTTTCCTCTCTCATCACGTGACCTCTCCACAGGCTAGCTCCGCTTCCCCTTCTGCCAGGAGTGGTAGCAACCTGAGGCCCTCTCCAGAAGCAGATGCTAGCACCATGCTTCTTGTACTGGCTGCAGAGCCATAAGCCAAATAAATCGACTTTCTTTATAAATTACATAGCTGCAGATATTTCTTTAGGGCAAGACACACAAACTAAGACAGTATGATACTTCCAAATATTTGCAGAAAACTAAGGAATATAATGATGATGGTTGGTTGCATCTAATGTTGTTGGAAAAGGTAATGAATGAAAAAGATGAGCTCGGGGATGTGATTTCCTGGCTGCAGCTCTGTATAAATAGCCTAAGAACTTCTCAGTGCTACCTGAGTCAGAATCTTCTCTCCTGTAACCACAGGGCTGAAACTGCTGAAAGTCAGATGCAATCCCCCCATCATATGTTTGACTGAATTACAACAAAAGTTGAATTTTCAGTCTCACATGGTGTGTACCGTGGAAGTGAGGGCATTGTTTAGGAAGAATAGGATCCTGTATGTTGGAATGGGATGTGTGGGAGGACCCTGATGAGGCTGGGGACATCGAGCTCCTAAATTTTGAAGGGTCTTGTTTCCCAGTGGAAGTGGTCTCCCCACTGCTTCTTCACCTTGTTTGAAAAGATTAACTCCGCATTGCCTGAGAAAATGGTAATGGCTACTCTTGAAACCCCCATGACACAGGTTCGCCTATGTAACAAGCCTGCACATGTACTCCTGAACTTAAAATAAAAATTAAACTTTTCTAACTTATACAAATGGAAATCTGGGGAACATGTGTGGGAACAGATACTAAAGGTATGGGATAATGGTGAAATAAACAAAAATTTGGATCAGGCCAAATTTATTAATATGGAGCCACTAAGCAGAGATTCTGTATTTAATGTTGAAGCTCAGGGATTTAGGAAACGTGCTAATTAGTTGATTGGTTTGTTGGCTAAAACACGAATTAAATGATGGCCCACTGTGTGTGAGTTAAAGATGTCTGATATCCCTTAGGTTATGTAGGCGAAGAGATTCAAAAGCCTAGGGAGACTAGAATGTTGGAGTAAATTCATTGCTTTAAACCTACCCACCCCATCTGGGAGGGTCCAGAAGACATGTCTTCCACCAATAAAACTTTGAGAAATATATTTGTAAGGGAGGCTCAGCCTCCCTGAAGAGATCTGTGATTGGTGTTCTCTGTAGACCAGACCCAACAATAGGGACTGCTGTCACTCAATTGGAAAACTTAAATGAAATGGGAATAAGTGGATCCTGGGGAGGCAGGGGTCAAGTAGCAGCACTCACAATTAAAGGCAAAGTGGACAAGGTGGATATGGCAACAATCAGAATAGCCATGTGGATCCCTGGCACTAGCTAGTTAATCATTTTGCTCCTAGAAGTGAAACAGACAGGAAGACTACTAAGTTCTTACATCATCCAACATGAATCAAAAAACAAGAAAACATGGACCCTTGGTCCATTCCTAGACTTAAGCAAGTTTACAGATCCCTTGAATGAAGGGGTGGCTGGGTCTTCTCCAGGAAGGATGCTGATGTACTACCAAAAATTTATACCGTTCAACTTTCTCCCATACTTCCCCAAAGAGACTTACAGCCTTTTGCCAGAGTAATTGTGCATTAGGTAAAAGAAAATAATCAGACCTTTTGGGGACTCCTGGACACTGACTCTGAACTGATACTGAGTCCAGGAGAACTGAAATGTCACTGTGACCCTCCAGTTACAGTAGGGGTTTATGGTGGTCAGGAGATCCATGGAGTTTCAACTTAGCTCACAATAGGTCTAGTGGGTTCCCAAACCCAACCTGTGGTTATTTCCCCAGCTCCAGATGCATACTCAGAATAGACACTGGAAGCTGGCAGAGTTCCCTGTTCCCTGACCTGTGAAATGGGGACTATTATGGTGGGAAAGGCCAAAAGGAAGCCATTAGCACTGCCTCTACCTAAGAAAATAGCAAATGCAAAACAACACAGCATTTTCCTGGAAATATTGCACAGAATGGTGCCATCATTAAAGACTTGAAAGACGCAGGGTTGATGATTCTCATAACAGCCCCAAGCAACAGAAAAGAGTTGCTTGGCATAGAGCATATTATTTTCACCCACACTCCAGGCACAATGATCTACTCTTATCATTTAAGAGAAGTTTTATATCAGTGTAGGAAATTCCTTATAATATAGCCAAGTTCCCAGATGCCAGCCAGAACCAAGCTTGCAAACAGGTCTTTGTAAGAATACAGTCTTACTGAGCTCAAGGTAAGGATGACAAATCTGAGTGTGAATATCCAGCAATGGAGGCACAACTTTGGTGAGTGAAATGAATGAGCATAGAATTTAAGACTAGCCAGAACATGGTGAGAAAGCTTCAGGGATGCATGCTGGTTTGAATAAAGGCAATGTTCTCATTTGTTTACATTTTGTTTTTAATATGCTTCAAGTATACCAATGATTGTTTTGATGTTCTTGTTTTAATTATGTGACTGGTGACAATTATCTAAGAAACGGATTCATTTTTTGAAATATCTAGAAACTTTGAGGCTTTAGGCAAAGTTACAGGCTATGAAAAGAAATAAAATCAGATGTACACTAGTGAATTATTCAGTTTCTTCCTACGTATAAGGAGATATATTAAGTGCATTAGTATCCACAAGATTAAAAAGATATTTTGGTTTTGTATTCCATTTACCATTGAATTAGAACTATAAGACACATGTAAGATAAGTAGCTATAGAATGCAATCAATACTTTATGCTTCCTTAAGAACATCAAAGGCCTTATGAAGAATTAAATCCAGGAGAGTTGGATCTACTTTGAGACTTCTTACTTCTTACTCCTTACTCAGAAAATGCTTCTGAAAGAATGAAGTTTGAGAACTGAGTTTATGAAAATTTTTCTTTGAAGCAAATAGGCAGAATATGCTGGAGGACTGGCAGAATTCAGCCCCCATTCAGGAAAAATAGTTTGCTTTTGATTCATCAGCAGATGCAGCTGATGTAAGTAATCACTAGGATCTTTTTTTTCTTGTTTTTTAAATTATACTTTAAGTTCTAGGGTACATGTGCACAACATTCAGGTTTGATACATAGGTATACGTGTTCCGGTTAGAAGTGAACTTTGAAGATACAAGAGGATGGGCTCACTGCTTTTTATTACGGATAATTTGTCCAAATGAGTGGCTGGGTTGACCAAGTTGCTATATTCTGTGCTGGGTATTCTTCCTGCGAAATCCAGGACCAGTTTCATGGGTGTGCCACCTGTGCAACTGGGCACGCTTTAGCCTGCAGAAGAGCCCCACACTTGGTTTGATGCTATACTATTGCAGTCTCGAAATTCTTAATAATTTTATGTTTGTGCTTATGTTTTGTAACTACAGTTTGATGAGACAATGAAGAACATGACTGAGCCAAGGAGAATGGGCAAGGTGCCTGCTCGAAGTTCCTTACCATCACATTTGCATAGAGCCTTCTCAGTGGTCAGTGAGCACAGAATGCCAGTGGACCCATGATGCTGGTAGCTCAGCTAGATTCAAAGTGAATGCAAGGTAAGCACATTAAACCTATGGCTAGTAACCAGTGCACCGACAGCCTGAGAGGTGATGCCTTCCATTAGAACCACAACTAGAACTTGCTTTGAACACAGAAAGATGACAGTGTTTTAAGAAACATTTGATCAAGGAAACTTGTCCCAACTTATTTTTGACTCATGTTATTTTCCTTTATTCATTAATTACGTATGCTGAAAATGATGACATAAAAGATGAGGGAAATAAAGATGGAAGCATCTACAGTTTCATTCCCTTTTGATCCTTCCTTACTCATCAGTAAGCCAACAGCAGACAACGTTGATAAAAAGTACACGTATAAATAAGTAAAAACAAACAAAAAACAGCTAAGTTTAGTCTTGGGCAGTGTTTCCACAGTTCTGATAAGTACAAAATATAGATGTATATACTTATGACCTGCCAAATATGAATTGGGTAATATGAGTTGACTGTGAAAATTAATTAAATGCATTTATTTAATTTATTCACATTTAAAACTGGCATTGAATAATATGAAAATGAATGGTAAAATTCCTGCTAACAATTTTAAATTTTAATTTTTGTTACTTAAAATGACATTAAATAACAAATAGAAAATCTGCCATAACAAATAGAGAAAGTTGCTGCACAAGAAAGGATAAGTAAAAACATTTTCTATTTTAGTATTTATAGCTATGCATTTTTTCCTTCTTTTTTAACCAGATACCAACTCACCTATTGGCCTATGCAGAAGACAGATGGATCTTAGAGAACAACAGTGGTTTATTGTAAGCTTAACCAAGTGATGACTCCAATTACAGTTTCTGTACCAGATGTCATTTGATTGCTTGAGCAAAGTAACCTGATAATTTGCTGGCATTTTTTAAATACCTGTCCATAAGGCCCACCAGAAGCAGTTCACTTGCAGCTGGCAAGGCCAGCCATATCCCTCCACCATCCTCAGAATATGTCAAACCTCAGAAATATATCAATTCTCCAGCTCTATGTCACAATCTAGTTCAAGATTAAAGGATCTTGAGCATCTTTTTCTTCCACAGTATATCGCATGGGTCCGTTGCACAGAGTGATGACATTACATTTACTGGACCTAGTGAATGTGAAGTAGCAACTACTCTGAACTTATTGGTAAAATATTTGCAGTGATTGGTCAGGACTACCTTGGGGAAACTGGACTACTGCTCCACAATGGAGATAAGAAAAAGAATGTCTTAAATACAAGAAATCCCTTAGGGTGTCTCTTAGTATTGCCATGCTCTGTGATTAAGGTCAATGGGAAATTACAACCACCCAATGCAAACAAGAATATAAATAGCCTAGACCTTTCAGGAATGAAGGTTGGGTCACCCTGCCAAATAGAGAACCATGGTCTTTTGAGATGCTTGTTGAAGGTAAAAGGATACAGAATGGGTAGTGGAAGAACAACATAGTCATAATGACCAGCTATGACTATGTGCCCACTTACAGAAATGAGAAACTATAATTGTACTGAGTATTTCCTCCCTATTTCATTAAAAATATGTTTGTGCGTGTGTGATGCTTTTTTATTGCCTAATTATTAGGAACATTTCTCATCTTGATCGTTTTGCATTCTAACATTTTAAATGATTTTTTGGTAATTCTAACTATTAGTCTCTAGATATAAAACTTCTCTTAAATGATAAGAGTAGATCATTGTGCCTGGAGTGTGGGTGAAAACAATATGCTCTATGCCAAGCAATTCTTTTCTGTCTGGGAGTCTGGAGTTTTGTACATGTTAGGCAGAGAATGTCTACATTACCAGCCTCTAGTAGAAATTCGAGGCCCTGAGTTTCTACAGAGCTTCACTGATGGACAACACATCTCACACATTGCTCAACTAATTGCTGGAGAAATTAGGTGCGTCCTGTGCAGCTTCACCGAATGACTCTTGGAAGCTTGAGCCTGATTCCTCCAGGGTTAGCATCCTGGGCCTTTCCCTTGCTGATTTTGTTTTATTTCCTTTTTGCTGTACTATGTCTTAGCCATGAATGCAACTAACTCTGTGTGAAGTCTTCCTAGCAAACAAGTGAGCCTGGAGCAGTCTTGGAGACCACCTGCACACTTGCCCTCTAGTCATTTTATCTCACTGTTTCCCACTATTTCCATTCTTTATATACTGACTTTATCTCATGAATATTTCTGTTTTGGTAACCAAAGTCCTAGCATTCCTCCACAACTCTAGTGTTTCTAGCCCCACGATAACTCTAATGATTATTCTATTATTTAATGTAGCTCACTTTTATCACCACTATTGTATTCCTGTGGAAACAGCATGGTCACTAATTTTCTGTGGGTTATTGCAGGAGTCTCCACCTTCAACTATCTGGTTCTACTATTGCACGTAATCAATCCTCCATCTTTTTTCCTAAAGTAATCCTTGTAGGACATAAATACAATCATGACTTCCCCTACTCAGAGCGCTGGAGAAGCTCTCTGACTGATAGCCCCCTGATATTACACAGGAGGTCCCACTTCTCCAGCCTTTCTGCTTATTGAGATCGACCTTGCTTCTATGACCCACCCACAGGCACCAGTCATAACAAACTCTTCCTTTTTTTTTTTCTAAACACACTTGAGAGTGTAGTGCTTCGGGTCTTTGTGAAAAATGTTCTCTCTTACAGGAATTGTTCCATGCAGCAGCTACCAAATTTTCAGGACTCGAGTTTCCTTCTCCATGAACCCTACTTGGTTTCTTATGATACTCAGGAAGAATTGACCACTGTTTGTGTGCTGTACACCACTGCCTGTCATTACATCCTTCTGTGATAAGGCTTGTGTGTATGTGCACATCTGTGTGCACACGCACATATATTCTTTCTCACAAGTAGACCTGATGGCTCACATCATATTCTTTTGGGGCTACCTATGTCAGCCCAGTTACTATTGACCAAATGATTATGCACACTCCCTTTATTGGGCAGATTTATTACTACTCAAGAAAAAGGAGCGTAAGTCATCAATTTCCAGCATAAATGCAAAATAAAAACAAAGCTTTGAAATAAAACATATGCAACATAGTATGGACAGGGTTTTGTTTTGATTCCTTTTTGATATGGATATATTTAACCAAATATTGTGGAATAATTCTCAATAGTCAGATAAATAAAAAAGATGAATGATTCATGTTTGGTTCAGATGAAACTGTTTATGATAATGTTCCTGTATTTTCTTTCATTGTTCAAAGCAGGATGCCATAATATGTATAATAATTTATTTCTGTGGTTTAGTTGGAGTAAATCTACAGTATATTGCTATCGAGAGTAATAAAAATCAATAAGCTCGTGAGTGTTCCTGACATTTTCACTTGTGTGATCTCATACACATTTCATAAAGTAAAATATTTTTATTTAACTTTACAAAAAAAACAAGGAAGTCACAATTTTGAGCCCATAGGTAAAAACATACCAGAAATGACAAAGTGGAATTTTTAGCCATGCAGATATGAAATAATGGAATAATAAATAATTACAGAGATTTTGAATTTTGTTAAGCAAACATGATAAAAGGCTGAAAATTTTATTCAGCAACCTCCTGGCAAAAGAAAAGTGGGTGAGTGGATGGTGTTTTGAGTGTAACTCTTCAAGTTTCTCTATTACCTTAGGTGATAACTACTGTCCCAGCAGCTACCAGAGGCCCAGACAGAAGAGCACAGCAGGGGATCCAGCTGCATGGGTGGCTTCAGGAGGCACAGCTTCAATGACACAACCACAATGTGCAAGTGTAACAGTTTTGATTACTCACAGGTCCTCAAGTCAGGCAGGGCAACAAGAGCGGGCACACAGCAGTCCCCACTCCAGGTCTCATTTAGCAACAGCAACCACAGGCACGTAGCAGCAGCCTTACCCTATTTAATGGTCACCTGGGTGGGTGTCCTACTGTGCCGAGTAACTTTCTATTGCTTATGGCAAACAATTCTAATGATAAAGGCAGTTCAGCAATTTGGGGGCAAAGCTGGGGTTAAAACAGGGCTCTGCGGAGGAATTTCTTATCTGTGTTGATCAGCCTTGGCCAGGCCTAGGCAGCAGCAAAGTCTGACTTCGCCATCACTCCTGACACACGTGGTGAACATTGAATTTAATGCATGTTATCAAGTAGCATATGAGTTTTCCTCCCCAAGTCAAATGGTGGCAAATGCAGGTAAATAATGAAGAGCTGAACAATCATTTAGTTCAGAAAGTAAGTATCTAAAAGAGCTCTTACTTTGAAAATATAGTAAAATATGACAGCTGTGAGGCTCCAGAAATATTACAGTTACAATAGATAGTCAAAAAAAGGATTACTACTCACAGGACCTACCAAATATTCTTTAATATACAAAGAATACTTGTGTTATAATTATTGCTTTAGATTTAGATCTGTGAATTAATAGTAACAAGGCACCTTAGTCCGTGGGCCTCTTCTAAAGTATGGGGGTAAGGCTTGCCAGTAAGTTCCTCCTGGAGCAGCCTATGTGATCAGTTCGTTGTGAGTTCTTGTATTGCTGAATAGGATTCTGATTTTCCATTCAGGATCAGTGAGAGATGTGGCTATTAATTAGCCATTAGAATATGAGACAGGCTGGAAACTGCTAAGGACTGAGTATTTGTCATCTGTGCTTCAGGATTGAGCAGTCTTCAAAGATGAACTTCATTCACCTTTGTCTTACACAGCATATAAAATAAAGATTTGTATAGCAAACCTTTGTAGAATGATGAGTGAAATAATAAACAGAAAATAAAAATTAACTTTATACTGAGTGGTATTTTCTGGCTATATATGGATCCTCTGATAACCATTAAATAAATGGAAGGTTCCTGAACAATGGATCACAGCCAGCTCATAAAATTCTCCTATAAAGTTTTGACCAAAATAACCTGAGAATGTTTATCTTAATATCCTAGACTTCCATGTATCTCAGTAAGTTTTTAAAACTATACTATTACTCTATAATAAATCCAGAAAAAAAGTGTATACATTGGGCTTAATTTTCTATTAATATATCATTTAATATATATTCTAATAGAATATTCAAAAAGAATATTAGAATATCAGTTCTATGAAGGCAATCTACTATTTAACAGAGATTTAAAGTGAAATTATCATATGAGAACTTTTTGTAATATTTGGAATCTATCTTCATTTTAAAGTGAAATATATATATATTATACATGTAATATATAACATATATAATAGAGTTTAAAGACTAAAAAGAAGTTAGTTTAGTGAATACTAGAAACAAGCAGATGAAATGGGATCTTACAGCCATGAATTTTGCCTCCAATCTGAGCAAAATGCAGACAATGGAGGATTTTTCAGGATGTCATCTATGTCTTTGGAGCATCATTCTTGCTGCTGAGTTGAAAAGAGATGCTTGGAGGGGCAAGTTTGGAAACAAAAAAGTCATTAAGTGTTATAGAAACTATTTCTGTAATTTATGTATAAAATTGTAGTGTCTTGCACCTAAATGATAGTAGGGAAGATGCTCAGAGGTGGTCAAATCAAGGACGTATTTCAAAGGTAGAGCTACCTAACAATGTTTCCCAACAGGTGAGATGTGTCGCACTAGAGAAAGAGGTGGGTCAATGACGAATACCAGGAATTTCACCTGAGAAAATGGAAAGATGGATAAATGGGGAAAAGAAGGCAGCTATGAGGAAAGATCTAGTGCTGTTTTGACACAGTAAAGGTAAAACGTGTATTAGATGTTTTCAGGGGGCTACTGAGCAGGACATCACTCATATAATTCTAGGAGTTTGAGAGAGGGATGTGACCTAGTGATACAGGTTGGACATCATCAGCACATAATAGATGGCATTTAAAGTTATGAAAATGAGAAAACCAAGGGAGGAGCTATTGAAAGAGAAGCAAAGAGAACAAAAGACTAAGCCTCAAGTTACTCCAAAATTAAACATTGAAAAGAAAAGGAGAAACCATCGACATAAACTTAACAAGGAAACCAGGAGTATTACGTCTTCAAGGCTGTATTAATTCGTTGTCACACTGCTATAAAGAACTGCCTGAGATGGCATGATTTATAAAGAAAAGAAGTTTAACTGATTCACAGTTCACCTGGCTGGGGAGGCCTCAGGGAACTTACAATCATGGCAGAAGGGGAAGCAGGCACTTTCTTCACAAAGTGGCAGGAAAAAAAAGAAGTAGGAACTTCCAAACACTTATAAAACCATCTGTTCTCATGAGAACTCACTCACTATCACAAGAACAGCATGGGGGAAACCAATCCCATGATCCAATTACCTCCCATCAGGCCCCTCTTTCAACACCTGGGAACTACAATTTGGATTGCAATTTAAGATCACATTTTGGTCAGGCCACAGAGCCAAACCACAGCAAAGGCCAAGTGAAAAAAGAGTACTAAGGATGAGGCAGTGATCATCTATGTCAAATGCTGCCAAATAGTGTAAGGATTGAGAATTGATTCTCAGATTTCATGGTGTGAAGGTTATCCTGAACTTGAGAGCAGTCCTGGCACAGGGTTAGGGCAAGGCCTTTATGGAGAGGGTTTAAAAGTCAATAGGAACATATGAATTCAATGAAGCAAGTGCAGAAAAGTATATGGAGAAATTTTGTTATAGTGGGAAACAAAGCAAAGGGACAATAGTTGGTGGGAAGGTAGAATAAAGAAAGGATTATTATTTAAGATGGGAGATAGAACGTGACTTTTGTTGAATAATGTGAATAATCCAGTAGAAAAAGAAATGTTGCTGATATAAGAAAGGAAGGGGAGAGAGTTGGTTAAGCTTTGCCCTGGAATAGAAAACAGGGAATGAGGACAAATGCAGCAGTGGAGATACCTGCATTAGAGTATCTCAAAGTAGCTGCAAAGTTCATATTTTCTAGTGGAAAGTCAGAGTGTGTGGGTGCAGATGCCAGTTGATGGGTGATATGGTTTGGCTGTGACCCACCCAAATTCCCCTTGAATTGTAATAATCCCCACATGTCAAGGGTGGGGCCAGGTGGAGATAATTGAATTATGGGGACAGTTTCCCCCATACTGCTCTTATGATAGTGAATATGTCATGACATCTGATGGTTTTATAAAGGGGAATTCCACTGCAGAAGCTCTGTTTTGCCTGCCACCATGTAAGATGTGACTTGCTCCTCCTTGCCTTCCACCATGATTGTATGGCCTTCCAGCCATGTAGAACTGTGAGTCCATTAAATTTCTTTCCTTTGTAATTACCCAGTGTTGAGTATGTCTTTACTGGCAGTGAGAGAAGAGACTAATACAATGAGCATCACTGCTAGTGGGTGTCTGTGAAAGTTCTCTTTTTATTAATGAGGGAAGAATGGTTGCCTTTTGAGAGTTAGCATGAGAAAAGAAAAACGTGTTTGAGAGTGTAAGGTATGAAATTGTCACACAGGAGAGTAGGAAAGTAATCAGAGAAAGGATGTGTAGTATGATTGCCAGGTAGCATGGCAGGCCCACGTGACATTAGTGATCATGTGTTAGATGTGACATCAGCCAAGCTGGTGTTGCATTTTTATCTAGCCCTTGTCAGTTATACAGATGCAGTGCACAGCAGGCAGAAATTTGCCCAGAAAGCATAAAGCAAAGCAAAAGCTGGGCACAAATTTCAAAAATATAAAATGTAACAAGAATATGATTCCACTTTCTTAGTTTACAATTCTATTTTTAATTCCGTTTCTAATTTTTTTGTCTACTTTCCCATCTTTTGGTCTTTGCAGAGTGGCATATGTTCTTTTAAAAATACCAAACAGCTCTTAAAAACTTCTGTCCTCTTTAAGAGTTTATTTTCAGGGATATTATCTTTTTGTTGGTCTCAGTACTTTCTCAGAAACTTATGTTTCTTCATTTTCTTTAATTATTCTAAAACAAGATATGATATGTCTGACCAGTCTTGGTATGTGTTATCAGAAGGTACTCTGTATATGTTACTAGGGTATGGCTGATAGCTAGATCATCTTCCCCACTCACAGCTAGAGACAGGCCAGTGGATACTACAAACGCCCATCTTATTCCCAATATTTCCATATATGTTCACGGTAGTGGTTATTATATTTAATGTCTGTTAACAGGTGCTTTTGATATTGTTTTTAAATTACTATTCTCATTTCCAGAAGTTAAACAAAACCCGGCAGCTAAGAGTGGTGAATCCACACATACCTGATCATAAAGCTTCTGTGTTACTGAAGTGAGATTTAAACTTTTATTGTTGTTCTGTTGACAATAAGATTCTCTTTACAACCATTTTATAGTGTAATATGTTTGCCTAGAGTTAAACTGATAGTACCAGGACTTTAAGTTGGTACTGTCCTTTGCAATCTATGCTTGTTGACCACAGGCCAACCCTTCAGCTCTTGGCCAGAGATACTGCACGTGGCAAGACATCCTACTGTTGCTTTTTTGGTACTCTTTTATTCTAACCTGCATTCATTAAACACATGCTCATTTATCACTCTTTCCCAAATATTGAATAATGTTTTTCCATTATATTAAATGCCAATATCATTTTTCAACCTAGGAATCACTCTTTTCAACTTTGTTGCCTTGAGTGAGAATATTTATTATATTTTTTGTTTCTGCTGTCAATTTAAGAAGTCACAGAATATAATGATAACAACTATTTCTATCCAAGTCTTTTTGACATCATTTGATCATTTGACTAAGCCATGCATGGTTGTTCATTGTGTAGCATAATTTTGCAATAAATTGAGGATGTTTTTGGCAGTATTATTATGAAAGGACCAACAGGATTTTGAGGTTTATTTAAGTGCCATTTGCTTCAAGTTTTAGTACACTATTTTTAAATTTTGAGAATGATGAATGCTTAATTGACACATTATAACCAAGCACAATGAATATATTGAAGTTATAATTGGAAAATTAGAACAGAAGTGATCATTAATCTCATTATGATTAATAGAGAAAAGGAGTCTGAACGTTTCTTTCAATGTTCTCTTGTGTGAAATTTAAAACTATTCTCCAAGTTCTAACTATAAAAATGTAGTTGTTCCAAATCCCATGTAAACTTCAGGATCATAATGAACTTTCCGCTTTTTAAAAAGGAATTTCATAGATTTTTTTGTTATTGTTGCTTCTTTCTTCACTCTGACTTATTTTTGTTACTGTCAGTTACAGTTCTTGTGTTCAGAAATTTTATCTTCGAGGCTCTGACTCTCCTGAGCATGGCTGTTTGAAGTGAAAACTAAGCATAATTTATGACCTCAATACTTTATGCATGATTCTGAAAAAGTTAAGGTCAAAGGTTTAATCTTCATAAATTCAGGATGATGCCAGACAAATTAAGATAAAACAAAATGATATGTACTACTCAAAGTAAAATTGCATAGCTCAATGTAATCCTTCATATCTACCAAAAATAAATATGTAAATAAACAAACATACACGTCTGCATTGCAATAGTGCGGTAGTGTGCTTACAGATGAATGTATCACAGTAATTTACAATAGTGAAAATTAGGTCCTATTTAATCTACTTGCTCTTCTAATTAGCTTTCCTATATAATAAACAACCCCAAATTTTGCTGCATAAAATACTAATTTGATATTCTCGGGTATTGCAGGGCTCAGGAACTCAGGAAGTCCACAGCAGATGACACTTCTCTGTCCCATGACATCTCAGATGTCCGTGACTGGGAAATGGAACACCTGGACTGGGACAATCTGAAGGCTGATGCAACTAAAGTTTTTATCCAAGTATCCAGTTGTTGTCTGTCAGCATGGTTTGGGCTTGTAACAGCATAAGAGCATGTTGAAAGGGGACCTCTGGGAAGAAAGCTTTTCAATATCACCAAGTAGAGGCTCCATGACTTTTTCTGACTTAATCCACGAGTCAAGGCATTGATTGCATCATACTCTATTTGTCTCAGGAAACCAAAGCCCACACAGTTTCAAAGGAAAGTGACATGATTCAACCTTTTACTGGATGGAGGGACAAAGTCATACGGTAGATGTGGAAATTATGTTAATGCTGCTCCCACTTTTGGAAAATATAATTTACAATCCTTGAGTACTTAACAATTTTGCTTCTGTATCTGAGTGTGTACAGTCACATGGATACAGAGCATACTCAAATACTACATGTAAAATCACATTTATGCAAATAACACAAATATGCTGAAATCTGCCTCTGTGCTGCTACCTGGAACTCAGCTTATACTTCAAATATTTTTATGAATTATTAATAAGGAAAATCTGTATTAGTTATATTATGATAACAGTTCTTTTAGCATATGAATAACAAGTTTCCATCAAAATTATAGTATTGAAGATGAAATTCGGAGTCAACTTTTTTTCCATACATTAAGTGGTGAAATAGCTTAAAATGAAATGGAAAAAAGTTAAAAGACTTGTACCATCATGCTAGAATAAGACTTTTCTATTTTTATTTTATTTTATCAGATTCAGGGGGTACCAGTGCAGTTTTGTTGCAAGCATGTATTACATAGTGTTGAAGTCTTGGCTTTTGGTGTACCATCACCCGAATAGTGAACACTGTACACTATAGATAATTTGTCAACGCTCATCCTGCCTTCCCATCCTCCCCTATTTTGGAGTCCATAGTATCTGTTGTTCTTCTCTGTATGTCCCTGTGTACCCATTGTTTAGCTTAAACTTATATGTGAGAACAAGTGGTCTTTGATTTTCTGCTTCCCAGTTATTTCACTTAGAATAATGGCCTCAGCTCCATCCATCTTGCTGCAAAAGATGTGATTTCATTCTTTTTATGGTTGTGTAGTGTTCCATCATAAACACACACACACTATATATATATATGTTATATATTATATGTATATAAAATTATATTTTTTATCCAATCAACCATTAATGGGCACAAGTTGATTCCATGGCTTTACTATCGTGAATAGTGCCATGATAAGCATACAAATGCAAGTGTCTTTTTGATATAACGATTTATTTTCCTTGGGGTGAGAATGCTGGATCAAATGGTAGTCCTACTTTTAGTCCTTTGAGGGTTTTTTATAGTGGCTGTAATAATGTACATTTCTACCAACAATGTAAGCATTCCCTTTTCTCTGCATCATTGCCAATATCTGTTGTTTTTTGAATTTTTCTTTATAGCTATTCTGATTTGTGTAAGTTGGTGTCTCATTGTGGTTTTAAATTGTATTTCTCTGATGATTAGTGATATTGAGAATTTTTCCACGTTTGCTGGCTACTTGTATGCCTGAAAATGAGAAATGTCTGTTCATGTCCTTTGCTTGCTTTTTAATGAAGGTATTTGTTTTTTCTTTGTTGAGTTGTTTGAGTTTCTCATAGATTCTGGATATTAGTCCTGTTTTGGATGCATAGTTTGCAAATACTTTTTCCCATCCATTCTGTAAGCTGTCTTTTAACTCTGTTGATTCTTTTCCAATGCAAAAAGTTTTTAGTTGAATTAAGCCTCATTTGTCTATTTTTGTTTTGTTGCATTTGCTTTAAGGTCTTAGTCACAAACTATTTGCCTAGGCCAATGTCCAGAAGAGTAAAAAGCTGGAGGCATCATATTGTCTGACTCAAATTATACTACAGAACCATAGTCACTAAAACAGCATGGTATTGGTATAAAAACAGAAACATAGATCAAAGGAATAGAATAAAGAACTCAGAAATAAAACCACATATCTACAACGAATTGATTTTCAACGAAGTTGATTAAAAAATACACTGGGGAAAGGATGCCCTTTTCAATAAACGATATTGAGAAAATTGGATAACCATATTTAGAAGAATGAAACTAGACAAATATCTCTAATCATAGGCATAAATTAACTCATGATGGATTACAGACTTAAATGTAAGACCTAAAACTACAGAATAAGATGGTTTTCTTTAAAAGTTTTAAGATGAAATTCAGTCAAGTATAAAAAGTTTTTGTAATATTGTCTTCTATATGCACTATGAGCTGATGTGATATCAGAAAAGTAATCTATCCAAAGAAAAATATTAACAACAGTTTACTACAAAATGTATTTTTGACACTCTGTCTATAATCATAAAGATTTTCTTTGGTAATCACAGGGCAGCTGTACTGAGAGTAATTTGTTTTCTTAGCCTGTTTTTTTTTTTTAATTTACTGCTTAGTATTTTTTACATAAAATATAACATATATGAAATGTATGGAAACATAGACTCCCACCATGCTGTCACGTTTCCTTTTACTAGATGAAAATCTCTTTTCCTTTAGCAAAATTTCCATTTAAAACTTACAGATCAAGTGAATATCTGTATTTAATTATATGGATTTCCAAAAATATAACTTATTTGATAAAACATTTAACTAAAATAGATCTGTTAAGACTAAAATAACTTTGTAGATTATTATTAACATCTAAGTTTATGCTTTATTCATTATTCAGATAGATGAAATTGTTCAGCAATGATCATCAACTGCTGTTGGATAATTACAAATAGAAAAAGTAAAGGTCATTTCAACAAGGCTAATGGTAACCTTATTTTAATGGAATTTCCAGATAATAAAAACCAGTAGGTTAAAAGATTAATGAGATAGAGAAAAAAAAGACAGTGAGCATATTCAAGATCTTCATTGTCCAGTTGAGAAGAGATTTAACTGCAGTTTGAAGCAAGCATGGAGCCAATAGAAGGTATTGATTTTTCATTTTCTTATTTTTAAGATGACAGATACTAGAATATTTTAAATTCTTTGTGGAAAAACCCAGTGGAGAAAGGAGCTAATAATACCAGACATTTTACAGAAAGAAAAGCGATCAAGGTTCCTAAGTAATGGAGAATAAGTTTATGAAAAAGGATTTGCTTAGACACAAAGAAAAGGGCAGCTCTTTTTTGTTTTGAGATAAAATACTATTAAATGCTAAAAAGAATATTAAACTTACATTGCCTAAATATGAATCCTAAAGTTTTGACATAATAAAAGGTGTTACAGAGTAATCTAGAAAAAACAGTGCTTCATTGAAGGACTTGTACTAGGATACAAAGGAGTATAAATTTCATAAAAAGAAAGAAAAGGAAAAACTTCCCATCTCCAGCTCTTCCAAAGAGGTCTAAGGAACTGCTTGTCTTTAAGGAGAACATCCTCCAAAGCTAACCAGGACATATTCTGGCAGAAACATCTATCAGATACCTTCTTCCTTCTCTTCCCAAAAGACATAGAAAGGTTATTTTGATATCTTCAAAGAATTTAAATTCCTCAATTTTAATAATATATTATCTTTTTGATAATATCTTATATTTTTGACATTTATATTCTAAATATTTTAGAAATTCCTATCTAAATATAAAATTCCATAGCACAGTATAGAAAACAGATACAGATAAATCTTCTTAACATGGTAATATTTTCAAATACCTTTCTGTCAAGGCATACATAAAGTAGTCACAGAAATTTTTTTTACTTTATATCATTTATTCTATAAGTACAGAATATACAGTCTGTGTATATACCCATCTAGGAATAAAAACAAAATAAATTATACGTATAACATTTTCACTTATATTCTATTCCTCTGACAACTAAAGCCAATGGGGTAGTTTAAAAATCTGAAAGAAAGGTTGTGGAGAGTAAAGAAATGCAATAATATAGTGAGTTTTCCATGTAGCTTCTACTGCATGTGAGTGTTCCTGCAGTGGTATAGCCATTTATTCCCTAAACAGATTTGCCTCATCTTAAGAATATCATGGGACATATGGGGCTCAAGAAGATCTTTCTGTCTTTGCTCTGAGTATATATCGTGTTACAAGAAGAAAACTTCCAGCTCCAACATAAAAGCAAAATTGAGAAAAAACACTGAACTCTTACGAGGCTCTAATGTGGAGATATTCTTCAATTTTATCACTTACATTGTGTCATATGAAATAGCTCTCCTCCCTATCAAACATCATTTGGACACTCATAGGGAGTTCTTATCATTGTTTTTGAGGCATACACTAAATAACTTGAGTAATTTTCCCTGATTGACTTTATCATTATTAAATTGTATTTCTTAATATTATTCTGAGTTTCATTGATGGGAGTCTGATGAAGACCTAGGCCCTAGCCAATACCCTAAAACTTACAACTATAGGAACTTTGTGAAAATATCACTTTGGTTATCAGCATTTACCTATCAACAGTTGACTCCCCCGACTCCCCTGTGTTCAATATACATGAAATAAAACAACATGCATAAAACCATATAACAAGAAAAGAACTCAGAAACTATGAGGTAGTATCAGAAGCTCAAGATTCCCAGGAGATACACATGGTTTAGTAAAGGCAACATAAAAGAACATCAGAACAAGTCTAGTGGCTGTTATTTAAGAAGTAAGGACTAATGCCTGTGGGGGTGAAGGTGGCCAGTCTGACTACTGGAGCAGGACAGACAATGCTTACCTGCCTTTAGAAAATGACATTATTAGAATAGCTTGTGACAATCAGCAAATCATTCAACCCCTAAAGTCCAGCTTCATTTGTAGAGTGCCAGGAGCTGATTAAATGTTTTAGAAATTCCTATCTAAATATAAAGTTCCATAGCACAGGATAGACAAGTACATGGAGAATGAACACTAGAGACAGAAATTCTGCCTTGCATGCTTCTTCCTAAACATCACTTGGATCTAGTATTCTTTATACGGCTGTGTGTGTCTATGTATATGTATTATACACGTATATAATATATAATATACACGCAACAGATATTTTTCTGCTTAATTTGGCTTAATTTGATATTCTTTTTCTTGTATCTTAAGGTAGAAGCTAAAGTCATAGATTTTATACCTTTTTTTGCTAACAGTTTATTAGTGTATAATTTCCTACATATAATGCTTTAGATGTAGCTCACAAATTTTGATAGCTTGTGTATTCATTCTTCTTCAGTATAAATAATTTCTAATTTCCCTTTTGATTTGTTTATTTTTGGCCCCATGTGTTACTCACAAATTCTTTAGTTAGTTTCCAAATGTTTGAGGATATTTTTCAGATATTTTCCTGTTAGTGCTTTACAATTTTATTTCATCCAGGTCATAAAACATATCTTGCATCACTGAAATCCTTACAAATTTATTGAGGCTTGTTATATAATTTACAACATGGTCTGTATTGGTGAATGTTCTTTTTTCGCTAGGACTGTGTATTGGTAATGTTGTGTGGAGTGCTCTGGAAATGTCAATTAGATCAAACTTGATAGTTGTTGATTTGATGAAGTATTTTCTTTCTTTACTGATTTTCTGTCTACCTGTTCCATCAATTTTTGGGGACAGGTATTAACACGTCTCTAAGTATAATTATGAGTATTTCTACTTTTCCCTCCTAAAGCTCTTTAATTAGGTATATAAATGTTTAGATCAGTGTGTCATCTTGTTGATTTCATGCCTGAGGGTAAGCAGGAAAAGCGAACAAAAATCTATTATCTCGTTTGTCCTAGAATAAAGTTGAGTATATTGAAAAAGAAGTTTCTTTCTAGTTAAGACATAAATAAGTTTATGTCAGCAAATTGATGACTTAAAGCTTGAAATATGGAGAAGCAATTTAAGTTCCTGGGGGAAAGCACAGAGAGAAGATGGAGAAATCAGCATATGGGAGGAGGGCTTGGTGAGAGACAGGACTAGAAGGATACCCAACGGTAAGGGTAATCAAAATGGTACCCTGCAAAGCTGAAATGATTAAGACAGGACTGGTCTTTTCTGTAGGATATATGACATAAACTTTTCCTGTAAATGACCCATAATATATTTATTCAAGTATGCTGTTATACTTCTATTTTTTTTATTCAAGTAGAATCTTTTGCCCAAATTAGAAAAGTTCTTGAATCTCAAGTCTTAGTTACCTTTGTGAGGCCTGGAGATCTGGAGATGGCAAAAATGCAAGAACACTTAGTCAATTTTGACCATTAAAATGGAAGTTTCTGAGAGTTTAAAGGAGTTTAGGAACCTTTGGACTTTCTCAAACTAGAATTTAGGGGTGGAGGGATTATATTTTTCCTAGCTGGAAGGTGAAATTGACCAAAATAAAGATTTTATTATTATTAAATATACTGAAGTTACCTTTTGCAGAAGTGGATATAGTAGAAAGAAGTCCTAAATCCTAATTTTTGTACATATATATATTATGGTTTCTTATACTTAACCGTAGGGAATGACAATGGTGAGACACAGTATTAGTAAATTTGAATAATTTGCCATTTGTCTATGGTCAGATGTTATTCTAGTTATAGTTTTTAGAATTAAAACATGTAAACTTATACATTATTGACAGAGAGTTCATACATCTGCTTATAATGAGTTACAGGGTCATTAAAGGGAAATTTACTTTTATCTGAGGAAGGTTATAGAGTCTTTACTTATGCTGTTTGAGTTGTGTTTACAGCTGTCCATATGGCCAAACTTTAACAATCTTTCACACAGATAAAAAATTCATTTGCAATCACTCAAATATACTTAAGCATAAAGAACATATACCCAGAAATGTCTGCAGATAATTAAAAGGAAAACCAGCAATTTTGAGGATATGGCGTATGATTTAAAGTATGCTATCTACTTTAAGTTTTTTAGAGGAACAGATGGGCCCTTTTCTTAAAAAGGCAATAGCTTCCACTGAGCTGCAGGGCCTTTGAGTGGCTCAGTGCAGCAGGTGCTGTGGTGCAATGAGGATATGGTAGTGGGCGTGCTGCCAGCAGAAAAACCTCCTCCACCCCCAATGGAATATCCTCAGAATAAATGATAAAAAGTGAAGTAAGAGCTACTAATAAGTTCTTTTAGAAGGATATTGAAAAGTTCTAAAATTCAAAACCCATGCCTCATTCAACCTGTGGAATCAGGACTGGTTCTGAAGTATAAACTTTCCTATATTTGACACTTCCAGTGAAGTTTAAAAACAGGTCAGACAAACATCCATAAGCATACTGTGAGGTGGTTGAAAATAATGGATAAAGCACTGGCTTCACATCTTGCTGCAACATGACCTCCCTATGTGGTGTTGGGCATGTTATTTAAAATCTCTGGGCATTGATTCATCATCTAGAAGACATAAATGATAACGGCAACTACCTGACTGGGTTGTTGTGAGAGTAAATGACATGGAACGTGTGTAAAACTACACAGAACTATTCACTGCATGTAGTCATTGTTTAATAAATGTTTGCTCATATTGTGAGCAAATTTCCTTACCAAAGAATGTCCATTTAGTACCTTTCTCCTACAGGCCATATTACATGCTACATCTTGGGGAGGTATACTTAAAGACTTCCATAAATAGGTTTATGAACCACTATATTATAAAAGCCATTTCATTGATATCTGAGCTTTCCAAAAGCATTAAAAAAAAAGGTGAGCATCTAGAAAATGGCTCCTTATTCTTAAGAAATACAAACAAAAGGCTCAGTCAAAACTTGATTTATTGTTTGGGGGAGAAAATGATCTTTGCCTTACGCCATCAACCTATATTATCATGTTAGTTCAAAAGCCTCTTAATTGAACAATTTCTTTATTACATAGTATCTACAGAATGAAAATCCAAAGACATTCATTTTATGAATTATCACTAATTATAATAATAAAATAAATGATTAACTTTATACTTATTTTTTTATAGAGAAAACAGGTTTATTTCACTCATAGTTCTGCAGGCTATACAGGAAGTATGGTGGGGGCATCTGTTTCTGGAGAGGGCCTCAATACATCTATTAAGAATTATAAAGTCAGCCGGGTGCGGTGGCTCACGCCTGTACTCCCAGCACTTTGACAGGCTGAGGAGGGTAGATCACTTGAGGTCAGGAGTTTGAGACCAGCCTGGCCAGCATGGTGAAACCCCTTCTCTACTAAAAATACAAAAATTATCTGGGCATGGTGTCAGGCATCTGAAATCCTAGCTACTCAGGAAGCTGAGGCTGGAGAATCATTTGAACCCGAGAGGTGGAAGTTGCAGTGAGCTGAGATTGCATCACTACACTCTAGCCTGGGCGACAGAGTGAAACTCCATCTCAGATAATAATAATAATAAATTCAAGCTTTATAATTCTTAATAAATTTATTGAGAATGGTCTAATTTGTAAGACTGCATTACTGCTATAGGGATCATGTTAAAATATTTGGCCTTTAAATTTAATAAAATTCTGTCAGCAATATGTGAGAACCAAAATATTCAATTGTGCAAATGCAGATTGTGTTTTATGAGATTAAATATAGATAGATGATAGATGACAGATAGATAGATAGATAGATAGATAGATAGATAGATAGATAGATATTCTGTTAATATTTGTTGTCAGGAAAAGCTCAAAAGGAAAGACAGTGAAACAAACAGCAGTGGCTTCCTCTGAACTGAGAAAATCCAAAAAATCAGGCTGCAGTCACTTCTTTACCTGAAAATAAGAGCTGAGCCCAACCACATTTGACAACTAGGGATAAAGGAACACAGAAGCTGGTAGTTTATTTTTTTACATCAGCATTTGTCTTTTTGTAGATTTTACTGTAAGTTTAAATACATCCCTTCACCTGGAAAGATATGCACAAACACAAAGCCGACTGCATTGGTATGGAACATGCATTTCTCTGGCAAGGCCTCATTTTCTCTTATCAATGGGAAAACTAAATCGTGTGGGTGAACTCCCATTCTCATGTGGGAGTGAATTATCAGCAAGAGCTACAGTTCATTTAACTAACTCAGTTCTGAGTTGATATTCATGCCCCAAAGTGCCCCAGCCTTCAGGAAGAGGTGGATCCCAAAAGCCACCCTGGACTCCTGCCTCCTAAAAGGGTCTCTGTGATCTTGGTAGAGCAAGTTCTGCTCCAATGCTAAACCAAGGTTGACATCTGGTGGGCAGTTTCATCCTCTGTGAGCCCAGGTGACTTCCACAAACTCCATCCTGGGTACTCGAAGTAGTTGTGTGCAGCCTGGTCTAGGCTTTAGGACCTCCTGTGAGACCAAGGGTAACTTGGGGTGCAAATCACATTCCTCTTCTCTCATTTGTTCGCACAGGACTAGGTGAGTCTACAGGAGAGGGGAGTACCAGCCCCATGTCCAGAAACACTGCTCACATGCACAGGGGATGTATTTTTAAAACTGGCCGGTGTGGTGGCTCACGCCTGTAATCCCAGCACTGTGGGAGGCTGAGGTGGGTGGATCACGAGGTCAAGAGATCGAGACCAGTCTGGCCAACAGGTCAGTAGAGATTTAGTAGATGTTTAGTAGAGACAGGTGAAACCCTGTCTCTACTAAAAATATAAAAATTAGCCGGGCATGGTGGTGTGCACCTGTAGGTCCCAGCTACTCAGAAGGCTGAGGCAGGAGAATCCCTTGAACCCAGGAGACGGAGGTTACAGGGAGTGGAGATCTCGCCGCTGCACCCCAGCCTGGCAACAGAGTGAGACTCCATCTCAAAACGAAACAAAACAAAACATCCTTGCTTCTCTCAGCCAAGATAGCATTTTTCCAATTAATATGTGTGTGTATGTATATATGAAAGGACTATAAAATAATAGGAGCGGGAATATTTAGATTATTTGAAATTGTTATCATCCTAAATTCCAATACATAAATAAATAAACAGATAAATCCACATCTCTCTCTTTGCAAACAGGTCTCTGTCCAAAAATCACCTCTCTAGTGAGGAATCTACTGTTCACCTATTTAAAAATGAGATTCCTATGACTATTTTAAAAAAGGACATTTTCTTTTCTTCGACATACTTTTCTCCAGTGGTTAATGTTTTAATTTAAAGTTTTCTATCTTTCCCACTGGAATGTTAGCCATATAAAGGCAGTGACTAAGTTTCTCTGCTCCACTGCCACATTTCCAGAACTCTGCTCACAATGCCTGGCACAAAGAACAAGCTCAAAAATAGTAGCTGACTGAATCCCTGGAGAAATGAATGATGTAATTTGAGCAGAAGCCTAATGATGAATCTGATGCTTCCATTTTCCCATTAGAATGCACTGCTTTCAGAATACAATGGTGATAAAGACAGAATCCCCGCTATCAAACAATTAACTTTCTGTGGTTATATTTAAGCTATGATTTTTAACAACTTTATTGAGTTCTAATTCACATGCCAAAACTCTACCCAGTGAAAATGTGTCATCCAAGGATTTTTAGAAAATTTATATAATCATATCATCATCACCACAATTAAGTTTTAGAGCAGGTCCTTCAACCCAAAAATATTTCTTCTGCCTATTTTGTAGTGAATCTCCATGTCTAATCTTCACTCCAGGCAACTGTGAATCTTGTTTCTGTCTCTATATATGTTTTTATGCTTTTTCTAGACATTTCATATAAATGAACCCATACAGTAAGTAGTTTGTGTGTGCCTTCTTTCATTAAGCATTGTTTTCTTGATGCTTCTTCAAGTCATTGCATTTATCAGGAGTGTATTTATTAACGGGTAACATTTCAATATATGGGTATACCTATTGTTTATCCATTTACCAGTGGATAAACATGTTTTGGCTATTATAAATAAGACTGTTAAGAACATTCATGCACAAACCTTTGTGTAGACATAAGTTTTCATTTCTATTGGGTAGACATCTACAGAACTGTTGAGTCACCTGTTAAGTGTATGTTTCATGTCTTGAGAAGGTATAAAATTATTTCCAAAGTGCCATTTTATATCCCCACCAGCCAAATCTGGTGTTTCTACATTCTCACCAATTCTTGCTATTGTCCATCATTTTGATTATGGACACTCCATTGTGTATGTGTTAAATGGTATCTTATTATGTTTTTAATTTGCATTTACCTAATGACTAATGATATTGAATATCTTTTTATGGATGTATTAGTTATTCTACTGTCTTCTTTAATGAAACATATTTGTAATCTTTTGTCCATTTTTAAATTTACTGTTATTTTATTTGTTGAGTTGTCACCATTCTTTATGATTTACAAATATTTTCTCCCAATTTAATGAAGTCAAATTTATCAGTGTTGTCTTATGGTTTATGCTTGTGGTACATCTAAGAAACTCTTGCTTGCCCTGAGATAAAATCAATTATCTCCTGTTTTCTTCTAGAAGCTTGAGAGTTTTAATTAGCTAATTAGCTAATTTGTAGCAACCGGTTGCCTATTTACCTTTCATCTTTTCTCCCATGTAGCTTTTTTTTTCTTCTTCAGGTATTTGCAACCCAGGAATGAAGAAGCTCCCTCTCCTAATTTTGAACAGAGTGTAAAAATTTCTCTGATGCAATGGTGACCTGCATGTGTAACAGTCAGCCTACCCCACGGGCCATGGAACAGAAGGGCCACTGGTTACAGGAAGCAAAGTGAAACACATGGTACACTAAATGAATTTTAAACATGCAGCAAGATGCAAGAGGCAGGAGAAGCAAGGGGGAAGAGATTAGGACAAAACTGGGGGTCAGGAGCTCAGCTGGGCTGCAAGAGAGCCCAGCCACCAGCTGTCAGAGAAGCCAGTTAAAGCAATAAGCCAAAAAGGAAAGGGTGAAGCCTTTAGTCACTTACTGTGATGGTAAAGCAAAAGTCTAAAACCAAGACAGCACCGATTCCTATGTTCCATCTCTCCTCATGTCCAGGATCAGGCAAGACACCACAGATGTGGGGTCATTTTACTTTTGAGGAAGCCCTGAACAAAAGGCTTTAGTGGTTTCATGGTCCCTGAAGTCTGAGGTCAGGAAGAAGGTCAGAAAGAGAGAAAGAGCCCTCAAGGAAGGAGGCCCCAGCAGAGGCCCTTGAAGACCACCTCTGCAGACGGCCTCGGGTAAAGAGACCTAGCAATGAAGCACTGAAGCTCAGAAAGAAACTTATGAGACAGCGTGACTGGCCGGAGGGGCCTGAGCCCTTGACTGTAGCTCCCTTCAGAGGATGCATGCTTGGCTGTGGTGCACCAGCTCTGGCGTAGAGAAAGCACTTTCCCCTTGCCAGGTGGAGCCTTTTTCATTGCCTACAGTGAGGCCTTAGGAATCACAATAGGTTTTTAACCTAAAGCTGGACTCATCTCATGGAAGGGCCACATGTCTTGACTCCTGTGTTATGCAATGTTCCCAGGATGTATCTTCCTCCTTCCCAAATCTACCTTAGTTGCTGATGTTCTTGTGGATCTTGTGGATCAACGTGGCAGAAGGAAGTCACCTTGAACCAACACTCCATTTTTCTATCACAGAGATGCTGGGGCAAAAACCCCAGACTCACCAATAACCAACTGAGAAACCACAGTTTTTATCTGAGTACGTCAGGCACTGGACACATGGAGTCAGATGAATCCTACTAGGGGGTGGCCAATTTAAGGATGGCATAGGTTTCAAGATGGAGGCAACAAGATCAGCGCCTTATGCAGAAACGCAATTTACTTGATCCATCTATTCCTTTCCACTGAAATTCAGCACAGAGCTAACATATGAGCAAACTGCTTCTATTTTTTTAGCAGAATGGAATATTCAATTATTTCAAGATTTCTGAAGAAAAGCCACTGTTGGCCTCAAATATGAACAAAACTCACAAGGTTTTGTTAAATTACTTTGTCAATATTAAAGAAGTATATCAAAATAAACTTGGATTCTTATTAAAATTGCAAAATTAAAATAAAATTAAAGCCAAAAGTAGTTTTGAGTAGACATCTGCCTACATAAGTAATTCAAATAGATGTGAATTTTTATTAAAAATGGAATGAAGAGGAAAATTTTTAAATGCTCATCATGCACCCTTGCTAACTAGAAATTTTGCTTCATTAAGGAAAATCAAGGCCAGACATAGTAGCTTTCTCCTGTAATCCCAGAGTTTTGGGTGGCTGAGACAGGAGGATTGCTTGAGGCCAGCACTTCAAGACCAGCATGGGCAACATAGTGAGACCTGTCTCTATAAAAAAGACAATAAAAACCAGTTTAGCATAATATGCACATGTCTATACCTAACTGGGAGACTGACGTGAGAGAATTGCCTGAGCCCAGCAGGTCAAGGCTGCAGTGAGCTGCGATCACACCACTGCACTCCAGGCTGGGCGACAGAGTAAGAATCTGTCTCTACAAAACAAACAAACAAACAAACAAAAAAAACAAACAACAACAAAAAAAGTGGCAAAAAAATGACATAGGGCTTTTTAAAAATTCAAGTACAGTAAAAACAAACAAAAAACAGAGGTAGAATGAAAAAAGGAATCACTAAAAGAAATGCTCAAAGAGAGCAGAAACATGTGGCAGTATGTTTTGAGAGCCTGTATTCATTTTAGGGTTTTCAAAGTAAATTCTAAGGATTAACAAATATATGGCAATACATGAATATATGATTTATTTGATCCCATATATACATTACTCTTCCTTTCCCTGGAGAATTAAGACAAAGTCCACATATGACTTTCACAATTGGCACATCTATCTTCAAACCTGTTTTATTCCTCATGAATTTTGTGTGCTTTCTAGAATAGATATGATAAATTACTTTTCCCAAAATAGTACAATCATTGGTATGATAATTAGAGTGAAATAAATTGCAGTGGTCATTTAGTAAAATGATGAACCAGTTAGAACCAATCAGAGGCAGAAAACCTAACAATAAGACTATGATGAATAGATGAGTGATGGTAAAATCTGACCATGAGATGTACCCAGAGAAGAACTAGGCTTCCATACCCAAAGCAATGAGCATTTCATTACGGAATTGGGGCATGCACGTAAGAGGAAGGGAATAGATTTGTAAATGTTAATATTGTATTCCAATCATTTTATAGCCAAATTAGTTTCTTCCTACAAAAAGTCTCTATTCCCTGGAAAAACAAATTACATTGTAAAAAACACAATATTTTATTATACTTTAATTTTCTTTTAGGAAATTACTTTTCCCTTTTTTGGCAGGGCGACATTCCTTGCATTCCTATTTTTCTTCTTTAGTATCTTTAAAGTTTTAAAATTAATTAACCCACCCCCCCAACATAAAACTTTGTTGATCTTGAACTATTAAATCACTTTTAATTTTATCCAACAGGAACTATATTCAGATTATTTTTAAAAAACTTATAACACAAATTTGAAATATATTTTGAATCAATAAGAGTTGGGTTATGCATGTTATTGCCAAAAGGGCAAACATTTTAAAAGTAATAATTAATTGGAATGACTTTTCTTATATTGATTCATGTGTTTTGGTTAAAAGCATGGGAAAAATCAGATTTTTTTGCTCTAAAAAGTATAAGTAAGAATTCAGAACTCTTGAAAGTACTTTGGTCTAGAAAAATTAAGGCTTAAAATATTGGCATGTTCTGCTTTCCTGTAGTTTTGCTTTAACTCACAGTCATATGTTAGTAGTAGTTCAGGTTTTGCTATCAATTCAAAAGCACAGAGACTTTCAGTCTTGCTTCTTCAAATAACAAAAGTGCCAACCTGGTAGAGTCACAATTGGAACTGAGACTGGAAAGATTAATAAGTTAATATGTTAAGAATTGAATGTAAATGACGAGTTGATGGGTGCAGCAAACCAACATGGGACATGTACACCTGTGTATCAAACCTGCACGTTGTGTACATGTACTCTAGAACTTAAAGTACAATTTAAAAAAAAAAAGAAAGAAAGAAAGAAAAAAAGAATTGAATTAAAGCAAAGCCATTATTCATGAATTTCTGCAAGGACTATGAACTTTCTTGCAGGACTTACAACCCTGTGAGTTCAAACTTTGACAATTTCATTGGTAACCTTGTAAGAGCTGACAGTTTACATAACAGCTCAATCAATGCCAAAACTCCATGTTATATTTACATTTAGGTATATATAATTAATTGTCTTACTGTTGATCGTAGCTAGGCCTTAAACAACATCAGAGATCTGTAATTAGTTCAGAAGAATTTGTAAGTGCTCATTTATTTTTATATTTATCTTTTAGTATGTGTAGATATATTACCTTATGTAGAAATTTAGTATATGTGGAGATGTAGAAGGACATTATTAAAAGTATCAATGCTCCCTTGTTTTTGTTTGTTTATTATCATTATTTTTAACTCTCCAAAAAGGTCCACATACAGAACTTTTCTGCAAACCTAAATCTTCTCTTTCCTTGCACTGGTAGGGGCAATATCTAAGTTCTACTTTTCTTTTCATAACAAAAAATTATGACCCTACTTAAGATGCTTGACTAAATTCATTCTTGTTTTTTGTCAGTGCAATGATGATCTAGTAAACAAACATGGACCTTTTAATCTGTTTTTCTCCAAGTTGTTTGAATTGATGCATGAATGTCTTTGAATTACCTTAACAATAATTTAATAGTATGACATCCTTGATATTTTTCCTGATTATCCTACTAAAAGATGACATATGCCAACAGAATGAACTGGCCTGCTTTAGGAACAAATATACCTGTATTCTTTTGAGATGAGAATTAGCATTCACCATCAATAGTAACTTCTTCTGGGACTAAGGAGATAGTCAATTGATTCAAATTAATTTATTTTACTTGTAACCACTTTAAATTATGTAATTACTTATTGATAAAATCATCTGTAGAAGTAATAGATTACAAATAATTTTTGGAAATGTGTTACAATTTATGATTTTTTCTTAATAATTATTGCAGTAACAGTAGATTACATCAGCTGTGTATCCAATACAAAAAAGTTCCCCTGCTCTACGCCTGTAATCCCAGCACTCTGGGAGGCTGAGGCGGGCTGATCATGAGGTCAGGAGCTCGTGACCATCCTGGCTAACACGGTGAAACCCCGTCTCTACTAAAAATACAAATAAAATTAGCCGGGCGTGTTGGCAGGCGCCTGTAATCCCAGCTACTCGGGAGGCTGAGGCAGGTGTGAACCCGGGAGGCAGAGCTTGCAGTGAGCCGAGATCACGCCACTGCAATCAAGCCTGGGTGACAGAGCGAGACTCTGTCTCAAAAAAAAAAAAAAAAAAGGCTCCCCCGCTCACAGGATTGCTACAAATAAAACCATGTAAATGCAGTGAATTTCTGTCAGCTCAATCTTGGTAACTGAACAAAAAAGGGTGGTCAAAATCAGCTTTCTAAACATAGAAATGGAGACTCAATTTCACTTCATTTTTGTGACAGTTTCTTTTCTCCTCTCCCTAACATATCAAGAACAGGAAATTATTTTCACATTTAGTTTAATCAAATAATTAATTATATCTAACTATGGATGCCTTTTAGATAAGTCCCCTAGAGATATTAAAAATGTCATAGTACACCAATATTTCTCACAGCTTATTCTGTTAGAGCTGTTATAACAAATGATTAAAAACTCACTCAATAGGAGTAATTTTAAACTATTGAATCATGGCTCACAAATGGGATATTGGCTGAAGACTCTCAGCAAAGTTAAAGCAAGTCAGATTCATTGTGGCCTCACTCAAGCTTAGCTGGTGTCATATTATAAATTTAAACCTTTCTTATCAGATATTCTTCTACAACACATTGAAAGCAATTCTGAGAAGATGAGAAATATGTGAACATCATACATAAGATAAAAATGTGCTGAGGCAGCAAGGTGAAGTTCTGATAAGCTATCAGCCTTTCAGTTTCACTACTTTTCTATGAAAAAGAGTGAATAGTTAATTCAAACTCTGTTTTCAAACAAAGTTACCAGAATATAAAATATTGGTTCACTCTGGATGATATGTAAAAGCCTTACTCGGCATTTTATTTCTTTACTTTCCTCTTTTCAATTCTAATAATATAAATTAAAGGCTTAAGTGTCTATAGTAAAAACAAAAACAAAACTACATGATCTCCTGGGCCACCTGAAACTAAAGGACCCAGAGCACTAGGCTGAAAATATCCATAAGGATTTCTTTCAGCTTCTGGTTTTATTGTAGATTTATAGGTTCCTTGGTCCTAGAAGAGATGCTCAAGCAGGAGACAGCATCATTAGCCTCTGCTCTTGTAATAGATTACAAATAATTAATTTTTGTGATTTGATGCTCTGAGGGTGAGTGGATGCCCTGAGGTTGGGAAAGTGAGTGAGTTTCAGTGAGTGGATGCTCTGAGGGTGGGAAAGAGAAGTGCAGGATGCTGATAGGGAGCTCTTTAATTCCTGAATCTTCTCCTCTTCATGGAAACTTGGAGAAGATCTAGAGTTGTCAACCCACAAAGAAGAAACCCAGTAAGGAAACACTTACTATAATATTAAGTCAACCCCCTAAGCCTCAGGGCCATACACAAGAAACTGAACTGCGCCGTGTGGATAAGGTATGAGCCTTGGATGGAGGCAGGCTCAAGGAAGAGTGAGCTGGTTCCTTCACTCCTTTTGTAGACTGGGCACTGAGCTAGGGATCTTGCTGGCCACGCTGACGATGATGAAGGGCCTGTCTCAGGAAAGGAGCACAATCATCACACAGCCAGCATGAGGGCGGGAGAACAGTATTTGCCCCTCCCTATAAAAAAAAAAAAAAAAAAAAAAGCTTTTTGGACTATATTCCAGGAAAGCCGTTTTGTCTCTGTAGACTCAGGAAGGCCCCTTCAATTTGGGCATAATCGTGGAAAGGAAATAAATAAATATCGAATGCATTACAAAGCAAAGAGGAAAATGTAATTCTAAATGCCACCCTTTTAGAAGTTGGAGACCAAATTCCTATCAGTGTAACTTAAAAAACATGAACTCACTGAACAAAACCAAATTATGTGTTCCAGGGAGCAATTATCTACGAGAAAGTAGGAGCGCCAATTTCTAATCAAACTTGGAATGAAGCTAAATGTGTAAAATCTCTTTTACACTTCTGCCTTTGCCAGAAAAATTTTGCTTAGACTGCCCTATTAATTTGGAGTTCCACCCCAAGATAGAGTCATCTGGGGTAAATAAATAAACTACGTATGCAGAATAATGGTTAGAAACACTTCTCACTGATGATTCTGTTTCACTGCTGGGAGAGAAATTCTCTAATAAAAATGGAGTTAATGGGATACTCGGCTCACCTTGATGATATTAATTCTCTTGAATGAGCTGAGAGGAAGGCAGTTAACCAGCCATATTATCCCAATTTTACCTCGTCATTAATCCTCAATTGACTGTCCCAGCTCCAGCATTCTTTACCCCATCCTGTTGCTTTATCTTCCCCAATTTTTTTGGACTGATACTGCCATGCATGGCGCTGAGTTCTCAGCTTGTGTATGAATGCAATATGAAACACAGCTGAATTGCATTTAAAAAATGAGCAGCTTATTAAATTGTGGATTAATTTTTTATAGTTATCATACAGTTTTTGGTCATTCCCTTTCCACTGTTTGTTCTCTGACCTCATCAGGTTTGATGTGAAGCCTCTATTTCAACAATTCCAGGCTCTAATCTCCACTCCCACAACTGCCTATCCTTGAAAACTGTGGATGGCATTTATGTGATCCTAGGCTACTTTTTCCTACAGATGCAAGGTCTGGACCAGTCACCAGCGGTGTGTCCTGGGACAAGATAGTAAACTAAACTTTCTTTCCCGAGGGGATGACATTTAATAGTTTCTGTTTCGTAATGCTGCTGAGACGATGAAATGAGTCAGGGTATGCAGACAGCTTACGCATATATCCTCTTAGTTGACAATCTTTAATTTTCCCCACCCCCATCTCACTAAATTTTGTTTCCACCTTTCCTGGACATAGTCAACTTCCTCATCCTTCAAGTTCATGTTCCATCTCTTTCTCTAAGCCTTTCTTTGAAAGTCCAGTACCAGGAAATGGCCTGTCATTTCCTTGAACTTCTGGGGGTTGGTGGCTCCTTGCTTGATACCAGATACTATTCTTCCCTGGGTTGCTATTTCATTAAGTGGTAGATCTGAGTTATTTCCATGCTGGGATGGCTGTGGGCAAAGCCAAGCTCTATGGTGCTGCTTTTTATCTGATGGAATAGGTGTTGGGCTTGCAATGCCTTTCCTTGCTTCTCTGTGGTTGCTTCATGGATTCTAAACACCATAGGATGAGAACATGTTTAGCCTTTCCTCAGTAAAAATCTATCTGAGGCAGACATCAGACATCCTTTTAGTCTCATAGGTGAACGTTGCTTAGAAGACAAAATGGGATATGATCTAGTAAATAACTCATGCTTAGGCAATAATATCACGTTAAATTTTCAGAAAGGTCAGCAAAATAAACCTTGGTATAACCACTTCTGTGACTGGCAGAATAGAATTGCATTCTTATTGATGTGGAAGTTTTGACGAATCATATTGGATAATAGGTGACCTGTGTATTTTGTCACTTCTCATAACATTTTTTTCTTCTATTTAGAATCGCATCTTATTGTCATGTTTTATTTCCATGAATTCAGTGGAAGCCAGCGTTTAGAAATGAACTCAAAAATATAGAAATGTTTCCAAGTTTCAAAAATATTTTCCGTTCTCCACAAAGCGTGTGTATGCCAAGAATGCAGTCAGACAGTTGCTAAATTAGATCATAAAGAAATTAACTATATCTGAAATTCTCAGATAGATGGTTTATCCAGTTATTAACAGTTTCTAAAGGCGAAATAATTATGATTGTCCAAAGTTCTTTAGTAATTTTTCTGCCACTCTGCAAAGGGCTTTACATAAACATTGTTCAACATTCAGAACACCGTAAGAGTTAGCAACACAGCCATCCCCTTTGAGGAAAGGCAGTGCTCAGGCTAAAGTGGTGGGCTGGTGTGGCTGATGTCAGTTGCATTTTTCGGTAGAGTGGTGGAAGGATCTGGGGAATATTTGGCTGTCTTCCTGACACATGTCTGGTCTTTAAAATCACATTATTTAAATCATTGTTTTCTGTGTTTATATAATTATGAACTTGAATATTATATGTGATGGCTTATGTAAGATCTTACACTAATATTACTTTTGGAAAATAGAAAAATATGATACTTAGTATATGGATTTATTTTTTAAAATAAAATTGATCATTTCAGAAGACAAAAAGTTTACACTACTCTCATTAACCTCCCAATATAATACATTTAATTTCTGCATATTTCCCTCCATTTTGTTCATGTGTTCCTACACCCTATGTCAGTGTGGTAAAGTAAAAAGACCATTTTGCCTTCTCTTTCAATATGTATTAACCCATAAGACTTATTGAATCCTTTCCACTTAATTAGATAGCGATTCTCAACTTGAGAAAGTAATTTTTCCTAGAACTTTCCCATTTCTTTTGCATTCTTTGCTAATCAGAAAAAGCACAATAATTGGCCATTTTCACAGAGGCTAGTGCTCTGCCACATTAAACAAAATACCTGAATATATTTGGATTTGTGTTTTCTCTGAAAGTTGTCAGGTAGAATGTATTGTATGAAGCTCTTTCAATCCCCCTTCTTCTGCCTGAAGTTTTAAACTCTTGAGATACCAGGAGGAGGGATGAGTCAAAAAGAGGAAAAGAAGACCCACATATAAGACAAAAGCCATCAAGAATCATGGAACCATGCTACCAGGTTCTGCTGTAAGAATAGTTCTGCCCAGAAGCAAGTGATTTGTTCCATAATATTTCTCTCAGATTAGAGCCAAATCATGAGTGAACTCCCTTTCACAATTGCTTCAAAGAGAATAAAATACCTAGGAATCCAACTTACAAGGGATGTGAAGGACCTCTTCAAGGAGAACTACAAACCACTGCTCAGTGAAATAAAAGAGGACACAAACAAATGGAAGAACATTCCATGCTCATGGATAGGAAGAATCAATATTGTGAAAATGACCATACTGCCCAAGGTAATTTACAGATTCAATGCCATCCCCATCAAGCTACCAATGACTTTCTTCACAGAATTGGAAAAAACTACTTGAAAGTTCATATGGAACCAAAAAGGGGCCCACATTGCCAAGACAATCCTAAGCCAAAAGAACAAAGCTGGAGGCATCACGCTACCTGACTTCAAACTATACTACAAGGCTATAGTAACCAAAACAGCATGGTACTGGTACCAAAACAGAGATATAGACCAATGGAACAGAACAGAGCCCTCAGAAATAATACCACACATCTACAACCATCTGATCTTTGACAAACCTGACAAAAACAAGGAATGGGGAAAGGATTCCCCATTTAATAAATGGTGCTGGGAAAACTGGCTAGCCAAATGTAGAAAGCTGAAACTGGATCCCTTCCTTACACTTTATACAAAAATTGATTCAAGATGGATTAAAGACTTAAACATTAGACCTAAAACCATAAAAACCCTAGAAGAAAACCTAGGCATTACCATTCAGGACATAGGCATGGATAAGGACTTCATGTCTAAAACACCAAAAGCAATGGCAGCAAAAGCCAAAATTGACAAATGGGATCTAATTAAACTCAAGAGCTTCTGCACAGCAAAAGAAACTACCATCAGAGTGAACAGGCAATCTACAGAATGGGAGAAAATTTTTGCAATCTACTCATCTGACAAAGGGCTAATATCCAGAATCTACAATGAACTCAAACAAATTTACAAGAAAAAAACAAACAACCCCATCAAAAAGTGGGCAAAGGATATGAACAGACACTTCTCAAAAGAAGACATTCATGCAGCCAACAGACACATGAAAAAACGCTCATCATCACTGGCCATCAGGTAAATGCAAATCAAAACCACAATGAGATACCATCTCACACTAGTTAGAATGGTGATCATTAAAAGGTCAGGAAATAACAGGTGCTGGAGAGGATGTGGAGAAAAAGGAACACTTTTACACTGTTGGTGGGACCGTAAACTAGTCCAACCACTGTGGAAGAAAGTGTGGTGATTCCTCAAGGATCTAGAACTAGAAATACCATTTGACCCAGCCATCCCATTACTGGGTATATACCCAAAGGATTATAAATCATGCTGCTATAAAGACACATGCACATATATGTTTACTGCGGCACTATTCACAATAGCAAAGACTTGGAACCAACCCAAATGTCCATCAGTAATAGACTGGATTAAGAAAATGTGGCACATATACACCATGGGATACTATGCAGCCATAAAAAATGACGAGTTCATGTCTTTTGTAGGGACATGGATGAAGCTGGAAACCATCATTCTCAGCAAACTGTTGCAAGGATAAAAAGCAAACACCGCATGTTCTCACTCATAGGTGGGAATTGAACAATGAGAACACTTGGACACAGGAAGGGGAACATCACACACTGGGGCCTGTCATGTGGTGGAGGGGAGGGGGGAGAGAAATCATTAGGAAATATACCTAATGTAACTGACGAATTAATGGGTGCAGCACACCAACATGGCGCATGTATACATACGTAACAAACCTGCACGTTGTGCACGTGCACCCTAAAACTTAAAGTATAATTTAAAAAGAAGAGTATTTCTCTCAGATTAATATTCAGTCATTATCAATCCAGGAGGTTGGAATGATCTAGTATTAACATAGTACTTATTACTGTAGAATTAAGGATGACACACTGCTTTGTTATTGAAGATATTCATATTATGAAGGTAAAATGCTTGTGAGGATCAGTTTAATAACCAATAACATTAATAACTAATAAATTTAGTACTTAAACTGAATTATGTCATTTTCCTTAATTATACTATTACCACCTGAAAGAAAGAATCTGCAACTGGCTTCTTGTAACACTGGAAGCCTTGAGGCTTGACCTTTCATTTGTCCTTATTTGTGCAGTTTTCATGCATGGACTAGAAGCTCTTTTAGCTGATGTGGCAGTCTGTCTTCGTGTGGATTCCAGGGAATTCAACTGCAGTGTTGTGCTTTCACTAACGTGTGAGGTTGAACAGTTGATTTTTCTTATGCCATCATTTCTGTAACTCCATAGTTTATTTGCATTTATTAGCATCTATTCTTTTTCATATTTTGTAGGACAACTTACATAGTTTAAAGTACTTTTCCTGATATTATTAAAGACTCACAATATTCTTTTAAAGTGCATGACTTCATGTCCTTTGCAGGGATATGGATGGAGCTGGAAATCATCATTCTCAGCAAACTAACACAAGAACGGAAAACCAAACACCGCATGTTCTCTCTCATAAGTGGGAGCTGAACATGAAAATACATGGACACGGGGAGGGGAGCATCACACACCAGGGCCCGTTGGTGGGTAGGGAGCTAGGGGAGGGATAGCATTAGGAGAAATACCTAATGTAGATGATGGGTTGATGGGTGCAGCAAACCACCATGGCACGTGTATATACCTATGTAACAAACCTGCACGTTCTGCACATGTATCCCAGAACTTAAAGTATATTTAAAAAGTGCAAAAGTGCATAACAAAGCATAGGCAATTTTCACTTTATGTGTTACTTGTTGAAACACAGGCTAATAGATAGTACAATCAAAAAAGAAGAAATGCTAAGACAAAAACACAAATTAGCAACTTGAACATGTTGGGCAACTTCCTGCGGCAAAGTAGCTCTGACGTCTCAGTCATGAGTGATGGTGGCAAAGGTCGGAAGACGGCAGACGGTACACTTCCACCAGGCCACAGGCTTGGCAAGGGCTCTGTAGCCCAGACTGAAGTCCCACACAAGTATTCATGACCATCACATGCTGGACAGTGGGGAGATGTCTCCAGTTGTCCTTCCATAGTTTATAGAGGTTTACTCTAGAATAAACTGGCTCCTACTCTCCTTGGTTCTGCCAGGAAGCAGAATTCCTCATTTGCAAAAATTCTTTATGTATAAACATTGTTTCCAGCTGAGAAACCTCAAAACTGTTCACTCTGACAACCTTGCCCAAGGTACCTGCTGCCTTATTTTAGTCTTATCCGTATCAACCAGGTCTTTTCACGTTTGTCGTCCTGTTGTATCCGGACATCGCAAAGCTGACACCAGAAACTGCAGGTTCTTTCTTCTGAATTCTAATGGGTGGAATCAGCAAATGAAAGCAGCACTCGTCCTTTTTCTGGCTATATAGACTCTAAATATTTATCCAGTTGTTTATTTTTAGCTGTGTTTATGTTCATCTGTTGCTCAATTTTTTTTTAAATGTGGTTGAGTCCATCTGTGTTTTTCTTTAAGGCTTTTGACTTCTGATTAGAAATACGTTCCCTCATGTTCACTCCTATAAATATTCTTGAGTTTTGTTCTGGATGCAGTTAAATTACTTGCAAGCTATTTTTGATCATTTTGATACATGCTTTTAGTATATGAAGGCAGGACAACAGCCGTATTTAGCCCAGGGCTAATAATTCCACATACAGAGGCAAGATCTTCCTGGGTACTCTATCCAATGACCTTGTGAGTTACGAAGTTTTCTGCTGTAGGTATTAGGAATGCACACTGCTCCCTCCCTAGTGTGAGGGCCAAGCACATTTTTCTCTAATAATCTCATGTGATTCTTTTCTGGGCCTTGGATACCTCCTTCACATGTGTGTGCTAGTCGATTTCTGCTCAATACTGGAGGGTGATCATCTGAATAGCTCCAAGTTTCTCTCTCTCTCCCTTTATCTGGCTCTCTCCTCTTCAACATTCTGTCCTATGAACTCTAGTTGCCTTGGTCTCCCCAGATTTCCGGATCCATCTCCTGAACACAGCTAGTTAAGCTCCCCTTGGTTTCCAATCCTTGCATCATAGCCTGAAAATTCTCCCCAGATAGGAAGCTGGGGAAACCTCATTTTTCACCTCATTTGTTTTCTGTCTCTAATGGATCATATTCTTGGTTTCTCAATGTCTGTTTTGTATATTTTGTTTTTCCATATTTTGTCTAAATTTTTTGTCTGTTGCAAACAGGAAGGAGGATAAAGATACTGCTTTTTACTCTATCTTGTCCAGAAGAGGAATTCAAATTATCCTTTCCATTATGTGTTTAACATCAATTGTTATAGTTCAAGCACATCTTCCTTCCGTTTTGAAGGAAGATTCAACACCATTTGTTTTTCATAAGTTTTTTAAGAATCTGTACAAAAATCATGTTATATGTTTATTGGCTAATTTATAGGAAAATTGCTTCTATAAAGTAGACCACTTTATGATACAGGGATAAGATTTGGGATTTTTGATTCATCTCTTGGGTATTTCCCTCAGTAGCACTTTAAAATTTTATCTCTATATTCTGTGTCTTGCAAAGCCTATTCCTAGATATTTTATCCTCTTTTGTTTATCTTAAAAATGGAATGTTATTTATTAACTGTTATTCATATTTAGATAAGTTATTGATTCTTGCAAATTAATTTTGCATCCAGGTGGTGAGGTACCTTCTATTATTTATTTGAAATGATTCCAATTGAATATTTTTATCTATCTATACAGTCTTGTCTCTCATACATATTCCCTCCCTCCTCAAATCATAATTTGTTTGTATTTTTTTCAATATGCATGTAGTATAAGAAGTTTGGTGCCTGTGGCAGCCATTAGTTTTATAAGTTAAATGAGTTTTGGATCTTTCTCTTACCTTTGGCATGTGAATTAGAAAGCTGGGATTTGAGAAAATTTTATTGAGAATCCTTTTCTACTCTACTTTTCTACTTCATGAGAGAGTCACAGAACTTTATAATTTCTTTCTTTTTTTTTTTTTTTTTTTTTTTTGAGACGGAGTCTTGCTGTGTCGCCCAGGCTAGAGTGCAGTGGCACGATCTCGGCTCACTGCAACCTCCGCCTCCCGGGTTCACACCATTCTCCTGCCTCAGCCTCCTGAGTAGCTGGGACTACAGGTGCCCACCACCACACCCAGCTAATTTTTTGTATTTTTAGTAGAGACGGGGTTTCACCGTGTTAGCCAGGATGGTCTCGATCTCCTGACCTCGTGATCCACCCGCCTCGGCCTCCCAAAGTGCTGGGATTACAGGCATGAGCCACCGCGCCCAGCCTATAATTTCTTTTAAATTAATTTAGATTGTTCAAGAGGGCAATTTCACATAGGTATTAAGATTTAGCATAGTGCTTTATCTTATAAATATTCAAAAATAGAAGTGTAACATAAGTAAGGTAAGTGGATTGTGTGTGTTAAGAATTTAAATTACATATAGATGAATTAAATATCTGGGTTTAGAGTAAATCATCTGCATTAGTAGAGCAAGTTTAAATACATGGCTTGGAGAAATATTCAAATTCAAATATACATTACCTAAGGCTTAAAATTGAAAGAGAATGTAGCCAAAAGAAAACAAATGTGGTGAGTGTTATCAGGCTGAATATTTTCATTTGCTTTGATTAAATTTTTTATTAAACATGTTTTAATATTGTGGTATCTATTAACTAGGTTAATGCTAATGGTGGTAACCAATACACCTAAAATTTCAGGACCTCAAAATATAAATTTATTGGCCATGGGCAGTGGCTCACACCTGTAATCCCAGCACTTTGGGAGGCTGAGGAGGGTGAATCACTTGAGGTCAGGAGTTTGAGACCAGCCTGGGCAACATGGTGAAACCGTATCTCCACTAAAATTACAAAAATTAGCTGGGCCTGGTGACTCAGGCCTGCAATATCAGCCACTCAGGAGGCTGAGACAGGAGAATCACTTGGAATTGGGAGGCGGAGGTTCCAGCCTGGGCAACAGAGCCAGACTCTGTCTCAAAAATATTAAATAAATAAAAAATAAAAGTAAATTTATTCATGCTTTGCAAGGACAATCTGGATAACAGGGGCTACTGTAAGCATTTTGGGAATAAGTGTGTCCTACATGATTTCTGAAGATGAAAGGAGCCGCCTGCACTCAGAGAAGCTGTCACTGGCATCTCAGTTGGTGAGGCACCAAATTGGGTGTTTCTCAGGCTCACAAGAAGCTTCAGAAGTTTTCAGGAATCTCTGAGAGGCTCGTATCAGCTGTCCCAGTCAGTGGTAGTGAGGTGGGGACTTCCCAGGAGCTCACTGGGAAGCCACAGTAAACCCGCATCTGGTCTGCCCTCAGCTGGCTCTGAGGTTAATGGTGTCTCTTCCTCTACCATCTTCCAAATTGTGTGCATATTCTCTTTGGTAAATTCTAACCCGGAACCAGACAGGGAAAGGGATTCTTCATTTCAACACACAGAGAAGCTTGTAAAGGGATGGTGGTGGAAGTGATCTGATAACAGCCAAACATGCATAATCACCAAATCCTGTGATGTGATGGGTCCTGGTGGCATGGTGCTTTATTGCCCATGGATGCAGAGGTCTGGGATTGTCCAGCCTGTAACTTCAACATCGCCTCAGGCCTGCACATGGCCAGTGGTGGTTGGAAGCCTGAAGAAGGTACATGTTCACTTCTTAACTGTCTTGGACTCAAAGTGGACAACATCGCTTCCACTGAGAGAAAGCAGTTGCAGGACCCACCCAGCACCATGAGGGGCTGCCTCCCAGGGACCATTAGTATTTCAAATGATGAAAGGAGGAAAAGTGATATGAATGAAAACTTTACTGAAATAATTTACCAAAAAACAATAAAATTGACCTTTACAATGGGAAAAATGCTAATTCCAGTATACAACATGAAATAACAGATTGTCAACCCTGAATTATACTGTTGGCACCTTGACATTTCTTATTTATTAAATGATTGCTTTCAATACCTTTGAAACATGCTAGCATTTTTTTCTAGGACACAAATACTAGTACTAAAATCATCCCTAATTACTGCATATAAGTATTGAAATAATGTTTTTCCTCTTCTCTGGTGACAGTCACACCAGTCCCTGTCCTAAAGGGAATAATCACATTGCTGAGCACTTCCAGAAAAGCAACCTTAACTAAAAATTGATGAAGAATCTAATGTTTGCAGGTAAAATACATTTCTTACACAAACATAGCAATCACACGTTATGCTTATTTGGAGTTTTATGAATATCTGTATTTGATATGGTTTAACTTTCCCACCCAAATCTCATATTGAATTGTAGCTTCCATAATCCCCACATGTCATGGGAGGGACCTAGAAGGAGGTAACTGAATCATGGGGGCAGGTTTTTACCATGCTGTTCTCATGATACTGAATAAGTCTCAGGAAATCTGATGGCTTATAAAGGACAGTTGCTTTGCACAGGCTCTCTTGCCTGCCACCACGTAATATGTGCCTTTGCTCTTCTTTTGCCTTCTGCCATGTAATATGTGCCTTTGCTCTTCTTTTGCCTTCTGCCATGATTGCGAGGTCTCCCCAGCCATGTGGAACTGTGAGTCCATTAAATCTCTTTTTCTACATAAATTTATCAGTCTTGGGTATGTCTTTATTAGCAGCCTGAGAGCAGACCAATACAACATCCTAAAACCTTATTTTAGCTAGAAAATAGTCTTGTTTTGCACTTACTATTGTGAAAAAAGAATAGAGGTTACCTGAACTTCCACTCAGAACTTTTAGCAAGCAATGAGAAAGTAAACCGTATTTTTCTGTAACATCTTCTGTTAACTTTAGTGTGAAACGAGATTTGAAAGAATTACTTAATCTAGGAACACATTATACTTTTTCTTCACCTACACAAGTTTCATTGAACAGCCTCTGAATGAATGAGCTAAATAAATGATTGACTTATGTAATGTGTTTATTTCTCTGTCTGTATACCAGGCTCTCAAAATCAGATGTTTTTTATTGTTTGCCTAACAATATCTGCCACATTAACTTTTGTGAAGGAACAAAAGTGGAAATTACTGTCAAATGTGCCTGATCACCTCTTTTCTTTTCTACTGAAATGGTAATATTTCTCTGTGCAGAAATGATCTCTATGCATTCACAGCACACAATTTTACTTCCCTTCCTTTATTATGGTATTGAAATTCTAATGAAATTTACAGCATTAATGTCCAATCACTTACCCTATATCTGGTTTGCAATGTTACATACATTTTTCTCTGTAGAAAAACAAGAAGTTACTGAGACAGATACACTGTTTCCCCAAAGAGGCATTACTATTTAAAGGCATGGAAAGAGTTTGTCCCTGGGTCATCTGAGTTATTACTTAAGTAGATGCAACTATCAGTAACTGCCTGAAATACAAGCTTCTTCAGTGATTATCTTCAATTTGTTTAAAATTTGAGACCAATTAACAGAAACAGTGCATAATGCTAAACAGTAATTACAGCTCTGACAAAGATATTTTGCAGATCATATATTTCCAAGCAACTTGATTGTTCTAAAATAAGCTTAGCACAAAAGGTCTCACTTTATAGATGCATTACCTAAAAGTTTTAGGCAAAGTGGATTTAAAAGTGAATTAAGTCTCAAGATAATAAAAAACACATTTCCATATAATCTCAAATTTAGAGTAGTATTATCATTTATATTTTTGCAAAGCACCTTTTCATATATGGGTTTATCAAGCAGTTACTTGCAAAGTAAAATTCACAATGCTGAATGGAATTGGCACTCACAGACTTCGCGAATAGTCACGTCAAGGCCCATTATAGCGCTGAGTTTTTTGTGAATTTGGGAAGCAATGAATTTTGTTTTGTTTTTGTTGTTTGTTTATTTTTTGTTATCTTATGTATTTGTGAAGGAAACCAGAATGAAAGACAATAATAGAAATAAAGTAGACTTCCTCAAAAAAGGAATATGTATGTGTCCCAGTCTTGAGAGCAGGTCTGTTCTGCGTTTCTCCAAGGTGGAGTAGATTCTCCAGTGTGCTTTCCATGGTGGCAGAAAACCTCAGAGGCAGCTTCTTGGGGAAGGCTGTAACGTGTTTGGGGTCACTGCAGCTGGGCCACATTAGCTTTTACAGTCTTAAAGCAGTGCTACATTAGGCTATTAAACAAATGTTGCATTAAAAAATCAGCAAGACATGTTGGTAAATCAAAAATATAATTGAATGGGCTCAATGTTGTATAATTGAATGGTCTCAATATTTAGAAATTGTTCTAAAATCAATTTTTTGTCACTGGCACATATATTAATTTGGCTCTAGGCCTCCATAACAATAGAAAAAGTAAAATTTCCTGGGAAAATGCACAGTAATACTTAAGTCTTCATTTTAATACAACACTAAATTGTAAAAAGTAAATTATATATTAATAAAGAAAATGTAAATATGATTGAGAATATTGTAATATTACTGCACCTAAGTAAGCCTAGAAAATTGGCATATGTCCAGCAAAGAATGTAACTTACATTTATGTAATTATGTAAAATCATATAGAAAATAAAAATATTCTCTATTTTTTCTAAATGAAAATTGATGGGTTTATATCCCAAATTATTGGCCTATATTTTACCTACACTTTATCATATTTAACCCATTATTGAAAATTATGCTTCACTCTGTTATTAGACTAAAAAATGATATGTCAGCTTTCTATTCTTTGGCAGATTTTTGTATTAATGAAATAATGGCTTAGTATTGATTATTGCTTTGCATTTCCCATATTAATAACACAAACTAGCAAAGTTGCTTACTTCAAGCCAATTGATTCAAGTGATTGAACATCTACAGAAAGATGCAAACAGGTATGCAGTTTAGATTTTAAGTACCCTGTCAGAATCAATACCAATGATATCTATGGTCTGTGTGAAATCATTATAAACTAAAATTGGAAAAAAAAAAAAGATTTCCAAATGACTGAGCTATTGCTTAATATTTCCCTATGTGTACATTTTATTTTTTGATGTATGTTTTGTCAGTTCCTCAATGTATTTATATATAAACACTTTCTTTTTTATGAATTAAATTAAATATCAAACTCTTTGAGAACACTATGCAGCATTAGTGCATTTCATCATAAGAATTCCACCTCCAGGAGCAATGGAGATTTCAAATGCCATGAATTGTTTTAGTAGAATTTTGCTTAAAATTATTATTTTGTATTTATAGTGATAAGAATCTATCTTTAAAAGAATCAAGTTGTTTTAAATTTCATATTTTTGCATTTTACATATTACTTATTTTATATGGTTTGGTTAGTAACAAAGTCATATACCCATGTATGTAAATATGTATTTCTTATATACAAAGAAGAGACCTTACATTGACTTTGAACTGAGACACATCTTCAGAAGTTATGCCACTAGTAAAGACAAAATACATGGGAAGAAAGAAGGGGAACATAAAGGAAACAAAACAGAGAGGAAAAAAGGTAAGAGATGTGGGGGCATTAGTTTTGATTTTTAATCATTTGGATAATAAGCATCATTTCTTATGAGTACTCTCTCTGTGATAGATCTCTGACACAGCTACTCTCTTCAGCACCCATGGAGGAGCTCAGGCAGCTAGTTCACCCACTCCTCACCCCCTGTCTAACCTCTCTAAATAGTCCCACGCATGTTTGTGTGGTAGGGACATAATCTTGGCACTATAAAAATTGTCAGTCCATCGTTTCTGGCTTCCATCATTTCTGCTGAGAAGTTACTGCCAGTCTTAAGGTTTTAGGTTTTTCATTTGGAAATCATGTGTCTCTTATTCTCTGGTTACTTTGGAGATGTCTACTTGTCTTTTATTTTGAATGTTTTACTACAATTTTATGTGTGTGTGTGTCCCAGCTACAGTGATCCCAAACACAGACAGTCTCTCTGTCACCCAGGCTGGGTGCAGTGGCATGATCTTGGCTCACTGCAAAGTCCGCCTCCTGGGTTCAAGCGATTCTCATGCCTCAGCCTCCTGAGTGACTGGGATTACAGGCGTGTACCAGCAAGCCTGAATAATTTTTGTATTTTCAGTAGAGACGGGGTTTCACCATGTTGTCCAGGCTAGTCTCGAACTCCTGGCCTCAAGTGATCTGCCTGCCTTGGCCTCCCAAAGTGCTGGGGTTACAGGCGTGAGCCACTGTGCATGGCTAGTGTTTTACTATAATATTTTCAGGTGTTGGTCTCATCGTGTTTATCTTTCCTAAAGTTCTTCAAGGCTTGTAAATGTATAAGTCGATGTTTTTCATTATCATAACTTCGATTTTTGCTTTGTACTCATCCTCCCTCTTAACTTTTAGAATTATGTACAGATGTTTACTATATCCATATAATAGTATAGATATTAAATATATATACATTATTTATAATTATATAATATATAGAATATATATATACTATATTTTATATATAAATTATATATATGTATACACAGTTGGCTTTTTTTACCATGTCCTGAATGTATCTTATAATATGCTATATTCTTCCATTTTTTTAATCTCTCTGTGATTACATTTGATTACTTTTATTCAACTAGTTTCTAGTTCAATTATCCCAATTTCTGCTAGTCCAATCTTCTCTTAAACCTATCCATTGAGTGGATTGCAAATATTGCGTTTTTCCACATTTTCAGTATCCTTTTGACTGTTTATAAATTCTGTATTCCCCCCCTTTTTTTATATATAAATTCTGTATTCTCCTTGTTTTTTGTTTTTTTCTTTCCGACTTAACTTTAGGTTCAAGGGGCTCATGTGCAGGCTTGTGCCCCATTGATGGGCATTTAGGTTGATTCCATGTGTTTGCTATTGTGAATAGTACTATGATGAATATACGTGTGCATGTGTCTTTATGGCAGAACTATATTTATTCCTTTAGATATATACCCAATAATGGGATTGCTGGATTAATTTTTTAAGTTCTTTGAGAAATCGTCAAACTGCTTTCCACCATGGCTGAACTTGTTTACATTTCGACCAGCAGTGTTTAAACATTCCCTTCTCTGTACAACCTTACCAGTATCTGTTATTTTTTGTCTTCTTAATTAACAGCAATTCTGACTGGTGTGAGCTGGCATCTCATTGTGATTTTGCATTTGTCTAATGATTAGTGACGTTGAGCACTTTTTCATATGCTTGTTGGCCACATGAACGTCCTCTTTTGAAGTGTTTGTTCATGTCCTTTGCCTATTTATTTATTTATTTATTTTTGAAATGGAGTCTCACTCTTGTTGCCCAGGCTGGAGTGCAGCGGCACCATCTTGGCTCACCACAACCTCCGCCTCCTCAGCCTCCTGAGTAGCTGGGATTACAGGCATGCACCACCACGCTTGGCCATTTTTTTTTTTTTGTATTTTTAGTAGCGATGGGGTTTCTCCATGTTGGTCAGGCTGGTCGTGAACTTCCAACCTCAGGTGATCCGCCCACCTTGGCCTCCCAAAGTGCTGGAATTACAGGCGTGAGCCACCGCGCCCCACCCTGCCCACTTTTTAATGGTTTTTTTTTTCTTTTGCTTGTAAATTTGTTTATGTTCTTTATAGATTCCGGATATTAGATCTTTGTCAGATGCATACTTTGCGAAGATTTTCTCCCATTAAATAGTTTCTTCTTAAATAAGTTTTATTTTAAAATATTTAAAATTGAATCCAACAATTAGTTGATTTTGAGGGTTCACTCCAGAAAAACAAAAATTAATTAAATATCTTACTGCTCTTATGACAGAGCCAGCTTTTGTGTTCAGATGTAGAAATGCCCTTTCATGAAACTTTCTTAATTTTTTTCTCCCTTTCTCATTTTAATATGCGTCTTTTAAAAAATTCCTTATGAATGTTATTGTTTGGGGGCAGCTTGCTGTAAACTGCTACAAACTATTAAAGTAAGAATGATATAAATATACAAAAATGACTGAAATATGAATATACTGGGTGGATTATGAATTTTTCAATTTGCTATCTCATTCGTGGTTTTGTAATTTACCTTTCCATGCTTAACTGGGGGTGAAAGTTGGTTCGTGACATTCACTTGTGGAATTTCTCATTCCATCTGCTGTCATAGAGGCTTGACCTTTCCTTCAGTCTTCCTTAATAGCAAAATGAAAGAGGCTCGAGAATGTACAGAAATTGTTTGTTTCTTTAGTATTTCAAAGAAAACATTTCTTTAGTCTATATACTCTTGATAATTGGGGCAATATCAAGTCACCATTTACGTTTTTCATTTGTTTGTTTTCAAAGAACAAGCTAAGACACCGCCTTGTGCATTCTTGACTGTTGTTCAGAGCTGGAGGCTCTTACTAGGAATGATAATTAGACAATGTTTGGGTAAGAAAATGAAAGTTCATGGCACTATCAGCTAACACAGTGAATGGTTTCAAATGATTTCGAATACCAAAGTCTCTTTCTATGTTTATTTCTCATGAAGTAACATTTTGACTTACTACTAATAATGTGTTAGACTTCTTCGAAAAGATATAGTCTCCCAATATAATATAGGGAAACTAACTGCCAAATGCACTATACTCTGTAAATTCAGAAGACAGTGATTTTTAGGAATACTTATTCAAGGTTTTCTTGTCATGACGTTCTTTGTTCAGCAAGGCAATATTTTAGTTTGATGATTTCAGTGACTTATGGCCGCATTATGCCAGTGATTTACAAAGTCCTATTTGGTTAGCTTCCAATTTTTCTCTCCCTTTTCTTTTCAAATTGAAAAAATATCTTTAATCTATCTCAGTCATAATCACATTTTATAAGAATTTATGTATATAGTGGTCTGACCTTTCTCTAGCAGTGAGCACTTACTTTCAGCTCCCAATAACAAAAACCTGACTTCAGAGGTTTATCCTTCATAAGGATTCATTCTCTTACATAAAAGAGGTATGAAAGTTGGCTGTCCAGGTTCCGATATCAACTCCACAAAATGGAAAAGGCTCAGATGCACTTCTATTTTCTATCTGTACTACCACCTTTAGCATCGAGCTTCCAACTATAAGCAGAAGGGCAGCTGGGATCACAGCACTCAGCCTATCCCATCAACATTTCTAGCTGAAGGAGCCCTGCTGATAGTGCATGCCTTCATGTGGATGCCAAAGTTAATGAGATAAAAGACACTTTTCTAAGTGAAAATTAAAACAATGTGAAAAAAACAGGTTTTATGCACTAAAGTTTTTAAAAGAGTAACTAGATTAAATATATGTTTAGAGAACGTTAAGGTCCCTGAAAGATTATTTTATTACAGAAAGAGAATTTTGCAGACCATGGTTTGCAAACCTGGTCACCAGATCTACTGGTCATACAAAATTGTGACTTAACAAATCACTCCTTGGTTTTAACATTTTTTTAGGAACCTTAGACCTCCCATATCAGGGTTGCCAAAAAATGGTAATGGGCTAAGGGTGGTATACAATATCAATGAGTTTCCCTTGCACACCCTTTTGTTAGCAATCTATGGATCTAGTGATCATCCAGCAATGTAAAGTACATCACCAGTGATTTACAATATATTTGTACCATTAATAATTTAACACAACAACCCCAGCAAACAGATTTATCTCTAAAGTTGCATATGTATTCATAAGATTTATTAAAATATCCATACCTATTTTTATGCACAATATAAATTTTATAGTGATAGGACAATTAAATAGTTATAACTTGTCAACAACTCATAGAACTTAATTTTCTTTAATAGCTGATGATTTCCCAATAAATGGCTTATGATGCGCTTCATCATCTTAATGAAATGTGAAGCTCTTTAAAATGAATGTGCTTGCAGAGGAGGTAATAATGCACTTCATAACAACATTGTAGATAACTCGTGATTTGCTAGCATGTTTTCCTCACATGATTCTGCCATAAATACATTATTACTGCATTAAACCTGCCATTAAAATAAAGTGAGGAAAACATTCAAAACAGTACAACTTAAGTTATTCATCCCATGCAAATATTTTGTATCAAAGGGAAAAGTTAAATTAACATTCTGAAACTCAAGAAATGCATCCACAATGGTTTTTCATTGTTTTTTTTCTTTTTTTTTATATTATACTTTAAGTTTTAGGGTACATGTGCACAACGTGCAGGTTTGTTACATATGTATACATGTGCCATGTTCGTGTGCTGCACCCATTAACTCATCATTTAACATTAGGTACATCTCCTAACGCTATCCCTCCCCCCTCCCCCCGCTCCACAACAGGCCCCGGTCTGTGATGTTCCCCCTTCCTGTATCCATGTGTTCTCATTGTTCAATTCCCACCTATGAGTGAGAATATGCGGTGTTCGGTTTTTTGTCCTTGCGATAGTTTACTGAGAATGATGATTTCCAGCTTCATCCATGTCCCTACAAAGGACATGAACTCATCATTTTTTATGGCTGCATAGTATTCCATGGTGTATATGTGCCACATTTTCTTAATCCAGTCTATCATTGTTGGACGTTTGGGTTGGTTCCAAGTCTTTGCTATTGTGAATAGTGCCGCAATAAACATATATGTGCATGTGTCTTTATAGCAGCATGATTTATAATCCTTTGGGTATATACCCAGTAATGGGATGGCTGGGTCAAATGGTATTTCTGGTTCTAGATCCCTGAGGAATCGCCACACTGACTTCCACAATGGTTGAACTAGTTTACGGTCCCACCAACAGTGTAAAAGTGTTCCTTTTTCTCCACATCCTCTCCAGCACCTGTTGTTTCCTGACTTTTTAATGATTGCCTTTCTAACTGGTGTGAGATGGTATCTCATTGTGGTTTTGATTTGCATTTCTCTGATGGCCAGTGATGATGAGCATTTTTTCATGTGTCTTTTGGCTGAATAAATGTCTTCTTTTGAGAAGTGTCTGTGCTCATGGGTAGGAAGAATTAACATCATGAAAATGGCCATACTGCCCAAAGTAATTTATAGACTCAATGCCATCCCCATCAAGCTACCAATGACTTTCTTCACAGAATTGGAAAAAACTACTTGAAAGTTCATATGGAACCAAAGAAGAGCCCGCATTGCCAAGTCAATCCTAATCCAAAAGAATAAAGCTGGAGTCATCACGCTACCTGACTTCAAACTATACTACAAGGCTACAGTAACCAAAACAGCATGGTACTGGTACCAAAACAGAGATATAGACCAATGGAACAGAACAGAGCCCTCAGAAATAATGCCACATATCTACAACTATCTGATCTTTGACAAACCTGACAAAAACAAGAAATGGGGAAAGGATTTCCTCTTTAATAAATGGTGCTGGAAAAACTGGCTAGTCATATGTAGAAAGCTGAAACTGGATCCCTTCCTTACACCTCATACAAAAATTAATTCAAGATGGATTAAAGACTTAAACATTAGACCTAAAACCATAAAAACCCTAGAAGAAAACCTAGGCAATACCATTCAGGACATAGGCATGGGCAAGGACTTCATGTCTAAAACACCAAAAGCAATGGCAACAAAAGCCAAAATTGACAAATGGGATATAATTAAGCTAAGGAGCTTCTGCACAGCAAAAGAAACTACCATCAGAGTGAACAGGCAACCTACAGAATGGGAGAAAATTTTTGCAATCTACTGATCTGACAAAGGGCTAATATCCAGAATCTACAATGAACTCAAACAAATTTACAAGAAAAAAACAACCCCATCAACAAGTGGGTTTTTCATTGTTTTATCCTAAAAATACCATGATATTAATGCTTTATCCTAAAAATACCATGATATTAAATTTGCTTCTTGGTTACTATGTAAGTATTGTATTCCTGGAAGATTTTGAGATGCCTATGGTTCCCTGGAGTCATCTGATATCCACAGAACTTCTCAATATTGTCTTCAAAAAGTATTACATACTGCATATGACTGTATGTGCTATACTTTTATATGACTGAGAGTACAGCAAGTTTGTTTCCACTAGCATCACCACAACCACGAGTAAATGTGTTGCATTATGTCATTCTGTCATGACAGTTATGACATCATCAGGCAACAGGAAGTTTTTGCTCCATTATAGTCTCATAAAACCACTGTCACATATGGGGTCCATCATTGGCCAGAACATTGTTATGCAGTGTGTGACTATACTTCTAAAGTCATCCATCTACAATACATGACTTTTCTCTATATATTATATTTTCTATTGCCAGGAAATAGATTCACACATATGTAGAGTTTGAACCAACTGCATATGAATCATCTGTAAATGTAAGGGAGAAGTTTTTATTATAGGATTTAGAATTTGGACCCTAATGAATTTTTGAAAATTATTACAATAGTAATCAAATAAATTATATTGTGTAATTCCCAGTGTCTGAGTCTTCACGTAACATAGTATAACATGGAAACCAATGTTTGTCCTGTTCTTGCTTTATATATGTTTCTACATATTAAAAACCAACAAATTTTCAGACAAAAGTTATATATACACTTGTGAAAAACAAACAAAAACAGATTTTAAGTGCTAGACAGTAACTTGTCATTTTTCCTGACTTCTTATTCAACTTCCTCTTGGACACTTTTCAAATTGGCGGATGGTATTTGACATGAATTAGACTTCTGTGTCATTGACTAGTCTTGTTGCAAAAGCCAAACACCATGGAGAATAAAATTATACTGAGAAAATCTGAGATCAACTTATCTCTCTGTGGATGTCAATTCAAGCTCTAATTCCTTTGGGAAACTGTTTTTTAAAAGAAGCCCTCATTGTTTTAGTACAAGGATGCTGGAAGACCTCATTTCAGACAGAGGTAATCCAAGAAATTAGATTGTATGTTTTGTTCAAGCCACATTTAAGATTCCCTTCTGGAAAAACTTTGTCTTGAGTCTGTTCTTTTTGGCACCTTCAACATACATCCAATCGAGTATCCTACTATAATTTGTTTTTTGGGCTTCAATCTCCCAACTAAGTCTATAGCTTTTTTTAATAGGACTTTTTTTTTTTAAAAAAAAAAACCTCTCCAGCATCTAGCATAATAACTGATACATAAAAAGTGATCAACATGTTTTATAAAAAAAGAAATACTACAAAATTACTACTACACAGCGTACTTATATACCTGGTTTTAATTAATTTATTAGATGTTGTTTCTAATTTAGTTGAAGTAAAATTACTCTTTCTTATTAATTTAGGATTAGTGGAAATGTATGCTTTTCTATTGATACTTGGTGTGCAGTTTAATGCCTGTAGCTGAGAATAGATACTTTCCTTCTCTGTTCATATGCAGCACAGCACCTCACAAGACTACATACTCAAGTCTTTAATCTGTGCTAAATGGTCTTCAAGGAGGAGATGCAAGCTAGATATATTTTAATGTAGCATTATTATATCAATATTCTTTGTGCTTAGTGAAAAGGATTGTTTTTTATTGTTTCCTAAATGTAAAAATGGGTATGAATTCTTTTTTTTTTTTTTTTAATTTTTGAGATGGAGCCTCACTCTGTCACCCAGGCTGAAGTGCAGTGGTATGATTGAGGTCAAGCAATTCTCCTGCCTCAGCCTCCCGAGTAACTGAGATTACAGGTGCCTGCCACCACACCTGGCTAATTTTTCTATTTTTAGTAGAGACAGGGTTTCACCATGTTTGCCAGGTTGGTCTCAAACTCCTGACCTCAAGTGATCTGCCCACCTAGGCCTCCCAAAGTACTGGACTTACAGGCATGAACCACCGTGCTCAGCAGGGTATGGAGTTCTAAGAAATGCTTTTTTGATGTAAACTATTAAATATTGCCTCACATTAACAAACTTATTAATATTGAATTACTTGTGCCTCTGGAATTAACAGTACTTTGTCACTATGTAGTATCCTTTTTAAGAACCTGCTAGATTCAATTTTAGAGCTGTTTCAGGACTCTAGTATTAATATTCATAAGTTGTTCAATCACTTTCTTTCCCATGATGCAAATCCGGATACAAAAGCCAGCTTGTATTAGTGGGGATAAACGAGATTGTGCTAAAGTAATGAATAAACACCTAACTCTCAGTTTTTAACCAAAGGTCTATTTTTAGGCAATGGTCTAGATACAAAGCTAGTAAACTGGGGACTCTCTTCCACAAAATCACTCAGGGACTTTAGTGCAATGAATCACCATTTCTGGCCGCAGTGTTGGAACTTGGGAACTTCACCGTCACTGGGGCAGAAGAGACCGCATGAAGATCTCACACCGACTGAGGCCATGCCAGCCAAATGTCACATCTTGCAGACCACTAGTTGCAACTAGACTTGTGACTTGTCAAATGGCTAGGTTGTGTAGTCTTCCTTGTGCCTGAATGGAGAATTGCATTTTGGTAACCCATAGCAGCCATTAACATATTTCTATGTTTGTCATGCTCTAAAAGAATTGTAATAACTTATAGTGTCTACCTCCTAGAAATTCTGTAGGATTAAATCGGTTAATATGTCTGGGGCCTGGCACATAGTGTGCACTAAAACCTGTCTATTTCTATAATTATTATACTAATTAGTAGTACAGCTGTCCTACATATCCATGGGGGATACATTTTAGATCCCAGCGGATGCCCGAAATCATGGATCATAGTAGTAAACTGTCTATACATTACAGAGAGTTTTATTTCCCATGCATACATAACTATGATAAAGTATGATCTATACATTAGGCACAATAAAAGATCAACAATAATAACTAATAATAAAACAGAAGAATTATACCCATATACTGCTCACAATTTCACAGAGAGCAGATTCATTCTTACCATGGATCTTTGCAATCATAGCATATAAGTTTTTTTATTTCCGCATTAAGTTGAAGACATTCGCCTTTCCACTTAAAGCACTTGAGGGCTTCCCTATGATACATCCACGTTTCCACCATATCATTATTCTTGTCCTTTGGGGTCATTATTAAATAAAATAAGGGTTGCTTGAACACAAGCACTGAGATTCTGCCGCAGTCAATTTGATAACACAGAGGGCTACTAAGTGACTAACAGTCAGGCAGAGTAGACAGTGTGGATTTGCTGTACAAAGGGATGGTGCAGGTCCCTGAAGGGTTGGATAGTATAAGATTTCAACATGCAATTTATAACTTATAAATTGTTTATTTCTGGACTTTCCGTTGGGCCTTTGTTGGCCACTGGTAACTGAAACCAAGGAAAGCAAAACTGCAGATAAGAGGGACTACTGTAATAATGGTGGTAGTGGTAGTCGTAGGGATAGTAGTAACAGTTACATCTGCAGTAGTAGCAGTAGTAGTGATACTGACAATAACAATAGCAGCAGTAATAATAGTGGTAGTCATTATAGCGAAGACAGTAGTGGCAGTAGGAGCAATGGTAGTAGGAATAGTGGGGATAGCAGTAGCAGGTGTAGCAGTAGCAGTAATAGTAGTAGTAACAGCAGTAGTAGTAATAGAAATAGTGGCAAGGATAGTAGTAACAGTGATAATAGTAATAGCAGCAGCAGCAACACTAGTAGTATTTGTAGCAGTAGCAGTAGTGGTACCAGTCCCTTCATTGCTTGGAAGAATTCACAAAAATTGGACATATACATCAAACTAAATTTTTACCATGTGAATTTCATGTTCCATTTTAAATTTTATCCCAATCATCTATAAATAATTCTCTTAGAGATTCAGTAGCGACATATCTATTTTAATCTATATTTGAAAACCCTGTTGAAATGGTTCATTCTACTATAATAGCACTTTATATGCTCACATAAGTGTTTTCATCTCCTCTGTGGTAGCTACTATCTTAGGCACTGGAACCAGAGGCTTTGCTCCAACCTCCACCTCTTCTGAGTTTTCTCTTTTTCCTCAGTTTTAATATGTAAGTCATAACAATATGACCTTGTAGGATTTTTTAAGGATTCAATGAGTTAATATGCATCAGGTACACAGAAGAGTGTCCAGCCTAGAATAATTGTTCACTTAGAGCTGTTAGGCGTCATTAATGGCGCCTCTGTCCCATGCTGTCTATTTGCACCAGCCCCTTTTTCTCTTAATCAGACATCAAACATTTGTCTATCTTTGACCTGATGGATTGCTTTTAGCTGTTATATTTCATAATCCATTTCTCAAGCATTTTTGGGGCAATTTTTATTGTTTTTGCCAAGGTCCTACAGTCACGTAAATAGTGAATTTATTTTCAGTGTTTGCTCAATTACATGCATTTAGCGCTATACTTTTTTCCTAATTGATTTGTATTTTCTTAATAGCTAATAATGTATCTTTTCATGTCCCTATTGACCATTCATATATCTCTCTTCTAATATGTCTTTTAAAATATTTTTCTCATTTTAATTTTTTTCTTCTTATTACTGAACAGTACAAGTTTTCTATATATTCTGGATAATACAAATGTTTTATTTTAGCTCGTGGCATGTCCTCTCTTTTTATTTTTTTAATCTTTAAAAGTGCAGACGTTTTTAATTTATGTTTCTTTTAATGTCTATAATTTATGCATTCTAAGAAAATTTGTGTGCCCCAAGGTCACAGCATTTGTCTTATAGAAGTCTTATAATTTAAGGTTTTACATTTACATTTAGGTTCTTATCCATTTAAAGGAAATGAATGTTGTGGGATAGGTTGTTCATCCACCTGCTACCACATGTAAGCATAGTCTATGGTTCCAACATGGTTTGTTGAAAAAAAAAACTATATCTATCATTTTGCTATGCTTTTTATTTTTATATAATGTTTGATGGGTTTTTTGCTGTTGTTTCCTCTTTTGGTTCATTTTGGCTTAGTTCATTGATTATCATTATATGGCTTGTGGTTGTATGTTTTTTAACCATATGTTCAGGAATTACATTAGAGATTACAACATACCTCTGTGTAGAGAGGCACACAGCAGAGCACAAGCTCGCTGCTCAGCATTGTTCTTCTTTCGAGGAGTTTGGCCCCTCAAGCATGAATTGTCTACCATTTTGGTTCCAACTATACCTTTGGCATAAAATCCTAGAACAGCAATCTTTCAGTAAAATCTCTTCACATTGATAAAACTTTTGACACCTGTTCTAAACTGTCTTTCACAAAGACTGAATCCATTTACTCTATCACCGAGGTATATAGCAGAAAGTATATTTACTTATAAAGTGATTCACTTCTATTGTTTCTTGTAGCAATACAGGCGGTAAACAAAGATGTAAAAAATTGAAGGAGTGATTCTGTCTACAAGAAAATTATTCTATATATTAGGGAGAAAATGTAGTGACCAAGAATCCTTTTTAGCTTAATAAAAAAAAGATAAATGAATGGCTTTTCCTTGATGAACTCCAAGCATCATATCAAGATCACTATAAATTTAACACTAGACAGTATATCAAAGAATAATATTACAGAGAATTTATGGTTTCACTTATATCACTTGGCTGTGAGAAGAACTAAACCTTTGTTTTGTGCCTTTCACTGTTTTGTGTAGATTTTTTCATCAAGGCATAAATGATAGTTCATGTGTTTTAATAAACTGTGCATGATTTGAGGTTTGGAACTCTACTTATTCCCAATTACATGCAACAGCTCCTACTGTGCTGTTAGTACTTAAAAAAAGTGTGTTGAATGAATGTTTCGTATGGGACCTAAACTTTGCAACATCAGCAAAATCTTTCATCTAAATTACGTCATCATAAGAATTGCCTTTTCCTGAAAAATTTTTCATGAGTGGCAAATAAGATCCTCTTCTGTTGATCAAGACTTTATTGGTGCATTTAAGATATAGAGAGGCAGCCGGGTGCGGTAGCTCATGCCTGTAATCCCAGCACTTTTGGAGGCCGAGGCGGGTGAATCATCTGAGATCAGGAGCTCGAGACCAGCCTGACCAACATGGGGAAACCCCATCTCTACTAAAAAAATATTTAAAAAATTAGCCGGGCATGGTGGCACATGCCTGTAATCCCAGCTACTCGGGAGGCTGAGGCAGGAGAATCGCTTGAACCCAGTAGGCGGAGGTTGCGGTGAGCCGAGTTCACGCCACTGCACTCCAGCCTGGACAGCAAGAGCAAAACTCTGTCTCAAAAAAAAAAAAAAAAAAAAAAAAGATATGAAGAGGCCTGGACTAAGCTTCACAGGTCAGTATTGAATAAAAAGAATCACATAATTTGTTATCTCAATTATTGTTTAAATATACATTTTCATATATTTTCTAATTTCAGAGTCTTTTCTTGCTAGTATAGCTAGTATACAAATGAGAAGAAATTATTATTTTTATAATGTCAAATCTGAGACTTAAAAAATTCTGGCCGTCTGCCATCATTCCTGCCTTACGCTCTCAGGATCTATGACGTATGGGTATGTGTGAGCCTGAGAACAAATTGTGGCTCCTGCAAACGTGGGGAGAGGACTCAGTTTGCACACACTCTACAATGTGGTAGAGAAGCCTGAAGCAGTGTTTACCTACTTCCTCATATGTCTTAGTCAAGATTCTCCCTGCACCATAATAAAAGCCTCTTGGCCTACTTGGCCTTGGGTATTAAATACGTCTGCAGAGCTTCAGGCACACCCTCACAAAAGTTCTCTCTAAGCACACTTTTTTTACAGAGCAATGGAGCCCAAAGTATTGATGAAACTATTAATCAAAACATCATTCCTTCAAATTTTAAATTATGGTATTCAATATTCTTGTGACAGTTATGATTTTAAAGGAGCTAAACTTCATTTTTTTTAGATGAAAAAGTCTCAAAAATTCTCAACAACTAAATATCCTAAGGGATGAAAATTTTCCAAGCTATAGGCATTCTGTTGAATTAAGACAAATCTATAGAAGGCCTTCAGGGAAAATCTCTTACAAATAACTATCCCAATAATGTTGGCGATGATTGTTTCCGCCTCAACAACTTGGTCACCATTTACTCCTTTGTTTACTCAGGTAACAGTATAGTTACATATATGGCAGGTTAAAAAATAACACAGCACACATCTAGCAAAAATATTATCTGAATCCGTAAAATGCAAAGCTATAAGCCATGGAGTGTATGGAGTAGAGGGAAAGAAAAGCAGCATTACCAAAAATATTACCTAATGCTTTCCCTGAGAAACTGAGGATACTTTTCCATATGTCTGAAATTTGTTAACTTTGTGTGAGTTAATACATTTTTTAAAAATTATTTTCTGTTATACACAATGCATACAGTTTAGTATATAATGTTTATTCATTTAATGTTTGGTATGAACAGTCTTAGCACATCAATACTAATAAATAATTTGAACAAGAACCATTGATTTAGCCCATGATTCTGTGGGTGGGAAACTCAGTCTGGGCTCCATCTGTTAGTTCTGCTGATCTTTGCTATTCTGGCTCACGCACTGTGGTCAGCCAGAGAGATGGCAGGTATTGATTGGTCCAGATGATCTCATGCTTAACAGTTCTATGGCTGTTAGTTGGGGCAATAAGGGGTGATTGAATAATGTGTTCTTGTTATCCAGCAGTGTGCACAGAGGTTGACTGCACTGAACTAACTGTTTCCAAGAGAGCTAGCCAAGTGTACAAGACCTCTTGAGGCCTGGATTTGGGATTGACTCACCTTCATTTTCCCATATTTCAATAGCCAAAGCTTGTCATAGGACTGGGGAAGGGAAGGGGTAGAAAACATACTCCACTCCTCGAAGAAGGACATGGAAAGTTATGTTACAAAGCACAAAAATCGGGGAAAAGTGAAGAATTGTGGCTGACTTTTCCATCTATGAGAAGTCACTTAAGTATTTTTGAGAAATGTTGTGACAAAATAAAATCAAACACAAAATAAAACAAAAGGGAAATTTTGTATATTGTAAAACCATTGGTGTTTATGAAAATGGTATGAAAATCCACATTTAGCTTTACAATGTCTCTCTTTGTTACTACCTTGTCTTCTGCATTATGTAGCACAAATAACATTGTTCACACCTCCTAGTAGGGTACATTAAAATGGTGAGGACCTTGGAAAAGACAAAGGTTCAAATTTGATATCCACATATAACTGATCAAAATAAGTTGTCATTATTTTCTTTGTGCAAGCATTTAAATTTAAAATACCTTTTAGTGATGATTGCCTGAGATATTGCAAGAGTCAAAAAATCTCTAATATTCAAAAATAAAAATTAGCCTCATTAATTTCTTCTCATTGTTTGGCCTCTTGTTTGACATTCATGTAGGTTATTTTCATAATGAAGTTTTGACTTTTACTTTGTAGAAATATTTTCTTATCACCAACACATTCAAAGGTTGGTAAAATAATGAAATGTCTTTAATATTTGAGAGAAATCTATTTTAACCAACTAAAATTAGTTAATAGTTTTTGTCATCTTTTACTGTGCTTCTGATGTTAAAAGCAAGCCAGACGACACTAACTGAAGTCCAAATTAAAGTAGCTTTGTAAGCATTGTTCTTTTTCTCCAAATTAACTCCATTTGAAATATCTCAAATCCAAATTTACCAAAGAAAGGTTAGAGCATAATAACATAGATGTGATATGTCACCTTCAGATCTTCTGCTGGGGCCCAGTCATGAGAGCATTGCCACTGGTTAACCCACAATCTCCCTCAGCTAAGCAGTCCTCACACCGTGGCTGCTCTAGAGATCAGTGCTTTCCTTATCAGGTCCTGACCATCCACTTTTGCAGCCTCCCCAACCCACCACCAGTGTTCCCCAACCCACCACCAGTATTCACTTGGCAAATATCCTCACTCATCATACACATGGAACCCTTTCCCTGCGGCATACCATCATGGTTTTCTGTATTGTTTTATTCTGTTTGCTTTTGTTTTTGCTGGTGAGTTCTGTATCCATAAGGACTCTAGCAGGAATTAGTGGATCTTCTCAACCTAAGGTGTGTTTAATAAAAGGACTTGGACCCTTTGCAGAGGTGTATGTGGAAGTTATGAGAACCCACAGAGAATGGGACAAAACACAGAAAGTAGAAATTGAGGGATGGTATTAACATTCTTTTGCTTGAAGGAAGAAAGGAGAGTAAGTATTGCCAGAAGATAAGGGAACTGTACCAATGGAGAAAAGTCATCCAAGGCAGAGCTGGGGTTGCAGGTGGAAGAATGCAGCTTGGCTCAAGAGTGGCATGGATGGAAAGGAAAGGTGGGAGGATGGAGGAACTATCCAGAGATCACTTTCTCTTTCTGCGTTCAAATTTTTAAACTCAAATATACACTAAGGGTAAAGAGTTCTGGGTAATGCAAGCCACAGAAATAAACCTTCTGGGGCACAGACATAATCAGCAGAGTAACATGAATAAATGCCTCTCAACCTGAACATAGTAAAATAAAACACGAAAAGCTTTAGTGCCTACCAGATCCTAAGCAAAGCCTGGGAATAAGAATTGACCAGCATTAGGAATGACCTTGTATTTGTAAATCGATTGAGCTGGTGTAACTTAATTGAGGAATGTTTGAGCAAAGTAGAGCTTGTGTTCTAGGTGAATGTAATGCTTTGGCTGTGCCCCCACCCAAAACTCATCAACAATTGTAATCCAAATTGTAATCCCCAAGTGTCCAGGGAGGGACCTGATGGGAGGTGACTGGATCATGGCAGTTTCCCCCATATTGTTTTCATGATAGTGAGTGAGTCCTCAGAAGAACTGATGGTTTTATAAGTGTTTGGCAGTTCCTCTCTTGTGCTTCACTCTGTCTCCTGCTGCCTTGTGAAGAAGGTAACTGCTCCCCTTCTGACATGACTCTAAGTTTCCTGAGGCCTCCCTAGCCATGCAGAACTGTGAGTCAATTAAACATGCTTTGTTTATAAATTACCCAGTATCAGGTAGTATCTTTATAGCAGTGTGAAAACAGACTAACAGAACAGTGGATGTGGTCAGTCAAGTAGGGAGGAGACAGTTCCTGTAAAGAAATGTAATTCTAATTTCTGCTAAGTGACAACACTAAAATACTTTGATTCTCATTGCTCTAGCATGCTCCTCCTTCCTGAAATTATTTTAGAACAGTGAAGTCTAGAATTATTTTTGAAGGAAATACTAGGCCAGAAGGAAAGTCATTAGAAGACACCTCTTACATTTTTAGAAAATTGTTATATAAAAGAAAGCTTTGAGGTGGCCTGTGTGGCTTTGCAGAAGAAGATATTATAAAATATTCAAAGCGACTAAGGGATGTCTTCATCTGCTTGGCTTTCCACAGAATAATACCATAGACTGGGTGGTTTAAGTAACAGAAATATATTTTCTTACAGTTCTGGAGGCTGGAAAGTCCAAGATCAGGGTTCCAGCAGGATTCAGTTTCTGGTGAGGACTCTCTTCCTGGCTTGCAGACTGCTACCTGCTTGTTGTGTTCTGATACAGCAGAAAGCTCTGGTGTCTTTTTCCTTTCTTTTCTTTTTTTTTTTTTTTTTTTGACAGAGTCTCGCTCTGTCACCAGGCTGGAGTGCAGTGGCGTGATCTCAGCTCACTGCAACCTCTGCCTTCCTGGTTCAAGTGATTCTCCTGACTCAGCCTCCTGAGTAGCTTGGATTATAGGCACATGCCATGCCACCACTCCCAGCTAATTTTTGTATTTTTAGTAGAGACAGGGTTTCACCATGTTGGCCAGGATGGTCTTGATCTCCTGACTTTGTGATCCACCCACCTCTGCCTCCCAAAGTGCTGGGATTACTGGCGTGAGCCAATGTGCCTGGCCTTTTTCTCTTCTTAGAGACACCAGTTTTATTGGATCAGAGCTCCACTCTGATGAACTCATTTAACCTTAAACTTTCTTAAAGGCCCTATATCTTTAATATAGTGACATGGATGCTAATTTTTTCAACATATAAATCTTGAGGAACACAATTCAGTCCACAGAAAGGAGGAAGAAAAATAAAATTCTACTGGGTCCAAAAAATAAAAATTACTAATGAACATAGAAACAAATTTTTCCTTGATATATGAAAGAATATTCCAGAGAGTTTTTTTAAAAATGAAATGGCTTCCACAGGCCATAGAAGAATGACCTGATTCATTCTATACTAACTGCAGTAATCTTGTTTTCTCCCACTTAATAAAAATACTTAACCATGAATACTTTTTCATTCGAAAAAATGAAATAGCTTACACATGTCATCAGACAGAGTTCAATAGGAGTGAAACAAATTTAAGCATCAAACATTGGGTGAGACATTGGTGATCTTCCAAAATCTTTCATCTGTAGAAACTCCACCCCAATACATGGGGTTAAAGATGTTCTTGCTGGACCAACTTGGAGGGAAAGATGCCAACCCAATTTCCTGCCTACAATTTCTCCCCCAACACCTGTCATACTGGCTTCAACATGAAGGATGTCTTTATAACTTGATTGATAGATAACTCACAACATCTCTTATAACTTGGAGATGCTAAGTTATATGCTGTTTTGGTCTTTGGAAATTGATGTTTGCAACTTAATATGATACCTTATAACTCAATGCCTTTACCATAAAGAAAATTATTGGGTAAATGTGTGGGGCTATGGAATTAGGGATTCTTATTTAAAGGTAGAGTGCTCATTAGAGTTCATTGCTACACTATCATGCCTGATATGTGGCTGATATTCAAGAGAGTTGACATATTTGAAGCATGTTCCAATTAGTTAGGAAAGCTGTGTACTACACTTAGATCTCTGCATGCTTTGGGCTCTCCATAGTGCCTGGCCTGCATCTGTTTTACGACACAATGGTCAGTGTGACCTATTTAATGAAGCAGGAATACTATTATCAGGAGCTATTACATAACCTATCAAAGTTATTGATCCCTTATATGTTAGAAGAGAGATGGAATCAGCCTCGTGTGGGTGCTATGAGGATATGATAAAGTAGTTCATGAAGCCCCTCCCCCAGAAAAGGTCTGATTTAAGTATTCTTGGTTTCTCCCATTTACTAAAAATACTTAACCATGAACACAAGCAACTCTTAACTATGCTTAAAAAGAAAGAAACTGGGTCATTGTGCTGACCGGGTCGCACGCTGGCTCCGGCTTCACCAACACCTTGCATGTTGTTTCTGTGCAGTGACGGACCCCAGAGTCTCTCCTCCAGCACCTGTTCCACCCCCTTCCCCCAACCCATCCATGAGGCCAGCAACGCTTGTAGAGATCACTCTGGGCTGTAATGTGGCACTGATGGGCTGGGACATAAGGGAAGAAAAATGCCTCGCTGAAACATGGCTGTGTTTACTGCCTGCTCTGGTGGGACAGCCTACAGCCTGGCTGCCCATCATGTGGCTCCACCCAAGCAAGGGAAAAAGAAGGAATGCTGGACTGGAGGCCCCAGGAGCCAGATGGCAAGAGAGTGGCAGCTTCCTTTCCTGTGTGTACGCTTTAGAAAATGGATGCCTAGAGGACTCCCAACCCTGGCCTGGGTCAGGAAACAGCCAGCGAGGGTTAGGGGCCTTAGGGCACGGGGCAGTTGTTCCATTTAAGGTTTAAGCCGACTCTGGCCCTGGCCCTTACTTGCTTCCCCAATCCCCTGGGCCTCCCTGATTCGCACTTGTCCCCGCCCTGCACTCAGCTGTCCTGCAGCAAACACTCCACCCTCCACCCTCCATTTTTCCCCACCACTGCAGCGCCTCCGGGCCTGTGGCTAGAGAGCCTACCGGTATGTCAATAAACAACAGCTGAAAAGAGAGAGAGAGAGAGAGAGTAAGAGAGAGAGTAAGAGAGAAAGGAGAGAGGGAGGGGAGGGAGGGAGGAAGGAAGGGGGAAGGGGAGGGAGGGAAGAAAGAGCGAGGAAGGGAAGGGAGGGAGGGAAGAAAGAGCAAGGGAAGGAAGGAAGGTAGGAAGGAAGGAAAGAAGGAAGGAAACCCCCAAACAATCTAGAAAACCTATTATAATTATTGGATCTAATATACTCTCTTCCAAAATGATATCTAATGTAGACAATAAAATAATCGACTAATGCGTGTTCTCTCCTTATCTTTTTTCTCTTTCTCTCTCTCTCTTTATTGTCTATATAATACACAGAAATATTTAGTAAGAGGCATGAGGCAGGAAAAAATAGTAGCTAACCCTAGATAATTCTCAGTCCGAATAATAATACTAGAATGATCTTATTGTGGTTTAATATTTTCTCTCTACGCTTACAGAGGTGAGGGTTAGTGTTTTTAATCAAATGATGCAGCTCCATATGAAGCCCCTGTGTGGTTTTAATACTGAAAGGACACACGCTATTACAAGTGGGAAAAATGTTGTTTGCAGCAGTTGAATTCAACTCTATTCCTACCACTGGAAGTAAAGTACGTTGTTATATTTACAGTGGAAAATTTGAGCTGACTTTCAGCAAAGCCTGAATAATTATGATCTTGGCTTACATCAGACTACATTGTCAAAAGCTTGTCAAGTTTTGTTTCATAACTGCTATTATCATCTTAAAATGAAACTGCATATATTCATAATAAAGAAATGTCATGTATTTGTAAAAAACATAAAGAGGATGTGGTCTAGCAACGAACTAACAAACATCTACAGCTCATATGCAACTACAGTCACAATGTAATGTGGCAGCAGTTGCCTGTCACCTAGATGTTTACCTCTGAGAGTCTCCTCGGTCAGAAAAAGAGAAAATCCAGCTCCTGGTCACTCTCTGCATCATCCTCAGATGCAGAGGAGTGCTGCCTGGTGTTTGTCCTGTTGATACTCCTGAGAAAGACCATTTGTTTTCAAGCAATAACAGATGGATGTGTGAGTCCACAGGGCATAGGAAAAAGTCTCATTCAACCAACTAGTATTCACATACGACTGTATTAATCCACTTATTAATATTTGCCTAACACTGTCCTAGACAGGATGAAATGTATCACTTCTGACAAACTACCTGGGTTATATACATAAAATTCCATGCACCAAAACATAAACACATACTTTGCGGATTAAACATAGCTTCTTGCCTTAAAATATAATCATTAAGAATCTCTGGGTAATTCTTCATGCAATGGAATGTGTAGATGAAAATGGCTATACAAATGTTTATACACACACACACACACACACACACACACACACAAAATACTAAACAGCTATACAAATGTTTATACACACAAAAAAAATACTAAACAGCTATACAAATGTTTATATACATACACACACACACGCACACACAAACGCACATACATACAATGCTCCAAAGAGTAAAAGGTGAATTCTAAACCAATGTTATCTTTAGTGTCCTGTAAAGTTCCTGTGGAAATCAAGCAAGAAAAGAGAACCTTAGGAAGGAGGCTGAAGATGGCAGGCTGTGGGTCTACAGAGGTGGTGAGCAAGGCTTACACAGAATTTGCCCTGACAAAATTTTTACAATGCAATCCAATGAAATAATCATTCTTCAAGGATAATTACAAAAATGAATATATGGCTGCTATATTTTCCAAGTTCCACTTTATATCTTTTCATTATTTTCCACTCAAGTTTTTCTCTATTTTGTTCCTCTGTGATATCCTTTCACATTTTGTTGAATTTCTCTTTTTTAGAGCATATAACAGGCAGGATAAACAATTCCAAACAATGAGTAGAGGCAAAATTTTTCAAGTGCAATTTCAGATATTTGACTCAGTACCTGGGAAACTGTGGGGTACTCTTGAAGCCTGAAAAGTTGTCTCTTGCAAAAACATTACATTTTTACATGGTTTCTAGTATTATTTCCTATTTTTCTCCACAGATATGTGAGACATTCTTAAATGCTTTCTAAATAGAAAATATTTTCTTTAATTAAATTGGCAAATAATCACAGAACCCTTAGAAATAAAAACATATTAAGCACAGTAAAAAAAAATGGCAAGTTAACCATGTGTAGGACATTGTCAGTGAGTCTATAAGGTCTATGCCAGTTTTTAAAAATCCAGACATGTCTTAACCTTTCCTCTAACTTCTATAGATGAGTATTCATAAGTCGTCAACTAAACAGTATATATAAAAATATTTGTTTGTTTAATATATTAGGTGTAGTCTCATTCCCTATTAGTAATTTTTTTTTAGAAAATGAATGGGACAAAGTATTTTTAAAAGCATATTTTCTTGGAAAATCTGCATATTTTAAGGTAATAGTATTCAGAGCAAACAGACAAACAAGAGTTAGGATTCAGGGGTTTCTGAATTTTTCCTTAGATTTTTAGTGTAACATTTAACTAAGTCACTTATGATGGTAAAACCAATTATGGTAACAAGATACATTTTAAAGACAGATACTTTCTGTTCAAGTAAGAGTTAAAAGGATTGCTTTTCTATTATTAAAGAATGTAGAACTTCTATTTTAAAAATACTCTGTTTAGTAATACACATATTTTCAGACATCCCTATTGAAACGAACTTAACTTTGGCCCAGTGGTGATTCATTGAATTCAGACAGAAATTGTTCCTGAGGAATGCAGTTTCTTTATATTGTTTACATTATCCAGCTTATTTGAGATTCTAAGACAATGCTTATTGTTTTTTAAAATAAAATACTAATAATATGTTTTATGTCTCTATTTGAGGCCCTGCTTCATAAGAAGCATTGCTATATATGTTTTTTCTCAGTAGCATAAAAATACTAATCATAGAGACTAAAATATTAATGCATTCATCAGTCCTATTCTACTGCATTTATATTTCCAATAAAAATTTTATTTTTTTTACTCAAAGAGTAAATGAATGTCTAACATGTAATCCTCACTTCACGACCTGATTAATAAAATTATATTATTGTCTGAAATTCCAAGTTTAGCTACAACCCTCATTCACACCCAGTGTAAAATGTCTTAGGTCCTCTAATACAAGAAATTACCTGCTCTGCTAATACACTCTACATTGAAGGACAGGAGAAGTGTGTGGACATTCTAAGGGGCAAATGGGAACAGCAGATATGTCTTTCGTTGACAGTAATAGGCAATAATGTCAGATTTGTATTTTTTATTTTTTTACATTAGAGTCACCAACCCTGGGACATCCAAGATGTCCAATTCACTGGGCTCTTCCCAGCAGTTTATCAACCAGACTGCAGGGACATCTAATCAGGCGGTCATTGCCCAGAATTTTCCTGTGTGTCTGTGTGTAATGTCATTGACTTGAATTCTTGTGGGTCAGCATCCCACAAACCAAGTGTAAATTCCTCTTCTCTGACACAGCTGGAGCCTGGTGTTCTGAGTCTTGCAGCCCTCGGGTCACCTATGGTGTTTCTGAGTAGTGTGCAATGGACAGTAGGTGTTTATGCACATATATTATGTGACTGTTTTATAAATTTCATGGTGGCTAAAGTATGTATTCAAGAGTGGAGTGTTATGGTTTATGTTTTTTCCAGGCCACTCTTCCATTAAAGTGGTTGGAAGAAAAATTTTGAGGCTTAAGTTGAAATGTTTTTGCCTCGTGTGCACAGAGTAATTCCCAAACAAATATGAAACAATGAATCATAGCAAAACTCAAATATTTTACTATAAAATTTTCTGCCCTTGTTACCTAAACACTTACTTGGGTTTGGTTTACTTGTAAAGATAAAAAATCACATTAATTTGTCACTAATTTTATATCACCATATACAACACAGAAACAAAAGGGGGAAATGGCTCGGGGGTGGAGCCAAGATGGCCGAACAGGAACAGCTCCAGTCTAGAGCTCCCAGCGTGAGTGACACAGAAGACGGGTGATTTCTGCATTTCCAACTGAGGTACTGGGCTCATCTCACTAGGGAGCATCAGAAAGTGGGTGCAGGACAGTGGGTGCAGTGCACCCAGCATAAGCCGAAGCAGGGTGAGGCATCGCCTCACCTGGGAAGCGCAAGGGGTCAGGGAATTCCCTTTCCTAGTCAAAGAAAGGGGTGACAGATGGCACCTGGAAAATCGGGTCGCTCCCACCCTAATACTGCGCTTTTCCAATGGGCTTAACAAAAGGCACACCAGGAGATTATATCCTGCACCTGGCTCGGAGGGTCCTACGCCCATGGAGCCTTACTCATTGCTAGCACAGCAGTCTGAGATCAAACTGCAAGGCACCAGTGAGGCTGGGGGAGGGGTGCCTGCCATTGCCAAGGCTTGAGTAGGTAAACAAAGCGGACAGGAAGCTCGAACTGGGTGGAGCCCACCACAGCTCAAGGAGGCCTGCCTGCCTCTGTAGGCTCCACCTCTAGGGGCAGGGCATAGCCAAACAAAAGGCAGCAGAATCCTCTGCAGACTTAAATGTCCCTCTCTGACAGCTTTGAAGAGAGTAGTGATTCTCCCAGCACGCAGCTTGAGATCTGAGAACAGGCAGACTGCCTCCTCAAGTGGGTCCCTGACCCCTGAGTAGCCTAACTGGGAGGCAACCCCCAGTAGGGGCAGACTGACACCTCACACGGCCAGGTGCTCCTCTGAGAGAAAACTTTCAGAGGAACGACCAGACAGCGATATTTACTGCTTACCAATATTCGCTGTTCTGCAGCCTCCGCTGCTGATACCCAGGCAAACGGACTGGAGTGGACCTCCAGCAAACTCCAACAGACCTGCAGCTGAGGGTCCTGACTGTTAGAAGGAAAACTAACAAACAGAAAGGACATCCACACCAAAAACCCCATCTGTACGTCACCATCATCAAAGACCAAAGGTAGATAAAACCACAAAGATGGGGAAAAAACAGAGCAGAAAAACTGGAAACTCTAAAAATCAGAGTGCCTCTCCTCCTCCAAAGGAATGCAGCTCCTCACCAGCAACAGAACAAAGCTGGATGGAGAATGACTTTGACGAGCTGAGAGAAGAAGTCTTCAGACGATCAAACTACTCTGAGCTAAAGGAGGAAGTTCGAACCCAGGGCAAAGAAGTTAAAAACCTTGAAAAAAATTTAGACAAATGGCTAACTAGAATAACCAACGCAGAGAAGTCCTTAAAGGACCTGATGGAGCTGAAAACCAAGGCACGAGAACTACGTGACGAATGCATAAGCCTCAGTAGCCGATTCAATCAGCTGGAAGAAAGGGTATCACTGATGGAAGATCAAATGAATGAAATGAAGCGAGAAGACAAGTTTAGAGAAAAAAGAATAAAAAGAAACGAACAAAGCCTCCAAGAAATATGGGACTATGTGAAAAGACCAAATCTACGTCTGATTGGTGTACCTGAAAGTGACGGGGAGAATGGATCTAAGTTGGAAAACACTCTGCAGGATATTATCCAGGAGAACTTCCCCAGTCTAGCAAGGCAGGCCAACATTCAAATTCAGGAAATAAAGAGAATGCCACAAAGATACTCCTCGAGAAGAGCAACTCCAAGACACATAACTGTCAGATTCACCAAAGTTGAAATGAAGGAAAAAATGTTAAGGGCAGCCAGAGAGAAAGGTAGGGTTACCCACAAAGGGAAGCCCATCAGACTAACAGCTGATATCTTGGCAGAAACTCTACAAGCCAGAAGACAGTGGGGGCCAATATTCACCATTCTTAAAGAAAAGAATTTTCAACCCAGAATTTCATATCCAGCCAAACTAAGCTTCATAAGTGAAGGAGAAATAAAATACTTTACAAACAAGCAAATGCTGAGAGATTTTGTCACCACCAGGACTGCACTAAAAGAGCTCCTGAAGGAAGCACTAAACAAGGAAAGGAACAACCAGTACGAGCCACTGCAAAAACATGCCAAATTGTAAAGAACATTGAGGCTAGGAAGAAACTGCATCAACTAATGAGCAAAACAACCAGCTAACATCATAATGACAGGATCAAATTCACACATAACAATATTAACCTTAAATGTAAATGGGCTAAATGCTCCAGGTAAAAGACACAGACTGGCAAATTGGATAAAGAGTCAAGACCCATCAGTGTGCTCTATTCAGGAAACCCATCTCACGTGCAGAGACACATATAGGCTCAAAATAAAGGGATGGAGGAAGATCCACCAAGCAAATGGAAAACAAAAAAAGGCAGGGGTTGCAATCCTAGTCTCTGATAAAACAGACTTTAAACCAACAAAGATCAAAAGAGACAAAGAAGGCCATTACATAATGGTAAAGGGATCCATTCAACAAGAAGAGCTAACTATCCTAAATATATATGCATCCAATACAGGAGCACCCAGATTCATAAAGCAAGTCTTTAGAGACCTACAAAGAGACTTAAACTCTCACACAATAATAACAGGAGACTTTAACACCCGACTGTCAACATTAGATAGATGAACAAAACAGAAAGTTAACAAGGATATCCAGGAATGGAACTCAGCTCTGCACCAAGCGGACCTAATAGACATCTACAGAACTCTCCACCCCAAATCAACAGAATATACATTTTTTTCCAGCACCACACCGCACTTATTCCAAAATTGACCACATACTTGGAAGTAAAGCTCTCCTCAGCAAATGTAAAAGAACAGAAATTATAACAAACTGTCTCTCAGACCACAGTGCAATCAAACTAGAACTCACGATTAAGAAACTCACTCAAAACCGCTCAACTACATGGAAACTGAACAACCTGCTCCTGAATGACTACTGGGTACATAACGAAATGAAGGCAGAAATAAAGATGTTCTTTGAAACCAATGAGAACAAAGGCACAACATACCAGAATCTCTGGGACACATTTAAAGCAGTGTGTAGAGGGAAATTTATAGCACTAAATGCCCACAGGAGAAAGCAGGAAAGATCTAAAATTGACACCCTAACATCACAATTAAAAGAACTAAAGAAGCAAGAACAAACACATCCAAAAGCTAGCAGAAGGCAAGAAATAACTAAGATCAGAGCAGAAATGAAGGAAATAGAGACACAAAAAACCCTTCAAAAAAAATCAATGAATCCAGGAGCTGGTTTTTTGAAAAGAACAACAAAATTGATAGACCACTAGCAAGACTAATAAAGAAGAAAAGAGAGAAGAATCAAATAGATGCAATAAAAAATGATAAAGGGGATATCACCACCGATCCCACAGAAATACAAACTACCATCAGAGAATACTATAAACACCTCTATGCAAATAAACTGGAAAATCTAGAAGAAATGGATAAATTCCTGCACACATACACCCTCCCAAGACTAAACCAGGAAGAAGTTGAATCTCTGAATAGACCAATAACAGGCTCTGAAATTGAGGCAATAATTAATAGCTTACCAACCAAAAAAATTCCAGGACCAGATGGATTCACAGCCGAATTCTACCAGAGGTACAAGCAGGAGCTGGTACCATTCCTTCTGAAACTATTCCAATCAATAGAAAAAGAGGGAATCCTCCCTAACTCATTTTATGAGGCCAGCATCATCCTGATACCAAAACCTGGCAGAGACACAACAAAAAAAGAGAATTTTACACCAATGTCCCTGATGAACATCGATGCGAAAATCCTCAATAAAATACTGGCAAACCGAATCCAGCAGCACATCAAAAAGCTTATCCACCATGATCAAGTGGGCTTCATCCCTGGGATGCAAGACTGGCTTAACATACGCAAATCAATAAACGTAATCCAGCATATAAACAGAACCAATGACAAAAACCATATGATTATCTCAACAGATGCCAAAAAGACCTTTGACAAAATTCAACAACCCTTCATGCCAAAAACTCTCAATAAATTAGGTATTCATGGGATGTATCTCAAAATAATAAGAGCTATCTATGAAAAACCTACAGCCAATATCATACTGAATGGGCAAAAACTGGAAATATTCCCTTTGAAAACTGGTACAAGACAGGGATGCCCTCTCTCACCACTCCTATTCAACATAGTGTTGGAAGTTCTGGCCAGAGCAATCAGGCAGGAGAAGGAAATAAAGGGCATTCAATTAGGAAAAGAGGAAGTCAAATTGTCCCTGTTTGCAGATGACATGATTGTATATCTAGAAAACCCCATTGTCTCAGCCCAAAATCTCCTTAAGCTGATAGGCAACTTCAGCAAAGTCTCAGGATACAAAATCAATGTGCAAAAATCACAAGCATTCTTATACACCAATAACAGAGAGCCAAATCATGAGTGAACTCCCTTTCACAATTGCTTCAAAGAGAATTAAATACCTAGGAATCCAACTTACAAGGCACGTGAAGGACCTCTTCAAGCAGAACTACAAACCACTGCTCAATGAAATAAAAGAGGACACAAACAAGTGGAAGAACATTCCATGCTCATGGGTAGGAAGAATCAATATCGTGAAAATGGCCATACTGCCCAAGGTAATTTATAGATTCAATGCCATCCCCATCAAGCTACCAATGACTTTCTTCACAGAATTGGAAAAAACTACTTTAAAGTTCATATGGAACCAAAAAAGAGCCTGCATTGCCAAGTCAATCCTAAGCCAAAAGAACAAAGCTGGAGGCATCATGCTACCTGACTTCAAACTATACTACAAGGCCACAGTAACCAAAACAGCATGGTACTGGTACCAAAACAGAGATATAGACCAATGGAACAGAACAGAGCCCTCAGAAATAATGCTGCATATCTACAACCATCTGATCTTTGACAAACCTGACAACAACAAGAAATGGGGAAACGATTCCCTATTTAATAAATGGTGTTGGGAAAACTGGCTAGCCATATGTAGAAAGCTGAAACTGGATCCCTTCCTTACACCTTATACAAAAATTAATTCAAGATGGATTAAAGACTTAAATGTTAGACCTGAAACCATAAAAACCCTAGAAGAAAACCTAGGCAATACCATTCAGACATAGGCATGGGCAAGAACTTCATGTCTAAAACACCAAAAGCAATGGCAACAAAAGCCAAAATTGACAAATGGTACCTAATTAAACTAAAGAGCTTCTGCACAGCAAAAGAAAATACCATCACAGAACAGGTAACCTACAGAATGGGAGAAAATTTTTGCAATCTACTCATCTGACAAAGGGCTAATATCCAGAATCTACAATGAACTCAAACAAATTTACAAGAAAAAAAACAAACAACCCCATCAACAAGTGGGCGAAGGATATGAACAGACACTTCTCAAAAGAAGATATTTATTCAGCCAAAAAACACATGAAAAAATGCTCACCATCACTGGCCATCAGAGAAACACAAATCAAAACCACAGTGGGATACCATCTCACACCAGTTAGAATGGCGATCATTAAAACGTCAGGAAATAACAGGTGCTGGAGAGGATGTGGAGAAACAGGAACACTTTTACACTGTTGGTGGGACTGTAAACTAGTTCAACCATTGTGGAAGTCAGTGTGGGGATTCCTCAGGGATCTTGAACTAGAAATACCATTTGACACAGCCAACCCATTACTGGGTGTATACCCAAAATCATGCTGCTATAAAGACACATGCACATGTATGTTTATTGCGGCACTATTCACAATAGCAAAGACTTGGAACCAAGCCAAGTGTCCAACAATGATAGACTGGATTAAGAAAATGTGGCACATATACACCATGGAATACTATGCAGCCATAAAAAATGATGAGTTCATGCCCTTTATAGGGGCATGGATGAAGCTGGAAACCATCATTCTCAGCAAACTAACGCAAGGACAAAAAACCAAACACCGCATGTTCTCACTCATAGGTGCGAATTGAACAATGAGAACACATGGACACAGGAAGGGGAGCATCACACACCGGGGCCTGTTGTGGGGTGGGGGGAGGGGGGAGGGATAGCATTAGGAGATATAACTAACGTTAAATGACGAGTTAATGGGTGCAGCATACCAACATGGCACATGTATACATATGTAACTAACCTGCACGTTGTGCACATGTACCCTAAAACTTAAAGTATAATAATAAAAATAATAATAATAATAAATGGCTCAACACACAAAAAAGAAACAAAAGAGGGAGGAGACTAGGAGAGGTGGAAAGACCCATGCATAACCCCCTTAAAGGGGATCCAGTAAGCAACACCTGTGAGAAACTACCTGCGTTTGTTCAACTGATGAAGAAGATGTTATAGTGAATTTTAATTGCCAAAAAAGTTCAGATGATTAATCTGATGCTAAATAAAAGTTGGTAAAACATAGAAATGCTTCTTTTGTCCTGACTTTTGCATACTAAAGTGTTCTAAATAATTCTAAATATATTGAAAACTTTGCACACTTTCACTATTGAAACTAAAGTGTTAATAGTATTACCAGGTGAATACCTTAGATTAAATAAAGCGAACATAATTTAACCTTTTCTTAATGACTGGAGGTTGTTACTGTGATTTAATTGTGTAATGTCCTGAGGGCCATTAAGCCTTTAAAATGTGGCACAGCTCTCACCAGCCTTGTGTTTATCTCTGCTCTTGCAGGACTGTCATAGCCCAGATTCTCAACCATCCCTGATCCCCTACAATGAGTTCTCTAGTTGTGTTTTGCTTCCAAAATTATTCTACTGGACATGCCTGCATCCAATGCCAATTGACTTAATCAACATTGTCCATTTGTGTGTTGCATTCTGATCTCACAATTACTCTCCATCCTCCAATCTAGTTGTCTACAAGGAAGTGCAATGGAGACATAAAAGTAGCTTCATGTTTTAGCCTGGGGTTCATATGAGAAATCAACGCTGAAGATTTACATTTAGGAGCCACTAATATGGAGATAGTATTTGACGTTCATACAGATTTAATGCCACTGGATAGCATATGATCTCCTGGAAGGGACGAACACCTGAGTGTGAACCCTGGGTCACTCAACTATGTAGAGGTTTTACTGAGAGGTTGGCACCAGCAGAGGAACCCATCAATAACTGGTCAGTGAGATCTAAGGAAAACCAGGAGAATGGGTCTCCGGGAAGCCTAAAAAAGAAGAATTTCAGGAAGGAAGGTGATGCCAAATTAGTCTGTTGAAAAGTCAATGAAATGGGAAAGAAAACAGCCTGCTGGGTTTGATAAGATGATGATTCAATGGAGATGCTGAAAGAGGAGAATGAAAAGTAAGAATGAGGAGAGGATGAGAAGTGGAGATTTACGGACAGAAAGTATAGACAAGCATGCTTCATGGAATTTGGTTGTGAATGGCAGCTGCAAGAGGTTAATATGGCAAAGAATGCTTGTTTGTTTATTTTTAAGGTCAGATTTCTATAGATAGACACAGACATAGATATACATAGATAGTTACAGATATACATATAGATACAGATACAGATAAGATATACAGCAGTTGTAGCTGGTATTGTTGACTACCTTTTTCCACTACCCATTCTGCATTCCCTTTGCCTTCAGCAAGCACTTCAGCAGGTCGTGGTGTTTTTCCTGGTGGAGTGACCCAGGCTTTCATTCCTGAAGGGTCTGGGCCATTTGTAGCCCTGCCTGGATTGGGCTGTTGTAGTTTCTCATTGACCTTAATCACAGGGCATGGTAAGACTAAGAGATGCCCTAATGGATCTCGTGTATTCCATGCATACTCTTCTTACCTCCACTGTGGAGTAGTAGACTGATTTCATCTTGATAGTCCAGGTCAATTACCCCAGCCAACACTGTCACTCCCTTCTTAGCCTGTTGGATTAAAGGTAGGAGAAGCCCAAAGTGTCCAGGTAGCAATTTTAATTTCCAGTTTAATGGAAACCTTGTTGTTTCTCTTGGTGGTAGCATTTCTCCCTCTGGAACTAAAACCTCTAGGTCAGCCGAATGTTATATCAAGGGAACAGGAAGCAAAAATTTTGCTAGTGGATCACTAGGTGTGATGGTGCACCCCTTGATTTTTGGACGTGTGAATCCTGGCTATGGGAGAAACAGTACCATATATTGGACGCTGATTCAGAGCATATACAGCCTCTGGAGAACTTTGCCCCAGCCCTGCAATGTGTTGTCACCTAGTTAGCATTGTAATTGTCACTTCAAAAGGCCATTCCATCGTTCTATCAATCCAGCTGCTTCTGGGTGATGGAGAACACGATAAGACCGGTGAATTCCATGAGAATGAGCCCACTGCTGCACTTCTTTAGCCATGAAGTGAGTGCCTTGGTCAGAGGCAATGCTGTGTGGAATACCATGATGGTGGATAAGGCATTCCATGAATCCACGGATGGTAGTCTTGGCAGAAGCATTGCATGCAGGATAGGCAAACCCATATCCAGAGTAAGTGTCTATTCCAGTGAGGACAAATCTCTGCCCTTTCCATGATGGAAGAGGTCCAATATAATCTGCCACCAGGTAGCTGGCTGATCACCCCGAGGAATGGTGTCATATCGAGGGCTCAGTGTTGGTCTCTGCTGCTGGCAAATTGGGCACTCAGCAGTGGCCGTAGCCAGGTCAGCCTTGATGATGGCTAAGTTGCTAAGTCCAAGTTGCTAAGCCCATGCATAACCTCCATCCCTGCCACCATGGCCACTTTGTTCATGGGTGATGGACATTGGGTGATGACAGGGGTGGCTGGGGAAAGAGGCTCAGTGGTGTCCACAGAACGAGTTATCCTATACACTTGATATTAAAATCCTCCTCTGCTGAGGTCACCCGTTGGTGAGCACTCACTTGGGATAAAAAATATCTTCAGTTTTTGACTAATCAGAGAGGTCCATTCACATACCTCTTCTCCAAATTTCTTTGTCACCAATTTTCCAATCATGCTTCTTCCAAGTTCCTGACCATCCAGCCGAACCACTGGATACAGCCCATGAATCAGTATATAACCACACATGTGGCCATTTCTCCTTCCATGCAAAGTGAACCAACAGGTACACTGCTTGAAGTTCTGCCCACTGGGAAGATTCCCCTTCTCCGGTGTCTTTCAGGGATGTCCTGGAAAGGGGCTGTAGTGCTGCACCTGTCCACTTTTGGGTGGTGCCTGCATATCGTGCAGAACCATCTGTGAACCAAGCCCTAGTCTTGTCTTCCTCTGTCAACTGATCATAGGGAACTCCCCATGAGGCCATCGGTGCAGGCTGGGGAAGAGAAGGCAGCGTGGCAGGAGTGGAGACCATGGGCATTTGAGCCACTTCCTCACGTAACTTACTTGCGCCTTCAGGACCTGCTCAAGCCCGATCACCTATATATCAGTTCCATTTGATGACAGAATGCTACTGTGCATGACCCACTTTATGGCTAGATGGGTCAGAAAGCACCCAGTTCATGATAGGCAGTTCAGGTCACCCCAGAAACACTTTTTAGAAGCTCTGATCTACTTAGATGTTGAAGTTGCTGAGAATAAGGTTTGGATGATTGGAGGAGAGCTGGGGTGGAAGACAGGAGAAAAGGTGTTAAGATTTTAGCACACAACCCTCGTTGTGGCTGGGAAAAAAAGTGATAAAGCAAGGAATTAGAATGAAAAATATGATTTTGTATGTACCTTTGTTACCTACTTCTCTTTCTTGTGATCCACGCATTGCCTTTTCCATAGGACACAGATCCGTAGATCCAGTGCAAATACCGAAGATCACAAACTCTGCTCTAAGTAGAGTCACACTTTCTGACACTAGGGTAAGAGGATTGTTTGTTTCTTCACTTTATGTTTCTTATTTAGCTAATGAATTGTACTTTCTTAACCTAACTTGGGAGCTCTCCCGGGCTCATCACAGGCCCCCGCAAAGCCCCTCCAGCTTCAGCTCCCATAACGTGGACAGTATCCCTACCCCCTTTCACAACTGCTCCCACCTGGCTTCGTATTCTGTCTCCCACTCCATACAGACTCTCCCTGCTGGGCGGGGGCGGTCTGTGCAGGCTCACAGGTGGTCCTGTTGGTCAAAACTATGAGGGTATTTAGGTGAAAACAGTTGAAGACCATTCTCTTGTAAGGAAATGCTGCTCTGGAGGATTAATCATGTTACCGATGGAGGGTGTCCAGGTTCTTGGTGTCTTGAACAAAGAATTGAACAAAACACACAAATAAAGCAAGGCAAGAATAAAGCAACAAAAGCAGAGATTTATTGAAAATAAAAGTACCCTCCACAGTATGGGAGCAGGCCTGAGCAAAGGGGCTCAAGAGCTCTGTTACAGAATTTTCTGGAGTTTAAATGTCTTCTAGAGGTTTCGTTGGTTATTTGGTGTATGCCCTATGTAAATGAAGAGGATGAAGCAGTTACAAAGCATTTACTTGGTGTACACCCTATGTAAATGGAAAGGTTACTTCCTGTCATACCTGAAGTGTTTCCATTTGATTTAGTTCTAGGAAGTCAGCATTAATTGGCCTTATGTTCCCTGCCTCCAGACCCTATTCTCCTGCCTCAATCATACTTTTATACAATGAAAATATCTAAAATTTAATTATATAATTTAGGACATTGGTTTTCATTAATTTATACAATTTTAAACCTATTGCTCACAAGTATATTCATAAAATGTTAGCTTAGCTTAGAACCCTCCGGGTTTTAAGAGTCTATACATGTCTATATTTCAAAGTCCATAAGCCAAGTTTGAAAAGGATTTTTTGTTGACAAAACAAGATCAATGCCAACCGGCTTTGTGGAAAAGGGCTGGTGTTGATGCAGAGCTAACCAATATTAGAAAAACAAGAGCAACAAAAGTATATGCAATAATTGAGACAGATGCAGATGGTATAATGCTCTACTGGAAGAGACATTAGATGCCAATCAAGTATTCATTCCAACAACATGTTTGGGTCCCAGTCCTTATTGGGATGTAATAGAAAGAGTACCGTTAGTCGTAGTTCTAATTCTGATTAATCTCTTAATGAGCTATATGACATTGGTCAAGCAGGTCAACTTCTCTCATTCTCAATTTGCTTCCCTGCAAATTGGGGAAAATTATATGTACTTCATTAAATTCATATGGGAACTAATATACGTATTTCTGTAAAAATCCTAGAAGAGCATCCAATCATCCTTCAATAAATATTCCTACATCACCCATCCATACATGTATTTCCAAGTTATCTTAATAATAAGTAAACTTTGGTAAGTTTTAGATGAATAAAACAAATACATTTTTCTTACCATTTATTGACTTTACTTATAATCTCATAAATGTGTTAAATACTGAAAGGTATTTTCTTATTTGTCTCCTCTTTTCTCTATACTGTGTCTTCCAGTTCTTACTATTTCAGTTTAATTTTTCTTAATTTCATGTATTTTTACAAACTAAAATAACTTGGTATGCCCGATTTTAGAACAAAAGATACCAAGATAAATATGGTCCTCCTTTCTAGGCTTACTTAAACTTTCACAATGACTCTCTACAATAATTAAAACATAGGAAAATAAACTGATGACCTCAGGATGCTAACATTATTTTTTTATTTTTAAGCCCCTTTAGTTTCTCACACAGTCTTGGTTACCTGTATTGTGGGTGTTCATATTATACCAGTTTTTTCAGATTAAAAATTGGGCAGTCACAGGAGAAGAGGAACATGTTCAGGAAAATATAAATAGTATGACACAAAGAAGAAAATTTAAATTCATCCAAATCTTGTTGTCTTAGTCCTTTCAAGCCTCTATAACCAAATCTCATCATCTGGGTAGTTTATAAACAATAGAAATCTATTTTTTTTTGCAATTCTGGAGGCTGGGAAGTTCAAAATCAAGGCAGATTTGGTGTCTAGTGAAGACCAGCTTCCTGGATCACAGTCAGCACGTCTTTACTATATCCTTACATGGTGGAAGGGGCAAAGGATATCTCTGGGGTCTCTTTTATAAGTGCTCTAAACCCATTCATGAATGACATGGTTTGGCTGTGTACCCACCCAAATCTCATCTTGAATTGTATCTCCCATAATTCCCATGTGTTGTGGGAGGGACCAGCAAGTGGTAACTGAATCATGCGGCAGGTCTTTCTTGTGCTGATCCCTTGATAGTGAATAAGTCTCACAAGATCTGATGGTTTTATAAAGAGGAGTTCCCCTGCACAAGCTCTCTCTCTTTGCCTGCTTCCATCCATGTAAGATGTGACTTGCCCCTCCTTGCCTTGCACCATGATTGTGAGGCCTCCCCAGCCACATGGAACTGTAAGTCCATTAAACCTCTTTTTCCTGCCAGTCTTGGGTATGTCTTTATCAGCAGCATGTAAATGGACTAATACAAGGACCTAAACATTTTCCAAAAGGTCCTTCCTCCTAATATGATCATCTTGGAAGTTACCATTTTGACACATACATTTGTGGCAGATGTAAACAATCAAACCATAGCACTTGTGTTCACACTGTAAGAATTCCAGGAAACATGAAAGATATTAGATTAGTTCAAAAACTCTTGCAATTCTTGTTACATTTGTACCCTAAAAGTGTGCATTTGTGAATAGTTCAGAAATAATATGTCTGTGGTTTAGATTTGAGAACCTTGATAGTATTTCAAAGAATGGGAGAGAAAACTTGAAAGAATCTTGTAAGGTGATACACAAAGTTATTCACACAAACTTTTGGAAGAAGCAAACACTCAGCCATCACAGATACTTATCTTCTTCTGCACATGAAATATTTTTTACCATTTTTGATAAATTTTAGCTTATGAATAGTTGTATTGGTTAATACTAGTCCATCATTCTAAAGCATTAGTTTTTGCATTCATTTCTGTGATTTCACCGCCAAAATCTATTTGGTTATTTCTTTAACATGAGACATGAGTGAGAGGTTGTTAGTTTTACAATGAGCTCCATAACTGTCTAAATTTTAAAAATCACGTCATCTTCATTTAAAAAATTTACTATAATATTATTAAGAAGGCATATATCCAAAAGTTATTTTACATAAATAGAAGAAACATTTTGGCTCTCAAGTGTCTTTACATTAAGAATCAACTGATGGAACAATAAACATTGTTCCAAAGGGTGTAACTGCCATTGTCCATTTCCATGGAGGATTTGGCTGAATGTGCCTACTCTAAAAGTACTTTGCTATTCATAACATATTGATACTGTACCTTTTTAAAGTCAGAGATAATCCTATAATATATTTTAATAAACTATTTTTAAAGCAGTTAGAAGAATTAACAAGAAGATACAGAGATTCCTCATATACACTCTGACCCCATACATGCCTAGCCTCCTGCATTTTCAATATCCCACACCACAGTGGTGCATTTGCTGCAATCGGTTAACCTACACTGCACATCAGTATCACCCAGAGTTTACATTCAGGATAACCCTGCATGTTATACACTCTGTGAGTCTGGAAAAATGCATAATAATATGCACCCACCATAAAGTGTCATACAGAGCAATTTCACTGCCCTAAAAATCCTCTGTGCTCCACTTTTATACTTTATTTCTCCACTTTTATGTTTCATTGAATATATTATAATTTCAAACCAGTTTAATTTTAGCTTGGCAATAATTATCAAATATTTTAAAGTCAAATATCATAAATAATTTACACCCACATATAGTTTATAATCAAAGAACATTCACCTTTTCTGATAATAATTTGCTGACTGGTTGATGTGAAGAGAGGTCCCATTTTTAAATTCAGTTTTAACCTTAAATAATCAACCACATTTTCTAGTTTACATTTGCATCGTGCTGTCATCCATGTGCCTGAACTTTTAAAAAATAAATAAAAGATATGCGGCGTTATTTCTGAGGGCTCTGTTCTGTTCCATTGATCTATATCTCTGTTTTGGTACCAGTACCATGCTGTTCTGGTTACTGTAGCCTTGTAGTATAGTTTGAAGTCAGGTAGCGTGATGCCTCCAGCTTTGTTCTTTTGGCTTAGGATTGACTTGGCGATGTGGGCTCTTTTTTGGTTCCATATGAACTTTCAAGTAGTTTTTTCCAATTCTGTGAAGAAAGTCATTGGTAGCTTGATGGGGATGGCATTGAATCTATAAATTACCTTGGGCAGTATGGCCATTTTCACGATATTGATTCTTCCTACCCATGAGCATGGAATGTTCTTCCATTTGTTTGTATCCTCTTTTATTTCATTGAGCAGTGGTTTGTAGTTCTCCTTGAAGAGGTCCTTCACATCCCTTGTAAGTTGGATTCCTAGGTATTTGATTTTCTTTGAAGCAATTGTGAATGAGAGTTCACTCATGATTTGGCTCTCTGTTTGTCTGTTATTGGTGTATAAGAATGCTTGTGATTTTTGCACATTGATTTTGTATCCTGAGATTTTGCTGCAGTTGCCTATCAGCTAAAGGAGATTTTGGGCTGAGACAATGGGGTTTTCTAGATATACAGTCATGTCATCTGCAAACACGGACAATTTGACTTCCCCTTTTCCTAATTGAATACCCTTTATTTCCTTCTCCTGCCCAATTGCCCTGGCCAGAAATAACGCCGCATATCTACAACTATCTGATCTTTGACAAACCTGAGAAAAACAAGCAATGGGGAAAGGATTCCCCATTTAATAAATGGTGCTGGGAAAACTGGCTAGCCATATGTAGAAAGCTGAAACTGGATCCCTTCCTTACACCTTATACAAAAATTAATTCAAGATGGATTAAAGATTTACATGTTAGACCTAAAATCATAAAAACCCTAGAAGAAAACCTAGGCAGTACCATTTAGGACATAGGCATGGGCAAGGACTTCATGTCTAAAACACCAAAAGCAATGGCAACAAAAGCCAAAATTGACAAATGGGACCTAATTAAACTAAAGAGCTTCTGCACAGCAAAAGAAAATACCATCAGAGTGAACGGGCAACCTACAGAATGGGAGAAAATTTTTGCAACCTACTCATCTGACAAAGGGCTAATATCCAGAATCTACAATGAACTCAAACAAATTTACAAGAAAAAAACAAACAACCCCATCAAAAAGTGGGCAAAGGACATGTACAGACACTTCTCAAAAGAAGACATTTATGCAGCCAAAAAACACATGAAAAAATGCTCACCATCACTGGCCATCAGAGAAATGCAAATCAAAACCACAATGAGATACCATCTCACACCAGTTAGAATGGCAATCATTAAAAAGTCAGGAAACAACAGGTGCTGGAGAGGATGTGGAGAAATAGGAACACTTTTACACTGTTGGTGGGACTGTAAACTAGTTCAACCATTGTGGAAGTCAGTGTGGTGATTCCTCAGGGATCTTGAACTAGAAATACCATTTGACACAGCCATCCCATTACTGGGTATGTACCCAAAGGACTATAAATCATGCTGCTATAAAGACACATGCACACGTATGTTTATTGCGGCACTATTCACAATACGAAAGACTTGGAACCAACCCAAGTGTCCAACAATGATAGACTGGATTAAGAAAGTGTGGCACATATACACCATGGAATACTATGCAGCCATAAAAATGATGAGTTCATGTCCTTTGTAGGGACATGGATGAAATTGGAAATCATCATTCTCAGTAAACTATCGCAAGGACAAAAAACCAAACACTGCATGTTCTCACTCATAGGTGGGAATTGAACAATGAGAACACATGGACACAGGAAGGGGAACATCACACCCTGGGGACTGTTGTGGGGTGGGGGGAGGGGGGAGGGATAGCATTAGGAGATATACCTAATGCTAAATGACGAGTTAATGGGTGCAGCACACCACCATGGCACATGTATACATATGTAACTAACCTGCACGTTGTGCACATGTACCCTAAAACTTAAAATATAATAATAATAAAATAAAATAAAATAAAATAAAATCAAGAATTAACATTAAAAAAAGAAACTACTTTTATGCCACACACACACACAAAAATAAATAAATAAAAGAAAGAAAAAAGAAATGAAACAATGCCTGTCTCAGCTTTTAATTACAAAGGAATCATATGCAAATGATAGAACATTTAAAAAGAGAGAAAAACACTAAGAAAAAAAGTGGCATCATATTACATCCCTTTTTCATGAGAAAAAAAATAACTGTTCCTCACTGTTAAATCATGTTGCATTATTTCCTAGTAACACAGCATATTAATATACTTTCACATATACATGCATGCACAGTCTTATATAAACATGAGAGAATAGTCTGACATTTGTAGGGGTATATCTGATGATCTTGCACATGCTATTTTCTATTTATCTGTCAGATTTTTCTATCATTTCTTTTTCCTAACTAAAGGCTCATACTCCAGTTAAGTGGCAGATATTATAACCACACACAAACCAATGTGAGCCTTTCAGCATCCTGTTCCTGCCATGTTGGAGGATCAGCACGATGGTAAATGGGTTACAATCTTTGATTTCGTGCCTTTGAGAAGCCACATTATCCCAAAATTTGCAGCATCTGCCATCTAATCCATAGACACATGTGCCCTGCTTTCTAAGGACGCTGTGTCTTTTTTCATCTTTCTAACCTTGGAAACAAATTGCAAGTTAAATTTGTGAGTTTGGAATACTTTGCCCTGTGGCTGGTGTCCCAAAGTGAGAGTGATTAAAGAGAAAGGCCACATAAACAGAAATACTAAGATTTATCCATATCTTGTTTCTGCCCCTGCACAGTCTGCTTTAACAGAGAATCTACTCATGTTACTAATAATAGGAGCATAAAACCTCTCATTATTACTACAAGTATTGTTACTGACGTCTAGCTGTAAAGAGGGTTATTTAGGATGTAGTTTAGATTTTGTGGGCCTCAAGTGATCAATTTTCATAAAAATGTTTGATGTTTTTCATCAGGAAATCTGTACTTTGTTATGTACAGCAATTTATTTGCTTCATTAATGATATATTTAGTACAAATCTAATCTCTCTCTTTCTCTCTCCCCCTCCATCCTTTCTCTTCTTTCTCTGACTTTCCAAACACCTTCTTCACCCAGCTACCTTTAACACAGAGCCCTTAGACATTAAACATTCCTGGGATAAGGCTAAGGAAATGGATCTTCCCACTTCAGTGGACAGGAGCTGTAAAAGAAAGGCGTTTCTGTAACAGGTCAGAGAAGTGAGTGAGTCAAGTAATATAACAAAGAAATGATGCTCCTGGTCATCAGCCTGTGGAGATATTAGCAGCTCATTATCTCTCTGGAGAATGGTGGAGCAGGGCTACACCAATATTTGAACCAAAAGGGGTCATTTCGCACTGTCTTCAACTGAAAAGATCCCCCCAAAAATAAAGCATACCTTTTTAACTGCTCAGAGATAAAAAAGAGAAGAAAACGAGAAAGGAAATACATCAGTAGTCAGAAACAAGAAGAGTCAAAAGCAATACTGTATATATATATATGTGTGTTTAATTACTTGCACTCCCTTTTCTGGACTATTATGCATTAATAATATGTTATTAATATTCTTATTTTCTTTTTGGAGACAGGGCTCACTCTGTTGCCCAGATGGAAGTTCAGTGGCACAACCATAACTCACTGTAGTCTCAATCTCCTGGGCTCGACAATCCTCCGACCTCTGATTTCTCAGTAGCTGAGACTATAAACATGTGTCATCATCCCAAGCTAATTTTTTTCCAAATTTTTTTTGTAGAGATGGGATCTCACTATGTTGTCTAGGCTGGTCACGAACCCCTACCCTCAATCTAATGTTCTTAATGTTCATAGTATGAAAGTCTTGTAGAATGTGCACAAAATAAATTGTAATGACTTACAAGAATACATTTTTGAGTTTGTTTGTTTGTTTGAGATGGAGTCTTGCTCTGTTGCCCAGGCTGGAGTACAGTAGTGTGATCTCGACTCATTGCAACCTCCACCACCCAGGTTCAAGTGATTCTCCTGCCTCAGCCTCCTGAGTAGCTGGGATTACAGGCGCCCGCCACCACGCCCAGCTAATTTTTGGATTTTTAGTACAGATTGGGTTTTGCCATGTTGGTGAGGCTGCTCTCAAACTCCTGACCTCAGGTGATCGGCCCACCTCAGCCTCCCAAAGTGCTGGGATTACAGTCAGGAGCCAAGGTACCCGGCCTAAGTTTGAATGAAATTTATAATTAATTGGAAGATGAAAACTCAAGAAATATCTAAAGTTATGTGACAAATTTGCATATATCTATTAAATTTTTACAGATCAGACTATATATCATGGACCCTGATTTATATATAAAAATTCATCATGACAACTTTATAAAATGCATCTCGACTAAACAGCTAACATTCTGAATTCTGCTTTATGCAGTGTGTTTGGGTCATACATAGAGGCCGTGAAAACACTGAGCTTGGCTTAAATACACTGGTTTCTCTTATCTACGTTACCATCAGTTTAAAGTAAAATTTGGAAGAAAAAATATATTGAAGAATAATATAAGTAGGCACTCAAACAATGTGCCACACACTTCCATCTTAAAACAAAGTTAATATGTAGAATGGCACAGGCTTCAGACATTTTCATATTATCTGGTAACACTTTTCTTTAACTACAGCATTTAAAATATATAGGCAGGTTAATATAAGAAATATCATTCCAAAGAGTAAATTTTCTCTTTAAAATTTTTTAATGAATCCATTTCAAAAATTTTAAATCAATTATCTTTTTCATTACATAAACTCAGGCATGTATGAACATATTTTTTAGTGGAAGTAGTCAAATAATTTTGATTTGAAGCCTTTTAAGGCTTAGGAATGTCAAGACAGACATCAAATATTTAACAGATCCATGATGCAAAAGCAATTTCAGAGGCTTTTGAAATAGACTTTTGGCCTTATGCTGAATCATCCCATACTGAGGTGCTCTTTGAGTTATTACATTTGCCCTTCATGTTTGTGTTTTTCACCTGCTATTCGCTGGTATTTCTTGACACCACATGCGTTCCTCCCTAGAGGATTCTTTTCAGTGTTGTGTGGTGCCTGCCCTGGTTTGAGCAGGTGCATAGCCAAACTCAACATGAAAGAAGACAGTAAGTAAAGTCCAAATCTAACAGAAGAAGCTTTAGAGCTGGGAGCATCTTATAGTGACACACAAAAAAGACATGCTCCAAAAAAAAAAAAAAAAAACATAAAAAAGAAAGACACATTTCAAAGGTGAGAGGAACCAACTGAAAGAGCTCCAAATGACCAAAACTGGATCAATTTCAGCAATAAAATAAAGAAATATTGGATTATAACCCAAAATATAATATATTCATAAATACACACTGATATAAATAAGTAACAAAATAAGTGAATAAAATGGAAGAAGAGACAAATCTTCCATACAGAAAAAAATCCAAATAATTTCTGTTAATGCTGTATTCTCAAGGAAGTAGAGCAAAAACCTGATTCCTCAGGTGTGGGCTGTGCATAATAACTTCCTTCCAAAGAATACAGTATGGCAAGCCAAGAGAAGAGAATAACTGCACATTACAGAAACATGGATAAGGCCAATATCCACAGGGATGAATCATGTTAATATTATGTACCCTTGATAAGATGTGATAAGAATGGCATGTTTCCTCTTTAGTCTTTATCACAAGAGTCCAGAACCCCTGTCTAACCTTGAGAAAAATGTTCAGCAAACACAAACTGAAGGATATTTTACAAACTACCTGACCAGTAATCCAAAAGTATCAAGGTCATCAAAAAACAAAGAATGTCATGAAGTCTTTACCAGGGCCGAGGTCCAGAATGGTATTTCCTACATTTCCTTCTAGGGTTTTTATAGTTGTAGGTCTTACCTTTAAGTCTGTAATCCATCTTTAGGTAATTTTTGTATATGGTGAAAGGAAGAAGTCCAGTTTCAATCTTCTGCAGATGAGTAGCCAGTTATCCCAGCACCATTTATTTAATAGGGAGTCATTTCCCTATTGCTTATTATTGTTGACTTTGTCACAGGTCAGACAGTTGTAGGTGTGCAGCCTTATTTCTGGGGTTCGCTAACCTGTTACATTGATCTATGTGTCTGTTTTTGTACCAGTCCCATGCTGTTTTGGTTACTGTAGCCTTGTAATATACTTTGAAATCAGATAGTGTGAGTCCTCCAGCTTTGTTCTTTTGCTTAGGATTGCTTTGGTTATTCGGGCTCTTTTGTGGTTCCAAATACATTTTTGAAATTCGTTTTTCTAATTCTGTAAAAAGTGCTGTTAGTAATTTGACAGAATGCTCCAAAACCAACTGCAACAAAAACAAAAATTAATGATAGGGCCTAATTAAACTAAAGAGCTTCTGCATAGCAAAATAAACTATCAACTGAGTAAACATATACCCTACAGAATGGGAAAAATAATATTTGCAAACTATGCATCTGACAAAGGTATAAAATACAGACTCTATAAGGAACTTAAACAAATCAACAAGCAAAAAAACAAACAACCCCATTAAAAATTGACAAAGGACAAGAACAGACACTTCTCAAAAGGAGTGTCACATTGTCAACAGCACAGAAAAAAATATCCAATATCACTAATCATTAAGGAAATACATATCAAAACCAAACTGAGATATTATTTCACACCAGTCAGAATGGCCATTACTAAAAAGTCAAAAAGTAACAGACGCTGATGAGATTGTGGATAAAAGGGAACATTTATACACTGTTGGTGGGAATGTAAATTAGTTCAAACATTGTGGAAAGCTGTCTAGAGATTTCTCAAAGAACTTACAGCAGAACTACCATTCAACCTAGCAACCTCATAACTGGGAATATAAATTGTTCTACCATAAAGACACATACATGCATATGTTCACCACAGCACTATTCACAATAGCAAAGTCATGTAATCAACCTAGATACCCATAAACACGGAGTAGATAAAGGAAATATTGTACACACACACCATGGCATACTACGCAACCATAAAAAATAATGGCATCATGTCCTTCCTTAGGACAATGTCCTTTGCAGCAACATGGCTGGGGCTGAAGGCCATTACCCTAAGCAAATTAACACAGGAATGGCACACCAAATACCACATGTTCTTATTTATAAGTGGGAACTAAACATGAAGTACACATGGACACAAAGAAGGGCAGAGTAGACACCAGAGCCTGCCTCAGGGTGGAGGGTGAGAGGGGAGTGAGGATTGAAAAACAACCTATCAGGTACTATGCTGATACCTGGGTGACAAAATGATCCATACACCAGACCCTCACAACACACAATTAACCCATGTAACAAACCTGCACATGTACCCCTTGAACTAAAAGTTGGAAAGAAAGTATAAATAAATAAAACATAAATAGACAAAACCAAACAAAGAAAACAACATCCTAGATGCTATCACAGTCAAGAGGAGCCTGAGGACTAAACGTAATGTGATATCTGGATGGGATCCCGGGAGAGAAAAAGACATAAGACGAAAACTAAGGAAAGGCCAAAAACAACGGAAACAATTACATGAAGTAATTTGAGTTAAGAATGTGCTATTAATTCTTATATATTGGTTGTAATAATTGTAACATACTGTAATGTAATTTATAGTTATTATTAACAGTATGCAAAACTGAGCTTGGGTGTACAGGAACCCTCTATATTGTCTTTGCAATCTTTTTCTAAGCCTAAAACTATTCTAAGATTATGGTTTATTACAAAAAACGACAGCCTCTTTCATAGTATTTGTGTGTTTTCTCCTTGTTATTTGTTATATAATCTGTTGTTTTAAATCATTGGTTTCCCAATTCTAATCTGCTGGAGAATCGCTAATATCTTTTAAAAATTGTATTAATAGTTAGGAACCTTGCACTATGTTGGATTTCCTTATAAAACTATATCTACCCGGATCCCATACTGAGAGATTCTAATTTATTTGCTTTTGTGTGTGCTTGGACAACAGGATTTTTAAACACACCCTAGAGATTTCAGTGTACAGCCAAAGCTGGGAAAATCTTCTTTTAATAATCCACATTGCAGATGTTGTTAGCATGTTCCCCACCTCCTCAAAATGCAAAGAGCTGATCAATTGTATCAGTGTCTCTAGAGATGCTTGTTAAACATGCAACTTCCTGGTTTACATCCAGAAGTCAAAATTATTGTCCTTTACTGGCCAGCAGGGTGCCTAACAGAGAGGAAAATACATTTTAAAATGAGAAGATAATGAAGGAGGAAGAGAAGGAGGCAAAGAAAAGTAACTGAGAACTAAATGTGACTGGGTTGATGATTATTTACCTGGCATACATACTTTCAATATTTTTGTCATATTAAATTCTCACAACAATCTTTGTAAGTTAGTTTTGCTATTCCCACTTTACAAATGTGGAAAGAGACTCAGTGATGCTTATCAACTCACCCTGAATCACTTAGCTAGATAGAGTTCAATGCACTTGAGTATAGAGAGTGCACACACACATACACACACACACATAAACCCTGTTATCTCAAGGATACCAAAATACAGAGATGCTTTAGTCCCATATATATATTTGCATATAATATGTGTGTAAGACACATTTTCTCATATCTTTTAAATCCTCTCTAGATTACTGATAATATGTAACACAATATAAATGCTATGCAAATAGTTGTTATATTTTGATGTCTAGAGAATAATGACAAGAAAATAGCCTGTACATATTGAGTACAGATGCAACCATCTATTTTTCTTTTTCCCATATTTTTGACCTGGTTTAGGGAACCCATAGGTCTAAAAGGCTGAGTGTATGTTCTGTCTAAAATAATGTTCTGCTTAATATAACCATAAAGAATGTGGGTATTCACTGTGTATTTTCCAGCTGTTCATGTTTCTTCTGTTTTGCCAGGAGTTTCTCCTGGAGCACCTACAAAGAAGTGCCAGAGTCATGGGATTCGTACACATCGGAGTGGATCATGCCATGTTGGGGCAGCTGTTTCCATAGTGATGAGTATGTGGGTAGATATAAGGAAATGTTGGTATGCAGATCCCAATATCAAACTCTAATAAATGACTAGGAAATAATATTGCTGAGAAGTCCAAACTCCAAAGTGTGAAATGAAAACATTCAATGATGCTATAGTATACCTGGTCACAATCTGCAAATAAGAAACATCAGGAAAATACACAATACAATTTGGAAATATCATCCAGTGGCATACTGTTTACTTAGGAGGAGCGTTATAGTACTATTTAGTTTATCTGTACAGAAAACATGAAGAGAAATTTGTACTAAGAAGAATTAGGAGGCATTCTTCGACAACGAAGAGGAACACACCATATGTTGAAGGAAGAAGCTGTTTCATCGAGGAGCATCATGTGTTGCTGTATTAAAGTTAGATAAAGGTCTTCACTACAGACGGTGAGAGGGAAATTAGTGGGGCAGGCTGCATAAACAGCCTCACAGCGTGGCTCCATCACAAGCTCTGTGAAAGCCAACAGGAAAGAAAGCACAATCCTATGGTGGATCTTGAGGTAAGATTCAAAAGCTCTCCGAATTTGCTAATTGTTTTTTCGTGGAAAGAAAATAATCTCAAAATGAATGAAAAGAAAGCCAATTGGGAAGAAGGGTAGTTAGGGAGAATGTTAGAATAAGAGAAATGAAAAGAAAACTTCATTTTAAAATAGAAAATTTGCATTGGTGGAAATGTTTTCAGAAGATAATAAATGCTAAAGTGCTTTTATTTGCTTCATTTTTATAATTTTTATTTTTAATTGACAAATACTCATATTTATTTATGAGGTACGATGCAATGCTTTATATAAGTTTACAATATAAAATGATTAAATCAGGCTAACTAATCTATCATCTTACATATTTATTAGTTGCAGACCAGGGGTTTCTGGATCACTGCTATGTGTGTGTGTGTATATATATATATTTTTTTTTCTTTTTTTTTTTGAGACGGAGTCTCGCTCTGTGGCCCAGGCTGGAGTGCAGTGGCGCGATCTCAGCTCACTGCAAGCTCCGCCTCACGGGTTCACGCCATTTTCCTGCCTCAGCCTCCCGAGTAGCTGGGACTACAGGCACCCGCCACCACGCCCGGCTAATTTTTTGTATTTTTAGTAGAGATGGGGTTTCACCATGTTAGCCAGTATGTTCTCCATCTCCTGACCTCATGATCCGCCCATCTTGGCCTCCCAAAGTGCTAGGATTACAGGCATGAGCCCCTGCGCCTGGCCTGCTATGTGTATATTAATGTGTGGTCTTGATCTTGAACTGAGGCTCTGAAAGGGTATGACAAATACTGACGGCCATCTGCCAACTACAGAGCTGTGAACTGTTCACTCATTAACAGTTTATAAACAACAAGATAACATCCTCCAACTTATCTTCCTGCTCTAGCAGAGGTGGGCAGTGAGGATAACTGTTCAGGTCCCCTCTTTGGAGGTCTGGTGTCATGAGCATGAGCCCTCCTGCAGGGCACTCCAGGACAGCTCTCCCTGTGCCCACGGACAGACCACCTCAGGGGCTGCCATCTAAGCTTCAGATGGTGCGGAGCTCTGAGTGTGTGTGTGAGTTTAAGTATGTGTGAGTATGTATGAGTGTGTGTATGAGTTTCTGAGTATGTGTATGTGTGAAAGAGAGAAAGAAAGCAGCAGCAACTGAGAAAGAGAGAGAGAGAGTGACTCTCTAGTCATCAGCTGTGATGGTGAAATTTATGTGTCAAGTTGACTGGATTGAAAGATGCCCAGAAAACTGGTAAACTTTATTTCTGGGTTGTGAACGTGTCTCTGGAAGAGATGGGCACTGGAATCAGTGGACTGAGTAAGGAAGATCCACTCTCACCTGTCATTCATAAGAGCAGGCATCATCCAGTCCCTGGAGGAATCCAGTAGATCAAAAAGGTGGAGAAAAGGCAAATTTACTCTCTCTTCTTCACCTGGGACACCCATCTTTTTCCCTCAGATATTGGCACTTCTGGGTTCTGGGCCTTCGGGTTTGGATTTGAACTACACCACTCACTTTCCTGAGCCCCCAGCTTGCAGGTTGCATACTATTGGGCTTCTCAGCCTCCATAATCATGTGAGCCTATTCTTCAAAGTAACTCTCTTCCTTTCTATCTGTCTATCTATCTACTTACCTACCTATCAATCTATGTATCTATCTATCTACTTACTGACCTACATATCAATCTAATGATCTATCAATCTATTAATCTATCTTTATCTATCAATCTATCATCTATCTACTTCCTACCCATCAATCTATTAATCTATGTATCTACTTATCTACCTACTTATCAATCTATTGATCTATCAATCTATTAATCTATCTCTGTCTGTCTATTGATCGATCTATCTACCTACCTATCTACATCCTATTGGTTCTGTTTCTCTGGAGAACTCTGACTGAGACATCATCAATGTCTAGTTGATTTTGTCTAATAAACAGCTTCCCTTCAGTTTTGGCTCCACTCTGTCTTCAATTTCTGGCCCAAGTTTCCCTAGGCCCCAACATAAAAGAATATTATTGACCCAATTGACCCACTGTGATAATTTGTTTAATATATTCAACAATTTGTTGAAATAATAAAAGTAATAACACTCACTGATCTACTGATTTGAACTGCTAACCTTACCAGACATGTGCCATGGCTTGTCTATCCTCCTAGATGTTGTGTAAAAGCATTTGAGAAAATAATGTATAAAAATCACACAGGAAATGTCATCAGCTATTTATTACTAAACTTTGTTCAGGTTAGATGTTTATCGTAGTTCACAATGCTGATTTGAACAAAAAGGCATCCAAGCCAATAGAATGAAATTTAATTTGTTAAAGTAAGATGCTTTATTCTTAAGTATTTATATTTAATATGCCCCATGGAATTTTGAACTTAAATTTGGTGATGGTAAAACATAAGTCACTTTAGATGTCAACATTTTCTGGAAGAAGAGTGCCAAGCATGATTGCCCATGTCACTTGGTGTTAGGTGACATTTTTGTTCCAGCAGGTGGTGCCATCAGAGCATGAAGGAAACTCCATTTTAAAAGGAACTTAGGCAGTGGGGACTCTTAGAGTCATCGGAGGCAAGAGAAAATGTCCCAGAGCTTCTGTGGGTCTGAAGGTTCATGTTTTAAATGTTCCTATTGTAGATTTTAAGAAAGTATGTAATTCAAAATTTTTTAACTTGTATTTTAAGTTAGGCATACATGCGCTGATTTGTTATATAGGTAAACTTGTGTCAGAGGGGTTTGTTGTACAGATTATTTCATTATCCAGGTTTTAAGCCTAGTACCCATTAGTCATTTTTCCTGATTCTCTCTCTTCTCCCACCTTCCACCCTCCAAAATACCCCAGTGTGTGTTGTTCCCCTCTATGTGTCCATGTGTTCTCATTATTTAGCTCCCACTTATACGTGAAAACATGCAGTTTTTGCTTTTCTGTTCCTGCATTAGTTCTCTAAGTATAATGGCCCCAGCTCCATCTATGTTCCTGCAAAGGATATGATCTCGTTCTTTTTTATGACTGCATAATACTCCATGGTATATGTACCACATTTTTTTAAATCCTGTCTATCACTGATGGGCATGTAGGTTGATTCCATGTCTTTGCTATTGTGAATAGTGCTGCAATGAACAGACACATACATGTGTCATGATTCCTTTGGGCATATGCCCAATAATGAAATTGTTGGGTGGAGCACAGACTTAGGGTCCTGAGACCCTTAAAGAGTAGGAGTCAAGTCAAAGAACTTTATTTTATGGTTGGTTGTGATAGAACTTCTTAATGTTGTAAAGTGTGGAAAAACAAACATTTTAAACAATGTTTTCCTTGTATATAGCCCAAGACAGGCTAAAAGCTTTCCTCATTTTGCATTCTGAACTGGAATGGAGGGACTGACTCTGGGAAGTCCTGTTACTTTTAATGGATTGAATGTTTGTGTCCCCCTGAAAATTCATATGTTGAACCTCAAGACAATGCCATTTGGAGGTAGAAAGCCTTTGGAAGGTGATTAAATTTAGATGAGGTGAGGGGGATGAGGCTTTTATAATATGAGTAATGCCCTTATAAGCAGAGGAAGGGACACCAGAGCTTCGTCTCTCCTCTATGTGAGGACACACCAAGAAGGTGGCCATCTGCAGGACAAGAAGTGGGCCCTCACCAGGATCAAATATGCTAGCACCTTGACCTTGGAATTCCCAGCCTCCCAGACCTTGAGAAACAAACGCCTGCTGATTAAGCTACCCATATATGATATTTTCTTACAGCATCTGCAGACAACTATGGCACTGTTACATCAACTCAACACATTCTAAATTTAATTCACAAGTTTGCAGCCATCTTAGCTCCCAGATCAACCTTCTGTTCACCAGCAATTTCCTACCCAAATGAACATATTCTCAGGTACCTACTCACCTCCTTTCTTGCCTTTCTTTTCTCTTCTTCTTCCTGTTCTGTAATTCATTGTTCCACGTTTGCCTTTTTTCCTCTCCCTTCCCTCCAGTATCTCTTCTTACTTTCTTTTTCTATATCAATTATATCATTATACACTTTGCCCTTCATTATATCCTGGAGGATAAAAAAATTTTACTCCAATTTGGTTTGAGATTCTCAAAACACACCTTTGGTGGGTAAGAAATACATAGTCCCTATTGTCCATATTAGGGTCTGAACATCAGGAAAATGTTGGCTGTTGATATGGTTTGGCTGTGTCGCTACCTAAATCTTACCTGGAATTGCAATAATCTCCATGTGTCAAGGGTGGGACTAGGTGAAGGTCACTGGATCATGGGGGCGGGTTCCCCTATGCTGTTCTCATGATAATGAGGGAGTCCCATGAGATCTTATAGTTTTATAAGCATCTGGTGTTTCCCCTGCTGGCATTCATTCTCTCTCCTGCAGTCCTGTGAAGAGGTGCCTTCACCATGATTGTAAGTTTCCTGAGGCCTCCCCAGCCATGAGAAACTGTGAGTCAATTAAACCTCTTTTCTTTATAAATTACCCAGTCTCCGGTATTTCTTCATAGCAGCGTGAGAACGGACTAATACAGTAAATTTGTACCACAGACAGTGAGGTGCTGCTATAAAGACACCTCAAAACGTGGTAGTGACTTTGGAACTGGATAATAGGCAGAGGTTGGAACAACTTGGAGGGCTCAGAAGAAGACAGAAAGATGTGGAAAAGTTTGGAACTTCCTACAGACTTGTTGAATGGCTTTGACCAAATATCTGATAGTGACATCAACAATGAAGTTCAGGCTAAGGTGGTCTCAGATGGAGATAATAACTTTTTGGGAACTGGAGTAAGGTCACTGTTGCTATGCAAAGAGACTGGCAGCATTTTGCCCCTGTCCTAGAGATCTTTGGAATTTTGAACTTGAGATGGATGACTTAGGGTACCTGGCAGAAAAATTTTCTAAGCGGCAAAGCATTCAAGAGGAAGCAGAACATACATTTTTGAAAAATCTGCAACAGCCTGACAATTCAATAGAAAGGAGAAACCCATTTTCTGGGGAGAAATTCAAGCCTGATACAAAAATTTGTGTAAGTAACAAAGAGTTAAATGTTAACCATCAAGGCATGTCTCCAGGACATGTCAGAGGTCTTCATGGAAGCCTCTCTGATATGGTTTGGCTGTGACCCCACCCAAATCTCATCATGAATTGTAGCTCCCATAATTCCCATGTGTTGTGGGTGGGACCCAGTGGGAGATAATTAAATCATGGTGGTGGTTTCCCCCATACTGTTTTCATGGTAGTGAATAAGTCTCATGAGTTCTGACGGTTTTATAAGGGGAAACCCCTTTCACTTGGCTCTCACTCTGTCTTTGCCTTCCACCATCCATGTAAGTAAGACATGACTTGCTCCTCCTTGCTTTCTGCCACGTTTGTGAGGCCTCCCCAGCCAGATGGAACTGTGAGTCTATTAAACCTCTTTTTCTGTATAAATTATCCAGTCTCAGGTTTGTCGTTATCAGGAGTGTGAGAACAGACTAATACAGTAAGTTGGTACCAGCAGTGGGATGCTGCTCTAAAGATACATGAAAAAGCGAAAGCGACTTTGGAACTGGGTAACAGGCAGATATTAGAATAGTTTTGAGGGCTCAGAAGAAGGTAGGAAAATGTGGAGAAGTTTGGAACTTCCTAGAGACTTGTCAAATGGCTTTGCCAAAATGCTGATAATGATATGGACAATGAAATCCAGGCTGAGGTGGTCTCAGATGGATATGAAGAACTTGTTGGGAACTGGAGTAAGGTGACTCTTGCTATGTTTTAACAAGAGATTGGCAGAATTTTGCCCCTGCCCTAGAGATCTGTGGA